>NC_000011.10:28810000-30060000 GCF_000001405.40 Homo sapiens
TAAAATAAGTATGAAGTGTTTGGAGAAAACTAGTCTGGTGTGGCTAGACAATTAGATGCATGCTGGGAAATCATGGTTTGAAGAGGCTAGTTTGTGATGTATTCATGAGGATTTATACACTGTGCCAGAAGGTTTAAATTTAATGTAACAGTGTTCCTATAAATTCATCCTGTACTAAATCATTTATAAAGCATTTTTTTTAAAATTAGACACTAATTTAACTACTTCACAAAACAGTACTCTGCAAATGGATATTCTTAAACATATTTTACATTGATGTTAATACCCAGACTCTTTTCTCAGGGAGCATGATCTTTTGGGGAACTGGAAGGCAGGCAGTAAAGGCAGAGACCTCTCTGGCTTATGGAGGCTAAAGCAGTTTTATTAATAGTCAACATAACCTCAGGTACTAAGTTAAGAATTCTCCTTCCCCAGCTCAAAGTCTCAATTTTGAACAAAGCATATAAGATTAAAATGACCACAAGAAACAGCAAAAATTACTTCTCTCATTGTAACATTCCTTGGTCTTAGAGTTCTGATACTGTTACATCCATGTTATCACCAGAGGTAACAGGGATGACGGCCTGTCACTGAGCTGTGTGCTGCTAACGCAGAGACATTTGTCCTCAGATAACTGTTCTGATACTGTCTCCTTGGACTATTGGCATCTTACAACCATCAGCATAAACACAAAAGTATTAAGGAATCCATATTTTAATTTCCCATAAAAGGTATAATCGGGTCTTTCCCACATGTCTACGAGCAACAGAAGAAATGAAGCCAACATTATGTAGATTACATACACCAGCTAGGAAAAAAGAAGGTTAAGGCAAGATATTTTAGTGAAAAGTCAATGCAAATTATCATTGGATGGTAAGGGACACCAGAGCAGCTCCACAATTCTGACTAAAATGAGTTAGAAATAGGATAAAATGAGGTGCAGAGAAGCACAATGGTTTTCTAAAAGTTTATATAGCCAGTAAATTGTGCAGCCTAGTTTTGAAAATGAGTCTCTGAAGTATGCAACCAAAACTTATTTTTCTATTACTACCACCACTTTTGGTCCCTATCTCAAAATGAAAGGGGAAGTTTTTCAGGGAAGATAAGACATGCATATGAATTACCAGAGTGTAAGGTGCAATGTGAAAGATGCAGATGGAGTGACATTAGACTGACTTATTTTCAGTGGAAACCCATAGAGGGTTTTATGAAGGAATGAATTTGTGACACTGAGCTTCCATACGTGGCAAGGGAGCAATTTCTTTTGGCATAAAGGCATCTTTTAGTATTTGAACTTCAGAGAAGACGGCATAAAGCCAAATATATGCCAAGAATAGCTTTGCTGTTTTCACTTTATTTTATTTTTAAAGCTTTTATTAGCAGCTTAAGCTCAATTCTGAGGCTTCTGCTTAACAAAGTCAAGAGAGTAAGTCTACTCTCTTAGCTGCATTTGGGACAATTTACTATGTGATAAAACTGTCATTTTTCCTATCAATAGAGACTAAGGATTTCATTACCACCAAAATGCCTGTCTCAGCGTAAAGGTCAGAGGAATATTGGAGAAAATGCCCATATATTCAGCTGTCACAAAACTGTCCTACCTCCTCACAAACTCTAGAACAGGTATTTCTGATGGTTCACCATTTATTGCACCTAGAATGAATGTGGGCACTTGGTTATAGAAGATACTGACATTTTAAATTTGCTGCATTTTTCATTGGTGGAAAGAGATGGGAGAGAAAGTTTTAACTTGCACATTCTAAATGTTTATGGGAAAAAAGAGTGGGCATGTGCGGGAAGTGAGAGGCAGGAAGGGACAAAATATTTCTGTTCAGGTCACTTCCTGCCAACCTTTATATTCAGCCCAACTTGAGAGATGGTACTTTGTGGCACCTAAATGATTAATAAAGCTTCCCAGCAGGACCGCAAACCAACCTGAAGCTTACAAGCAGAATGTTACAGGTGACTGTCTAGAGAAAGAGCAAAAATCCTCAGAAGGCCATAATGACAACAGAAAATATCATAGAGGGCTTAAAATGATACCAGTGAGATACTGAACAAAGGGAAAAGAAATGAAAGAAATGAGTTAGCATGCTTTCCTCAGGATATTCTCTTCATGTTGGGGTAATTTGGAATGTAGGTAATCAGAATAAATAGAAATACTTACTAGATGCCTAGACGTTGTTGCAAAAAACACACAGCCCCTTTGGCTCTCTTAGGGTTCCCTTTTCATATAGTATAGATAGCCTAGACTTAGCTGTGCCGTCTATCAAGATGTGCTTTATTTTGATTTTTCCCTCTCAAGATCCTTTGGATGCATGTCCTCAGAATGGAAGGGGAGTAGACCAATAAAATTTTGCTTCATGCACGTGGCAATAAAACATGAGCTAATTTGAGGCCATCTCTCAATATTCTTCTATATACACAATGGATCGGAGTTATTTCAGAAATCATTTCCTAGAACAAAACAAGGAAAAAAGCCAAGCCTGGAAAATGGATTTAATGTTCCACTAAAGATACAGATGTTGATTTGGAGATAATGAAAGCACTATTCAAAACAGCAAGTGAGTTAATGATTATATATATAGCAAAGAAAAGGGCACCATTGTATGGAGTCTGCACAGCCAGGTCCTTGTGTTCAGATCTAAGACTATAGGTAAGAAAGAGAGGGGGATTCTGGGCAGGTAGTAACTAACGATTGATGAAGAAAATGCAAAGAAAAAATCAGCAAAAACCAGTCACATATGGTGCAAGCAGGTTTTAAGATTTGAGATTTTGTTCTTTATGATATGCTTCATAGATCAATTAGTAATATGGGAGATGGGCTATTTTCTTGTCTTTATTAAATGTTACCGTTCAATTACATTAATGTGGACTCTAACATGTGATTAGTTTCTTTTTGCTGCTGTAACAAGTTACTACAAATTCAGTAACTTAAAAAATACAAACTTGTTATCATTCAGCTCTGGAGCTCAGAAGTCTGAAATGGGTCTCACTGGGCTGGAATTGAGGCATTAGCAGGGCTGGGGTGTTTTGGAGGCTGTAGGGGAGAATTTGTTTCTGTGCCTTGTTAGCTTCTAGAGGCCACTGCATTCCTTGACTCTGGGACCTTCCCCCTCTATTTCAAAGCCAGCAGCATAGCATTTCCAATCTCCTTTTGACTCTGACCTCTTTTTCTATCACCACCTTCCACTTTAAAGGACGCTTGTGACTACATTAGGCATACCTGGATAATCTAGAATAATGTCTTAATTCTAAATACAACTAATTATCAACCTTAATTCCATATGCAAATATAATCCCTTCTTGCTCTGTAGCATAATGTATTCTCAGCCCCAAGGGGTTAGTATACCGACATCTTTGGGGAGGGACATTATTCTGCCTAACACAAAATCTAATTAAATATTAAATTAACATGTTTACATGGAAATTATTTTCAATTTAAATTTACCTTGACAGAGGAGACTACTTCATCTAAACTTCAGAACGTATGTAGATATTGCTTTACTATGATTCTAAAACCTTAATCTACAAATTAACCAACTAAACCTCATTTCTTTCTCCAAAATATGTCTGCTTCTCTTGGAGTTTATTCTGGATTTATTATTTTTTAATTCTTTTGTAAAGGAGATTTTGCTTCTCATAGGTGAATTTGACTGCCTCAATTTTAAATTTATGCCCTCATTCTCCCTCCTCACTGCCCCTATCCATTCATTATCGTATTTGACAAGTCTACTGTGTATCAGATACTCTGCTAGGTACAGACTATTCAAAAATGAATGTAACACATAGTCATTATTCTTTAAACAGGATCTGAAGGGGAGACAGAGAAGGACATATCATATTAAAGAAACACAATGTGGTATAAAGTAAATTACTATGAACTATTAAATCAGAGATGGACCCTAACTTTAGCTAGAGAGATCAACAAATCTTCACTGTAAATACAAACTTTGGATGTGATGGGTGGGGTTGTGTGGGTGGCACCTCAGCCAGAAGGAAGAGCAAGTGGAGATGGAGACCTGCATGTGTCTTTTGCTCTTGCTGTTTGTTCCTCCTGGAATGTCACCCCACCCTCTGCCACTTATGTTCCTTTTCCATTCCTGTCCCCATTCCTAGGCCACCTGTTGAATCCCATTCCTGTTTTATTTGAAGGAATAAAAGGGAATAAGATGAGGACAAAATTAAGTCTTAATGCTTTGATGTGATACATAATCTCATTTTGATTTTTCTTGCTTCTCCAAATAAATAACTTAACCACTCACTCATATAAACTTAAGTTCTAGATATTCCAGGTTTAACCTCATATTCCCCTTTATGGATTCTCCTGTGTAAAAGGAAGAGACAAGACTCGGAAATCTGATAGATCTTAGTGTGAATTCTAGAGCAACCATGACAATGCATGTGACCTCGAATGGTTTTATTGCTCTCAATCCTATTCAGTTGGGATGTCATAAATTTACAATAAGACAACATGCAACTGCTGGGTGCGGTGGCTCACACCTGTAATCCCAGCACTTTGGGAGGACGAGGCGGGTGGGTCACGAAGTCAGGAGATCGAGACTGTCCTGGCTAACACGGTGAAACCCCGTCTCTACTAAAAACAGAATACAAAAAATTAGCCAGGCATGGTGGTGGGCTCCTGTAGTCCCAGCTACTCAGGAGGCTGAGGCAGGAGAATGGGGTGAAGCCAGGAGGCGGAGCTTTCAGTGAGCGGAGCTTGCGCCACTGCACTCCAGCCTGGGTGACAGAGTGAGACTCCCTCTCAAAAAAAAAAAAAAAAAAAAAAAAGATGACATGCAACTAATTTATTTAGTAGGCTAAACATAGGGTGGTTCAATGAGGAAACTATTTTATTTTTCTACCCCCTTCAGACATGCTCTGTTGGACTTCGCTTACTCTAATAATACCTAGTGATGAATCTACAGCTTTAGATTATTTTAACAAGAGTAATTCCATTTTTGCCATAAACATTCAGTTTCAGGTAGTTATGTTTTTCATGACTTCAATTGTAAACTTGAAACTTCAGTCTCAAATATATTCCACCTATATTGGGAAGACAGCATGGTTTCTCCTTTTAGTATCCTTTTTTCCTCCATCTCCCCTCTTTCCTCACCCTTCAAGCTCCTTCAGCGTTAAGGAAGAGAAGAGGAAAGGGATGAAAGTGGTTTCTATTTACCTTGCCCTGTTTGAAGTTCTATTTTGGCTCGTATTATCTGTCATTTCCTCTGTTTTGGCAAATGTTCAAATGTTCATGTTTTCGTAAGGCACAAATATGTGGTTTGGTTGAATACCCATCATAGATTTTCACACTGGACAGTTGATAACACAAAGGCATTTTACACCTGGCCTGTTGAATCTTGTCCTAGTAGTTTACCCCGAGGTACTTATTGTACCCTTATACCTTGGGTAGTCTCAATAATATGCCTCAAGCTGGTTATCTGCTTATGTCTTATGGAATCTACTTGGCCCAAAGAGACTCCATCTGATATGGTTTGGCTCTGTGTCCCCACCCAAATCTCATCTCAAACTGTAATTCCCATAACCCCCATGTGTCAAGGGAGGGATGTGGTGGGAGGTGATTGGATTATGGGGATGGTTCCCCCATGCTGTTCTCATGATAGTGAGTTCTCATGAGCTCTGATGGATCTGATGGTTTTATAAGTGCTTGAGAGTTCCTCCTGCACACTCACACTCTCTCTCCTGCTGCCTCATGAAGAAGGTGCCTGCTTTTCCTTCCAACATGATTATAAGTCTCCTGAAGCCTCCTCAGCTATGTGGAACTGTGAGTCAGTTAAACTGTTTTCTTTATAAATTACCCGGTTTCATTATTTCTTTATAGCAGTGTGAATATGGACTAATACACCATCTTTTCCAAACATGAACAGGAAAAATTATTCTATTTGCTACTCTTTCCTATTGTCTTACACTTTATGGCATCTCTTGTCATCCTCCCACCTTAAGAATTTTCTGATGAAAAGCAAATACTAATCTCAATTCAGGATAAAACTCTAGAGAATATATATCCAGGTCCTAAGACATTTCTCCCCACACTATGTTCTCATGAAAACATTGAGCTGAGTCTGTGGGTTTCTCTAGGTCATCAAGCATCCAGCCATGGAAGAATATGACATTTTTTTCTTCTTTCAAGCATTCTCGATGTCTGTGAGTTTTTATTTTGGTCCTCTGCATCTCTTGGCTAGTGGCCAGCAGAGAACCACCTACCTCTTCTCTCCCACTAGGGAAGAGAGGTGGACATGTTTCCCAGTAGGCTGGCAACTCTTCTCCATCCGACCTTATATGAACTGGATGGGGTGATAGGCTGAAGGTTGAAGGGCTGGCGTGGCACTTTCTATGGCACCCAGATAACTCTATTATATCTCCTTGACTGCTGCCTTCAGAATGCTGTGGGACTTATCTCTCATTGTCTGCAGATGTGTAACTTGAGCCAAAATGCTCATACAACAGGAAAGTCCCATTTTTATACCCAAGCTCATATGTAGATTTTATAGCACAGTACCTGGCCCATTAGAGGCTCAGAAATGTTAGTTTTGATTGATTGATTAATTGATTGATTGATTTTTACTTGCAAAGGTTCATGTGGGCATTTTTGTAATGCCACTCTTATATAACTTTTTAAAGGGATATTTAAACCTAACACCCATATTCTGGCATTTTTTAAATGAGCAAGAGAGCTAAAAGAGAAAAAAAATTAAATCTAAATCTTAAGAACTGCTTGGGGGAATAAAGAAAAGTAATACCTTTCTGCCTTGAATATTTTTTCCTTCAGTTCAGAGGACTGTGGGCCTCATTTACACTTGCCTTTTCCAGAAGTTAACTTGTAGCTCAACTTACCTGCTTTTAGAACAGGTTGATTTATTTTACCTTAGCATACAGCTAGTGCATTTGAAATTGCCGATGAAAGGTACTGTCAAATCTCTGGTCTATTTTGATACGATTTGTACTTGTAAGGCAATCTGCCCATTAGTGTAGAAAAAGAGAATTGGGACAGCACCTCACAAAACCATCTCTGAAAGCAAGCACGCAGTCCCAGAGTCTACTGGGCAGGAATTTATATTCTTATAGCATTTTGACTCAGCACACAAATGTGGGATGTATGGGGGTGTTTGCATTCGGAGCCAGATTGTTTGCCTACACCAGAGGCTGTCCTAAGAGATTTGTTGAATCTGCCTTTGCTTACAGATTGGAATTCAGGAAAATTCATTTAAATGCCATATTACAGCATAGGGTTTTTCTACATTTTATCTATGGCTGCTCAGGTAAAATGACCTACCAATGATCATAGTGTATCAAAATGTATCCGGTTGTGTGCCAATTAGGTGGAATATAATCTGTCCCTAACCTGCTTTTGTAAATGTATCCCAAAACTGTACTATTAAACCAGAGGCTATTTGTGGACCATCATATACAGTAATTTCCTCTTCCATCCATGCTATGAACTCTGCCACTCTACCCCACTATCTTACCTCAAAAGATGCAATTGTATTGGGAAAATACAAAAATTATAATCTGGAGTAAATTAAGCATGAGTTAAAAATTTTTATTTGTGAGAGATTAAAAATCTTACTTTTTCTGAGCCTTTTTCAAATAACTACATTTCAAAAAACACCTACAACTCAGTTTGCTATGAGGGAAGTAATGAGGTAATATAAACATAGGGCCTAGAATGTTATTTGGCATTTAATAGGTGATCAGGATCTATTAATTCTCTTTTTCCTTTAATGCCAAGATAAGACTTATTTGCTACTCTCATAGTTAGAGCTATCAGTTAGCACTATCAAAAAGAAAAAAAAAATGTACTGCAATTGTTCCAGCCTTGGATTTTGGGGAGCCAGCATTACCTTCAACTGGCAGTGCCTCAGGGAGAGGGTAGGAGGCAGCTCTGGTATTGTTTTTAGCTCCTGTGTAGTCTTATTTTGAGATGTGTAGAAGAAAGCCCCTTCTTTTTGGTCCTTTTTGTGTTATGAATATTGTTCAGGAGGACACAACACAAATGGCTGCAGTCTTCTTTGCCTCCTCATGGTGAATTTTAAAGATGAAAGTTTCTACTGGGGTTGCTGTCACCTCTGAAGATTTGTAGAAGGAAGGTGTTTTATGAGCACATAGAGGTTTAGGATTATGGCCATGTTGGCCCCTTTTCTTACCACCTACTTTACTTATGAGCACAAGGAAGGGGAGAGATTATGGATGTTAGAGTCAGGCAGCTGGGGAAAGACAAACTTGGGGTCTTATCCCAATGACTTCAGGCAAGTTATGCAGCCCATAGCAGGCTTCTTCCAGTTCTTTGAGCAGTCAGATTCTTTCCTGCTCTTAGGTCCCTTGTCCCTTCAGTCCTCTCTCATGGAATATTGTTCAGGAGGACACAACACAAATGGCTGCAGTCTTCTGTCTCCCCTCTTCTCCTGATGGACTACGTCTCTTTCAGGCTCAGCTGAAGATTTACTGTTTCAGAGACATCAGTTTCAGGTTGGTTCCTCTTCCTCCTTTAGTCTTAGCATAGCTCTCTGGTTGCTCCCTTCACCAGTCACAATTTGAATTGATATATTTGTTTCTGTACTTGATTGTTGTGCACTCCCCTCCACACCCCTACACTAAGTTAAGCTCTTCAGAGGTAGAAACTAGGTCTGTCATCTCACTACATTTCACCCCGTGTCCCACATAGTGACATATAAAAGGAGCGCAACAGTATTAAAGCAATGAGCAAATGAATTATCTAGCCTCAGTTTCTTCATTTGTAAAGGGTATAATCATAAATATTTGGTTTGTGATTTACATGAGCTAGAAGTGGGAAGGATCTGGCAGAGTGCCTGACCCAGTACTGATATTTTCATTAAAAATACATAAGCTATTATTTTATTAGAGTCCAACAATTATATAAATTGGGCAAATTTGTTAGCCCTTCAGCCTCTTATACCTCACCTGTAAAATGAAAGCATTAGGCTATTTCACGGGTCTCCTTTACATATATAATTCCTTGTAAGCATATAAAAACATATCTATAGCTAGATATTTAAGCAAAGAAAGCATTGTCTTGTCTTGATTATACAATTAAAAATGTTATACTACAACATGCCCAAATATTTGAGTTATTATATAGCAAGAATGCAAAACTATTTGTTTTCCACCGGGAAATTTATTATCACCCAAGAGAAAAGGGGAATATTTCACTGGTTGTAATTCTGTGAGGCTTCCTAGCAATAAAAAGAGGAGCTGGAAATAACACGATTTCTCTGCTGTGAATAAACATGTATAAAATTCACTGCAAAATTAACAGCTTTTACCATTTATAAAAACTGGGATTGCTTCTTCCATATTTCTAGCTTTGCTATTCTGGGGGAGGGGGTTGGGAAGATCCAATCTTCTGATTTTATATATGTCTTATTCCATTTGTGTTGCTATAAAGGAATACTTGAGGCTGGGTAATTTATTTTTAAAAAGAGGTTTATTTGGCTCATGATTCTGCAGGGTGTATAAGAAGCCTGGTGCCAGCATCTGTTTCTGGTGAGGGCTTCAGGGAGCTTCTACTCATGGCGGAAAGTAGAGAGCAGGCGTCACATGGTAAGAGAGAAGAAAGAAATGAAGGAGGAAGGTGCCAGATTCTTTTTAACAATAAGATCTGGTGGGAACTAATAGTTTGAGAACTCACTCGGTAATGCACCAATAGCACCAGGCCATTCATAGATCCACCCCCACGATCAAAATATCTCCCAGTAGGCCCCACTTTCAACACTGGGGATCAGATTTCAACATGAGATTTAGAGGGACAAACGTCCAAACTATATCAACATATTTGATTAAATTGCTTGCTCATCTAAGAGGAATTATCAGGAAAGTTCTCCCTTGCCAATGATAACACATCTTTTGTCTCACTACCTGCCAATTACAAGGCAGTGGGGAAGTATTTCCTCCTGGCTGCCAGGTGACTTGCTATTGCAACAGAACATAATGCACTGCACCGTAGGCAAGGATTGTTTCAAACTGCCAACCTGACCCAGACAAGGTGTCTTACCAAGATGTCTTGGGAAAAACGTGTTGCAAGAACGTATAGACTCATTTTCCTCCTTTTGTTTTCTGTCACTCTGTGACTTGCTGCATTTTGGCTCTATTTTCAACAGTTTATAAATAACACTGATAACAAAAACAATAACTGACATGTACTGAGGGTTTACTTGGGGTACTGTATAAGTACTTTACATGTTAAATATTGTTATTTACTCCTAATGTTGTAGAAATTATTTTCATCTACCCTTTGCAGGTGAAAAACTGAGGAATAGAGAGGTTAAGTAACTTGTTCTGAATGATAACGTTATTAAGTAATAGAGCCAGGGTTTGAGTGCAGGCAGTATGTTAGAAGCCCATACTTTTAACCACTATATTTATAAATGTCAACCTTGGTATGAACACTTTCAGTAGGTAGCTTCTAAAATGACCCCCAGTGATCCCTGCCTCCTGGTATTCAAGTCTTGTGTAATTTTCTCCCCTTGTGCAAGGGCTGGATCTAATATGTAATGACTTGCTTGTAATACACAGAACACAGAAAAAAAAGGAGAGGTATCACTTCTGAAATCAGGTTATAAAAGTCTATGACTTTTTTCTTTCTCTCTTCCCTCTGTCCTATAGAGAAGCCCACTTAGCAAGGAACTAAGGGTGGCTTACAGGCAACAGCCATCAGAAAATGAGGTTTTCAGGCCAATATCTTTTGAAGAACTGAATATTGTCAACAGCTACACAAATATGCATGCCAGTAAATCCTTCTCTACTCAAGCGTTGCAAGGGCTATGGATTTCATCAACACATTGAAGCCTTCTAAGAGAACATGAACCAGAGAACCTGAATCCAGTTAAACTGGAACTGGATTCCTGACCCACTGAAACTGTGAAATAATAGATGTTTTAAGTCACAAAGTTTTGGGATAATTTGTTACACAGTAATGATAACTGATTTAACACTCTAGCAGTTTTATTACTTACCCCTTGGTCTCTCTTTTCCACTTCTTTCCTTTCTTCTTTTCTCTCTTTCTGTTAAGTTCTCTCTTTCTCTCAGAATTTTTCTTTCCCTCCACCCTTCTTTCCTTTTTCTGAATGCTTGTTATGTGTCAGGCAATATTTTCCACACATTGTCTTATTTAATCTTCATTGTGATGAGGTACACATTGTAATTTTTATTTTACGGATCAGAAAGTAGAGCCTTAGGGAGTTTATAGAATCTCACTGCTAGCAAATAAAGAATTAATGTTTATACATAGCTCTCTGTGCTCTCTTTTTATACTGTTATATCACTTTCCCCATAAATTATTCCCTGATTGATATAATCTGTAAACCATAATCCTATAAATAAAACTAATCACTGTCTTGTCTATGACACCTCTTTGAGTATCATATAAAATAATTGCTAGTAATAGATAGCACTGTTGAGTGGCTTCAATATGCCATGCACTGTGCCAAGAACTTTATATACATTGTCTTATTTAATTCTCATAACAATGATCTGAAACAGGTTCTATTTCCATTATTTTGCAAATGAGAATAATTGAGGATCATAGAGGTTAACTCACGTATAGTCACAGAGCTGGAACATTTGTGTTATACTTATTTGCTTTTATTGTAATTATTTTTGTCTGATTTCCCCAGTGAACTTTTAGCTCCAAGAGGGCTTGCATCTTTACAGACCATAGCACTTAGCACAGAACCTGCCTGTGTGGGTGCTGAATGAATGTTTTTTGAGCTGAACTGAATTTTGACCTCAAGTCCTCCATTCTGTGCATATCAAATTTATTCAGAGCAATGTAAAATTATTATTTTTTACCTTATACATTCAGTATCGGTTTTTTCTTGTTTGGTAATGTGTTGAAAGGAAGAGTTGCATTTAGTCTTAGGAGAAAAGTGAAATATCAAAAATCTGATATTATTGACTCCTATAACATCCTAGGCTCACATAACATATAGCCATTCAAATTTTCTTTATTTTTTCAGTCTGTATCTCTTACAAACTTTGCAACTAAAAGTGATATCTAGAACTGTGAATTCTGAGATCCTACAGGATTTATAGCTATTTAATAAATACCATAAATGTATTGTTCTTATTCCTAATTGAAGGTAATATACAGGAATAATTTCTAACCTAGGATTAAAACCATATGATAGACAGAAAAAATAAAATTATGACATAACAGGAAAACTTTTTAATCAAACTCCCACATTTCGGTAAATGGAATAATTAGTATTGCTTATCTTGGAGATTTTTACTGAATTGTTTGTATTGTTTCATAAGAATTTAATTTTTAAATCATGTTAATTAATTCATCCATTTAGTTAAGAAACATTTAATGAATGCTTATTATGTGCAAGAAACTGTTTTAGTAAACCTTAATACAGAAATGAATGAAGCATGGTTTCTGTGTCAAGGGTCTCTCAGTATATTGAGGAAGATAGATGTAAATATAAATAGTTGCAGTATCATGTAAGTGCAGAGGTAGGTGCGTATTTTAGAGACACAGATAAGAGAGTTTCTACTCTCCAGTTGGGGTATATCAAAATAATATGTGGCATATAAAACTTTAAGCTATTCATATGTATTTATATATGCTTCCAAACTCTCTGGAATTTTCTCTAAATGGGGAAATATAAACATAGAAATTACCAAATAAAGATAGACATATTGGAAAGCTTTGACTCTCCTCTAACAAATTCCTACCAGCTAATGAGTCACCCAGAAATATGACACATTTAACGTTATATCTCGGTGTGCTAACATTAGCACAAAATCACACCAGGAGTGTGAGTGTGAGAACCGTAGGTACCTTTTTACTCTTCAAATGTGTCTCAACTTTGGAGACACCTGTGCTAAATAGCTTTGTGCATATCTGCTGTGATGACTCAAATATTTTATAACGATGTGGCATTGTACATTGCCAGATTTTCTCTGTTGAGATTCAGGGGGAAACCCAGCACTGTGGTATGGAATATGGAATTTTATGAAGATCAAATAGAATTATTCTTATCCACAAGGAGCTTCTGATCTAGCAGAATTATGAAATAGTTACTCTTGTTCAGGGTTACACAGATACTACTTTTTAAATGCAGAATCATAACATATTTTCTGTTAAATTCCTTATGTAGAAAAATGCTCTAATATTTGAAATAACAGTATTATTTGTCAAATTAAGCCATAACCCTCATATTGTCTTACAGATCACAATTCCTTCTTCTTCTTTGAACATTATATTTGACTATACAACCCTCCATCCCTCCTTGTCACTATCATCTGTCCACTATCTTATTCATTGTCCTCTCTTTGAAGACATTTATTTGCTGCTTGATGTTCATATTCCAATACTACTATCATCCTAGTTAACTTATACATCTACATGAGGAGCACAGCTAATACTCTGAACTTGAGAATGGTGTGCTGCTTCTGAAGTGTGCTCTGTCCAAAATGAAACTCATGACCTGTTTCTCTACTTTATCCTTCTCATCAGTTTTCTCCACCTCCATACTGCAGTCCCTCAAGATGAAGTACTGATGATCTTAGCTTCCTCTCCCTTCCAGTCCCTCTATTCTATTATCATAGAAACCCATCAGTTCATCCTCAAGAGTGTTTCCCCTTTTCACTATTTCTTTTTCTCTCTTTTTCATAGTTCTTGTCATATAGCTGTATTCTTGCTGGTCTTTCATACCGTAGCCTGTTTCCCCTCAAATCTACCCCCGCCAACACCCTTAGATGATCTTCCTGCATCATTGTTTATGTCCATTATTCATTTTTGGCAAAGCACACAATGGACCACTAATTACTATTGTGTTTCATTCAGCCTGTTTTCCCCTTCAGTGTACTTGTTACCTTTTTTATTATAAATTTTTTGGCCACTCATTTTAGAAAAATTGGAAAATACTGGCATGTTAAAAAATAGGTAAAAATTCCATATTCACACTTTGTAATGTTTAGTTTCCCCACCAAAAATGTGAAATAAATACATTCCATATTTAAATGTAAACTTATTTTCTGTCTCTCTAGAGATTTTTATAGCTTGCTTCATAAAGGTCTTTCATATTTATTCTTTGCAGTGTTTCTGGATTTTTTTTTATAGCTATGCAACTCAAAACTTAAAATATTCTCAAACTTATTATTATTGTTTTATATGAAAATGTTGAAATGTGTTAATCTGAAAATATTGTTACTCATCTTTTAATGATTCTAGAAATTTTCGTTTATCTTCCTGGAATTTCTGTGCATATAATCTTGCATTATTCAAATAATGGTAAATTTTCTACCCCTTTCGTTTTAACATATTATGAGATAAAGCTTCAGGAAAATGCCAAATAATAATGGAAATATTCCACATTATTGTCTTGCTCTTGATGTCCATGGGAACAACTCCAGTGTTTCATTATGAAGTATTATATTAGATATTATGGTATTATATTCATAATATTCTTTTCTTAGCTTTCTGAGAGTTTTAACCAGGAACAGCTGTTTAATTTTTATCAAAGGCCTTTTTTTTTTGCCATCACTTGAAAAAAACGTGTGTTTTCTCATTTAATTATTTTTGCAATGTAATCTTTAATAAATTTTCTCATGTAAAATGAATGTTTCTTATCTCTATCAGCTTGTGGATATGATTTAAAATGTATTATGAATAATTTAAAGGTTGCTGGCTCATTGATCAGGAACTCTGCCCTATTGACAGTTGTAAACCAAACACTACCCTATCCCAAATCTTAGTGATTTTATTGTTTTTATTTCCAGAGAGTATTCAATAGATGTGTTCAGAATTAACGGTATGGTCTTCCACTCTGGCCTCCTTATTGATGCTGAAATTTCTTGAAGTATGTGTGGCCACCTCTTCTCTCAGCTGGTGGTACCCTTTGTAAGAAAGATAACCTTTGATAAAAGGTGCTTGCTTTATTATGGATTCATGCCACATATTCCCACAGATTAAAGCCCTGAGGACACCAAATGTCTCTGTGATTGTTTCCAAAGTTTCTGCACTACCAGTTCTATGCTGAGTTTCGTAAGGAAATAGGGATTCTTCCTAACTCTTTATCCTTGGGATGCGCAGCAACATTTCTTGGATATTAAAGTATAATAATGTATATTGAGTCAAATGAATGTCTGGGAGTCATAGATTTTGAGCCTAACAAATTCAGCTAGGTCATTCTGATGTAATTATAATAATATTATTAATGAACAAACTTACTTTTAGTCAAATTTATCTAGCTGTTTAATCAGATTTTCTATTGAATTAAATAGCTTCTCCCTTCTTTGAGCCTTTTAACCTCTAGTTCTTTCTAACCTGCAGTTTCCCAGGTCCCATGTCTTCCTACCTAATGATTTTGTCCTTTATTTTCCTAGAGTATGTCCTGAAATATACAGATAGAATTTGTGGAAGTTTAAATTTCTTTTATTTTCCCTTTTAAAAAAATTGACTAATTATAACTATGTGTATTTATGGAGTACAATGTGCTGTTTTGATACATGTATATAATTTGGTATGATTAAATCAAGCTACTTAATATATCTATTACCTTGCTTGCCTATCATTTTTTATGGTGAGGGATTTGAAATTTACTTTCTTAGTTATTTTGAAATAAGTTATACATTTTATTGACAATGGACACCCTGGTGTGCCATAAATCTCAAATCTATTCCTTTTGTCTATCTAAAACTTTATATCCTTTAATAAGCAGCTTCCCTATTTCCTTCCTCTTCACTGCCAACCTGCTCTGCACCAAGCCTCTGATAACCATTGTCTACTCTCTACTTCTACAAGTTCAACTTTATTAGATTCTCCATATAAGCAAGAGCATCTTTTTATATTTTTATCATAGTTTGGGCTGTTTCAACAGAATACCATAGACTGGGTGGCTTAATAAACAAGCATTTGTTTTTCACATTTCTGGAGGTTGGAAGCCTGAGATCAGGGTAAAAGCACGGTTGAGTTCTGATGAGAGCCATCTTCTTGGTTTGAAGATGGCCATGTTTTTTTCTGTATCTTCACAGGGCAGAAAGAAAGCTGGCTAGCTCTCTGGCCTCCTCTTAGAAGAACAATAATTCCACTCATGAGGGTTCCCCCTTCATGATGTAATTACGTCCGATGACCCACATTTAAATACCATCACACTGGGGATTAGGTTGCAACATATGAATTTTGGGGTGACACCTTCTGCCTGTAACAATTCAGTATTCATTAACATGTTTTTATAGTTTTAGTTTTATACTTTTGTCTTTTAATTTCTTTAAGATAATTAAGAGATTTACATACCATGGTTCTGTATTACAATACTCTGTATTTGTCTATATATTTGCCTTTATCAGAGAACTTTATATATTAGTTTGCTTTTGTGTTGCTTTCATGTATCTTTTCATTTCAACTTGAAGGACTCTCCTTAGCATTCCTTATAAGGCAGGTTGAGTGGTAATGAACTCACTTGGCTTTTGTTTTCTGAGAAAATCTTTTGTTTCTCTTTCATTTTTGAAAGATAGTTTTGCCACTATAGTATCCTTATTTGGTAGTTTTTTTCTTCCAGCACTTTAAATATATCATCCCACAAGATTTCCTAGCCTGCAAGGTATTGGCTGAGAGATTCACTAATATTTTAATGTAGGCTCGCTTGTGTGTGATGAGTTGCTTTTCTCTTGCTCCTTTCAAAATTTCCTTTTTGTCTTTGACAATTTGATCATAATGTGTCTTAGTGTAAACTACTTTGGGTTCATCCTATTTGGGATTCATTCATTCTTGAATATGACAGTCCATTTCCTTCTCCAGATTTGTAAAATTTGGGGCCATTATTTCTTTAAATAACTTTTATTTCCTGTTTTATCTCTCTTCCCCTTTCTTTGACTCTCATAATGTATATAGTTTTCCACTTGATGGTTTCCCGTAAGTCCTTTATGCTTTAATTTTTTAAATTATTTTTTCTTTTTGCTCCTTTGATTGGTTAATTTTTAATGACCTGCCTTTAAATTTGCTGATTCTTTCTTTTGCTTGATCAAGTCTGTTGTTAAGACCATCTAGTGAAATTTTAAATTCAGTTATTATATTCTTTAGCTCTAAGATTTCTCCTTGATTTTAAAAATGTTTGTCTCATTATTCTCATTTTGCTCATACATTATTTTTCTGAGCTCATTGAGCATTTCATGATGGTTATTTTTAATCATTTGTCAGGTAATTTATTTACTTTTGTTTATTTACAGTTGGTTTCTTGAGGTACATTTTATTGCTTTAATTCGATCATGTTTTTAACTGTTTTAAAATTCATGCATTTGGAAAAACAGCCACCTCTCCCAGTCTTCATGGACTGGTTTCATACAGGAAAGATCTTCACCAATCAGCCCCGGTTGAGATTCTGGGGGCCTCTCATACCTTTTCTATGGATGTGTCTTCTCTGAGTTTGTATGTGTAAATTCCCAATTAGAATGATTTGTTGGTTTCTTACCTCAGGACCTCATTCTGTCTTGTTCCCTCAGTTGCTTCTCTGCCTCATTGCAGGTTCTCTGGAGCTGATGCAACTCACACAGTTTTTTTTTTGTTGTTGTTGTTGTTGTTGTTCCTAGCAGTTCCCAGAATTCCAGATTATTCTAGGCTCCATGAATGCTCCAAGGTGGGCAAGACAGAAATTAAGAGTAAGTTCTATCAATGAGCTAAAAGGCCTCATATGATTGTATGCAAGCTCCACTCTTACATTTCCCCACTGAGGGAGAGGCTGCTATGCTGTATTGGCTTCTGTCTGTTGTACCACAGATCTCTGGGAGCAGCAGCAAGCCACCTAGTTCTCTCTTGTTCTCTTTGGTCCCTAGCAATCTAGGGAATGCCAAGTCCTATTCCCATCCTGAGACAGGTGAGACAGAAACTAGTCCCTCAGGAAGCCCTCCAAAATGATAGAATGTTGGACACATTTTCTAATTCTTTCCCTCCTAAGGGAGATGCTAGAAGTTAGGAATTTTCTTCTACTTTTTCTGTGTGGCGCTGGAAGGGAGGAACTATGGCAGTGAGTATGCACTAGTCCAATCTTTTGCCTTTATTCTGCATGGCCCTTAACCTGGCACCCTTTTCTGTCACTAGTAAGAGTCAGGCAAGGTGGAAACCTCAGAAAGCCTCCCACCCAAAAGTCTGAATACTGGAAGTATGTTCCAGGCTTCTGTATCCCTACTGAAGGAAAAGTTGAGAGCTGTTAATTTTCACTTGGTCATGCTGTGCTGAGCCATTGTGAAGGACTATACCAAATGAATACCATGAATTTTCTTACCAATTTGATGCAGCTGGTTGCATGTTTGCCTGAGGTATAGAAGCCTCTTAGCTGATTTGTGGAATTTGTTCATGTATAGTTGTTGAGTAGGTGCCTACATGGAAAAAGGAAGGTGTGGGGCTTCCTATTTCTCTATCCTGCTGATACCCTTTATATTTTTAAGGCACAGATTTTAATAAATATGCTTTAACTTGCTCTTACTATCTTATCATTTATATTCTCAGTGACATTATTTTTTCTAATATTTTCTCTTGTAAACTAAAGAAAATTGTGTTAAATTGTTGCTCAGAAATTATTATTTTCTCCTTGCATTTCAAGCTAGTTTTGATGTATTCTTTCTGAAGTATTTATGATGACTTGGAAAGTCTTTGTAGAGACTCAAATTACTGCACTATACAGTAAGAAATTATACATTAGATATGATTTTATAGAATCAAAGAGGAAGAAATGGCTTTTTCTAGTATTAATGTGGCAGTATGTACGAAGTAGCTGAAGGTTTCAGAAGTATTAGGACTTATTATTCCAACGAAAAGTACTTTGGTTGGTTGGAACATCCTAGACACATGGGTAGGTGAAAATGAGAGATATTTGAAAATCATTAAAGAAAATATTTTAAAGATTGATATAGGATATGGCAATTTACTAGATTTATGAAGGGCATAAATGATTGTTTCCTGTGCTAACAATATTTTAGATGTAAACACAACAAAGTTGCTAGCAACAAAATATTTTCTTCAAAACAAGCTTTGCCTGATTACTAAAACTTTATATAGTACTATCCAATTAAAGGAATAAAGTGATTCTGAATTACATTTGAATTGTGAATGTTGCTCAGCAGGTATTAAATTTTCACGTAAATTACAAATTCATAACTGGATTTCATCTTTCCTTTCATTGCAGTTTTGTTCTTGCCTGTCTGAATGACACATGATAATGTGATTAATTACTCTAATTTGTCTTCAGCAAATCTTAATTTCATAGTTGCAGAGTGTATAGGTCGTCATCTCCTAACAGATATAAATCTAGTTAATAAACACATGTGATACACTGAATTTACTATAATATAATAATCCATGCAATGAAATCAGGATGTAGCAAATTAAAACACAAATGCTTAAGTAACAGTAGCAAAGATTAAGAATGATGCTCTTCTTTCAGGTTCTGCTTCAAAGTATATGCATTATCAGAAACTTTTTAGTATCCTCACCAGCCCAAGCTACCATAACCTTTTGGCTACTTCGATTTCCTCCTAATTTGTATTTCTACACCTACCCTTGCTATTCTTCCATCTGTTTTTAACATCAGAATGTTCCTTTTAAAACATGTTATGTGATGTTGTGTTTCTGCTCAAAACCCTACAATGGCTTCCCATTTCTCTAAAATTAAGTTCTATTAATGAGCTAATAGGCCCCACATAACCCAACTCCTAACATTTTTCTGAATTCATTTCTTAGTTCCCTCTGCTAGAGCCCAAAGCATGCAAGGTAAACCTTGGCTGTAGAGTCTTTGTTATACTTATTCCCTCTGTCTGGAAATTAATTTTTCCAAATATTCATTAAGCTCACTTCCTCATTTTCTTACCCCTTTAAAATTTTTGCTCTGTCAGCTTTCAGTTTATAATTGTCACCCCCACCCGATCTTCCTCATCTGCTCCATCATTTTTATTTTACCACAGCATTGGTCACTCTCTCAAATAATATAAAATGTATGTATTAATTTTGTTTGTTGATTATAATACATGTTGCCCATCTAAACTGTAAACTTTGGAAGGGCAGCAACCTGTGTTGTTGTTGTTTTTTTTTATTTTTAGTTCACTGATACATTTCAAATACCTGGAATAATGTCTAGCACATGGTAGCCATTCATTAAATATTTATCAAATAAATAAATAATAAATAAATGAAGCAGCCTCATATTAGTTATTTTTGAGGAGAAGGGAAAAAGGCAAAAAACAGGTATAAAAGGGTAAGTCTTTAGCTGTAACTGTACTTATTCAGAGAGGGAGAGAGAGAGCACTTTCGAGAGAGTGACAGCAGACAGATATATGGTGACATGTTAACATATAACATCTTAATGGTATGCACATGTAGGGCTCTGTTAAAATATCACTTGTACTTTTAATATGTTTAATTTTTTATAATTGAAACTAAATACGAGAACAGCATTAAAATCTATAACAAACCCAAAGATAATAGGCATTCATCAGTGTCGATAAGAAATTAATCAGTGAATTATATAATTGATTACTTTATTGATCAAGGGTATGTCTCAAATTTGGCTGATGTTAAGAAATATTATAAATGTGTAGAAATATGTTCAAAAATCCTCAAAGCATTCTTGCTTCTTTCATTACTATCACATTTTTTCTCCACCTCTCTTATACAATATTCCTGGGTACCTATCCTGACAGTATCCTTCCCCTCAATAATATTGCTTCAGTCTCTTGGGATGCACTAACTATAAACTTCTTGAAGGCAAGAGCTATGCCTCTTGCATATTATTCTATCCCCAGTGAAATAAAATGTTTTTAATATATGTCAAAGAATACATACACATTGTATGAATAGATGAATAAACTTCAGCAAGATATCATATTATCTGTATCACAAAGGCAAAGTGTTGGAGCTGTGGTAGATTTTTAAGGACAATAACTTTCTGTAACAAAAATAACAAATATCCAAATGGTAGAATTTTAGACACCATGACAAGGAATACCATGGTGTTCAGGGGACTGAGGAATCTTTCAGGTGATTTCATATCACACCAATTAGATGACTATTTTCATCTACTTAAATGACTGATTTTTCCAGCCAAAAGTAGGGATATAACTATTGGATGCCAAATCACTATGGATTGTTCACAGGCTAGTTCAGTATCTACAGACTGAAGGTTGGTTTTTTGCTCGGTCACTTTTTCCCCCCTGTAAATCTGAAGTAGATTTCCCAGCCCTGAAAAAAATTCAACTTAAGTAAATCTGGAATTGATGCATTGCTCTATTATTTTAGGTAGAATTTAGTGCGTCAGTAAAATGCACTTCCATTAGTGTCATCTGGTGATAACAATAATCATCTATTTGAAAAGTGTTATAATGCTTAAAGAGAAGACTTTAACTATTTTTTTTTAAATTTAAAATGCATGATGACTCTAGGCTTTTTTGATCTTTTACAGAGGTGACAGTAAAGTCTTCTGTCCATAGAGAATGCCGCTGTTGAGATTGACAATCACTCTCACTTTCTCTTTTGCTTTTAGTCTTCATGTTCATTTCTTCCCTGCTTTTCCTTATGTACTGAAAGAACATTTTCTGGAACAGTGGGATCAAGGAGCTTTGTTTGCGTCCTTAATAAGTTATGTTGTCTGGTTTCTCAGGAAATCACTGGAGGCTTTATAAATTTTGTTTTTTAATTTCGAATTTATAAAATCTACTCCCTTTACTGTCTGACTTAAAGATGTAGGTAAGAGGCTATCACTCTTTGAACAAATATGGTACAAGTCGGGGTTAATATTTCTCTTTTCCTAAATTTCTCAGAGGAGATGGGGACAAAGAGTGGAATTATGAAGTTGTAGTCATTTTGTGTGCTTCAGGATTATTTGAAAGTAACATTTGCTTAAATTTTAGAAGTGGACTTTGTCATTTGCTATTTTACTGATGCAACTGGAGATAATTTAGAAAGTAATATTAAAGTAATAGTAAATATAAGACAACAATAGCTTTCCAGCACAGCTGATGCCTAGAAGAATTCTCTCCTTGAACTTTGCTACTCATCAGTCAATGAGCATTTGGTACATACCAGGCATTGTGCTGCATGTTTTATATACATAGCCTCAAACAATCCTAAAAATGTATCTTTTAGGAATTGCATTTGTGTTATTATCTCATTTCATAGGTAAAACTCAGGGGAGGTAAATAACTTGTCTAAGTTTATTACTTTCTAACTAATAAGTAACAAAGCCCTGATTCTAACGCAGTTTTTTTTTTTTTTTTTTTTGACTCTGAAGTCCACACTATTAATACTAAAAGGAATTACCTTCTATTTCCAACCATTTTCATTCCTCTTTTTATAACAACCAGTGGTGACTTATATTCTTTGCAAGGGAATTTGATGTCAGTTGGTCATAATATCACCAGAAAAATTTAGTGATTAGGAAAATTGTTAGCACAGTAATTGATTATGTTGGTATCATCAGAAGTTTGATTTCATCACACCTTAGCTAAGGAAAAAGGTGTCTTAAAAGAAAAGTTATTGAGATATCATTTCTAAAATCACAATTATTTTGTGTTTCCTCAGTGGTTTTTCATGGAAAATATTCTGGATAGTAAAAGAATACCATTTTTAGATTTTGTCACTTCATGTGATAATTCTTTTTAGGACCACAGGAAGTGAACATGATTAGCATTTGAAAATTTGTTGTTCTCAAGTACAAGTAAAAGCCTGTACAACTTTAAATATTTACCATAGAATCATATTGGATAATAGTATTAGTAAGGGGAAAAATCCCCTTGAACCAAAAATGTGTTAGACAAACTGTGCATCCTGACTCAGATGTTCTTATTTTTTTGATAAAAGTATTCCAAAAAGAGAATAAAAGATAATTTTATCACATGGATAAAATTCATCTGAACCAAAGTGATCTCTAAACAGATTGAGTTTTATTATAGTATAAAAAAATATGCCCTCAGGTAGCATCACCTAAGGAGTAACTGAAGCCTTCAAGGTCCCCATATGTTTCTACATCTATTAAAATGCATAAAAGCCTTCCTTTATACTATTAAGTTATATTAGGTTATTGAGGATAATTACTTCAAAACTGTTTAAATCTAATCAAGTAAGATTCCTCATTTGTTTAGTTATTATTCATTAAGCACTTACATTAATATTTAGACTTTTGAAAATTCAATAGTACTTTTTAAAAACTTGAGTCAGCTAATAGTAAGAGACACAACACAACGATTTTTTTCCTGAGGGAGGTCACATGTGTCAATACCAGTAGCTTCTCTGAATAATCGGTGTAAGGTGGCCAATGAGGAGTAGTCATGTAGAATACTTAATATTGACACAATAGAACAGATCTAGAATCCACATTTTTCTCTGGGGTGGAAGATACTTTTTTGTAGAGTCAGGAAGCCATTATGTCTACCAAAGCCTGCCTTATCTCACAGTATGCATTGAACACAGAGGCTGAGAAAAGTAGGAAATGCCTTGGCTGCTGAAATAGAGAGAAGCCATTCCTACTTAATAAGTAACTGACAGTAGAAAATTTATAAATTATATTTTGAAGGAACTGACACTTTTTATCAGTATCATTGGTGAAAATTCTACTTAAAGAATAACTTAAGTCTTAGCATTTACAAAGATAGATAATGTTCTACAATTGAAAATCAGTCACAGACCCAGATGATTGCAATGAGTATGACAAACTATTATAAATGGTGCTGGGTGCTATAGTGGAAAGGAAGCATCAACCATTCTGATGGAAATGTGAGGAAATAGAGAAATCTTTCTGGGGAAGCAAGATCTGAGAAGATTTTGAGGTCTGAATAGAATTTACGTAGGCAAAGAAGGAATGCATGTGTTTCAGACAAGTGGAATTTCCTGTGCCAAGTCAGAGAGGAATGAGAGAGCATGGTGCATTCAGATAAGTGAAAGTTGCTCAGAAGGAATGGGAGCATTTATTGAATGGAGGGGATTGGTGACGCATGAAGTCAGGGAGCAGACAAGGGTCAGATATGAAATGTTACATTAATGTGTTTGAATTATTTTCCTGAGAGTGACATGAGAGCTTATTAAAGAATTTTAAGTAAGGACATGACATAATTACATTTCTTGTTTTAGGAAAACTATTCCAGAATCATTGAGAAGAATGTATTGAACAAGGTATGGACCAATATAGGAAGAAATCTTTTGAGTATCTTGCAAAAATTGAGGAGTGAGGTGATGAAAGCCTGAAGATAGGAAGTGTTAGGACAGAAATGAATAGAATGGAGGAAAACTGTATAAATGTTAAAATGCTACATGTAAAAATCAATTCTTTAGGTATTGAGGATTGGGAAAAAAGATTCTCAGAGGACTGGGTGGATATTTAGTGGTGCTCACTGAAATATGCAATGGGGAAACAGAGGCTGTTGAGGTATAGGGAAAGAGGGATTCAACTTGGAAGGGAATTTGATGTCAGTTGGTCATAATATCACCAGGAAAATTTAGTGATTAGGAAAATTTTTAGCACAGTAATTGATTATGTTGGTATCATCAGAAGTTTGATTTCATCACAGCTTAGCTAAGGAAAAAGGTGTCTTGAAAGAAAAGTTATTGAGATATCATTTCTGAAATCACAATTATTTTGTGTTTCCTCAGTGGTTTTTCATGGAAAATATTCTGGATAGTAAAAGAATACCATTTTTAGATTTTCTCACTTCATGTGATAATTCTTTTTAGGAGCACAGGAAGTGAATTGCTTGTGGCACATCTGGATGGAGATTCCCAGTAGCTATGAAGCCTACAACTATTGCATTAGTGAGTGAGAGCTTCACTGAAAATATAGACTTGAGAGAGGCTTCATAGGTAAGAGTTAGGCAACTGAGAAGAATGAGAAGAAAATGAAACACTCCTTAGCAAAAATTGAGGTAAAAGGGAGTGTGCTGGAAGAAGAAAAGTTGAGAAATTCATTGAAAAAAGACTACAAGGAAATTCGATTCCAGCTGACAAAAGGCTGTCTCTGTTTGCAGAATTTGCATGTATTTTCTTTTTAATTTGCCAGTTTTAAACTGAAAGAACAAGAGCTGAAAGTCAATTGATAGGTCATGAGTCACCAAGTATTTGACTGTTAGTATTATGTTAACAATCTGAGTGTATCAGCCAGCAAGCTTTTCAGGACCAGCAGATGTTGCTGGCATTAAGAACATGAGGGTTTCCAGCTTCATCCACGTTGGGGGAGGGGGGGAATAGCATTAGGAGATATACCTAATGTAAATGATGAGTTAATAGGTGCAGCATACGCACATGGCACATGTATACATATGCAACAAACCTGCACGTTGTGCACATGTACCCTAGAATTTAAAGTATATATAAAAAAAAACCATGAGGGGAGATGAGCACAAGATGAAAGGCCCATAGAAATGCTTTTAAAAAAATGAACAACAGGAATTGCTAATAATTTAAGGGACAAGAAAAAGGAATGGAAGGCTTGGGGACTGATGGCAGTGCAAAGACTTAATTTCCCATTGCATTAGCTTAGCAAAAAGAATCTGGGTGGTCCATCACCACACTCTTCCCTCTTGGGAGCAAACTACAGCCAAAGACATCTGGAATGGTTGTTTGAAAAATATATATATATGGGGAGAAATCTTGACATATTATCCTAAGAAGCAAATTAGGGTAATATGTGTAATGTCTTAAATCTTTTTGCAATGTTATGAAATTGATGTATTAACTAATATGGTTTCCAAGTAATAGAAAGATGGAAATGTTTAAGATTGTGGCTAAAAAAACACATTAACAGCAATACATTATTCTAAATACTGAGGCTCAGTAAATTCTGAAAGCACATCTACAACTATAGAATAATAAAGAAATAATAAAACAAGAGATAGGCCCAAATGCTAAATGTAGAAATCCCGAAGCAACATTATCCTCTAATTGTCCTAAATCATGTGGTTTATGAGCAAAGAGCCAGCACCTACATTCTAATTGCTGGCCATGAGTCAGCGATCACTGACTTTCTTCCTCTAACAGGGCCTTGACCTTGGTCTGGATTAGTGGGAAATTAACACACTCGTCTTGAAATTTTAAATACTTGAGCCTGAATCTACCAAATCAGGACATTCAGATTTTTAAAAACCTTCAAGAGTTATGTTTTGAGAGTTCTTAGAAGATGTCTCAAACATGATCAAGAAAATATCTCCATCATCAATTTGACTAGTTACCTGGTGATACTAATTTTCCACTTGTCTCCTGCCTAGACTCCCACTCCCACTAAATGTAAAAATGTCACTACATTTTTCAGACACTGCCAGGAACCTCCATAGCTTCTACAGAGTTCTGCAGTCTGATGCTGCAGGGCATTGCCAGCTCTTGCCAGTCTCATGCTGTGATGGGACACAGGAAGTGATCACTGGGCTGTGTAATTTTCTTTTGTGAAAGAAGGAGGGATTGGCTTTCATTCTCTTGTGTTATATCCTGTTAGAGGGTTCTAAAGCAGCATTCCGTTGGTACCAAAGTCCATTTATTCATGGAGCAAACATTTAAAGAATGTGTACTCAGTCCAGGCATAGTGCTTGGTGCTGGATATAAAATAGTTAGCAAAAGCACCCACGTTAAGTAGAAGAGCCAGACTTTACTCAAATAAGTCCAATAATGACGCACACAAGACCACAATCACAGGAAGAATTCTAAAGGAAGAGACTGCTATGAGATTTGAAGGATTAGTAAGCACTAGCTAAGTAATGTAGGGATGCACAGAGTGGGAACAAGGGGTCCATTATCACAGCAAAAGAAATCACCCAAAGATTCTGTGCCAGTTGGAGTGTGAAACTTCTCAGGATCTGAAAAAATCCAGAGTAGGTAAATTACAGAGAATAAGGGAGAGAATGCTGCAACCTGATGCCTATAAGAGCTAGAATAGCCTCGTTAAGGTCTGATGTCTTACTCAAGAGTAAAGTATTATAAGCTGGGTGGTGAGAGGAGTAAGTGTCCTTATCAAAGTAGTGAACTGCTGTAGAGTTGATTAAAGACAGGTAAGATTTATCTGAAGAGAGAGAAAACTTTGGTGTTTTATATAGAGTCCCCTCCCATCCCCTTCACTCATATTCTCATTAACACTGATTTAGAATCTTAGAATCTAGTCTGAGGAAGTGGCTGTACTTGGAGATCAATCTAAGAAACAGCTTATTGCAGTCAGATTTGTTCTTCTCCTCTGATTCTGGCTTTCAAACTGGGTCCACCTTTTTGTTCATGGCTCTGTAAGATGCACTTTATTAAAATTAACTTTAGATAGGACTCTTCCAGCAATTTACCAAAGATGTCCAGCCCTTTTTGTACCCCAACCCGTTACATTTCAGCTGGGATCCCCACTCTATCAGGACACAGAAAGTGCATCTTCTTCAGTGCTCAAAACCTCAGTGTCCTTAAAATATCCTGTATTGATGTATCAGCCCCTCAATTCAGAGAAGATAGTTCCTCTGATCATATGACTTCATCATTTCATCCCATAAATTGGGATTTATGATCCAAATAATAGTCACTCTTTCATTGAGTCTGTAACATCTAGATTAATGTACATGTTTTGTGGTTTCCATTATCATATCTGGTTAACAACACCAACTATAAAATTTAAAGGCAGAATAACATAGTGATTTCACTTCATGTTAGACAGATATGGGCACAAATTCTAGGTTAGGTGCTTACAACTCTGAAATCTTAGGCAAGTTTCTTCAATCGCTGATACTAAGTCTCTTTATTTGAAAAATAGTGGTAGGCCAGGCACGGTGGCTCATGCCTGTAATCTGAGCACTTTGGGAAGCCAAGGCGGGTAGATCACGAGGTCAAGAGATCAGACCATGCTGGCCAACATGGTGAAACCCCATCTCTGCTAACAATACAAAAATTAGCCGGGCATGGTGGTGGGCGCCTGTAATCCCAGCCACTCGGAAGGCTGAGGCAGGAAAATTGCTTGAACCCATGAGGCGGAGGTTGCAGTGATCCAAGATTGTGTCACTGCACTCCAGCCTGGTGACAAAGCGAGACTCTGTTTCAAAAAAAAAAAAGAAAAATAATTGTATAGTAGTAGTGAGTATATAATTTAACAAAAGTATATGTAAAGTGTTTGGGAATGTACCTGAAATTTCACATTGAAAAATTATGATTATTGCTGTATCATTGTTATTAATCAAGTTTAATGGTCAACAGTACAGTATGATAAAGATGAAATGTATTCTATAAAATCTTACCTTTTTCTTTTCTTCATATTTAGTAAGAATTTATGTTGTTTATATTAGCATTATCTTTTCTTAAGAGAATAGTAATCTCTTAATGAGATTATTTCTTACAAGGCTTCATAAAAATGGAAAACTTAAGTTTTTCATTCTAGTCCAAAAGCATATGGGAAAAACAGTTTCAGAAGCTTTAAATATTAACAAGAGGAACACAGCATAATGATACAGGGAAGAAGTGAGAGCATGAATGCTCAGAATTGCTTTTAGTGGAAAGAAGCAGCCAGCATTTGTTGAGAGCTAAAGATCTTTTTTTTTTTAAATAGATATGAATTTAATTGGCAGGACTTGGCATCATTTACAGGAAAACATGTTTTATTTATTTCAGTTTAAATATATTTCAAACACTATTTTAAAATACAGTTCTGCCAAGTGATGGGGCAGCTGTTAAGTGGTTCAGGATTTAATGCCCTCGTTAGCCTTTTGCCTCTAAGGCCCTTGATCTACCTCTATGTAATTAAGCTCATACATTAAATTAGTTTTATGGGATAAGGGAGCCCCAAGTGGTATGGACATTAGATACTAGGAAGACATTTTGGATAATTGGCAGTTTCAGCTTGAAAACCACTTGGGGTGAGAATGAATGGGTGCTCAAGTTTAAAAGGGCATCAGCAAAAATAAATACCAGTGATGAAATTGAACTCT
This sequence comes from Homo sapiens, assembly GCF_000001405.40. NCBI lineage: Eukaryota > Metazoa > Chordata > Mammalia > Primates > Hominidae > Homo > Homo sapiens. The sequence goes on from NC_000011.10 coordinate 28,838,894, forward strand.
TCCTTCCTGTTTTTAATCAGGGCCAATCAGCAGCAAAATTATAAAGTAAATGAGAATGTCGTCATTGGAATTCCATCTCTATGAGTGTTTTTTCTACCTCTTTTCTCTCAAATTATCACAAAGTTGGAATTCCAACTCAAGCTGACTCTTAAGTAATATGTTGTACTTCAAATTATGAAATGTTTTATTTCAAAAGGAGATATCTGGAAAGAATAAAACAAATAGAAATGAATTTCTCATATGAAGTTATCACCACTTAATTTACTCTATAAGTAGGGGAAAGTTTTGCATGTGTAGGAAAGCTTGAAATCATAGAATCAATATGACCTTGCCCAGGGTTCAAATGCCTTGGTGGGTTACATGTTTTGTGTTGTAACAATCTGACCCTTGGGTCCATCTCATAGTGATTACACTCTCATGGGTGTATTTTGGAGAGGATAAAAGGAGATATAAGGCTTGTAAAGTGTCTTGAATCATGTCTGACACAAAGTAAGCATCTCAGGTTGTTGGTTTTGTGCTTACCTGACTCAATCCCTTCTTTGCTGAGTAGATCCTTTGCTCATTCTGCAAAACCGGCATTGCCTTTAGAATCACATGCAGAAATATCAGAGATGGCTGTTTTATTTCCATGGGGATATTATTATAGAATTTTACATCTGAAAGTGGCTTTAGTTTGCAAGTAAGAAAGCAGGTTGAGAGAGAAAGTGGCTTCTCCAAGGTCACAAATATAGCAGTAGCAGTAGTCTCAACTCCTAATTCGTCATGCTTCCTTTCCCTGAGCAGCAAGCAGGTGCTCAGTGGCAAATACTTGTCAGTGATTGATTGACTAAGAATATTAAATTTTTCCATCTGGATGTGTGTATTTTGGGGGTCGCTGGAGTCTGAATTGGGGAGGAGGAACCTCACCGAAGTAGTTTCAGCCTATTTGGTTCCTATCTTTAGAAAAAAAAACTCCTTTAGCCAATGTTTTCAAAAGAATAATTGCATTATATTCATAACCAATTCAAACTCATTTAAACAACTATTTCTTTCCCATATAAGAAGCATGGTGAGCATTTCCACTCCATCTTGAAATAATATTTTCATTTTCAAGTCTAAACATAGTAACTAGCGTAAAGTCTATCTAAACTTAGCCGCTAATAGCCCAGGCTGTTAAATTTGTCATTACAATAATTCTTTTTTTCCTGAGTGCAAAATTATCACAGCTTAAGATGAAACAATCTTTTGTTAAGCAACCAAAGCCATTGCTTTTAGTCACATGATTTACAGAAAATAAAGAGGGCCATACAACATATCTTACCTTGTATCAGCAGATGACAGAGCCGCAAGGTATTACACGACCATTTCCAATGAAAGGGATGGTAGGTGGTAGAGTTGGCAGCAATTACATTAGGTGGTGGGGTCTATAACCAGGAGACTCTGTAATTACCTTCAAGGGGACTGATATTCTTGTGAGGAAGAGGATGTGATGTGGTGCATATTCTATTGTCCATCATAATGAAAAAGTAAAATAAAGGAAAGTAAAAGGCTTTCTTGGTATTATTTCCTGACTCATTTGCCCTCTAAATGTGAGTGTAACATCACAATGAAATAATCTTCATACATAATGCTTTGCTCCTAGTTTCTTAAACTTGTATACGTTAAACAAAATTAAAATACAATTATAGACATTACCAGGAAGGAAGACAGTTTAGGAGGTCATCTAATTTGTCTCTTTAATTTATTGCTGGATCACATTTAAGTCACGCCAGGTGACGGAAACTTTCCTTAAAGTCAAATAGCTCTCATCTCTTGTGATAGAGTCTAGATCTTCTCATAAGGGACAATTGACCAGTCACCACATTGCTATGGGTGTTTGGATAAATATGAAGGAGGGTGTTCAAATGCAAACGTCAATCTGAGGGTCTAAGACTGCTTTGGGATTTTACACACTTTTAGATTATTTCCAAATTGCCATTAGGGATGAGCATAATCTGCATGAGTTACGATTGTCCATCACTATTTGGTATTTTCACATGACACTTTTTACACCAGGAGTGGATATCAAACTATATAATACAAGAAAAAAATCATTCTCTCACAGTTGTCCTTATTAGCCTTAAATTCTTTGGTCTATTATAACATACTCTCTCACCCTTCCTCTCTGTAATAGACAAAGATGGGCTGTCCAGATTCCCCTTCTGCCAACGACTTGGCAGAAGGATTTGCTGCCAAGTATAGGGAGTGCCATCATCAGGCAGTCTCCAACTCTCAAATCCTACAAAGTTGGCCCCAGCTGGAGAATCACCTCGTCTGGAGTTTCATCCCTTACAGGGCAGCTTGCATCCCTTGACTAAGCGAGGTAGAGGTATCATAATATTCAGCCATTTCTACCTGATGTGGTCATGTGAGAAAACCCTGATGGGACAGTATTTACTCCAGAGCTCTCCACCAGGTTGCCCCATTTTTTTTGTTCTGTCTGTATTTCAGATTAACTCCTTTCTCTGCTGAATCCCGCACTGTCCCTCTTCCATTCACAGGTGCTGATACCCAATAAACAACTTGCACCCCAAACTTCATCCTAGCATTTTCTCCTAGAGAACTCAACTTGTGACAGCACTCCCAGTTTACTTGCTCCACTGTCCTTCCATCTTATATGCCTGATTAAACCCAACAATTTGCATACTTTTTACCTGTCCCCAAGCTGGTAAATGAGTCTGGAGAAAAACACACAACCATGCTGACTCACTCTAAATTCATGATCACCTATCTCAAAAGGGCACTTGACCCTGTCAACGGATCCTACTGTGCTCCTGGGCATGTACTCTGTGGAACTCTCTACGTTTTCCATTTCTATTTCTCTCTTAGTTTTAAAACATCAATGCTCTTGTTACTTTGCTTCATAATTTGGTTGGAAAGATCTAGAAGACCTCAACTTTACCGTTTGGTGAGAAGGAAAAATACATCTGGCAATGCCTTCCTCCCTTTTCCCCATCAAATCTATAAAACTCTCCTCATCCAGACCCATGCTCTCTCCTTTCCCTTCAGTTGGAGAAGTGTCCTTATAATCTAAGTCATTTTGTGCCAATCTCATTAAATCTTCTCAAGGACATCATTTCTGCAGTGCTCCTCTCTTTTCTGGTAACACCAGTTTTTCTCTATCTCCTGGCTCATTTACATCAGCATAACAATACACGTAGTAGAGGCAGACCAGCATAGTGAAGGGCAACTCATAACAGGGCTTAAAAGTATAAACTTGACAGTCAGCCTGCCTTGGTTTAAACACTGGCTCCAGCAGCCACCAGGTAAAGCACATTACCTTGCCATTCTATACCTCTCCCTTCTCATCTATAAAAGGAAATCTTAGTAGTCCTTATCTCATAGGGATTTTGTGAGGATTTGTAAATAAAAATCAGGGGCTGTATTTATAATAGCCATTTGCACATAGTAACCACAAAATAAATAGTTAGAATTAGTAGTGTTCATATCTCCCATCCCAAATAGCATGCCAATAAACTCAAAAAACCTTTTTAAGCAAGTCTTCTAGATCCTAGACCATTTCTCTGTTCTCCTTTACATCAAAAATTATAGATAACTCATACTTCACTCCCTCATGTTCTGTTCTCTCCTCAATGAACTATGAATGGGCTTCATTCTCCAGTCTTTTTCTGAGTCTTTGAAAAGGTCAGTCCACATGGCTAAATCCAGTTGCCATTTTTTCTGCCATTTTACATGTTCTCTCAGCATATTTTGATGTAGTGACTATGGCATTTTAATTCAAACACGTTTTCTCTTGTTTATATGATGCCACAACTACTGGATTTTCTTCCAGCTCACAGATGGCACCTTCTCTGATTCCTTTGTGAACTCCTCTTGTTCTATTCAACCTCTAACTACTGCTTCTTTAGGTTCCTGTTGGGTTCTTTCTTCTACTTTTCCCTGATGACACAATTTTCCCAGGTGATCTCATCTGCCCTTGTGGCTTTAACTAGCATTCTGTAGGCCGCTGACCTCCCAATTTAAGTTTCCTGCCCTGGTCTCCTTATTTACTTACAAACATGCATATTCCAACACTTACTTGTTATCTCCACTGGATGGGCAAAACAAACTCTTCATTTTCCTCTCCACTTAAGCTTGTTTCTCCTCCAGTGTTCTCTATTTTAGTGAGTGGCAATACTTAGTTACTCAAGCCCCAAGCAAAACAAATCATATGTATCATTTCCTTTACATCATACCTACATATAATCTGTCAAAAACTTCTGTGTTTTCAAAATATAGCCCCAAACAGTCTACTTCTCTGTATCTCTACCATGTCTATTCAAGACACTATCTTACTTGTCTAGAATCCTGGAAGAGCCTCCCAACTGGTCCTCTTTTTTTTTTTTTCCCTTGCCTAATTAAAATCCATGACCACCTAAGCAGTCATAAAGACTTTTAATGCAAATTAAATTATGTCACTTCCCTGCTTAAAATGCTCCAGTGATATTCCATACCAATAAAAATAACATTTGAACATCTCACTTTCCTTTCAAAGCTTCTTCCCTGCATTCCTTAGGCATATGTGATATTTTCATTTTTCTTGAATAAAAAATTTCATTCGTATGGCCCTTGTACTTGCTTTTCTCTCTGCCGGGAGCATCCACTCTTCAGAACCTCATATAACTGACAGTTGTTCATCATTTAGTTCTTAACTTCAGCATTATCTTTTTAATGAGGTTTTCTTTCCCTGGCCACCTATTCTGATGCTCCCCTTCCCCATTGTCATTGTCAATCACATTATCCTTTTATTTTAATTCTAGTGTTTATCATTGTCTGTGATTATTCTATTCATTTGTTGCTATGGTTTGAATATGATTTGTTTGTCTCCACCTCAACTCATGTTTCTTTAAGTGATGATTAAGTCATTAAGATGGATTAATGTCTGTCTCTGGAGAATGGGTAAGCACGAAAGAGAGCAGGTTGTTCTAAAGCAGGTCAGCCTCCTTTGCCCCCAGTCTCTTTTTTTTTTTTTTTTTTTGAGACAAGGTCTCACTTTGTCACCCAAGCTGGAGTGCAGTGGCATGATCTTGGCTCACCGCAAACTACGCCCCCCAGGCTCACGCCATTCTCCTGCCTCAGACTCCTGTGCCCCCTGTCTCTTACATATGTAGACACTTGCTGCTCCCCACACGCTTCTGCCATGTGATGCCATCTGCCAGGTCATGGTGCAGCATGAGGCCCTTGCCAGATGTGGCTGACAGATCTCGAGTTACCCAAAGTCCGGAACTGTGAACTAAATAAACCTCTCTTCTTGATAAATTCCTCAGTCTCAAGTATTCTGATAGAGCAATAGAAAACAAACTAAGACATTTATTTTCTCATTCATTGTCTATTTTTACTCACTAGAATGCAAGTTTCATGATAACAGGGTCCTTGTCTGTCTTGTGTATCAGCTTATCTCTGGCACATGGTAAAGGATAAAAAGTTAGTTTTTAAATTAATAAACTCTAGTGCTTCCATGCCTTAGGCCTGATTCTCACTCCATCTAAATTCACCTCTCTTTGTCTTTATATCAATGCTGCTTTCCTTCCTTCCGTCCCTCCCACTTTTCTCTTTTTTCCTTCTTTCCTTCCTTCCTTGCTTTCTCTCTCTCTTTTTTCCCCTTCTCTCTTTCTTTCTCTTTCTTCCTTTCCCTCTTTCTTTTTTTCTCCCTCCCTCTTCTTCCTTCCTCCCTCCCTCTCCTTCCTTCCTCCCTCCCTCCCTTCCTTCTTCCCTTCCTCCCTTTCTTCTTCCCTGCCTCCCTCCCTCCTTCCTTACTTCCTTCCCTCCCTCCCTCTTCTTCCTTCCTCCCTCCCTCTTCTTCCTTCCTCCCTCCCTCCCTCCCTCCCTTCCTTCCTTCCCTCCCTCCCTCCTTCTCTCCTTCTCTCCTTCCCTCATTCCCTCCTTCCCTCTTTCCCTCATTCCCTCCTCTATTTTCTTTCTGTCTTTTCCCCTGATACCTCCCCCTGCCAGGGTATAATCTTCATACTTTATTTGCACTCCAGTTCAGGGGCTTTTCCTACAAGGACCTTTCTGTAGGCAGCACACCACCAATTTTGCTGTTTCCCAGAGACCCAGAGCTGGGCACTAACTCCAGTGGCTGGAGGTAATGGCTTTTATTTTGTGCATCCACAGAGCATTACAATGTCAAGAAGACATCTCTTCTGGATGGGAAAATAGCTAGTTAATGAGGGGTGATGCCCTCTTTCTACTAGCTTTCAACTGAAAAAATGTTTATATTTTGAGAACTCTGCATATTCACCTGGTAAAAAAGGAACTCATATATGTTGGTCATTTGCTTAGAAAACTATTGTTTAGGTACATTCCTTTCAAAGTTCTTGTGCCTAAAATTTTTGCAGTGGATCCTAAAATGGCATAATCTATTCTGAAACAGCTTATTTCTGAGTGATAACTTTTCCATAGGTTTATCTAATATTTACCTGGCCAATTCAATAATATTTGTTTCTAAACAGCATTTACATAACATTCATCATTTGAATTTAGGTTCAAAGAAATCCAGTGTGGAAAAACTTTACCACATATATGATCTACTTACAAGTTTCATTGACCATTACATCTGGCCTTTTCTCACAGTCAATTACATGTTATCAGAAAGGTGGAATTCAGGTCCTAGCTGCTCAAGGCTTCAGGTACAGTGCTTCAACACTGATTTTCCAGGAATCAGAGGCCCCAGATAGCAGTATTCTCTTTTCCATGGCTTCTATTTCTAATGTGCAGGGTTTCTAATGTGCAGGGTTTCTAATGTGCAGGGTTATTTTTTTTTTTGTGAGTTCCTTGGAGGTTCTTTTTTGCTTGCTGTGAACACTGTTGAGACTTCATGTGTGATTATTTAGTGCCTAGTTGTGGTAATACTCTTGTATTTAACCCTTCATACTGGGGCAGCTCACTATTTTTTTGCTTCTTCAACTGTGATAACCTCCCACCACTGTGGTTTTCAAAGTGGGACGTCAGCTTGTCTACTTGTGGAAAACAGCCATTTTCCCCAATAACGGGATAGGTACTTCATTTACCATGTACTTTTCTGTCAGAAAAGATTAGCACTTGGGGAAGATACACAAAAGCAGGTCCTCTGGGGAAAACCAAACAGATGTGAACTCAGTTATCATTTTAACTGACAGTTGGCTAAAGCAGACCCTCATAACCCCAACTGTACTGACAACAATACTACTTTTTATCATTACAAAAATTAAATTATTAAAAATTCACAGTGTGCCAGACAGTATGCTGTATATGTTACATGCATGAATTCATTTAATTCTCAATCCCATAAGTAGATTCCATTATTATCCACCCTACTTTGCAAATGAGGATCATAAGCACAGAAAGGTTAAGTGTCTTGGCCTTTATCATACAATTGGTGATGTTAGAGCCGGGATTCTAATATAGATGATGACTCTACAATCCATGCTTAACCACTCCAATATTCCCCCATGTAGTGTCATTCCTTCTAACAATGTCCTTAGCTCTCCTTTCCTACAGGACTGTAGCTGGTGTGCCTTCAGGTGTTAAATTTAAATTATTTCCTGTATGTTCATTGTGGGTCAGCTTTTCTTTGTTAACAGAGAATCTAGGTGATACTTAATAGACCATGGTGATCAGCATAATAGACTTAGTTTTTTTGGGATAACAATATTAATTTTGGAAAATACTTATTGACCACATGCCATGCACTGGGCTAAGAATGTCATACAAACTTGTGTATATTCTTCCAACAATACTGAGATGTAAATGTTTTTACATTCAATTTAAAAATAAAGAAATTTAGGCTTAGAGAGTTAAATGGTTTATCCAGTCTTGCAAAGATGGTAAGTAGGTGCAAGTGAAATTTGTATTTAGGTAAGTCAGCATCCTAAATCTATGTTATTTCTACCACATTAGAGAGGAATGTCTGAAAAAGATGGTGCTAAAGAAGAATTTGAAATTATGGAATGCCTAGTAGATGGAATCTGTAAAACAGCTATAATAATGCATCCAAAGATATCATGGGAAGAAGAACAGGCATCAACTGTTTTTCTGGGAAAGCTGTCAGTCATCACTTTGTTGCCTGCCATAGGACTGGGTAACAATGGTTAGTTGAGGACATTTTATCACACTGGTTTACTGTGATTCCTGTTTCTCTTATTATTTGTTAAGTTATGCATCTTTTAACAATGTTTACAAACTACTGAATATATCTCTCAGTTCAACAAACAATTATATACAAAGCACAGTTGCAGGATTTCGCACAGGATACAAAGCATGACACAAAAATAAGTGTAAGAGCTTTAAAGCTGGGAGTATCCAGGTTAAAATTCTGCTTTCTCCACATAATGTGCAACCTGAGGCACGATACTTTATACCTTAATTTTCTCATTTGTAAAGGAGCATAATATCTACCTCATAGGGCTGTGGTGAGGATTAAATAGAGTATCTTAGCTTGGCACTTAGAGTATAATGGGAATTAAATGACTTCCTTCTCATTTTTTTTCTTTTAACAGAAAATACAATACAAAGGGCAAATAAGACAGTTTACAAAATTATTGTAATGATTCATAGGAAAGGTAAAAATATCAGTATGCTTCATTTCTTGATGGACTGAGATAGTAGACAAATAAAAAAATTGAAATAAAATAGGATAAAGACACAATACTATAATCACGCAATGGGATACTACTCAGCAAAAAAAAGAAGAAACTATTACCACAACTAATAACATAGAAGAATCTCAAAAATATACTGAAGAAAAGAAACCAGGCACAATAGAGTACACACTGCAAGATTTCACTTACATCAATTTCCAGAATAGGCAAAACTCTTGTGATAGAAGTCATATTAGTGGCTGCTTCTGAGGTGGAGGGCCCTGCTGGAAAGAGGCATGGGGACATTTTCTCTGCTGGTGATAATGTTCTACACATTACTTAGGGTTGCCTGAATTAAAACTCTGTAAGCTGGACACCTAAAATCCATACATTTTCTCCATGCAAATTATAATGCAATTTAGAAAAATGTGTCTATTCAGATTTAAAAGGGGAAGAAAGTAAACGTATTTGAGGGAATAAGGAAAGTTCAACAGAAGTGCTCCTGTAGGAGCTGTAATGATCAAAAGCTAATTGGAAGTGATGGGGAGGACATTTCAAGTAAGAGAACAATGGTGAGGACATGCAGGAAAAAAAAGAATGGGGATAGGAAGTGGGGAAAGATGCTGAGGTGATAGTGGGGCCAGATTGTAGGAGGCTTTATATATCAGTTTGAGAGGTATTGGGCAAAATGAGACCACAGAAAATTTTCATTGTGGGAGATTGGTATACTTAAAACAATGCCTTAGAAAAATTATTCTGGCAGTTACCTGTCAATTAAATAGAAAGTAGAGGAAACAGAGATATTGGGGTACTTAGAGGAACCAGTAGAAGAAAGACTGTTGTAGGAGAACCTATATCATGCTATTTAGGAGAAAGGAAACTGTTACTCATGGCCTAACAGTATTTTGTTGTTGTTGGCAGAACTAGCAAGTGTTTCCTTTATAGCTTTAACCTTCTTTTCTTTCTTTTTCTTTCTTTCTTTCTCTTTCTTTCTTTCTTTCTCTTCCTTCCTTCCTTCCTTCCTTCCTTCCTTCCTTCCTTCCTTCCTTCCTTCCTTTCTTCCTTCCTTTCCTTTCTTCCTTTACTTTCCTTCCTTTCTTTCTTTCTTTCTTTCTTTCTTTCTTTCTTTCTTTCTTTCTTTCTTTTCTTTCTTTCTCGCTTTCTTTCTTTCTTTCTCTCTTTCTCTCTTTCTTTCTTTCTTTCTCTCTTTCTCTCTTTCTTTCCTTTCTTTTTTTGACTGAGTCTCGCTTTGTCACCAGGCTGGAGTGCAGTGGCACAATCTTGGCTCACTGCAACCTCTGCCTCCCAGGTTCAAGTGATTCTCCCGCCTCAGCCTCCCAATTAGCTGAGACTACAGGCACACACCACCACGCCCAGCTAATTTTTGCATTTTTAGTAGACACGGCGTTTCACCATGTTGGCCAGAATTGTCTCGATCTCTTGACGTTGTGATCTGCCCACCTCGGCCTCCCAAAGTGCTGGGATCACAGGCATGAACAACCGCACCCGGCCTTAACCTCCTTCTCAATTTGCAAGATAACAAGTATGTCAGTGGCTCTAGTTGGTTTTATTCGACCACATTGACAGCTATCATTTTTGAAGTCTAAAAAAGAAAACATACCCTCCAACATGTGGTGATGCAGAGTTGCTACTAGAAGTCTAGCTAGATGACTGCTTAGAGGTCTCAGAAGGTAGTATTTTTCCCTGATAAAGTTGCTATATACCAGGGTTTGGGCAATACCTGCTCATAAGCTCATAAATTTTTCTTTAAAAAAATATATGAGACTATGAGACATGATCAGACATGAGTATCCTGACTCATGCTAACTAATCTCACAAAAGATTGATGTACAAATAAGAAAACCACTGATAAAAGTGTAACTAAGGGCACAACCCCAAAAAGGGTATATATTGACTGGGTGGGAACAAAAAATAGGGAAGTTCTAGAATTCTTCCAAGTAATAAAAGTACACTATGGAAACTGAAGTTACTATTCTCCTTGCAGCTAATGTCTAAGCACTTTATGCTCCCTACTCAGGCTCACCTCAGACTTTGAATAAGAAGCTAGTGGTACAGGAGCATGAATTGTGCAAAATCCATTCAGAGTATCAGAATTTTGTGGCGGATACATCCTGTGTGCAAAGGCAGCAGATTTAGTGTTCTTGTCAAATGCTCTGCATCAGTGATGTGTGCAGTGAGAGCTAAGAGTATATTCCATGAGGCAATGGCAATATGCTGTTTTCATTTTATCAGTTTTGCAAATTTGCTTGCCATTCCTGCCCACAGCACCACTAACTATCCATAAGGCTCTCTATCACTATGCAATGATCTCTCTTAATGAACTTATATGGGAGAATGGGGGAAAGTGGACTGTTAGTAAGGGTGTAAAGAGTTTCTCTGAAGTAGCTAGATTTTATACCTTCAGAAAAATCAGGAATGCATACAGTTTTAAAGCTTGAATAACCTTTGGAGACAATTTCTTATAACTCTTACTACACTTGCTGGAATCTGAGTTTCACCAGGACAAGGAACTCTACTTTACCAATTCATCTTTATCTTTCCCCTTGCTTAATGCTGTGGCAGGCATGGGCGAATACTCAATAAATGCATTTTGATAAATAAACCATCTAGTTTCTGCCAGACAAGGACCTGGCTAAATGATTTTCTGCTAGGCCTTATCCCTCTAACAGGTGTGGCTGGCTTTATTAACTGATCAAGCTAATGTCTCCTTTCCAGCATCTCTTATATATTATCTCAGAACTCTCTCTAGACAAAATTGATAGGAGTTGATATAGGGATTAAGAAAGTTGCCATTTCTGAAATCCAATATTGTCCATAGAGATGAGAATACTGAGATATAAGATGTTAAATATTTTGGATTTTTTATCCTTAGACCAGCAATGGGAAAGTTTATTATAATAACTATAACAAATTTGCTGATAAATTTAAACATCTAAACTAACATATCTGGAGGTCAAAGAAAACAGTATTTTCAAGTGATTTTACAATTAATTTTTAAATTGCAGACTCTCTTTGGATGGTCTACCAACTTTACAATTTTCTCTTCTCTGGGAACTGACATAATTTTTCAGATAACACACATACATGCTTGTGCAATCTAACCCCTGACCCCTGGCTATTTTTAACTGGAGAAGTGATAGACACCTACCAAAAGCTGGGTCAATCATATTTTAGGGTCTTGGAAGTTTATGCTGTGAAGAAAAGTTGGGAGTTGAGTTGTGCAACTGGTAGTTTTAGAGGGTAAGCTCTTAAAGTCTTCTAGTGCCTTGGTCCCAACCTTTTTGGCACCAGGGACTGGTTTCATGGAAGACAAATTTTCCATGGCCTGGGGGAGGAGACGTGGGAGGGATGGTTTCAGAGTGATTCAAGCACATTACATTTATTGTGCACTTTATTTCTGTTATTGCAGTGTAATATATAATGGAACAATTATACAATTTTCCATAATGTAGATTCAGTGGGAAACCTGAGCTTGTTTTCCTGCAACTAAATTGTCCCATCTGGGAGTGGTGGGAGATAGTGACAGATCATCAGGCATTAGATTTTCATAAGAAACATGCAACCTAGATACCTTGCATGCACAGTTCACAATAGGATTTGTGTTTCTATGAGAATCTAATGCTACTGCTGCTCTGACAGGAGATGGAGCTCAGGCAATAATGTGAGCATTAGGTAGCAGCCGTAAATGCAGATGAAGCTTTGCTCACTTGCCTGCTGCTCACCTCCTGCTGTGTGGCCTAGTTCCTAACAGGCCATGAGCCACTGTGATCTGGGGGGTTGGGGACACCTGTTTTAGTGCATTCCCTGGGGATGTCTAATTCTCCATCTTCCCTGAGTCCTTGTTGCTCAGCATTTTTCGATATTACATGATATCCCTCAAAATAAGCTCCTTTTTCCCCCTTAAACTTCATTGAATAATTTCATTGCTTATGCTTCTCTCAAACTGAGCAACTCATATATTTAAAAACTATTTACTTTCTTGTTTTTTTATCCCATCCCACTGACCTCAATCTTATGTTTCCTACTCATCTACCTTACTTTTTAATGTGGACATTTTTGGGCTAAATCTTTGAACCCCTTCTCTTTTGTATCTGAACTTTCTTCCTTGGTAGTGTCATATAGTCCCGTGCTTTTTAGTAACATCTACATGAGGATGATTCCACAGTTTATATTTGTACTACAAACCTCTCCCTTAACCTCCAGACTCATACATCCCAATGTCAGTTCATTCTCTCCATTGCCTAAGTTCAGAATACATGTTGATTGTAACATTTCCAAAACCAGACTTTCAGTGAATTTCCCATAGTTCTTCCCATATGGTTAATAATAATTCCATCTACTTAGAATGATCCACACTGCTGCTCTGTCTCTGAAAACCTGTATCCAAAGTGTCAACAATTTCTTTGTGGCTACCTTGAAGATACGCCATGACTCTGACCACTTCTTACCACTTCACTTTCACTGTTTTTACTCTTAGTGCATTCTAGCATCATCTCTTGCCTGGTTTTTCCAATAGTCTTTTTTTTTTTCATTCTTGTTTCTATTCAGGATACCCAGCAAAGCAGCTAAAATAGGTTTACTATTACGTGCAAAATGGAAGTGAGCTTTGGCAATTTATTATTCATAACAATGGTTAACATCTACAGAACACTTATAAGATGTTAAGCATTATTCTAAATATTTAAATCTAAAAAGTAATTCATTTTATCCACATAGTAACTCATTGAGGCAGGTGCTCATTATTATCTATTTAATCATGAGAAAACTGAGGCCCAGAAAACCATAATTTGCTCAAATCACTAATCTAGGAAATGGCAAATAAAAGATTTCAATCAAGTTACATTGGCTCAGAGAATGCTGTTGATCACTGTGAGATTCAAGGGTCATTCTACTATTTCTGAACCCTAATTCAAAAACTGCAATCTTAGTAAACACACACACACACACGTACATGTATATATTCTCTGATTTCTCACTAGGAAATACAATTCTAATACTACTGTTAGTATTGTCAAGATTTACTAATTGAACATCTACTAAGTGTCAGACAATTTACCAGGCCTTAAAAATATTCCCTAATCCTCAAAAAGACAAAGAAAAAAGTGGGTCATTTTAATCTTATTTTATAGAAAGGAAATCTAAGGACTGGAGAGACTCAATAACACACTGATGACCATTATAGGCACTTAATAAATATTAGATAAATGTAGTGATAAATCCTAATATATTTAAGTATCCATATTTATAAATACACGAATATGCATTACTTTGCTTCATTATACATATGCTCTGAAGTATCTGTTGGGTAGTGGCTTGGTGGCTCCAGTCGTAAATAATGACTTTTTTTTTCATGGGCTTCTCAAAGTCCATGATTCAAATTTACATTCCTGGCAAAATTACCCCAGATTAACTGCCAGGGATCGTTGGGGTTGCTTGAGAATTGTAACCCCATGAAATGTGAAATATGTTCATGACAAGGATTCACTGTGCTGTGCTTTTCTGGGCTATTACTATCCCTCTCCACCACTTTGTCTGGCCTGAGATGTGTGTAATAACTGGCTTTTTCTGCTTTTGCTTTTCCACCCCTATCAGTCCATAGGAAATAATCCATTTTGAAAAGATGATGAACGAGAGGCCTTTGAATAAATTAGCATAAATAAACGAAACCAAAACGTGATGAGTGTTAATAATAAGGACTCAGTTGGATTTTACGTAAGATGAAGCAACATCCAGAGTATGAGGAAATTGGGCTAGGGCATCTCTCTTGTTTCTCAGAAGTGATAGCAGCTCATGTCAGCCATTTACTGGCACTAAATACCTTCTTTCAGGAAAAGTATCAAATGTAGCCAGCATTTCACACTTGTACTATTTTCTTATTTAAAAAATCCATAGCCCTCTTAAGAAATAAAATTAATATTAAATATTCCATTGGCTGAATCCCATGCAGACACTAATGGGAATCTGAAGAGAGCCCTGCTTTGGGTAAGCAGTCTTGAGTGATTTTTGTTATATTTTAATAACATTAAAAATATGGATCTGGTTCTCATCTCTTTCTCTTCTATGTATCTATCTTATCTGAATATAAATGGATATGTTTAGAAAATTCATGAAAAAGTGTACAGTAGGGTCCACTTCTAAAAACCTCCTCATCCTGTTTAATAGGCAGCCATAATATAAATTAAAGCAAGCATCAACATTAAATATGAACTCCATTGTAATGGTATTACCTGCTAACTTCATCTCTAATCTCTGCTAGTCTATGAGTCCACCCTATTATTTGTAGTTCCTCTCTTGTATTTATTTCATCAATATTATTACTCTTTATCATTAATTATCCATTGTAACTAATTAATAATTATTAAGAAGCAACCGAACAGTACTAGTTCCCTCCCAGCTTGCAAGCCACCTTGATATTTCCATCTTTTATGCTGTACATAAGTCTAACCAGACTTTCTGACTTTTTTTCAAAGCTCTTTAGTGCAAAAGCTAACAATTATCCCCAGTAAACTTTGTCCTTTTTCTGATAGACTATTTTAAAAATTAATCAAGTGTTAATTTTAACTACTTTGTTATTCTGAGTTACAGGCAACTCTACCAAGTTAATATCCCCTATCAATTGTATGAGTATATTTTATCATTTTTATTGAATTCACAATTGAATATAAAATAATTGCATATGTTGTAGGAGCATTTCCTTTCAAAGAAGAGTCAGAGAATATTCCTTTCTACAATTATCTATTTATGTAATACTCACAATTCAGCATCAAAACCAGATTAACCTACCTTCATCGAGTTCCTCAAGAACTGATCATCTTGCTAATGCAACAATGATTAAAATATTGTACTTGTAAATTCTAATAAGTAGTGTAACTTTTTATAGAACTAGATAATTACCTCTGCTATAATACAAAGTTTGTTAGTGCTCCAAAGCCCAAATCAGATAGATAAGCAGACCCCATTTTATCGGAAACAGCCAATGGAACTAGGTAAATATAGGTTGAAGGTGGGCTATTTTGGCAATGGGCATCATGGTTGACTTCAGTCATTCAGAATGCTATTTCACAAATGAAGGAATGGTCTTATTCTGCATTGTCATAAAGAACAAAACTGATACTAAGTAGTCACAGACACATGACAGTAGAATTATTTCATTACCCCTTGACTTGTTTCAGAAAGAGTTTCAAGAAATACATGAAGAACATAGATTTCTCAGAATATAGTATAATAAGTATATGTGGTTAGCTTTTTGTCAGTAAAGACACCCAAGAAGTCACATGAAGAGTACTCGCTGAGAGGTTTTTAGGGAAAAAAATCAAGCTTCAAGATGACAGTTTTACTGAATAGCCTGCATGGTTCCTTGTAACCCTAGTAACCCATGATCCTATGAAGTACGTCATTTAGATGTCTTACTTTCTATTTTCTGCCATTAACTCTTTACCTTTTGTGATCTGGCTCCGTTAATTACTGGTCAACTGAATTCTCTCAGCAAAGAAACTATGCTAGATTTCACTAATGGTCCTAATTCTTCACTCATCGTATAGCTATACTCTGTACCATATGACTTTGCAGTTCCTACCACTATTTCCCTGCTTTTTGACTTTGAGTTTGACCATGTGGATTACTTTTGTTGATGTGATATTAGCAGGCATGGCATTAAAAAAATCTTAAAAATTTCTGTGTGACTGAGCTTACCTTCTCATGCCCCTGCTTTTTTCATGAGAATGACATTTCTGGGATAGTCTACTGGTCCCAGGAGAAAGATGAAAGATGTATAGTGCAGGTTGGAACCATCCCCACTGGATCTGGCCTAATCAAGTGCTGCAAAGCTACATTTCCTGAAAATAAAGTAGCTGACTGATACAAAATTTGGCACCTGAAAGTGAAGTGCTGCTGTATTAAATACTTACAATTTGTGGCATGAGTTTGAGAACTAGCTAGTGTTAGAACTAACCAGTGGACCGGGCAAGGTGGCTCAAGCCTATAATCCCAGCCCTTTGGGAGGCCAAGGCAGGAGGATCACCTGAGGTCAGGAGTTCGAGACAAGCCTGGCCAACATGGCAAATCCCCATCTCTACTAAAAATACAAAAATTAGCCGGGCATGGTGGCAGGTACCTGTAATCCCAGTTACTCAGGAAGCTAAGGCAGGAGAATCACTCGAACCTGGGAGGCAGAGGTTGCAGTGAGCCAAGATCGTGCCACTGCACTCCGGCCAGGGTGACAAGACAGACTCTGTCTCAAAAAAAAAAAAAAAAAAAAAAGAACTAGCCAGTGATGTTCCCTCATCACTAGGTCAGTGATGAAGGAACAATGAGAAGAGGCTGGGTAAATGGCAATCCACGTAAAATAGTGATGAAATTAGTAATATTGTCTGTTACAATAACTGGGAAGATAGTAAATGTATTTAATAGATTTTTGTACTTGGCTGAGTAAACCCTAAGCAAAATGTTGAAGTGCACTCTTGTTTCTTTTACTTGTGTTTGATATACTACTTTAAGAAAGAGATAAGCTTAGAAAAATACGAATCAGATTGTAGCAAAATTTGGTGAGAATGCAAAGTCTATAACCTGTTGGGTTGGAAAGTAAAAGAGGTTCTTATCTCCAACTCTTCCAGATAATAAAAGAAACTTCAATTCTGATAAATTCTGGGGCTGAAGATTAAATCTAGGAAATAGCTGATGTATACATGGTCTCAGAATACAGACTAACTACATGGTATGACTGTAGGTTCTTTTGATAAGACTTCTGAAAAATTTACAGTGATACCTAGTAGATATTATGATCACACAGCAGCCTAATATGCCCAAAATACTGCAATTAAGCCTAAGCTGTATTATCCTACATGGTAGCCTCTACCCAAGTAGCTGTTTAAATTAGAATTCATTAAAATTTAAAATTTAGTTCATTACTCATACTAACTATATTTCAAGTACTTAGTAGCCGCATGTGACTAGTAGCTCTCTTATTGGACATCACAAATAAAGGCTCTTTCCATTATTCTAGAAAGTTTTATTAGATGGCTCTGGTAGAGCTGTCTAATAAAAAACCACTAAATGTTTCAGAAAATTCAGTTACCATATATGCTACTGTATTAAGCCATTCTTGCTCTGCTATAAAGAAATACGTGAGACTAGGTAATTTATTAGGAAAGAGATTTAATTGGCTTATTATTCTGCAGGCTGTATAAGAAGCATAGTGGCATCTGCTTCTGAGGAAGCCTCAGGAAGCTTCCAATCATGGCAGGGGAGTAGGCACGTCACATGGTAAGAACAGAAGCCAGAAAGAGAGAGATTGACCATTGGGGGGTTGGTATGTCACACACTCTATTATAATGACCAGATCTCAAGAGAACTCACTCACTATTGAGAAGGCAGAACCAAGCCATTAGGGATTCACCGTCATGATCGAAACACCCCACACCAGACCTCACTTCCAGCATTGGAGATTACAATTTAACATGAGATTGGGGTGAGGACAAATATTTAAACTATATTATTCCACCTCTGGCCCCTCCCAAATCTCATGTCTTTTTCACATTGCAAAATACAATCATGCCTTTCTAACAGTCCCCCAAAGTTCATTTCAGCATTAACTCAAATGTCCAAAGTCTCATCTGAGATAAGGCACATCTCTTCCACCTATGACCCTGTAACATAATAAACAAGTTAGTTGCTTCCAAGACATAATGGGGCTTTAGGCATTGGGTAAACACTTTCATTTCAACAGGGAGAAATTGGCCAAAAGAAAGGGGCTACAGACCCCATGCAAGTTCATAGTTCAGCAGGGCAGTCATTAAATCTCCTAGTTTCAAAATAGTCTCTTTTGACTCCTTGTCCCACATCCAGGGCACACTGCTGCAAGGGTGGGCTCCTAAGGCCTTGGGCAGCTCTGACCCCATGACTCTGCAGGGTACAGGCCCACCAGGCTGCTCTCACATTGTTGAGCGCCTGTGCCTTTTCCAGGCACAGGGTGCAAGCTGATGGTGTATCTACAATTCTGGGGTCTGGAGGATGGTAGTCCCCTTCTCACAGCTCCACTAGGCAATGACCCATTGGGAACTCTGTGTGGGGGCTCCAACACCACATTTCCCTTTGGCACTTCACTAGTAGAGGTTCTCTATGGGGCTCCACCCCTGCAGCAGGCTTTCAGCTGGGCACCCAGGCTTTTTCATACATCCTTTGAAATCTAGGTGGAGGTTGCTAAGCCTCACTTGCTCTGCAGGCTCACTCCTGCAGGCTCAACACTACGTGGAAGCCAAGAAGGCTTACAGTAGCTTGCTCCCTCTGGAGTGGCAGCCTGCACTGTACTTGGGCCCCTTTGAACCAAGGCTGGAGCTGGAGTGGCTGGAATGTGGGGAGCATTATGTGCAGGGCAGCAGGGCCCTGGGCCTGACCATGAAACCATTCTTCTCTCTTTCACCTTTGGGCTTAAGATGGGAGGGGCTGCCTCAAAGTTCTCTGAAATGGCTTCAAGACCTTTTACCCATTGTCCTGGATATTAGTACTTGGCTCCCCTTTAGTTATACTAATATATTTAGCAAGTCGTTGCTCCACAGCCTGCTTGAATTTCTCTCCTGGAAAAGCTTTTTCTTTCTCTGCCACATGGCTAGGCTGTAAATTTTCCAAACTTTTATACTCTGCTTTCCTTCTAAATATAGCTTCCAACTTTAAGTCATTCCTTTACTCCCACATCTGAGCATAGGTTGTTAGAAGCAGCCAGACCACGTCTTGAAAACTTTGCTGTTTAGAAATTTCTTCCACCAAATACCCTAAATCATCACTCTCAAGTTCAAAATTCCACAGATCCTTAGGGCATAAACAGAATGCAGCCAAGCTCTTTGCTAAGACATAACACATGTGACCTTTGCTCCAGTTCCTAATAAGTTCCTTATTTCAATCTGAGACCTTGACAGTCTGGACTTCATCGTCCATATCACTATCAGCATTTTGGATACAGCCATTTAACCAGTCTCCAAGAAGTTCCAAACTTTCCCTCATCTTCCTGTCTTCTTCTGAGTCCTCCAAACTCTTCCAACCTCTGCCTGTTACCCAGTTCCAAAGTCACCTCAACATCGTCAACTATCTTTATAGCAAAGCCCCACTCCCTACTCCTTGTTACCATTTTTCTTTTCTTTATTTTCTTTTTTTTTTTTTGGTTTGAGACAGGGTCTTGCTCTGTCATTCAGGCTGAAGTGTAGTGGCTCAATCATGGCTCACTGTAGCCTTGACCTCCCAGGCTCCAGTGATCCTCCCACCTCAGCCTCCTGAGTAGTTGGGATTACAGGTGCACACCACTACATTCTGTTAATTTTTGTCTTTTTTTTTTTTGAAATGGGGTTTTGCCATGTTGCCCAGGCTGGTCTCAAACTCCTGAGCTCAAGCAATCTACATTCCTTGGCTTCCAAAAGTGCTGAAATTACAGGCATGAGCCACTGTATCTGGCCCACTTTTCTGTATTATGCTGTTCTTGCCCTGTTATAAAGAAATACCTGAGACTGGATAATTTATAATAAAAGATTTAATTGACTCACAGTTCTGCAGGCTGTACAAGAAGCATAGCAGAATGTAATTCTGGGGAGGTGTCAGGATTATTGTTTTAAACCGCTGATTTTGAGGGTTGTTTGTCATGTTGCATTTGTGTATGGATAGCTATCTGATGGAGTCACTAATAATCTCTTGTTTATTAAAGTCAATAAGTCTAAATCTCTCTTGGCCAATTGCTCCTCTTGTTACTTGATTTCCATTACCAACTTTTTTTTTTTTTTCTACCTGCCTATCTTTATGGTTGTTTTTTTTTTCTCAGCTTTCCTTTGTGGATTTTCTTTCTCTGCTTTTTCCTTAAATCCAGATTCTATTCATCCTTAACTGTGTTCTCTTCACTTTAGGCACTAGGTTTGTGATGCATCTGTTTTATTTAATTCTTTCTTAACATTGTATAATGCCCATATTTCTATGTCCTACTAAGGTCTCCCTGTGCTCTAGAATAGTTAATAATTGATGGGCTATTTCAACATGTATGCCTCACTGGATATGTCTAAACACAAACTCCTCATCTTTGTCCTTAACTGTGTACCAGTTTTTGTGTTTCCTGTCTCAGTGGATGGCAGTATCACATATTCAGTTGCTCAGGCCAGGAACCTGGGTGAAATGAGTCTTCTTTCTCCCTCACTTTTCACATTTAATTAATTACAAAGTCCTGTCAATACTACTCCTTAATATATTTTATTTGCATTCACTTCATTCAAACCCTCTACCCTCTACATTATTTTTGTACCCTATTATCTCTTGTACTAGATTCCTACAGTTTCCTTTTAACTGGTTTTCATGCCTTCACTTTTGTATTTCTTCAAGTCATTCTTCAGAGATCAAGCTAATTGCTTATGTTAATTAGAGTTTCTCAGTTGCAAGCAAGAGAAACCATCTCTAGTTACCTAAAGCAAAAAGTGATACAGTAAAAAGAATTGGAAAGATGCATGGAAGTTTAAAGATAGAAGGGAATTCTAAAGAAAACCAGTAGGACTTTCTCAATAAATTTGGCTATGTGCTGGAAATGGAAAAAAAAAAGTGAAAAAGTGTTTTCCTCCCTTTGATTGGCCGATCTTAGGTGTTTATTTTGTTTAGAGTGATATCCATAAAATACTAAAAGGATGTGGTTATTGGAGCCCCCAAAGACTTTTTCAATTTTTGAAGACAGAAGCACTGGAATTATAATCTCACTAACATTGAGATGAGGTAAGAAGGCATTCCCAAGAAGAAATGGGAGTGCAGGTAGAAAGGAGAAATGGATGCCAGTTGGGCCCAAACAGATAAATGATTATTATCTCCATATATATTTTCTTTACATTGCTTAAAAACAGTTTAGTATCTTTCATGTTTCTCAGGATAGATTCCATATTTTCTAATATGACAGGCAAAACTTTTTCTGAGCTCTGCATAAGCTTTACATAAGTCCTTGGCTTCACAGAATACTATATTATCAAAATTAAAATCAGTCCTACCCTTATCTGGGTCAGGAACCTTGGCTCTTTCTACCTCCCAGGTCTGCTCCCAGCTATGCCTAGCCAAATCTGTCCAGTCCTCTGTAACTTGCTTAGAATTATTTCATCTCTTCCCAACACTGAAGGTACAGTCTATTTCCAACATGCCCATATAGGCCCTTGTGCTTGCCCATAGCTTACTACTTATCACACTGACTTTTAGTTGTCTTTTAAAGAACCCAGACTGATTCTCATTCACTTTTGTATTCCCAGTTGCTTTCACAGTAGTTGACACACAGTAGGCACTCAATAAATTTATAGGAAGTTGAAAAATATGCTTCTTATTTCATTTGTTGATAATTTTCAAGTATCATTAAAATGGTAGTAATATTTACTACATGGCAAATATGCAAGATAGTAAGGCTATGAATTAATGAAATCCATCCACTCTGGCCTCATAAATCACAGTGCTACATTCTGTTCCAGATTCCACAGGTGCAATGCTTACATTTAATTGCACTGATCAAGCTCTCCTTATGCTGAATTCCTGTATATATCATCCTCTGGGTAGGATCAACTGTGCAGTTTCAAATCCATTTGTTTCAAAATCCCAGGAGGACTCTGTGTTCTTGTGTGACTTTGTGTTACTTCCTGATGACTCATGGAGTGTAAGAGCAATGAAAGCAGAGGCTGCGTAAATAGATTCTCCTGGGGAGAAAATTCCTCTTTAAATCAATTTAATTTTCTACTTTTTGAAATGTGAGCTAAGCGTGTTGCATCTTTGTTTTAAGGAGCTCAAGCATCTTTGCAAATATTTGGTCCCTTTTCTTAAAGAATTCTTAAAGCCTGATATGATTGGCTTTGGCTTTCAGGCTTGATAATTCCTTGTAGCTTGGTAGGAATATCAAAGACCAAAATCCATTTTTTTCTGCTTTCCTAGACAACTCAGTGATAAAGTAGGAAAATAATAATAAACACGGATATGCACCAATAAGCTGGATTTCTATAGAGCATATTTTAGCTACAGGACTGAAAATTCTTTCCTATTCACTGTATTATCATATTTATTTTTTAGGTCAATATGACATAAATGTAGAAATAAAATAGCTGGGGACATAGAGGCATAAAAACATTCTGTTCAGTAAGGTCTCCAGGCTTATCCTCCTGTTTGTACCCTCTTAAACATGCTGTTATCCCACCCACATTTAAAATGTTGGCTCATGATCATTTGAATATTACCATGGGCATATTGGCAAATTCCTTTCAATTTTCCTCTGGCTAGTAAGCTTTAGAATAAGAATGACTCCCAATTGACCAATGCTATGTTTCGAATACACTCTATAATGAATCAATTTACAGAGGCAAACATTGGCTTCCCTTGCTGATTTGTTTTTCTGAAATCTGCCGAATAAAGGCCAGAATTCATTAGCTTGGCTCTCTAAGTTCTCTGTCATCAGATCCCTCTAAGCATTCTCTGCTCTATGCTCTAACCAAGCATTTTACAATGTATCTTCATTGAATATTAATCTTTTTAAATGTGCTGAGGAGGTGGATTCCATAGTAAAATTAGCTTATTAATGTGTTAAGATTTATTATGCAAATTAGCATATTAAAATCTTTAAGAAGTCTTTTAATAATGGAATTGGATCCATTTTGTTTAAGTTTTTCTGAACTTACTTGGTCATAGATTCTCTTTTTTCATATATATATATTTAACTTGCTAAGGGAAGTGTTACATTGCCTTATGTGTTCTGGAAAGATTTGCTGAACTGTTGGGTAGCAGTTTCCTATGTCCATTCATGGTCTCTCACCCTGGAATGCCTCAGCTGCTATTTTCAAGTATCTCTCAAAGCTAAGTCTAAGTGTAACTCACCGTCTTTCCTGATCTTCGCAGACAGACGTGTCCTCTCCCACTTCTGAACTCCTGTTGTATTTTATCAATGTGTCTTTTATGGCACTGCTCATTCTCTATATTGAATAATAATTAAGGCCAGTTTAATTACTCTCATTGGACTGTGGGATCCTTGAGGACACAGCCCAGTTTTACTCATTGTTTTATAATCTTTAGTATAGATAATATACCTGTCACCTATAGTACTTTTTCTAGAGCATTGATGCATTTAAAACAAACGAAACAACAGAGGAATGAATGAATGACAAAATCTTTATACATTATTAATATAAAATTTTAGTATTGTGGCTGAATCCATCTCTGAAAAATTATTTTGGATAAAATTATAATTTAATGACATTAGTATTTCACATAGGAATTTGCTATCAGATAGCAGTCTTGACTTTGTTTCAAGCCAAATATTGCTGCATGTCTCTTTCATGAACATGATCTTCAAGAACAAAACACCTTAGCTTGGTTTCCATGGGCCTCCTGTAATAGGCTACATCTACTTTCATCCTTGATTCTGCTTAATAGTAAGTATCTGTCCCATAAAAGCATGTCTCCCTATCTGATGAATGCAGTGTCCATTGTTACCTCCATGCTGTCCTTCAGGCTACACCCCGGCCCTGATTCCTTGCCATTCTCCTAAATCCTTAGCTATACCTATTCATCTTTCAAGACCTACTTCCAGTCAGAAGTTCACAATGAAGCCTTAATTACTTCAGTCTTCTAGCCTCCTTTGACTAGTAGCTCAACAGACCTTTTATTACTGATTGGTTACCTTCTGGCGTCCAGGCTGGAGTACCATGGCACAATCTTGGCTCGCTGCAGCCTCTGCCTCCCATGTTCCAGTGATTCTCATGCCTTAGCCTCCCGAGTAGCTGAGATTACAGGCATGTGCCACCACACCAGGCTAATTTTTGTATTTTTAGAAGAGACAGTGATATGGTTTGCCTCTGTGTCTCCACCCAAATCTCATGTCAAATAGTAATCCCCTCATGTTGGGGTAGGGACCTGGGGGGAGGTGATTGGATTATGGGGCTGGTCTCCCCCATACTGTTCTTGTGATAGTGATTGAGTTCTCATGAGAGCTGATGGTTTAAAAGTATGTGGCAGTTCCCCTCATTCTCTTTCCTGCTCCACCACGGGAAGATGTGCCTTGCTTCCCCTTTACTTTTGGCCATGATTGCAAGCTTCCTGAGACCTCCCCAGCTATGTGGAACTGTGAGTCAATTAAACTTCTTTTCTTTATAAATTACGCAATCTCAGGTAGTTCTCTAGAGCAGTGTGACAACAAAATAATACAGACAGAGTTTCACCATGTTGGCCAGACTAGTCTCAAACTCCTGGCTGCTAGTGATATGCCAACCTCCACTTCCCAAAGTGCTGGGATTACAGGCATGAGCCATGGTGCCCTGCCTGATTGGTTACCTTTTATACTGCCTTTCACCACCAGGCTTCAAACACCTTGAGGGCAGGAACACTTTGGGGATTTTTTTTTTTTTTGGTTCCTCAGAGAATCATAATGTTAATGATACCATTTAGTGAGCACTTATTGCATCCAGTCACTGCTTTTAGCAGTTTGCACAGACTGATTCAGTAAAACCTCATTAATCTGAGGCACAGAGAAGTTAAGTACCTTACCCAAAGTAACACAGCTAGTTTGAGATTGGAACTCAAGTGATCTGCTTGTGGAACTCACATGTTTATGAATTGGTTAGTTGAAATGGATAATTTTTATCTTTTTGGCATTATAAATTATGTATATCCATACACATTGATTGCATAAATTATATCAATGAAAATATGAATGTGTTCACTATTTTAGAAAATTCTACACAAAAGAGCATTTCTTTTTAATTGGCAGATGGTGAAATAAATATAACAGACACTTGAAACCCACAATAGGTGTAATTCCTTTTTTAGTCATGTAAAATAATTTCAAATATAAGACCAGATATATAAAATATGTAATGCAAAGACAATTATATTTAAAGTATATAATTTAAAGTATATTTAAAGTATATAAAAGTCTGCATATGTACTTTCAGAAAAATGCACAAAACTTTGATAACTTTTAGAAAACAGCAGACTTTTTAAAATTTTGGAGAAATTAACATGTTTTAGATTTTAAAAGAGGACAGTGGCAGGTTTCAGGTAAACTAGAAATTAGATGTTAGAAAGCTTATATTAGTCATTAGCAAATTTAAACTAAAATATTTAAGCAGAAATTTTGTGTTGGGGAGTGAGTGAATGTGTTTATCAAGGAGCTGGTAAGGGTTCCATTCCCTCGATTTGCAGAATTAATTGATAGGGCTTCTAGGTTCAATAAAATTGGATTTTGCTGACTTCACAGGTGAATTTATTAGGCACCTGAAGCATAAACAGTTATCAGAAGTTTAGTAGGCAACTCTGCTCATGGTAAAGTTCTGGAAAAACAGAAATATTTATAATAAGTAAAGATGACACTAGTCAATATTAATTATCATTCCTACAGTTGGTTAGACAAATACAAAAAGTGTTGATAAATTATTGATTAGCTTTATGGTGCAATAACTCTAAAGAATAACTACTTGTAAATGTATTGTCAAGGCTTTCTCCCCCAGTATCTTCCTAGCTAAGAAGCTAGGGGTTGCTGTATTGTTAGCCCTCTTCTGACTTTTTATTTTGCAGTTCTGATAGATAACTGGTTATCTGTTAAAGAATTCCACTAAAATGTTAACGGATAATATCTTAAGATGTCACCTCTTTCCAAAACATTTACATGTAAAGGCTGGATTTTCTAAGGACAAATTGCCCTGATCCCAAATGACTAATCATTTAAGAGGAATTTAATCATTAAAATAGGCCAAAAAAAGCACAGAACTTTTTCTTAGAATTAATATTAGTATTTTTGCCCAAATTTATGGGGCATTGTGTGTGTGTGTGTGTGTGTGTGTGTGTGTGTGTGTGTGTGTGTGTGTGGTCGGGGGAGGGGGGCGGGGGCAGAGGGTGTGTAATAGTCCCAGAATTCCTTTAAACCCACTATTCCTTTTTTCTGTCTACATCTCCTTTGCAAAGCCTGCCTTCTGGAAAGACTCTAATACCAGTCATTTATAGCTTAATGCAAATTTACGTACCAGTATTTCTCTCCAGTTGTATCTGAATTTTAGGTTTAATTTAAAAACAAGAAGTTCTGTCACAGTAAAATATGCTTTGGTGTCTCTAAGGTAGAGTAGAGGGAATTCAAATTCTTGTGCTCCAAAATATTATCTGTACTGGGTTAAATAGTGTCCCCACCAAATCCATTTCCACTGGAACCTGTGAATTTAATGTCATTTGGAAGTAGGGTCTTTGTAGATGTAATCAAGTTAAAATGAGGTCATACTGGATTAGGACGGGCCCTAATCCAAGACGGTGTTGTTAGAAGAAGAAGATACTTGGGCACAGACACACACAGAAGGAAGATTTCACGTTAAGACAGAGGCAGAGTTTGGAGTTCCCACTACAAGCCATGGAATGCCAAGGATTGCTGTCAATAACCAGGAAATAACCAGCTAGGAAAAGGCAAAGAAGGATTTTCTAGGCTCTCCAGAGATAGCACAGCCTTTCCAACACCTTGATTTTAGACTTCTAGCCTCCAGAATTGTTCTTTTAAGCCACACAGTTTGTGGTAATTTCTGTTCTTTTAAGCCATACAGTTGGTGGTAATTTGTTACATCAGCCTTAGAAAATTAATCAATTATCCCAACAACCTGTTAATAAGCTAAAGTTGAGTTTATCGCTTACTGCAATAGGACAAACACTATCTCCTATCTTGACAGAGCTTTAGTATCTTCTTAGAGAGGGTAGGGATGTCATCAGAATATTTGTTGAGATTTTGAAGGTGAACTTTTAAATGGGTTGAGCACTGGGTAAGGACCATTAGGACAGATGGATAGCAAAATGAGAGAGTTGACGTGATGGATCAAAAATCTTAGAGTATAAACTGTCATTTGAGCTTTCTAAGAACAGTTAATAGGTCATTCAGGAAATATCACAGAATGAACAATAAAGTTATTTAAAATTATCACCTTCCTTGACAAGAGTTTCCTGGAATAGTAAATTATAGTGACAAAGACAAGAAAATTATTTTACTAGTCTATTTTCATACTGCTATGAAGAAAAACCCAAGACTGGGTAATTTATAAAGAAAAAGAGGTTTAATGGACTCACAGTTTCACATGGGTAGGGAGGCCTCACAATCATGGTGGAAGGTGAAGAAGGAACAAAGGCACACCTTACATGGTGGCACGCAAGAGAGCGTGTGCAGGTGAACTGCCCTTCATAAATCCATCAGATCTTATTCACTATCATGAGAACAGCACGGGAAAAAATGCCCCCATGATTCAATTACCTCTCACTGGGTTCCTCCCACGACACATGGGGATTATGGGAGCTACAATTCAAGATGAGATTTGAGTGAAGACACAGCCAAACCATATCATTTATAGAATCATGTTAATGTAGACATATACATAGTAATCTGTGTGAATACAGAGGGTCTCTTTTCTTAGGTACCAGAAAGCACAACATATTGTCAGTGACCTACTCTAACCATCTCACATAAGTAGTTGCTAGAAGAGGGCTGCCATCCTGAAAGCATGATTTCAACTCCATGTTAATATTGGTAGCTCACTAGAGCATGTCTCCGATTGGCCAATTTTCAGGCATAAATCCTTGGTTCTAGAGTGTTCGAATCCAGAAAGATCAAAACAGAACCATGTCTCATTTGAGATAAAGGTTTGCAAGAATGGAGTAGGCTATCTCTGAGCACTTTTAACATGTACACTGTAAAGGGAAAGTGTCCCTAAAGATCCAGTCTGAATTTTACTACCTTTAGAGTGTGACTTAGGCAGAAGTACTTCTCCCTGCTTCTGTGCGCCTTTGGCTCGCCTGCTCATCTTCTTTGTAGAAAGTGTGTATTAGGTGTGTGGTGGCACACACCTGTAATCACAACTACTCAGGGGGCTGAGGGAGAAGAATCACTTGAACCTGGGAGATGGAGGTTGTAGTGAGCTGAGATAGCACCACTGCACTCCAGCCTGGGCGACAGAGCAAGACTCCATCTCAAAAAAACCAACCAACCAACCAACAAACAAAAAACAAACAAAAAAAATTAAATAAATAAAGTGTGTATTAGTCAGAGTTGGCTAAATTCTCAAATATCAATGGCTTTAGATAATTGATCTTTATTTTTTACTCAGGTAAGCATTCAGTGGGGGTATTCAGCAGAAAACTGAGTGAGCCGAGTTTCTAGGATGCAAACTCCTTCTGTGTTGTGGCTCTGCCATGTTTAAGATTTCGGAGTCTGTTCCATTTATCTAGCAGGTGAGGAAATGAGAGAAAGTATCTCCTGTGGGTGGTTTATATGTGCCATCATTTCTTTCCATATTCATTGGCAAGAACTCAGTCACATTACCACAATTAAATGCAAAGGAGGTTGGGAAATGTATTCTAGTTTCCCAGAAGGAAAACTGAAATGGGTGTTTGTGCACACACAGCAGTCTATGTCACATAGAACTTTTTACATTATACTGTTGTTAAAATCTTATTTATCTGCTGATCTCTCCCACTGCTTTGTGAACTCTTTGAGGATGAAGATCACTTCCATTTATAATTTGATAGCTTCAGAGCCTAGCAGCAAAGTACCTGGTACAAAGTAGTGGATTCCTAATAAATATTTACTGAATGATTGATTATAGTAGCATTTCAATTGCAAAACTATTATTTGATATTTTTAGGTTATATAAGACTTACCTAATATTGTATTTTCAAAATTCTTGCTGAATAATAAAAAATTTATGAAATAACTCTCTACGTGAGTGTGCAATTTGCCCAATAAATACATTTTAAAACACAAATTAAAGCCCCTTTCCTCCATGTGATCACACTATTATTCGAGCTGAACCTGCATGCATGCTGTTATTATGGGATTAATTTCCTCACTTAAGTTTTACTGGAAACTGTTTTACTGACTACTATTAAGAGCAGCATCAAAGACTTTCCACTTGCTCCATTAAGCAAAACAATCATTGCTTTTAGCACTTTCTTTATGGTTCTTGATACATTTTGTTTTTTCAAAAGGTTCATTCCAGTAAGATTAAAGTTTGTTCAATGTTCATTTTAAACAAATGGTTTTGGTTCATAAATACTGTCTAGGAATATTTATGTGGGAAAACATTCCCTATTTGAGGAAACCTATATTAAACCTCTGAATAGAAATTGTTTCCAATACATTTTCAGATATTAAAAAATGCCAAAATAGTACTTATTTGCTCTTGATTGCTCAACATTATAATAAACACAGTTTGCATAGTAATTACCAATAAGCACTTATTCTACAGCTGATATACTTAATGTATTGATGTAAAGGGAAGAAAAGGGGAAAATTACAGAGGAGTTAAGAGAGCAAGTCTTTGAAGTTTGACAATGCTGTATTTAACTCTTGGCTTTGCCACTTGAGCTTTGTGATCTTAAACCCTAAGCATCCCTGAACCTCGCTTCCCTTCTGTAAAACGGGGGTCAAAATGGTACCTGTTCCACAGTACCGTTTTCTTTCACTCATTATTGAGTGGGGCTTGATGTGAAATGTGTGTTCACATGCGTTATATCATGATGTGATGTGATTTAATGAAGTAATGCATGCAAACACACATTTCACATCAAGCCACACTCAATAAATGAGAGCTTAATGAGCTTTTAATAAATAAATATATTGAGCTCCTATTGTGACCCAGATAATATGCTAAATATCATATAATTAATTATTAAGTCTCTTTGTCCTCTCAATATTCTTAAGGAAACAATATTCTTAAGGAAACAAGAATAGAGGAAATTGAAGGTCTACTAAATGTTAAATTTAGAATCTAGGTCTGTCACATTGCCACTGCTGCTGTGTTTTTGCCCAAAGGGCTTACAACCCAACGGGAGAGAGAAACAAGCAAACAAATATCCAGTGGGATAATAAACTCAGTGGCATCATACCTAACAATTGAGTTCTTTCTATGTGTCAGGCAATGGAAAAATGCTTTATATACTATGAGATAAATTCTACCACTATCCCTATTTACAGATAAAGAAACCAAAGCAAAGAAAGTTTAAGTGTGGAAAATCAAAAGAATGGAGCAGTCCGTATATGTTACAATAATTTAGGTAAGAAATAGAGGTGGAACTTTTGCTAGACCTTGAAAACAGGATTAAAAGTAGACAAACAGAAAAGGCCAAGATGAACAGTTCAGGCAGGTAGAGTGGCATGATCATGCAATATGGTTTGCAATATAAACACTTTTATTCTAATACACTAAACAGAACTGTGCCATTTGTTGATGAAAGTGTCCAGACACTGCAACAACAACTTGGACAGACAGAACTATTGAGCAAACCATCCCAAGAGCCTTCAAGCTGGAATCGAATTGAGTGGGTCGATATTGAAAAAAAATCATAAATGATTGACAGGTAGAGTTAGCTCGAATCTATTACTTTTCTTGAAATCCTTTCAAGGGTCATCATTAAGTGACAAGCTCATTGAACTTCACTTGAGAATCCGTGGGATAAAAAAGTGAACTCATATCGAAGAGTAATTGGAAGATGCCAAAGCCATCCAATAATGAAAATGGCAGTGCTTTTTATCATACTTAACATTTTGAAATGATTGTGTAAAGTCATGAAGCCTGTTTTTGGTCCAGTGACAATCTTATGTCCTGAGCAGTTGAGTGAATAGTTGACTTTCATTTTTAGTTTTAATTTTGTTTGTCTTCAAGACTCCACTGAAGTTCTGTTTTCTGTCTCCACTTATTCCTGTTTTAGAAGGACATTCACCACAGCTGTAGTTACCTCAGCAGTGTTTTCTGGGAGAATGGTTTCTCTGTGGAAGTATCAGATGCTTAGTGTTAGGCTCAGGTTGCACCTCCTTTCTAATGCATCTCTGCTCTTCTTGTCTCTGTCCACAGAATTCTTCTGCTTGGTCCCTGGTGATCATTCTCTTGAGTAATGAGTTATATTCCTGTAGCCAAAATGTTAACAAATAGAATAAATCCAATTTTTGAGAAATTAAAAACTAAGCAGGTTTGTCATCTCTATTTCTAATGGTCTTCAGCCTAAAACATTAGAGGATTTTAAGGCACAGTAAAATAATGAACAGCACCACCATCACGGTTATCATCATGACACCATGAATGCCATTGTCATCACTATCACTGTCTAAGT
The DNA here is from genome assembly GCF_000001405.40 of Homo sapiens. Lineage (NCBI taxonomy): Eukaryota > Metazoa > Chordata > Mammalia > Primates > Hominidae > Homo > Homo sapiens. The sequence continues at coordinate 28,870,585 of NC_000011.10, forward strand.
CAGCTCAGGTTGCTATAACAAAATACTCTAGACAGGATGGCTTAAACAAGGGACATTTATTCCTCACAGTTCTGGAGGCTGGGAAGTACAGGATGAATGTGATGGCAGATTTGGTGTCTGGGGAAGGCTCTCTTCCTGACATGCAGATGACTTCCTTCTTGCTGTGTCTTCACATGGTGAAAAGAGAAAGGGCTCTGGTGTCTCTTTCTTTTCTTATAAGAACTCTAATCCAATCATAAGCTCCTCCCTCATGACCTCGTTTAAAAGCCATTACTGGCCGAGCGCGGTGGCTCACGCCTGTAATCTCAGCACTTTGGGAGGCTGAGGCGGGTGGATCACGAGGTCAGGAGATTGAGACCATCCTTGCTAACGTGGTGAAACCCCGTCTCTACTAAAAATACAAAAAATTAGCCAGGCATGGTGGCGGGTGCCTGTAGTCCAGGCTACTCGGGAGGCTGAGACAGGATAATGGCGTGAACCATTCTCCTGAGCTTGCAGTGAGCTGAGATCACGCTACTGCCCTCCAGCCTGGGTGACATAGTGAGACTCCATTTAAAAAAAAAGCCATTGCCTCCCAAAGTCAGCCTTATAATATCTCACATGGGGATTAGGGCTTCAACACATGAATTTCAAGCATGTGTTGAAGGACAAACATTCAACCCATAGCAATTACCACTACTACAATCATTATAATCATTGTTGTCATCAACATCATCATCATCATCATCATCATCATCATCATCATCATCATCATCATCACTGTTCATTGCTGGCTCACCAGCTGAAGTTGCAATCATGCCAGAAATTTTATAGATGCTTGTTTGTCATAGCCTTATTACCAAAAAAAAATTGTAATTATGATTCCTACTTTACAGGTAGGAAAATGAGGCTGTGGTAACTCACACAAAGTTACATTTTCAGTTTGAGGAAGAGAAGAGCTGGGTTTTTACTAAGGTTGACTTTTTTTAATCTTGTTTTCTCTTTCCACTTTGCGTATTAGTATTTTTCGCCAACCTCAATCTAGAACCCTCGTCCTTGGCCCTAGAAAGACCGTTTCTTATAGCAAGAAATTAAGCTAACTCAGGGTTACTTAATCTCTGCACTTTTGACATTTTGGGGTACATAATACTATGTTGGGTTTTGGGAATATGTCCTATGTGTTGCATGATGATTAGAAGCATCCCTCTCTTCTTCTCAGTAGATGTCAGAAGTTTCCCTCCCCAATCATAGAATTAACTATCTCCAGACATTGCCAAATATCCCCTCAGGGGGTGAAATCTTCCTGGTCAAGAACCATTGAACTAACTTCTTGGAAATTGTTAGCGTCTAAGAAATATGAGTTATTTTTCCCAGGGAGATTACAAAATAATTGATTTCATATTATTGTAAAATTTTAGGTGTCATTACAGACAAAATGGAAGCTAATTTTAGCTGTTGGGCGGGTACATGAAGCTCTTGATGCTCTTGAGATTGTGATTTTTCTGAGCTGTCACAGGCAGTTGTTGATGCAAGTATTACTATAATGCAAAAGAAATGAGAAACTAAACAATGGTTGTCCAACTATTATGGCCTTTGTTATTATAGACTTTTTCTACCCAAGCAAAATTTTATAGAATTTGATATATCTCATTTAACTAATTCAATTTTGAAAACAACTCTTTTAGCTAACTTTAAAAGTGAGTAATTTAAATACAGATATTTGGAAAAGGATATCACACAGTAAAAATAATCATCTGTCCCCCAAATAATTATTGTTTACATTTTGACATATTTACTTTTAAGTATATATATATATATATATATATATGTATAGCATGATAATCAAAGGCCTTTTCTCACAGGGCTATTATAATTTTCATGTAGTGTTTACCATGTTGCCTGGCATGTAGTGTAAACTTTTGTTGTGGTTGCTATTTTACTTGTTATTATTATATTTGTAATTCAACATTTTATGAAAAGTTTGCATCATGTGAATGTATCATAATTTAACTTTCTTCTCATTTTGTGGCATTTAGGTTATTTAAAAAATTAATAAATATTTTAAAACTCCAAATATACTATTGAATAAAGTTTATAAAGCAATGACTGCTTTATAGATACTCCCACACAAAAAGGGGAGAGAAATTTTTCAAGGCCAGGCAATTAATCAGTGAAACAATATATTCTTCCATTACCATCTGTCCACTCTTCTCCCAATGTGACTTTAGGGCAAAAGTGAGCATTGAGATGTGTTGTGCATTCAATTTTTCCTTTTAGAATGATCAGATTAACTATAAAGTGTTTGGACATTTTATAAATTTTTTTTTTGTTCAACTCTAGCAATCATAAAGAGACAAATAAAATGGCTGTTACCAACTAAATCTTACCCAATGTGGAAAATACAGATAGCTCCAGGAGGTTATTCACTTTAGAATTCAGGCAACACCTTGGACATTCAGCAAGTGAGATGTGAAATAGTTTCCCCAAACCAGCAATTTCTCAGTTTAGACCTTACTAGGTTTTGCTTACTAATGGCCATAGTTCTAGAGAGGTGGCTATTTACGTAAGTTAATGGCAAATATTTGCTGTAAAATGATCTTTAAGATGGTTTAGACTTAGAAATCAAGAGAGTATGAACCTGCTCATTGTGGTGGAGTGGTTCTGTCCTGGGTTTCTGTCCAAATCAGAAAATTTGTTTTTTTGACACTCTCTACAGCAAACTTACCCTGGATCATTAGCCAAGTCACTGTCTTGACTTCTGTTTCCTCCTCTTGAATGATGAGAGTGGAATTAGATCACTTTTTTTTTCTTTTTTCTTTATTATACTTTAAGTTCTAGGGTACATGTGCACAACGTGCAGGTTTGTTACATATGTATGCATGTGCCATGTTGGTGTGCTGCACCCATTAACTCGTCATTGACATTAGGTATATTTCCTAATGCTATCCCTCCCCTCTACCCCCACCCCACAACAGGCCCTGGTGTGTGATGTTCCCCTTCCTGCGTCCAAGTGTTCTCACTATTCAACTCCCACCTATAAGTGAGAACATGTGGTGTTTGGTTTTTTGTCCTTGCAATAGTTTGCTGAGAATGATGGTTTCCAGCTTCATCCATGTCCCTACAAAGGACATGAACTCATCATTTTTTATGGCTGCATAGTATTCCATGGTATATATGTGCCACATTTTCTTAATCCAGTCTATCATTGTTGGACATTTGGGTTGGTTCCAAGTCTTTGCTATTGTGAATAGTGCCGCAATAAACATATGTGTGCATGTGTCTTTATAGCAGCATGATTTATAATCCTTTGGGTATATACCCAGTAATGAGATTGCTGGGTCAAATGGTATTTCTAGTTCTAGATCCCTGAGGAATCGCCACACTGACTTCCACAATGGTTGAACTAGTTGACAGTCCCACCAACAGTGTAAAAGTGTTCCTATTTCTCCACATCCTCTCCAGCACCTGTTATTTCCTGACTTTTTAATGATCGCCATTCTAACTGGTGTGTGATGGTATCTCATTGTGGTTTTGATTTGCATTTCTCTGATGGCCAGTGATGATGAGCATTTTTTCATGTGTCTGTTGCCTGCATAAATGTCTTCTTTTGAGAAGTGTCTGTTCATATCCTTCACCCACTTGTTGATGGGGTTGTTTGTTTTTTTCTTGTAAATTTGTTTGAGTTCTTTGTAGATTCTGGATATTAGCCCTTTGTCAGATGAGTAGATTGCAAAAATTTTCTCTCGTTCTGTAGGTTGCCTGTTCACTCTGATGGTAGTTTCTTTTGCTGTGCAGAAGCTCTTTAGTTTAATTAGATCCCATTTGTCAATTTTGGCTTTTGTTGCCATTGCTTTTGGTGTTTTAGTCATGAAGTCCTTGCCCATGCCTGTGTCCTGAATGGTATTGTGTTTATAGGCTTAAATTTCTATTTTATTTTTTTCTGTGAGTTTCATATCCATATCCTTTAACCCCTTTTTATTGATTTGCAAATGCTTTTTATGTATTATAAGTATTTGATCTTTTTTCTAGTGTGGGAAATACTCTGTCCCATTTTGTAATTTGTTTTGACTTAGTCTACGGTGTTCTTCGCTTCGTAGAAAATTTTAACTTTTGTAAGTCAAATTCATCAATCATTCTATGATTTTCTTTGTGTTATGTTTTAAATAAAAATTTTCTACTATATTATAATTTAAATACTTCCATATATTTTTGTTATCCTTTATGATTTCATTTTATATATTTAAATGTTTTAGACATCTGGACAGTATTTGGGAAGCAGAGATGACTTTATAACCTAAGTTTGTATTTTCCAGATGGCTGCACAATTGTTTCAACATTTTTTTTTTAAATGTTTGACTCATTGATTTGAAATGTTACATTTACCATGTATACTACATTCCCATATGTATTGGGGTTTATTTCTAGACTTTCACTTGTTCCATGTATCTACCTTTGTTTATATGCTAGTTTCTAACATTTTTATGACGGGATCTTCTGCCATATTTTAATTTTTGATGAAGCACTTACTCTCTGAGTCTTCTTTTCAGAATTTTCTGGCTCTTTATGACAAGTTTCCTTTTTATGTATATGAACTTTTAAATAATATTATCTATTTCCAGTGTTAACTCTATTATTAATTTTATTAGAATTGCACACAATTTGCAAATTATTTTAAGTAGAGTTAACATTTTTATCATTAATTTTCCATGTCTTTTTTCCATGTATTTATTCTTTATTTCTGTTCCTAAGAACATTTCTTTTATATTATTTACTATTATAATATTTAATTATTTATCTATTTTTTTATCTTTGACACATTTCCTATTCTCCTTTATGACCACAATATCAGCCCATTTAATCTCACTCCTTAAGATAAATAATTTTGATAATATAGTGTATGCATGTCTTTATTTTTTCTATTATTATACATATACACATATGTAATACCCACATATTTTTTTCTTTTTCATTTCTATTAAAGGATGATTAGATATTAGATTTATTTTTAAAAAGCATGTTATTAGTTACTTTTCTGTATATTTCCTTTATCAGCCTTTAAAACATTTTGGTGAATCTCTCACTATCATCTGCTATAGTTTAAATTCATTCTTTACAATGGCTGTGTAATATTGCATGGTGTGCATCACAACAATGAAGCTAGTGATTCCTCTTTTGATGGGCAGTCTCTGTTTCAGTTCTTGGCCACTGTCAACAAGGCTAAATAAACATCCTCATCCATATGCCCTTATTATCTAGGAGTTGATACTTTTCCTTCCATTCGGTAGAATATTATGAGAGTTATTTTAGAGTAAATATTACTAAATTGCCTTCCAAAAGGGCCATAGCACTTCACAGTACAATTAGAATATATGAAATTAGGCCGGGCGCAGTGGTCATGCCTGTAATCCCAGCACTTTGGGAAACTGAGGTGGGTGGATCACAAGGTCAGGAGTTTGAGACCAGCCTGACCAACATGGTGAAACCCCGTGTCTACTAAAAACACAAAAATTAGCCGGGCATGGTGGTGCTCGCCTGTAATCCCAGCTGCTCAGGAGGCTGAGGCAGGAGAATTGCTTGAACCTGCAAAAAAAAAAAAAAAAAAAAAAAAAGAAAAAGAAAAAGAAAAAACATTCCTATCAGAAAGAGCTCTAGACACTTGAATTTAGATGCTATATAATTGTCACTTAAATCCACATTTTACTGACAGTTAATGGTATTGAAAACATTTCTACATATTTGCTGTTTACTTGAATTTGCTCTCCTTTGAATTATGTATTCTTTTATTTGTACATTTTCGTATTATTTTATTTTGTTTAGCAGTGAGTTTAGCCCTCTATATGGGCAGGTTCTGCATCTGCAGTTTCAAACAACCATGGTTTAAAAACGTTAAGGAGAAAACAATAAAAATAACAACAAAACAATAAAAATAATGCAAATCAAAACAATATAGTATAGTAAGTATGTGGTATTTACATTATATTAGTTATAAGTAATCTACAGGTGATTTACAGTATATGGGAAGTTATGTGTAGGGAATATGCAAATGCTTCACCGTTTAATACAAGGAACTGGAGCATCCCCAGATTTTGGTATCCAAGGGAGTCCTGGAACCAATCCCTTATGGAAACTGAGAGAGGACTGTATTTATCTTGTAAGAGATATTGTGTATTCTATAAATTAACCCATTATTTATCTGTTTGTTTACATTTTTTAGAAAAATTTCTTTTCTTTTTGCTTTTTTTAATGGTATTTTTTTCTATACAAAAACCTTAATCTGTTTTTTTTTTCTTTTATATTATCTAGCTTTGAATTAGGAAAGTCTCCCTGATTCCTAGATAGTATAGTTTTTAGAGTTTCTTGCAAGTCTTTTGGTTTACTTGGTTATTGTTAACCATTTTATCTACCTGACATTTATTTCAGAATCTTATTTAGGATATTTCGGATATTAGGAGTTATTATTTTCTTTCAAATTACCAAGTTTTGTCGGCACCTTTCATTAGATAATCTATATTTTACTCACCGAATTAAACTTCATGTTTATCATATAATAGTATCCCATCAGTATAGACATCTAATTCTGAGTTCTAAAATTCCAAAAATTCTGTGTGTTTAACTAAAGCAATATTCTGTTGATTTTATTTAAATTGTTTTTATAACAGTGTCTCAACTGGGGTTCTGCAAATGTTGTTAGAGTTTCCGTAAAACATGATGATTAGAAAAAATAATTGTTACTTAGATTTTGAGTGCTTTTCCAAGCTAACACTGCCAGTAGTGAATATTGACAGCTCATCACCATTAGAATTTTTATTATAGGTCTTTCAGCCTTTTATGACAGTACACAGAAGGAAAGGCCATTTCATTTGGTTGAATTCACTATCAGCTTCTGTCATGAAATATGGGAGGCCATTGACTATTGATGTCTCTTTTGGAGAGAGGGTAGGAAAGTGTGTTGATGACATCAGCTTCTCCCTCTAACTTACTTCCTGTCACCTTCCCTTATGTGCTGCTGACTAGTTCATAGGATTGAACATACTCTGGCTGTGTAACAAAAAAATAATTTTTATGCAGTGTGACTTAGTTACTCCTTTGCATTTTGCTGTTGTGTGCTTGGCAAAATAAAAATTTTGTGAATTAGATTGAATTTTATTGTGAAATTTTGTGGTATTTTAAAAAGTTATCATTTAGTTATTTATTATGCCCTCCTATTTTATGTTGTATTGGCCTTTGTATATTAAAAACATATCTGGCTATGTTAACATAGTGATTATTTGAAAATAATTTAAGACATGGAAGAAGAGGATTTTTGGTTGATGTCAGTTTCTAAAGAATGGATTATAAAGAATCACAACTTACAAATGAAACATAGACTCAAAAAAAAACTTTAAAAAGTCACTAATACACAAGTCACAACCATTTGAACAGGTAAAGCTAGTGATTAAATGGTTATCATATTCTCAAACTAGAGCAAAGTTTTATTTTTGAAAGTCATGCTTAGTCAGAAGCCTCAGGAATCAAGTTATTTAGTAATTAAATTTATTACCCAGAAAAGGAAAAGTCACACAGCTGGTGAGAAACTAATGATGTCAGCATGTAAAATTATAGTGCGTAAAATGTTTGGATAGGATGCAGTATGAGAAATTGAAGGCTTTGCTCTCAAACAGAGTAAGTTGACGTATTGATGACATGTCACATCATGCTTAAGAGGTTTTGTGTAATACATGAAAAACAACAGTTTCTCTCCAGATTGATGAGTCAACAGATTTCAGCGAGAAATGTCATAATGTTGCATTGTAAGATTTGTAAATAATGGTGAAATTTAAGAAAACGCTTTTTCTGCTGCAAAAAGTTTCAAACAACAGGTAAGTGCCAGGTTAAATTTAATATCTTGTTTCCATATCTTGAAACAAAACAAAAATTGAATGTTGGAGTAACTAAGTTGGTATTTCTGTGGATGCTGCCTATTCAGTGGTTGACTCTATCAGAAGTTTCACCTCTTTCAAAAAAAAAAAAAAAAAGAAGGAAAAAAGAAAGAAAAAGAAGAATCCTAATGTTATAGCACACTGCTTTCTTCAGTGAGATGCTGGTGTCAATAACTCTTTTTAAAATGTTTTTGAATACATTTTATCTTATTTATTTTTTCTTTTTTATTATACTTTAAGTTCTAGGGTACATGTGTACAGCATGCAGGTTTGTTAACATATGTATACCTGTGCCATGTATACATATAACTTGTAACATACAAATAACTCGTCATTTACATTAGGTATATCTCCTAATGCTGTCGCTCCCCCCTCCCCCCACCCCATGACAGGCCCTGATGTGTGATGTTCCCCGCCCTGTGTGCAAGTGTTTTCATTGGTCAGTTCCCACCTATGAGTGAGAACATGCGGTGTTTGGTTTTCTGTCCTTGCAATAGTTTGCTCAGAATGATGGTTTCCAGCTTCAACCATGTTTCTACAAAGGACATGAACTCTACCTTTCTTATGGCTGCATAGTATTCCATGGTGTGTATGTGACACATTTTCTTAATTCAGTCTATTGGTGGACATTGGGTTGGTTCCAAGTCTTTGCTATTGTGAATAATGCCACAATAAACATACATGTGCATGTGTCTTTATAGCAGCATGATTTATAATCCTTTGGGTATATACTCAGTAATGGGATGGCTGGGTCAAATGGTATTTCTAGTTCTAGATCCTTAAGGAATCGCCACATTGTCTTCCACAATGGTTGAACTAGTTTACAGTCCCACCAACGGTGTAAAAGTGTTCCTATTTCTCCACATCCTCTTCAGTACCTGTTGTTTCCTGACGTTTTAATGATCGCCATTTGACCAAACCTGACAAAAGCAAGAAATGGGGAAAGGATTCCCTATTTAATAAATGGTGCTGGGAAAAATGGCTAGCCATATGGAGAAAGCTGAAACTGGATCCCTTCCTTACACCTTATACAAAAATTAATTCAAGATGGATTAAAGACTTAAATGTTAGACCTAAAACCATAAAAACCCTAGAAGAAAACCTAGGAAATACCAGTCAATAACTCTTATAGATAAAATCAAAAGAAAAATTTTATATAATGTCACAAAGGAAATTCTCTTGAAAATTAGCTCTAACATCATAGTCCAGAGCAGCTGCATTGATAATCTCGACAGCTCTACCCAGAATATACTCATCAAATTTGTTAAATTAAAGCAAGCATGGAATATTGAATAGTTTTAAACATTATGAAATTAGAGAAAAATGATATCAATGATATATGTGTCATACTCATTAAACATTCAGATTTTGGGGAGATAGAAATCAGTTCTGGACCTGGAAGATAGGAAGATTTAATTTCAATTAACAATTTTTATTAGAAATGTTATTATTTATCTTATTATCAGTATAACCCTGACTTTAGGCTAAGACCCATAGTAGACACTTTGTTGGTCACCTTTCTTTAAACGGAGAAAAATGCCATGTGACTTATGTTTATCTTCACCTGTGTGTTGACCCTAGACCCTCCCATGTTCACTAAACACTAAGGTTTGAGTCATTCTCCTAAGAGTTTCTTGAGGCAGCCTTTGTTTTTTACTTTGTCATTTTATATTTCCAATAAAGTAAGCTTTGTCTTAGTATGCTCATTTAGAAAGTCCTTAGAAGCAAATAGGGAGAGGTAGACAATATTTTCCAAGTGTTCAGCATTAAATTTTCCGTAGAGTTCATGACGATTGAGAGGTGAAGCTCCTATTATCCTCTTGTCTTATAATCATCAAAGATAAGGTGAGTTAAGACCTATTATAGATTTTTTAAAAAATATTTTGAAACAGATCAGGTTTATTGAAGTATAATTTACATAAATAGATACATATTCATTAAATACGCATTGTTTATAAGTCTGAAAAATATATATTGCTGTGTAACCACCATTCCAACAAAGATATAGAATATACCTATTACCATGAAAATTTCTCTCACGGTTTATTAGAATCAGTCCCTTTCTCCAACCCTATCCACTGTCAACCTGTAATTTGATTTCTGTACCTACAGTTTTGGCTGTTTAAGAATATCATGGGTATGTAGCCTTTGTCTCTGACTCCTTTCAAATAGTGTAACATATTTAAGATTCAACCACGTATCTTGAATGTATCTGTAGTTCATTCCTTGTCATTGGTAGATAGTATTCCTTTATAAGGGTGTACCACCACACTTTGATAATCCTTTCAGCAGTTAATGGATATTTGGCTGTTCCTAGATGTGGGTAATTATAAATCTGCTATAAATATTAATGTATGGATAGGTAGACATATTTTCATTTATCTTGCATAAATACCAGGGGCAGGATTGCTGAGTTGTATGGAAGTTATAGGTTTAACTTAATAAAAACTGCCAAACTGTGCCCCAAAGTACCTGTATCATTTTGCATTCCCACCAGTAATAATTCAGAGTGCGGGTTTCTCCATATCCACTCCAGTACCTGGTATCTTCAGATTAAAAAAAAAAACACTATAATCATTCCATCAGATAGATAGTGGTATCACATTGTGGATTTAATTTTCACTTCTTTAATGACTAATGATGTTTAACTTCTTTTCTTGTGCTTATTTGCTATTTGTATATCTTCTTTTGTGATATGTCTGTTCAAATTGTTTGCCCATTTCTTAGTTCATTGATTTCCTCATAATTGAGTTGTAGGAATTATTTACATAATACTTGATACCAGTCTTTTATCAAATGTAGATTTTGCAAATATTTTCTTATAATCTGTGGCTTTTCTTTTCATTTTAACAATGCCTTTCAAACAACACAAATTTTGAATTCTGAAGTACCATTAACATTTTTTAGAGTTTATAATTTTTCCTATTATATGTAAGAGTATTTGCTTTAGACAATGTCCAAAGATTTTTTACATTTTTCTAAAACGTTTATAGAGTTAGATTTTCCATTTAGAACTATGATTTAGTTTAAGATAAACTCAATGAGTTTAGGGGCACTTTTATACTGAAAAGGCAATTCTTACTCCACTTAATTATTTTAGCATCTTTCTCAAAATTTAATTGACATCAATATGTTTATACATGTCTGGCTTTTCTTTTTCATTTATCTATATGTTTATCTTTTTATCTGTACTATGCTATCATGACTATTGTAGCTTTGTAGATAATCTTTAAATCAGGCTTTTGTATGTATAACAACTTTGGTTCTTTTTCTAAAAAAATTTCCAATTATTTTGTCTTTTGCTTTTCCATATAAATTTTATAACTATATTGAGGATTTTAACATCGATGTTCATCAGAGAAATTGGCCTAAAATTCTCTTTTTTTGTTGTGTCTCTGCCAGGCTTTGGTATCAGGATGATGCTGGCCTCATAAAATGAGTTAGGGAGGATTCCCTCTTTTTCTATTGATTGGAATAGTTTTAGAAGGAATGGTACCAGCTCCTCTTTGTACCTCTGGTAGAATTCGGCTGTGAATCCGTCTGGTCCTGGACTTTTTTTGGTTGGTAGGCTATTAATTATTGCCTCAATTTCAGAACCTGTGATTTGTCTATTCAGAGATTCAATTTCTTCCTTGTTTAGTTTTGGGAAGGTGTATGTGTCCAGGAATTTATCCATTTCTTCTAGATTTTCTAGTTTATTTGCATAGAGGTGTTTATAGTATTCTCTCATGGTAGTTTGTATTTCTGTGGGATCAGTGGTGATATCCCCTTTATCATTTTTTATTGCGTCTATTTGATTCTTCTCTCTTTTCTTCTTTATTAGTCTTGCTAGTGGTCTATCAATTTTGTTGATCTTTTCAAAAAACCAGCTCCTGGATTCATTGATTTTTTGAAGGGTTTTCCTGTGTCTCTATCTCCTTCAGTTCTGCTCTGATCTTAGTTATTTCCTGCCTTCGGCTAACTTTTGAATGTGTTTGCTCTTGCTTCTCTAGTTCTTTTGATTGTGATGTTAGGGTGCCTATTTTAGATCTTTCCTGCTTTCTCCTGTGGGCATTTAGTGCTATAAATTTCCCTCTACATACTGCTTTAAATGTGTCCCAGAAGTTCTGGTACATGGTGTCTTTGTTCTCATTGGTTTCAAAGAACAAGTTTATTTCTGCCTTCATTTCATTATTTACCCAGTAGTCATTCAGGAGCAGGTTGTTCAGTTTCCATGTAGTTGTGTGGTTCTGAGTGAGTTTCTTAATCCTGAGTTCTAATTTGATTGTACTGTGGTCTGAGAGACAGTTTGTTGTGATTTCTGTTCTTTTACATTTGCTGGGGAGTGTTTTACTTCCAATTATGTGGTCAATTTTTGATATAAGTGTGATGTGGTGTTGAGAAGAATGTATATTCTGTTGATTTGGGGTGGAGAGTTCTGTAGATATCTATTAGGCCCGCTTGGTCCAGAGCTGAATTCAAGTCCTAGATATGCTTGTTAATTTTCTGTCTCATGGATCTGTCTAATATTGACAGTGGGCGTTAAAGTCTCCCATTATTATTGTGTGGGGGTCTAAGTCTCTTTGTAGGTCTCTAAGAACTTGCTTTATAAAACTGGGTGTTCCTGTATTGGGTAAATACATATTTAGGATAGTTAGCTCTTCTTGTTGAATTGATGCCTTTACCATTATGTAATGCCCTTTTTTGTCTCTTTTGATCTTTGTCAGTTTAAAGTCTGTTTTATCAGAGACCAGGATCATTCTGATACCAAAACCAGGGAGAGACACAACAAAACACAAAAACTTCAGACCAATATCCCTGATGAACACCAAAGCGAAAATCCTCAGTAAAATACTGGCAAACCAAATCCAGCAGTACATCAAAAATTTTATCCTCCACTTTCAAGTTGGCTTCATCCCTGGGATGCAAGGCTGGTTCAACATACACAAATCAATAAACGTAATCCATCACATAAACAGAACAAAGACAAAGACCACATGATTATCTCAATAGATGCAGAAAAGGCCTTCAACAAAATTCAACAGACGTTCATACTAAAAACTCTCAATAAACTAGGTATTGATGGAACATATCTCAAAATAATAAGAGCGATTTATGACAAACCCACAGCCAATATCATACTGAATGGGCAAAAACTGGAAGCATTGCCTTTGAAAACTGGCACAAAACAAGGATGTCCTCTCTCACCACTCCTATTCAACATAGTGTTGAAAGTTCTGGCCAGGGCAATCGGCAAGAAAAAGAAATAAGGGGTATTCAAGAGGAAGTCAAATTGTCTCTGTTTGCAGATGACATGATAGTATATTTAGAAAACCCCATCATTCAGCCCCAAATCTCCTTAAGCTGATAAGTAAATTCAGCAAAGTCTCAGGATACAAAATCAATGTGCAAAAATCACAAGCACTCCTATACACCAGTAACAGACAAACAGAGCCAATCACAAGTGAACTCCCATTCACGAATACTACAAAGAGAATAAAATACCTAGGAATCCAACAGATAAGGGATGTGAAGGATCTCCTGCTCCTCAGTGAAATAAAAGAGGACACAAACAAATGGAAGAACATTCCATGCTCATGGATGGGAAGAATCAATATTGTGAAAATGGCCATCCTGTCCAAGGTAATTTACAGATTCAATGCCATCCCCATCAAGCTACCATTGATTTTCTTCACAGAATTGGAAGAAAACTACTTAAATTTCAAAAGGAACCAAAAAACAGCCCACATAGCCAAGATAATCCAAAGCAAAAAGAACAAAGTTGAAGACACCATGCTACCTGACTTCATACTATACTACAAGGCTACAGTAACCAAAACAGCATGGTACTGGTGCCAAAACAGACATATAGAACAATGGAACAGAATAGAGACCTCAGAAATAACACCACACACCTATAACCATCTGATCTTTGACAAACCTGACAAAAACAAGCAATGAGGAAAGGATTCCCTGTTTAACAAATGGTGCTAGGAAAACTGGCTAGCCATATATAGAAAGCTTAAACTGGATCCCTTCCTTACACCTTATACAAAAATTAACTCAAGGTGGATTAAAGACTTAAATGTAAAACCTAAAACCATAAAAACCCTAAAAGAAAACCTAGGCAATACCATTCAGGACATGGGCATGGGCAAAGACTTCATGTCTAAAACACCAAAAGCAATGGCAATAAAAGCCAAAATAGACAAATGGGATCTAATTAAACTAAAGAGCTTCTGCACAGCAAAAGAAACTATCATCAGAGTGAACAGGCAGCCTACAGAATGGGAGAAAATTTTTGCAATCTATCCATCTGACAAAGGGCTAATATCCAGAATCTACAAAGAACTTAACCAAATTTACAAGAAAAAAAACAACCCCATCAAAAAGTGGACAAAGCATATGAACAGCCACTTCTCAAAAGAAGACATTTATGCAGCCAACAGACATATGAAAAAATTCCCATCATCACTGGTCATCAGAAAAATGCAAATCAAAACCACAATGAGATACCATCTCACACCAGTTAGAATGGCGATCATTAAAAAGTTAGGAAATAACAGGTGCTGGAGAGGATGTGGAGAAATAGGATTGCTTTTACACTGTTTGTAGGAGTGTAAATTAGTTAAACCATTGTGGAAGACAGTGTGGCAATTCCTCAAGAATCTGGAACTAGACATACCATTTGACCCATCAATCTCCTTACTGGATTTGCACCCAAAGGATTGTAAATCATGCTACTATAAAGACACCTGCACATGTATATTTATTGTGGCACTATTCACAATAGCAAAGACTTGGAATCAACCCAAATGTCCATCAATAATAGACTGGATAAAGAAAATGTGTCGCATATCCACCATGGAATACTATGCAGCCATAAAAAAGGATGAGTTCACATCCTTTGCAGGGACATGGATGAAGTTGGAAACCATCCTTTTCAGCAAAATATCACTAGGACAGACAACCAAACATTGCATGTTCTCACTGATAAGTGGGAATTGAACAATGAGAACACATGGACACAGGGAGGGGAACATTACCCACTGGGGCCTGTGGGGGGTGGGAGGCTGGGGGATGGATAGCGTTAGGAGAAATACCTAATGTAAATGATGAGTTGATGGGTGCAGCAAACCAACATGGCGCATGTATACCTAGGTAACAAACCTGCACATTGTGCACATGTACCCTAGAACTTAAAGTATAATAATAAAGAGAAAAAAAATAAATTTTATAACTATATTTTAAATTAACACAAAACCCTTCTGGAATTTATTTATTTATTGGGATTATAGTTGAATATATAGATTTATTTTTGGAGAATTAGTTTCTTAACATTAAATATTTAAATCCATGAACACAGTGTATCTTTCTGTTTTTAGATCTTTGATTTCTCTTAGCACTGTTTTGTTATTTTTAGTATGCAAGTTTTACATGTTTTATTAGATTTTCTCCTAAAAATTTTTTCTGAGGCTGTTATATGGTAATTTTATTTTTAATTTTAATTTGAAATTCTTCATTGCCGGCATGGAAAGACAACTGATGTTTGTTTCCTGAGAACTTGCTAAAAATCACTTATTAGTTCTAATAGCGTTTTGTAGAATGTTTTGGATTTTCTACTCAACAATTGGGTCTTTTGCAAATACATTCGTTTCTTCTTCTCCAGTCTGTACCTTTTTTTTTTTTTTGGTATTTATTTTTCTTGCGTTATTTTATTGACTAGGGCTTTCACTATGATGCTGAATAGAAATAATGAGACTAAACATTTTTGCCTCATTCTTGATTTTAGCAAGAGTATTAAAGGCTTACCATATACGTGATATTAGCTATATATATCATATATTCACTTTATCAGGTTGAGGATACTATATTTCTAGTATGCTAAGGATTTTTATAATTGATGGATGCTTAATTTTACCAAAAGCCTTTGTAAAAAATCTGCTGAGATAATTACATGATTTTCTTCTTTAGCCTGTTGATGATGGCGAATTATGTTTTCTGATTTTCAAATGTTAAACTTATTTTTCATTCCTGGAATAAACCTCACTTGGTCATGATATATTATTTTTTAATTGTTGCTGCATTCAATTTACTACAGTTTGAAAAATTTTTGCATTCATGTTCATGAGCATGTTGGTCTGTGGTTTATTTTTTGTTACATTTGTCTGATATTAGGGTATGCTGGCTTCATAAAAAGTTGGAAACTGTCACCTCCTCTTCTGTATTCTGGTAGAGTTTGTATAGAATTGATTTTTTTTTCTAAATGTTTGGTATAGTCTTCACCAATGAAGCCATGTGTGCTTGGAGTTTTCAATGTTGGGGGGTTTTTAGTTATACATTATTCAATAAATATAAAACTCTCAAGCTTATATATTTCTACCTAAGATTGGTAGTTTGTGTCTTTCAAGATATTTGTCATTTCATCCAAGTTATAAAATTTATGTATGTGAAGTTGTTCATGATCCTCCTTGAAGTTCTGTTACTATTTCTAGGATCTGTAGTAATGTCCCCTTTGTCACACCTGATATTGGTAATTTATGTCTTCTTTTTTTCTAGTATATAGGTTTAATCATTTTATTGCTCTTTTCATAGAAAAAAACTTCTGATTTTATTTAATTTTTATGACTTTCTGTTACCAATGTCATTGGGTTTTTCTCTCATCTGTAGCATTTCCTTCTTTTTGCTTGCTTTGAGTTTGTCTTCTTGTTCTAGTTTCTTAAGAACAATTGTATTATTGATATTACTGATATTGCCTTTCTTATGTTCTAATATAAGCATGTAATGCTGTATGTTTCCCTCTAAGCCTTTTTTTTTACCTGAATTCCACAATGTTTGACATGTTATGATTTCTGGACAATATTTTCTAATTTTTCTTGTGAGTTCCTCTATAACCTGTGGTAATTTTTTTAATTTGGGGTTTAACTTGTCTTTTTGATTTCTAGTTTAATTCCATTTTGGGAATGTTGAATTTTTTACCTCTGTTGATGGTTTGTGTTAAGGCCCAGAATATGGTCTATCTCAGCAAATATTTCTACCCAACTCTGAGTATGGAAGTTGAGTCTACCTAGTCAGCAACTGAGCTACTAGCTAGTTTTGAATGGTGGGTTTTTATTATTACCTTCAGTGCTCTACAAGTTTCCAGTTCTCTACTGGTAGGTTGCTTTTGCCTTGTTCTTATAGTGTGGTCTGCAGTGCTATACCCCTCAGCTTTCTGTATACTTGAGCCATAGAGGGAATCTGTCTATACACCCTTGCTTCTGCTGAGTGAGAGACTGCTGCTTCTGGATTACTTAGTGCTGGACTTGTTGTGGGAGCTGGACTATATTCTGTCATTCTGGACCAGTCTCAGTCTGAGCAGGCTCCGTATATGTGAGTCTCAGGGGTGAGTCTTTCTCAACTTAGCTGTTCCTCTTCACTTTAACAACCAAACTCTCCCATTCATCATCACTTAGTCTTTGGCAGGAGTTTCCTGTTTTTCCTGCAGTAGCTTCAGTCTTCTGCTTGGTATCAGTGCAGGATTCTGGGTACAAGATAATTTACTCCTCCTTCCCCAGGGGTGGAGAATTATTTTTCTGCTATTGTTTCTCTAGTCATAGTGGATCTCTGTGTCCTGGGAATGACAGTTTTACTGCCCTTTCCCAAATAGTTTTAAACTTTTGCTTTGTAGAAGAGAAGGGTCCGTAGCATGTGCAGAGGTTCATAATTGCCTGTTAGTAGCTGCCAGTGAACTCCCACATGCCTGCAATGGTGCAGTGGGCTCTTTTCAGTCTTTTGCCCTGTTCTCAACTTTTCTTCTAAGAACCCAGTGGAGGTCCATGGAAAAGATCTTGCAAGTGAATATAGACTTGCCTTATGTCTCCTGTCTCTGTTTATTCTAAATTAACATGTTAGCCCACCTTTGGCCTTTTATAATATATTACGTTGTAGATTGATGTTTTTCTTACCTGCCTGTATAATAAGAAAAAAAATGTTTTTCACCTCTTTCTCCAAGTTCTGCCAAAGGTGACATGCTTCTTGTATTTTGTCTGTCCTTGGAAGGGCTTATTCTTTTTCTCTTTGGAATTCAAGTTATTCTGTTGCTTTGAAACCTCAGCTCTCTGATAGACTCAAGAAAAGTTGTGATTTTTTAGGCTTTTCAGGTTTTTCTCATTGTTACGGTGTGGCTGTTGTTCTTCGGAGCTTTTTATATTTTAAGTGGAAGCATATGCTATAGTAATTCTGACTGTAACTAGTAAATGCTTATTATTAAGCTGTTCATAAGTAATATTAAGACTCACTTGTCCCTAAAATAGTTTCGTTGGGTTTTTAAGATTGGAAAGAAAAAAGCCTCACATATCTATTTGTATATGTAATGTCCATAGGTGTAGGGGGTTCCTAAATTGGAATTGGAAAATATTAATAGTCCAGAAACAGCCCTTTCTTAAGGGCTCATGGAGAGGCTCCTTAAGAGAGGGCTGTTTCTGGACCAGTACCTGAATTTATTACAAAGACCTCAGTTATTTAAGTAAGGGATGAAGGTAGTTGTGGGAGAATTGTTGGATATGCACTGTGGATAATTTGGGAATCTGTAAAAGCTACCGTCATCTTGGCATCCTGGGGGTGCCTGGAGAAACCTTGTCCTAAAGATCCAGGCAGCTTTCTTGTAGGGCATCCTTAAGTTTCAGTTGCGGAGGGGAAAGTATATGATACAGACCTTATTTGTATTAATTAGTAGAAGTCTAGGAAGAAGCAGGAAAAATATGGGGGCCACAAACAAGGCTCCAGCGATAATAAGGACGGTAAGTTCAGCCATAGTGACTTCACTGTACAACTACTTAGGAATTTTGGCATAGTCATTATCAATCAAATGCTTGTGGACACTAAGCACCTCTGTCAGCAGCACTGGTGACATCCAAAGAGGACACACAATTATTAAAACATCTGCATTTATAGATTCTGGCCTTCAGAAGAAGGCTTCAGAATCTGTTCTTCTGTCAAGCAATTGAAGACAAGCAGTACTAGTAACTAATTCATGGACATATTTAAGCATCACTGAGTATTTGGGCTAGGGAGTTCCCTGGAAAATGGTAAAACTAGTAAAATGGCTGGTCCCAGAGTCATTTTGATTGGTCATAAAATTTGTTTCTGTACTCAAACTAGTGAGATACAAAGCATGCTGGCATTTAACAAAGGATTTACACAATCCAACAATCACCCTGGACTGTGGTTACCTTCAAAACTCAGACCATGTTTTATTCATAAATGCATCCCAGTGTCTAATCCAATACCTGATATGAATCTTTTTTATTAAATGGATGATGATGATAAACTTGAGAATGTCACTTTGATAATATTACTCAGATATATTTATTGAATAGTTCCTAATAAAAACATTCTATAAGGAAGATTACTATATTTCTATCAATTGCCTTTGTGTTCATGCAGGTAAAAATTTCAAGGTATATGGATTGTAACATTTCCAAAGATGGCTAAATAATAATGACTATGGTTTAGAATTTAAACAAATTTTCATACCTATTTATGGTCAATGGACTGTGGAGTATTTGTTTCAGGTCCAACAGCTCAGGAGACACTTAAGATTGTAGGATCTTATCAGATGTTTACTGTGGATTCATTTTGCTATGGAGGATCCACAGATATTCTTCACAAATGAGAGCCACAGTTTCTAGGATCAAAAGAAAAATGACTGTCTATAAAAAACAGTGCATTTCTGAATGCACATTGTAAATAGTAACAAATATTTTTCTCACTTGGTTATATCTAGGGTAGAAAGTGAGGCTAACTCAATTAGGCATAGTCTAAGACAGACGTTGGTAAATTACAACTTGCAGACCAACTCTATCACTCAACCTATTTTTGTAAAGTTTTATTGGAAAATAGGTATGTCCATTTGTTTAGGTATGCTACAATAGAAAATTAAGTTGCAATAGAGACCATGTAGCTCACAATACCTAAGTTTTTTTTTTTTTTTTTTTAACTCTCTTGTCCTTCAAAGAAAAACTTCGCCCATTCCTGCTCTAAGACAAATCAACCATATTTATGTATGTGTTCTTCGTGTATATGTGCATGTGTGTGTGCAGGATTTCTAGTGTTAGTGACAGGTGACAGTGTGCTGGCAGCCCTCACAGCCCTCGCTCGCTCTGGGTGCCTCCTTGGCCTTGGCGCCCACTCTGGCCAAGCTTGAGGAGCCCTTCAGCCCGCTGCTGCACTGTGGGAGCCCCTTTCTGGGCTGGCTAAGGCCGGAGCCGGCTCCCTCAGCTTGCCGGGAGGTGTGGAGGGAGAGGCGCCTGCGGGAACCGGGGCTTAGCACCTGGGCCAGCAGCTGCTGTGCTCGATTTCTCGCCAGGCCTTAGCTGCCTCCCCGCGGGTCAGGGCTTGGGACCTGCAGCCCGCCATGCCGGAGCCCCCTCTCCCCCTCCCCCCATGCCCCCGCAGTGGGCTCCTGCGCGACCCAAGCCTCCCCCACGAGCGCTGCCCGCTGCTCCATGGCACCCAGTCCCATCGACTGCCCAAGGGCTGAGAAGTGCAGGCGCACGGCGAGGGACTGACAGGCAGCTACACAACTCCACCTGCGGCCCCAGTGCGGGATCCAGGGGTGAAGCCAGCTGGGCTCCTGAGTCTGCTGGGGATTTGGAGAATCTTCATGTCTAGCTAAGGGATTGTGAATGCACCAATCAGCACTCTGTATCTAGCTCAAGGTTTGTAAACACATCAATCAGCACCCTATGTTTAGCTCAGGGTTTGTGAATGCACCAATCGGCACTCTGTATCTAGTTAACCTGGTGGGGACTTGGAGAACCTTTATGTCTAGCTCAGAGATTGTGAATGCACCAATTGGCACTCTGTATCTAGTTAATCTGGTGGGGACTTGGAGAATCTTTATATGTAGCTAAGGGATTGAGAATGCACCAATCGGCACCCTGTATCTAGCTCAAGGTTTGTAAATGCACCAATCAGCACTCTGTGTCTAACTCAGAGTTCATAAATACACCAATCAACACTCTGTATCTAGCTAATCTAGTGGGGACATGGAGAACTTTTGTGTCTAGCTCAGGGATTGTAAACGCACCAATCAGCACCCTGTCAAAATGGACCAATCAGCTCTCTGTAAAACAGACCATTCGGCTCTCTGTAAAATGGACCAATCAGCAGGATGTGGGTGGAGCCAGATAAGAGAATTAAAGCAGGCTGCCACAGCCAGCAGTGGCAACCTGCCGGGGTTCTCTTCCACAGTGTGGAAGCTTTGTTCTTTCGCTCTTTGTAATAAATCTTGCTACTGCTCACTCTTTGGGTCCACACTGCCTTTATTAGCTGTAACACTCACCACGAAGTTCTGCAGCTTCACTCCTGAGCCAGCGAGACCACGAACCCACCAGAAGGAAGAAACTCCGAACATCAGAAGGAACAAACTCCAGACACACCACCTTTAAGAACTGCGACACTCACCGCGAGGGTCCGTGGCTTCATTCTTGAAGTCAGTGAGACCAAGAACCCACCGATTCCGGACACATTAGAACCTTAGTTTGAGTCTCATCACTCAATTTCTTACCACTGTGTTTTGCCATAGCCATCCATACTATAAACTTGAAGCTTTGTAATGGCTCACCATTGTCCTCAGGATGCTTAACATAGCTTAGAAGAAACTTCATTATAGGCTCCTGCTGTCATTTCTCATTTGCTACTTTTCATATTTACTCTTTCCTCCAACCATGTTCAAATTTTATAAATTCCTAATTTTTTCTCAAAGCCTCTTTCTTCAGATCCTTATCTTTCTGCCTACTTACTGTCTTCTTTATTTGCCTTTGTCTTTCATTACTTTTCAATGATCAGCCAAGCACCAGCCCCTCACCCTAAAAACTTGCAAAATCACTGCTCCCTCCCTGTACACACACACACACACACACACACACACACACACACACACACACACATAGAAACAGGCCAGTAAGTTAAGTTCCCCTTGTGCCTGAATTAATGATTATCTTTTTAATTTATTATCATAATTAGCTATTTATTGTCATTGTTTTTATTGATTTAAAAATATTCTGTAATTCTCCACTAGATTCTGTGTTTGGTCTATCAAAATAGGAGCCATATCCTGCTCAAGTTTTTATCTTCTAACCTAGAGTTCTGATATTGTATGCAGTCAACAAATGCTATTGTCCTAACAAATAAATGTGTTAATAGCAGGATGCGAACTTTCTGAAGGGTAAGATGAAATTGGAAACAAAGTTAGCAGCCTAGAGGTAAAGTGACCATCCATTCTAGTATACCTGGGTCAATTCTGGTTTATACCAATGGTCCTAATACAACTATTATCCTTGTTACCAAAGAAAAATGCCTTAGTTTGGAGGTTAAACCACTTGATTATCCATATCTCAAGTTAATTTTTGTGTGTGATAGGAATGACTTTTGAAGAAAAGTTTGTTAATCATGGTCTGGGCCAATGGAAGACATTTTCTTCCCATATTGACTGAAAATTCTAAATTTGAAAGACCAGAGAAACATGAGTTGCATGTCGAAGTCAAAGGAGCTGTGTGCAGAGGAACATTGTGAGATTTGGGGTAAGCAGTGCTGATCTAGAGTCAAACAGTCTCTGACATAGTCA
Source organism: Homo sapiens (assembly GCF_000001405.40). NCBI lineage: Eukaryota > Metazoa > Chordata > Mammalia > Primates > Hominidae > Homo > Homo sapiens. Next base: position 28,893,073 of record NC_000011.10, read on the forward strand.
ATGGGAAGTAATGTTATCCCTGTTTTAGTGAAGAGTTAGGTAACTTTCAATTTTTGGTAAAGATAGAGGAAATAGAACTACTGAACAAGGGTTTTTGCACATTTGCCTGTGTTGAGAAGAGACATCATAGGCAGCAATTTGCAATTTTATGGAGAGCACCAGCAGTAGTCAAAGTGTCAAGTGCCCCTACTGCCTTGAGTACAGAGGTCATCTCCAGTGGTCTGGTATCATGGTTGCAATTTTTCTGGAGGAAAGGTAAGATAGTCACTGCATATGCCATGAAATAACTGAGACAGACTTTGCAGAGAGGGTTTGGGAATGTGGCGCAGTGAATCTTATATAATAATATTTGAGTTAATTGATCTGCAAATTTGTGTCTGAATGTTAATATGACCTGATAATTACACACATGGTAATGGCATGAGACATGCAAGTGACATACTTATAAATAAAGAGAAAATCAGTGATTCTTAGCATCTCACAACAGATTCTGCCTCACATTGTGCTCTTTTAGAGAACTTTAACATGATTTTTAATTATTACCATGAATAAAAGTTCAAGATGTTATCATGCATCTGATCAAATATTAACAAATGTGCTTGGAGAGAGTGAATGTCTATCAGCAAAATAGACGGAAAATGTCATTTGGAGCTAGCAGAGGAACTTAGTAGAAAACTACTAAGTTTTCTACTAAGAAAACTTATTTATAATAAAACTTATTGTTACAAAAAGTGGTGGAGATTGCTCTAGGAGGCAGATTAAAGAGATGGTTTTTCACAACTACAGTTGACTGAAATGAAAATGCCTAGCTTTGTTCCTCTATGGCAAAGGCTCAGGACCTATCAATTTTGTCAGCACCTGAATACTATTTTGCTGGCGGACTTTAATTACATAGGCTAGACAGCTTGCAAGGGAAAAAAAAGTCGAGAATCTCTATTCTGGGGTAAATTTCCTAAGCAGTGTGTGAGAGGTGTACGCAGAAATCCTGTTGACAAAATATTTTGTGCAAGTGCCTCCCACACACAGCTTTAAAATGTTACCCCTATGTGTTTTCCATTCCTGCTGCTATTCAAATAACAAATGTCTAAAATGTTTTAATCTGTTTCTTTCTCTTCTTTGCCCCATGACTCCTCCAAGAAACATTAGCAACTATTGCATTCATCTCCTTATGTCATTTCATGTAATTTTAAAATGATTTTAAAATTAAATTGAGTCCTATTTTTCTAAGAAGTTATCTAGAAGGTGAGTTAAATAAAATGAACCATGAGCACTTCACAGTAGTATAATATGCTTTTTAAGGTGTTGAAATTCACATTTTCATTGAAAAAGTTATACATTTTTTAAAACCATCTTCTGTATTATAAATGTTTTCAAGAAGCACTGAAGAAACACATAGCTTGAGATTGTCAAGTGACTGCAATGCTTCTCCTGTAAGGATCTGAACATTTAAATGTTGCCATCCTTGTCAGTGACACCAACATTTTACTCTCTTCCCCCGTTAAGTGGACCATCATGTTGATCTGTGTATACTCTCACTTTCTCGACGTTATCTGAAAACGGTTATCTGAGAGCATGCTTTCTCTTAGTAGCAGCCCCTGAAAATGCAGTAACAGGGAAATTCAGGTCATTCATTGACTTACCATTCACCCAATAAACTTTTATTGAGCACTTGTGGTGTACATATTAGAAGCGTATGATATTGAGAAACGAGCATGTGAGTGGGAAGTAAATAGTCTATGGGTCCAGGAAAACTGGGCGTGGAATCCCACTTCTGCCCTTGCTTGCAGTGTGGCTTTGGGTGATATATTTAACCTAACTGCATTTCAGCTTCTTTGCATCTCATCTTTATATATGTGATTATAAAGATTAGAAATATCATATAGATAGATCCTAAGATATGAGAGATGCTCATCTTAGGAAATTACTTTCTTCTTTTTCTTTGTGGAAAGAGCTAGAATAAATTTTAGGAAAAAAAAAGAGAATGGCATAGTAAGAAGTGCAGTCTTGTATTAAGAAGTATCTGGATTTCAATTCACATTCTAGCACTTTGGGGTCCAGTGGAGTGTCAAAATACCTAGTGCTAACTTAGTAGTACAGAGAAAAATGTAGGTTTTTAAAATTTGATCTATAATCTGTCAAATTCCTCTGATAAGGGAGTCAGTGTTATATATCCAACACAATTAAGCTATAAAGCTCAGGCAGGTGCAATAATTTAAATGGTGTCATTAGATCAGTGGTTCTCAAATAGTAATGCACATTAGAATCACTGGGAGTGTTTTAAAAATACAGATTGCTGAATGCCACCTCCATATGTTCTGCTTCAGTAGGTCTAGGGGCTGAGAACTTGCATTTTAAACAAATTAATCAGGTGATGCTGATGATGCTGGTTGGGATACCACATTTTGAAGACTTCTGTTTTAGGTGATGCTCAGTCTGCAACGAAAATTTCTCTTTGTCTTTTATTTCCTCTTACCTTTCAACTCTCTGGACAACCAATTTATTTTAATAAAATTTTTTATCTACTGTTGACAAGAATATAAGCATATTTGGATAATTCTGAATATGTGTGTTAACATTTACTTGTTGCTATAGTTATCACGTATGTCAACATAGTTAAGATAGGCTCTGATAAAAACAAAGATGGGCTGAGTGCAGTGGCTCACACCTGTAATTCCAGCACTTTGGGAGGCTGAGATGGATGGATCACTTGAGGCCAGGAGTTCTAGACCAGCCTGGCCAACATGGTGAAATGCAGTCTCTATAAAAAAATGCAAAAATTAGACAGGTGTGATGGCGCATGTCTGTAGTCCCAGCTACTTGGGAGGCTGAGGCACAAGAATTGCTTGAACCCGGGAGGTTGGGGTTGCAGTGAGCTGAGATTGTACCATTGAACTCCAGCCTGGGGAACACAGTGAGACTCTGTCTCAAAAAACAACAACAACCAAACAAAAACCGTAAAGATTGCATTCAAAGAACTTGGGTTATTTAGAACATTAAAATATTTATAACTCTTGTGACTTGACATTATTATAATTTATATTTTTTGCCCTTCGAGTAATATTATGGACTCACAGCACTTCAAAGGTTTAACTCTGCCCAATGAACTCTAACAATTATCTTTGCTTTTATTTTTTTAGTTAGGACCATAGTCCTCTTTAGCATGATTTCAGCTATCTTTGAAAGCATGCTGGCAGTCTAGCATCAAGTTATTCCAGGCACAACTTGATTTTCCGTGTCCAAAACATGGATCCTAACTATTCACATTATTCGCTGTTAGTGAATAATAGTATTAGAAGTATACATTCTGTATTCTAGGAGTATATATTAGATTAGTTAATGGAGCTGGGAACATTTATTAAAACTCATGAATTCCTATTAATATATCTAATTTATTAAATTACTTTAAAGTCATTTCTTCTATTTTAAAAATGTGATGATTTTTGCTTTTTAAATATACCATCTCTTTCACAACTTTTAATCAATTTTGTATGCTATGCTGTATTATATTATTGCAAATAATATTGCTAATTTAGAATATTACCATTTTTCATTCAATCTAAGATGCTACATATTGCATCATTAAGAAAAAAACAATGCTTTTTAATATCCATATTCAAAAACTGAATAGTGACTTTTACCTCATACCATACACAAACATCAGTTTAGGTGTGTTGTAGACCAAACTCTGAAAGGTAAAACAGTAGGCTTCCAGAAGATAACCTTCATATTTTAAAGCAGAAAAAATATTTATTAGGCAGAACATAAAAGCTTTAACCATAAAAGAACATTAATAAACTAGACTACCTTAAAAATAGGATCACCATTAAGAAAGTGAAAAGATAGTCCACAGAGTAGGAGAAATTATCTATATTACATATTACTGAAAAGCATTTTTATCCAGAATGTGCAACGACTTCTCCAAATCAACAAGGAAAAAGACACAGTTCAATTTTAAAATTGATAAATGGGCAAAAGGCTTCAACAATCACTTCATCAGGGAGGATATCTGAATTGCCACCAAGATACATATAAAATAGTTTGACTCATTCATAGTCAGGGAAATGCAACAGTAAGCCATAGTGAAAATGTACTTCATACCAATAAGAATGGCTAAAATAAAATTTGCTGAAATAGCCAATATTGTTGTATGTGTAGAGCTGCTGGAATTTTCATGGGTGCCTTATTTGTACAAGCACTTTGTAAAAGTGTTTGGTAATACTGTTAAACATATGCACAGCCTATGACCTAGTAATTCTACTCCTATGTATAAGCCCAACAGAAACTTGTGCATATGTGCACCAAAAGCCATAATGAGAATGTTTATATAAGTATTATTCTTAATTTCTAAGGTCTGGAAAGAGTCCAGTATCAACTAAAAGTAAATTGAGTAAATAAATTGTGATATATTTATACTATGAAATATCAAACAACAGGGAAAATTAATGAATTACTGCTACATAAAGCAACCCAGATGAATTTAATAAATGTATTTTTTTCCTAAAGACTCCAGATACAAAATAATATATACTGCGTGACATTATTTATATAAATTTAAGAAAACAGAAAAACCGAATCTGGTGGCGAAAGTTAAATTACTTTTAGGGAAGGAAAAGGGTATTGACTAGGAGGGGGCACGAGGCGGCACTCTGGGTTTCTGCAGATATTCTAGTTCTTGACTTGGTTGCAAGTCTGTGTTCACTATTTATAATAGCTCATCAAGCTGTGTCCTTTATTTTATGTACCTTTGTTTATACTTCAATGAAAACTTTTTTATTGAAAAACTGTATGCAAAAAGTTATATGGGAACAGCATAGAATAAAAATGGCTGTATCTGACTTGGGACATCACAGAAAGCATCTCAGAGAGAAGACTAGAAGTCAGACTGTATCATTGATACATTCAAAGGCAAGTGAAGAAATCCTTCTTTAGTGGGTTAAAGAAGTAAGTGCTTTATGTTTGTCATAACAAAAACAACTCAGAAATGTACGTATCACAACAACATCATCAAGAATTCTGGCTAACTCAGCTCTTGCTGTCCTTAAGGTGTGGTTTTTGTCCTTCTGGCTGAAAGGTGGTTGTTGCTTCTGTGAGGATTTAGCCAAAGTTATAGGAATAGAGAAGGAAAGAGGAAAGAGTTGCCCAGCAATCTTATCCTATGCTTTATTGACTATAGCTGTGTCACCCCTAGGTTTAGGGAAACCTGGGATGACAAAATAGAGGGAGGCAAGGAAAAGTGGTTTGAAATGGGTGTTGAGTGAGCCAACATGTGTGACTTGCCATAGGCGTGAAAGGTTTATCTGCCAAATATGCTTTGGGAGGGTACAAAAATGAAAAGGAAAAAAGTGTATGTAAGTGTAGGTTTTTGCCACCATATGCTTTCTCTAGCCTAAATAAGGTCACGTTTCCAGAAACTTTCCCTTTCTCTTCTTATATAGGAGGATTTAAGGAACACTGACTATACTTTATGTTATGGCAGTCCTCAAGGAATGAAGGACCATGAAGACTTTCACTGCTTAGGTATTTAATTAGGAAGCAGAAAGCAGAGTATCTGGGCTTGCATAATAACAATGAAGTCCAATTATTTTCCTCTTGGTTGTTCTTCTTTGGCATAGGTGAAATGATGGGAAAAATGTTTAATTTCAGGCATCAATTTTCCAAAGCATTCAGTAGATCGGCATGCAAACTTAAAATTTCCTTAAGAAAGCAAGAAAAGGCCGGGCGTGGTAGCTCACGCCTGTAATCCCAGCACTTTGGGAGGCCGAGGCAGGCGGATCACGAGGTGAGGAGATCGAGACCATTCTGGCTAACACGGTGAAACCCCGTCTCTACTAAAAATATAAAAAGTACCCGGGCGTGGTGGCGGGCACCTGTAGCCCCAGCTACTCCGGAGGCTGAGGTTGGAAAATGGCGTGAACCCGGGAGGCGGAGCTTGCAGTGAGCCAAGATCGTGCCACTGCACTCCAGCCTGGGCGACAGAGCTAGACTTTGTTTCAAAAAAAAAAAAAAAAAAAAAAAAAAAAAAAAAAAAAGTTAAAAATTTAAAAAAAAATTTAAAAAAAGCAAGAAAAGAAGAAAAATATGTCAGTAACTTGAGAAAAAACAAAATTATCTTTTAGTCCGTTCACATTCAGTACAACAGAATGAAGAATCTGTCAATTCTTGAATTAGTGGGAATTGGTCAATCATTTATGCAACAAATAATTGTGCACCCATTATTATGATGATTCCGGAATTAGCCAAGTTGCACATTTAGTAAATGCTTAAATTTAAATCGAGGCTTTTTTGACTGTAGATCCAATGGTCTTTCTATTCTGTGCGTTGTTTGGAATGATCTTGATTGCTATAATGATCCTAATAGTTGATGCATCTACCCATCTGCCCAACTGTCCAACTAAGTGGCCAGTTAATACTAACAATGCCCAAAAATGATATATTTGATATAATTTCACATTATTTTATATCAGCCTCAGTCATTGTCAGTAGATTCTAAGATATTAACTATTAACTAATTGTAAAAGGAAAAAATTCTCATGCAGACAATTTTCTGATTTTTCCCTGGGGGTGGGAGCTCACTGGGTTAAAGAATTTAGGTGTAATTTCTAGCTCAAAGTTCTACCAACATAGGTGTGGGGGCCTGTATATAACTGGTGCAATCTGATATTTTGAAACATCATTTTAGAAAAAATTAAGAAAGCCTTTAAACATTACATTCTTATGGTAAAAAAAACAACAACAAAAGGAAAGAAGAAAGTTTCCAGAAATGCCATACACACATCACTTACTTTTCCAGGCTTAACTAGTCCCAAACTGTTTCTTAATCAGGATTGGTATGAGCAACATGTAAGAAATGATGTTGTTCAGGGAGGTAGAACTTCCATTTAGCTTCATATATTGAATTACTTTTCTTGGCATTCTTGTTTTGGAGACTTTTTGGAGGACTTGTTTGGGACTTTTTAACTTTTCCTAAATTCACAGTTAAGGCAAAACTGTTTCAACTGCCACTAAAAACATAACCTTAAACAAAATAAAGTACTATTCAGAATATACTTAAAATAGAATTATTTTGTTCTAAAATGTTAGTAATTTTATGGCAGTGACTCAAAGCAAAATTAGGCAAAGAGCTCATTGGTGGGTCTCTTTGCTTGGATGAACCTGAGGCAGCATATGCATCACCCATGAACATGGGGAACATTGAGACTGAGTTGTAGCTTTGCCTGTATAATGTACAGAATATGTTTATTCTTTTACTGATCTTGAGCAACTGAGAAACACTTAATGACTACACTTAGCATATTAAATGGGGTGAGCTTTTTCTTCCTTATCTTTTAAAGTTAGAGAAAAAAAATATGGCTTACCTTTCAATCATGGAATATGAGTCCATACGCGTGAAAGGGAAGCAAGGACACAGAGTTTCCTGTGGCTCTTTCAACTATAACCTACCTTAAAAATAAATATAATTATTTGTCTGGAAAAGTAAAACTAATTTGTACACATTTTACTGTGTGTCAGTGATCCATTGCAGAGAATGGAAAATCCCTTCTAATGGCTCATGAAACTTGTCACAGGTAGGTGGTATTTGATGACTCACAAAAGAGGAACTGTGGTGCAGATTAATTATTTTTTTGGCTATAAAATGATACTGGTTTATATTATGCTAATAATGGGAAAGTTAATAAATAATTCAAGTCATTAAAACTAAAATTTCTGATGCTGTTAATCCAAGAATATTTTGAAAGCACGAACATTTATGGTAATCTACCATAATTATTAATATTCACGTCCTTAATATAATCTACCATTAATTGCTAATATTCTTCAGAAAATCTATTCTTTATCAAGCAGTAAATAATTGGTTTCATTGTTTCACTCAATAAGGGAATAATCTCAACATTGACACTTAATACTAGAGTTTCCATCCTACACATAAGTATCATACCATAAAATAGTTTTAAAATATGCCATTAACCAGGCCTAGTGTGGGCGAGGGTGTTGGAAAATGGGTATCTTCATATATTGCTTGTGGGAGTAAACCAGTACAACATTCCCAGAAAGAAACACATATCAAAAGATGACATACTCTTTGAACCAAAATATAATTCTAGAAATCTTACCCAAGGAATTAATCAGACAAATAAGCATATTCATTGCAATATTATTTTTAATAGAATAAATAAAATAATTAAAATTTCTTACAAGATGATTTTAAATATGTTAATACTAATCTGTACCACAAATTTTCGTAATTTAAGTTTCACAAATTTATGTTGTTGATATAGAAAAAGTTCATATTATGCTGCTAAGAGGGAAAATGAGGTTACAGAAAACTATGTGGTATATATAACTCTACTTTTGTAGAAATAAGTATATTTATTTATAGTCAGACATATATGATATGTAAATATACAGTCATAGAGAAATTAGCCAGTTATAATCGCATTCGATATATTAGAGGCAAATGAATAGAAAAGAAAAAAACTATTATGATGTTAAAATAGTCATCCCTCTTATAAGGAATTATTTAAAAAATTATCTTCCTTTTGCTGTTCTCTGTCTTTATCTTTTTTCTAAAATAAATTCAAATGCTCGTTTGTATAGTGACAATTAAAATTAATAAAATATTGGCTAGTCATTGGTTTCTTTCTCTACTCTCCCTCTGGGATGGCTCTGTCTTCTTGATAGATTGTGAGGGCAGAAAGAGCAATCAAAGCAGCAGACTGCCCAGATCCCACCTGCCCTTTTCTACCAAGCATAAGGCACCATCAGGCCTATGAAGATTTCTAACTATCTGTTCTTCCCCATTCATACATGCATAAAATCAATTTTTGACTAAGGGGAGTAGGAAGACAATTGGACCTCTTATTAGCAGCTCCCTAATTTCTCTCTGATTTTCCTCCTTCATCGACTGGTTGAGTTGTCTCTCCTTCTTGGTTTGAAAGCTGTTCTTTCGCTTTGATACATCTTTATCCATTCAAAGTATAGGCATTCAAGGTTTGAACCTGGGGCATTAGCAAGCCAGATTCTTCACCTGTAAGTTTAGGATGTCGTGAGAAATTTCTGCTTCTTCCCACTTTCTCACCCTTTTGGGTAATGTTAGAAGAGACTGACCAGGCCCAAGGTTTTGATGGCTCCACCCACAAAGTATTTGAGAGAATCTCGCAAGTGATTGGGCAAAGCATCGTAAGGAGATTTTTCCCCCATTTTGGACGTTATAACCGTCCAGTCTACAGAATATCACAGGCTCTACTTTTGTGTCAATTTAAAATGAGGATACAGAAAATGAAGGCAAAGGGAAACTGTGTAAGTCAGTGGTTAATAACATGAGCTGTTGTGTTAGACTTACCTGGGTTTGAATTCTAACTCTTTCATTTACCAGTGAGGGATGTTGAGGCAACTCATTTAAGCTCCCTGAACCTCAGTTTTCCATGTGTAATATTGGTATATCTATTCTATTATTAATAGGAAGATAAAATCGATGGTATATATAAATAAATTAGAGTAAAATTTGATATATAGCAAGAGCACATGTGCTAGCTTATGATGGCAATGATCATCTATGTTTATTTCATTATGGTTATCAGATGGAGTCCCTCTGAGGAAAGAGGGAAGGCAGAGAAGTTGGGTTAGAAAATGCAACAGCAGCTACTACTGTTATTCATATATTTGTGTAATTATAGTAGCTGTTTCATATTTCCATGTGTAGTATTTATCTACAGTTTATAAATCTGGTTATACTACATTTATAAGTTCAGTTTCTAGTTCAAGGGTGAAACAAAACAAAATAAAATAAGAAAGACACCCAACACAGGTTTCTATATAAAGGGTTAGGCTGCTTGTTACAAACTGGGGCAACTGCATCTGAATTCAGTTTCCTTCTAGTTTTTGTTGGTATCTTTTTAATAGATCTTTCTTTCCACTTTCTCTACTTTTATCTCCTAAGATGAGAGTTTATGGCTAAGAGCCCCATATTTTATTTAATTTAGGTGATAAATAGGAATCCAACATTAGCCTATATTTTCTTATCTTGGTCCAAAGGTTTCATTCCTAAAGTTGGGCTTATCTTTTCCTTACACGTTCATTTCTTAGCTCTTTTTTTTGTATTTGGTATCATTCTTTTTTCATTTTCCCTATGCTAGAATCTTCTCTCTTTTTGAGAGATCTTGACATTAGTAGCTGTGTGATTTAGGCCAGGATGCTGCAGGGTACACAGTCTGTTGTTTTTATTCATTGTTAGGGGTTCCTAAAATATCTCTGAAAATTCCCCAAAGAAAATATAATCTATATATGTGAGAGATAAATTTCTGTAACATAATTGAGTATAGTCTTCTGTATCATTAAGAATTGAAACTATTTGGGCCTTTTATATAGTAAAAAATATATATATTTCAAGAATTTTGTATGCATTTACTGAATTTTAAAATACATTTTATTGCAAATATTTATACCTCTGTGTTTTGTTTCATGTTGGTGAAAAATAGGCAAAGATAAACACAGATTTAATATGATTAATTTTTCCCAGAGGACTTGGCTCTAGCAGTTACAAAATATAAGACAGTTTAATTTATACGGTTTTTATATGTTTCACTGACCATTCCAATCTTTTGTTTTCCTGCAAAATGAAGCCATTTAACGGATACTCACTGTAGTAGTTTCCTGCCTTAACAAGTCATCACAAACTGGGTGGTTTAGAACAACAGAAATCTATTCTCTCCAGTTCTGGAAATTAAACATCTGAAATCAAAATAGCACAGGGCCATTCTCCTTCTGAAGGCTCTAGGCAAGAATGCCTCCTCTCCTTTTCCTAGCTTTTAGTGTTGTCGGCAATCCTTGCAGTTCTTTGGCTTGTAGCCAAATCACTCAAATTTCTGCCTCTGTCTGTGCACGGCCTTCTTTCTGTGGCTGTCTGTATTTCTGAAGCTCTGTTTCCTTGAAAGGACACCAGTCATCATATTTAGGGTCCACCATAATCCAGCATGATCTCATTTTACCTTGATTACATCTGCAAACACCCAGTCTCCAAATAAAGTCACATTTACAGGTACTGGGGTTTAGGACTTGAATATATTTTGCTGAGGGGAGACACAATTCAACTAGCAACACTCACAAAGCACTTCATAACTGTATTATAGAACTTAATTTGTAGTTACTAGTTTAAGTGGTGTCTACCTCTCTTTCATTTTCTCACCATGCCCTACTTCTCAACCCTCAAGGTCAGAGTCAATTTCTTTATTTTCTATATGTCTGCCTTTATAGCTAGCACACTGCCTGAATGAATATAAATGCCTTAAATGAATATAAATGGAATGGAGAATATAAAGAAGGGAGACAACATATAACGTGAAAGTTACGAAAGAAGAAAGAGTTGGTCTGTAACAGATTTGCAAAACTTGCTGGTCATCAGCTGCTTGGTAACTTTTGGGAAAATGTGGGTTTCTCCCTGAGAAACTAATTCATTGAATAATTATGCAACCCAGAAATCTCTGTTATAGACAACTTGTTTAGATGGTTCTATTTTTTGGTCAAGAATAGAAAACAGGCTGGGAGCGGTGGGTCAAGCCTGTAATTCCAGCACCTTGGGAGGCCAAGGCGGGCAGATCACCTGAGGTCAGGAGTTCGAGATCTGGTCAACATGGAGAAACCTGTCTCTACTAAAAATACAAAATTAGCCAGGTGTAGTGGCGTGTGCGTGTAGTCCCAGCTAGTTGGGGAGGCTGAGGCAGGACAATTGCTTGAACCCAGGAGGCGGAGGTTGCAGTGAGCTGAGATTGCGCCACTGCACTCCAGGCTGGTGACAGAGTGAGACTCCATCTTTAAAAAAAAAAAAAGAAAAAGAAAGAAAACATTTGATGCTTGAAAATGACAGATGACAGCGGAAACATACAGGGAATAATCATCCATTTCTCATGACAGTGAAAGCTGTTTCACCTTAGCAAGTCATTTAGTTATTCTGAACTTGTTTCTTCGTTGGTAAAATGAGTGGTAATCGGTTCTAAAATTCTAATTTTCCTGTTTAAGGTCATTACCTCTAAAAATGCTTGGGCATTGTAGAATTTCTTTGGTCTTTATAGAAGAGATCATATATTTGAAATAATTCTCAGTCTCATCATTCTAAGATTGTAAGAAAGGTCCGTGGTTGGTTATCTGTAAGTATTGGAACAATAGATAACTTCTTCCTACTACCTGTCCCTATATTTCACATTTATATAGTGAACAAATATTGCTTTTATAATGAAGAGATATTCATGCATATTCTATTTTTGTTTAACAAGCAAAGATTAAATATCAAGAAACAAAATGCAGTAAGTCAAGTGTTACTATAAAAACTAAAGGAAAAATCTGCAAAAGGAAAGGAGAAGCAAACATAAGTGCATGTACAGTTCAAAAAAAAAAGGAATAAAGTTGATACAAAAGTAGAGAGGGTATTAGGCTTTTAATGTCAATATTCTTGGCCTCTCTTCTGATTTTATATTTTGTCTAAGATCTTTTATTTAATGTTTTTCTGCTAAAAATGGCATTTTCTCTTAAGATTTCTAAGCTGAAGTTGGTTTAAATTCAGAGTATGCTGAATTTGTCTAAACCACAGATTGAATAAAATAATAAAACTGTCATATTGGGGGTGACATTGTCAACAGCATTGTCAGAAAGTGGGTGTTCACAGAAGAAGAAACAAATATAAGAAAACTTGGATAAATGGAATTGCCTACACTTTATTCTTTTTAAAGGAATAAATGGAAAATATTTGTACATCAGGTACATAATCTGTGCATTTATAGATATATATCTATATACTGATACCTGAAGACCTTGCAATAAGAATTTAGTGTTGCTGTTTTAAATTCATATTTCAAATTTTATTCTTTAGATGAAATCCAAATCCAAGAAAAATGACACTGGGGAATGGGTTGACAGAAAAGCCAATTTGACATCTGACAGTTTTATTATTTCCCCTGATTTTCTAGGAGGCTTTACCTTCAGAGGAAAAGTCAAACTAAACAACTCCATAATGAATGGAAGAATTCATCTTTGTGAATTCATGGAGAATCCTTTGATAGTCAGACCACTCATACAAAAATTATTGAGGGCTTAATTTTGATTTTTAGGAAAATAGATCAGTCAGGTGGTGTGAATAATTGATATCATGTCTTAAATTATTTATGTAACAATTATTATTTTAAAAAGAAGATCATCTCAATTATAAGCTTAAATTGATTCATATGTTGAGAAAATTACTTACCTTTACTTCACTCATCATGTTACCTTCTTAATGTTTGTGAGTAGATTCTCATCTCACATTAGCAATCCTCACTGCAGACCAAGAAGGATTATAGAATAAGTTAGAGAGTTTCCTTAAAAATATATGGGAATTTCAATTCATATTTGGATATGTCCTCATTTGTAGAGGTTAGCACACACAATCTATTTTTTTTAAATGTTTCTGGGCTACTTTGCTGGGTTGCCTAGCAACATGAAATCCTGACTATCGAAGGGTAGTCTTCCCCTGGTGAAATGTCAGTCCCCTTATAAATGATAAGCTCTAAGCAGTACCTGACAAATTAGTGATAATTTTTACACAGGATGTGAGATTACTTCTACAGAAGTAGATTTAAATGAGAATTCAGAGACAAAAATTACATTTGAATATTGTATACTAGGACTTCTGGAACAAAGCAGCATCATGATTAACCAGGAATAGGCTATTTATATTTGGGATTCTTATAAGTCTGGAAATACTGATATTGAAGTTTTTTTTAATCCACATTGCAGAGTGCTCACTTCATTGGCACAAAAAGCTGGAGAAGTTTTTATATCATAGCCTGAGTAGATTTTTTTTCTTAATCTATTTTAACACTGATATTGTAATCTAATGGGAGCAAGATATGTTTTAATGATTTGAACATATTCAATCCTTTGATCAACTTCTGTTGATTTTCCCTCTACTTCTTCCTACTTTCATAGCAATACTCCAGTCTGTGCAACAAGAGCTCTCCTTTGGACTTCCAAAATAATTTTCTAACTGGTCTGCCTGCATCCAACCTTTCTTCCACTAGACTGCACGTATTTTTAAAACGCAAATGTAATTATTCCAATCATCTACCCCACTTACTTAAAAGCTTCAAAGAGTTTTTATTACTTTTGGGATAAAAGTAAAACACTAAATGTCATCTTTTACCAGGCTCTCTCTCATTTCTCTAGCTCTGGACAGTTACCTCTTCGAGGTCTTTTCTGTTTCAGGATAATTCAGTGCTTTTGTTTTAGCCCAGAGCACTCTTACAACAACATATATATTTTTTTTCACAGCATGTGCCACATCTGTAATTTTACATTGACTAATGTGATTACTTTATTAGTGGCATGCTCCTCCACTAGACCACAAGTACAATAACATAGAAACCAAGTCTATTTTTAATCATCATACATTCTACAATTCCTAGCATGTAACCTAACAATTGGTAGGTACAGAATAAATATTTTGTTGAATGTATGAAAGGAGGAGTGTAATATATTCTTTTTATCTTTTGAAGGATAATATGGGGTAAACCCTATGATCTATAATATCTTAACATGCCATTGGGTAATAATTATTTTTAAACATTCTATGCCTACTACATTTCTTTTTAATAAAGAGAACTAAAAATAGAGTTGCCTTCTACCTAAATGGTTTCTAGCTCAGGAAAATACTTATATTTCCTCAGTATCTCAAATAATATAATTAAAAAATGTTTTTTCCCTATTTCTTTTGCATGTAACATCATAGGTCCTCAGTGAAATATCATACCCTCTTGGAAATAAATCCTCCATTTCAAAGCAACCCATATAGCTGCGATACATCCATTTTCATTACTCCATTCGTGTAAACAACTAGCAGAGATTGTACTTTTTTAAAAAGTATATAGCATACAGGGATGTGATATTAAATAAATAATCATTTTAGCTCATGGAATTTTTAGATAATATTTTTTGAAAATCAGTGATCTGAAGTCAAACTTAATCAGTGGTGTGGGAGGGATCACTAATTAAATTTCTAAAATTACCTTCTCTATTTATATTTAGAAATTCTCTTCTGAATAAAGTTAGGTGGCATTACGTAAAATGAGGCAACTGAAGTGCTAAACCAAAGACCCAAATTAGCAGCAGGCTTTATTGGTATTTGGAACTTGTAAATTAAAAAATCACAAACATAAATTGTGTCTTCATAGTATATAAATTAATAATGCAATGATGACTTCATCCTCAAGCTTAATCATTCCATAATAAAATCAATTTATGATTAATTCAGTTATCTCAAGTTAAGAGCTATTGGGTTTCTCATAAATCAAAATAACTTTCATAAAGTGTCAGTTCAAAATGTAATTATCTTTGTAGCTATATTTTAGCATTTATTCTGCATCTACAAGAAAGTAATATATCGAAAGTAGCCAAATGTAGCACGATTATAATTGATGAATTGGTTAATTAATTAAAAGCTATCATAGAAGTTGCAAGTTCATAATTTCCCTTATGCTTAAAGATCTCTTCTTTGGTAATTAGCATCAAATTTTGTGATTTTGGAGCAACTGAGTTGTGTATTAGTTAGCTTGGGCTGCCATCACAAAATACTGTAGACTACGTGGTTAAAACAACCAATTTATTTCTCATAGTTCCAAAGTCTGGAAATCTGGAATCAGGGTACCAGCAAGGTCAGGTTTTGGTGAGTGCTTTCTTCCTGGCTTGTAGACAATCCCCTTCTTGTTGTATATTCACATGGTCTTTCTTCAGTATGTGCATTTGGAGAGAGGGTTCTCTCTCTTCCTCCTTTTCTGAGGCAATTGATATTATAGGATTAAGACCCTACCCTTATGATTTATCTCATTTAACCTTACTTTCCTCCTAAAAGCCTTGTCTTCAAATAAAGTCCCATCAAGAACGAGGACTTCAACACGTGAATTTTGGGGATATACAATTCAGTCCACAGCATATGCTTATAAGTTTGCAATCAGCTGTTACATTCCAAATGTTTCTGTGATACAAATATTTCCTGTCATAGCTAATGGAAGTTGCTTGGAACAATATTTTATACAAAGCAAGGACATTTAAAGATTAAAAAAATCTTTATCTGAAATCAGTTTTTTAAGGGATTTGACCTGTAGTTTCAATATAACATGCTCAATCATTTTGTTGCCATCTTTACAGGTTAACACAGTTGCTGAAGATATGATTCACACAGGACAAGTCTCCTGTCTTGCTGTGTTCCTATAAAGATCTGACTCAAGTGTGAGGATCCAATTTAAAACAACATCCTTGCTTGGATGAGAATTGAGAAGGGGCAATGGTAGTAGCAGAACTTTTTCTTACATACAAATTAGTGTTTTGGAATAAGTCATACCTTCTTGAAGAGAGCTAAATTTGTCTGACTTAAGTAGGAACTTAGAAATGTAGAGACAGATTGTCAATTCATAAGGTAATCAAGTACCTCTGCTGGAAAAAGTCTGTAGTACTTTTATGTTGCTATGTTCTGTTGGTTTCTTCTACTGATGGGTAACCATTATTTTTCGTTATATTAGCTTGCCACACTTGAGGACTTGATTTTGGTGTTCCTAAAATGTATAGTGATAATACTTGATTGGAAAGCATAATTTGAATCCTCAGAAAAGTAGATTGTTAGCTATCTCAAAGGATGTGCACTCAATTTGCAGCTTATTAATTCCTGGTTAATTCTCAAGATTTCTACATGACAATTCAGAGAAACACAGAATAACATACTCCCATATTCTCAGCTAAACATAATTTATACATGCAAACCTTTTAGTTGATGTTGTGTGGGATATCCAAGAATGTTTTTGTATACAACTTTGGAGTTAATTGCTGTAATTTAGACATGGTCTGGATTGCAAATCAAAGTTCTAGACCATGCTGCTGGAAATGCTCAATATTTTCCTTACCCAAATTCCTTCTTGAAGAAACTGTTCATCCAGAACTCTGGAAGCCATTTAAATGATCTCTTCTAGCTATGGAGAATTTATACAGAGATAATGTAAATTAGTTAACTAGGGAGCTGGACCTCTATTCACGATAGACCATTTTCAAGGATAGCAGGAAAACTGGCTATCAGAGAGAAAGAGAAGTTTGGAGAAGATATGCAGCAGGAAGCAGAAAGAGAAAATAATTCTGAGAGAGAAGGAAAGAAATTTCCACTAGTGAATTTCCATTTCCCTGGCTCAGTCCCTCTGGTGTCCAGCTCCTTTCATTTCTTGGCCAAAAATGAATGTGTGATCAACTATTGCACACCTACAAAAACATCCATTTTGAATTTTAACTTATTTTTGTGTGCTTTTGTTCTTTGCCATCAAACATGTCTAACTAAGAGAGATATATTTTCTACCCTCCAAATTCTTCATTTTTTTCTTTTCACAGAGTAGAGCTTTGTGTATAGTTTGTTTGGAACCAAAGTGAATGAACAAGGGTGATAGAGTCATTCTGCACTTCAGTACCGGAAGACCCTGTTAGTAAGAGAATTCTTTCAATAACTTTTCTTGGCATCGAGGATTCTGGCTGTGGCCTTTCTCCAGGAGGACCATGGGCGAAAGTCAAGATGCGTTATCAAGGCCCATTTTAAGCTTTTGACAGACAGTTAACTTCTGTTTGTTTTTAGCCATGGAATTAGTTGCCCTGTGAGAACTAAGAAACATTTTAATGAGAATAGGTATCACCTCTTAAGCAGAACTGAAAGCTATTTTTGTTTCTTCCCAAGTTCTCTATTAAATAGCAGACCAGATTCATACCAGAAATAAGCCATTGATATTTCTACCATGTTGTATCTTCCATTTTTGTTATGGATGTCAATTAGTATTGATGATATTAACCCTATTATATCATTAGTCTTTAAGGTACTTCATTTATAGGACTAGAATTCCTGTACTTTAATTTATGTATGTAATCTAACTTTAGATCACTACATGCTCTTTTTAATCTTCAAAGATGCTGCTTATTCCCTAAACATCATTCCTCAAATATCTATTATCCTTACCGCCTACTCACTCTGCTTTTGCTGTCAGGCCAGGGATTGCTGATGAAAGAAAATGCACAAGAGTTTGAAAATTGCAGATTCATTCTTTGGAGTTTCATCATGATTATGCCTGTCATCACATCAACCCTTTTATTCACCTCTCAAATGTCACCAAGCTATTATCCTGGTTATTATTTTCTACTTAAAACATTTAACCATCCTCCATTTTTCTTTCCCTCGTTCTTAGTGGAAAAATTGCTTCTTATTTATGCTGAAAGCTGAATTTTACTGAAAACACTCTCACATTACCTCACCTTCATCCTCTCATGTTTCGATTCAGGCACTTGGAAAAAAGTCCATGGAGCTGTAAGCTCCTTGAAGGTAGAAATAATAATTTAGTCACTTTTTTTTTCTTTGATGCCCAACTGATTGTCTTTAACGTAAAGGTTGCTTCCAAACTTACTCAACTATATGCATTATTAAAACATAAAATGAACCCACCTTCCTTGACCCTGCTACTTTTCTGGCTACATTTTAGTCTTTCCATTTACATCAAAATATTGAAGAAAGGGACTTCTCCATTGCTTCTAGTTCATACCCACTTGCTCCATTTTAACTATGTGAAATAAGATTTATCTTCCAAATTCATGAACTCCTGAAAATACTATCAAAAGATTACCAGTGACCTCTTTGCCCCTACAGCCAGGAACTGTACCTTAGCTATTATTTTTTTTAGATGTTTTGGTTTTTTGGAAGCACTTAAATATTTAATATTTGAAATCACCTTCTTTTTGAATCTTTCTTCTGCTTTGGTTGGTAAGTTGCATAGATTCTCCCATTCTGCTACTCATTCTTTCTCTATGTTTTTAATGACTTCCTTTTCTTCTCTCAGTCTTTAAGGGAGGGCACTCAAGCTTCTACCTCAAACCTTTCCTGTTCTTAGAATATACTCATGGTTTCCTTTCTGATTTCTATGCAGATAATTCCCAAATGACATCTTCAGCCCTGGTTTCCTGCATGCCTTCTTCCTGTGTTTATTCTCAACTCGCAGTAGTATAGACTGGATTGATTTGTGGATATCATTTTAAATTCAGTGCATTCCAAGTGAATTCAGAATTTTGCTCCCCAAACTACCTTTTCTTTCTAGATAAAACCATGGGCAGTAGCACTCTCATACTTCTAGAGACCTGAACTCAAATTATAGAATTGCCTTTCACTCTTCTCTCGGGCATCTTACAGCATCCAATATGTCACTATGTCTTTTGATTCTTCTTTTGAAAAATCTCTGGGATTCTATTTTTTCCCCTTTTCATCGTTCACTAAAGTGAAGAGCCCAGGATTCCAACACCCTAACCTACATACTTTCACACTAGTTTTCCTTTCCTTTCCACTGTTTTTCTATCATTGGATAATCACTATATTATAATAGTAAATGAAGTTTTCTACCTGCCAGTCTCACGATTGACTTGCCTGCAACATAAAGTTCCTACTTTCTGGTCAAGGATAATATTCTGATAAGCTTACCACACTTTACCTAGCTAGTCTTTTCTCCTTAAACATTAGCTTCTAACCTTTGCCCCAGATAAATTTGTGTTCTCGTATCTTCTATCTGAACTTTTTCAAATGTACATGAAACTCTTTTCCTGATTTCTAGATTTTGCAAACTTCTCTTTTGCCGTATACTAAATTTCGGGTACTACAGAATATATTTCATTAAATTTCAATTTCCTGTTTACTCACCAGTCTTACCAGACTCATAGTGGTAAAGGACTTTTATTATGCTTCCTGCCATATACTCAGTGCTTAGCACTATGTCTGCCACTTAGCAAGTGCTCAGAATATATTGAAAAATAAATATCTTAGCTCTGATTCACCTACAGAATCTAGTCAAATGTGTGCCACGTACTATGCCCTCCATTCTTTCTGGCTGTTTAATTTATATATGTATATATTTTTTCCTTCTTGATTATAGTGAATGCTATCTGTTACAGACATCTTTTCATAGGGTAGACTTATACTGCAAATACCCACATTTATAGTTGCTTTTTATTTCTTTTAAAAGTATTTATAACATCTTGTCTTGTTTGGCAACCAAATTGCCTAAATAAATTTAGCAATGTCTAGCTTAAGAGTTTACCTTATAATATTAACCACCCATTTAATTCTGCATCGCTGTTCTTATGAGAGGGCTGGCACAATTATTTCATAATCGTCTCTGACTACATTTTATATAGTTTCATGTTAGTTGGCCTAATATACTATTTCCTATTTATGCTAATAATTTCTGATCTTATACTTCAATACCAGTGAGGCTTTTGTTCAATACATTCAGGTTACACAAGGAGATTATTGTATTGCTATTATTATTATTAAATATTTAGGCTCTGAAGGCTTTTAAGTAGGTTATTTGGTTTAGATATATTATTGCAATAAATAGTTTGTACCCTTAAAATATATTTTATTCAACTTACAACAGTTAAAGTATTGAAATCATAGCCCAGTGAATTCTTGCTTATTACACATTGCACATCAATATGTAAATGAATATAATTCTGATAAAGATAGACAAAACTACACAAATCTTTGATTAATAGAATATAGGTTTAAACATATTTCTTGTTTACTCTATGCTGTTCAAATTACTAAGGACAACCAACAAGCACCTTAAAATTGAGACAAAATGACTGTTTTTATAACACAGAATTTTAGGTTAAATTATAAATTATAAACATTATATAGTTCTTGATGAAACAAGAGGTTGTAGTTTCTTCTATAACTGGCTTACGGGGGTGGGGAGTGGAGATTAGAGAGGGTAAGACTCAGAATAAGACAGTTCTTAAAAAAATTAACCTTTTATTGTTTTGGTTTGGGAGTGCTTGGCAAGTTTTTTTTTCCAGGTATTCTTTAAACATAACTACTTTCATGTATATAAGTGTAGAAAAATGTGACTTGTGCATCAGCTGTAGGTTAAAATAATGGAATAAATAATATCTTGTGGCATTCTGAATAGGGAACTGGTACTGAGAGTCTCTTTTCCCCCTGAGGCCTTCCCCTCTGTCACCTGCCACCACTTCTGACCTATGAGTCACTGACTATTCCAACTTCATTAAAAATCTTTATTAAATTAGTTTGAATCCCAAGCCTCTATATTAAGAGAAGCTAAATTGAATTTTATACTTTTAAAATAGAGAATTGTAGTGGATATTGCAGAATCATTGAAATGTTTGTGTATTTGGAAATCTTGGTGTATGTATACACATATATTTGTGTATATGAAAGTATGTGTATGTATACACATATATTTGTGTATATGAATGTATGTGTATGTATACATATGAATATAGGTAAATTCATACCATCCACCCCCCTTTTTCTTTTGTTTTAGGATGGCATGCTCTATTACTTCTTTAAGAAGTAATAATATCAATAATTGACATTTATTGATTATTATGTGTAAAATGCTGTGCAAAGTGCTTCATCACACACTTTAATAAAACCTCCTTTAATCAATGGTAAGCTTAGTGTAGAAGTAGCCTGTGTGTATCTTGTTTGTTACTAGATACTGCCTATTATATAATGCACACTCAATAGATATTAGTTGAGTGAAGGAATGAATATCACTATATAGTTATAAAACAGACATAATTGTCTTTATTATGCAAATGAGAAAAATGAGATTGGCTAGTCTCTCACTTGGAAGAGAACTTCCAAAACTCATCCTTACTCCAAAGTCCATGGGTTTAATTACATTACAATTAGGTGAAAATATTCACCAGAGGCAAAGTTTTTTGGACAGAATTTTCAGTTAAATATATTAATTCCTTTGTGGAAAAACGACCCTACTACCAACATAAAATTCTTTATTCTCTTATGAAACAGTAACCTACTGAAATTTTTCTTAGGCTAAAGCATCTAAAATGCTTCACAACTGTTCCAGATTAAGTCTGTGTTAATAAGGCTGTGGTTCCTTGGTATTTTTATACATATTTATGTTGCTTTAAGTTATTTTCATTATTAAGGTATGACTCTTCATATGATTAGATATATTTAATAAGCAAAAGTATATGCATATATAATTTAATTTTAAAATTAATTTTGGAATTATCTATTGGATAAAGCTATCTGAAAAAGGTCTACTCCTGTCTGACAAGAATCAATATAAGGGAAATGCCAATAAATTCACTTTGTTTGCCACTTTAAAAACATGAAGAACAAAAAGCTGAAGAAATCAAGTGTGTTTGTTTTTTGGAGTTCTCTGGGAAATCATACCTTCTACAGTCAATACTGTGAGTTCCCTGTGTGTCTTCACATAGGCTTTATTTTTAGGCTTTGTAACTCTGAGTGTACTGGGTCATGTGTTCCTAATATCACTTGTTAAATTCTACCTTGAAAATAGCCCACATCAATATAGTGAATAAGTCAAATATTTTCCAAAATATATGAGGCATTTAAATGTATATGGCATGTTCTGTACCTCAAAATAATAAAAGCAATATATGACAAACCCACAGCCAACATTAGACTAAGTGAGGATAAGTTGAAAGCATTCCCATTAAGAACTGGATCAAAACAAGGATGTCCACTTTCGCCATTTCTATTCAATATAGTACAGGAAATCCCAGCCAGAGCAATCAGGGAAGAGAAAAATAAAAATCATCTAAATTGGAAAACAGGAAGTCAAACTATTTCTGTTAGATGGTGATATGCTCTTATACGTAGAAAACCCTAAAGACTCCTCCATGAGTCCTAGATTTAGTAAGTTAATAAAGTCTCAGTTTACAAAATCAGTATATGCAAATCAAAAGTACTGCTATACACCAACAATGACCAAGCTGAGAATCAAATCAAGAACTCAATCCCTTTTACAGTAGCTACTAAAAAATGCCTAGGAGCATACTTAACTAACGAGGTGAACAATCTCTATGAGGAGAACTATAAAACACTGATGAAATAAATCTAGGTGACACAAAGTGGAAAAACATCTCTTACTCATGGATTGGAGTAATCAATATTGTGAAAATGACCATACTGCCCAAAGTAATCTACAGATTCAGTTCAATTCCTACCAAAATACCAATGTCACTTTTCACAGAATTAGGATAAAAAAGCCTAAAATTCATATGGAACCAAATAAGAGCCTGAGTAGCCAAAGCAATCCAAAGCAAAAAGAGCAAACGTGGAGGCATCACATTAACCACCTTCAAATTGTACTATGTGCCTATAGTAACGAAAACAGCATGGTACTGGTATTAAAATAGACACATAAACTAATGGAACAGAATAGAGAATCAAGAAACAAAAGCAAATACTTGCAACCAACTGATCTTCAACAAAGGGGACAAAACATACACTGGGGAAAGGACATTCAATAAATGATGCTGGGAAATTTTGATAGCCACATGCAGAAAAAATGAAACTGGTCCTCATCTCTCACCATATAAAATATTCAAGATCGATTAGAGTCTTACATCTCAAAGCTAAAACTGAAAAGATTCTAGAACAAAACCCATGAAAAACTGTTCTGGACATTGTTCTAGACAAATAATTTATCACTAAGACCACAAAAGCAAATACAAGAAAAAAACAAAATTAAATAAATGGGACTTTAAAGTAAAAAGCTTCTGCACAACAAAAGACCTAACAGAGTAAGCAGACAACCTACAGAATAGGAGAAAATATTTGTAAACTGTGCATCTGACAAAGGACTATTATCCAGAATCTAAAAGGAACTCAAAATATAACCAAGAAAAAACATAATAATCTCATAAAAAAGTAGGCAGTGTTTATTTGTGTCCTTTGCCCACTTTTTAATGGGATTTCCTTTGCAGGGACATGGATGAAGCTGGAAGCCGTTATCCTCAGCAAACTAATGCAAGAACGGAAAATCAAACACCGCATGTTCTCACTTATAAGTAGGAGCTGAACAATGAGAACACATGGACACGAGGACAGGAACAACACACCTGGGGCCTGCCAAGGGATGAGGTCAGGAGAGGAAGAGTATTAGGAAAAATAGCTAATGCATGCTGGGCTTAATTACCTAGGTAATGGGTTGATGGGTGCAGCAAACCATTATGGCACACATTTACCTATGTAACAAACCCACACATCCTGCACACGTACCCCAGAAATTAACATAAAGATTAAAATTAATTTAAAAAGTGGGCAAACAGCATGAACGGACATTTAGCAAAAGAAGATATACAAATGGCCGACAAACATGAAAAAATTCTCGACATCACTAATCATTAGGAAAATTCAAATTAAAAGCAGAATGACCTTACCATGGCCAGAATGGCCATTATTAAAAAGTCAAAAAACAATAGATGTTAGCACAGATGTGGTGAAAAAGGAATGCTTACACACTGCTGGTGAGAATGTAAATTAGTACAACCTTTATGGAAAACAGAATGGAGATTTTTCAAAGAACTAAAAGTAGATCAGTTCAATCCAGCAACCCCACTACTAGGTATCTACCTAGAGGAAAATAAGTCATTATATTAAAAAGACACTTGCATATGTATTTTTATTTCAGCACAGTACACAATTGCACAGAATAGAATCAACCTAAGAGTGGGCAAAGAAATTGTGATATGTATATACCATGCAATACTATTCAGCTGCCAAAAAGAATGCAATAATGTCTTTTGCAGCAACTTGGAAGGAACTGGGTGCCATAATCCTAATGAAGTAACTTGGGAATGGAAAACCAAATACCTCATGTTCTCACTTATAAGTGGGAGTTAACCTATAGATAGGCAAAAACATAGAGTTAGGTATAATGGACTTTGGAGACTCAAAAGTGGGAAAGTGAGCGGATAAGAGATAAAAAAAAAAATCACCTGTTAGGAACAATGTACACTATTTAGGTGAAGAGTACACTAAAAGCCCAGACTTTACTACTACACAATTCATCTGTGTAACCAAAAACCACGTATACCCCTAGAACTATTCAAATAAAATTATAAATAGATTTATATGACATGTTTTTATTGTCATTTTCTCACCAATGTTTCTTTCCAATAAAATATGTATTAAGGAGAATATTTTAGTTGAGCAAATAAAGTAACTTACTGAATATATCATATGTATTCATATCACACACATTCTTCTAGGGAATGGGAATAATACCAGGGTAAACCAGACCAATATAGCCCTTAACTTTGGTCCAATATCATAGTTTAATTAGAAAGCACAGAAAATTTTACTGAAAATTATAATATAGTCTTATAAATTGTGTAGCAGAAGAAGTTTGGGGTACTCTCAAAACACTTAAGGGCATGTGACCCATGTCTGGGTGATCAGGGAATGCTTCTAGGAGGAAGTGACATTTAATCTGAAATATGGAAGATAAAAAGGAGCTGATCATTTCTAGTAACATCCTGAGATAAATGGTCTAAAACTTGGGAACCTAACCGATTTGACTGGTTTGAAGTTGATGCTTTTGCCAAGATCATAAAAATGCTGTTATTAAAATACAGGAAGGTACCTCTGGGGTTTCAAACACCAGAAAACTGCATGTATGAAGAAGGCTTGTGGCAAAAGACAGCTTGCAGCTCTGAAAAAACTTTGGGGAGAAAACTTCCAAAAAACTACAAGAAAGGTGTGCATAGCAGAATGAGAGTGAGAGACAGAAAAAAATATATATGGAAGAAGGGGGCAAGATTAGACCCTGGAAGTAGTTTTAAACAGGAAAGAGCATGGTAACAATCACATTTGCATTTTTAAGAGTGGGCAGGTGCCCATCCAAGCGCATATGTCCAGCAGGCATTTGGAGAAACAGGTCAGAGGCACTTGTGTGTGAACTCTGTTGGGTGTATGGATTTGGGAGTTATCAGCATGTAAATTATAATTGAGGGAACAGGAATTCATGAGATCATACTGGAAGAGTGAGCAGAGCAATAAGATGAGAAAGACAAAAGAGAAACCTGAGAAACACTAACAGTAACATTATCTGTTGTGGTTTAGAGAAAAGAAGTCTTAATTCCCATTTCAAAAAGAAATGAGCTTGCAACCAGGACTTGTGGTTCTCCAGAAAATGGCCCGATTTTCTAAATTATTTAAGAAATTTCTATTTTGATATTACAAAAGTAATGTTCATTTTGGATAATTTGGAAGATACAGAAAAAATAAAAAAAAATTACCTAGACTCTTACCACTCAGAACTAAGGGATATTAAAATGTTGGCATGTTTACTGTGAATCCTTTAATTTTTTCATACCTCCTTGTATTCAGGGACCCTGGACTTAGCTGTATGACGTGTTATAGCCAACGGAACAGTGAGACATATGGCACAAGCAGAGGCTTGCAAAGTTCTTGTGCTGTAGCTTGCTCACTTACTGCTCTTTGACTCCCTGAGACTGATATGCGAAAAAGCACAGGCTTGCCTGCTGAGTGATGGTGCAGAGGTGAGCCATCTCAGCTGAGACCTCCTAGTCCAACCAGACTTTCATTATGTGAGCGAGGCCATCCTAAAACATCGATCCCCAGTTAAAGTTGCCTAGACCTAAAAAACATACCATCCAACCCAGTATCATGAAAACAAAAAAGTTGATTATTTTAAGCCTCTGAAGTTTTGAAAGGATTTGTTACAGAGCAATAGTCAACTGATATGATGATGGCTGTTAAGTGAATTTACAAGGAAGGGATATGACACGTGTACTTAGAAGGCTTGGGTTTAATTTCACCTCCACAGCATCCTGGCTGTGTGGTTCTGGATAATTAACTTGCTCCTTTCAATTCCAATTTCTTTATCTGTAGAATATTTCTCCAGATGAAGTACAACACGAATAAAAAATTATAAGCTCAGAAACATTATCCATTATTATTATGCTTTCATGAGATTAAAACATAACTCTGTTTCATTTTCTAAGTCAAGTTCCCTGTTAAGCAACTACAGTTGTCCCCCTTAAGCCACATTTTTTTCCCCATGGTTTCAGTTACTCACAGTCAAAGGTAATCCTAAAATAGGTGGGCACAGTACAATAAGATATTTTGAGAGACAGAATTACCACATGCCTATAACTTTTCTTATAGAATATTGTTATGGTTCTGTTTTATTATTAGTTATTGTTAATCTCATAATGTGACTAATTTATAAGTTTAACTTTATCATAGGTATGTATGTATAAAAAAACAGTATATATAGGGCTTGATTCTCTTCCATGGTTTCAGGCATCCACTGGGCTTCTTGCAGCATATCCCCCATGGATCAGGAAGTACTATGGTATATCAATTTAATATGATGCAACTCTTATCCAGTTTATACTGTTATGACATCCAATATAATGTAGTAAGCTACTGCCATACTTCTCACAGCAAAACATGACTTGAAGTCCAATTGACTTGGATATCATTATTTCTATCATTAGTAAGAATAAACATAAAAGCTCATATTTACATGTGTTGCATTCTATGAAATAGTAACTGTTGTTATCACCACTTTTTATGCAAGGAAACTGATATAGACTAATTTTCTTTTAGTTACATAACCAGCAAATGATAGAGCCTAGGATTTAGCCTATGACTTGGGTTTTTCTGAGTCCAGACCCTGAGTCCTTTGCCACTATGCTATTGTGTTTCAGAGTTAGAACCTTAAGTTTCAAAGAGCAAACCAACCGTGGGAGCCCTTGTAGAACTCTCAGATCACCTGGGGCAAGATCTTGATGATATTCTACCTTATTCACTTACCAATTTTGGCAAAGTTGACTTCAGATTCCCATATCTTCCCTACAGAGTGTGCCTAGGACAATGCAGGATGCTTTATCCATTGCCTGTGAAAGACATCACAGCACCTGTGAACCTGTGAAAGACATCAAACTTAGAACCTGTGAAAGACATCAAAGCACTCTTAACTCATCTCCAGTTAACCAATTAAACTTTTTGGAAAATACAATTTATCTCTCTCTTCATGGATTCCTCTTTCCCCATTATATCCTTTTTCTCCATCTTTTATCAGGTAGTTAGCACCACTATTTTAAACCTTAAAAATATTTTATTCTTATCCAGCTTCCTATTTTTCTTTTTATGCAAAATTCCTCATTCAAGCGGACCTCTGTTCTGACCCTTGTTTAAAAGGAGGTATTGCTGATTCACTTCATAGTGGATCAAACAATGTAAATATTGCATTGACTAAAATCCGAACATAAGTTTAAAAATCAACTTTCATAGGCTTTTCGTCCTTCTAAAATAAATACTTTTGATCTTAGTAATCATATGACAATATGGCTATTGAGAAACCAGAGCCAAAAGAAAAAAAAAATCTATCACGTTAGTTTGTGGAATAAGCCACTGAAGCCTTATTTCTCTTATTCTTTTCCCTTTTCTCACCCCTTCTTTGTCACCCCAGGGGATAAATTATTATTGGCATTCCAACTTTTAAATAGTTTTAAATGGCTTTTTCTTGTGGTTCAGATGTGATGTTACATCTGTCACAGCTACTGAAATATATCTCCTTTCTTGCTTTATAATTTACCAGCTGGTTAGTGCTAGTAGCAAAAGTTACTTTCCTCCCCAAAGTGCAGCCTTTATAACAGTGGATCATCAATGGCTCTTCTTCGTGACAGATGTTATCTGACATAATATAAGTGGGAATGCCACAATAAGGCACCATTAGAAAATCTGATAATTAAGTGATATTTTGATGTGTTTCAAGCTTATATTTAAAAATAAAGCGTAGATAGAAGAATTTCTGAGTTTGATCTATTGCCCAAGTTTGCATATTTTCACAGAATAGGAACAAAACAAAACCTTCCATAATACCTATTGGAAAACCATGAACCTTGCAAACTACCATCCACAAGTCATCAAATTTTATTTTTCTTCACCTTTTTTGAGTAACTTAGATTTTCAGGTAAGGTAATTTTATACTTCTTGTTTCATGTTATAGGACCCCTTGTAATCATCTCTTTCTTGCTATTTATGCAATATATGGCCCATATAACTTTGGATCCGTATAATTTTGTATTGTAGTTATCTATTTTTCTAACCTTGTTTTGTTTTGTTTGTTTTGTTTTGTTTTTGCCTTCTAGAGATTGATTTCCTTGAAAATGAGAATTTCAATTGGCTTTTGACCATCAGTACCTAATATAAGGACATACTGTGTATACACGCAGTGGATCTTCAAAAATATCTGTTGAGTAAATGCATTATTTTAGGATGTCTCTGATTCTCCCTTTCCCTTCATGTTTCTCCATTCTTTTTTCTCTTTCTTCTCATCTTGTTCTTCAGTTTTTAAGTGTGCATGGGGTCATAACGGCCTGCTAGATTGTCTGAGGCCAAATCTTTAGCCCTTTTTTAAGGAGCCTAAAGTCTCCATCCTCAGGATTCCCTGAAGATTCATTACCATTTGCCCCTATCCTTGCACAACAGCTTAATCATAACATTTCCTTATACTCTAACCAGCACTCCTGGATCTTTAAATAGCTCTATTCCCTTATTTTCCTGCCAGTTCTCCAAAATACAAGCCAGATGAGGGGGATGGACCAAAGAAGCAAAGCAACACCATGGACATCCCAGCAGAGAAAGCTTCTTGTTTCCCATCACTTTACTGGAGCAAAGATTACTGTCCAAAGGTAGCTTCTCTATCAGGGGACTAGCTTTTGGGCTTGGGCCCAAGGAACAATCAACAGTGCAAATGTGCATCAGCTGTTACACTTTGCCTTACAGTTTTGCAGTCTTTCTGTTTGTTCTATATGGCCAGCTGCTTGTCTGCCACTTGGCAGCCTCACACCAACATAGTGTTAACCAGTTTGCTTCCCCCTTATCTGGTTCTGGAAATTGATCCCCGCATATCTGATTCATTACTTCAAACAAACCTCTGATCAAGAGGCTTGAGAGCCACAGGTGGCCACTTCAGCTGAGAGAAACAAAAGGCCCTATGTAGACGTTCTCTTTAGAATCAAGAAACAAACCTATTTTTATAGTACTTGCAACTGATATCTTGCATATAGCAAGCATTAATTCATGTTTTATCATAATCAGATTTCTCATAGCTCTCACATGAATCTGATACAATGGGATACAACTTTATATTTATTTCCACTTAGGGGAAACCATACTATTTAAGGCATATTTTTTTTGTCCCTAGTACTTACCTGAGCCCTGTTTTACCCTCCAGTGAATCCTAATATGATCACCTTCTAAGACAAAGTGGACTTATACTTACTTACTATTGAAATTAATTATATTTCTATCACTTGGACATAAATGGAAAAGGAGAGATTTATTATTTATTTATAATTATAAATGAATAGCATTATAATAGAGACTGAAAGAACCTTTGGGAATGTGGGAGCAAATTAATCTCACTTAGTCTACAGATAAAGGGAGACTTCTTGCCAGGTTGACTTTTAAGCTGAGCCCTGCAGGAATGAGTAAACATTTAAGGTAAGAGAGAATTGAGACTCAGCAAGGTACATTTAAAGCACTGAAAGAAATTCCAAATGGGTAGTCAGGATAAGGGTGATTTGGGCGGGAAAAGAGCTTGAAAATCATTTGTGCAATTGTGCTGTTGCTGATCACATGTAAATAGTATGGTAATGACTACATCACAGGTAGACATATACAAAGTTGTATACTGCTTGTAGAGTCACTGTGAAGAGTTCACAAAAGAAGTTACATGTTTCTCACACCTTGAAGAATTAATAGAAATTACTTTCACAAAATGAATGACAGTAAGACATTGCTACAGTAACAAGTGGATGGAAGTATAATGTTGTAGGTATTGTAGACATTGGGTGCATGTTTGTAGGGTGCTGAGTGGTATGTTGAGAATGCTAGAGATGAGCTAGGAGAAGTAGGTAGCTGCCAGTTTGTGAACATATTTGTCATGATAAGAAATCTGAATTTTATCCTGTAGTCAATGGGAGGTCTTGTAAATATTGTTATCTATTCTCATTAGATTCTCTCACTTGTATCCTATAGTCAATTCTGGAAATTTCAAATATGGGGAGCAATTGATATAGCCCTAAACTATTTTTTAATTTAGTTGTAAAGACCAACCAAGTAATTTACATTTAAAAAGTCAGATTATGATATTGCAGTACTCCTTGAAATTTCTAATAACATGGATCACGAAATTGCTGACCTTCAAAAGACCACATTTGGCGTCATCAAGTAGTCCTGAAATAACTCCTTGCTTCATAGATTTATTGCACAATACATTTTCTTTTGCTCACACCTTAGAAGATCACTGTTGTTTTGTAGGCAGCTGCCCTTTCTCTTTACAAGGGAAGTAGCATTTTTATCACCTACCAAAGATCATTGTTGAGAAAATAAGTGTTATCACTCTGTCAATGGCCTATTTTAACTACCTTCCTTGGGCAGTGATCAGAAATGAGCTGAATAAAAAGGAATGAAAGTATTTCAAACAAATCTGTTTATAGTACGCAGGAAGCAAGAAAAGTCAGTCTTGATTCTTTACTGGCTTACCATTTACACAGTACCATCTACATATTTACATAGTAGAATAATCTACTCTTGAAAAATTCTATAATATTGAAGAGTATATTGCAAATGTCATTTGGTCATTCACCCAGGAACATGAAAACCATTGGTATGATTTAATTTTTTAATCTGCAGTATTTATTAGGTATCTTTACAAATCTCATCTCTTAGAGACAGCTATGATAAAAATAGCTCACTCAGAAATAAACGTTCGCCTTTAGAAAACTTCTTTCCACCTAAGTCCTAGGTGCCTGCACTTGCTTGTTTCTTGGGTCATCATTCAGGTATTACACTTTATCTGTTCCTCCTCAAACAGCCACATTTATACCAATCATAAGATTTTACTTACCTGCACCATTTTCCCCAGATTCCTAATTCCTGGGTAAAGAATTAGTATAATAAATGAAAAAATGCTAAGACATGATGTAATAATTTTAAGCAGTAGTTTTTCATTATTATATTTTGATTTTAGAAAATCAGTTCTTATAGAAGCATCCTGGATGCATTAAACAGTGTGACTAGGGTTGCTCTCGTAATAGTTCAGATGAAGTAGTATGAAGGCATTAGGCAGGAGAGGGACAGAAAGAATGTTATAACACACACACACAATCACACTCCATATATATGTGTGGAATATAGATATGGCATATATAAATATATAATGCATATGTAAATGGAATATATATGCTATGTGTGTATATATACTTATATAATATATAGAAAGCACATAGAATTTATAGAGATGATTTCTATAGCAAATGAGAAAAAAGAGGAATGGCAAGAATAGGTAAGAACGTGGATGATGGGGGACATTAGGTCAGAAAACATGTATAGAAAGAGACACGCATATTTGAGGTAAAGAAATATAATGAATACAGTTATAGGTAAATGAGAATTAAGTGTCCTTGGCTCATGCTTGTAATCCCAGCACTTTGGGAGGCCGAGGGAGAAGGACTGCTTGAGTTCAGGAATTCAAGACCAGCCTCGGCAACTTAGCAAGACATTGTCTCTACTAAAGATCAAAAAAATTAGCTAGGTATGATGGCACATGCCTGTAGTTCCAGCTACTCATGAGGCTGAGGTAAGAAGATCACTTGAGCCTAAGGAGATGGAGGCTACAGTGAGCTATGATCATGCCACTGCATTCTAGGCTGTGACAGAGTGAAAGCCTAATTTTTTAAAGAAAGTGTCTGTGGGGATATCTAAGTGGGAACACACAACAGGCAAGTAAAAATATGTGTTCACAATTCTAGAGAGACAAGAGCTGTTTAAGTAGATTCCATAGCCATTGATATATGAATAAGTAACTGTTAACCCCATGAAAGTGGATATTACACAGGAAGAGTTCATGGAACATGAATCAAGGACACCTAAGAACAGATGTAAGAGTTCCTCTGCTTAAAGGGAAAACTAGAAGTCAACAAAGGAGGGATCAGGAAAGTAGGAACAGGCCAGAAACACATTGTAAGAAAAGTCAAGGTGAGAAAATTTCATAGAGAAAGGAAGCATAAGGTCAAATCTTGCAAAACTGATAAGAATATAAATATATTCATTGAATTTGTTCATTAGAAATTCATCTCTGGTTTTCTCTGAACCAAATCTTGAGATAAGTACTTGAGTTACAGGTAGATTATTGGGAGCTGATCCTAGGAAGCCAGATAGAAGGTATGGACAACCACAACAGGCAAAGAAGAGAATTCAATAAAGGTTATGGCTCTGACTCTTTGGGTCCCTGTGCTGCAGGTAGCCCTCTGAGGAAGCAAATATTAAGCACCTCACAATGGTCTCAACAAAGGGCTGACAGCTGAGGGCTACCACTGCTAGTGGTTCCAGGTTTCCCCAGGGTCACTAACTCCCAAATACTTGAGAGTGGGGACTGAGCAGCAGCCATAGCTCAGAGAAAGCCCTGATGCAGAAAGCTGAAAGATTTGGCAGGCACTGGAGGTGGAATGCCATCAGTGTGCACAGAAGCTATAGTAAAACTAGCTGCAATGTAAGTTAAATGTGGGTGAAGGGTAGGTTGCATGGATACACAAGGAATGTCATGGGTTCGCTCAGAGAATAGGTTCAGAGACAGAGAGCAAGACTGAGACTTCATTGCCATGAAGTAAGGAAATTAAAATTTTGGATGGGCGATGATATAGTTGACTAAATTGAGACTGGGCCTGGAGGAACTGGGCATATTCAAAGAATGAATTTCACAACTGATTAGCATTGGAGGGAAGAAGTAGACCTGTTCATGTGGCGTCACACATACCCATAGATATTTGGGTTATAATGGTTTCCGGAATATAGGCAGTGGAGGAGGAAACATAAATTAGCAGCAGTAGGAAGATGAGGCTTGGTTGAAATGAATTTTTTGTGAACATGTTTATAGGCATTCATTCATTTATTCAAAAGCATTTTTGAATGTTTACTGCTCAATTCTGAGCTATGCTTTAAAGTTGCTATGGTGAATATAACAGGTGTAGTCAGTCCCTCCTTCATGAAGATTGATATCTAGTCTAGGAGAAAAAAATTACTAAAACAGCACTCATGATAACTTACTTATTATATGATCACTACCACAAAGGAACAATAGAGTATGCTATGAGAGCAGATAGTCAAAGAACCTCGCCTAGTGAAAATAGAGTGAGAGATGAAATAATAATAGATGGAGAATTATCTACCCTGAGGTAGCACCTGTTCTTCCTTTTCAATTTTGCTTTTTTCTCATTAATATTTACCTTATTAGCATTTATTTTAGTTTGCTTAAACATATCTTCAAGTAAAAATAAGAATAAATTGTAAATAATTTTATTTTGCTCACCACTTGATTGAAAGTCTGACGAAGTGTTTTCAAATCAAAACTGTTTTTTCTATGAACTTTATTTCCATTTTTGAATTCAGTTTGGGTAATGAGAATTTAATGCGAAACTGATGCTCACTCTATTACTTATCATCTTCATCTATCTTGCCCCTTTCCCCTTCTGCTGTAAATCCTTAGTAGCTTTTCTTTTTCTCATTGTATTCTTAAATTTTAAAATGATGGGTTAGAGTGTTTTACTTTACCTTTCTTGGTAGTCTATGTGTTTATTTTATTTTAATTTTTATCTTTTAAATACAGAGTCTTGCTCTGTTGCCCAGGCTGGAATGCAGTGATGCAATCACAGCTCACTGAAGCCATGAACTCCTAGGCTTGAGCTATTTTCCTGCCTCAGTCTCCAGAGTAGTTGGGACTAAAGTCATGAGCCACCACATCTGGGTAATTTTTATTGTATTTTTATTTTTGTAGAGATGGAGGTCTCACTATATGGCCCAGGTTGGTCTTGAATTCTTGGCCTCAAGTGATCCTCCCACTTTGGCCCCCCAAAGTGCTAGAATTATAGGCATGAGCTACCATGCCTGGCCCAGTCTATGTTTTAATGCTTGAATTTGTAGGGGTTTTTTGTTGTTGTTGCTGTTCAACTGTGGAAAATTTCATTAGGAAGTTTTATTGTATCGGTTTCTCTTCTTGATTTTCTCTTTTCTCTCTTTGTGAAATGCCTCCAGTATGGATGTTAATTCTTCATTAATTCTGTCTCTTCAGAATTCTCTAATGTTTTATGTCATTAGGAGCATTCCTAGATTTTTAATTTTTTTCTTCTTACAGCTATTTTTTTGCAATTGATTGAATATTTGATATATTCAAACTGTATGTGTTATAGAGGCAAAGCTTGAAGCATAATAACTATAACCCAAGACCCAACTTAAAAAGTAAAATGTTATCGATACTAGTAAAGTTAACTCTGGTTCTCAGCCCACACCTATTATCCCTGTAGAGGTTGAGACTATTATAAACTTTCTTCTTAATACACCTCTTGCTTTTTTTGTAGTTTTACTAAGTAATTACATATTGCTGAACAATGTATGTTTGGTTGTATATGTTTTAGACTGTATAAAAATAATGTATTCATAACATTTTGCAGTACACTTTTTTCAGTTAATAGTTTTTTTTTTTTGAGACGGAGTTTTGTTCTTGTTGCCCAGGCTGGAGTACAATGACACAATCTCGGCTCATTGCAACCCCTGCCTCCTGGGTTCAAACGATTCTCCTGTCTCAGCCTCCCAAGTAGCTGGGATTACAGGCGCCCAGCACCATGCCCAGCTAAGTTTTTTTGTATTTTTAATAGAGATGAGGTTTCACCATGTTGGCCAGGCTGGTCTTAAACTCCTGACCTCAGGTGATCTGCCCACTTCGGCCTCCCAAAGTGTTGGGATTACAGGCATGAGCCACTGCGCCCGGCCATATTTTTAAGTTCCGTTCATTTTGCTACATGTGACTATAGTTTGTTTCACTTTGTGCAGGAAATTCTATCATATGAATGTATAAGACTGTTAGGCAGAGAGTGTCAGCTTAAGTAGAGACTGAAATCAAGTCCAAGCTACTGCTTACAAACTCCAAGTGTCAGTCCAGTGGAGGGATACCTTTTGTAATCATCGACCCAGGGGGAGAACTCTTCTTGGATTTTGTGCAAAGGTTCCATATAGAGTGAGCAATGAATGAGTTTTTTCCACAATTGGTTTATTCTGTCAAAGCGTCTTAAACTATTGTTTTTTGGGGCCATTTTTGTTTTGGTTTTGTGTTCTTTTTTATTTTTGATGAATAATGCTTTTATGATTTTTTTTGTACCTATTTCCATGTGCAAGTTTTCTTTCTATGTATAAGCCTCTTTACAGAAGAATGGCTGAGTGATAACACATGTAAACATTCAACACTACAAGAAAATACCTAATTAGGTTTACCAATTTATATTTCTATCAACAGTTTGTGAGCATTCCCATAGTTTCATAACTTTGTTGCCTGTGATGTTGTCAGAATTTTTAAATTTTGCCAATTACTATTGAATTTGACAGCATTTCTATAAAATAATTGGTCACCTTTTCAATGTTCATGAAAAAATTTATTAAAATTTTTATTGGAACTCCATTTAATCTATACATCATTTTAGGAAAAATTGATATGTTTTATTTAGTCAACCCAACTAAGGAAATAATTAGTCTGTTTATTCTGTTATTCTTTATTGTTATTGCTCTAAAGTTTTAGAATTGTCTTCATAAAGATCTTGCATACTATTTGTTAGATTCATTAATATGTTCTTATTGTTTTGTTATATTCATTCATATGTATTTTTTGCATTTTATAAAATTATATTCTAATTATTTTGCTCTAATATAAAAATATAATTGACTTTGGGGAAATGACCTTATGACCACAAACTTTGCTAAATTCCCTTATTATTAATAATTCTGGATTATTTTTGAAGTTTCTAAGTACATGAAATCTG
Organism: Homo sapiens; assembly: GCF_000001405.40. Taxonomy (NCBI): domain Eukaryota; kingdom Metazoa; phylum Chordata; class Mammalia; order Primates; family Hominidae; genus Homo; species Homo sapiens. Next base: position 28,929,805 of record NC_000011.10, read on the forward strand.
TGAATAGCTGCCACTCTGATTCTTTTGGACTTTTAATATATTCGGCTTTAATTTTTGCTTTTTTAAAGTGGTATTTAATACCTGTATAGTACAATGTTAAATGAAAGAAGTGAAATGTGGCCGTTTTGTTTTGAGCTGCATCTTTAAATAGTTTCTAATTTTTTTTCTGTTCTTGTTTTATTTTGTTTTTTAAGCAATCAGCATTATTTTGCTTTAGAATTCTTCAGGTACCCTTGACCAGGTCTTTAATGTTGTGTCTGCTTATAAGTATGCTTCGTGTCAACCACTGTTATAAGGCTTTTACCTATATTAATTCTTATAAGTATTTCAGTAGATCTATGGGTTAACTACTGGTTTGTTAAAAGCTTTTTATTATAATACATGTGGTATGTGGTATTTTATTTAAAGCCTCATGTCATCTCTTTTGAAAACAGTATCCTTTATTCTTCTTAATCAGTTAATAAATTAGAGTATACTTATAGATTTTTTCAAAAAGTGAAAGCATACTTGCCAATGAGATAGTTCCAATTGATCCTGAAATATCGTCTTTATATATATTGTTAAATTTTGCTTCCTAATATTCATTATTTACAATTACATTTATGAGAGTGATTGCTCGATAATTTTCTTTTCTTTTTTCCTTTTACACAGCTCTTTTTTGGTTTGTATCAAACATATATCATCTTCACAGGGTAAACTGGGGAGTGTCCTTTTTCCCCACCGAGTTATAGAAAAATTTGGAAAGGATTGGAATTACGTAGTAATTGTTTGCTAGCAGTTTCTAGTGAAAGATCTCAGATTCTGTATACGTGTATATTTGTGTGTATTTTCAACTATAGCTTCAATTTTGTAAGAATTAAAGAAAGGAAAGAAACATGAAAGGTGGCTTGCCAGTTAAGACAGTTTATTTTAGAGAAAACAAACATGAGGGGAGCTTCTGGCTGAGTTAGGTTAGAGGCCCACTCTTTTACAGACTAATAGTTTTTAAGGATTTAGGGTGGGAGAGTTTATTAGAGGCTTGGGCTGCCTCTGTTTTTTTTTTTTTGTTGTTTTGTTTTTGTTTTTGTTTTTCTGTGCTAATTTGGGAGGGAGAGTTGTATGTTTCTTTCCTAGATTTTTTTTTTTTTTCAGCTGAAGGCATACCCCCTAAGTCTGCTTTTAGCTTTTCTATTTTAGTGCACCTGAAGGGAAAAGAATGTCCTTATTAAGGCCGACTGTTTTACTTGGGCCCATTGTATGAGGAAGTTTGGCGGTTACCCAAGAGACTTTTCCCCCATCTCCCTCTGTGTTTGAGTTGTCTTATCCGTATTTTACTGTCTGCCCTTTCTGGATGCTTGTAGTTAGAAGAGAAGTGGTTTCCTTGAAATGCATGAGGCTAGAAAGGGAGCTGGAACTTAAAGTGGTGATGTTTGTCCAAGATGACAGTGCTCCTGCTCTGTCAAATTTTATGAATAATTATAGGACTACATACTTTCTGTTTCTTCTTGAGTCAGTTCTGTAAATCATATTTTCCTAAGAATTTGTCTATTTCATGTAAATGTTCAAATGTGCTGACATATGATGGTTTATGATATTATCTCTCTCTCTCTTTTCTTTTTTTCCATTCTGTTGCTGGATCTAGAGTGCAGTGTGGCAATCATAGCTCACTGCAGCCTGGACCTCCTGGGCTCAAGCAATCTTCCCACCTCAGTGGGTGCATGCCACCATGCATGGCAAATTATTTTATTTTTTATATTTTGCAGAGACGAGGTCTTGCTCTGTTCCCCAGGCTGGTCTCAAACCCCTGGGCTCAAGCAATCCTCCTGCCTCAGTCTCCCAAAGTGCTGGGACTCCAGGTGTGAGCCACTCAGACTGGCAGTGTTCTCTTTTTAATGGTATTCTTCTTGTATTTTTAATCTTTTTAAATATTTATTTCCCTTTTTACTTATATGTTGCTTCTCCCTCTTTTTCTTGAACAAACTTGCCAAAGATTTGTATATTTTGTCTTTTTTTTTAAATTTTATTATTATTATACTTTAAGTTTTAGGGTGCATGTGCACAATGTGCAGGTTAGTTACATATGTATACATATGCCATGCTGGTGTGCTGCACCCATTAACTCATCATTTAGCATTAGGTATATCTCCTGATGCTATCCCTCCCCCCTCTCCCCACCCCACAACAGTCCCCAGAGTGTGATGTTCCCCTTCCTGTGTCCCTGTGTTCTCATTGTTCAATTTCCACCTATGAGTGAGAACATGCGGTGTTTGGTTTTTTGTCCTTGTGATAGTTTACTGGGAATGATGATTTCCAATTTTTTTGTCTTTTTATAACATCAACTTTTCACATTTTTATTCTTCTCAATTATATGTTTATTTTCCAATCATTTCTATTCTTATACTTTTTTCTTTGTATTTTATTTAACATTCCATGCTGATTCTCTTGATATTTCCTCTGGCAACTTCTCATGGCGCTTATTTCCTTGTGCATTGTTAGTGTGTATATATATGTTTGGGTGTATTTATTTTGAGGTCATATTTACTGTGATTCTGTGCCTTCTTGTCCTTTAGGTTTGGGTATAAGAAGCATTCTTTCAGGATAGACAGTTTATTTGCTTCTGTCTAGCATCTGAGGTACTACATTAAATTAAAAACCCAGGTCTTTGGTTTTGGAAAGCACATAACTAATGTAAAGCTAGCCTCTAAATTCAATTGCAGACTAGTTAATAGATAAAAATTCAAGAACCACAACTTGTAGACACAACTAGTAGACACAAGTTCAAAACCACAATTTGGCTTTTTGATCAAGAACCTTAGAGAAGATGAATAATCTTTTTATTTATGTCTTTTCTTTTGCACTAGTTCTTTCCTTCTGAGAGGTTGCAGACCTTCCTTAATCATTGTTAATTCCTAGTGGAAGCTAGTCAGTTCTCTACCTGTTAAAGTGTTATGAAGCTTCAATTACATAGTCTCTGTGAGTGTCCCCAGGGTATATCATGGCTTCACTGCTGACTTTAATCCCTGGATGCTAGCTCTTGTTGTTTGTTTGGTTTCAGATTATTACTCCTTTTCCCTTTCAAATCACTCATTAGAGCCTTTAAAATATATTTTACTTATTCATCCCTGCCAAGTACTCCTTCATCCCCATTGACACTACCTTGTTCCCTAGCTTTGTATCTATGCCTTGTTTGGAATATCTGAAAACCTTCTGATCAGTCTCCCTCCTTCCAGTCCAATTCACACAGTGCCACCCAAGGACATTACCTTAAAAACACACCCTGTCACTCTCCTTCCTTACAACCTCTGTGGAGAGTACTCTATCCATGGCCTTCTGAAATCTGTTCCAACCTCTCTCATCAATTTCACCTCCTGCTGTCCTTCCCACATTCCCGCATTTTAGCCACCTCCTGAACTTGGAATTTAAGTTGTGAGCTTTTTTTTTTTTTTTTTTTTTTTGAGATTGAGTCTCACTCTTATTGCCCAGACAGGAGTGCAGTAGCACGATCTCGGCTCACTGCAACCTCCGCCTCCCAGGTTCAAGTGATTCTCTTGCCTCAGCCTCCCCAGTAGCTGGACTGCAGGCACCCACCACACCTGTCTAATTTTTGTATTTTTAGTAGAGATGAGGGTTCGTCATGTTGGCCAGGCTTGTCTCGAACTCCTGACCTCTGGTGATCTGCCTGCCTCAGCCTCCAAAAGTGCTGGGATTACAAGCGTGAGCCACCGCACCTGGCTAAACTTTTTTACATTATTAGATATTTGAGGGATTTTAGGATATCTAGTTTGTCTTGTTGCTAGAAAAAGAAATAGCAGTCATATATTTTAATTTCTAAGATTTCTGTCTTTATGAGTCTTCTTTTTGTTTTTCCAGAAAGCTTTTTCTCGATTCCTCATCATACTGTATTTTTGTACTTTTCTGAGAATAATCACTATAATTTTGTTTTTACTTCTGTTTTGTCCTTTAAATGATCTTTCATTCCCTCCACCTCGGTTAGTTTTTTGTTGTTGTCCATCTGAGCCTTTTTTCATGCAGTTAGTTTTCCCAGATGTCTGGTACTCTTTGGTTTTCTTTTTTATACTTATAAATGCAGGACTAGTTAATCAATATAGGTGGCTTGTATGAGCCTGCTCTTTTGGTGTATATACCTCTTTCTTCAAAATGTATTTCTCTGTAAAAGGGAAGAAAGTGTGCTTTGTGCTTGGGCAAATGTATAAATTAGAAGGCTTCATTTTGTGATAATATATGAAACAGTCATTTATATTCATGGGTGAGATTTGCTCTCAGAGGCCATCATGTATCCCAGAAACCCTTCACACTGTATTTTGTTTGCTTCAAGAGTTATTGGGGAAGCAGCTTATGTAGTCATTTCGTATTAAGTTTTTAATTAGTTACCTTAATATTCACCTTATTTCCTATTGCTGGTCCCCATACCTGCCGTTGCCAAGCTTGGAATCTTCTTATGGTTCTCTCAGGAAGAGCAGCCCACACATCCGTTGAAGGCTTCTGTATGTTTTCTGGATTAGAGCTTCTTCCAGTCTGCTTTATGCTTCCATCTTCCAGAAATATGTCAAAATTTCTATCTTCTGATAGCCCTTATTCCATTCTCACACATATAATTTTCTCTGGTTTGTTCCTGTTCTCTGTCATGTCCATGAGATTTGGGGAAAGAAGGGTGGGATCAATGTAAATGCTCAGTGTACCGTAATGAATTAAGTTCCTGAGGACCTAGTCAATATAATTTGACTTTTTTAAAATCCTAGCAGTAGTTATCTTAAGGATATAAATTTTAAAAAATGTTTTAATGAGTTTTGAAAGCAGTATAAAACTAAAGTTTGAAATTGCTACAGAAATTAATTACATAGAATGGTGAAAATGTATAGCATTTTCTTAAAAATAACAAACATCAAAGTGAAATTTATCAGATATATAAATAATCAGAAGAAAAATATCCATTGCAAGATTAGTGTTTTATCTACTGATCACATTATATTTGTTGTACTGTGCCCTGAAAATTGCTGAAACAAGTTGGCCTTTTTTGAGACGTAGAGTTAGTGAATTGAAGCGACTTTTTTTCTATAATGGGATTTGACTTACCTATCTTAAGTGAAAGTTTTTTCCATAAAGAGAATATCAAGTTTCCCTTACCAGTTAGATTTTTATTTGGGAGGTAGCACAGAATAATTAGGGAGGCCTAGATTTAAATAAATCCCATCTCTGCCACCCAAAAGACTATGCAAATGCTTTAAGTCTCAGTATCCTCATTTGTAAAATAATAGAGCAGAATTTCATCTTTCTGGGGGATTCGTTTCTACAATACAAATGATAGAAATCAGATACAACTAGATTTATCCTTGGAAATTTCTTAAATGTCTATTCTATATAGACATACTGTTCTTTCGTAAATCCAACATAACAATTACTTTTCTATATTGAAATGTATCACCACTTCTTCATTGGAACCATGGATAAGTAAATTGGTTTATGTTTACAGATGATGTTATCTGAAATATATGTACTTTTGAAGAGTAAATTTAACATGTCAGATGTTATGAGACGAATAAAAGGAAAAATATATTTAAGTCTGACAAATTATGTTCCTTTTGCGACACATGTTCTTTGAGTGGAATAAGGGCAGATAATTTTTATGTCTATGTTGTTTTCTTCTTTCTCTCACTGTAATTTTTTTAATTTGCTGAGTAAATGTATTTGATTTTGAATATATTGAAAGTATGTATGATGTTACCACACTGTACCTAGTTTATTGTTTTGCTGTTAGGATTAAATAGGCCATGTGATGTGTTTAGAAGTTTTAGGTACTAAGTGATAAATAAATGTTGGTTTTTCTTATTGGCATCAATATTATTTTTAATTGTTCGCTGAAACAAAATAACAAATATAAATTTACTGGTTTAGACAATTACATTACTTTGCCATTATATATTTCAGTATTTCACTTATGAACTTGCATTATCTAAGACTTTCTTCTTAGATATAAGTGCTCGATTTTCATTTTATAGACAAGGGATACTATATTTACAGATAATGAAGAAATATCAATTATCCGTTTTCTTACAGAAAGACTACATTTGAATTCATATTCTTAAATCTTACTATTAATATTGGTTAAAAATAGCCACCACATTTGATCTACCTACTAATTTGTATGCATACCATTTTGTTAAAGAGCAGCTAGATTGCCTGCATTGAGATTTTGGCTCTATTACTTACTAGCTTGACAACATTATGCAACTTCCTTAGCCTCCTTGTACTTCCATTCCTCTCTTATAAAACTGCAATAATGATTATAATGGTTTTTACTTCGTAGGATTTTCTTGGGAATTGTATATTTATAAAGGACAGAGCTTAGTAGTTGTTTTTTTTATGACACCATGTTAATCACTCCCATTGACTCATTTAATTCTCACACAATCCTCTGAAGCAGGCAGTAATATCCCCATTTTGTAGATAGGAGAAATGAGGTTTCCAAGAGCTTACACATCTTGTACAAGGACAAAGAATTGGAAGAGTTTGAAGATGGAATTTTAACCTAGGACTGCCTGCATTACTGTGAACTACATTGAGTCCTTACCTGAGGGCTTCTTCAACCAAAATATGGTGCCACATTAAACAATAAATTAGTGCTGGTCAATAATGTGAAGAGTAGAAGATTGTTTCATAAATACAACAGTTAGCATTTCTAAGTCTCCACTTAAATCAGAGAAAAGAAAAATATTTACATTGAAATATGAGATTATTAACCCAAATAGAAAGGGGATTTATTAATGTAAGGATTTGTTTACTTTGGAATGGGGCATTGAAGAAAATGTGTATTTTTTCTAGAAAGATTGGTAGGGTATTTGATTTTAATTGGGTTCATTTAATAGTAACACTATTGGGTAGTTATAAGCATGGCCTTTTCCCCTAGAAAGACTTGGGTTCAAATTATGATGCTGTCACTTAAAAACTCTTGTATTAAAAGCTCTCTGAACTTCAATTTCTCATCCAGAAATTGTGTATGATATCACTGGGGTGGTCGAAAGAATTAAATCCCCCAGCAATGTGCCTGGTGTGGAGTACACTCTTGGGAAAACATTAGCTTATTACAAAGGGAGGGAGAGAGGGAAGGGGGCAGAGAGACAGAAAGGGGAGCGCAAGCCAGAGAGAAAAAGAGACAAATCCTCTCAGTCTTGTCTAATTCCACAATACTGTGATGTGGTTTTGAGAAAATTCAAGGTGTTTGTGTTAATAGGGTTGGCTAAGTAAATACACACTCTAAACATCAAGAACCAAGATTATGAAAAATTCAAAAGTTTTTAATCAAAGTTCCATTAAAGATTTGTATTTCCATTGTCTACTCCAACACATACACATACACACACAAGTTTGCACAAATGCACACACACACCACAAAAAAACAAACAATAAAACCCTAAGATTCAATGAAAACAAGTCAAGTCTGTCAGCCATTATTATGGTAAATGTGGTATATGTTCTTATGCACCCAGCCTAAGATGCCTCAGATAGTGATTAAGATTTCAGGCTCTGTAGTCTAACAGTTTGGGCTTGATTGTCTTCACCTCTCATCCTGTGTGTCCTTAGTCAATTACTTACCCTCTCTGTGTCTTGTGTCCAGGATAAAGTAGGAATCACAATAGAATGTATTCCATTGGGTTATTCTGAGGTTTAATTACATTACACATCTTAAATGTTTTGTTTAATCCTAATACTTAGTAATTATTTAATAAATATACTGGCTATAACTATTAAAAATAGAGACAATGCATGTCTCAATTTACTTTACAGAACTGTCAGGTCCAAATTAAATAAATATATATTTATGCCATTTTGATAAATGAAGATTAAGTAAAATGAGATATTAGCATTTAATGTTGCTTTGCATACAGCTATTCTCAGAGCTGGAAGTCTTTCTTACTTTCTGTTTATCTGATATTTTCATTTCTAGGACAACATTTCAAGTATATAGTCACATGGCTTCTGGTTAACTGTTTCCAGTGTCAAGAATCTCTTTATTTTTTGTAGCAACCCATTTCGTTATAGAATACATTAGCTTTTTGCATATTAAATTAATACACATTTCTTTGTAACTTGCACTGATTATTCTTAGTTCTAGCCTTGTTACCATACCAAAAAACCACAAACAAACAAACAAACAAACAAAAATAACAGCAAAGTGTGTTCTGGGTACTACTGATGTATAACAAACCACGGAACAAGTTTGCAGTGTAAAACAGACACACTGTTTTGCTATTTTGTGGGTGAGGAATTTGAGGAGTGTTCTTTGGGCACACCTTTTGCTCCTTGTGGCATTTCCTGAGAGCAGAGTTGTCCAATATGTTGGATGGACTGGTCTGGAGGGCCTGAGATGGCATCATTCACATGTCAGGTGCATTAGTGAGGATGGACTGAACTGTAAACCTGAGTGTGTATATGTAGTCTTTCTGGCATCTTGGCCTCAGGGTATAGTTGGACTTCTTAAGTGGTAGCTGGTTTAGTTTAGAGCAAACATCTCAACAGCATCAAGTTACGTGGTCTTTTCTGACCTTCTCTCAGAAGCTACTTAACAACATTCCAAGCTCCTCCATTGGTCAAAGCAGTCAGAAGCCCACTCAGATGAAGAGGGAGGGGACACAGAACCTGCCTCTTGATGGGAGGAATGTCAAAAAATGTGAATGTGGAAAGGGGCATGTTTTCATACTACCATACTTGACCTGTCAGCAGGCCTCTGGCTGAGGGACCTCAGCCCCTAGACAGAACAGAAAAGCCTCTGCTTATGGCACAGAGGTTTACAAAACTCTCTGTTTAGACTGGTGTCCAAGTCACAACTTGAGGGGACAGAAAGGTAGTTGCACCTCAGCTGGTCTTCTCTGAATGAATTATCCCTTGTCATAGGGGACTCTGTACAAATGCAGCCATAATTCTTGTCTATTGAAAAATTAAATCTTCAGAGCAAAGTTGTTTTGACATTGTTCTACAGATAACATTCAAAACCCTGCACAATCTCAATATTATAACAACAAAACACAAACAGGAAATAGAGACACAGACTCGTTTTTTTCTAATCGCAAATAGAAATTATCCTTGCTAATTACAAAGGCTTATAAAATTCCACTGGTGTTTACACATGGCTGACTGCTTCACTGGCAGCAGGAAGCAGTCTGATGTGGAGAGTTGGGTAGACCTTTGCTTCTGATGTCCAGAATCTAGGAATCTGAGCAATCAAAGCTAGAAACATTTGTGTCCTAAAATATGAGAGTGATCTTTATGGTTACCACATGACAGAAATGACCCACAATGGGACATAAGCTTCCATTTCTCCCTGAGTTTCTACCAAGGTATTCTAATTGTCTATGATGAATTGGCATCTTATATTGCTGGTTTGTAGTTGGAATCTAAAAGAAAATTAGGTTAAGCCACAAGACACTATTTTACTATGAGTTATATATAGTTTAATGTAAGCCTTATAAATATCATAGATTCATATTTTGTCCATTCTTAGAGAGTTGGCAGGAGATTTATAAAAAGAAATTTTATAAGTAAAATAAACAGAAAATACATCAATATAAAGAACTGATAGCATCATAAAATTAGAAAGGAAAAGAAATAATGAAGAGAGAAAGATCGAAAAAAACCCTGAATGACTTGATTGCCTATAAAACTATGTGTAAACTCTTCTATCTGGCATTGAAATTACCTCAAAAATTTGTTCCTTACTCCCCAAACTAATTTTCTCCTTACTCTACTATGGGAAGATTTTGTTCCAGCCAAAACTGCTAATTAGCTAGCCACAAAAATGTGTCATGCTTTCCTTCTCTGCCTCCATTATCTTCTTTGTGTATCCAAAGCCAAATCTTAACACTCCACTCCAATGCTATTTCTTTAACAAGCTTTGTGTGATCCTCCTGCTTCAGAATAAAAACCTACTCCTCAGAGCACCTGAGGCATCTACTTTTAACGTGCTGTCATTTGTATCAGCTGTTTTAATATAAATCTTCTTCTTGTAAGGGCAGTTGCTACTTAGCTACACCCTTTGGTCACCATCCAGGTGTTAGAGTCCATGCTGACAGATCTTCAGAGTTTTTAGAAAAGATCAATGTGAGATTTTTCTGTGATTTCCTTTATTATTAAATGATGGTTTAATTTAAATAAAAATCACCACCATACAAGCTAAAATACATCTGCAGCACGACAGGATCCTTGGGTTTCCACTTTCAGACCTTTGTCATAGAGCATCATGTTTGCAGAAAGAAGGAAGAAAAAAAAAGAATTGAGTAAAAACTTCCTTTTCAAAGTCATATAGTCAATGCTTGTGTGTGATTCTGTTCCCAGGTATATAGAAATCAACCTACCCACCCATGGGTAGAAAATAGGTCTTAATATTTATTAGCTCTTCTAACCACATGGATCTTAATGGGCCATGTAATAGGAAGTCCCAGCTGGGACCCGTGCAAGTCCTGTGTTTTATACAGAATGTAAACATCTGTCTAGTTGGAGAGAGAACACGCTCACTTTCTTTATGCCCCTCATTAACTTTCTGAGGTAGGGTTGATTGTTTCGGAACTTTTGGGTGAATGTGAATATTATACATGACAATTTCATTTATATAGTGTGTAATGTAATATGCCCGCATAGAGACTATCACATCATGCCTTTCAACCAATCCGCCTACATTTAATATATATTTGTGATATGTATGGCTCAGTGTTTGGTGGTGTAGGCAGAAACACATAGGAAGAGGAGAAGACTTACATTAATTGAAAACCTAGTGTGTGCCAAGACATTTATTCTCTTCAACTCATTTTATAAACAGAAAACAGTTTAAGAATCTCAGATGTTTTGAATAGCATGGAAATATACACATTAAAAATAGTTGACAACACAACAGTGCATTGAATATCATATACCGTGGATGGTACAAATAGCATGGATGACAGTAGCTTGCAGCAAGGGGACATTACCTTAGGCAGGATTGATCATGGAAAACTTCATGGAAGAGTTAAGCTTTGGAACTGACTTGGATGAGGCAATAGAAATAAATCCCCATTTGGCAGTGCAGTGGTTCTAAGAAGTTAGAGGAGATCATCTCTTTTTTCCTAAGAGCTATCTTCTTCAAATGATCGTGTAGTTTGAAATAATTTCCTAGAACCCAATACCACATTTTATAATGTAGAAAAAATACACATTCTTGAGTAAACTTTAAATTGTTCATATATATGTATATGTGTAATATACATATACATTTATAGATAATCTGTTCTTCTAATTCTTTTTTAAAGTAAATAAAGAATAAACTAAAAATTAAAAGTTCCCTCCCACTGCATGATATTTGGCCTGTGTGATCTAATAATGTACGATGGAAGTGATGATGAGTGACCTTTGATCCTGGGTCATAAAGGGAATTGTGACTCCCTTCTAGCATCATAAAAGGCATTACAGCGTCCACCTTGGTCTCTGGGATCACGCATTAAGGGAAAAGCTATCCATTATGTCATAAGGACTCTTAAGTAGCTCATGTTAATTGAATACCTCCTATGTGCCAAGAACTGAGGCCTCCCACCAAAGGCCAGCACTAACTTGCCAGACATGTGTATGAGCCACCGTGTTAGTAGATTCTCCACCTCTGGAGGAAGGTTTCAGATGGCCACAGCCCCAGCTGGCACCTTGACTGCTTTGGATGCCCCGAGTAAGAACTGCTTAGCTAAGCTGCTCCTGAATTCCTAACCCCTTCTTCTAGAACTTGAAATGAGGTCCTAAAGCACTTGCACAGAAGAGCCACAAAAACCTCAGATAGGGGGCAAGAGAAAGAGGATGGAAGAGCTATTAAAATTATTTGTTTCTTCACAGTCTTTCCCAGAAATATCTCTGAAATCACATGAGTCTTGGAGGGAGGCTTTGTCCCCTTCCTCTCCTCTGAGTAACTCGTTGTAGAGCCCAACAGTGCAAGATGTAGGATAATAGGAGGGATTATTTCCAGGGAGTACCAGTAATGATACTGAGCATGAAAATAGTTAAACAGGACAAAAGAAATACCTCAAACAGATCAATTGGGCAGAGAGCTGATGTACATATAAAAGAATTCCCATCTGGAAACCAGAGGGTTGAAGTTCTGAAGAAAACTTCAGGGCCCCAGCCAGACAGTGTCTGTCATGCAAAAGGCCTCAGTGATGGAAGGAACAGGAAATGTCATCAAAAACTAATGAGACTGTCAAGTTTCAGCTAGAATTAGATAAAAGCCTGCTTCACTTGCAGGGGACAGTCCTAGTTAGAAGATGAGGAGCCAGAACAAAGCTTGAAGAATTGGATGTTTAAGATAGATTTTTAAATCTCCTCTTATTCACCTATGCCTTCTATACTACATTTAAGGACAATAACTTCAAAGTACTCAGCAACCCAGAATAGTTGGCATTTCTCTTTGGAGAATGACTATTTTAAAAAGGCACCTGGAACCTCCCATTTCAAGGGGGAAAGATCACATACAACTTGAGAAACTGGTGCCCGTATAGGGACAAATTGGGGAAGATAATATCAAAGAGAAACAAATGGGAGTTTACATATGCGTGTGTGTGAATTTGACCTGAATATCAGCTTTGCTTTCTAAGCATGCTTGAAAATGTTTGTGGTAAAAGGATCAGGTGTAAACTTCTTGTTATATATTTTCTTAACATTTCAGATTAAAAGACACATACATGTTCAATCTACTACCTTTGGAATTATCCAATAACCACACCAATTTCCTATATAGGACTGAATTTTTCCTAGTCATAAGATGAAGAATGCAAATAGATCATTTACTAGAGGAATGTTAATAGGGCATGTTTCTTCCTCTTTTTTGAGACAGAGTCTCATTCTGTCACCCAGGCTGGAGTATAGTGGCATGATCTCGGCTCACTGCAAATTCAGCCTCCAGTTTCAGGCAATTATTGTGCCTCAGCCTCCCCATTAGCTGGGACTATAGATGCATGCCACCATGCCCAGATAGTTTTTGTATTCTTTGTAGAGACAGGATTTCACCATGTTGGCCAGGGTGGTCACAAACTCCTGGCCTGAAGTGATCCACCTGCCTTGAGCCCCAAAGTGCTGGGATTACAGGTGTGAGCCATTGTGCCTGGCCGGCCATGTTTCTTCTTTTACAATTTGCCTATAAATAGACCACATGACCACATGCTCTCTTAAGGTATTGATGTGCTCATGTTTTATGTACACACACACACACACACCCCTCACAGACACATCAGATTTTCATACTAAAAAATCAAGTTTGGAGGAAATTTTAAATTTTAGGCTAGGTTAGATACTACTTGAAATTTTGAAGGGTATTTTAAACTCTCCATATACATCCCTGGGGTAAAGCAGTGACAGGGGCCACATTTGCCTTTCTTTGATGCCCTTGGGTCCTCCTTCTGCATCCACAGCTTTCTTCTCTGTCCTGCATCTCACTCCTCCTGGATACTTTCTATTACTGGTTTCCTCATTAGGACATCTCTGCATTTACAAAGCCCTCTTCTCCCATCAGAAAAAAATTGTTCTGATCCATCACTACAACTGTTTTTGTTGGAGGCGTAAATTTTCATTTTTTTGAAATTTCCTGTGTCGTATTTGTTGTAGCATGAAGAAAATGCAGTTGAGGCTTCTCTCCAGTTGCACCTTTTACCACGAAGGCTTATAAATAATATTTTGAAATTCATTTTCTTCCTCTCTTCTTTGTACCAATGATTGAAGTCTTTTTTCTGGCCATCATGATCTCTCACCTAGATATGATAATAGCTTCTAAATTTGTCTCCATGACTCTAGACTCTGCTTTCCTTAAATCTATCTTAGCCCAACAGGGTAATCATTGTAAGACTCAAGTCTGATTATGATATTCCCTCAGTTAACATCTTCTGTTATTCCTCATTACCTACATTATAAATACAAACAAAATACCTTAATATACAAGGCCTTTTACAGCCTGTTCCCAGCCTACTCTCCCAGACTCATCTTCCTTGACTCCTCATAGCCTCAGCTCTCTCTGTCTTCCCTTGGTTTCCAGATACTTGAAAGACTCTCCCAACCTTTAAGACATCCTTTGTTCTACAATATACTCAGTTTTTAACTCCAGATATAGATACTGCATTCAGATATAGAAAAATATGAAAAAATAAAAACTAGATCCCTCCTCTATTTTATATGCCCTGACTCATAGTACCATAGATTGTAGCCATCTCAGAACTGGCAGCAATCCCTTTGCCAAGTAAGAAAGAGTAACTTTATCAGGTGACTATTATACTATTAATTGATACATTTTCCTCTCATTCTCCTCCTCTGTCACAATTCTAAATTCATATATACAAAGTTTCAGTGAAGAACTGGAAAGAAAGCACATGGAGAAGATCACAAAAGTGGACACGGGCTGGACGCGGTGGCTCATGCCTGTAATCCCAGCACTTTGGGAGGCCGAGGTGGGTGGATCACGAGGTCGGGAGATCGAGACCATCCCTGCTAACACGGTGAAACCCCGTCTCTGCTAAAAAAATACAAAAGATTAGCCGGGCGTGGTGGTGAGCGCCTGTAGTGCCAGCTACTCAGGAGGCTGAGGCAGGAGAATGGCGTGAACCCAGGAGGCGGAGCTTGCAGTGAGCCGAGATCATGCCACTGCACTCCAGCCTAGGCGACAGAGCAAGACTCTGTCTCAAAAAAAAAAAAAAAAAAAAAAAAACAAAAATAAAAAGGGGACATGGGCTGGACCAGTGGTATGTTGTATCCATATCCAGGCAGGTGAAGTCTCCACAATTAAAATACTCTTGGTATGACAGAGTCAAGAAAATCCCTGGCAATAATTTATCTAGAATTCTTAAAAACTTTTCATTCGTTCATAAAATCAGAGAGCCAGGTAATAGATACGGAAGACATTAAGTGGACCAGATTTGCTTTAGAAACAGAATTGTCCAGCTCTTTAGTTTTAGAACTGAGGAAGAGATTGAGATAACACCCAAAGTCACAGGAGGGAGAGAGAGAACCAATACTAAAAACAACCAATAAGGTTTTGGTCAGGCAGAATTTACTCTATTTGAAGAAAAATGTAGGAAACAAAAACAAAGTAACTAAAAACATGGGGATAAAGGGAAAACAATATGTAAGGAAAATAAAGTAGCATTTTATCCTTGAAACCAGGAAGAGAAAGTGCATGCCTTTGAAAATAATCTATTGCAGGAAACAGAATAAAGTATTTTTATAGACAGAAAAATTTAATAACAGCAGTATAGGAAACATGAAGAGCAAAATCGCTAAAGTGAGTTAAGATAGAGTATGAATTAATAAGGAAGAATTGCTAGAAAACTAACAATGAATGAACTTCATTAAATTTTACATTGGAGGAAGTGCACATAATACCACTGGTATTATGCACTGGTTATATGCAGGAGAAACTTGAGCTATTTTAGACTACAGAGATGATATAAAAAAGAAAACTATGAGATAGAAGGTACTATTTTTGAATAGATTGGGGGCTTAGTATGTGTCAGGTTTTGTATTAGTCCGTTTTCGTACTGCTATGAAGACATACCTGAGAGTAGGTAATTTATAAAAGAAAGAGGTTTGGCTGGGCATGGTGGCTCATGCCTGTAATCCCAACACTTTGGGAGGCCGAGGCAGGGGGATCATGTGGTCAGGAGATCGAGACCATCCTGGCTAACACGGTGAAAACTAAAAATTTTCACCGTCTCTACTAAAAATACAAAAAAGTAAAATTAGCTGGGCGTGGTGGTAGGCACCTGTAGTCCCAGCTACTTGGGAGGCTGAGGCAGGAGAATGGCGTGAACCCGGGAGGCGGAGCTTGCAGTGAGCCCAGATCGTGCCACTGCACTCCAGCCTGGGCAACAGAGTGAGACTCCGTCTCAAAAAATAAAATAAAATAAATAAAAGAAAAGAAAACTTACAATAATGGTGGAAAGGGAAGCAAACATGTCCTTCTTCACATGGTGGCAGGGAGAAGACGAATGAGAGCCAAGCAAAGGGGGAAGCCCTTTATAAAACTATCAGATCTCATGAGAACTTACTATTATGAGAATAGCGTGGGGGAAGCCACCCTCATGATTCAATTACCTCCCACCAGCTCCCTCCCACAACACATAGGGAACAACAATTCAAGATGAGATTTGGGTGACAACACGGCCAAACCATATCAGGCTTTATATAACATTTGCCTACCAGATATAATTTACATATAATACAATTAATCCTTATAACAACTCTATGAGATGGCACTATTATCTTCTGTAATTTACAGATGAGAAAATTAGAGTTTAGAAGGTTAACTTGTCCAAGCCTACACACATGGCAAGTAGAACTTGCCAAAACAAACCAGTTCCAGGTTAAGGAACTGTAATTAACTATTTTTATTTTATAAAAATCTCTATTGTGAAAGACTAAAACCATACTTGAAAGGCAAATGACACGCTGAAAAAAATATATGTAATGCCTATGACAACCAAAGACTTGTAATTAGCTATCATAACTATAAAAGAAAAACATGAGGAACATGAATTATTTAATAGAGAATGTGGTCTGAGGACATTTATAGACAAATAATAAAAGAAGAAACATAGCCAATTAGCATGCTTTTAGTAAATAGAAACTTTGCTGGTAATAAAATAATTCCGAAATAGGCAATTGAAATGATTTGTACATGTTTCAAATCAATAAAAAGGAAAAGAATGGTAATATCCTGTCAGCAAGAGGTGAAGACAGAAACACTTCACCTTTATTGATACTGGTAATAAAGATGGGCATATACATTTTTTGGATAGTAATGAACATTGTGAATGGAAAGCCTTTAAAAACTCATTTGACTTGTGAGCCGAAACACCTTCTATTGGAAATTCACACTTTTACAAGTAGATAATCATATATATTGATTACAGCGTGTTTCCTATTTTCCATACTATTGTTTATAATAGGGAAAATGGAAAATGTTAAGTATTAAATACACAATGGAGCATTTTTTAATGAAATAAATTTTGGATATTATGAATAAGTTATATCTGTATGTTTAGATGGGAAAAATGCTTCAATTACAATATGAGAAAAAATATAGAAAAGCATATATGCTATGATATTCCCTTTTGCTTATTTATGTTTTGTATTCTTTGCATAAAGGACATGGATTATTCATGTTAAAGTAAATAAAAACATCCCATGATAAGATGATTTAAATGTTAAGCATCATTAGATATTTAGCTTCTTTTTTTTTTTCAAGGAAAGCAAAAAAAAAAAAAAAAGTGTCCGACCCCTTAAACGTGCCATACTGGATTGGACCTGGAGGAATTGTCAGACTTTTCCTCTCTAGGTTGGCTTTTATAAGCAAAATGATGCAAATTAAGCACTGGCACAGCAACTGGCACATAGTTTATTTCATTATTATTGTTATTACCATTATCTGTATGATAGACTATTATATATATGAGTTTCTTAAGGAAAAATTATATATATTAAATATATGATCTTTGATTTAAAAAAATCCCAATAAAAAAGTTTCATTTTTCATCACTGGAATAGAACAAAGGTCCAGTTCCAAAAGTAGCTTCTTACTTTTCTGATAATACAACTCTAAGTCAATTCCATTGATTGACTTGCTAAGGACAATTAGAAAACACAGACCGCTGCAGGCCTGTATGCAGAAACTGGAGCCATTCAGAGAATGCAGTCCCTGCCAGAGTTGCCACCTGAGGCTGAGTAGGAGGAGTGGATGTACCCTGGAAGTCTCCCTTTTCCTGTCCCCTGATTCCTCCTGCCTGTGTCTTCCATGAGTCTAACCCAGTGGGAAGCCAGGTGATACGGGAATTTAGAGTACAGTTGTAGGGGAAAGGTCAGAACCAGATCTGAGGGAAAACAGATCCAGAAGCAGCACAGGGAGGCCACAAACTACGTAGGTAGATGCCATTTAGACTTATTGGTGGATCGCCATCTTTCAGAAGAGTCTAGGTTGAGGGGTTCAAGGTTAAGAGTGATCCACATATAGAGAGTCTATGGGCCACTGGTAGGTTCATTCTGGTCTGCCTGGAATAGCTTTATTTTATCCTTGTTGTCCTAGTAAAGTTTTAAATAACGCTATCTCCCTCAAAAATGTTCCGCTTTAAAAGATGAATCAATCATTGCCCTAACTATAGGAGTTTCTCTCAGATTCTTTGATTATTCTCAAGAGTTCTTCTCTGAAATTGATAGAACTAATGCCAGAAAGAGGATATATATGGCCACACTATCTACACTTGGAGACCCTACACAAAATGCAATTCCTTGTATAGTGAGCTCAAGATGCCCAGGAAAGAGTCTATGCAAAAATGGTACTTCTACAGTCTAATCGTCATAGGTTACTGCTAGAACATTAAGGTGTAGGTTAAATTTATTTAAATATCTGAAGCTGAAGATCTGAGAAATTAAAATCTTAGTTAACCAATGACAATACTTTTTTGTGACAAGGAGCTCTTATTCATAATTGTAGCAAAAACACAAAATATAAAGGAAACAATTTAGCAAGAAATATAATAGATGAGAAGAGGACAACCTCAGAACTTCTGTGATCAGAAAAAGGCTTTAGTCAAGAAATATCTATTCCTGACTAGAAAAACTCAATGTTCTAAAGTTATTTAGTACATAATTATTTGTAATTTGAAATCAATCTCAATTATAATTCAAAGACATTCTAAAGTTTGTTTGCAGGAATATCCTGAAAGTACTTGGAAAAGATAAATAATTGAGGAAGACTGTGGAGGAGGCTTATACCACCAGACTTTAAAGTATCTTAAAATGTTGTAAAAAATTAAAGCAGGGTATATTAGGAGCAGAAGTAAAATTCTGAAAATTTCAGAATGCATTCTATTATATGTAAGAGTATACTACATTTAAAAAGTTGACAAACATAATCCATAAAATAGTAGGTTATTGAATAAGTGATAGTGTGAAAAATAGCTAATTATAAAAATAAATTACAAATGTAGTGTATTACTTTGCTCAGGTTACTATAACAAAGTAACACAGACTATAAGTTTGTTTCTCACAGTTCTGGAGGCTGGAAGTTTAAAAACAAGATGACTGGCAATTCTATTTCTGAGGAGGGCTTTCTTCTTCTTCTTAAAAGGGTACTGTCCTTATAGGATTAGGGCCCCACCCTTATGACCTCATTTAACCTTTATCACCTCCTCACTGGCCCCATCTCCACATTAGTTACACTGGGGGTTTAGGACTTCAACTTATGAATTTTGTGGATCACAAACATGAAGTCCATGGCGTGTAGAAAACCTGGCAAATAAAGGTAAAATGCAACTATTAAATTGCTAGAAAAAAAGGTAAATAAACATAAGGGCTATTTGGGCTAAAGTTTCACCAGCATTTTAATGTTTACAGTTTTAAAATTAATAAAAACAGAAAATATTTTTAATAGAGTTAATTAATTTTTGGCTTCTAAATCCTCATTCTTGAAATTGAGATTTGAATAAATTTTACTTAAATACAAAGTGGCAGTGTAGAACAGAGCCCTCTTGCATTTGGATATTTAACTTGGAAATCATAAAGTAAAAGCACACAGAGTTTTTAAATGGCTGTGAAGTAGCACAGGCATTTCTAGGAAAAATATTTTGTTTTTCTAGGAATAAAATGAAGAAGCAGAAGAAAAAAAATTGATCATTCTTCCTGAAGGAAGTTAAAAACCTTATTTTGAGATTATTAAAATTACTTTGAATTATCGAAGGTACAGGTTTTTAGACAGAGTTCAAATTAGGATGGTTTCACTGTATTAATAGGTGAAGGTCAAAGAGAAAGGAAGTAGGGTGGGAAAAGGAAATATCCCTCTTAATTAGATGGGCTCAAAAGCTGGCCAGAAAAAAAAAATATTAGCATGCAGTTTTGTGAGATGACATGTAAGTACAAGGCAAAACAGTGAATGTTTTAACAGAGCTAAACTTTTAACTTTAAGGGAGGTCTAATTCTTTATTGCTGTGGTGTCTCTCATACTCAAAAAATGTTTGATATAGCTTTTTGGGAGAGCATTGACCTCACAGTCTGTGATACATTATCTTGGAAATATTGTCATTGGAAGCAAATATTCACCTTCTGAAGGTTACTTTTTATTTTTGCCTGATGATAAATTCTTCCCAGACTCCTGCTGATGGATAAAGAGATTGACTAGGCCAGGGAATGCTTGCTTAGGCATGAATGTTTGGTGGACGATGAGGATATTAATTTTCTTCTGTTGCATCAAAATTCTGTCAAAGATAATGCTGAGAGAGTAATGTGGTATATTGAATTGTAAGTTCATAATTATTTATCTCCTCTCCACCATTACCTTATTTATGTGTAGGCATTGGTTTCAAGCTTGGTCATATGACATGGCTTGGCTAATGATATGACTTTTGCCATACCTAAGAGAAGCTTTGAAGGTGCCCTCATGCGTTGACACTACCTCTTTAGTTCCTGCCTTCTGCCAAGAATGAACAGCATTTTCATTTAGTGAATGCCTCTTCAGCCTGGGTTCCAGAAGGAGAAGACATATAGAGTCTACTTGAGCCTAGTCATGTCCAGGAGAGTGGATGAGAGCCACAAAAGCCTATTGTTCTCGTGTTATATGCGCAAGAAGTTTTTATTAACTACTAAGATTTTGAAGTTGTAAGCTACTGCACAAAAACTGACCAGCAAAATGAATGGTGCCAGAAGTGGCATAATGCCAAAAAGAACTTTTAAATACAGGACTGATAAATATATAGGCAAGCAAACTTAGAAAGGAGGCAGAAAAATGTAGCAATCTATCTTATGCATTGGTAAAACATTTGGTAAAATAATTGCCTGCAATAAGTTGGAAGACAGAAAGTGCAGCTAATAAACTTGTGACTTTGGGCAAAGAGATACTGAGCAGAATTTTCATAGCATGAGTTGGTTGTCATTAGTGAA
Organism: Homo sapiens; assembly: GCF_000001405.40. NCBI lineage: Eukaryota > Metazoa > Chordata > Mammalia > Primates > Hominidae > Homo > Homo sapiens. Next base: position 28,950,718 of record NC_000011.10, read on the forward strand.
ATTTGATTAGATATTACAATAAAGAATGAGCTAAGAGAAGAATTAGCCTGTTTCCAAGGAAGAAGAATGGGAAGAGAGATACTGTAATTCCAACATTCTAGGACTGGCAGTTGAAAGGCACACAGCTTTCTTATTTGACAGTAAACTATTGTCAAATTAAGACAGTCTCAAGGCAAAGAACCATTTAATGGTGTGACTCTTCCACCTTAAGACCTCTTGTTGGATCAAGATAGACTCAGAAAATTCTTTCTGTTGGACAAAATGTCTCAAAGACCCTAAATGTGTTGCTATCCCAAGGAATAATGTTAAACTTGAGGTGGCCAAAATTAACTATTGAGTAGCACAGTCCAGCAGAAATATATTGCAACCTACCACATATATAACCTAAAATTTTGCTAACCACATTTTATGAAGTAAAAAGAAACATGTAAATAATTCAATACATTTGCTAATTTTAAGATATATTAATTCAACATATACAGAATATTATAATTTCTTCATGTAACCAATATAAAAATATTAAGACCTCCATTTTTTGTACTTCTTGTTCAATATCAGATGTGTGCTTTATACTTAAATCTCAATTCAGACTAGTCACATTGCAAATGCTTAATAGCCATAGGTGACTAATGGCTACCCTATTGGACAGCACAGTTTTAGAGAACTGGGAATGTCAGAAAAACAATTATGTGGTTCCTGCAAAGGAAATGAATAGAATAACATAGGCCAAGAAAAGGGCAATAAAGTTTTTAAAAGAATTGTATTGCTAGAATGAACTTAAAAAGATTGTGACGATTCTTCAGTTGTAAATTGACCTTTCAGACTTCCCATGCCCAGTAAACAGTCTGATAACTGCAATAGATGTATTCCACTGAGATATTGAAGTTGTTTGGTGCCATATCCAAAGCAAACTAATGCAAGAAATAGTAAACATTTTTTTTATTATTATTATACTTTAAGTTTTAGGGTACATGTGCACAATGTGCAGGTTAGTTACATATGTATACATGTGCCATGCTGGTGTGCTGCACCCCTTAACTCGTCATTGACATTAGGTATATCTCCTAATGCTATCCCTCCCCCTCCCTCCACCCCACAACAGTCCCCAGAGTGTGATGTTCCCCTTCCTGTGTCCATGGGTTCTCATTGTTCAATTCCCACCTATGAGTGAGAACATGTGGTGTTTGGTTTTTTGTCCTTGTGATAGTTTACTGAGAATGATGATTTCCAATTTCATCCATGTCCCTACAAAGGACATGAACTCATCATTTTTTATGGCTGCATAGTATTCCATGGTGTATATGTGCCACATTTTCTTAATCCAGTCTATCATTGTTGGACATTTGGGTTGGTTCCACGTCTTTACTATTGTGAATAGTGCCACAATAAACATACGTGTGCATGTGTCTTTATAGCAGCATGATTTATAATCCTTTGGGTATATACCCAGTAATGGGATGGCTGGGTCAAATGGTATTTCTAGTTCTAGATCCCTGAGGAATCGCCACACTGACTTCCACAATGGTTGAACTAGTTGACAGTCCCACCAACAGTGTAAAAGTGTTCCTATTTCTCCACATCCTCTCCAGCACCTGTTGTTTCCTGACTTTTTAATGATCGCCATTCTAACTGGTGTGAGATGGTATCTCACTGTGGTTTTGATTTGCATTTCTCTGATGGCCAGTGATGGTAAGCATTTTTTCATGTGTTTTTTGGCTGCATAAATGTCTTCTTTTGAGAAGTGTCTGTTCATGTCCTTCGCCCACTTTTTGACGGGGTTGTTTGTTTTTTTCTTGTAACTGGATCCCTTCCTTACACCTTATACAAAAATTAATTCAAGATGGATTAAAGACTTAAACGTTAGACCTAAAACCATAAAAACCCTAGAAGAAAACCTAGGCATTACCATTCAGGACATAGGCATGGGCAAGGACTTCATGTCTAAAACACCAAAAGCAATGGCAACAAAAGACAAAATTGACAAATGGGATCTAATTAAACTAAAGAGCTTCTGCATAGCAAAAGAAACTACCATCAGAGTGAACAGGCAACCTACAAAATGGGAGAAAATTTTCGCAACCTACTCATCTGACAAAGGGCTAATATCCAGAATCTACAATGAACTCAAACAAATTTACAAGTAAACATATTTTTTAAAATAGCAAGCTTCAAGATAGGCTTTTAAGGCCTGGCGCTGTGGCTCATGCCTGTAATCCCAGCACTTTGGGATGCCGAGGCAGGTGGATCATGAGGTCAGGAGATCAAGACCATCCTGGCTAACATGGTGAAACCCTGTCTCTACTAAAAATACAAAAAATTTGCCGGTCATGCTGGCGGGTGCCTGTAGTCCCAGCTACTTGGGAGGCTGAGGCAGGAGAATGGTGTGAACCTGAGAGGTGGAGGTTGCAGTGAGCCAAGAGCATGCCACTGCACTCCAGCCTGGGGACAGAGCAAGACTCCATCTCAAAACAAACAAACAAACAAACAAAAAGATAGGCTTTTACTACTGCCAAACTATGCATAGCTCTCTCTCCTGACTTTGTTCTCTCCAACATACGTTTAAAAGTGAAAGCTTACCTCATTACACACCAGCAAAAACTACTATCATCTTACATTGGAAAAAGCAGAATTCATATCAGAAAGACCTGGATTTCAGTCATGATCTTGCCACTCTTTTAAATGCAAGGATACGTTGTGTTATTGTGATTGGTTTTATTGTGCTTCACAAATATTATTCTTTTCACGAATTGAAGGTGTGTGGCAACCCTGCATGGAGCAAGTCTATTGGTGCTATTTTTTCAAATGTGTGCTCATTTTGTGTCTTTGTGTCACATGTTCGTAATTCTCACAATATTTTAAACTTTTTCATTATTATTGTATCTGATTTTTTTTTTATTCAGTGATTTTTGGAAGTTACTATTGTGATTGTCTTGGGAGCACCATGAACCATCCATGCCTGTATAAAATGATGAACTTAATAAATCTGTGTGCTCTGACTACTCAACCATTGGCAATTCTCCCATCTCTCTCTCTTTCTTCAAGCCTTCTGATTTATTCCAACACAACAGTGCTGAAATTAGGCCAATTAATAACCCCACAGTGGTTGAAGTGAAAGGAAGAATCACATGTTTTTTACTTTAAATTGAAAACTAGAAATGATTAAACTTAGTGAGAAAGGCATGTCAAAAGCTGAGATAAGCTGAAAAGTATCTTGCACAAAACATTTAGCCAAGTTGTGAATACAAAGGAAAAGTTCTTGAAGGAAATTAAAGATGCTACTCCAGTGAACACATGAATGATAAGAAAGTAAAATAGTCCTTTTGCTGATATGGAGAAAGTTGAACTGGTCTGGATAGAAGAACAAACCAGCCACAACAGTTCCTTAAGCCAAAGTGTAATTCAGAGCAAGGCCCTAAATCTCTTCAATTCTATGAACAATGAGAGAGGCAAGGAAGCTGCCAATGAAATGTTTGAAGCTGGCAGAGGTTGATTGTTTCATGAGATGTAAAAAAGAAAGCCATCTCCATAACATGAAAGTGCAAACTGAAGCAGCAATTGCTGATTTAGAAGCAGCAGCAAGTTATCCAGAAGATCTAGGTAAGATCACAGATGGAAATGGCTACACTAAACACCCAATATTTAATGTAGACAAAACTGTCCTGTATTGGAAGGAGATACTACCTAGGGCTTTCATAGCTAGAGAGGAGAAGTCAGTGCATGGTTTCAGTGCTTCAAAGGACAGGCTGACTTTCTTATTAAGGACTAATACGGTGTATGACTGAAACCAGTGATCATTTACTCTTCCAAAAATCCTAGGGCCCTTAAGAATTAAGCTAAACCTAGTCCTCCTGTGCTCAATAAATTGAACAACAAAACCTGAACGATAGCATGCCTATTTATAGCAATGGCTCACTGAATATTCTAAGCGCACTTAAGAGAATAGCTGCTTGGAAAAAAAAAGATTTCTTTCAAAATACTACTGCTCATTGACAACGTGCCTGGACACCCAAGAGCTGTGGTGGAGATGTCCAAGGAGATACACACACACAGACACACACACACACACACACACACACACATACATATATATATATATATATATATATATATATATATATATATATATATATTCATTTATTTATTTATTTATTTGAGACAGAGTCTTGCTCTGTCGCCCAGGCTGGAGCGCTATGGCGCAATCTCGGCTCACTGCAACCTCTGCTCCCCGGGTTCAAGCGATTTTCCTGCCTCAGCTTCCTGAGTATCTGGGATTACAGGCACACACCACCACGCCCAGCTAATTTTTGTATTTGTAGTAGAGACAGGGTTTTACCAAGTTGGTCAGCTGGTCTCAAACTCCTGACCTTGTGATCCGCCGCCTCAGCCTCCCAAAGTGCTGGGATTACAAGCGTGAGCCACCGTGCCCGTCCAAGGATATTAATATTTTCACTCTTGCTGGCACAACATCCACTCTCTAGTCTGTGAATCAAGGAGTTATTTTGACTTTCAAATCTTATTATTTAAGAAATACATTTCATAAGTCTATAGCTGCCAAAGATAGTGATTTCTGTGATTGATCTGGGCAAAGTAAATTGAAAACCTTCTGTAAAGAATTCACCATTTTAGATGCCATTAAGAACATTTGTGATTCATGGAAGAAGGTCAAATTATCAACATTAACAAGAGTTCAGAAGAAGTTGATTCCAACCCTCACGGATACTTTGAGAGATTCAAAACTTTAGTGGAGGAAGTAACTGCAGATGTGGTGGGAATAGCAAGAGAATTAAAATTAGAGTGGAGCCTGAAGATGTGACTGAATTGTTGCAATCTCAGGATAACACTTGAGGAGTGTTATCCTCCTAACAGATGAGGAGTTGCTGCTTATGGATGAGAAAAGAAAGTGTTTTCTTCAGATGGAATGTACTCCTGGTGAAGATGTTATGAACATTGTTGAAATAACAACGAAGGATTAACATATTCCATTAACGTAGTTGATAAAGCAGCAGCAGAGTTTGAGAAAATTAAGTCCAATTTTGAAAGAAGGTTATACTTTGGGGTAAATGCTATCAGATAGTATTGCATGCTGCAGAGAAATCTTTTGTGAAAGGAAGAGTTAATCAATGTGGCAAACTTTATCATTGTCTTAGTTTAAGAAATTGACTCAGCCACTCCAACCTTCAGCAACCACCACTCTGATCAGTCAGCAGCCATCAACTTCGAAGCAAGACCATCCACCACCAAAAAGATTAGGATTTGAGAAAGCTCAGATGATCATTAGAATTTTTAGAAGTAAAGTATATTTTAATTAAGGTGTGCACGTTGGGTTTTTTAGACATAATGCTATTGCACACTAAATAGACTATAGAATAGTGTAAACATAACTTTTATAAGCACTAGAAACCAAAAATTTGGTGTGACTCTATTGTCATATTCACTTTATTGCAGTGGTCTGGAACCAAACCTGCAGTATCTCAATTATGCCTGTGTAATCCTTACACCAGACACTGTTACACTAACAAATTGTTTCACTAATGGCCTCTTTGTATCCACATGTTTTGTGATTTCTCACACTTTCTCTGGACTTAGTCCTATGACTTTGTTTGGCCAATGGGACATCAGAAAACATAATACAAGCAGAGTCTTAACAAGTATTTCTATATGGAAGCTTGTTCTCTTGGAACGTGGCCACTATGTAAAGAAGTTTAAGACATGAAGACTGCTAAAGACCCATTGCCTGGCCTATAGCTCTTTCTAACAATTAAACACGGGAATGAGGCTATCTTAGATCATTTAGTCCAGACAAGCCAACTAATATGTGCAACCACATGAGTGACCCCTGTCAAGACGAACAGAAGACCTGCCCAGCTGGGCCCATTCCAAATTGCTAACTGGAGAACTATGAGCAAATAAAGTGTTTGTTGTTTTAAGCCACTAATTTTGGGGATAATCTTGTTAGCGACTAGATAACCAATACATAGACTTTAGGAATGTTACTTAACCCCCTTGATCAGTTTTCCTCATCTATAAAACAAGGTTAATAATATTTACTTTAGTGTTGTAATTCCAGGTAGTGACAGGCATGTAACATACTCTTAAATAAACAGTAACAACCTTTATATTGTTGCCTCTTTTTCTCTTCTCTCTACCGCCCTCCCTTTTTCCTACTTTTGTTTCCTCTATTGCTCCTTCCTCGCTATTGTCTTCCCAATGACATTCTAAGAAAAACACCATTGGAATCAATGCCTAGCCTACCTGATGGCTAAATTGAAGGGGCCCACTTCATTTGGATAAGAAAATTTTAACAATTTGGTATGAAGCTAGCTGCATTACATAATAGATACATTTGATTAAAATCTCATTAAATGCAGGGACGAAGGGATACAACTCTCTAGAAGTTCAAATTTGCCTATAGATATTGCACCAGAATCGTCTCCTAAGTGATGTATTTCTCTGCTAGTCATGTTGTTTCTCAGCAGTGAATTTAAATCTGTGCTTTTGTGTCTAGTCTTGTTTCTATGCCAGAAAAAATTATCAATATTTGGCAAAGCCAATAGACTAACCAGACATTCTTTATTCATCCAACTTAATCAAAACTTGTAATCAGTGAATAAGAATCATTTGCCTAAAAAAGAAAAAAAAAAGGAATAAAAATGGGCCTAGGATTGAATGACTCATGCAGGAACTTTATAATTTTGCTCTGTGCTTTATAAAGTAATTTCAAAATCATATGTAATTATTTTAAATATTTTATAAGCTATGGTGACTTTTTAATAAGGGTTTCTAATTATCCAATAGAGTTTCTAGAAAGATTTACAGAATATGTAGTATACATATGATGAGTCATTTGTCATCCAAAAGCTTGTGAAGAAACCCTTATTCCTAAAAATAGGCCCCCCCTAGATTTGATACTGCCTGTAATTTTTTACTTGAGACATTTTCTTTTTATATCTCTGACTCCACTTTTGGTAAATCATGATACATAACTATATAAAACATCATATAATCTTAAAAAAGGGGATAAAGATGCCAACTGTACCACATCATACACAGTACGCTATGCACCAAAAAATTGGACTAGCAAATGAATTTCAGGATGGAGAAGATGAAATCTTCAGTTTTCCTTATCTTTTGCTCCAGTGTCTCCCACCCTACCCTTGTACCCTCACTTCCTGAAAGTTTATGATTATCTGTTGTACATTGACAACAGGGGAACAACCAATAATTAACATGAGGAGAAAAGTATTTTTAAAAATGTATTGGAATAAGGCTTTCACAAGAGCATAAGAACTCATTCATACTTGTGAGTCCAAAGAATAAACTCCTAACAATGTATCTTAACTTTAAATTTCCCTTTTCAGGAGACAAAACCTGATAGGGAGAAACAGAGACATCTCTTAGACTGGCTGTCTTCTGATTACATAGCTCACCAACTACATGGCAAAATATGGAAACATGAATTAATATAAGAATATAACATAAAATCCATGTAAAAAGATAGATGAATTGCAAACTTGTGCTATTTAACACAAACTTAAAGAATACCATTCAAAGATGATACTGTGTTTTGTTTTTTGTATACCCTTGTAAGCATATGGAAAAATCCATAGCTTGGATTTGTTCTAGGCTTTGATAAGTTTTCCAATTATGTTTTCACCAAAAATGTTGTGGTTCAATCTAATTAAGTCAATATTTTAAAATATCTTTTTAAAAACACCTTGGTTTTTGTCCCCCTTGGCATAATTCCTTTAAGCAACTTTAAGACATGCTGGGTAACAGACCACATGACCCATATTCATAAGTTAATCCTGAAATACTTGTTCCTGCCCAGAAAATGCTTTTATGTCACAAGTCAGCCCATAGTCAACACTGTAGAATGATACATAGTAATGGTTAAAAGGCTTTCCAAAATGATCTAGCCCAAATCTCCTAGTTAGTGTGTGAGAAACTAGTTCCCCAAAACTTAGCACACTTTCCCAAAGTCATTGGTATGGTTTAAATATTTGTCTTCTCCAAAACTCATGTAGCAATTCAATCCCCAATGTGGCTGTCTTGACAGGTAGAGCCTTTAAAAGGTGATTGGGTCATGAGGGCACTGTGCTCATGAATGAATTAATCTATTCATGGACTGATGGATCAATGCGTTTTCATGAGAATGGGGCTGGTGGATCTATAAGAAGAGGAAGAGAGACTTAAGCTAGCACACACAGTCATGGCGTGTGCTGCCTTGGGACTCTGCAGAGAGCCCTCACCAGCAAGAAGGTTCTCACCAGACGTGGCCCCTTGGCCTTGGACTTCTCAGGCTCTATAACTGTAAAAAATAAATTCCTTCTCTTTATAAACTACCCAGTTTCAGATATTCTGTTTTAAACATCAGAAAACAGAATAAGGCAGTCACACAGCTTTGTAAAGAAAAATAACCACAGAAACCCTCTTGTTATAATAATTCATTTAGTCAAGGATAGGCACTTGACTAAAGCTTGGCCAGTTAGGGTAATTTTATATTTCTAGCCACAATGATTGCTTTAGCAATGCTGCACTGTAGCAAGTTATAATCACAGTACTTTTCAGAAGCTATACAAACTCTACAAGAGACCCTTTTATTCTGTATGCTGGACTTGAATGGTAGTTGCAGTGCTACTGGCAGCCACATTGACACTTCAAGGAACCAGGCAACTGGAAGGAAACTGAAACGACAGATTGTTTGTGCTCCCCAATACTTATATTCTTCCTGATATATCCCTGATGATTTCAACTATGTAAGCCAATATATTTCCCATCTTACTGATACATGTGTTTTTTATTGGCTTATAGAAGTTTGAGTTGGGTTTTCTGCCACATGGAAAGTGTCTGGATACATGAACTTGATATAATTTTATTATTAAAATAATGTAGGACTTTCAGGTCTTTTAAACACATTGATGATGATAAAATGTCTTCGTGTAGAAATCTTTCTTTGTATTTCAGAATTATTTCCCTAAGAGAGATATAAGGGAGATTCTTAATAATGGAGTTCTTAAATGTGAGACAGTCTTACATATAGAATTAATAGACAAAATTTAAAGACTTTTGATACTCATGTTTCAATTACTTTCTGACAATGAGCAAGCTTTATTTCTATCGGAACTATATAGGCTGATCTTCCTTATGCAAACTTTACTAGACTTGAATACTACCATTTTGAGAAAAATGCTTCTATGTTGAACCAAAACTGCTATCTTGTTTTCAAAAAAGAAAGTTATTTTTTAACTATTGCTTTAGTTTTCTTTAAGATGGGTGTTATGAAAATCATAGCAAAATGATTCAGTTCTTAGGAGTTGCAGGTGGGACAAATTATCTACCTTTGCAAATGAAGTGTTCCTAACTATAAGGAAGAGTGAATCCATTTGGAATGGTGTAGGGTAGGGTAGAGAGCAAAGAAACCCATCTAAATTGATCATTTTTTGGAAATTACATTTTATGTTGAAAGTTATTTAGCACTTGCCTTCTGCTTTGTATAAGAATAACATATATTTGTAATCTGAAAGTAATGGTTCAAATTTTTTCTTCTTTTACTTCAAATTACTTACATTCAATAAGTATAAGTAATTCCATTTGAGAACTTTGATGGAAATTAAACTAATAACTAGAAAGCTGTTTTGAAATATAGAAATAATCCGGACCACTCAAGAATCAGTAGAAACATGTCTTCTGCAAACTTTAAGCACTTCAAAGAGCAAATCAGTTAGAATTCAACATTCTTTATCATTTAGAGCAAGTTTTATATCCTGATGAGTGAAAATCTATTATATAATTGATAACAAACCTCAATGGGACAGAGGTTGCCAAGTTGTAGGACTGTCAACATAGTTTTCTATGTGTAAATTTCTATGTGTAATTTTAAGTGGATATCTTGTGTAACCATATAGGGCAGCCTTGCTTCTTGATAAGAGAAAAATATCGTAACAATTATATGAGAGATGTTGTAGTCATTTACAATTTTAAGCATACATTAGGTGTAGCACAAACAACCATGGGATAGGTTAAAAATTATTTTCCTAAATTTACAGGGAAGAGTCTCAAATCTATTTATAACATGCTCAAAATTTCAAAGAGGTATCATATTAGACTAAAGCTCAGAAATCCCCAGGTGGTTGTTTTTGTTGTTTTAAAGCCTGTTCCCTGCTACATATTATATACTTCATTCTATAGAATTGAGTTATTTAAGAACAAATAAAACATTCCTAATCCTATAATCATAATTTTCTAAATGTGAATTTCTTTTTGGTGATGCAGTTTCTGTTGAAATGTTCTTTTTGTGACACTGTCACAGCAGGTAATTATGAACAGAAAACATTGTCCTTCTATAGGGAACAGAGCCTGTGCATCACCTGATCTAAGCTGGTGTGTTGTGATATTTGAATAAATTAGTAATAATGTGCTTTTTGAAAAACAAGTTCCATCTTTCCTAAAAGGTAATTTTAAAAATCTCATTTAATAAAAGCTCAGAATGGTTACATTCTCTTTTTTTTTTCAGATACACTGACTTATTATTGAGTAGGATCATTCTCTGATAATTCTGCACTGAATAATACTCATATTAATATCCTGCTCATCCTCAAACAATAACCATTGTCATGGTAACTACATACCATGGGAAAACAAATTGTACAAATGAGCTTCTTCCATAATTTTAATTATGCAAATAGAAAATTGAAAGAGTACATTTTAAGGAATCAGTTTCCTATTTATAATTATTGACTAACGTAAGTGATTCATGCCATTTTCCATATCACTGTTGATATGTTAAAAATGTTAACATGATTGCATTTATCTGAATTTGTGTTGATGTTCAATACAGGAAACATTGAAATTTCTCCTTTAATATCGTGCTTTAAAGAACAGTATTAGAGTTTAATTTAGTTATTTTAATCAATTATTCTGTTTTCTGGACTTAATGCACATAAATTAGGGAGTGACTGTCATGAAACAAATTCTTATTTTTTTTACTGCTCATACAATTGATTTCGTAGTTTGATAGGAAATGTTAGGGCTATTGTTACAGATTTATTTTTTCATTCTGTTTATTTTTTTTAAAATAACTGGAATATGTGCTGGGTGTTGTTAAGGGTATTCAAATTAAAATCAGATGTCTATCCCTTCAGAATTTAGACTTTGCTGGAGAGGCAAGATAAAACAACTAAAATACAAGGCTGTATGAACTATTTGCACAACCCTGGTATGAGTAGGACGTGTTGAGTAAGACATGTACAAGAACATGCTATCAATGTGACAGCTTGCAGATCAGATAACATGTTCAGAGTGGAGACAAGTAGAAAATTTAGGGAAAAAAAAAGATCAGTGAAGCCAGTGACAGGGAAGAATTATAAAACTTCACATGAATGGCCTTGACAATTATGGATCATTTCAAATCAATGCATGGTAGGTTATTTTTTTCTTCTTGTTTTTCTTCAAATGGAGATTTTTCTAGAGTGGTTCAAAAACTCATATAATCATAGAAAATAAAATATTCTTAAAGAAGTAAAATGCAGGGGGCCAGCATGGTGGCTCACACCTGTAATCTCAGCACTCTGGGAGGCTGAGGAGGGTGGATCACCTGAGGTCAGGAGCTCAAGACCGTCCTGGCCAAACCCTGTCTCTACTAAAAATACAAAAATTAGTCTGGTGTGGTGGCAGCCACCTGTAATCCCAGCTACTTGGGAGGCTGAGGCAGAAGAATCACTTGAAACCAGGAGGCGGAGGTTGCAGTGAGCCAAGACCGTGCCACTGCACTCCAGCCTGGATGACAGAATGAGTCCCTGTCTCAAAAAAAAAAAAAAAAGACGTAAATGTGGGAGAGATCATGATCAGCAATTCAAGTATGTATTAGTGTCATACCTCTTATTGGAAATCTGAGCACCTAAGGGTAATATGGCACAACGCACACACACACATACTCACAGGAGTCAGGGTGAAAAGAAAGACATAAAGGTGGCATTGTTAAGTGATTTATAGTCTGCCTGATCAGGAAGTGGTATGTTCAGAGCTTTCCTAATAAGGATTGCAAAGGCAGCATCGCAGAAGTGAGAGGTAGTAGGAATGGCGAACTTTAGCATGTGCTGAACGTAGCATTCAACTAAAATCAGAGGGTTTGATAAATATTATCTTGAAAAAAAATCATTGAAATTAGCCACTTGGGGTAATTCTGATAATCAAGGAGAAAATGATTAAAAATATTGATGATAGGCAGCTCTTAGTAGGAAGGTCATGATATATTGAAGATTCATACAGCAAGGCAGAAAATATTGAACATTACTAGAAGATATTATCCTTATGAAAATACATCATAAAAATATAAAGTATTAAAAAATATGTTCTGGGGAGGGCAGTCTTAAAAAAGTAATTTAGTTCAAGATTATTTAGAGATTTGACAAAATTGATTTGTCATTATAGATATACACAGTCTAATGCAAAGGAATGTTTTTAACTGATCAGATTTTAAAAATAAATAATCTAAGGTTGGAAGGAGTTAAATACAATTAAAAATATGGGAAGGGCTTAAACAATGTCAAGAAAGCAAAGCTAGAAGAATTTGATATTTTCTTAGCATGAAGCAAACAAGAAGATGTTTTGCAATCATGTTTCAACTGAGACAGTGAAGAAACGTAGGATTGCCTGTGGGAAGATGACATAGTGCTTAAAAATGAGAAAAAAGAAAGTAAAATGAATCAGTTCTTAATCATTGGTAATGATCTTTAAACACATAAAAAGAGAATATTTCACTAAGGAGAGAATGAGGCTCAAGTTGTGGGGTATTAGGAAATATCAAGTTCATAAGTTAACTATTTTGGGACCAAGGGCTTGTAAGAACTAGCAGAAGACATGGAGAAACATTGTCAGTAATCTCTGAAATAATTAAGGAGAAGAGATGTAGTGAAGAAAACAGGGAATTGGAAAATGTGCAGATGTTGACAGAAGGAGCATGCATTACTAAAATTGCACTTCTGTAAGTTTGATGCTATTCCCTGGTGATGTTCTCATCAGCATTTTAATGTGTGGTTGGTATACTTTAGGAAAGCAGATAGTGATGGCTATGCATTTACACTGAGGAAGACTACAGTTGTAAGAAGCTATAGAGAGGCATGGTAACTAAACCTGGGTAATGCATGCTGGGCAGCTTCTTTCCTCCTCAAGCTCAGTATGTCCAAAACTGCAATGTCCTGCCTCTTTTCTTTCTGCATCATATTGATGGCATTGACATCTTCCTAATCAATGAGGTTAGAAAACAGGGTGGCATTTGTCATCTTTCTCCTCCATTTTCCACATTTCCCCATCTAAACACTGAAAATCCCCAATTTTATATCCTAAACATTTCCCGTATAATTTTCCTCCTTCCTTCTCTGCTCCCCCCAACTTCTCTCATAATCACTGTCATTGAATACTGCTGAAGTTACCAAACAGATATTACTAGTTTCATTTTTTTTTTGTCTCTCAAAGCCATTATCCTCCTGACTGACAAAGGAATCAGCCTAATATGCAAATCTGTCCTCGTCTTCCTCTTGGAGGTCACCTTCAAAGGGTCCTTATTGCCTCAATGACAAATTTTAAGTTACTTAATGTGAAAGTAGTGACTTTCATCACTGCCTAATGCTTTGGATTCAATTTTCACTATCCTCTGCCTCACATTTATATTCCAGAAATATCAAACTGTATATATTTCTCTACACATAGCTTAGAGGATTTTGCTCTGTTCCTTGCACTTACAATAAAGCAAGTTGGACTATATTAGCATTTGAGCTCTGGAGTTAAAGGGTCTGGTTTCAAATCCTTGCTCTACTACTTATATGACAATATTCACTTATTTATGAAACCTCAGGTTCCTCCTCTGTAAATTAAGAATAGTGACATCTTTCTCACCACATTATTTGGAAGTTAAATGAGATCATGCTTGCAAGATGCAGAGTGCAGTGTCTGGAAAAGAGAAAATAAAATAGCATCTCTGTCTTCTCTGCTTAGAATTTCTTCTTTTACCTCTGTCTGGAGTATGTCTTCTGTTCTCTGATAATACCTGATGCGTAATTTTATTTTATTTTTCATACCATAACAATTTTTCTCTTTATGCACCTATACCCCCACTGGACTACACACAGGCAAATAAAACTATGTCTAGTCATATATTTAGCCTCTGTACATGGTACATTGCCTAGAACTAGGCATTCCGCAGATATTTTTGAATAATTAAATGAATAAATAAACACTGGAAATGCTGTCCTACAAAAAGGAAGTTGACTTATTCTCTGTTGCACCAGATGACATAATGTTGAAAAGTTGAAAACTATGATTTTTTTCTTTTAAAATGAAGGATTATGTACCAGCAGCTATGAGAAAAATGTTATTACCTCACTTCTACAAAGAAAAAACTTAGGTTTAAGAAAGGCTAAGCTAGGTTCTTCATGGTCTTATAGGTAGGAAGTAGAAAGTTTGGCATTTGAGAGCTGATGTGCAATGCCTATGTTTGGATATTTAATGCCTATGCATGAATCTTCTTCTCTATGGCACTTCCTAGTGTGTAAGGGAGAATTTTTATGGTAATTAAGATTTCCAGCAAATTGTTGGGCTTACTTAGAAAGTCTCCAAGAAAAATTGGAAGAGCACTAGAAATCAAGTGTCTCTGTTTTAATAACCTCTCAATAATGTACTAAAAAGAATATACAAACTGATAATTTAATGCAACAATTATTCATCCTAAAATAAGTAGATGTTAGCCAAGTAGGACAAAAAATGATATATTTGGAGTTTCAAATTGATATAACTTTGTATAGTATGTGATGCCAGCTTTGGCATTAGTGCTTCTAGAGATAGTAGACTTGCAGGTAAACTTTATGTTCAAGCACTAGAAATACTTTTTCTCAAAAAATACCAACCTTCATCTGGTAAGTCTTAAGGGAAAAATATCCTTAAGGTAAAATTAAAGTAAAAATAGGATAAGAAGAACAATTACAAAAACAAAAAGAACAGAATGGCCACACATTTTTTTCTGCTTCCAGCTCAACCCTCTGATGCCAATATTATACAAATATAATTTTATCAAGTTATCAATAACATGTCCAGAAAGACAGCATAGAAAGTTGGATTTTAGGAGGAGTAATCCCTGAGATAAGAAAACACTTATTCTGAAGTCACTTATGAAATAAGTCAGTAGCTTTTATTGAGTCTCATATTTGGGGGTTTATGCACTTCCACATATTCTTTCAATAAAAGTTGATCTTCAGTAATGAATGGTCTGGTATCACATTACAATTTTTGTCAGAATCATGTTCGGTATTCAAAAACAGGGAGAAATTGTAGTGTCTTGCTATTCAAAGTATGATCTGTGGAGTAGCAGCTATGCATGACCTGATAGCTGTTTGAAATGCAAACTATCAGACTAGATCCCAGAGACACTGAATCAAAATCTGTGTTTTAACAAGACAGGTTGTTTGTGAACATTAGAAGTTGAGGGGCACTGTTCTACAGTACCTGGCTGTTAGAACTCCTACTTTTCTTTCATTCTGTCTAGAAGTTTCTATTCTATACATGTTTTTCCCACATTTGGTAGATTTCTTCTAGTTTAAAATGAGTTATTTGACAAGAATATGCAATTGTTTTGAGTTATAATTCAATGGAGTGGGCCGGGCGCAGTGGCTCATGCCTGTAATCCAAGCAGTTTGGGAGGCTGAGGCAGGTGGATCACATGAGGTCAGGAGATCGAAACTAGCCTGGCCAACATGGTGAAACCTTGTCTCTGCTAAAAATACAAAAAAAATTAGCTGGGTGTGGTGGCAGGTGCCTGTAATCCCAGCTATTTGGGAGGCTGAGGCAGGAGAATCGCTTGAACCCAGGAGGCGGAGGTTGCAGTGAGCCAAGATTGTGCCACTGCACTCCAGCCTGGGCAACAGAGCAAGACTTCATCTAAAAAATATATACATAAATAAATAAAATTAAAATATAAATGTAGTGGGATCTAGGCATGCTGCATGAATAACATAGATCTTTAAGCCTTGTACAGTAGTACACAGATTCAAATGCCTATTTTGATATCAGGTCTGGAGCTATATGTACTTGATGCCAATACAAATTGAAAAGAGAAAAAATGCAACGTAAATTTTCCTTGGTATGGTATATGATGTCAGGTAAAGTTAAAGATTTCTTTTGTTTTCAGCCTACTTGAGTTGTTAGAATAGGACTCAATGCCATGAGGAATCATGTCACTGTTCTGCCAAAAAACTATGATACTGCTGAGAAGTATGACTCAGAACTCAGCAGTAAATGGTGCTTCTGACTTTGATCCCTTTGCAGCTTTGAGCGGGCTATGCCATCTGTATCAGTCAAATGCTGGTGTGTAACAAACACATCAAACACAATTTATTAGTTCCTGACTCAATGAGTAAGCAATTTGGACTCATCTCAGTTGAGCAGCTCTGTTTGTCTTGCCTGGGTTCATTCATGTGATTACAGTTGGCTTGTGAATCATACAAGCATTGACTTATCCTGGATAGCCTTATTCATATCTGGCTTTTGGATGGGTGAATAACATACATGTCTCCAGCAGACTTACTCAAGCATTTTCACACACAACAGTAAGTCCCAATGCACAAGCACTTTTCAAGCTTCTGCTTGCATTATGTTTGCTAATATCCCATTAGCCAAAGCAAGTCACAAGGTCAAATGCAGATTTAAGAGGTGAAGATGAATACTCCATCACTAGATAAAATATGCTGTCAAACGCTATGGCCATTTAAAAAATTTACAACATCATCTCTGTTTTCCAACATAGTAAACAAATTTAACAACCTTGTACCTCTTTCTATGTAAGCATCTTTCTATTCTTAGGGGAGAATCCCATGTCTCTATTATGAGACAACTATTATGAGACAATTCACATACAATTCTCAGAGCATGGAATATGGCGGGCAGCAGGGGCCATGACTTTGAGCTGGATCAGAAGAGGGTGCTTTGTTATTTACTCTGCAAATTCCCTTTCCTGCTTTTTACTCTGGGAAATTTGTATTATGAGTAAAACTCTATTTTGCTTTATTTATTTCACTTCTGTTGCATCAGTAAAATCCACACCTGTTTGTTCTGGCATTGAGAGCAGCTGTCTGGTCTGCAGTAATATTTCCCACCTGGGTGGCTGAGCTGTCTCTCAGTGGCAGACACCCTTGTCAGCGTTGGTGGAAAAAGAGTTGCTTGGCTAATTTGGGTGCTTCCCTTTGGGCTTAGTGAAACAGGACAAAACAGGAAGTGTTTGATTCCCAAATTCGTGCCATGAGAAGTTTCCCAAGACACACTGGGTGAGAACAGAGCCAAAGAGAAGGTGGTGTGTGATACAAAGAGACGACAATAATGGTTGTGAAATATAGGGTAGACAGCAGAATATATTCCAAGGGATTTTGATTGTGTCATGGTAACCATGTGAGCAAAGCCTCTGTGGTTTATAAAATGGCTAATACCTGATATATGTGAATAAATTGAGATATTATTTTCCTATATTAGACTCTTTGTAGTTGTGTCACTGTTATATCAAACACACTGTGTATATATGTACATATACATACATATGTACCCACAGACATATTGATTGGAGTTGCAATAATACTAAGGGACTCAGCAGTCGAGTTTTCCCAGCATTGTGTTAGCGTTGAGGAAAAAACCCATCTCTTAAAGAGTGAGGGGAGGCCCAGCGCGGTGGCTTATGCCTGTAATTCCAGCACTTTGGGAGGCCGAGGCAGGCGGATCATGAGGTCAGGAGATCGAGACCATCCTGGCTAACACAATGAAACCCCATCTCTACTAAAAATACAAAAAATAGCTGGGCGTGGTGGCGGGCGCCTGTAGTCCCAGCTACTTGGGAGGCTGAGGCAGGAGAATGGCGTGAACCCGGGAGGCAGGGCTTGCAGTGAGCCGAGATAGTGCCACTGGGTGACAGAACAAGACTCCTTCTCCAAAAAAAAAAAAAAAAGAGTGAGGGGAAACAGGAAGGTTTTTGAGGTAATACGCTGTTTAAACAGAGGTTTCTGTGGTTGGATAGATGGCACTGAAGGAGATGTGACAAAGAAACAGTGGTAAATAGGTTCTAGAGTTGGAGAAAGTCAGGACCCCAGGATGTAATGAAAGCTGAGCTTTATACATAGTTTCCTATTTTCTTGACCTAGTTGAGAACCTCTTGAAACTTTGTATTTAGTCGTTAGTTTCTCTGCCCAGGTATATTTCAGACCCTCAGTTTAACCTCAGGCACATGACCTTACATAGTTTGTTGATAAATCTTTGTAATTACTGCCCTTTATTTGACAGGTTGTTGTATTCAAATTGCTTGGTCAATTTTTAAATATTTCAAGAACTTTGAGGTAATCAGTTTGCCTAAAACGCTAATATATTAGTTTTGCTTTTTTTTTTTTTTTTCAAATAGTCAACAGAAAACAAAGTTGGAATGAGCTTCCTAAAGAAAAGCTAATTTTCTGCACTGGAAGTAATTGAATTTAAAAAAAAAAAGTAACATTCAAAATATCAGAATATTCACATGATTCAAGCATTGAGTAGAAAGTTAGATTAAATATCCTTTAAAAGTTATACCAAAAGTGGTAGTCTGTTATCCACTTGCAAGTTAATGTGGAAAGAACAGGAATTTTAGACTCAAACAGATCAAAATTGAAACTTCCCCTCTGCTATTAATGGGAAAAAATAGCAGGACTTGGAGAGTGATTCAATATGGAAAGGCACCAAGGACTGTGCTTCAGTTTCTAATTTGGGAGCTAGGTGGCAATTAGACATTACAAATTCAGCATGTTCAACATAGGAATCCTGGTCTTCTCTCCACAGTTTGCTCTAGACTCAGTTTTTGTCATCTAAGCTGAAGTCAAATCTATCTTTCTAGTTGCTTAAGTCAAAATACCTGGAAGTCATTTTGACTCCTCTCCTTTTTCTACATCCTGTATCTAATAAATCAAGTAATTCTTCTACCACTACTTTCAAAATAGATCCATAATCCAACTATTTCAATAGACACCTCTATTGGTACCACTATGATTTTAGCCATTTTCAGCTCTCCCAAGGATACTGAAATGGCCTCATAACAGATCTCTCTGCTCCTACATTTGATTTGTGCAATTTAATCTCAAGCCAGCAGCCAGATTATTGTAAAATTTAAAACAACTCATGTGACTCTTTTCTAACTCTTGCAAAGGCTCTGTATTAAACTGTAGTAAAACCCAAAGTACTTAAGAAGGTCCTGCCCCCCACCAAGCTCTGTAAACCTCTCCTACTGCTTGTTTACCTTGCCACCTTGTTTACCATGCCACACATCACAGTAGCCTCCTTTGTATTTGCTAAATGCATCAGGCATGTTCAACAGCAGACTTGGTTACAGCTTTTCCTCTGCTCAACTATTCCTTCCCCCAACCCCTCCCAGATATCTACTCAGTAACTTTCCAACCTCTTTCAGATTTTTTCTCAGATTTAATCTTCTTAGTGAACCCTCAGTGAGGAATATTGCCACCCTCGCTATCCTCACCCCAACCAGACTACATCTTCAACACTCTTGATCACTCTGCTTTTAAGCCCTTATTTTAATCATTGTTTTCTTTTTAACCCTTGTTTGTCAGTGCTATTACTTTATTCTTTTATGATGGGGAATATTTTAATCAACTTTACTGAAGTATAATTTCCATTATATAAAACAAACATATGTTAAGTATACCATTTGAAGTTTTGAGAAATGTAGTTACTTGTGCACCCGTTGTCATAACCATGATAAGAACGTGTGGATCAACTAAGAAAGTTCCCAAATACCTCTAAGCAGTCAAACCTCACCCCTATTCATGGCAACTATTTATTACTTATTTGGTCTCTATTCGTTTCATCCATCCTAGATTTTTGTATAAATTGAATCATACACCATATTTATTTTGTGTCTGTGTTATTTCAATCAGCATAAATTTTTGAGATGTATCTGTGTTCTCACATGTATCAGTTGTTTGATACTTGTTATTGCTAGTTATATTCTATCGTATTAATTTTCCACAATTTGTTTTTCCATTTACTTGAAATTTTTCATTTCCATTGAATTAGCATTCTGGTTGTTTCTAGTTCTAAACTATTATGAATAAAGTTGCTGTGGACAATTTTGTGAGGTCTTAATGTGGATATAAGATTTCATTTCTCTTGAGTAAGTATTGAGAGGTAGTATTGATAAGTTATATGGGAAAAGTGTAGCTAATGTTACCAAAAAATGCCATATTATTTTTGGAAGTCATTGAGTAAATTTTCACCCTCATCAGCAATGTATGAGTATTGGTTGTTTTACATCTTTAACAACACTTGGTATTGCTAATATTTTTAATTCTAAGCATTCTAGTGAGTATGAGACACTACCTTATAGTGGGTTTAATTTGTATTTCATAGTCATTAACTATGTTGTGCTTCTTTTCAGGGAATTAATGTCCATTTTACACTGTTTTTGTGACGTATCTTTCAAATATTTTGTGCATTTTTTGTGTTGTCTATCTTCATATTATTAAATAGTAAAAGTGTTGTGATGGTTAATACTGAGTGTCAACTTGATTGGATTGAAAGATACAAAGTGTTGATCCTGGGTGTGTCTGGGAGGGTGTTGCAAAAGAGTTTAACATTTGAGTCAGTGGGCTGGGAAAGGCAGACCCATCCTTAACTTGGGTGGGCACCTTCTAATCACCTGTCAGCCCGGCCAGCATATAAGCAGGCAGAAAAATGTGAAAAGAGAGACTGGCCTAGCCTCCCAGCCTACATCTTTCTCCTGCACTGGATGCTTCCTACCCTCAAACATTGGGCTCCAAGTTCTTCAGTTTTAAAACTCAGACTGGCTGTCCTTGCTCCTCAGCCTGCAGACGACCTATTGTGGAATCTTGTGATTGTGTGAATTAATACTTAATAAACTCCCCTTCGTGTGTATATATATATATTCCATTAGTTCTGTCTCTCTAGAGAACCCTGACTAATACAGGTACTTTATATATTTGTGTACCAGTGTTTAATCACTGGTATACAAATATGTGTCCACATAAGTATATATATCATGTATTATAGATGGAAAACATTTTGTCCCAGTCTATGGCTTGCTTTTTTTTCTCTCCTCAAGGATGTCATTTGAGGGGCAGAAATTTTTAACTTTAATGGAATTCAATGTATCCTTTTTAAAAATAGTTAATGCTTTCTGTTTCATCTTTTAAAAAAATCTTTGCCTAACACAAGTTGTAAAGATTTTCTCTTATATTCTCTTCGAAAGATGTATAATTTTAACTTTTATATTTAGGTGTATGTTACTTTTAAAGTTAAGTTTTGTGCAGAATGTGAGACAGGGATCCAAGTTTGTTTTTCATACAAGTATCAGTTTGACAGCATGATTTGTTGAAAAAACTATACTTTCACCATTAAAATTTGTTAGCACCTTTGTCAATCAATTGACCCTGTATGTGTGGATTTATTCTTAGATTCCTTATTTTTTTTTCCACTGATTCAGCTTTACACCCATGTAAGACTGTCTTGATGGCCTTAAAATCACAGCTTAACTTCCCTTTCTTTCTTTCTTTTTCAAAATTTTGTTAGCTATTGTGAAGTCTATAAGCTATACTTTTCCCATATAACTTACCAATACTACCCCTCGATACTTACTCAAGAGAAATGAAAACTTATATCCACATTAAGACCTCTACAAAATTGTCCACAGCAAATTTAATCATAATAGTTTTGAACTAGAAACAACCAGAATGCTAATTCAATGGAAATGAAAAATTTCAAGTAAATGGAAAAAACAAATTGTGGAAAATTAATACAATAGAATATAATTAGCAATAACAAGTATCAAGTTGAAGTCTATAAGAGAAATTAACAAATTCGTTTATACATTTTAGAAGTTGGTTGTATTCCTCAGAATTTTCTACAGCGTTAATCATGTAATATATGAATAGAGACTGATGTACATCTTCCTGTCCTAACAATGCTTTTCTACTTCTTTTTCCTATTTTATTACATTTCCAGTAAAATGTTTAATAAAAATGGTAAAATATTTAATAAAAATGGTGACAATAATTCTCCATTATTCAATTCTTCATTATTGAGTGTATCACCTGTTGTTATTTCTTTAAATGCTGTTTATCAATTTAAATACGTTTCTGTTTCTAGTTTGCTTAAAGTTTTTATCATGAATGGGTATTGAATTGGAGACGATTATTTGAATATAATAGTTCTGTTATGGCAGTTAATTGCATTGAGTGATTTTAGAATATTGAATGAACCTCGGGTTGTTGAGATCAATTGCACCAAGTCATGATGCATGCTCCTTTTATATTTATGTTTATTTTATGGTCCAGCATATGGCTTATCTCAATGAACATTCCCTATAAGATTAAAATGTTTTAGTTTTTGTGTTTAATCTTTTTTTTTTTTTTTTTTTTTTTTTTGAGACAGAGTCTCGCTCTGCTGCCCAGGCTGGAGTACAGTGGCACGATCTCGGCTCACTGAAACCTCTGCCTCAGAGGTTCCAGTGATTCTCCTGCCTCAGCTTCCCAAGTAGCTGGGATTACAGGCACCCACCACCATGCCTGGCTAATTGTTGTATTTTTAGTAGAGACAGGGTTTCACCATGTTAATCCGGCTGGTGTGTGGAACTCCTGACGTCAGGTGATCCGCAGGTCTCGGCCTCCCAAAGTGCTGGGATTACAGGCATGAGCCACCGTGCCCGGCGTGTTTAATCTTTTATAAATAGTCACGTTACTGAGAGTGTTGTTTAAATATTTTACATCTTTACTGATTTTTTTATCTACTTTTTCATTAAATACTAAAAGAAGGGTGCTAAAATCTTCATCTATGTTTGTAGATTTATCTAGTTCTCTCATTAAGCCTGTGAAATTTACTTGATAATTGTAATGGGGTGTATTCCTATTTTGAATTGTTTTGTCTTTTTGATAAATTTATTTATCATTATAAAATGTCCTTTTTTAATCTCTTGTGCTAATCTTCATTTTATAATCTACTGCTGGTATTAATAGAAACACCATGCCAGTTCTTTTTTAATGTATCTATGCCATTATATTTTAAGTGGATCTGTCATAGACAGCATATAGTTCAGTCTTGCTCTTTTATTACATCTGACTTTTTTCATTTTATTTATTCTTAGTCCATTTACATTTGATGTAACCATCAACATCGTAGTGCTTAAGTTGCCATGTTGGTACTTATTTTTCACTTGTCCCTTCATATTTCTTCTTATTTTGTTGCCCCTTCTTGACTTCCTTAGGTTAATCAATTTTTTGTTTGTTTTTCGTTTCATTTTCTGTACTTGTTTTGGTGTTTCCTCATTTTATTATTTGCCTTGGGGCTCACAGTTTGCATTCCTAACTTACTGAAGGCCATTCAGAGTAAATATTATTTACCACTTCACATTTCACACTTTACACTTGACACTGTATGATTTCCACTTATTACTGCACACTTCCCACTTAAATAGTATACTTCTATTTATCCACTACACTTCATTTTTGATATATTGAAGTTATATCTTTTCCTTCTCTATCTGTTACAAAATCTGTCTTACCAATATTGTTCTTTCTGCTTTAAACAATCACCTTTTAAATAGATTACTAGGACAAAATGTCATTTACATCGACTTGCTTGTCATGTTCTGTGTTCTTCATTTCTTCCTATAGATCTAATTCTCTTACTAGTAACTATTTTCCATGGTTACTGATAAAAAATCAGTAATCTCTGGGTCTGTAGTTTTCTCATGTTTTATCTGGTTTTGGTATTAGGGGAATGCTGGCTTCATAGAATGAGTTAGGAAACATTCCCTCTTCTTCTCTCTCTGAAAGAGATTGTAGAGAATTAGTGTAATTTATTCCTTAATATTCAGTATAGAATTTATCGGTGAACCCATCTAGGCTTGGTGCTTTTTGTCTGGTAGATTGTTAAGGATTGATTCAATTACTTTAATACATATATAGTCCTATTTAAACTATTTCTTTTTGTGTGAGTTTTGGCAGATTGAGTCTTTCTAGAAATTGTTCCATTTCATATAAGTTACCAAATTTGTGAGCATAAAGCTGTTCACGTTATTCATTTATTATCTTTTCAATGTCCATGGAATCTTTCAGGATATTCCACGTTTTATTTCTAATAATTAGTAATTTGTATTCTCTCTGTTTTTTTTAGTTAGCTTGGATAGAGGCTTATCAATTTTATTTATCTTTTCAAAGAACCAGCTTTTGGTTTTGTTGGTTTTCCTTTATTGATTTCCCATTTTCAATTTCATTGATTTCTGTACTATTTTTTATTATTTATTTTGTTCTTGACCCTTTTATTATCATTTTGTATCCCTCTGTATCCCTGATAACTTTGTTTTCCTTATTCTAAAATTTTGATTTTTAGTATTAATATTTCTGAAATTAATATAGCCACTCCCGGTTTTTGAATTAGTGTTAGCATGGCATATCTTTATCAATTTACTTTTAATATATATGTGCCTTTATATTTAAACTGGGTTTCTTGTAGATAACATATTATTGTGTTTTCTTTTTTGATCCACTTTGAGAATTTCTGTTTTTTATTCATTTATTAAACCATTACTGTTCAAAGTGATTATTGATATAATTTGATTAATATCTACCATATTTGCTACTGTTTTTCATTTGTTGCTCTTTTTCTTTGTTCCTATTTTTGTCTTTCACTCTTATTCTGCCTTTGGTGATTTTAATTGAGAATTTTGTTATTGTTGTTGTTGTTTCAATTATTTTTCTTTTTGCTTTTCATGTTTGGAGGTTTCTATTCAGATATCCTCAAGCTCAGAAAGTCTTCCTCAGTTGCGTCCAATCTACTAGCAAGACCATCAGTGGTAGTCTTCATTTCTGTTACAGCATTTTTTTTTCTCTAGCATCTCTTTTTGGTTCTTAGAATCTTTATAACATCTCTCTGCTTACATTGCCCATCTGTTATTGAATGCTGTGTACTTGATTCATTAGAAACCTTATCATATTAATGAAAGCTTTTTTAAATTTCCAATTTGATGATTGCAATATTCCTGATATCTCTGAGGCTGCTTCTGATGCTTGTTCTGTCTCTTGAAGCTCTGTGTGTTTTTGTGTTATTGTTGTTGGTAGTGGTTGTTTTTCTTTTGGCATTTAGTATGTCTTGGAATCCTTTTTGACTGTCAGACATGATGTACTGGGTAATAGGAACTGCTATGAATAGGTCTTTATTAATGTGGTGATAAAGTATGGGGAAGAGGAAGCACTATATAGTTCTGTAGTTAGGCCTCAGTCTTTTGGTAAGCCTGTGCCCCTGAACTATGAGCTTCACAAGGGCTTAGTTTTTTTCACTCCATAGTTGGGACAGAATAGGTAGAATGAACTGAAATGGGTATTTTTCTGCTTCTAAGTAGAATGAAAAAGCCACCTGGAATTGAGTACTTCTCTTCCTCCAAGTCAGTTCCGGTCTGATAAAACCCAGCAGGTCCGGCTCTCATTAAATATTGTCTCCTGAGTTCAGACCTCGCTAACAACAAGATGTTCTGGCATATTTTAAAATGGTTCCTTTTCTTCTCTCCCTGGCAGAAACAGGAGATTTTTCTCCAGTATGTACTGAAAAATATTCGTCAAGCTTCTGAAAGTAAAACAAAAGAGCAGGAGTCTGCTTATGACTGGGTCTCCCTGGAGTTTTTCCCCACTCAGTCGCGTCCACAGTGAGCCTCCAGCAGTTTGTCAATGACAGTTTAGGTTTTCCTACCTCACCTGGGCACTGTTTTCTGCAAAGGTTTCTACTTGTGAGTTTCTACTCTGGTAAGTTGGGATTCTCTGGACTCATCTGTCTCTCCAGTTTGGAAGGCAGCAATTTTCCCTGTGACCTCACTTATCTTCCATATCTAAGAACAGTTTTTGATTTTCAGTTTGTTCAGCATTTCGCTTGTTGTTTGGACAGAGTGGCAACCTCTAAGATCCTTACGCGGCTGACCAGAAACCATTAACAATCATTTGTACCGTTTTTCCCCTTTGTGCAGTTTTGTTGTATTTTTGTTGTTGTTTTTCTGCTGCTTCTGTAATTTTATTTTTTCGGTAATTTTTTGTTTTCGGTAGTTTGAGTATAATTTCCCTAGAAACAGCCTTCTTGTATTTATCCTGGGCAGAGGGAGAGTCCAAAGTCCGTGGCAGGTTTTCTGTGAGTTCTTGGCTATGGGTTCACCCACACTTCAGCTCCCTCCCTCCTCTCCAGTGTCCTGCCTGCAGACTTTATCCACTTCAGTTGCCCTCACATTGATTTCTGTCTCCTTATGTGAATAGTACTTCTACACTCTGTTTTGATTCTACGTTACTAAGCCACAATAAGAAACATTCCTGAGGCAGAGATTCTGGGTAATAAGGAGACTCTGTAGTTAGTTTCTCTGCTCTCAGAGTTCACAGTTTTTTTTTTTTTTTTTTACTTCTACTTGTAAAACTTACAAGTATAATACTTTATTAATGCAAACCTGGAATGTAATTATGCAATATGTTATCGTGCCATATTTTTTTCATTTAGAAAAAACTTCTTGAAGACAGTCTGACAACTTATAAGTAATGGGAATTTTTAAATGAGTATAGAAAGGATATAACTTTTTTTGTTTAAGTTCCGTCTGTTGTCTTTTTTTTTTTTTGATGGTATTACTTTCTTTTTTTTAATTATTATTATTTTACTTTAAGTTTTAGGGTACATGTGCACAATGTGCAGGTTAGTTACATATGTATACATGTGCCATGTTGGTGTGCTGCACCCCTTAACTCGTCATTGACATTAGGTATATCTCCTAATGCTATCCATCCCCCCTCCCCCCACCCCACAACAGTCCCCAGAGTGTGATGTTCCCCTTCCTGTGTCCATGTGTTCTCATTGTTCAATTCCCATCTGTGAGTGAGAACATGCGGTGTTTGGTTTTTTGTCCCTGTGATAGTTTACTGAGAATGATGATTTCCAATTTCATCCATGTCCCTACAAAAGACATGAACTCATCATTTTTTATGGCTGCATAGTATTCCATGGTGTATATGTGCCACATTTTCTTAATCCAGTCTATCATTGTTGGACATTTGGGTTGGTTCTAAGTCTTTACTATTGTGAATAGTGCCGCAATAAACATATGTGTGCATGTGTCTTTATAGCAGCATGATTTATAGTCCTTTGGGTATATACCCAGTAATGGGATGGCTGGGTCAAATGGTATTTCTAGTTCTAGATCCCTGAGGAATCGCCACACTGACTTCCACAATGGTTGAACTAGTTGACAGTCCCACCAACAGTGTAAAAGTGTTCCTATTTCTCCACATCCTCTCCAGCACCTGTTGTTTCCTGACTTTTTAATGATTGCCATTCTAACTGGTGTGAGATGGTATCTCACTGTGGTTTTGATTTGCATTTCTCTGATGGCCAGTGATGATGAGCATTTTTTCATGTGTCTCCTGGCTGCATAAATGTCTTCTTTTGAGAAGTGTCTGTTCATATCCTTCACCCACTTTTTGATGGTGTTGTTTGTTTTTTTCCTGTAAATTTGTTTGAGTTCTTTGTAGATTCTGGATATTAGCCCTTTGTCAGATAAGTAGGTTGTGAAAATTTTCTCCCATTTTGTAGGTTGCCTGTTCACTCTGATGGTAGTTACTTTTGCTGTGCAGAAGCTCTTTAGTTTAATTAGATCCCATTTGTCAATTTTGGCTTTTGTTGCCATTGCTTTTGGTGTTTTAGACATGAAGTCCTTGCCCATGCCTATGTCCTGAATGGTAATGCCTAGGTTTTCTTCTAGGGTTTTTATGGTTTTAGGTTTAACGTTTAAGTCTTTAATCCATCTTGAATTAATTTTTGTATAAGGTGTAAGGAAGGGATCCAGTTTCAGTTTTCTACATATGGCTAGCCAGTTTTCGCAGCACCATTTATTAAATAGGGAATCCTTTCCCCATTGCTTGTTTTTCTCAGGTTTGTCAAAGATCAGATAGTTGTAGATATGTGGTGTTATTTCTGAGGCCTCTGTTCTGTTCCATTGATCTATATCTCTGTTTTGGTACCAGTACCATGCTGTTTTGGTTACTGTAGCCTTGTAGTATAGTTTGAAGTCAGGTAGCGTGATGCCTCCAGCTTTGTTCTTTTGGCTTAGGATTGACTTGGTGATGCGGGCTCTTTTTTGGTTCCATATGAACTTTAAAGTAGTTTTTTCCAATTCTGTGAAGAAAGTCATTGGTAGCTTGATGGGGATGGCATTGAATCTATAAATTACCTTGGGCAGTATGGCCATTTTCACAATATTGATTCTTCCTACCCATGAGCATTGGGAAGTTCTTCCATGTGTTTGTATCCTCTTTTATTTCATTGAGCAGTGGTTTGTAGTTCTCCTTGAAGAGGACCTTCACATCCCTTAATGAGCAAAAACTGGAAGCATTCCCTTTGAAAACGGGCACAAGACAGGGATGCCCTCTCTCACCACTCCTATTCAACATAGTGTTGGAAATTCTGGCCAGGGCAATTAGGCAGGAGAAGGAAATAAAGGGTATTCAATTAGGAAAAGAGGAAGTCAAATTGTCCCTCTTTGCAGACGACATGATTGTATATCTAGAAAATCCCATTGTCTCAGCCCAAAATCTCCTTAAGCTGATAAGCAACTTCAGCAAAGTCTCAGGATACAAAATCAATGTACAAAAATCACAAGCATTCTTATACACCAATAACAGACAAACAGAGAGCCAAATCATGAGTGAACTCCCATTCACAATTGCTTCAAAGAGAATAAAATACTTAGGAATCCAACTTACAGGAGTTCACAGTTTTGACCTGCCTGTTGTCTAATGTCTGAACACATTTTCTCATAAATATTGTTCTCTTTTACTTTGGAGGTGAATTTGTTACCAATTATTTTACCATAGTCAGGAACAAAAACTCCTCTCCCATCCTGGCACTAGTTTTAATGTATATGGCACCTATCACCATCCATCCTATGCAGTTGACTTAATTACTGTATTTATTGTATAATGTCTTTATCTAGGTATTACAGTACCTACAGGAGAGCAGGTCTTTTTGTTTTATTCACTGATGCATCCTAAGTGCCCAGCACAGTGTGGGACATGTCTCCCAAGTAAGCACTCACTTGTTGAACAAGTGTCCCAGTGATGATGTAGATGTGAAATGCATTATCCAGTGCCCCTGAAATCATTCAAATTACCCAGTGCTATAGCCAGAAAAAGTTCTAATTGTTCAATTCAATTCTATCAGGCAAAATGCTTTGGCTATTCTAAGAGTTGGAGCAGACACCATAATAATAGCTAAAATATTTGTATATTAAAACAGTATACATCACTTTGTTTTTTCTATCATGTTGTCTCTGGAGATTTCCTAATGAGAACTGAAATTAGAATAAATGTGGGTTAAACTAAAGTTTATAGATCTTGCCACTAGTAGACCACATATGTTATATGTCTGAAAGCATATATATTCTTTTTGAAAAAATAATGTAATTCAAATAATCATTTCTGATAAAGATACCCAGGGTTTTATGCTTGTAGGAGGCCAATATTGGCTCTCAAAGATGTAATAAGTTATTTTATTTTCTCCAAAGCTTTCATGGCCATTTTTGGATCTGTGTATAAATATATAACATATGTATATGCTGCATATCCGAAGTCATTATTGTAGGTCCTTAGAAGAGTAATCCACAGTATAATAGAGAGATAAAGGACTAAAATATTATATCTTAATAAATAAAAGCAACTTACTCCACTTCTGGAAAATAGAAACAACAATAACATGTATAACACTTTAGCTATATGATATAGCCTGTAAGAAGATTTAAAAAATATATATATAAAACCTAACTTTTATCCACATTCTATATAGTTGATATTAAATCTCACTTTATGGGTGAGAAAACAGGTGTATCTTCTGTAAAGTTACCTATATCCTAGGTAGTCAAGAAAGGATTTGAGTTTAGGTCTATTAAGGCCCTGTACCTCCATGTTTCCTGAGTTAAAGCCATTTAAAAACCATGAAAAATTGTAGGCTCATTTTTTAAAAAACTAAATTATTTCCTATAATCACCAACAGTACATACTGAGGAATTTGTTACTAAACCAAAATGACCACCTTCCTTCAGACAGCACATGCAATTTAGGGAGAGATGTGTAAACATTAGCAGTTTAGAAATTTCTAAGGTAGTTATAAGTGGAAGCTTCATGACAAAATATTCTCAAACTATATTAATTGCAAGAATATTTAGAGTAAAAAGATAAATATGCATCATAAAGCAATTTTAAAGATTAGGATTATTATATAATTGTTTTAATCACAAATGATTTGAAGTGATTTTCTGTCCTCCCCTGGAATCTTCTTCGGCAATTTCAAGAACCATCTTTCTCCGTACTTCCTTAGGTGATGAAGTATGTATTTACTTAAGAATCATCCTGAAGAAACAAAGATTCACTTACTTTTTATCTACTTAACATTGCCAATACTGCATTTATCAGTTCTATTTCACCATGGAAAGCAACTGTTACAAGAGACTGGTTTAACTGAAATTTAGAAGAATTGTAGTTCCTGTAGTTTTTTCTTTCTTTCTTTGTTTTTTTTGGCAAGACACCAGAATATCTTATTTTAGCTTTAGGAATGGCTGTTAACTTACTCAAATTTAATCATTTGACACGCTAACTTTTTTTTTTATAGTCCCTGAAATAAGAATGAACAAAACAGCTCTTCTTTCCATAATTGCCTTGTAATTACTTTGTTAGCTTTAGGCATTTACATTTCATCAACTACAGAAGTAATTACATAATCCTCCTTGTCCCTTAAATTCTATACATTTCATCAACTACAGAAGTAATTACATAATCCTGCATGTCCCTTAAATTCTATTTGTTTTGTTTGGCTTCTTTTGTTACAACTTAATCTCAAAGCCATTGCACATACAGACAGTGAGTGAGAGAGAGAGAGGGAGAGAGAGAGACAGAGGACCATCCAATGCCATTTTTCCACTTAATGAATCATTTCCTCTGTCAGCTTTTTGGTATTAATTTTCAAACAGTTTTCTTTCCCATCAGTTGGTCCATAAAACTAGTTCACAGTGGCAAGATTAGGACAATTTTATCTTTCTGAGTTTTTTTTTGGGGGGGCTAGGTTAGTATAATGATATAGTCCAGATAGATTTATAGTATAAATCCTCTAGCTTAGTTTAGTATGGATACTCTTGTTGCATTGGTCATGATCATCATTGTCTCAAACTAGGGCTAGATTCTTAGGTGTGCTACCTGCATAATCTCACAGGGTTCTGTGCTTGCATTAATGCTCTACTATTGACATTTTGAAATTCTTAATAATTTTTGAGCACAGTCTATATTTTCATTTTTGTACGGGGCCTCAAAAATTATGTAGCCAGTTCTGTCATAGACACACACACACATAACTAAATGTTATGCTATTTTGTTTATGTCATTAAGCTAAGCATTATTTAAATTGGATTTTTTAAAAACTCAAGCTGTGTTGCTCTTAAACCTATACTGTGGATTGATAAATAAATATTTCAAACAAACAAATGGCTTGCAACCTACAATCTCACCCTTGCTTGATAAATCAGTATTATAGGTCTAGTAGGAAGGATGAAAGGGAGAGAGGAAGGGAGAAAGGGAAGAGAGAAGGAGAGGATGGAAGAAAGGAAGGAAGAAAGGAAAGCTGGTTGCCTTTATTTTGTCTAACATACTCATAGATAAGTGAAAAGAGTCAACAATATAAATGAACATGTTAGGCTTTTACACATAGCTTTAATGCTCACATCAAGTAAGTGGCCTGAGATATTTTTAAATTTTTATTCCAAGTCAGCCGGTAAAAAGCCTTTTCACATTAAGAGCTTTTTTCTATGTACTAATAATAATTTAGTGAATTACAATCTCCATATCCTTTTAATGAGTTCCTTGTACTCATGTTGTATTATAGCAAACATTTACTTTGCATTTTTTTACTGTATTCAGTTATACTTATAGTGTTTCATAAGTGCTGACTGAGACATACAAGCAAATTTGTACATTTTTTTGATTGTTTTTCCCTTGTCTCTACCACTGTTCTTAGTACCTGTTCTGCATCTGAAATGCATAACCCAATTTTCGTTTTTCACAAATTCTCTAAAATTTTCTAGTGCACGTAAGTGGGGATTATATTCACAACTTCTGGGAAATAAACTTCAAAGTATGTGCATAATCTTGCTTGTGA
Organism: Homo sapiens; assembly: GCF_000001405.40. NCBI lineage: Eukaryota > Metazoa > Chordata > Mammalia > Primates > Hominidae > Homo > Homo sapiens. Next base: position 28,982,956 of record NC_000011.10, read on the forward strand.
GATAGAGATATATATATATATATACACACACACACATATATATGTATATATATCTTACAGAGGGAGCAGAGTGGGATCTATATAGGTATAATAATAACTGTACTATCTTTTCTTCTATATTTGCAAGATAGATTAAGTACGTTTCATTTATGTGCCTCAGATACCTTAAGGAGTTGGGAGATGATAGAAAGCTAAGACTAGTTTGGCTCATAAAATTTTAAGATATTCTATTGACTTGATGTTGCCTTTTACTAAAAAGGATGAAAAGTTATTATGCTATGTCTTAAGGCTGACTTGAGAAGTTGAAAATTTGCCTGAAGCTTTCCTAGGGCAGGCCTTTTTTTCTGCATTATATTATCTTCTCCAATATCTTTCAATTTCTAATCCTATTGTCGTAACAGACTATAATGATCTCTTTGGGAAATTCCAGCGTATGATTCTCTCTATTTCTCTCTTTCTATACAGACATCCTAACCTATCACATATATATATATACATATATATATATATATATATGAGAGAGAAAAGTGGGGGTGGCAGCCATACCCTCTAAAAAACAATCATTAAAATTTTAAAATAATTAGTTTTGCCTGCAGGCAAGATAGAATAACAGAACTGGATTTCACTACTTTTATGAAAAAGAGAAAATAAAAACAGATAATATATACCACAATGAATTTTAAGTGAAGTTCAAGTAAGAGTGATCTCAGGATGTGGAAACGAAACAGGTGATTTATCTAGTTTATTGCCAAAAGGTAGTTTACAGGCATATAGCACAATGAGGAGGAACCCAGGGGGAAAAATAGTTATATTTTTCTTCAATTTGATGTTGAGATCTCTCTTTGAACAGTGACTTTAAACTCTAGCCCTGCCTGGACAAGGCTCCAGGGAATTTGTTCTGTTGATGTTTACAGTGTGCCTTTCACAGGATACGTCTTTATCCTGGCGAATGGCCTAGTGCCTAAGTGTTCCACCTGTGACCAGGTGTCCCTCTTATAGGAAACTTGTTTACATTGGCAGATGACCATGTGGCTCTTGTCTGACCTGTATCTAATTTATTCCTGCCAAGACAGACACTGTCTAGGAAAGGCTTGACCAGGAGGAATGTTAGGTCTGGGTGTGTTGGTCCTGTGAAACACAGAGGAGACAATGCAACAAAAATACGTGAAATAACATAATCAGTTTATTACTCACAGATTCATGAGAGAGGAGAAGTACTGATAAAAGCTGATGGGAAGGTCTCAAGGGCAATGGGCTCAACCAGCAGGTGAGGAGCCAGGGAGAAACAGACCACTGGGTCTGTGGGGTCCACAGCATTCCCCCACACAGGTTTCCCAGGGAGTTCTAATTGGCGGGTTTAGAACAAGCAGGAGCAAGTTTCATGAGGTCATAGTGTGACTGAGAGTGGTTACTGTAGCATATCTGTGTAATCCATGAGGGGTATTAGGGTCACTGAATGAGTCAAGTAGGCTGAATTTATGTGCGCAAGGAGGTGGTCACCAGGAGGCAGCTGAATAAGGCAGAAGTGTGTACTGACCACATCGTGGAACTGAGAGGAGGCGAACTGGAAACTGTCAAAGGTGGCTAAGCTGTGCTTCTGGGATAAGAAAGTTTAACCTAGATTCAGGATGCATGCACAGGCAACACAAAATGAATTATAACAGTCCATTATAAGAATCTCTAAGAATATCAACCTGAAGAGATGGATCTGAGTGTCTGCAGAGACAACAGAGATTAAAATCCTCAAGCAGAGTACTGGGAAGAATAATCATGCACATTGAGAGAATCCCAGAAATCTGCAAAAGGCTTCACTTAAGTATTCAGTAAAATACTTATCAGTGCATACTTGTGAGGAGACTGCCCAAGTCCAGAGAAATAACTAGCTGAACAGATTAAAGATGAGTATTTGACATTCACATAGGACTGATAATAGTGCCTGTTACCACCCGCCAGACTGGAAAACTTTATGACTATGGAACATTAGAGAAAATACTCAGCCTTAGCAGTGGGGAATATTTTGTTCTAGATTAAATTCTGCTTAGATCTTGCCTAACAAATCTTAAAAACCTGACCTGAAAGGATCAAACAGTTTCTAAGAAGCTTAATTGCATCCCCCAAGAAAGATCAAAATTATTTGTAGGAACATAATATCTGGTGTTCAAGGGGTAAAACTCATAAATCCAATCAAAGATTACTAGATTGCAAGAAAGCACAAATCACCATGTGGAAGAAAAATCAATTGAAACCATTCCAAATCTTAGTCAGATATTAGAATTAGCTTTTAAGAACAATAAATAGTCATTATATTTCATGTGTTTGCAAAATAAGTAGAAAAATGAATGGTATAAAAAAAACACCCAACGAAGCTTCTGGAAATGAAAAAATTAATATATGAGATAAATAATTGGATTAACAACATATTAGACATTGCAGAATAAGATTTACTCATTAGTAAATTTGAAGATGACAGTAGAAATTACCCAAAATGAAACACACAGAGAATAAGGAAATTTTAAAAATAAAATGCATCACTAGGGTGATAGACAATTGTCTAATGTACATTTAATTGGAATCTTTGAAAGAGGGGGTACCAAAATGTTTGAAAAATTAATAGCCAGAAATGTCCCAAATACTATGGAAGCCGTAAATCTAGAGATCCGCAAAGCTTAATGAACCCCAAGCACAAGAAACATGAAGAAAAAAATACATCAATCCACATTGTGATTATTAATTTTTATGTATCAACTTGACTTGCCATGGACTGGACAGGTATTTGATTAAACATAATTCTGGGTGTTTTTGAGAGGGCAATTTTGGAGAAATTACCATTGAAATCATTTAGGTCCCTAAGTGGGTGGGTCTTATCCAACCAGTTGAAGACCTGAATAGAACAAAAATACTGGCCATCCCCTGAGTGAGGGAGGATTCATCTTCCCTGATTACCTTAAAACTGTGGCCTTGGCTTTTTATTGCCTGTGGACTTCAACTGAAACATGAGGCCTTTCTAGTTCTCAGGCCTTTGGACACAGAGACTGGAACTATACCATTGACTCTCCTAAGTCCCCAGCTTGCTCACTCATCCTGAAGATCTTGGGACTTGCCAGTCTCCATAATTACAAAGCCAATTCCTTATTTTACACACACACACACACACACACACACACACACACACACAGGCATGCACACACACAATTGTTGGGTTTGTTTTTCTGGAGAACCATGACACATCATGATCAAATTGTTAAAAAAAAAAAATAAAGAGAATGCCATAAAAGCAGCCAGAGATAAAGGACATGTTATGTACAGAGGAACAAAAATAAAGAATATTTTTGGCAGAAATCACAAAAAAGAAGACAATGGAGCAACATCTTTTAAATGCTTAAACCTAGAGTTTTATACCTATTGAAAATACATTTAAAAAATAAAGGCAAAATAAAACTTTTTCAGCCATACAAAAGCTGAATACATGAATCTCTGGGAGATACATATTATAAAGAGACATTAAAGGAAGTAATTCAGGTAGAAGGAAACTGAGACCATATGGAAATATGGACCAACACAAAGCAATGGTAAACCTCAGAATGGTTGCTATGTGGGTGAAAAGAGTAAAGCTGGAGTTGGATTGTAAAAACTTTGATGGCAAATTATATTCTCCGGAGACTCTTTCTCAACATGGGAAATGTTTTCTCTCTCAATTTTACAACTTCCTTAGATGTACACTGTGGCCCTCTCAGGGACATCTATTCTGATTTTCTTGATTTAGACAGATTTCTGAGTTCACACATCATTGTACTCTTTCTGAGTTCTCATTGATATAGCCATTTCTGTTGTTAAAATTGGTATTGAGGTTTTCTCTGGAAAGATAAACTTCTCACATACTGGTTGTGGAACTCAGATTTTCTTCTTTCTGACTGCTGGCATTTTCAAATATGTCCTTCTCACTTATATGGCTTATGACCATAACGTGGCTATCTGTGCCTGAGTGACCAACCTTCATGAGTGATCAGGTCTTCTAGCAATGGGCAGTAGAGTCTTGGATTGGAGGAAAACTTTCTTCTTTGGCTCATACCATTTATATTTTTCATTTATTCAGCTATAAAGCAAAGGAGATTAGCCACTTATGGCCCAAGCTCTTTTAAAGCTCCTCTGTGGGGATCCCCTATATACAAAATGATGTTTTTTTCACAATAATTACATTCTTGTTCACCCTGCTTCCTCTTACTCTGACCTTATCCTCCAAGCTTATTGTGTTCACTATCCTACACATGAACTCCTCAAATGGGGGAGCAAAGTCTTGGCCACATACTGCTTTCATCTGAGTGTGCTGATTCCCTGCTGTGGCCAGGCCACTTCGTCTACATGACTTCCAGCTCCTTCTGAACTGTAAACAAATACCAGACCATGTCTGCTTGACAGCATAATTATATCCACGTTGAAACCCCTGATAGACATTCTGAAGAATGCAGAAGTGGCAGGAGCTTGGAGCAAGTTCTTGTAAAAGAAAGCGCTAAAAAGTCAACACCTTATTATCGTAGCTGTGAAAATAAATAAACAACAGAGCAGAGTACTTCAATATCCAAATAATAAATTTGGACACACCCCTAGAAAACTGATAATTGGGGTAAATATTTAAATAACCATGAATATATTAATCCTTAAATATGTCCTGAACAATTCCATCTTTTTCTTTCTATAAGAAATATAATATCAAGCATGTTTTAAATGCTACACATTTAAAAATATCTAAAATTGCATTCCATGAAGGATTAAATTTGAGAAATATTAATACATTTCAACTTTAACGTTTTAGTCACTGAGTTTGGTTGGTGACAAAAAGAACATGTATAATACTCAGGGACTGAATTATTTCATGTTAATGAAACAATTTATTATAAACTATAAACTGTATCTGATCTTGTTGATATAAGGATTAGTGATATTCATATTGTGGATTAAAGATAGATGTAAATATTGTGATGCTTGTCCCATTAAAAAAATGGGTTCCATTTCTCCCCATGTTGAATAGGCTGGCCAGAAACTGCTTTGACTCATAGAGTGTGGCATTTGTGATGCTGTATCAATTCTAGGCTTAGAGGACAGTCAACTTCCATCTTGGTCTCTAGAAGACTGGAGCTACCACATAAGTCTGACTTACATCCCCTACTAAGGAGATCCCATGGAAAGGGTACATGGAGATAAAAAGGAGGACCTATCTAAGTCTAGACAGGCCTGAGAATAGAGTCATGTTGGACCCTTCAGACTAGCACAGCTACCAGCTGATTACCACCATGTGACCCCAGTTAATGCCACATGGAACAGAAAAAATTACCCAGCTAAGCTCTTATTAGATTCCTGAACCACAAAATTGAACTATACAATATATTTTTTGCTGTTTTAAAGCAGAAAAGTAAAACTCCAACCAACCAAATCAACAAACAAAATAAAACAAAAAGAAGAGAGGATGAGATAAAACAAAAGAAATGATAATAGAGACCATCTTCAGCTCAAGATTATTTTATATCTGCCCTATACCATTCATTAATTCTCTTCAAACTGAAAAATATTGAGTAAAATTATCTAAAAAGGCTATTACCTATGAGACCATTGTCTAACAAGACTGTCTTAGAAACATTTGATGTAGCAGGGAGGAGTAGCTTTGGCTTATTATTTACTAATCACTAGGACCTAGCTATATAAAGTTCATATTAATTTACAGAAGATGGATAAATTATAAATTATATTTGTCTGATAGTGATTCAAGTGAATTCTGTCCAGTTGACAAGATAATCCCAAAGAGTATGATTTTTTTAGACTGCAGATTATCAACCAGTTTTCTATTTATTTTAGCAATCTAATTTTAGCATTCTTTTAATGAAGAAATGTGTTAGTTTCTCTCATCCTTCTTGGAAATAGCTCTAATGTCTTCAATAATAAGTTAAATAAATATTTTAAAAGTAAAAATATTAAATTTCAAAAAGCAGAATCTCCTCTTAGTGTCCTTAAAACTGCCCCTCCCATCTCCCTGACCATATAGAGAATGTATGCTATGATTGTGTTTTATTTTATTATTTTCCAAAACAAGAACAGATTTTTTTGTTGTTGTTCATTGTGATGGTTAATATTGAGTGTCAACTTGATTAGATTGAAGGATGCAAAGTATTGTTCCTGGGTGTGTCTGTGAGGGTGTTGCCCAAAGGAGATTAACATTTGAGTCAGTGGACTTGGGAGAGGCAGACCAACCCTCAATCTGGGTGGGTACAATCTAATCAGCTTCGAGCATGACTAGGATAAAAGCAGGAAGAGAAACTTGGAAAGACTAGACTATTTGAGTCTTCCGGCCTTCATCTTTCTCCTGTGCTGGATGCTTCTTGCCCTTGAACATCAGACTCCAAGTTCTTCAGCTTTTTGACTTTTGGGCTTACACCAGTGGTTTGCCAGGGGCTCACGGGCCTTTGGCCACAGACTGAAGGCTGCACTGTCGGCTTCCCTACTTTTGAGGTTTTGGGACTCAGACTGGCTTCCTTCTCCTCAGTTTGCAGATGGCCTATTGGGGACTTATGATTGTGTGAGTCAATACTCCTTGATGAACTCTCTTTCATGTATACATCTATACTATCCATCCCTCTAGAGAAGCCTGACTAATACATTTATTCAAGTATATATTAAAGTATAGGAAGTTACAAAATGTCTCAAACTCTGCCACCCAATGTAAAATGTAAAACATTTTAAAGAACTCCTTTCTAGATATTGATATACAGATATAATAGTATAAATGTTGCTTTGAAATATTTTTATTCTCTCAAACATTTTTGTTGGCATTTTTCTATGTAAATAAACAGGAATGTGCATCATTCATTATTTTAAATGGCTTCATAGCATGCTATTTTTGCCAATATCTAATGTCTTAAACGCTTTTGTGGACAAAAATTTAGCTTGAGTCCAAGGTTTATTTATAAACATTAAAAATTTTTATGATGCATTCTTGTATGGTATATAAATTATCTTCTAGAGAGAATTTCTTAGAAGTAGAAGTTCTGGATCAAGATTTTGACACACATTAACGAACTGTTTTCCAGGCATATTTTTACCAATCGACACATTCTCACCAAAAGGATATGAAAATACTCATTTCCTCCAGTACTTGCCAACACAGTACTTACCATGATTGTTTTAGTCGTTGTCGATCTATTTGATTACTTTTATGTGAGTGTCTTTAAACAGTAACACTGTTCCTTTTTTTACAAAAAAAAAAATTAGGCATTTATATTTCATCTGTAAATAGTCTGTTTATAGCCTAATACATATTTCTCCTGGGATATGTGAATATTAAGAGATCTTCTATGTGTCTGATATATATCTATGTTTATATTAACCTATTACAGCTGTATCTATATAGTAAATATGTATATATGTATACTTTATATATTTACATATGTGTATGTATATATGTATGTGTGTATGTGTGTGTGTGTATATATATGTATATATAATTTTTTTCCTCAATTTGTTATGTAACTTCTTAGTCCTAATTCTGATGTTGGCTAAACAGATTCATTTGATTTGATTTGGCTTGTATTTTATTATTCATGCTGTTAAATCGATCTCCTTTTCCTTTAAAATTTCTAGCATTCATATAAAGTTTAGTAAGTTCTCCTAAATGTAATATATCTAAAAATACCATTTTATTTTACTAATTGTATCTTTTTTTTTAATCTGGTGGGGGAGGGAGGGAAGAAGGGGAAAAGAGAGAGAGAGGGAGAGAGATTAAGAATGAAGCAAGAGTCCAGATTTATTTTTTCCAAATATTCATTAAAATGCTTAATACCAGTTCTTTAGGAATTCATTTTGTAATCATTGATTTATAAAGCCATCTTCATCATATTTTAAATTCCTATATACACTTGGTTAAATGTCCGTGATTTTCTTTATATGTTTAAAATTAGTATTGTATTATTAATAAATCAAAGTTTTTAAAAATAATTTGTGTATTTTATAGCAAACTTTTAGTGAACTTTTATTTTTTTCTAATAGGGAATCAACTAAAAATTTTATTTCATTATATTACTTATTTTAACTTTTAAGTTCAGGGGTACAAGTGCAGGTTTGTTACACAGGTAAAATTATGTCATGGGGGTTTGTTGTATAGATTATTTCATCACCTAGGTATTAAGCCTAGTACCCACTAGTTATTTTTCCCCATCTTCTCCCTCCTACCACCCTCCCTACTCTGAAAGGCCACAGTGTGTGTTGTTTCCCTCTATGTGTCCATGTCTTCTCATCATTTAGCTCCCACTTATAAGTGAGAATATGTGGTATTTGGTTTTCTGTTCCTGTGGTAGTTTGCTAAGGATAATGGCCTCCATCTCCATCCATGTCCCTGCAAAGGGCATGATCTCTTTCTTTTTTATGGCTGCATAGTATTCCAAGGTAAACTTGCATTCTCATTTTCAATATTTGCATCTTATGTTACTTTATCTTTACTTGACCAGCATTTAAAGAAGAATATTCAATAATAGTGGTATTAATGGGAAAACTATCATGTTTTTATAAATATAATTTTTTTCAGTCATACCGAGTTCAACTGTATTTGACATTTTCTCTTTTATTTATAGGTGATTAAATCAAATCAATCTTATACAAAGTATCTTAGATAATGAAGTTGACCTTATTATTCTATGAATAATATTAATTCTGTAGCCAAAGTCAGCTATATGTTCATGAATTGCTGGATTAAAGAAAATGACCTTTCATTGTGAACTATAATTAGGATTGTTAGATAAGAACATATAGATGAGTATATTTGCTATGTCAACTGTTGTGAGAGCTTCTGTATAATACTCAGGAATTTTCCTGAAATTTAAAACTTGGGGGTTACTGTGAATCTCTGTTGTATATTTGAGTCTAGATTTTCTAGGAGTGCAAATTTGTATTAATTATTACATTCATTTAATCATTCATTCATTTGTAGCATGGTATTGTGTTCCTAACTTGCACATTTTGTTGTAATCAAGTATATATTAAATTCTGGGCAGAGTTCAATACCTCCAGGATAGTGCATTGTGGTTTCTTGCTCAAATGCAGTTGTTTCATTCCAACTGGATCAGTTTCACAGCATAGATCAAGTAAGCCCCCAGCTGAATAATAGAATGGTACATTTGAAAGTCTTTTTATTGTTTAAAAAGCCCATGTTCAAATAAAGCAAAAACAATTACTTATATACTTCTGGAATCTGTAAATAACCAAATGAAGGCTATCTTATTGCTTTATATATGTATCCTGCTAATTTTGCAAGTATAATTGTACTGCACAACCTGTGTACTCAAATGACCAATCAGATTAAGTAAAAATAACATATTAAAATGACAAAGCACATAACTAGTGGCACTGAAAGAAATGTGAAGAAGACAGATGTGAACAAAAACACTTATGGCACATAGTTCTAGCAAAGATATTTTGAAAGAAAGATACACATACATGAGCACACACAACATGTATTCCAACAAAGACATTTATGATGCAGAATATGTAGATTTAATAAGATGAATTGAGAGGCAGATCATATAGATTTGCAAGCACACTGTGTTTTCTTCATGGAAAAAGAAGCCTGAGGACTTTTCTTACATTCATACTGTTTTAAATTACAAGACTGGCTTGCCACCATTATAATTACCCATTTCAATGTTGTCCCAATTTACTTTTGTATCCCCATGACTTCCCTCCACATCTGAATAAAACCACTCAGTCCAGGGCTTTGGAAACTTCCCACAGAACAGTCTCCTCTACTCCCATCTTCCCTGTGATAATATGACAGGTTTATCTCTCACTACATCCACTATTAATTTTCAGTTCTCATTATTATATCTTTAATTCTATCTTACCCATTTATTTCTAGTTCTTTACAATTTCTCTTCCCAGTTACAAACCATTATCTCCTTTTTATTATGATTTTCCCCCTAATCATCTTCTATTATCTCTTATTTTAGTACTTGGCTTTCCCTCTTTGATGTCTTTTGGTTTGAACTTCAGGTAATTTGACCCTTTTTGTTACTTCTTTGACTTATCATAGATCCATTGTCTATTCTCCTTATTTTTTTCATCTTTCATCTTTTTCTATATATTGAAATTCATACAATGGTATGGTTTAGCTGCAGCCGGCAGGGTGATGAGCTGTGGAGAGCTGTCAGAAAGTGAACAAACAGGCTTTTATGATAAAAGGTCGAAGTAGAGCACACATGAGGTTAAAAAATAAAAAGCTTCTATTATAGGATTTAGGGAATTGAATGTACATGACATGATTCCAAAAAAAGGGGGAAAAATACATTGAGTAGGTAATGACATCATGACAAGAGGAAAGCACTATTTATCTCATCAAAGCTTAGTGAACTTAAATGCTAAATCACACAAAGCATGTGATTTAAAACTATTTTAAAATAGTTTGTGGGAGATTAGATCAGAAACCCAACATTTGAAGTCTGTATGCATAGGCCAGAAGCACCGGGTGTTGGAAATAGCATCTGACCTGGGGAGCAGGAGGCTTCACCACTTGTTTAACCTTTTTTCTTTTGACTTTTATTTTTTTCCTCTATAAAATGGAGTTAATAGAACATATTGCCATAGTTATAGATCCTATAGTCATAGACTTTTGTTCAACCTTATGAGTGGCAAGCTCTAGAAGAAAGGTTAAAAGTTTCTATTCATACGTTCTTGAACTTAGGTAGGTTTAGCTCCAAATCTGGTGCTGTTTATTACTATGCTCAACTGCCTCAGGTTCCATATATTAAAAAAAAAATTCACTATACACACTTAAGCATTTAATTAAAACTTGGGAGAGTAAAATAAATTATTTTGAAAAAATATGGCAACTCTTATTAAGAACCCTAACGTATAGTTCTTTTGGCTCAGTAATTTTATGTCTAGAATTATATCCAGAGGAAAAAGCCCAAAATATAGGCAAAAGACTTTAATACAAAGATGTCCAATGCAGTGTTAGCTGCAGCTGGCAAGGCATTTAAAAAATAATGTAAATATCCAATTGTAAGGAAATAGTTAAATAAATTAGCATAAATTCATACGGCTGCCATGAAAACTGTTTGAGATGAATTCTAACATTAAAATATAAATTTAGGGCCGGGGGCAGTGGCTCACGCCTGTAATTCCAGTTCTTTGGGAGGCTGAGGCGGGTGGATCACCTGAGGTCAGGAGTTCAAGACCAACCTGGCCAACATGGTGAAACCCCATCTTTACTAAAAATACAAAAAAATAGCTGGACATGGTGGCAGGCGCCTGTAATCCCAGCTACTTGGGAGGCTGAGGCAGGAGAATTGCTTGAACCAGGGAGGCAAAGGTTGCAGTGAGCTGAGATTGTGCCATTGCACTCCAGCCTGGGCAACAAGAGCGAAACCCCATCTCAAAATACGTACATACATACATTCATACATAAAATATAAATTTGGATAAAAAGAATGTTCTTTTTACATTATGTAAAATGTTCTTTTAACATTATGTAAGTAATAAGTCTTAAGTGTCAAAATATTTAGAAAACAACTGAAAGGTATATATCTAAATATCATAATGGTGGGATTTTGATCCAAGGGTACAAACTTTCAGGTATAAGATTAATAAATTCTGAAGATCTAATGTACAGGATGATGGCTGTACTTCATAATAATGTATACTTGAAATTTTCTAAGAGAGGAGATCTTTTGTGGTTTTCATCAGACAAAACATGGTCACTATGTGATATGACCACTATGTTAATCAGCTTGATTGTGGTAATCATTTCACAATGCATAGGTATATCAAAACATTCACACTATACACCTTAAATATATTTAATAAAAAGTATAATTGTTTTAGCAATCTAGATGGTTTTCGGTATTTCTATTCTGTATTCTCTAAATTTTCTATAATAAGGTTAATTGTCTAATGGAGAAGAGTAGCATATGCTCTTTCAGTACATCTAATATAGCTTCTTAGGAAATTCCCTGCATTCTTTTTACGTGGCATGATTATATTTCTGAAGATCAAAGTAGATGACCAATATCCTAGAGCAGTAGCTATAAAACACAAATTAAACCAAACTCAATCAAATCCCCAAATAGGCACATTTCTCTTATCTAAGGGACTATACTTATTGCCATAAATTTGATATTTTATCATCTCATTGCCTATTATATTTTATAAGAAATATTAAATTAATTGCTCTTATCTGGAATTTGATTTTCCTAATTATGGTTCCACCTGGAACCTGGTACTTGGCAGCCAGGTCTTTTCTCTAGCTAGCATTTTTTCCTTAATTCTCATCACATTTCACTATCCCCATTTCTCAGCCAAGGCAAATCGCTTATTTTCTGAAGCATTTTTGTGGATAGAGTTCTGTCTTTCTTGAACCTGTTACCTCTCCAGGTTAAAGAATTCTGGATGGTTCATTGTTGTAATATCTTTTCCTGAAAAACAAATCATTAAATGCAGTGTTATGGGGTAAAATCACTTGAAAGATGTGGAGGGAGAATAAAGTTTACATTACTATTATTCCAAGTGACATGGAACATTGAAAATGAAAATTGAGGGATTTTTTGGTTCTTATTTACTCTGATACTAATCAAAAGTTATGGTTACCTTGGCAACTCTCTAAGCAAGTGATCATCTAGGTGGGAACAGAGCCGTTACTTTACTCTCTTGTACTCTGCCACGGAGCCAGGGAAAATTAAATTATGTTAAGAATAGATGACATTCTCCATGCCTTTGGTAGATGGCTTTAAAATAACATAATTTCATTTTTCGCACCATTTTCTGAAGTCATAACTTTTTCCTCTTTTTTTCTTAAATGACCCAACAATTCAAAAAAAGCAACTACATTAGAAACATTAGAGGATTTCATAAAAGCTGCGTAAAAAGAATAAACTGATTGAGATGCTATCAGAAACATTTCAAACTCTTCTCCAAAATCAAAATTGGGTTCGCTGTATTTAAAAATGCCTAGGGGGATGTTACTCATTATTATTATTTTCAGCTCACTGACTTCTAGTAACGGGGAAAGGCATGGAATGGTGGAAATGGCTGGGGTTTTAAGATCACCCTACTATGAAACTGAATATTCTGCAGAATTTAGAGATGTTGGCCAAAACACTATGCCTTCTGAGCCATGTTTCCTCATGAGTAAAATGAAATGAAGGTGCTCTCAGGTGGTGTTAAGAACCTTGCTATTCAAAATGTGGTCTTCAAGTGTGCTCCAATGGCACCAGCATTATGTGTCCATTTATTGAGAAAAGCTTCCAATGCAGAGGCCAGCTTTAACTCAACTCGAGATGTATTACATTTCCCAGATGTAATTAATCATAATCTGCATTGCAACAAGGTTCCCGGGTGATGCACATTATAACGTGAAACATAGTGATGGAGATCCTTGTATCATATCCTGGCTCACCACAGGTGCTCAAAAACTGATCATCACCGTTCTCCATCCACTTAACAGACATAACTTTACCTTGGCTTCAAACACTAATAAGTCCTGTTTTGAAGGCTGCATTAAAAACCCAAGCAGCTATCATTCAACTTCTGTTGACATTATGGGTTTCTGTTCTCTGTGGTTGAACACTTTAGCATCAAACCCAAAATGTGCTTAATAAGTAAAAATATATGCATCATTATTTAATTTAAATATTCAGGTTTTGGAGGTTTTTACAACATATTATATTTCAATCTAAATAGTAGGCATTAAGTGAACATATTTATACTAAAATCACAAATATTTGAGAAGTAGTTAAAAAATGAGATTTTTTTTGGATAAATTCGAAAGAGACAGTGTTTGTGGGTTTTGGGGTCACATTTCAATCCTGCCTTTGGCTACCTCTAACAGGTTACTTGCTACCATCTATAAAAATGTAATAGTAACAATATGTCCTACCTAATCCAGGTCAGTGGGAATAGCGTTACATCTTCCCCTCTGTTACTGTGTTTAGAAATAATCGAGTTTTAGATGGACATTTGTCTGCATGGATCCATGTACAAATATGTGAAAATTTTTTCACTACATAAAATTACCCATAATCTATCATTTGTTACCTCTCATTACGAGGATTAGAAAAAAAGTTTGAATTATTGAAAATATAAATGTATATATATATACACACATACATAGTTTCAAATAAATTATTAAAGTGTTCCCAAGTAGAGATCTTCAGGGATCTGTTTTAACGAAAACTGAAGATGAATCTGTAATTATCAATTATGCATATTAAAATTTTATTTTTTTGGAATGGTTTATGCTTTCTGTCAAGCTTGCCTCACCTAAGTGATAACAGGATTTTTTTCTCACTGGGTTAATGCTGGTGACAATCTATTATTTCACTCTTCTACTTGCCTGTTGTGAGCAGGGGTGTCACCCACAATAAAAGATGTTGGTAAATGTTGAAGTATCCATAAAAACAAGATAAACATATATCAAAGTAGCACAGACCTTAGAAATCTTTTTTTTCTTTTAACCTATCCAGTAATTGAGAAAAGTTTGAAGTGCACAGTTCGACCCTCCTAAAATTCTCTCACTTTCCAAATAAGTAGAGTACAAATTTATTAACCTGTAAGTTAGAAAGCTGGGTAGTCATTTTCTTCACCAAGAAATGATGAATATATATTATATAGTATAGACCCTTAAGCACTTATTTTTCTTGGCAAAAATCTTGCATTGATTCAGATGCTGTGGTTTGTGGCCCTTATACAGAGTCCTGTGAACTTGACTAGGACATTTAGCCTCTTTCAGCCTGTTTTCTAGTAAGGCAGGGACTTGTCTTATTCACTTCTGTACCTCAGCGGCTAGAAGGGTAACTATCAGAAATATTTGTCGAATGAACAAAACTATAAAATCTGCTGTGTGCAATTCTTCACAGTAGAGCCAACTGGAGTTGACCCATCACACTAATAGCCCCAATTGTTGGTTTATAGGCCTGCTAAAATACTGTTCCCCTCAGCTCTGGGGACAGTTGCCAGGGCCTAGGGTGGCTAGAACTCGGGGCAATCTCTCCCCAGCTGTTATCTAGCTTTTCCATTAGCTCAATAGCTACACTAATGAAGTATTCTCATTTTCTATGTATGCTATGGCATGAATAAAGTTGGAAAGCCCTTCTTTAGAGGAAGAGTGATAAACTCAAAATGTCCATATAAACTAGGCAGGTAATTTGAGAGAAGCAAGCCTGGTGTAAGTGCCTGCTAGCTGCTGCTAACTGAAATTGGTTGTAGAAACTTAAGTACTGAAGGTATGAAACGTGAAAGTGTAGTATAGAAAACAAATACCATGGAATTATAATATATGACATTTTTAATTTCAGTTGTAGAAGTATTGGCCTCTGAATCTTACAGAATTAGACTGCCATACTTCTGCTTATTGAGCTTATCTCCTGATCCTTCACCCTTTTTGGTCTTCATCTTTCTACCATGCTCCCCCCTTTTTTTTTATTACCAATTAGATTTTACCTCTCTTGCTATTTCAAGTGTAAATCCACACACAGCTTTAGGTTATAATTTTGATTTTGTGGCTTTTATTTCATGATACCACAACTCCTTTTCTGCCATCTTTTATTTACATGCCTATAAAGTACCAGGCAATATACTAAAGTATAGAGAAAATGTGATCAATATGGTATGTTCTGTGTTTTGATAAGCAGGAGACCATACAATAAACCTTTAATTGAAATTATAATAAACTTTGATGTAGCACTATCTGGGTATGAGGAATTATTCTAAGCATTTTTTCATTTGTTATCTTACTTCATTCACATGAAAAACATGTTGAGACTTTATGTGCTAACTTAAATTTGTCAAATTCTACCATAGGAATGCCAGACTTCCAAGACAGTAAATTCCAAGATGCTGGGCAGTCTTGATAAATTCCCATTATATGTTCTAACTTCATATACCTAGCCTCCCTTCCATTCTTCCTCTCTTTCTCTTTCCAAATCCACAGCTACTTCACAGGCACAATCTATGCATTTTTAAGGGTTTGTTGTGGTTCAGATATGGCATACTTCCTATTTTAAAGATGTCAGAAAATCTCAAGATATACCACTATGAATGTGCGCATGTGCATTTGTGTGTATACACAAATAAACTGTAATGTATTAAGAGCTATCTATGAAACAGGAGTTCTGCCAAGGGTATCTTCACTTCTCACACCAGCCCTGCAAGGCAAGAAATATAATCTCCATTTCAAAAATGAGGTTAAGAGGAAGCAATTTGTCCAAGATCACATAGCCACTGAATTTTAAAACTTAGATTCATACTCATATGTGTTTGACTTTAAAATCTACACTTTTCTTCATTGCCTCTCCTTTACTTATAGTAATTTAGTCCAACCGTTCATCTGATGCTCATAACCCATATGCAACTTCACTGACAAATGGTTAAACAGTTAATGCCTTCAAAACAGAAGTGACAAGGTTCCTATTTAATCAAAATGAAACAGACACTGTGGCCTGCTCTAAGCTTTGAAAGTTAAAGTCTCATTAAGTTGAAATATGTTTAAAATTAAAACCTTTCCTCCAGTGAAGATGACTCAGATTCTGTCCCTTGAACCATGTAGAATGTAGAATTTGCTTGCTCTTTTCTTTTCTTCTCTTTTCTTTCTTTCTTTTTTTTTTTTTTTTTTTTTTTTTTTAACAATTCTTCCCCCAAGCTTTCTCTTTTCCAAAAAAGCTGCACTTGGTTCCTCATCTGGTCTTCATGGTGCAGTTTCAATTCTCATCCCTATGCCTGTTTCTTTCTTAACATGCCTGAAATGAATATATCCTGCATGGTCAGCTCAGCCAGTTCTCCATTCTCTTTCTTCTGGTTACAGGTTTGCTCCACCCTATATTCTACACAGCCACTGGCCACAAGACTGATCACATGACCAAATCCTAGCCAACCACATTGTTCCATCTCCCTGACAATAGTGATTCGGTGAAAGGTTTTTAAATGACTGCAGCATAGTAATCAGAGCTTTTCTCAGGAATTTCTATCTAAATGTTAGGTGAAAGGAAGTTTACTCTGTCAGCTGAAACAGCTAAGCCAAGACTCTTTAGTGGTCATGCTTCCTCCCAGTAGTGAAGGCCTATATGAAATAAGAAAGGGTAAGGTCAACATGCAAGGAGAAGCAGTGATAAACAGAAATGAGAGACTGAAAACAAACAGAGAGACTGAATGGCTCCGAAATCCTGGTTTCCATTCCTAAAACTCAGGTTTAAGCAATTTTTTTCTTCAGGTAGGTAGATTATCTGAGAACTCTTCTTAGCAGTGTGAGCCAAAAAAAATCCCTTTCTTGCATGTGAAGTTTCTGTCGTTAACAAAGGAAAGAATCCTGACAGATGTATTCCACATTAAGGTGTGATGCCTGGGAACTGAAAATACTGTAAGGGGAAGCATGCCACCTCCCTTCAGCTACTTTTATTCCACAGTATGACCTAAAAATCTTTTAATTTTTTAGCAGCCATGTCAGCACTACTGACTCTCATTGAGTTTGTTAATGTATAAAATCACCATGAATTTCATATTTAATCTGACATACTAATACGATTAGATTCTTTGAGAGTCTAATTCTGTAATTCAACGTATTTTTTTTCTTCCAGCTGCATGTAATTTGCAAATTTAAACTTCCTGTCTATAGCTTTGTGACCTTGAGCAAATCTCTAAATATCTTTAAAATTTGAAGAATATCTATCTTATTGGTAACTGTGAGAATAAAGTTTATGCCAAGCAATTTCCTCAATGCCTAGCACATAGCAGTTGCTCAAACGTAGTAGTGGTAATTTTTAAAAAGAAAGAAGCTAAAGGAAGAGGTCTTTGGAAAATAGCAAAAATCTGTGCTCTAATATTTAATCAGTTCATTAATTAGAATCATGAATATGGTTGTTTAGGCCCTTGCAGATATACTTCCCTATATGTCATTCAGGTTATCTTCCTTTTGTGACTGTGACAAATACCTGGCTAAATCCAGATGGATGTAATCCACCTTTTTCAAATTCTTGTTCAAGGGGGAATGAAGTCAGTCTGACCTGACTCATTCTTCTTAAACTCATCCTGCTGATTTCTGTTTCCACTTCCAAATGCTTACAAACTGTTACTTTAATAGTCTGCTATTCAATTGTGCTTAACATTTATTTCAAGCTTGTAAATCACAAGTCATAAAGTTTGTGTGTGGCTAATTACAATCCCTTTTAAAAAGAACTACCACTGTATCTGTAGCCTTGTGGCACAAAACCCATTTTATCATGTTTCAAGACCACTGGAAGCAGAATAGCAGTTTCAAACACAAGTCTTTAGTAGCCTGAAACATAACTTCACAGAACTCTGCTGGGCACTTTTCTATAATTCATTCAACTACTCATAATGGGAAGTCTTTCTTATTGATAATGTTCATTATACATCTTAGTCCTAACACACACAAATTAGATATATACATACATAAATATGTGAATATATACAATGTTATAAGTTAATAAAAATATAAAATATACCACATAGTACCAACATTTTAAGTTTTGTTTATTACCCATGCTCTGAAAATTGGTGTACATGCATCTGAAGCTATAAATATTATTTGCTGCTATTTCTCAATTGGTTTCATGTACGAATCACTGGGCACCACCTACACTTCGTTCTCATATCAGGCCTGCAGCCCTCCCTAATAGCAATCAGTTTCATAGCTCTGTCTCTGTTTTTTTTCTTTCCCTTCCACACTTAATTTAATAATTTGACTGTGCCAGATAGAGTTTAAACAAATTAATTCTGTCCTGCTCTCAGGCAAATCACTCTAACTTAGCTTGTTGATGCTTTACCTTACAGGCATTTAAATTCATACAAGGTAAGATATAGTTAATTATGATAAATAATTTTTTTCATTCAACAGAATAATTATTCATATTCCTTGGCAGTTCTTAATTTATTAGTCTTCCTTAAAAACTATTGCTTTAAAACTTCTTTGGGCTTTTCTTTGTTGAATCACAAAATTCTGCTTATGTAGCTTGAACTCAACAAGCCTTATTAAATTAGAGGAAAAAACACATTGCCAATCTCTATCAAGGCTAGGTGCTTCAGATATATATATATATATATATATATATATATATATATATATATATATATATATATAACAATATTTAATTGTTCAGGGAACTTTAGCTAAACCCACATTTGAAAGCTAGTTGGGAAAAAATAAAATTATCATCCAAGAAAGCCAGTTTTAAAGTTATCATAAAAAGAATTATGATAACTTTCTCCTGCCTATTAGACTGTGTGGTTTTTCCCTTGCCCTCTCAGGTAACCTGCAATTCAGGATAATTGCAGTTGCCCCTCATTATCCTCTTTGTGTCTTATACTTAGGCTCTATGCTTTCTCATCTCCATCTACCCCTCCCCAACCCAGCTGAGAGGTGGGTGTAGTTGAAGTGCTACTCATTGTCGTTGTTTGGAGGTCTGGAATATATATCCATGTTCTTTTTTGTTTAGTTTTAATACAGTTTAACTAAAACATCAAATACAAAACACAGAGTATCAACCTGTAGAACTTACCTACAAGTTAACTAGAAAGAAAAAAAGAAAAAGAGATGTTATTGAGGTGTATTTGTTTCCTTTCTAAAAATCTAGAGTTTTTTGAGTGAGTGAATAGAAATACTAGGAAAGATAGTATTTAATTTTTACCTCTTTCCCCCCAAATATCCTTTCTGAATTCCATTTTCTCTTCTAGACTTAAATCCCATTTTTCTTACCATTAGTAGTAAACAAATACTCTGGGTTCCCTCACAACTCTTATCCCATTTTCTGGTTAAAGAGCCCTGATATTGTTTTGGGAAAGTACCACATTTCCATTCTCTCAGCCTATAGGATTCAGACATACCTTGGACAGAGAAATGGCTTACCTCTGGCCATAGAGAAGAGTACAAGAATGAACACTTGACCCAGGTTGGTCATTTTAGAGCCTGGTACCGGGGGCTTCTGATAGATGGAATGGGAAAGAAGCTTCTTTTCATGCAGTTGCTGAGAACATATGATGAAATGCTGGAGACTTTGACATCCGTTCTGCCAGCAACAGGAAGTATACAGTCTATAAAGGAAGCTCATGCAGACTAAGGCATAGCCAAGAACCTAAAAGAGCAAGTCTAGATACTGGTGACAACTTTGGAGAACACGTATTCAGTTGTTCCCAAAATCAATCATTGCTAAGAAATTTTAGCTACATCACATTAAAGCTTGTTTTTGCCCAAATCTGTGGAGATGGAAAGTTTCCTATCTCTCACAAATGAAAGAGTCCTGCCTAAAACATCATTTCCCTCCAAAAACATCTCTTCAATTCACTCAGCACTGAAAAGCATATCATTTAACTGCCATCTGTTCCACATTGTAAAAAAAAAAAGGTTACTTCAGACTTGTCTGTCTCTATTGCCTCTTCTTGTTGACCTTACTCTCACATCATATTATTATTTATTTTTACTATGTTCCCTATATCCTCAAAAGTTATTGGCATGATAGTAGGCACTTTTCTACATTTCTGTATTTCTTGTATAGAAATTTTCACCCATACTGTCTGTAGCTCAGTATGCATTTACTAGGAGTTATTTGTATTGATTAGATTGACATATCCTTCTTTTTTTAGTTGTATAAAATTAAAGGCTATAAGTGCAGTTTTGTTACATGGATATATTGTGTAGTGGTGAAGTTGGGCTTTTATTGTAAACATCAGCAAAATATTGCATATTGTGTCCATTAAGTAATTTGTCATCCCTCAACCCCTCCCACCTTCCTACGCTTCTGAGTCTCCAGTGTCTATTATTCCATACTCTTTGTCCAAATGTACACATTATTTTGCTCCCACATATAAGTGAGAACATGCAGTATTTGACTGTTTCTGAACTGGGTCATTTAATATAATGGCCACCAGTTCCATCCATGTTGCTACAAAAGACGTAATTTAATAGATATATGTGAAATCTGGTCATTAATTCTTACCTTTAAGCTTACTGAAAAGATAAAGGCCTAGTAAGTTGAGACTGGAATTAAAATGAATATCTTCATTATGAGTGAGAGAGACTTCAGAAGCACAGTGCCCTAAATATCAAGAGATGGCTCTTCCTCACCTGCTAAGTCCTTAACATTTGTATTTTGTCCAAAATTAATTTTTAGAGTACTAAAAGGATAACAGTTTATTGATATATGTTTTGAACTTTAAATCTCATTGTGTATCCAATAACAAATTGCTTGTTATTGTTAATAGTTATTTTAGTAGAATAAAGGGGTCTATATATTATTAGTTATTTAGTAGAATAAGGGGGTCTCTCTCTATATATATATCTCACACTTTTCCTTGAGACATATTCTTTTTCTCTTCTCTCCCCTTTTTCTTCCTCCTTCTCCTTCTTTTTGTTGCTTAACCTAAGGAGGTACTTTCTTCCAAAGAGTCTTCCTTAAATATGCATTGTATATAAAAGGAAAAAGCAAGTTCCTGTAAAAAACAAATGGTGAAACAGCAGTATTTTTCCTATTCGTATTTTAAATTCTGCATAATTTGGATCTCAATGAGCTGGTATCATATACAAACAGCCTGGACCCTTGAGATGTACTAAAACAAAGAAAATTTGCTCACATTATGATTGTTAATGGATGACTTAGTGTATGACAAGGATTCTTTACAATACAGTGAAGATAATTATAATTGAAGACACAAAGCAAAACCTGCTTCAGCTAGGAAATTCTTCAGAGGCACATGTTATTTTTATGGATCTCCTCAGGAAGGGGCAGGCCATGTCAATAACTAACATTTGCTATTAAAATATGAAGTAATCAAATAATATCAACCTTCAGGGAAATATGTTTAACTGCTTAATCAAGTTTTGCTTTAAACATTTTCCCTAAAAGTAAGAATGTATCATTTTTAAAATCCTGAGGCAGTTTGTAAAGTTGGTTAATGGGTAAGGAAATGTTAAGAGAACCACATTTTTTAAAGAATAAGTTATCTGGCCGGGCGCAGTGGCTCACGCCTGTAATCCCAGCACTTTGGGAGGCCGAGGCGGGCGGATCACGAGATCAGGAGATAGAGACCATCCTGGCTAACACGGTGAAACCTCATTTCTACTAAAAAATACAAAAAAAAAAAAAAAAAAAAAATTAGCCGGGCGTGGTGGCGGGCGCCTGTAGTCCCAGTGCCTGTAGTCCCAGCTACTCGGGAGGCTGAGGCAAGGGAATGGTGTGAACCCGAGAGGCGGAACTTGCAGTGAGCCGAGATCGCGCCACTGTGCTCCAGCCTGGGTGACAGAGCAAGACTCCGTCTCAAAAAAAAAAAAAAAAAAAAAAAAAAAAAAAAAAAAAGAATAAGTAATCTTTTCATTGTATGTAAATTACGACAGCAAATTAAGTCCAGAAAAAACATATAAATGAAAGGAATAAGAAGAAAAAATAGTTGAGATGAATAGGATGAAAAATTAAGTGAAAGTGTGGCAAAATATATTTATTTAGTGGTATGAAATGCAGTCCCTTGTGGGAAGGAAGAGTTTAGATAGAAATCTAGAGAAAAGGGAAACAGGAATACATTGTATTTCTCGTCAACCTATGTAAAAGATACTGTGATGAGCCATGATGATCTCCCTTCAGGACTGCAGGAATTATGCCCCCAGCTGGCAGCTCTTAACTGTGAGTCCTCTCTAGAAATTGCCTAGGCTGGAAAGGGTTCCCTCAACCTCAAGGTAGTAAGAGCCTGTATCCCATGATAAGTTGACTCGACTCTAACTCCTTGATCCAATGCAAGCCGACTCTGGAGGACTGCTCTAGTTTCTCTGTGGGGACAGCTGTGGCGTTTGTCAAGACTGAATCAATTTCTATCTGCCCAGTTCTGCTTCCTTCCTGTCTCTTCCCCTCCACAGGTGCTGATACTGAAAGTGTCCCCAAATAAATTTTACCTCAAACTCTACCTCAGGGTCTACTTCCTAGAGAACTCAGCTTGTAACAATCTGTGAAATTATTCCTTTGGTTGCTAATGGTTGTTGAGTAAATATTATTTGTTAGGGACCATGTATGTGTACTCTCTACATGGATTATGTCATTTGATCTTCCCAACCCACAAGGGATGTACTATTATTGTCCACAGTTTTCAGCTGAGGAAACTGAACTATAGTGAGGTTAAATCATTTGTTCTAGGTCTGTGGGTGAGAAAAGTTGGAGTTTGGAGCTGGAGTCTACCACACTGTCCAGGGAACTCTACAGGGAGACCAAGTTCCTAACAAGGAGGTAATGAGAAAGCTTTAGGAGTATTGACCCTACAGCGGGAAAGAGTCAACATTCAGGAAGAAATGTAGAGTCAAATTTAAATAGGCGCTTGTAACTCTCTTTGAATTCAAAACAATTAAGAAGGGCAAAAGTTGAACAATAATTAATAAGAATATCTAGTTCTGTCTGAAATTTAGAGATTTTAGTTTTTAAATCTTGAAATATAGTCTTCTTCTGAGGCTACTTCAGGTGATGACTTTTAATAGAAATATTAATTTCTAATATAACAATGTAGGCTTTTTAATTATAAAATTTAAGGTTTGAGGTAGCATCTAATCTAAAAGAACTCAGAAATGTTATCACTTAGTTTATCTCAGTATTATCATCTGCTAGAGAAGAAAAGGTTTCTTTTTTAAAAAATAAAATTTCCTTAATGTGTCCTTCTAAATATAATATGTAGTTATGATTAAAAACAGATGGAAATATAAGGTCTCAGAAAATATAAATTTTGTTATGCTTTTTAAAAATATTTTAATTGTTTTTATTTTAATTGTTTTTTCTTTGTTTAATTCTGTCATGTTTATTCTTCTCCATATCCCAAGTGCTCTCTAAAGAAAAAATAGCAGTAATACTACCAGGATTTCCTCCTTCCAATGCATCCTCTCTTGAGCAGTGACTCAATTTCTTGCTCGGAAATGGTGCCCCCAGCCATTGGTGGCTCAGGTTGAAAATGTGAGTCATCTCTGATGTCCGTCTTTACCTCAGACCCCACTTCTGGGCATTGTAAAATTATTAAAAATATATCCAGAGCTTTACTATTTCTTATTACTTCTTCCCCGCCACCCCAGTACAAAGACACCATTACCTCTTGTTTTTTAAAGCATGGTGTGATCATACTAGAGCTTTATATTCTTTTAAAACTTAATTATATAATGGATATATATCTTTATGAGCACCTAATATATATTTCAATGGCTGCTTAATGCCCTCTTGGGAAAATGTACTCCCAGTTTGAATGATGAAAGGGACCCTAAAGTCAGGGGTCACTTAGGGAATGTCAACTGGCTCTGTGGATCCAGTCTACCCAAAACAACAATACTTGATGGAGTCCTAGTATTGGAAAGAAAGAAAATTATTTTGCAATGAAACATATACATGGGAAAGCTGAGTGTGAATTCTGAACATGGATTCTGAGGCACTGTAGTCAGATATATGATGTCATAGTGTCTCATGGCACTTATCTTCATTTAAGAATATTTCTGCTCAACAGACCAGATTTGAGTGTTTTCAACCAAGAAATACTTGTATCATTTCCATGCTTGAAACCCCTGGATGGTTTCACATCATTCTTAGATTAAAATCTAACATTTCTTGAGATATCGACAGGACCTGACTTACCATGGTTTGACTTATGATTTTATAAGTTTATGATGCTGTGAAAGCAACTGTCCTTCAGTACAACATTCAATGCATTACATGAAATATTCAGTGCTTTATAAAATAGGCTTTGTGTTAGATGGTTTAGCTACACTGTAGGCTGATATTAGTGCTCTAGGCAAATTTAAGATAGGCTAGGCCAAGCTATGATGTTCTGTATGTTAGGTGCATTAAATGCATTTTCAATTTATGATAAGTTGATTGGGATGTAACTCCATCGTAAGTTGAAGAGCATCTGTAATTTTGTTTCTAGCCACCTCTTCTGTCTCATTTTCTACCACTTCCACCTTGCTCCAAACTATCAGTCTACATGTTGCACTTGTTTTCAGTGCCTGGAACTCACCAACTCCCTTGTAACATAAAGATCTTTGAAGATGCCATTCCCTTGACCAATGTCTCAACTCTGTTTGTCATTTTAACTCCCATTTATCATTCATGGTTCCTTTGAGATGTCATTCTTTTCAGAAAGCCTTCTCTGAAACACAGACTGGTTAAATTTGGCTAACATGAAAAACCCTTTTAGGACCCAAGTCTCTTTGGGGGCACTTGTGTTGGATGCAATCAAACAATAACGTTCACAGTTTTCTATGGAGCATGTATACATTTAAATGAAGTACATACCTGAAGACAGAAGTAAGGAAGCCATATGTGTTAAGTTGCATGAGGACAATGAACATACCTGTTGCTTTCTAAGATCTGGATATGCCTCACAGTGTTCTCTAGTACGTAGATACTTGGCTTTTTCAAAAATCTTTGGACAATTAAATTTAATTACTGTTTTTTTTCTAGTGTATGTACTGCTGTAATGATTATATAGTTACAAAACAAACACTTGCATTTTCTAGTTGGGTTTATTTCCTAGCATATACTAAGGAAATACTTATAAAAGGTGAATAAGCCCTTTCTGGGCTGGACTTTTTGATAAAGTAATAAAATTGTGTGATAATGAATACTTAATTTAAAAATACTTCTCTGAGCTTTCACTTGATTGTGGAGACTTATGTAAGTAAAAGCATTACCAACCTAGGAAGTAAGGGTGGCTAGCTGGGTTTGATTTCCTTCAGTCTTTCAGGAAATGGCAAAATGTTCAACCTTTTGAGAGAACTTAACTTTATGTTCCTGTTTTCAGTGCTGACACTGCTAAGAATGAATCATTAAATGTGAGAGGAAGGTTAAAGAAAAAATGTTTAACAAACTGTACTTTTCCAGTGCTACATTTAGAAAAAAATTGTTTTGAATATTGAATATATTTCAATAGCCAGGATATAATGACCATATATGTACGCATACATATCAATTGTTGGAATTTATTTATAAAAGCTTTTTTTTTTCTTTTTTAATGTGGAAATTCAGAAAGTACAGGTACAGATTCATTACATGGGTAAATTGTGTGTTACTGGGGTTTGGTGTACAAATAATTTTGTCACCCAGGTAATAAGCATAGTACATACCTGATAGGTAGTTTTTTGACCCTCACCCTCCTCCCACTCACCACCCTCAAGTAGACCTAGTGTCTGTTGTTCCCCTCTGTGTGTCCATGTGCAGTCAGTTTTTAGCTCCTACTTATAAGTGAAAACATGTGATATTTGTTTTTTTTGTTCCTACATTAATTCACTGAGGATAATAGCCTCCAGTTGCATCCATGATGCTACAAAGGGCATTATTTCATTCATTTTTTTTATGGCAGCATAGGATTCCATGGTATACGTGTACCACATTTTCTTTATCCTGTCCACTGTGGATGGTCCCCTAGGTTGATTCCATGTCTTTGCTATTGTGAATAGTACTGCAATGAACATACGGTTGCATGTGTCTTTATGGTAGAATGATTTATTTTCCTTTGTGTATATACCCAGTAATGGGATTTGCTGGGTTGAATGGTAATTCTGTTTTCAGTTCTTTAAGAAATCTCCAATCTACAGTAGTTGAAATAATTTACATTCCCACCAGCAGTGTGTAAGCATTCCCTTTTCTCTGCAACTTCATCAACATCTGTTATTTCTTGACATTTTAATAATAGCCTTTGTGACTGGTATGAGATGGTATCTCATTGTGGTTTTAATTTGCATATTTCTGATGGTTAATGATGTTTAGCATTTCTTCATATGCTTGTTGGCTATGTGTATGTCTTCTTTGAGAAATATCTGTTCATATTCTTTGCCCATTTTTTAATCAGTTTGTTAGCTTTTTGCTTGTTAATTTAAGTTCTTTGTAGATTCTGGATATTAGACCTTTGTCAGATGCAGAGTTTGCAACTATTTTCTCTCATTCCGTAGGGTGTCTGTTTACTCTGTTGATAATTTATTTTACTGTGAAGAAAGTCTTTAGTTTAATTGTCCATATTTGGTTTTGTTTCAGTTGCTTTTTGAGACTTCGTCATAAAATCTTTGCCATGGCCGATGCCTAGAATGTTATTTCCTAGATTTTCTTCTAGGGTTTTTGAAGAGTTAGGTCTTATATTTAAGTCTTTAATCATCTTGAGCTAGTTTTTGTATATGGTGAACTGAAGGAGTGCAGTTTCAGTCTTCTACATATGGCTAGCCAGTTATTCCAGCACCATTTATTGAATGGGGAGTCTTTTCCCTATTGTATAATAATGCTTACAGAATCAAATTTTGGTGGCTGAAATTAATTATTGAGAGGGTGGGGAAGATTTTTCTATGTTAGTTAAAGAATTAGAAATTTCTAATAAAGTGAAATAATGAAATTTATTACATAGCTGAACAAGAGGATTCAAACTCAGCATAAGAGGGAGGAACTACTTCATCTCTTTTATACCTTCATGAGCTTTGGTTGCATGAAATAATAACCTTAATTATACAAAATTCAACTAAAAGAAGCATTCGAGTATGTGTTCTGAGAGTTCCATTTTGGAGAAAAAGGATGAGAAGACCATCCAATTAAAAAATATGTATACACAGTTCATGTTGTTGACAAGTAGTTTAAGCCTTGGGTATGTATCACTATTTATGTATTTTATGCTAGACAATGATAAATAACACTTGGGGCAGTTTATTGTTTTAATTAATATAATTGAGTGCCTAAGATGTGTCAGGTGCTGTGATAAGCACTTTGGATTAAACGGTGCCCAAAATAGATATCTCTGTCCTCAGAGTTAGGATCTATCTAGTGGAGGACACAGACATGGGAAAAATAACTTTCTTTTTTCAAATTATGTAAATTATAACTCAGATAAGCACTGTGTGGAAAGTTACATGATACTTTAAGAACATATAACAGGGGTGTTTGACCTAATTAGGAAAGTAAGAGAAAGCTTTCTTAGTGAAGGCATGGTAGAATAGTGAGATGAAGAATAATGTAATACTTAGTTTAAGAAAGAAAGCAGAAATTTCTATGGAAATCAGTTTTAATAAAGTTGTTCTTTGCTATTGCACTCTATAAAAAATGAATATGCTGAAGGCATGAAAACTTTTGATTTTTAAATTTTTAATTATGACTACATAATAATTGTACATATTTATGGGGTACATGTGATATTTTGTTACAAACATGCAATGCATAATGACCAAATCAGCGCAATTGGGATATCAATCTCCTCAAGTATTTATCATTTGTTTGTGTTAGGAACATTCCAATTACACTTTTTAGTTATTTTGTTTTAGTTATTTTTGAAATAAATAACAAATTACTGTTACGTATAGTTGCCCCATTGTGCTAATGTATACTAGATTTTATTTATTCTATTTAACTGTATCTAATATTTGTACCTATTAACTATCAATTTCTTCACTATTCCCTCTCTGAAATATACATTGTCAAAAGATTTTGGATACCATTTTACCTTTTGATATATATGTATATATTTGCATACACTGTATTTGGTTTATTTTAGCAAAATCTGATGATATTAAATATATTCCTCTAAAGTTTATAGGTTTTTGTTTTGATTTGCTTTTGTTTTTCACCTTATAATAATTTTGGATACCTTTCCTTGTCAACACTTATGGAACTTTTTATTATTCTTAATAGCCGTATAAGATTTTATTCCTGCATCTAAGATTGTTATTTAGTGATCCATCTAAGGACAATATGGTTCATTTAATTTTTCATAATTATCATTGATGATGAATAAAACATTCTTATTGATTGTGGGGTGTTTCTAAAGAGTATAGTAGAAATGTTAGGTCAATGGATATGAACACCTAAAATTTAGTATATTTCAGTATTGCATTCTAAAAGTTTGTAATATTCCCATATACTTCCATGAATAAGGTATACGAGTACCCATTTTCAGTTTTGTTTGATAAAATTACATATTGATATATCATATTCTCTCTCTTTTTGAACCACTTTATTGAGGTATACTTGACATGTAAAAAGCTGTACATATTTAATGTATACATGTCAATGAGTTTAGAGATAAATATATACCTGTGAAACTACCACTACAGTCAAGGCCATAAAAATATCCATCACCTTCTAAAGTTTTCTCCCACTTCCTTTATTACTATTAGATTTTTTGGTTAGACCCCATATAATATCTACCTTCTTGGCAATTTTAAATAAGCAATACATTGTTGTTATACACACTATGCTTTAGAGTAGGTCTCCAGAACTTATTCCTGTTGCATAACTGAAACTTGATATCCTTTAACCATCACCTCCCCATTTCTTCCTCTCCCCAGCCACTGGCAACAACCAATCTATTCTCTATTTCTATGAGTATGACTATTTTAGATTCTATATATGAGAGAAATAATGCAATACTTGCCTTTTGTTTGTTGGCTTATTTTACTTAACATAATGCTCTCCAGGTTTATCTTAGGTGTTACAAATGGAAGCATTTTCTTCTTTCTTGATGATGACTAATATTCTGTTGTATGTATATACCACACGTTCTTCATCCATTCATCCATGATAGATATTTAGATAGTTTCCATATCTTGGCTATTGTAAATAATGTTGCAAAGAATTTGTGAGTGCAAGTACCTCTTCTACATTTTTTGAATACATACTGAGAAGTAGGGTTGCTGGATCATACAATACGTCTAATTTTAATATTTTCTGTTGTCCATAATGGCTGTACCAGTTTTCATTCTCACCAACAGCATACACGTGTCCCCTTTCTTCACACCTTTGCCAGCACATGTTACCTTTTGTCTTATTTGTCTTTGTATCAATGATTTGTTTGAGTTCCTTATATATTTTGGATATTAATCCCTTATTAGAATTATGGTTTGCAAAGGTATTTTTCTATTCCATAGGATGTCTCTTCACTCTAATTATTGTTTCTGTTGCTGTGCATAAGCCTTTTAGTATGATATTATCCCATTGGTCTATTTTTAAAAATTCTTTTTGATGCTATTAATTGTCAATGATATTCCTTTCTTAATTTCTTTTTCAGATAGTTTGTTAGTGTATAAAAATGGAACTGTTTTCTGAATGTTGATTTTGTATTCCACAACTTTACTGAATTTATTTATTAGTTCTAACAGTTTTTGGTGGAATTTTAAAGATTTTCTCTACATATGGCCATGTCATTGGCAATAATTATGTTCAGTTTTTTAATAATCAGTGACATTCATTTTGATGCCCTTTTTTAACAAACTGATTTATCACTTTTAACTTCACCTCTAAGTAATATAGAATAATGATCACTTGTTTGATTTACCAAATTTGATGTAATTTTATGGTCCAAACGTGCCTTACATGTGCAATACCCCAAACCAAAACATCTTCAACATTTAAAGGAGATACAGCATTTTCAAAAGTGAGCACAACTTAGTATACAGAAAGACTATATATCCTTTATTTGTGTAAGGAAAAAAAAAGAACAGTATAAGTGAATATTATAGTACACTGCTAGTGAGAGTGAATTTCAGCACCTCCCATTTGAAGTCATACACAGATGTCTAAAAGAACAATAATCTATTTACAAAGATCTGTAGGGAATATATTATACTATATTGAGTAGAGCACTTATATCTCTGGGATATATTGAGGTTTTTCTTTAAACATGTCATCAATTTTTCTGAGCCTTCTATGAATACTTGAGCAAAATACATCTGTTGTCTTTTAGGTTTTATCTATTCATTCTACTTTAGTAATCATATTGCTCTTATCCTTTATGCCCTTTAACTTAAACTGGAGCAACATGTTCTAATGAAGAATAAGCAAATCCACAAGTGACATATGACACATTTTTTTGGAGTGTTGATATCATTAGAAAACTCTGGTAACTTCTTAAAGTTTTATTTTGAGAAGCATCACTGCTATGTATACTTAATAACCCTGAATAAATATTTCTGCTATATACAGATGTTACTTTTGTAAACATCTACTGCTCTTGTATCTTCATGAACACTTTATTTTCGAGTTTCAATTTTCTTTTCTCTTTTAGTGCTTTCTTTTTGGCACATAGATATTTATTAACTTTTAGATTTATTTATTACCTTTACTTCAGATATATTGATATATTTGGATATATATTAATAGACTGTATCAATTTTTGGTGTCCTAATTTTTCCTTTGCCATACATTCTAATTTACCTATTAAATGTAAATTATTCATCAAGGCATGTTTACCAATCCTTTTATATATGACTAGTTTTATTTTCCTTTAGAACTGCATGTAAGTAGAAAAGCGGGAGGTAGTCTATTTCAAAAGATTATGCTTTAGAATAGTGGAAGTAAATTTTTATATTTATCTTTTAAAATGTGCTTATTTTATGGCCTTCTGCTATTTTGTTTTCTTTTCTTTTACATCGTTTCTATTTTCTTTAATTCTTTGAATTTTTAAATATTCTTAAGATGTTAGGGCAGTAAAACCTGTTTTCAATTGTAATGTTAACAATCCTTATGTTTTACCTAATATATTGTTAAGACTATATTCATCTAATTTTAAATTAAAAACAAAACATAACTTTAGGCTTTTCTATATAAAAGATGGGAGATTATGCACTTTTAAATTATTTGTTCCCAGCCCAATTTATTCTATATTAGAAGTTTTGGAATTATGTAGTAGATTATTTTTTCTTTCATATACAAATTGCTATTATTTTTAAATTATTAATAAAGTTATGTATTTATTCAGTGCTAATGTACCTCCCTAACCCACAGTACTGACAAACTCATGCTTATGTTTTTATTTCAACTTCTTTCAGAAAACCTGACTAATATGTTTAGATAAAGTGCTTAGGTAATACATATTTTGAAAATTTTATATGAACTACTTTTTTCTTGTGTATTCAAAGATTCATACTTATAAAATGACATACAACTTTTGGTGTGTTAATACTTTTCCTCAAACCTATTATATAGTTCTTTGTTTTATTGTTTTTGTTGTGGAGCAAATCAGAACAATCTGTCAATGTCCCAATGACCAATACTCAAATAATCGGAGAAAGAAAATTAATAACAATAGTATTGCCTTATAACACATATTCTAAAATAAATATTTACATTTACTTGTTGATAGAAAGAAATAATTGACTAAATAATTGGGTATAAGGAACATCTTTCTCTTACATAAGAAGCCTAACAAAAAATATAGAATTAATGAGAGAAATAGAAAGCCTCATTAGAATTTAGCAGTAATAACAGTCAGGCAAGATCTACCAATGGTTGCTAAAAATCAATGAGCGTAAGTATGAGTAGAAACAGGATGTTTGTATAGAATCAAAGGACCTCCCTTAGGATATTTATTAATTTCAAAGAGAAAAGGAGTAAACTTAAATTAGAGATATCTGGCAGACAATACCTTAATAAAGTGATCAAATTTACTATCACCAGTAAAATGACATACTAATAATGTGGTTCCTGATATCATATACTGATAACCCATCACTTTTCTGTTACCTTTTCAAATGTGCATAACTTCACATTAATAATGAGAAATAATCAAACAAGTCCCCAGAATGAGAGACTTTACACAAAATTACTGAGCAGTACTCTCAAAGTTGTCATCATGAAAGGCAAGGAAAGACCAAGGAGCTGTCACAGATTAGAGGAAGGGGTAAGGAGATAACTATTAATAAAGTTAACGTGGAATCCAGAACCAGATTCTAAGACAGAAAAAAGTATACAAATTTATGATATGTTTAAGGTTAATTTGAAGATAAGAGAAACCTCATATAAGAGAGAAAATGCTGAAACACGTTTTCAAAGATAAAGGAATGGTGTGCTATGCTTCAGCCTGGAAATATTCTATATCATAAAGATGCCAATATTTCATCTTTTTCCATCTTCCACATTTTCAATGAAATTCTCCTCCAAATCTCCAGATAATTTTTAATGAAATTACCATTAATATGTGAAAATTAATCTAGAAGATCTAATGCACAAAAATGGCAAAACACATTTTGGCAAAGAACCTGAAATAAAGGAGAAAAGCCTAGTCTTAACACATGAGGAATAAGTTCTCAACAATACTGATCAATAGGATACAATGAAGCTGTCCTTAAAATTCTGGAAGAAATTCATTACAATTTAAGATTTTCATGGCAGTATTGTTCATAACCATCAAAAACCAGAGACTCTCTAAATGAGCAGCAACAAGAATATAGATGAAATTAATTTTGGTATATTCAAATAATATAATCTACATATCAACAATACTGAAAAAAAACCTCTCACACTAATGGAAAAGATAAATTTCATAAACTTAATATTTAGTAAAATAAAACAAAGATATGTACTGTGTGATTATATTTAAATAAAACATGTTAGACATAGACATTAGGATAGCAACTACCTTTGGAGAGAGGGCTGGGTTCATGATTGGGAGATGTTAGGAAGAGTTTCACTTTAGCTGGAAATACCCCATTTTCTAACCTGGGTTGTTGACACATAGGCATGTTCACTTGGTGATCATTTATTGAAATGTATACTTAATGATTTATTCAGTTTTCTGTATGTATGTTATAGCTCAGTAAAAAGTACTAGCTGAAGATACAGAGTAATAAAGCTGTGACCTTTCTAGTTCTAGATCCTTGAGGAATTGCTACACTGTGTTCCACAATGGTTGAACTAATTTACACTCCCATCAACAGTGTAAAAGTGTTCCTATTTCAGAAATACTGTTTGACCCAGCAATCCCATTACTGCGTATACCCAAAGGATTATAATACCCAAAGGATTATAAATAATGCTGCTATAAAGACACATGCACACATATGTGCATTGTGATACTGTTCACAATAGCAAAGACTTAGAACCAACCCAAATGCTCATCAATGATAGAAGGATAAAGAAAATGCACCACATATATACCATGGAATACTATGCAGCCGTAAAAAGGGATGAGTTCATTTCCTTTCTAGGGACATGAATGAAGCTGGAAACTATCATTCTCAGCAAACTAACACAGGAACAGAAAACCAAACACCACATGTTATCACTCATAAGTGGGAGTTGAACAATGAGAACACATGGACACAGGGAGGGGAACATCACACACCGGGTCCTGTCAGGGGGTTGGGGGGATAGGGGGAGGGATAGCATTAGGAGAAATACCTAATGTAAATGATGGGTTGATTGGTGCAGCAAACCACCATGGCATGTGTATACCTATGTACCAAACCTGCATATTCTGCACAAGTATCCCAGAACTTAAAGTATAATAATAATAATAATAATAATAATAATAATAATAATAATGATTGGCAAATGTGACCTACACATTTGCAAAGAAAAGGACAAATATCCTTTTAAAGCTTTATTTAAAAAAATGAAAATCTATTAAATGGCTTCTTCTATTTGAAAATAAAAGTAATTAAATAAAAAAAAAGCTATGACCTTGATATAAAGCCCTTCCTAAGGAATGTGAGAATTGCATAAAATAAGATAAATAATTTTGACCCCACAAATCTGAAATCCTCAATATTATAAAAACAGATAAAAGACAAGTGGTACACTGGGAAAAAATTTGTCAAAATAGAATAAAACATTAGATTATTATCTGGATTATACAAATTTCAAATATATTTTAAAAAGAAAAGGCAAAGCAATTCATAGATAGCGTCAAAGCCTATGATCAAGTAACTCACAGAAGAAATATAACAGAGGCCTCGCATGGTGGCTCAAGCCTGTAATCCCAGCACTTTGGGAGGCCAAGGCAGAATGATCACTTGAGACCAGGAATTTGAGAACATCCTGGGCAAGATAGGAAGACTCCATCTCTACAAAAAATAAAAAATTAGTCCAGCATGGTGGCTTGTGCCTGTAGTCCCAGCGACTGGGGAAGCTGAAGTGGGAGGATCACTTGAGGTCAGAAGGTGGAGGCTGCCCTGAGCCATGATTGTACCACTGCACTCCAGTCTGGGTGACAGAGTGAGATTGTGTCTCAGAAAATAAATAAAAATAGTTGATAAGTATAAAGGAATGACTTCACATTTAGTATTACCTAGAAAAATGCAAATTAAAATACATATTAGATTTAAATAAAAACATTACCAGTATCATATGTTGGCATATATGAGGGGAAATACATAAGAGTATAAATATGTACAGCCTTTGAGGAGGTCAATGTAATAGTACCTGTGCACAAGTATTGTCTTTGGCCCAACCACGAACTGTTTAG
The DNA here is from genome assembly GCF_000001405.40 of Homo sapiens. Classification (NCBI taxonomy): domain Eukaryota; kingdom Metazoa; phylum Chordata; class Mammalia; order Primates; family Hominidae; genus Homo; species Homo sapiens. Next base: position 29,018,155 of record NC_000011.10, read on the forward strand.
GTGCCTCACCTATGAGGTTATACATGCATACTCATGATTAATCATGTACATGCATTTTAGGTAACGAGGAAAAATTGAAAATAATATAAATCTACCAATTCATAAAAAGTAATGCAACCTCTGATGTATCCACATTGTAGAGTTTCAAGAATATGATAATTCTACATCTAATAACATGAAAAGATCCTTAAGTCATATTAGGAAATAACAATAGTAAGTTACAGAGCAATATATCTAGTTGGATTGTAATTCTTTATAAAGAAATAATTCTTCTTATTTCTTTATAAAAGAAAATAAGCTATAAGTATACATGAGCTTTTATGTGCATTCATGTGTCTGTTTTATTTTTGTAAATGTAAAGGAAAAGTTCTAGAGAAATAAACAAGAAAACAATCACAGTGACAGTTCTAGAGAAGAAATTAAGAGGAAAGACTTCACAAGGACTTTCAATTTTTACCTATTGTTTAAATTTTTTTTACATAAAGTCTCTATCCTGCTTTACATAAATAACTAAAAGGGAGAAAAACAACAATAAAGAACCTCAACACAGATGTGATTCATGTTTTTTTATTGTAATATTCATGTTTTACAGTGCCATTCTTTGGCAGTATACTGAAGGGGTCAGCATTTGCACAAATACTTAGTCATTCAGTAATACAAGAGATACGGAGGTGATAAATGAAATACTCAGTTGTTGCCACAACAAGGCAGTCTTAGTGAATCACGTAGGAAATGCCAGAAAGACAGCTGAGTGTAGACAAAACACTAGGAGAGAATACAGACATAATCACCATTTCCATGGCCCTTACTGTGTATGTTTTTCAATTCTTCTAATTATTCTTCTCTCTGAGGGACACATTAAAAAATGAAAGTAGTTTCTTACCACAAAGAAAGTACTTTAAAAAGCTATGTTAGATTGCTAAATATGGATTTTAATGAGTATCTAAAAAATTCTCATGGCCAAAGCATATTTATCTGAGCATTCAGTATATGTGTTTTAATTATATTAAGTGAGATTTCTGAACATCTGACATCTGTTTACTAGTCAACTCTTAATTATTTGAGCATAACAATGTTAAATGAAATGTTTTAAGGAAGCTGTTGGAACTCTGCAGTTCTAAGTGCGGTCCTAACAAATTCATAGGAAAGCCTTAGAATCCATCCCTGCACTCAGACACAATGGAGTCCACTTGCTCTTTGTTCTTCCCTTATTTCCTTGTTTTCTTGAATTTGTCTGCTTTTTCTTACCACCTCTCCTTCAGTAATGGTGCATTATTCACCAGGCCCTGTGTAAGACAATGTTGGCATCTTATAATCAGAGGAGTGGGTCTGAAGTTTTTTATTCAGAGACCGTGTACATAGAGATATTTAAAAATCATTTATTTCTCTAATAAAACAGTCTATCGTAATTGCTGTTTCTGCTATCATATTACTAAGAATACAGGGCCAGCAGGCAGAAAGCTTCACTTTGAAACCCAGCTTCCCTACCTGTGACACTTACTGGCTCTGTGGCTTATATTTTCTTTCTAAATGTCAGCTCTATGTCTAGTAATATTCTGGCCCTGTATCCACAACAACAGCAAAGCATAATGTTCTCAGTGTGTTTATCCAGATTCCAGAAGGCTCAAACTTTGTTTTTCTTTAATAATAATGACGATGATGGCTAATATTCATTGATATCTTACTCTGAGCCAAGCACTGCACTAAGCCCTTTATATGGATTATCCTATTTAATGCATACAATTCCATAAGGAACATATTATTCCATTTCCACAAATAAGAAATCTACAGATTAGAGAAGTTAAGTAACTTGTTCAAGGTCACATAGCTAGCAAGTGATAGAATCCAAAGCCAAGCTCTTAACAATTACAATATTCTGCTTCAATTATTTCCTGAGTGGTTTCCTTCCCCCACCTCACAGGTTGCCTGCCCAGCCTGTTGCTAAACTATGTCTGGCAGAGGATATCTCTTTCACCCCTGAGATGGAAAACCAGTATCTTTGCAGCCTTTTTTTACAACTACGAGCTTATGTGGTGGTTAACTTTAAGTGTAAATTTGAGTGAGTCATGGGATGCCCAGATATCTGATTAAACATTATTTGTGGATGTGTCTATGAGGGTGTTTCTAAAAGAGATTAACATCTGAATTGGGGGACTTAGTAAAGTTGATTGCCCTCCCTAATGTGGAGAGACATCATTCAATCTGTGGAAGGCCTGAATAGAACAAAAAGGAGGAGCAAGTTTGGATTCATACTCCCTCTACCTGATTACTTAAGCTAAAACATCAATATTTTCTGCCCCTCAGGATCCTGGTTCTCAGGCCTTCAGACTTGGATTAAAATGTATACCATCAGCCCCCTGGCTGCTGGGCCATTGAATTGCGCCCTCAGATTTTCTGTCTTTAGCTTGCAGATGGAACATCATGGGATTTATCAGCCTCCATAATCATGTGAATCATACCTTATAATAAGTCATGTCTATTTATCTATCTAGTTATCTATTCTATTGGTTTCGTTTCTCTGGAGAAGCCTAACTAATACAGCCTGCTTCCCACTTCCTTTTGAAAAAACACTAACCACCATCAGGATGCTTTAAAGGAGTAAAACAAAAGCATGCATTCAACAAATGAGCTTCTACTAAGTGTCACACACTATTCCAAGGAATGCAGATATAGAAATAAGAAAAACAAGGTATCTGGCTTACTGGCACTGATAATGCCAGAGTGAGAGGACAGGAAATAAACATGTAAATGATTAAGATAATTTTTGAAGTGATATATGCTTTGAGGAAAGTAAAACAGAATGATAAAAGTAAGTGACTTAGGGAAGGCTACTCTACTTTGCAAAAGACAAAGTAATACACCTGTAGGGTCTTTGTTGAATGGAATATGCTATGTCCACAAAATGGATTACTAATTAGTGGCAAAAAGTAACAGGAGGATCTCCAAATGATAAGAAATGGTTGCCAGAATGGTTTGTTACTTGGTATATATTTGCTTATGATTTTAAGAAAAAAAAACAGTGGTTATATAAAACAGAAAACTAATGAAAAGGGTTATTGATAGGAAAGGAGGAAAAAGATCTGATTGGAAGGGAATGGAAGGAAGATTTCTGTCGAAATCATTGGTATATAATTTCTACTATGGAAGACAGATTTTTTCATAATTTAAATACATTTATTTATTCTAAAAATAGTCCTGAAGATTAAAAAGTTCACTAAGATCTTTTTAAAACAATTAAATATTAAGTAAATACCATCCATACTAGCTCCTTACTAATTTTCAAACATGCCAATGTTATTGGTGCCTCAGGGCTTTTGCATTTAACATGGTCTACATGGAGTAGTCTTCCCCTATTTCCCATAGCTTGCTGTCTTACTCTGTGAGGTTTTTGATGGTATTCCCTGAGTAACCTGTCTAGAGTAGCAGCAGCTTCGTTTTTCTTTATGATGTTTATCACCATCTGCCAAGCCATAAGATACAGAAGTTAGACTGGAACACCAAGGAAGAAACTGATAATGTTTAATGGTATGTTTTCTTCTCTTCTTTCTAGGCTTAAAGCTAGCTTAAAGCTAGATTATATTTTCCAGCCTTCTTTGCAGTTAGGTGTGTGTAGCCAACCATGTGGGTAGATTACATTCTTGCCAATTGAATATAAGTAGAAGTGATGGCCATCCAGTTGCAGATTTGACCCATACAGTTACTATACCCAGTTCCCTCATTCTTACTCTGTCTCTCCATGTACCACTGAATAGAGAAGACCCAAAAATTTAGATAGGGGTGGAGTTTCCAGAGCAAAGCATCTTGGGGCTGAAAACCTGCTGGAGAAGGGTCCCTCTACTAACTATCCTATGTTTTCCTGGGACACAAACAGAACATAAAACTTTATGTTAATTCATTGTATTTATCAAAGTCTATCTAAACAGAAGAATGGAAATCACTTGAAGTATTTACAGCAGAAGAAAACTAACTCAAGGAGTTAGTTAGATAAAAGGAAAGAGAGTCAAATATAAGATAGATAAACCAGAGTTGAGTATCAGCAAGGAACTACTACCATTTTAGACAAAGACGGATAAAAGGAAGTGTTGTGTTCTTCTAAGGAGGTAAAAAAATACCTACATATGGTGGCTAGTGATCTGTTTACATAGAGTCACCATGTCATTATTTCACAGTTTCACCAGATGACAATAATAATAACAAGCTAGATGTGGAATTTTTGTAGGTAATATTCTCACTGTTCTCTGTAAAAAAAAAAAAAATTGTCACCAGGTCTGAGCTTCAGAATGAAAGGGGAATATCTGGAAGGAGAAGGAAGAAAATCTGGTTTCAGACCAAAATGGAACTGAGTCATAAAATTTGCATACTGAAAGTAATGACTTCAATTTGTTCCCTAAAACTGAAACTAATCAATATCTGTTATATAAGTATAAATCTCACCTAAAATATTAAAATTAAGATAAATATATACAATTATGACTCACCTATAAAATATTAAAATAAGTAGATTAATGATGATGACGACTGTGATGATGATACAAGATATTATTATGCCACACTTTAAAAAAGTATTCTCACATCTTTCACGTTGGATTGACCTTAAAATAGCTCCTCATGTTAGCATGGCTGAAATTAGCAATAAGAAATGCCTTTCAGTCTGTTGCCACCCTAGTTACCTTTTTGGGGCATGTTCAAATTAGTCAGTGTTCCAAATAATGAATAACATCTTGAAACGGACACAACATTCCTGATTCCTAAGTAAGGTATGGCATGGCAGTGCTGTGACTTCCTTGATCTGCATATGCACTAGTAGATAAAGGCAATATACTATAGTGCTGACAACTAGACTTCACAGGCATGAATTCCTGCCCTGCCAGCCATTGGTGATGTGACTTTGAGTAACTTATTTCTTTGTTTTTCAATTTCCTTTTCTGAAAAGAAAGTGCATCCTGGGAAGAAGCATTGCATTTTGGCAGTTGGGTTGTAACAGTCTTTACTTAAGCAACTCTTTTTCCGTGTGCTTTCTCAAAGGAAAATGGGAATCTCATCACTCAGAATAAAAGTCTATAAAAATCAAGTTTCCAAATGAATGCAATGATCCATGATGGAAGCAATCATTATCTTGGGTAAAGATTAGATAGACAATGAGTCTTTTTTTTTCTACAATTGTAGGTTTAGGAGGCCCTGTAACTACATTCTTGTGTATTATCCATTGCTTTCCCTAGTGTGAATTATTGATAATCATTTTGTTGTACTATTCTATGGAATAATTAAAGTTTATAGGCAAAACAAGTATTCCCAGAACTTGACAGCTATTGAGGGGGTGGGACATGTATATACAGAGTTAGTGGAGTGGAGAGAACAGCTGTTTCTTTAGTAATGCCCTATGTGAGATACTGGCTTCATTACATTTACTGCCTTTGTAAACTTAATTAACAAACATCTGCATCCTACTACCTATTCCCCAAGGTTCTGACATTTTCCTCATATTGAAATACCTTCATTTTTATTGATTGAACATTCCCCAGGCAGTTCTTCTGACAAAGTTACCAATTGGTGATATGTCGGCATAAAGCAAAGACTAAAAGCTATACTTTCTGAGGCCTTAATTCGTTAGAATATCAGTGCAATTTTTCTAATCATGGCTTATAGGAGAAAACTGGGTACATCACATAGTTTTCCTTCCTTTCTTTCTTTGTGTCCAATCCCACAGATGTCAGCAAAAAATTCAAGATCACTTCCATGTCTGTAGTGCATGTCTAACTAAGTTTCAGATCAATTCAGTTTGAGTTTTAAAAATAACCAGTGATTCACTATGCAGATCTTAGATGTATTTTTATACTCCCAGGCATATTCCTTTGTCCCTTTGGTGCCCCTTCAAAAACCACCCAGGGTTTGATCTTCTTCAGTAATGGCAGATTTATTGCTGTGATAACAAGGAATGGGGAAATCTGTCTGCTTCTCCTTCCTATAAATGCGAGGACCTAGAGGTGGATTTTGATGGAGCTAGACAAAAATTATTTTACCTCCTAAAGACCTCTGGTGGGTGGGATTGTGGGCAAAAGATACTGTTTCTAAAAGCCCTCTGAACTATGCTCATTTCTCTTAAAGTTATTTCAAAGGACATCCCTAGCAACCGACTGATTGCTCAGCCTGTATTATCAATGGCCTATGTAGGTGCCATGATTTAAATTGGCTCCCTGGCTTCTCAGGATGATCGTTAATATTTTCGAGGAATACAACCCCATGCCAATGGAATACTGTTTGGAAATGGAAAATTACAGACATATAGGTAAAAAAAATTCATTTTTATAGAAAAAATGTTCTTTTAATATGCTGCGATTATTTTTAGATGTTGAGATGAGAGCATGACTCACCACCTTCCATTTCTTCCACCCCTTATGCCGGCCCCCACTCATCTTTCCTGACACATCGTGATGATGAAGGGAATGACAGCCTGTTCTCCACAGTGTGGTCATCACCACATGTTGCAGCTGCTTTGGGGAAAATACAGGGTGCTCTATGTCTTGGCTACAGATCCCCAGATTCAACGTCACTATTCTGTGGGTCACTGCACACTGTGACCTAAAATATATCCCAAAAGGCATTCAATGGGAGCACCTCTTTCTAGTGGTTACCAATCAGATTTAGAATATCAGGAATCTAGACTCAAATGTGGCCTTCACCCCTTAGAAGTTGATTAACACTAGGTGAGGTTTGTGATCTCTCAGAACATATTTTCTACAAAGAAATGAATAATACCCACCCAACAGGGTTATGTGAAATACTAAATGAGATCATGATTACAAAGAATTTTGCACCAGGCTTTGCATAGACTGTTCAAGCCATTGTTGTCAGAATAGTGAATATCATCGTTGTAACTGTTGGAGCTCAAAACATGATGCCCCACAACATGGCAGCTTGACAATTGAGAAAACCGCAGAAGCAAGAAGGTCACTGACTTTCTCCCATCTTTCCTGCCTGAAACCTGACTATAAAGGCTTTCTCTGACCTATTTTGCTCAGGAAGAAGGAACGTGATAAAGAGACACAGGAAATAATGTGAACAAACAGGCCTTGCTGAAGGCACTCTCCACTCTGCATTCCTTACCATTAGATCATACCCCTTTTTGTCCAATCATGTTTCTCCACAACTATCCACTTATATCATCAGATTTAGCATAAAAAATATACAGTTTTTCTTGGGTCTTTGGGCCTTCATTTCTGAAGGCTCCCAAGTCAGATAAAACTTTTATTAAATAAGTTATGCCTTTCTCTTGTTAAGCCGTCCTTTGTTATTGGAGTATCAGCCATGAACCTTGCAAATAGTGAGGACAAGGTATTAAATTTTCTCTTCTACATAATCATAGTGATTCCAACTTCAGCTGTTCCCATTTTTTCCACTGCAAAATTAAAATATTCCTGTAGCATCCACTAGAATATCATGAGACTAAATTTCTACATCTTTATATAAGCATGGTGTGCATTTATGGGAAGGGTCTTAAGAAAATCCAAATCATTATTACTGTGATTGAGATTTAAATTGAGGGGGCAGCTATTTGTTTTTTGATATTGAGAGAGCCAGTTCCTCTGCCATTTGATTTTTTTTCTTATGCTTAAGAGACAATTATTTATTTGTAGTCAATTTTATCAAGCCTTAGGCATGATTCATATTCTGTCCCATCCCCAGCCAAGATGCCTGCCCACCTGCTCCCCCACACTCCCCAGTTCTGTCTCATTGCAGGCCCACTGCTCGTATTTTCAGAATTACGCTCTGCCAACTTCTCTATTATTCCTCTGCCCACCTTACTCCTTACAAAAGTAGTCTGTCCTTAGGCTAATTTCTCAGACTGACCAGAAAAATAATGACCACTGCAATGCATACTTTTAAAAACGTGAAAGAAGCAACAGAGGAGTGTTCAAACTCTTGTGTACATCATTATCCTTCACTTGTCACACCCCCTACCCTGAAAAATCTCTGGTTTTCATTCTTCTTATGACTGGTGGGTAGACACGTGTTAAAATTTCTTTGTCAAGCCAGACAAGGAACAAATAATTATTGTAGTGGGATTATACCAGATTATTATTTTTCAGATGGATTTAAGCTTTGCCGCACACAGCTCTCCTTTCTTAGTCAGACATCATGCTTCTTGATATAAGCTTTAAAGTCAGAAAGTTACGGGAGATGTTTCAGGAAACGAAAAAGAAATACCCATGTTGATTTGTCTGGTGATCCCTTCTTTTCTCACCTCCTTTTCTCTCTTGGCATAGAGAAAGGGAAAGAAAGAAGATTCTCAGAACTAGCAACATATTGAAAATGAAATTGGCAAACTGCCCTCCTTCTTAGGGGAAGGTGAAAATATCAGTTGACTGTTAGTGATTCAGAAATGAAATTTCAGTATATTTAAGTCTATTTTAGAAAGAGGGATGGAAAGCACAGCTAACATGAAACAATTTAAAGAAACAGGTTACTCTGGTACCTACATTGGTATGGATATGTGGTGAAATGAAGGAGGGCTATGACCAAATATAGCTTTCTTAACTGCTGTTACTGGTGCCCAGAATCCAATCCATTTGTAAACGTTGTCCTTAAAAGTGAGTCTACTTTACTCCTCTATCAAGACCTGATTAAGATACCCTGAGTCAACAAAAGTTCTAAATGATAAAAATGTGTTAGTGCCCACCATCCCAGACCTGTCACATAGAATCCAAATTAAACATAATACTAAACCTAAAAACACAAATATTAACTGAGCTTCCTTCTAAAATGAACTTTTCTCATTTTATTGGTATCTACCTTAGTGGTACCCTAAATATGGGCTTAGTGTACAACTTTGCATTATTTCAAAGTTGAACATATAAGGTGACAAGTTGTGCAGTAGTTGTAAGTATACGGCTTTAGGGTGGTAGAACTTTGCTATTTATTGAGAAGCCTGGGCAATTTTTCTTAGCTTCGGTTCTTTTTTTTTTTTTTTTCCCATGTTACATGCAAATAATGGTACAGTATAGAGTTGTCATGAGGATTAATGAGATAATGCTCAATACATCTTAGCTCTTTTTATTCAAATTATTTGAGTTCTAATGTCTTAATTAGGTGACCACAAACAATGTGGCTAAATATTTGGTTGGTGCAAAAGTAATTGCAGTTTTTGCAATTAAAAGTAATCACAAAACTTGAATCACTCGTATTTCTTCAGTAAAAAAAGAAATGAATATCTGCAAAATGGGGTTAATGAGAGAGTATTGTGGAGAGGTGGAGAAAAAACACATACTTTTAAAAGAACTAAGTCTAGCACATAGTAGACCTGCAATAAATCTTGGTTCTCTTTTACTAGCATACCTCACCGGCATCTTAGTATTGATGGCTTTTTAAATTTATTTTTCTTACTCTGAAGTACAAATTATATAAGAGTTACTGAAGGAAGGGATGGGGAGACAGTCACAAAATCAGGAAATTCTATTTTGCTTCAAGTCACCCTGATGATTCAGAGTTACTTTACCAAAAAGAATTTAGACTGGACAATCATGGGTACAGCTTGGGCTCTTTCTCACTTTGGCTGGAATTTCACAGGATTTTTAAGTAGAGAAATAGTTTCATGCTGGTATACAAAATTGAGCTTGGAATTAATCAGCAAAATGAAGATATGAAAAGGACAATTTTCTTCATTGCATAGTCTATAGGAAATTTGAATATTTAGTCCAACTACGGGTTTGTCAGTACAAATGGATTGTCTTAATTATATCCTCATTTTCTCAATGGTTGTATAGTATAACTGAATTTTATAGCAAACTTACCACTTCCAGGTCATGTTCTAAATGCTATGTTTTAGGGATATATTGTTTAACATATACTAATTTATGTGATGCTTAATAAAATTTGTCTGACAGGTATTATTGTTTTCTTTATTTTATACATGATGACATGAGGTACAGAATGATTTACTAACTTCCTTAAACTTCTGGTGTCAAGATACAATTCCAGTGCACAATTTTAATTGCTTTGCTTTATTTCCTCCCTATAGAATGGGCATGAAAATAAGAGTTCATATTTTCAACCCCATTTAGACTTCTGAGCCAAAAAATATTTTTAATTGATGGGGGAAAGGCATTGAAATCTCCAAATTCCAATAATAATTTTCTAAGCAACCAAAAATAGACAAATATATAAATTAATAATTTTAAGACACTGGACATCAGGGACTGAAATACACTGAACCCTGTGGGACGGGAGACAAATGAGGAGAGCCAAACAAATTCCTCAGGTTACAAATTTGAGAGTATCTGGGTCATAGTACAGGGAGGAGAAATCCATGTGAGATGTAGAGGACTCCTTAGTTTAGGAGACAAAGCAGAGAGTCTGGGCAGACAAAGGGAGCTAGAATACAGGACAGGGTATGATAGAGTGTGCATTGAAAGAGAGCTCTAGGGAGCTGATTAGGGTCTTTCTCAAGTATTTTGCTAAATATTGATGAGTTACACATGTATGTGAGAAAACTACTAAGGACTGGAGAAAGAACTACCCAAAAGGATTAGAGGTAACAGTGTCTAGCATTACACAGGACAAGGAAAAGTCCCTGTTTATGTCACTCAGATTGAAAAAAAAATATGATTCACAGGAAATTGGGCACAGTACTCAAGAAGGTCTTGCCTCAGTGGTAGAGTGTAATTATCTCTAGAATGAGCATTAATCCAGAAGCTACTAACATATCATTAAAGCAAGACATTACAGGATCAAACTGTCTTTCCAAGTAACTTAATTGCATTATAGAAAAAGCTCACTGATATTTATAGGAATGAATAATATTCAGCACAAATAAAGTAAAATTTATAATGCCTGGTATTTAATCAAAGATTACCAGATATGTAAGAAAATATTACTTAGAAGGAGCAGAAAATCGATCAATTGAAACCATTTTAGATCTGAGCCAGATGTTAAAATCAGCTTTAAAAATAGTTATTATAGTTGTATTCTGTGTGTTAATGTTAAGTAGGAAAATAGAAAATATAAAAAGTTTCAAGTCAAACTTTGTGAGATGAGACCTACGATTTGTGATCTGGGATGTGATTAATGGCAAATCTGATAGTGTGGAAGAAAAGGTGAGTAAACATGAAGACCTAGGACTAGAAACTAAAATAAAACACAGAACAATATTTCTTCTAAGTGAAGGGAGAATTACTGAGCTGTGAGACACCTTCAAGTGAGCTAATATATTTGCAATGGAATCCCTGAAAGAGTGTGTGTGTGTGTGTGTGTGTGTGTGTGTGTGTGTGTGTGTGTGTGTGTGTTGTTGGCAGGGAAGGAATTTGGGGGAAAAAAAGACCGAGAAACAATTTTTCCAAGTTCAGTGAAAATTATAAACCCACAGTTCCAAGAAGCTAAATAAACCCAAGGCATAGAAACATGGAGAAAACAACACTAATAAACATCATACCACATTGCCCAAAATCAGAGATAAAGGAAAAATATCTTTAAAGCAAACAAAAAAAGATGCATTGCATACAACAGTTCAAAAATAAGTATGACAGCAGATTTTTCGTAAAAAACAATGCAATCAAGAAGACAGTGGAACAACATCTTTAAAGTACTGAAGGACAAAAGCTATTAAACTTAAATTCTGTATCAAATAAAAATATTTTCAAATATAAAGATGAAATCAAACTTTCTCCAACAAAGTTGAAAGAATTCATTTTCAACAGAACTGTACTATAGAAAGTGTTAAAGGAAGTACTTTAGTTGGAGGAAAATTAAGCCAGATAGATATGCAGATATACACACAGTACTGAAAGGCACTGAAAATGGTATCCACCTGAATTCTGTTCCTTGAATACTCCTCATTAGTCCCCCTGCCTACAAATCTCAGTATATCAAATTACTCAACCTGAAACAATAATGGAAGAAGGTTATAATGATTAGACTTCGATGGCTTTAAATATCAAGCCTAAGCTAATGTAAGCAAAGGATATTGTTAGTAGTAGCAAATTAGTATTAGTAGTAGCAAATTAATTAATTCAGTGATGTTTACTAAATATCCTCAATTATGTTATTTGTTAATTTGAAGTTTCTGTAAGAAAGAGAATACATGAACTTGAATTTCACAAATACCTGTGAATTGCACAAATGTGATATTTTTAAAGCAAAAACTCAGCTCAGTATGCTTTCAGATATTTATATTTTTCATCACAGCATAGCCTATGTCAAGACTTTTCTATCCTCTGCATTAGAATTACAAACTGAAGACAAATTCATTAATTCACTAACAAATTTTTTCCTATCTATAGACTTCCCAAGTTTGATCTAAATCATATATATCTAAAGTTTAATTATAAGGCTTTCTATTATAAGAGTATAAGATCATTTGGGGAAACTAATATTTTGATTAATAAGGTTGTAATATTTCCAAAAGAAATAACAAATAAGCTTGGAGGGGGGATATAAAACAAGGAGAAATTCCAAATTGGAAACAAGAGTCGCTGCAAGAGAAAGTACTGGGATTGGGGCTTGGTGACTGAAGATGAGGGTCAAGAAAAGAAATGATCACTTATTTAATCATACTGTTATCTGTATTGAGATTCATTTCAACATGTATTGTTTCATAACTTAAAAAAAACAGAATAAGTTGGCAATGTTCATCAATGCATGTACCCTTTGATGAAGTAATTATACTTCCAGGACTGTATTCTACAGATATGCTCCTTTCTAGGCAAAAAGATGTTTATATAAAAATGTTCACCATAGTGTTTTTATGCTAGTGAGAAAATGAGGCACATATGCCCCTTTGAAATGGTCTTTAACACACATTGTTAATTAAGCAAAGAGCAGAGTGGCGTTACAACATTCACTTTTGCTTAAATTATACACAAATATGTGCACACAAACACATGCATATATATACAATTTAATATAATGTATATATCATGAGTTATATCTACTTAATATACATATTTGAGTATATGTGTGTGTATAATGTGTGTGTGTATATATATTTATGTTTATATATATTTACACATATACTCAAATATACAAATATACAATTTATGAGTCTATAGGCACAAACATTTTTTAGGGCCAACAACACACACTGTTAATAGTGGTTGCAACTGTGGAGGGGAATTGTTGGTCTAGGCTGGACACTTTCATCTCCCGATCAATACATTTCATACTGTTTAAGTTCTGTTTCATGGTTTGTTTTCTTTCAGCATACACTATCATGTCTGGCTTATGACAGAGTTCTGCTTTCCAATAAAATCACCAATAGCTATGTGTGGTTCTTGAGCACTTGAAATGTGGCTAGTTCAAATTGAGATGTTCTGTCTGTATGAAATATATACTGGCTTTGAATATTTAGTATAAAAAAGAAGATAAAATATATCAATAATAATTATATGTCAAAATAATGTGGATATATTGACTAAGTACAATATACTTAAATTTTTAAAAATAATAATGATCATTTGTGCTGGTTATACATTCAGACAGAATACTTAGTATGAAGGTTAATGTTTTTAGTATTTCTACATGGCAGTATTTCTTGAAATATGTTTTGAAAGTGTCTAGATGTTGTCTTATAGCCACACCACCCTGAACGTGCCTGATCTCGTCTGAAAGTGTCTAGATGTGTGTTACTTTCCTCATTTTACATATGATAGGACATAGGCAGAAAAGCTTTAGAAAAATTTTGAAAATTACAGAGTAAATGAAATTTAACCTATTAATTTTATTTTGCAAAATGTATGAACAGTTACAATTTCTTATAAATACAACTGAAAAAATATATTAAACAGTTAATCCAGGTTGTTACTCTACTGGTTAGAGGAAGCTATTTGATGTGACTTCTACGTAGAAGGCTTTCTTTGTGCCAGACTAGATTAGATGACTCTGGAATGTGTTCAAGCAGTCTGTACATTACTTAATTCTTGTCATAATTTTATTGAATTATATTTCTTCTCCTAATCTATGTACCAAGAAAACAATACCTTTCTGCCTCGTTCCTCTGTTTTTTATTGGGTGCTTTAGAAAACTAGTTGATACTTAGCAATCATTTGATGGATCAATGGATGAATCCACCAATCCTGGAAATTAGAAAATCTTTATTTAAAAAAAAAAATGTCTCTTTGCACTGCCCCATTGTGTGAATTACTCATTTATTTACATTACAAATAATTTATTGTTGCATGTTTATAGAATTATGCTCAACAACATGCCCAATGCTTGTGGACTTGTGTACTTGAGTTCAACTTAATATCTTTTTTCACATTGTTTATGGGGGTGGAAACAAATTACATCTTCTTCATCTCAACCCTGGGGTTAATGCTAACTTCTTTTATTATTGAACACTTAACATTTACATTTCAGAGGCTTTCAAGTTTTCTTTTAGTCATAGTGTTATGCAGGCATTGCCAGAAGTATTGGATGCTGTTGCATATTTCACCATCTTTTGTGGGTGGCATGACATTAAAGATGACGTAGTACTTATCATGGAGATGAAGAAATAAATATTTTCTAACTCTAAAGAGTGCAGATTGATGGATGGAAAATTCTGAAAGGCATTCTACAATCTGCAAATCTTAGGGTAATTAAATGTATAAGGCAACATGAGATAAATCTGTGCTTTAAAGATATCTGATAATAACTTGTTATGGAATTGACAGTAGAATGGTATTTTGTAATTTTATAAGAGCAGGCTAAGTTCAGCATTTCATTGGCTATACAAGTGAGCAGCTTTGTTCTTCCTTTCTATGCAGACATTTAGATTTCATTTGGAATGAGGTAAACCACCAAGTTTTCCCTTTCCCCAACATGTTGATGAGTATGCACATAAACTTAGATGAGTATGCACAAATACTTAGAAACGTATTGTCTCACAGTACTGGAGGCTAGAAGTTCAAGATCATGGTGTTAGCAGTGTTGGCTCCTGGTTGTTTGCTGTCAATTTTTGGTATTCCTTGGCTTATGGAAACATCATTTCAATCTCTGCCTTCATCTTATGGTGTTCTCCCAATGTGTATGTCTCCAAATTTCCCCTTTTTATTAAGACACCAGTCATATTCAATTAGGGTCCACCCTAATTATCTCATTTAAAATGGATTATTTTTGTAAAAGTTCTTCCTCTGCATTCTGTAAAACCACATTCTGAGGTATTAGTGGTTAGTCTTCAACATATACATTTAAAAAGACACAATTCAATGCATAACAGTATCACACACAAATAGAATAAGTGCTCTTTCATGAAAATTTTGTTTCAGTTGTGTCCTGGCATATACTGAGTCACAATATAAAATAGCGTTCTTGTAGGTTGAGACACCATAGCACTAGGGTACGTTCCTAGGGTTGAAATTACAGGGCTGTAGAATAATTCATTTTTAAATTTACCAGATAATGCCAAAGTGATTGTGCCATTTACTCTCATACTATCGGTGTATGAAAGTTTTTCTTTCTCTACAGCATCACAATTATGAATATCTGATTTTTACATTTTTTGTCAAACTGAGATGTGATTTAGTAGCTCATTTTTTAAAATTATATGTTCTATTAAAACTGTAGTTGATTATTTTTTCTTACATTTGCTGGTCATGCAGGCCTCCACTTCTCTGAATTTGTTGTTCACATATATACATATATATGCATACACACACACGCATGTAAATATATAACATATACATGTAAATATATACAAACATTATATCTATTATATATACATAAACATGTATATTATATATACATAAACATGTATATTATATATACATAAACATGTGTATTATATATACATGTCTATATATAAACATTAGAAAGACAAACAATTTTACTTTTGGATTGTATGTCTTTCTAATAATTTGAAGGCATTTTATAAAAATATGTAATCTAATAACCAATCTTTTATTGATCACATACTATAAAAACACCTTCTCCCACAAAACTGTTTGTCTTTTAATTTTGTTTATGGTATTATCTGTAATGGAAAGTTTTTTTACTCTGGTCATTAAGAGTCTTTCTCATTAAGGTTTGTGCTTTTTGAGTATTTTCCAGAAATTATTTCCTGCTCCTAATTCATGACAACATTCTCTTCTAAAGGTTTTAATATGCAGGTCTTTAATTTAAATTTGAGATAATCTGAAGTACAGTACAAGGGAATCTGGTTTTATTTATTATTGTATGATTTGCCATTTGTCCTGGAACCATTTTATAAATAATTCTTTTCTTTCCACTACTTATTAAAATGCCAAATCTGTTATATTCCAATTTTCTATACAGTTGACCTTTCCACAACATGGTTTTGAACTGCACAGGTCCACTTACTACACAGGTTTTTTTTTTTTCATTAATTCTGTTGGAAAAATTTTTTGAGATTTTTGGCAATTTGAAAAACTTGCAGACAAGCAGTGTAGCCTAGAAGTATTGAAAATTTTTATAAAAAGGTTATGTGATGAATGCATAAAATACATGAAGATTCTAATCAATTTTATCATTTACTACCATAAAATACACACAAATATGTTATAAGAAGATTAAATGTATCAAAACTCATGCACACAAAGGCAGACTGTACATGACTTCATTGGCAGTAGAGACAGGTAAACAAACATAAAGATACAGTAAGAAATTATAACTGCATAGGCTGGGTGTGGTGGCTCACGCTTGTAATCTCAGACCTTTGGGAGGATGAGGTGGGTGGATCACAAGGTCAGGAGTTCAAGACCAGCCTGGCCAATATGATAAAACACTGTCTCTACTGAAAATACAAAAAATAGCTGGGCGTAGTGGCGGGTGCCTGTAGTTCCAGCTACTCGGGAGGCTGAGGCAGAAGATTCGCTTGAACCCGGGAGGCAGAGGTTGCAGTGACCTGAGATCATGCCACTGCACTCCAGCCTAGGCGAGAGAGTAAGACTCCATCTCAAAAAAAAAAAAAAAGAAAGAAAGAACGAAAGAAAGAAAGAAAGAAAGAAAGAAAGAAAGAAAGAAAGAAAGAAAGAAATTATTATTACTGCATAAAATTAACTACAGTACATAAGGTACAATGGTAATAATTTTGTAGTCACCTTCTCTTTCTATTGTGGTGAGCTCAAGTGTTGAGAGTATCTGTTTAAAATCCTTGTGATGCTAATCATCTCCAGGTGAGCAGCCTCTCCAGTAAATTGTGTATTGCAATAAAAAGAGATGTCTCACAGTTCTTACCTATTTTTATTGTGTTTACTGCAATATCGTAAACCTTAGATAATATCATGAGACCCATACATAGTGCCACTAGTGATGCTAGGAGTGCTCCCAAGAAGCAGAGCAGAGTCATGACATTACAAGAAAAGGTTGAATTGCTTGATAGGTTCCACAGATTGAAGTCTGCAGTTGTGGTGGCTACCATTTCAAGACATTTCAAGATAAATAAATTTGGCGTTAAGGACCAATGCCAGCAGACACGAAAAACTTGTACTTTTTTAAAAAAAAACATTTTTATTTCATACTGAAAATGCAGCTTTAATGTGGGTGCAGATTTGCTGTAAGAAAAGCATATATGTAGACTCTAATATAATTGAAGAAAAAGCAAAGTCATTGTATAACAACTTAAAGCAAATGAAAGATGAGGATCTAAAGCTAAAGAATTTAATGCCAGCAAGGGATGGTTTAACAATTTTAGAAAGAGGGGTGGCTTTTTTAAAAAGCAAAAGTAATAGGAGAAGCAGGAGAGGTATTAATAATAGGAGTCACGGTAATAGGAGAAACAGCTTCTGCTGAACAAGAAGCAGCAGAGTTCCTAAGTTCCATTAAAAAAGTGATTGAGGAAAACAGATACGTGCCTGAACAGGCTTTTAATGCAGAAGAAAGTGTCCTATACTTGAAGAAAAAATGCCACAGAGGACATTTGTTAGTTATGAAAAAGTGAGCAGCAGGATTTAAAGGAGGAAGGGGCAGGCTAACTATGGTTTTGTACAAATGCAATTGGATTGATAATCAGGACTGCCCTTATCTACAAAACTGCTAACCCTCAAGCCTTGAATGGAAAAGATAAACACCATTCCAGACTTTGGGTTGTACAACAAGAATGCCTGAACACAACATTTTATTCTGGATAAGTTCCATCCGTGCTTTGTCCCTGTAGTCAAGAAGTGCTCTTTTGATATTGGACAATGCCCCCTGATCACCCAGAACCCCATGAGTTCAATACCAAAGGCATCAAAGGTCTATTTGCCCTCAAACACAATCTCTCTAATTCAGCCTGTAGATTAAGGAGTCATAAAGACTGCTAACGATCATTATGTATGGTACTCTGTGGAAAGGATCATCAATGCTATGAAAGAGAACCCTGATAGACAACACATCATGAAAGTCTGGAAAGATTACTCCATTGAAATTGCCATCAGTATAGAAAAATACATGAAAACTGTCAAGCCCCAAGTAATGAATTTCTGCTGGAGAAAACTATGTCCAGATGTTTTGCATGACTTCGTAGGATCTGCAACAAAGCCAACCAAGGAAATCATGAGAGAGATTGTGGATATGGTAAATAAGGTGGAGAGTGAAGGGTTTTAAGATAGGGATCTTGGAGAAATTCAGGAGCTAAGAGATACCACACCAGAGGAATTAACAGAAGATGGCTTGATGGAGATGAGTGCCTCAAATGATGAGGAAGAATATGTAGAAGAAGCAGTGACAGAAAGCAAATTCACATTAGACAATCTAGCAGAAGAGTTCTGATTACTCAAGACTGCTTTGACTTCTTTTAAAACCTGGTCTTTTTAAGATATGAGCACTGAAGCTAAAGCAAATGGTGGAAGAATTGGTACTGTATAGAAGCATTTTTAGAGAAATGAAAAAGCAAAACATTCAGGCAGAAATTATGATGTATTTTTGTAAATTACACAAAATTTGCTGTGTTTCTTGCCTCTCTTCTACCTCTGCCCCTTCTGAGGCAGCAAGACTAACCCCTTTTCTTCCTCCTCCTCAGTGTATTCAATGTAAAGATAATAAGAATAAAAACCTTTATAATCTAGTTCCACTTAATATAAATATATTTTCTCTTATGATTTTCTTAAAAACATTTTCTTTTCTCTGGCCATTTTATTATAAGAATACAGTATATAAGACATATAACATAAGCAATATGTGTTAACCAACTGTTTATGTTATAAGTAATGCTTCTGGTCAATAGTAGGCTATTAGTGGCTAAGTTTTGGGGGCATGAAAAGTTATAGGCAAATTTTCAACTCCACAAGTTTCCCTAATCCTCCCATTGCTCAGAGACTGGCTGTATATGAATATATCTATATCCAGGCTCACAACTTTGTTCCAAAGGTCTACTTTTTATTATCTACAAGTTGAAAACACAATTCAATAATTTAACGTTACAGTGTCTTTATACCTTGTAGGATAAGTCTACTTCCTTTTTTTAAAAAAATTGTCTTTCTCTTTACTTTATAATGAGATTTTAAGCTCAAATTGTCAATTTCTATGAAAAATCATTTTCGGATATTGATTGGAATTATATTTATTGTTTAACTTGAAGATAATTGACATCTTTACTATTTTGTCTTCTTGTTCCTTGCTATAACAAGACACCAATTTTTGTAAAGTCTCTGTCGTACATCCTTTTTTCTTTCTTTTTAGTGACAATCCTTTGAAGTCATGAATATACAAGAGCATGAATAAGAGAAGAAAAGATGGAAGATAAAAAGCAGAAGGGTGAGTGACAACCAAGTTAAAAACCTCAGTGGAGCAAAATTACAAATCAGAAGTGAGAACAGCCAGGGATGAGTCTGACTTTTACCAGACAAAACCGCAAAGTCATAGGAACTGGAAGAACCAGGTACCTTTAAAACCAAGAGGGAAGAAGCAGCCTAAAATAAGGAAGACAAGGTTAAACCTCTTTGATAAGCAGTTACATTTCCTCCCCTCCCTTTACTTCATTGACTATTTCCCTGGTGCAGTAAATGACTAGGAATTTACTATTTTGGAAGCATCTCACAGGTTTTTGTATTTTCATCTATCATATTTTTTTAGGTTACTTTCTGTTTAACTTCCTCAGGCTCACTTCATTTTTAAAAAAATTGTTAACTGTATCTATTGTGTTTGTTTTATCATTTTTCAAGAATTACCTTTTTCATTTATAGAAGTCTTATTTGGACATTTTCCAAATCCCAACTTGTTTGAATTTTCGAATTATATTTTCATTGCATTACTTACTGCTTTCTTTAGGTCTTTAATTATGACAAAGTTATTTTCTTTTCATTCTAAACATATCCATAGTGCTAATTCTGCTAGGTTTTTTTTTTCTCCTTTTTGAGGGGTCATTTCGTAAGTAGTCTTCACATTTGCTGTGAGCTCAGCTGCAGTAGAGATAGGTTTTTTCTGTTTGTTTACTTCAATTTTTAAAATTTTTTTCTATGGAAGATCCATGTACTCTTGGTAGGGAGATTGGTTTGTTTATTTCAATTTTTAAAAATATTTCTATGGAAGATACATGTGCTCTTGGTAGGGAGATTGGGGTTAAAGCTCTGTTTTGTCCTTTGCCCAGTGCCCTCATTATTTCCTCAGTCTTAGATCATTTTTAAATAAATGCAAAATCTCTTCTTGAATCATGTGGGTTGTATACATTTGGATTCATACCTATATTGGATATGGGGTAAAACTTTGATTTCCCATCTTAAACTTTTTTTTCCAGTCAAAAAACTAGCAATGATAATGTTTCTCTTGAGCCAATGAAAAGAGTCTTTATAATCTTTATAATCTCTTTTTTACTAATGGGAAAAACTTCTAGAATTTGTATATATGGCATTTTGTAATGGTATCCGTTTCAGTTCTGTTACATCACCTAGACCTAAGACCATACTTCCTGTTTACATGTAATCATAGTCATTAAGGCTAATATTTATGTCTACCCTCTTCCCAATATCCAGTCCCTGCAGCATTAAGTTTGAACTCTAGTTTTAAGTTTCATTTCTAATTTTATCACATGGGAATTATGGGGAATATTTTCTTTCTTAATTCCTTGCTCTGATAAATACTCAAAATTTCTAATTCAATTAATTAATGTACAAATTAAACTAATTTAGTGTGTATGCCTCATTCTCACAAATAAATCTTTGAAATAATTGGGACAGCTATTGGTTTTCCCACTACCTGCTGTTGAATATTTTAAGCCAAACTCTTTTAAATATCAAAGAATAGAGCAAGCTAGCTGATACCTGAATTTTATTAGAATGAGGCAGGCATGGGTTTCTCCTCAAGAAACCAAAGGATGAATTTAAGTTAAAGCACATATAGATATAAAACCTGTCAAAATAGTATATATCATAGAAGATGTCGACATGCATTACTGTCACCCTGTTATCTGACTCCTGCTATATGGTTTCTCCTCTTTGGCTTCCACTTACTTCTTTATGTGTTGCCCACTGTGCTTTAGCTACACTGAACTTTATTTGGAACTTCAAGCACTCTATGGTGATTTCCTTTCAGAGTTCTTTATGCTTGCTACTCCCTCTGTGTGAAATGCATCCCCCCAAATTCCACGGTCTGGCTTCTTTATCATTTGTTGAGTTTCAACTCAAGTGTGACTTTCTTGAGAGGATTTTTGTCACTGCCTAAAGAAGCCCCACATATAGTGACCCCACTATGGATCATCTCGTGTTATTTTCTTCAAAACTCTAATCTGAAATAACCTTGTCCACTTCTTGGTTCATATTTTTACTGCCTGCATAACCTCACTAGACTGTAAGTTCTATGAGAGAAGAAATGTTTCTATTTTGTGTATTTCTGGCACCTCAAAAAGCACTTTGAAAAATTATGCTGCTCCAATATTTGTTAAATGAAAATTAATTTGGCACCTTCTCTGCTTATGAGCTTTTGTTGGATGCCAAATTGTTTAAATCACATTGGAAGATGCACATTCTTCATTTTAGGAACAATAGTGTAATAGGGATTAGGTTGATATGGAGAGAGCAACAATACCCGTATTAGCCCAGAGAGATCACAATCACAACACAGTACACAAAAGAACTATTCTGCAAATGAGAAACAAGCAACGAATATTTTGAATTTTTAAATAGAATAATAATAATACAATTTCTCAATCTTAAAATTTCATTTGGTTTTTCATCTAACTTGGCAACTTTTCTGAAAAACAAATTGCCTGGATGAGTCGATTTTTATATGCACTGTGTTAAAGAGGAATATTCTAAAGCTGTAAATAGAGACTGATGTTTTAAACTATATCTACTGTGATACATTTTCTAGAAGGAAATGTCTCTAATATCAGGTATACAACAGCATCTTCAACTTCTTGGCAAATGACCTCTACTATAATTATTGTCACCAAATTTTCTCCTCTCTAAAGAATATTTAGTTAAACCTCACTATAGTTTCCAGTTCCACATGAAACAAAACTAATTGGATAAACAGCATCAAGATAACATTTATTAACAGAGGCCTTGCTTCTCACCTATAGCACAAACAGTGCTACACTATACTGAGACATATGTGATCTCCTCATGATTAGGGTTCAAATAATACTAGTATGCTCCTGCAGATTTTCAATGAGATGATGTCATACTAGACAGATGAAACAGACATGCTATTGCATTATCATCAACATCATCATCATCATCATCATCTAAAAAGATTTTTAAGGACATGTGTGAGGAATTGCTCAACCAGAAAGAATGCAGATGGAAAAGATCAATCAATATCCAATATGTATGTGTATTTTAAAATATAATTGAAAAACTCAATTTCTTCAATGAAAAAACAAGTGCAAAGCAAGGTACTTTTAATTTGTACTCATATTCAGATAGAGATATTCCCTAGCCTGCAAGAGAGTGAAGAAATCCATTTTAATATAATTGAGAACTATCTTCCCATGATGGGAAGGCACTCAGTAGAGAGTAAGCAGCTTTTAAGACTGATTCTGACTGCTATCCCCTAGCATTACCATGGTGTCATCTAGCCACATGTGCTCCTGATCCAAATCACCATGCATATGCATGTCCATATGTTTCCTCCTTGTGGGGCTTCTTCATCTCATCATTTGGTTCAATATCAACATTCCTATTCCCTTCCTTGCAGTTCCACACATTGTGTTTCACTCATTGCACCTCTAACCACACCTCAGGAAAACTGTCGCTATCAAGTGGAAAATGGCATTGCCTGGGACATGTGAGGGTTGGCATATTCTGACCATCTATGCTAAAATGGTGTTTCTGACTGCCTTTTCCTCTGATTCAACATCAGAGGAAAAAAGTCAGTGTTATTATCTGCTTTGTAAGTTGGAGTGTAGGCTGAAGTTCTTTGCCACCCCTCCACTTCTCAAATGAATTAGGGTTCTCAGAATAACTCTGAGGGGAACTGAGTTTTGCATGTGTTTCTAGCAGCTTTGTCTGCAGTGGAGGTGATCTAAACTGCTAGGATACCCAATGGAGCACGGGTGAGAAATGCCATCTGACTTGTCATCACCCATGAAATCTTAGTGTGAAGCATGGGGGCAGAGTCCAGTGGGAAGGAAACAAAACAAACTGGAAATGTGGAGAAATACAGTGATGCTTCCTTTCTCCCATGTCAATAAAGGAGCTACATAAACATTTAAATAATAAACAATTGTTCTCTTTAAGTAAGTCCTCCCAAGAAACACAATGGTCCAGAAATGTAAAATGCTATGTTGTTTTAGAGGAATTTTAGGAAAAGAAGCTGAGGGTAAAGAAATTGCCCACATTTCCTGCATCAGAATTCTCAGTTAATTCATCCGATTCTTAAGTCTAGCTACATAATTTCTGAGGCCAGTGCAAAATGAAAACATGGGTTTCCCTGTCCAAAAAGCAGAAAAAAAGTTATTTTGCTTGTACTAAAATATAAAGCTTTTTCTTCTGTGGTCTCATTCTCAATTATGGTTGTGCTTATTATTAGCTGTTTAATGTCATTCTAAAAAAACATTAAAATTTTAAACTATTATAAGTTTTACAATTCATTTTAATTTTGTGCAATGCCCATACTAAATGCAATTGTAAGAGCATAGCTTTTATGTGGAATTCCTGAAATTACATAATTTTTACATATTTGTAGTTCATACATACATATGTATTTTTGTTCCAACCAGAATAGTAGAAACACTGCACAAATTTAACTCAACTTTTAAAAAAATTGTACTTCTTGATACAAGTATATATACCAACACTATCTTTGGCTTGCTAATGAGTAAAGAAAGACTGAAAGGAAAAGGAACTATGAGTTGTACCATATTTTTCTTTTTTTTATTTTATCATTTTCATCATAAATTGTGGGCTTGTTTGAGGAAGTAATGGAATACAACTCCATTTTAAAAAAGAAAAAAAGTTCTGCAATATATAACAACATGAATGAAGCTTAAGGACACTACACAAATGAAATGTTAGCCACAAAAAGACGAATACTGCATGATTCTATTTATATGAGCTACCTAAATTAGTCAAATCTATAGGATCAAAGAATGGAATGGAATATACAGTTTCAATTACATAATTATACATATTCTGGTAGCTTTTTGTACAATATTATAGTTAACAATACTGTATTATACACAAAATATACTAGGAGGGTACATCTTATTTTAGTTTTTTTTTTACTACCAGAAAAGTAAAGAGGGTACATAATCAATGTACAAAAATCACTAGCATTGTTACACACCAAAAAACAGCCAAACTGAAACCCAAATCAGAAAGGAAATCCCATTAACAATTGCCCCAAAAAGAATAAAATACCTAGGAATACAGATAACCAAAGAGGTGAAAGACCTCTACAATGAGAATTATAAAAACACTTCTCAAAGGAATAGGAGAAGAAACAATCAAATGGAAAAACATCCCACGTTAATGCATAAGAAGAATCAATATTATTTAAATGGCCAAAGCAACTTACAGATTCAATATTATTCCTATCAGACTACCAATGACATTCTTCAAAGAACCAGAAAAAAGTATTTTAACACTGATATGGAACCAAAAATGAGCCTGAATAGCCAAGGCAATCAAAAAGAACATAGCTGGAAGCATCACGTTACCAGACTTCAAACTATACTACAGGGCTATCATACCAAAACAGCGTGGTACTGGTACAAAAGCAGGCACATAGACCAATGGAACAGAATAGAGAGGCCAGAAATAAGGCCACATATCTACAACCGTCTGATCTTCAACAAAGCTGACAAAAACAAGAAATGAGAAATAAACTCCCTATTCAATAAATGATGCTAGGATAACTGGCTAGCCATATGCAGAAGATTGAAGCTGGACCCCTTCCTTTCACCATATAGAAAAATCAACTCAAGATGGATTAAAGATTTAAATATAAAACCCCAAATTATAAAAACCCTGGAAGGCAACCTAGGCAATACCATCCTGGACATAGAAAAGGGCAAAGATTTCATGACAAAGACACCAAAACCAATAGCATCAAAAGCAAAAATTGACAAGTGGAATCTAATTAAACTTAAGAGCTTCTGCACACCAAAATAAACTACTATAGAATAAACAGACAACTTACAGAATGGGAGAAAATATTTGTAAACTATACATCTGAAAAAGGTCTAATATCCAGCATCTATAAGGAATTTAAACAAATTTACAAGAAAAACATCCCCATTAAAAAGCAGGCAAAGGACAAGAACAGATGCTTCTCGAATGAGGACATACATTTGGCCTACAAGCATATGAAAAAAAGCTCATTATCACTGATCATTACAGAAATGCAATTCAAAACCACAATGAGATAGCATCTCACACCAGTCAGAATGGCTATTATTAAAATGTCAAAAAAATAACAGATGCTGGTGAGGTTGCAGAGAAAAGAGAACATATATACACTATTGGTGGGAGTGTCAATTAGTTCAACCATTGTGAAAAGCAGTATGATGGTTCCTCACAGAGCTAAAAGCAGGCCAAGTGGTTCATGCCTGTAATCCCAGCACTTTGGGAGGCCGAGTTAGGCAGATCACTTGAGGTCAGGAGTTCGAGAGCAGCCTGGCCAACATGGTGAAACCGCATCTCTACTGAAAATACAAAAACTAGCTGGGCATGGTGGTGTACACCTATAGTCTCAGCTATTCAGGAGGCGGAGGCAGGAGAATGTCTTGAACCTGGGAAGCAGAGGTTGCAGTGAGCCAAGTCCGTGCCACTGCACTCCAGCCTGTGTGAGAGCCAGACTGTCTAAAAAAAAAAAAATGTAAAACTAGAACTACTATATTTGACCTAGAAATCCCATTATTGAGTATATACCCAGAGGCATATAAATAATACTACCATAAAAACACATGCACATGATTTTTTTTTTTTTTTTTTTTTTTTTGCAGCACTATTCACAATAGCGAAGACATGGAATCAATCTAAATCCCCATCAATGACAGATTGGATAAAGAAAATGTGCTACATATACACAATGGAATTCTATGCAGCCATAAAAAAAGAATGAGATCGTGTCTTTTGTGGGAACCAGGATGGAGCTGGAGGTTATTATCCTTAACAAGCTAATGCAGGAACAGAAAACCAAATACTGCATGTTCTCACTTGTAAGTCAGAGCTAAATGATAAGAACTTACAAACACAAAGAGGGAAACAACAGACACTGGTGTCTACTTGAAGGGAGAAGGTGAGAAGAGAGATAGAAGCAGAAAAAATAACTACTGGGTAGTGGGCTTAATACCTGGGTGATGAAATAATATGTAAAACAAACCCCCATTACAGGTGTTTACCTATGAAACAAACCTTCACATGTACCCCCAAACTTAAAGTAAAAGTTAACAAAAAGAATAGGAAAGGAAAGAAGATAAAAGAAAAGGAAGGGAAAATAAAAGAAAAGTGCTGGGTGTGGCAGCTCATGCCTGTACTCCCCAGGACTTTGGGAGGCTGAGGTGGGCAGATCACTTGAGCTCAGGAGTTCGAGACCAGCCGGCGCAACATGGCAACGCTCTGTCTCTACAAAAAAAAAAAAAAAAAAAAAAAAAAATTAGCCAAGCATGGTGGTGTGTGCCTAAAGTTCCAGCTACGTGGGAGGCTGAAGTGGGAGAATCCCTTGAACCCAGGAGGTGGAGGTTGCAGTGAGCTGAGATCATACGACTGTACTCTAGACTGGGTGACAGAGCAAGACCCTGTCTGGAAATAAAAAAAAATTATGATGTAATTCCTTGGTTGCTTTTGCTTCTTAGAGTGCCATTGAAATATTGAAGCAAGGTCTGGTTCAAATGAAAAATATGGCCTTATAGGACGTCCAGCAATCCTGCTTACTCAGGTTGTACATTTAAAGGGTTTTTCTTATACTTATGTGGGTTGCATTGAACTCCCATACATTTTCGGTCCAATGAACTTCTGTTCTTGAGAGGCATCTATATGCAAATGAGGTGGCCAGGAAAAGGGGGCATAGATATTGTGTCAAACTTCACTGCTCCATTGTCTCGCTGGACTTCATTTTCAAAATTCAAGTTCGAAGATCAAATCATTAAGAATTTCAAGGTGGTAACAGCAGAACGCTAAACCAAGTGCAAAGGCCTTCTGATTTCAGGGCTCTGTGTGACCACACAGTTGTCCACTTATAAAGGTTCCCCTGTTAGCTCTTGATTGTTGCTTTATTTATTTATTTATTTATTTCTTGTCTTTTGTTTTTCTTTTCCTTTTTTTTTATTATACTTTAAGTTCTAGGGTACATGTACACAATGTGCAGGTTTGTTACGTAAGTATATATGTGCCATGTTGGTGTGCTGCACCCATTAACTCGTCATTGACATTAGGTATATCTTCTAATGCTATGCCTCCCCACTACCCCCACCCCACAACAGGCCCTGGTGTGTGATGTTCCCCTTCCTGTGTCCAAGTGTTCTCATTGTTCAATTCCCACCTATGAGTGAGAACATGCAGTGTTTGGTTTTTTGTCCTTGCGATACTTTGCTGAGAATGATGGTTTCCAGCTTCATCCATGTCCCTACAAAGGACGTGAAATCATCAATTTTATGGCTGCATAGTATTCCATGGTGTATATGTGCCACATTTTCTTAATCCAGTCTATCATTGATGGACATTTGGGTTGGTTCCAAGTCTTTGCTATTGTGAGTAGTGCCACAATAAACATAGGTGTGCATGTGTCTTTATAGCAGCATGATTTATATTCCTTTGGGTATATACCCAGTAATGGGATGGCTGGGTCAAATGGTATTTCTAGTCCTAGATCCCTGAGGAATCGCCACATTGTCTTCCACAATGGTTGAACTAGTTTACAGTCCCACCAACTGTGTAAGAGTGTTCCTATTTCTCCACATCCTCTCCAGCACCTGTTGTTTCCTGACTTTTTGATGATTGCCATTCTAACTGGTGTGAGATGATATCTCGTGGTTATGATTTGCATTTCTCTGATGGCCAGTGATGATGAGCATTTTTTCATGTAGACACATTTATGCAGTCTGTTGGCTGCATAAATGTCTTCTTTTGAGAAGTATCTGTTCATATACTTTGCCCACTTTTTGATGGGGTTGTTTGTTTTCTTCTTGTAAATTTGCTTGGGTTCTTTGTAGATTCTGGATATTAGCCCTTTGTCAGATGAGTAGATTGCAAAAATTTTCTCCCATTCTGTAGGTTGCCTGTTCACTCTGATGGTAGTTTCTTTTGCTGTGCAGAAGCTCTTTAGTTCAATTAGATCCCATTTGTCAATTTTGGCTTTTGTTGCCATTGCTTTTGGTGTTTTACACATGAAGTCCTTGCCCATGCCTATGTCCTGAATGGTATTGCCTAGGTTTTCTTCTAGGGTTTTTATGGTTTTAGGTCTAACATTTAAGTCTTTAATCCATCTTGAATTAATTTTTGTATAAAGGTGTAAGTAAGGGATCCAGTTTCAGCTTTCTACATATGGCTAGCCAGTTTTCCCAGCACCATTTGTTAAATAGGGAATCCTTTCCCCATTTCTTGTTTTTGTCAGGTTTGTCAAAGATCAGATGGTTGTAGATGTGTGGTATTATTTCTGAGGGCTCTGTTCTATTCCATTGGTCTATATCTCTGTTTTGGTACCAGTACCATGCTGTTTTGGTTACTGTAGCCTTGTAGTATAGTTTGAAGTCAGGTAGCATGATGCCTCCAGCTTTGTTCTTTTGGCTTAGGATTGACTTGGTGATGCAGGCTCTTTTTTGGTTCCATATGCACTTTAAAGTAGTTTTTTCCAATTCTGTGAAGAAAGTCAGTGGTAGCTTGATGGAGATGGCATTGAATCTATGAATTACCTTGGGCAGTATGACCATTTTCACAATATTGATTCTTCCTATCCATGAGCTTGGAATGTTCTTCCATTTGTTTGTGTCCTCTTTTATTTCCTTGAGCAGTGGTTTGTAGTTCTCCTTGAAGAGGTCCTTCACGTCCCTTGTAAGTTGGATTCCTAGGTATGTTATTCTCTTTGAAGCAATTGTGAATGGGAGTTCACTCATGATTTGGCTCTCTGTTTGTCTGTTATTGGTGTATAAGAATGCTTGTGATTTTTGCACATTGATTTTGTATTCTGAGATTTTGCTGAAGTTGCTTATCAGCTTCAGGAGATTTTGCGCTGAGACGATGAGGTTTTCTAGATATACAATCATGTCATCTGCAAACAGGGGCAATTTGACTTCCTCATTTCCTAATTGAATACCCTTTATTTCCTTCTCCTGCCTAATTGCCCTGGCCAGAACTTCCAACACTATGTTGAATAGGAGTGGTGAGAGAGGGCATCCCTATCTTGTGCCAGTTTTCAAAGGGAATGATTCCAGTTTTTGCCCATTCAGTATGATATTGGCTGTGGGTTTGTCATAAATAGCTCTTATTATTTTGAGATACGTCCCATCAATACTTAATTTATTGAGAGTTTTTAGCATGAAGGGCTGTTGAATTTTGTCAAAGGCCTTTTCTGCGTCTATTGAGATAATCATGTGGTTTTTGTCTTTGGTTCTGTTTTATGCTGGATTACATTTATTGGTTTGCATATGTTGAACCAACCTTGCCTCCTAGGGATGAAGCCCACTTGATCATGGTGGATAAGCTTTTTGATGTGTTGCTGGATTCAGTTTGCCAGTATTTTATTGAGGATTTTTCCATCAATGTTCATCAGGGATATTGGTCTAAAATTATCTTTTTTGTTTGTGTCTCTGCCAGGCTTTGGTATCCTGATGATGCTGGCCTCATAAAATGAGTTAGGGAGGATTCCCTCTTTTTCTATTGATTGGAATAGTTTCAGAAGGAATGGTACCAGTTCCTCCTTGTACCTCTGGTAGAATTCAGCTGTGAATCCGTCTGGTCCTGGACTTTTTTTGGTTGGTAAGCTAGTAATAATTACCTCAATTTCAGAGCCTGTTATTGGTCTATTCAGAGATTCAACTTCTTCCTGGTTTAGTCTTGGGAGGGTGTATGCGTCCAGGAATTTATCCATTTCTTCTAGATTTTCTAGTTTATTTGCATAGAGGTGTTCATAGTATTCTCTGATGGTAGTTTGTATTTCTGTGGGATTGGTGCTGATACCCCCTTTATCATCTTTTATTGCATCTATTTGATTCTTCTCTCTTCTTTATTAGTCTTGCTAGCAGTCTATCAATTTTGTTGATCTTTTCAAAAAAACAGCTCCTGGATTCATTGATTTTTGAAGGGTTTTTTGTGTCTCTGTCTCCTTCAGTTCTGCTGTGATCTTAGTTATTTCTTGCCTTCTGCTAGCTTTTGAATGTGTTTGCTCTTGCTTCTCTAGTTCTTTTAATTGTGATGTTAGGGTGTCAATTTTAGATCTTTCCTGCTTTCTCTTGTGGGCATTTAGTGCTGTAAATTTCCCTCTACACACTGCTTTGAATGTGTCCCAGAGATTCTGGTATGTTGTATCTCTGTTCTCATTGGTTTCAAAGAACATCTTTATTTCTGCCTTTATTTCGTTATGTACCCAGTAGTCATTCAGGAGCAGGTTGTTCAGTTTCCATGTAGTTGAGTGGTTTTGAGTGAGTTTCTTAATCCTGAGTTCTAGTTTGATTGCACTGTGGTCTGTGGGACAGATTATTATAATTTCTGTTATTTTACATTTGCTGATGATTGCTTTACTTCCAACTATGTGGTCAATTATGGAATAAGTGCGATGTGGTGCTGAGAAGAATGTATATTCTGTTGATTTGGGGTGGAGACTTTTGTAGATGTCTATTAGGTCCACTTGGTGCAGAGTTGAATTCAATTCCTGGATATCCTTGGGTGCTCCTGTATTGGGTGCATATATGTTTAGAATAGATAGCTTTTCTTGTTGAATTGATCCCTTTACCATTAAGTAATGGTCTTCTTGGTCTCTTTTGATCTTTGTTGGTTTAAAGTCTGTTTTATCAGACACTAGGATTGCATCCCCTGCCTTTTTTTGTTTTCCATTTGCTTGGTAGATCTTCCTCCATCCCTTTATTTTGTGCCTATGTGTGTCTCTGCATGGGAGATGGGTTTCCTGAATACAGCACACTGATGGGTCTTGACTCTTTATCCAATTTGCCAGTCTGTGTCTTTTAATTGGAGCATTTAGCCCCTTTACATTTAAGGTTAATATTGTTATGTGTGAATTTGATCCTGCCATTATGATGTTAGCTGGTTATTTTGCTCATTAGTTGATGCAGTTTCTTCCTAGCCTTGATGGTCTTTACAATTTGGCATGTTCTTGCAGTGGTTGTTCCTTTCCAAGTTTAGTGCTTCCTTCAGGAGCTCTTTTAGGGCAAGCCTGGTGGTGAGAAAATCTCTCAGAATTTGCTTGTCTGTAAAGTATTTTATTTCTCCTTCACTTATGAAGCTTAGATTGGCTGGATATGAAATTCTGGGTTGAAAATTATTTTCTTTAAGAATGTTGAATATTGGCCCCCACTCTCTTCTAGCTTGTAGAGTTTCTGCTGAGAGATCAGCTGTTAGTCTGATGGGCTTCCCTTTGTGGGTAACCCGACCTTTCTCTCTGGCTGCCCTTAAGATTTTTTCCTTCATTTCAACTTTGGTGAATCTGACAATTATGTATCTTGGAGTTGCTCTTCTTGAGTAGTATCTTTGTGGTGTTCTCTGTGTTTCCTGAATCTGAATGTTGGCCTACCTTGCTCTGTTGGGTAGGTTCTCCTGGATAATATCCTGCAGTGTGTTTCCCAACTTGGTTCCGTTTTCCCCATCACTTTCAGGTACACCAATCAGACGTAGATTTGGTCTTTTCACATAGTCCCATATTTCTTTGAGGCTTTGTTCATTTCTTTCTATTCTTTTCTCTCTAAACTTCTCTTCTCACTTCATTTCATTCATTTGATCTTCCATCACTGATACCCTTTCTTCCAGTTGATTGAATCGGCTACTGAAGCTTGTGCATTCATCACGTAGTTCTCATGCCAAGGTTTTCAGCTCCATCAGGTCCTTTAAGGACTTCTCTGCATTAGTTATTCTAGTTAGCCATTCATCTAATCTTTTTTCAAGGTTTTTTACTTCTTTGCAATGGGTTTGAACTTCCTGCTTTAGCTTGGAGAAGTTTGATCGTCTGAAGCCTTCTTCTCTCATCTCAAAGTCATTCTCCGTCCAGCTTTGTTCCATTGCTGGTGAGGAGTTGTGTTCCTTTGGAGGAAGAGAGGTGCTCTGATTTTTAGAATTCTCAGTTTTTCTGTTCTGTGAAAGATGGCAGAATAGGAACAGCTCCAGTCTACAGCTTCCAGCGTGAACGACGCAGAAGATGGGTGATTTCTGCATTTCCAACTGAGGTACCGGGTTCATCTCACTGGGGCTTGTCAGACAGTGGCTACAGGACAGTGGCTGCATCGCACCGAGCGTGAGCTGAAGCAGGGTGAGGCATCGCCTCACCTGGGAAGTGCAAGGGGTCAGGGAATTCCCTTTCGTAGCCAAGCAAAGCTGTGACAGATGGCACCTGGAAATTCGGGTCATTCCCACCCTAATACTGTGCTTTTCCAGTGGTCTTAGCAAACGGCACACCAGGAGATTATTTCCTGTGCCTGGCTCGGAGGGTCCCATGCCCACGGAGCCTCGCTCATTGCTAGCACAGCAGTCTGAGATGGAACTGCAAGGTGGCAGTGAGGCTGGGGGAGGGGTGCCCACCATTGCTGAGGCTTGATAGGTAAACAAAGCGGCTGGGAAGCTCGAACTGCATAGAGCCCACCGCAGCGCAAGGAGGCCTGCCTGCCTCTGTAGACTCCATCTCTAGGGGCAGGGCATAGCAGAACAAATGGCAGCAGAAACCTCTGCGGACTTAAATGTCCCTGTCTGACAGCTTTGAAGAGAGTAGTGGTTCTCCCAGCACAGAGTTTGAGATCTGAAAACGGACAGACTGCCTCCTCAAGTGGGTCCCTGACCCCCGAGTAGCCTAACTGGGAGGCATCCCCCAGTAGGGGCAGATTGACACCTCACGAGGCTGGGTACCCCTCTGAGAGGAAACTTCCAGAGGAATGATCAGGCAGCAACATTTGCTGTTCAGCAATATTTGCTCTTCTGCAGCTTCCGCTGCTGATACCCAGGCAAATAGGGTCTGGAGTGGACCTCCAGCAAACTCCAACAGACGTGCAGCTGAGGGTCCTGACTGTTAGAAGGAAAACTAGAAAACAGAAAGGACATCCACACCAAAGACCCATCTGTACATCACCATCATCAGAGACCAAAGTTACATAAAACCACAAAGATGGGGAAAAAAACAGGAAAAGCAGAACTGATTGTTGCTTTAGAAATGAAGAATCTCTATTTGAGGACCTTATGTTGGGTATAATGTTCTCTCTCGTATACAGTTAGGCTTGGATATATCCTGAAGCTATAAGAAAAAATTTTCTATTTATTTGATGAAAAGGAACTCTCTGGGTAACAAACATCAAGAATAAACTCCATTCAAATGAATTTTGCTCCAACAAATGTTAGAAGTTAAAAGTATCTGAATCTAAAGATATACAGTACCAATGTATAGGGAAAGCATGCCTAGGGAAAGAATGGTTTGTCAAAGTAAGCACAAACCAGTATAGGGATGTCTTTGTGCAACCTCTAACACTTTAGAAGAACAAGGGTTCATTATTAGTCACCATTATTAGTCATCAGAGTAGCACCATACTGGGGGAAGAACACCTGAAGTTCTTGAAGAATTAGTATTGGCGTATGAAATTAATGTAGTTAGTGGACTTCATCCAATCCCTAGAGAAAACTTTGATAGTATTTCAGGTTCTGGATGGCATTAATGTTTTTAGTATACAATTGCAGCTTCTGAGTGTCAGCACAGGAGCTTCATTACTAATGGCAACAGGACAGAGCCTCATATGAAGAGGAAAAATGGAGTAAATATAATTTGTCAGTAGGAATAATATTACAGTAATGATGAATAGTAATGAGGACTAATATAATATTGTAAAAGACTCTTTTTAAACCGTTAACTACAGTTTGCTAAGAGTATGGGCTATCTCATTTAGTCCACATAATAAATCTGCAAGAAAGACAAAAAAAAAACCCACAAACTTTATTAAGATTCCATTTAAAATATAATCATTCTAAGGTTCAGAGAGTTAATTGCCAGCCTAAGGTCACACAGAGGGTGGTCTATGAAGGCAAGGTTTAAATGCAGGTGGTGAGCAGAAGCAATGGATGATTCAGGATTTCTGCACTATCCACATGTGAGGTTCCTCTTCTGTAAGAACTCTACCATACCCTCTACCCAGAGGTTCACTTTCATAGCCATATTTATAACACACTTCTGTTTCTTTTTTGAATAAACTATCATGATTCCCCTAGGTAGACATAAACATCTCCAAACTGGTCCTAAGAGCATTTTTCAAGCTTTTTCACTGAGACTCACAGTACATTTTTATTTGGTACCTTGAATACACACCCATATATTTAACATATTCTATGTGCCTTATACTCTGATTTTTCTATTTTATTTTCTTTTTTAAACATGCAGATTGTCAAACTCAATAAACTGAATCATAAATTAATGATAGCCTGAAAAAAATTGCTGGCTGATAAGCTCTCTCCCTGGATTTTGGAATTGGAACTAAGAGATAGCAAATTAAGTTTTATATGATTCAAATAATGACATACAAATTTTATGTATTGCTGTCATGGGCAGCCGTATCTTGCCCAAGACATCTTATGTACCATAAGCAAAAATAAATTCATACATCAAAGTAGTCTGGGATGGGGGAGAGAAGGAGAGGGAGGGAGGGGGAGAGAGAGAGAGAGAGAGAGAGAGAGAAAGAGAGAGAGAGAGAGAGAGAGATGATTTTTAAAAGAAACAGATAAAAGCGGGAACAGATGTGACAACTGACCAACTGGCCAGTGCTTGGCTTCTAGGCCTGGCTATATTCCTGCATTTGGATTTTACTGAAACTCCTTTGACTTAAGTAAGCTCTAATTTACCTCTATTGAGTTTACAACAAATAGAGAATCTCCGATTTTACAAGCATGATAAAATCATAATGATTGTACAGGAATAACTGGGAGGAATTTGACAAGGGAAGAATCCCCCCAATAATTTGCTGTTTGCAAGAAGTAAAGAGAGAGTATGAATTATAATACTTAATTTTGACCTGAGATTTGTATAGCCCATTATTGATTTATTGTTTGGGTTAAATGAACAGAAAGACTAGACTACTTATAAAACAACTGTATATAACTCTAAACTCTAATGAAAAATTATAGATATGAGGCTATGAACTAAATAATGAGAAAGATTCATTGTCTTATATTATTCATTGTCTTATCCTTAAAACCTGATCCAAAAACATAGTAACTCCATAATTATTGAATGCACAAATAAATGAATCAAGTGTTATAAAGGAAATATACACAGATGTATGAAATATAAACCAGAAAACAAAAATGATCCTGGGAATCAGAACAGCTTTTCTGGAAGAAGATTTTATGAGTATTCAAGAATAACATGTACCAAAGCCTGGTGAGGAGTAAGGCGCATGAAGCATTAAAGGCTATAACATAGGGTCAGTGTGGCTAGAATGCAGAGGTGAGGGTGAGATTACTTTGTGCTCATATGCCAAGCATTATATTAGGCACTGTACATTTTTCATCTCAGTTGTAATTATAAATAAAAAAAACAAATTAGGAAGGTTGAATGACCTAGTTCAGACTTCATTTTGACACAGGTGAGACACATCCACAAAATTAATATTGTCTAGTTTTCATTCTTAAAAATGGTGACATACCCAGTAATGGGATTGGTGGGTCAAATGGTATTTCTAGTTCTAGGTCTTTGAGGAATCGCCAGCACTGTCTTCCACAATGGTTGAACTAATTTACACTCCTAGCAACAGTGTAAAAGCATTCCTATTTTTCCACATCCTCTCCAGCATCTGTTGTTTCCAGACTTTTTAATATTTGCCATTCTAACTGGCATGAGCTGGTATCTCATTTTGGTTTTGGTTAGCATTTCTCTAAGGCCCAGCGATGGTGAGCTTTTTTTATATGTTTGTTGGCCACATAAATGTCTTCTTTGGAAAAGTGTCTGTTAATATCCTTCACCCACTTTTTGATGGGATGGGTTTTTTATAATCTTCTAAATTTGTTTAAGTTCCTTGTAGATTCTGGATAATAGCTCTTTGTCAGATGGATAGATTGCAACAATTTTCTCCCATTCTGTAGTCTGCCTGTTCACTCAAATGATTGTTTCTTTTGCTGTGCAGAAGATCTTTAGTTTAATTAGATCATAAATCATTATACTATGAAGGCATATGCACATGTATGTTTATTGTAGCACTATTCACAATAGCAAAGACTTGGAACCAACCCAAATGCCCATCAATTAAAGACTGGATAAAGAAAACTTGGAACATATACACCATGGAATACTATGCAGCCATAAAAAAGAATGAGCTCATGTCCTTTGCAGGGACATGGATAAAGCTAGAAATTATCATTCTCAGCAAACTAACATAGGAACATAAAACCAAACACTACATGTTCTCACTCATAAGTGGGAGTCGAACCATGAGAACATATGGGCACAGGGAGGGGAACGTCATATGCTGGGGCCAGTCGGTGGGTGGGGGTCAAGGAGAGGGATAGCATTAGGGGAAATACCCAATGTAGATGACAGGTTGAAGGGTGCAGCAAACCACCATGGCACATATATACGTATGAAACAAACCAGCACATTCTGCACAGGTATCACAGAACTTAAAGTATAATTAAAATAAATAAATAAAAAAGAAAAAAATGGTGATAAAGACTTGTACTCTGCTGATAAATCAATTGAGGAAAATATGAGATTTACAGTTATCCAACTTTTAAAGAGAACTAAGAGGAAGTTTAAAATGGACCTATAACATCAACTGTAAGAAGTCAACTAGCCTTAGAAGTTAAACTACAGAAGATTGTAAAAGATGGTAATGATTAATTTAGCAAAATAATGGACTACTTAAAAGTTTGCAAAATGTAGCAAATAGTAGTGTTTTCTTTCCATGTTACTCTGCTTGGAGCACAAAGAGGTTATTCCAAATTTGCACCAACAAGTAATTGTGTGTACTGTTGGCTCCATAATAAAGGTATACAAAGGATTTCTAAATAGGCATTTTACTTGATGTGGTTTGGCTCTGTGTCCCCGCTCAAATCTCATCTTGAATTGTACTCCTGTAATTTCCCCATGTTGTGTGAGGGACCTGGTGGGAGATGATTGAATCATGGGGGTTTTAATCCCCCATAGTGTTCTAGTGTTAGTGAATAAGTCTCATGAGATCTGATGGTTTTGTCAGAGGTTTCTACTTTTGCATCTTCCTCATTTTCTCTTTGCCTGCTGCCATCCATGTTAGATGGGGGTTGCTCCTCCTTGCCTTCTGCCCTGATTGTGAGGCTTCCCCAGCCATGTGGAACTGTAAGTCCAATAAAACTTCTTTGTTTTGTAAATTTTCCAGTCTCTGGTATGTCTTTATCAGCAGCATGAAAATGGACTAATAGAGTAAATTGACACCACTAGAGAGGGGCGTTGCTGAAAAGATACCTGAAAATGTGGAAGCGACTTTGGAACTAGGTAACAGGCAGAGGTTGGAACCATTTGGAGGGCTCAGAAGAAGAAGGGAAAATGTGGAAGCGTTTGGAAATTCCTAGAGAATTGTTGAATGGCTTTGCCCAAAATGCTGATAGCAATATGGACAATAAAGTCTAGGCTGAGCTGGTCTCAGATGTAGATGAGGAACTTGTTGGGAACTGGAGCAAAGGTGACTCTTGCTATGTTTTAGCAAAGAGACTGGTGGCATTTTGCTCCTGTCCTAGAGATTTGTGGACCTTTGAACTTGAGAGAGATGATTTAGGGTATCTGACAGAAGAAGTTTCTAAGCAGCAAAGCATTCAAGAGGTGATTTGGGTGCTGTTTAAAGCATTTAGTTTTAAAATGGAAACAGAGCATAAAAGTTTGAAAAATTTGCAGCCTGGCAATGTGATAGAAAAGAAAATCCCATTTTCTGAGGAGAAATTCAAGCCAGCTGCAGAAATTTGCTTAAGTAATGAGGAGCCAAATGTTAAGCCCCAAGACAATAGGGAAAATGTCTCCAGGGCATGTCAGAATTCTTCGTGGCAGCCCCTCCCATCACAGGCCTGGAGGCCTAGGAGGAAAAAGTGGTTTTGTGTGCTGGACTGAGAATATCCTGAGCTGTGTGCAGAATAGGGACTTGGTGCCCTGCGTCCCAGCTCCTCCTGTTGTGCATGAAAGGGGCCAGTGTAGATCTTGGGCTGTGGCTTCAGATGGTGCAAGCCCTAAGCCTTGGCAGCTTCTACATGGTGTTGAACCTGTGGGTACAGAGAAGTCAAGAATTGAGGTTTGGGAACTTCCCCCTAGATTTCAGAAGATGGAAATGCCTGGATACCCAGGCAGAAGTTTGCTGCAGGGGCAGGGCTGTCATGGAGAACCTCTGCTAGGGCAGTGTGGAAGGGAAATGTGGCGTTGGAGCACCCACACAGAGTCCTTACTAGGGCACTGCCTAGTGGAGCTGTGAGAAGGGGGTCACTCTCCTCTATACCCCAGAATGGTGGTTCCACCAACAGCTTGCATTGTGCATCTGGAAAGGCACAGACACTCAATGCCAGCCTGTGAAAGCAGCCAGAAAGAAGGCTTACCCTGCAAAACCACAGGGGTGGAGCTGCCCAAGACCATGGGAACTCACCTCTTGCATCAGTGTGACCTGGATGTGAGAGATGGAGTCAAAGGAGATCATTTTGGAGCTTTAAGATTTGACTGCCCCAGTGGATATCAGACTTGCATCGGCCCTGTAGCCATTTTGTTTTGGCCAATTTCTCCCATTTGGAATAGTTGTATTTACCTGATGTCTGTACCCCTATTTTATCTAGGAAATAAATAGCTTGCATTTCACTTTACAGGCTCATAGGCAGAAGGGACTTGCCTTGTCTCAGATGAGACATTGGACTGTGGACTTTTGGGTTAATGATGAAACGAGTTAAGACTTTGGGGGACTGTTGGGAAGGTATAGATGGTTTTGCAATGTGAGGATATGAGATTTGGCAGTGGCTAGGGGTGGAATGATATGATTTGCCTCTGTCCCCACTCAGATATCATCTTGAATTGTATTCCCATAATTCCCACATGTTGTGGGAGGGACCTGGTGGGAGATGACTGAATCATAGGGGCAGTTTCCCCCATACTGTTCTCATGGTAGTGAGTACGTCCCATGGGATCTAATGGTTTTATCAGGGGTTTCTGCTTTTGTGTCTTCCTCATTCTCTCTTTGCCTGCTGCCTTCCATGTAAGATGGGACTTGCTCCTCCTTGCCTTCCACCTTGATTGTGAGGCTCCCCCAGCCACATGGAACTTTAAGTCCAATTAAACCTCTTTCTTTTTAAACCTCTCTATTTCTTTTGTAAGTTGCCCAGTCTTGGGTATGTCTTTATCAGGAGCGTGAAAACTTCTTGATAACTGCCCCAAATTTTTCACTGATAGGCCCCAGTGACCAAGTTAGCTCAGTATTTACCTGGTGATATGTTTGGTTCTGTCCCCACAAAATCGCATCTTGAATTGTAGCTCCCATAATCCCCATGTGTCATGGAAGGGACCCAATGGGAGTTAATTGAATCATAGGGTGGGTTTTTCTCTTGCTGTTCTTGTGATAGTGAATAAGTCTCATGAGGTCTGACGGTTTTATAAAGAAGCGTTCCCCTGCACATGCCCTTTGCCTGCTGCCATGTGCCTTTGCTCCTCCTTTGTCTTCTCCCATGATTGTGAGGCCTTCCCAGTCATGTGGAACTGTGAGTCCATTAAACCTATTTTTCTTTATAAATTACCCAGTCTCAGGTATTTCTTCATAGCAGTGTGAAAATGGACAAATACTCTTGGAGATTGAGAATGGGATGTCAGAGAATATAGGGGAAGGCTATTTATTAATTATGGCTTGGGCAGGAAAAGATATCATACTAAGACTAATTTGAGAAGAATCTAATAAAGGTTCTATTAAAAAAGACATGGGTGTAATTAAGGAAATAATGAAGAGTATAATATCCTAGATGTGTGTATGCTTATAACAGTAAGCCACTAGTAGGGCCCTTAGAATTGAAGCAATCAGAGGAGAAGTATTTACTGGAACTTAGTGAGTGGTATCCCGGCAAGAAAGGATCCAGGGAAATAGAAATATTTATCTTACTATTTTTCTTGCCTCTGATCTTCTGCCATGGCCTCTTATTTGCCAATCCAACCAGAAGCCAGGTTGCAAGGAAGCTT
This sequence comes from Homo sapiens, assembly GCF_000001405.40. Classification (NCBI taxonomy): domain Eukaryota; kingdom Metazoa; phylum Chordata; class Mammalia; order Primates; family Hominidae; genus Homo; species Homo sapiens. The sequence continues at coordinate 29,058,790 of NC_000011.10, forward strand.
CTTGATGCAGTCCATCAAAGTCAACCTATCCGCACACAGGGCAAGGTGAGAATATATCTGGAGGGTCAAATTGGAGACTCACTCTAAGTACCTTCTCAAATGAAAGCTCAGGCTTATAGTTCCCCCATTTTGTGTTAAACATCAGTTAAATTGAACAAATATTTATTAAGATCAAGGTAGATACAAGCTGCTGTGCTGCACACTTTAAGATTTGAAAAGATTAAAAAATTGTCAACTCTATCTATAGGGGACTCAGATACTCAAGTGGGTATACTATAAAGTACAGAAAGAAAAGGGATGAGGGTAACTAAAAAGAGAATATATTATTCTTAGCATAGTAAGAGACAAAACCCTGATACACAAGCTTTTCTTAGCTGGAAAACACTACAAATTTTATTTTGTGATTGTTTACATCAAATCTTAGCCAAAATTTCATTTTGCTAATCAGATAAAAGAGGAACAGTGGTTAAAATAAGGATATGTTGGTGATGTTTTATATAAAACGTAAAAATCTGCCATTATGTGTAAATAAGGAATAATAGAAACATTTGGAAATGAACAATTTTTTTTAGTGCCTACTATGTACTACATTATGCTAGGTGCTGGAGATATAATGGTGAATAATGTTGCAATATGCCCAGTCTTCATGGAATCAACAGTCCAGTGGGGAAGGCAGATAAGTGGTAAGTCAATTGTAGTGCATGTTGATAAGAATAATTTATAAGGGGGCCCAGGGCATGGAGGCTCACGCCTGTAATCCCAGCGCTTCTGGGAGGCTGAGCTGGGTTATTACCTGAGGTTAGGAGTTCAAGACAAGCCTGGCCAACATGGTGAAACCCTGTTTCTACAAAAATTAGCAAGGCATGGGGGTGCACACCTGTAGTCCCAGCTACTCAGGAGGCTGAGGCAGAAGACTCGCAGGTGGAGGTTGCAGTGAGCCAAGATCATGCCACTGCACTCCAGCCTGGGCAATAGAGTGAGACTTCATCTCAAAAACAAAACAAAACAAAACAAAAGAATAATTATAAGGGAAGTACTGGTGCTATGGAAACACAGATGGAGTAAATAAAAATTGGAGATTTGGGGCTCAACATAGATGAAGAGACTTTCCAGTTAAAGTTGTATCTAAATTATTACCTGAAAAATGAGTTAAGAGCAATACACACAAAGAAGCAAAGAGGAAAAAATGTTTCCAGAGAGAAGGTAATATATACAGTTTCAGAGACAAAGAATGGTGTCAGAATGTGCTTTCAAGGTAAGGCAAGAGATTTAATATTACTAGAGTTCACAAGGGAAAGTCAGCGCTAAGGAGAAGGCCAAAAGCTAAGACCAGGCAAATCGTCAGGGGTCAGGTCATGATGAGGAAGCATAAGAGGAAAGATCTTAGATATTATCTGGAGGGTCCTGGAGAGTCGTTGAGGTATTTTAGGCAGGAGTGTGGCCTCAGTATATTTACAATTTAGAAGACTATTCCAATGAGTGGAGTGACTTAGTGGGGAGCTAGATGATAAAAATTAACACATAGTGATCCAAATGAAAGATAATGATGACCAGAGCTACAGTTGTAGGAAGAGAAATGATAGAATTAGATGCATTTCAGAAATATTAAAGAGTTATAATTGTCTGAATTGATGGATTGGATAAGGTTAGAGAAGTACACATGGATGCCTCAGTTATGACTTGGCAATTCAATGATCAGTGGTTCCATTTACAGAGAGAAATTGTGAGAAAAGAAGCAGGTTTCGAGTGGGAGAGATGAGTTTAAATTTAGATATTTCAGACAGAGGTGCTCATAATATATTCAAGTGTAAAAGGATAGTAAGCATTTGAAAATACAGATCTGAATTTCCTGTGAAAATTATTGACTGGACCTCAAAATTTAAGAGCTATTAGTATGAGTAGTAATTAACCTCCTAGACAGGATAAAGTTATGTGAGAATGTATGAAGTGATAAAATTTTAAAAAAAAGATACAGTTAAGTCTAACAATTTTAGAATGGGCAGAGGAAGGAGCCTGCTAGACTGAGAACAGGTCATATGAGGGGTAGGAGAAGATATAGAAGAGTATGGTGTCAAAAAAAAATTTACAGAAGAGAGAGTTTTCAGAAGAATTTGTTTTTTATGGTAGCATGTACCATAATCGCTTTTCAGTGACTTGAAGCACAGATCAGAGTTCTTGCTGATACCATTTCCCTAGAGAAGCGACCGGTTTTTATCCTTTCTTCTAAATTTAAATGTTTATTGTTTTAATGTCTATGGAGAATAATTTTCCCCCCCTGTCTAATAGGTCATCAGGTCAGTGGATATATAAGTCACCATTATTAACAGCCTCACTAAAAGACTACAAGATGAGTAAAATAGGTTCAAGACAGCTCCTATCACAGGGTTATTTTAGTAACTGTATGTGGAATTCTGGCTGTTTTATTTGGAGCTATGTTGAGTACTCAGATCTGTATTTCTCAGCATCAATGTACAGAACTCCTTTGAGTCCTGCAAAGCATTGTCACACTACAAAGCACAGTCAGTGTGAAAAAAAAAGAGAGGATGATGACAGAGTAGACAGCATGTCACAACCTCTTTATATATTATTTAAGTCAAATATGTATCTATATGATATAAATATATGTAATAAACATCATAGCATAGCATAGTATATTAAATCATATACATATATGTGTGTATTGACATCTATATGTGTATATACTTTCTCTCTATATACAAATATAGCTGTGTGATATATATATATACACACACCCCCCCCACACATATGACTTTTCCTGGTTGAGTCCTGCCTATATAAAAACCACCCAGTCTATCTGATAAGAAATTTGGGGATTATTAGATTTGCTGAGTCAGATGACTAGGTAAGATATTTCTTATTAGACAGAATGGAAAGATGTTGGTCTTGCTTTATCAACCACATGTTTTACAGAAGTTGTCAGTGTCCTCCTTTTATTAGTTTAGGGCACAACATTTCAGAGTTCTCATTTAGTTAGACAAAGTTCTAAGACTCAGAGTGTAGGTAGACAAGGTGCACAACTTGTCTCTGCTATATTCAGACATATCGACTGATTCCAAGCCATCTAAATTAATTAGACCTCTTGATACCAAGAATCAAAAGGTTTACTAACCAGGTAATGTTAATGGCATATCCCTGAGTAACAAGGGCATTATTCTGTTGGATCAAAAAGGTTAAACTTGATTACAGAAATCTTTGTGAAGGGATTTTTCTTTTTAAGATTCGCCAAATCCTCATAAGAGGGAGCTTAAAGTACCTATTGTAAAAAATTTTCAAAGATCCAGTTACAAAACCATAAAACTATAGCTATATTGTTAAAGATAAGTTATTTTGGAAAATAAACTCCCTCAGGGCAGTGACCATGTCTATTTTGTTCATCAATATATCCTTAGCTATTAGCACCTAACATTGCCTGGTTCATACCAGACCTTCAGAAATATTTCATGGATAGACGTTTGCATGAATCCTCAGTTTAATTCAAAATGTTGTCATAAATATTTTTAGCTAAAGAATCCTGAAGCCTATTACAAGTATGATTTCCATGAGAAAGTAGTTTTCTTCACTCGTGATGGATGAATGATGTCTAATACACATTATGGTGAATTGGAAGAAGTATTCAGTAGCCTCTGAATAGCAGTTATGGTGGTAGCACCAAAGATCCTTAAAGCTCTATGTTGTTCCATATATACAGTAAACAAATCATAATCATCTTGGTTCTTTCAATTGTATTGTACTTTACTTATTACAAAGTACTTTTACAGGTGTTTTGCTTTCATTTGAGCTTCATAACAACCTTGTTGAAGAAAGTAAAATACTATCTCCAATTCACACCTCTCCATGTGATTAATTATTCTTTCAACAGGCATTTATTGTGCTCCAAATATTGAGCATAACCATTGGCAGACAGATACATAAATTATGAGACACAGGTCCTGCCCTTAGGAAGATGACAGTCTTTTTGAGAAAAATAAGACAATGAAATAAATAATTATAATGAAGTAAAGAGATCAGTATTAAGTAAAACATATAACCTCATTGTAAAGTGTTCAGGGAAGAACATACATTTTTGGCTGGGAGCTTGATAAAGGCTTTCAGAAGGAAGGAACATGACATAATGTCACTGGGATTTTGAGATACTTGTTTATTTTATCAATTTTGGAGACAATTTATGGTCATGCTTTGTATAATGATGTTTGATTCAATGACAGACTACATATATCATATTGTCCCCAGAAGATTATAACAAAGCTGAAAATTTCTATTGCCTAGTGATGCCATAGGTTCATAATATCATAGTGCAGTGCATTATGGATGTGTATGTGGTGATGCTGGCTTAACCTAACCTACTGCTCTGCCAATCATATAAAAGTATAATATATACAATTATGTACAATCCATAATACTTGAAGATGATAATAAATGACTGTTCCTGATTTATGGCTTATGTGTTTACTATACTATAATTTTTATTGTTATTTCAGAGCATATTCCTTCTACTTACAGAAAAAGTCAACTGTAAAACAGCCTCAGGCAGGTCTTTCAGGAGATATTCCAGAAGGCATTGTTATCATACAAAATGATAGCTCCATGAGTATCATTTTCCCTGAAGACCAGTGGGACAAGATGAGGAGATGGAAGACAGTGATATGGATGATCCTGAACCTGAGACTGTATAGGCCTAGGCTAATGCATGTGTTTGTGTCTTCGTTTTTAACTAAAAGCTTAAAAAGTAAGAAAAATAAAAATAAAACATTTGAAAATACAAAAATCATATAGAATTAAGGACATAAGAATATTTTCGAACAGCTGTACAATGTATGTGTGTTTTAAGCTAAATGTTATTGCAAAAGAGCCAAAAGTTTTTTTAAAAAGTTTATAAAAACTTACAATAAGCTAAGATTAATTTATTAATGAAGAAATAATCTTTGTATATAAGTTTAGTGTAGCCTAAGTGTACAGTGTTTATAAATCTACAGTAATGTCCCAGACCTTCACATTCACTCATCACTCACTCACTGACTCACTCAGAGCAACTTCCACTCCTGCAAGCTCCATCCATTGTAAGTGCCTTATAAAAGTGTACCACTTTTTATCTTTTATACTGTATTTTTACTGTACCCTTTCTATGCTTGTTTAGATACACAAATACCACTGTGTAACAATTGCCTACAGTATTCAGTACCGAAATATGGGGTACAGATGTGTAGCCTAGGAGCAATAGGCTATACCATATAACCTAGGTGTGTATAGGTTTGTGTAAGCATACTCCACAATGCTTGCACAACTATATGCAAGCATACTCTATGATGTAAACATACTCTAGGATGTTCGTATAAGCATACTCTACAGTGTTTGTGTAAGAATACTCTAAATTTGTGTAAGCATACTCTACGATGTTTGCATAACCATGACATCACCTAATGATACATTTTCAGAATGTAACCCATTGTTAAACATACATGACAGTATTTAATAAATAATTAAATGATTGCTGTATTCCAGGCACTGTACCAAATGTTGGGGATACAAAAAAGAATGAAAAGTATATTTTAAATTTTTTGGTGTGTAAAATTTAGTGTTAAATGATTGCAGATCCCAAAGCAAATTATCATCTTAATGAGGAGAAAAATCACCTTTAGTCCAAGATGAACAGGAACTCTGCCTCAATCCCTAGTTTATGTAGAAAGAGACTGCACAAATGTATTCACGGGGAGTAGGTCCTTGCATACCTTAGGGGAGGCCATGGGTAGAAAGATGAGCCAAGTACTCGGGGGGACAGATTGAGGAAAATATAACTGGATTGAAGTTCATTCAACAAAGCCATTTTCAATCCATTTCAATAGATTAAAATGATGAAGAAAGGCTTCCATAGGAAATATTTTAAATAAAAGGTAAATAGATACTAAAATCATTATACAGCTATTTTAGCTATTTTAATTACATTTTAAAAATATATGATGAATTAGGATTTCTACTCCTTGCAAATACTATCTATTTTGAACAATATTGTTACTAAAGATGTAAATTTTTATACTGTTTGAAGCATGGCTAAAATGATTTCATTCTTGAAAATAAGCCCTGAATGAATTAGAGCTACTGTATATAACATTATCAAGTTCCCAGGAATTTAGTTATGTTTCACAGAAAATTATTTTATTTCACTCATAGAAAGGGTTAGCTAAAAATAAGTTTTAGGTAACAAAGACCAAAAAGGACACAAGGGAAATATACCATGGGAGAAAACTGGGTTTTAGTTCTGGCTCCTCCAGAAAGTATCAAACTGTCGGGCTACTGAACATTTACTTGTCTACCTGAAGGTTTCTATGTGTGTAAAGGGGAGTGGGGATGTTTTTGACTAAGTGTAACAAAAAAGTTACATACAGGCCTCAATTTCTCTCTTCCATGATGATGATAGATGCTGCTTCAGGATCATTGGTCTCTTTTTCACTGAGGCAGAGTTGGCATGCAAAGTGACAACCTACGCCAACCCTAGACTAGATGATCTTCAATATTCTCTCAAGCTGAAGAATTCTATGAATCTAAAATTTTTGAAACCCAAATGATATAATTGAATACAAAATGAAATTTAGTCTCTTAAAATTGTTGGTTTACTGATAAGCTACCCATAAACATTTTATTCACATTTTGATGGTAAATCAAAATGTATTTGCTTAACAACTATTTTTGATATAAATTTTAGCCACTATCTTCCATCTTTGTCCAATTAGATCCCTACTTGTTTATACTTTGTTTGTTCATTTTTTTATTCAGAAAGAGGAATGAAAAAGCTTATTAGCTATTCAGTATTCAGGTTTATTTGACCAGTGTTTCTCCAAAATAATATTTTAAAATATAGCAAAACTCCATTTAGTACTTTTAATTAATAATATATAAATTCTCTACTTTAGATATAATAAAACAGTAGAAAAAATAGTAAATGTATACTAATATTCCATGTAATGTAGATAAAATACTGGTTTAACAGATGTATAGACTCATTTGAACTCTATACTTTCAACAGAAATTTATTATTAATGAAGACAAAAGTGTTTAAGTAACAAAAATGTTCTGGGAGTGAGAATATAGTAAAAATTATAGTAAAATTATTTTGATTTTTTGATTATTCTCTTAGAGCAAAAACTAAAATATTTAAGTCAAGTCTTTTGGGGGCCTTATAGTAAGTAGAGTTCATGGAGGCTCACAGGGTCTCCACACAGATGTAAATTTTACTTCCAAATATGATCAAAAAGGACAAATGAGGGTATTACATAATAATAAAGGGTTCAATTCAACAAGAAAACTTAACTATTTTAAATATATATGCACTCAACACTGGAGCACCCAGATTCATAAAACAAATTCTAAGACACTTATGAAGAGACTTAGGTAACCAATAGTAGGAGACTTCAACACTCCATGGACAGCTGGACAGATCATCAAGGCAGAATGCTAACAAAGATATTTGGGATCTAAACTTGACACTTGACCAAATGAACCTTATAGGCATCCACAGAACACTCCACCCAACAAAAAACAGACTATACATTCTTCTCAGGTGCATGTGGCACATTCTTTAAAACTGACCACACACTTGGCCATGAGGCAATTCTCAACAAATTCAAAAAAACTGAAATTATACCAACCACATTCTCAGACCACAAGGCAATAAAAATATAAATAAATACCAAGAAGAGATCTTAAAACCATACAATTACATGGAAATTAATCTGTTCCTGACTGACTTTTGGGTAAACAATGAAATTAATGTAGAAGTCAAGAAATTCTTTGAAACTAATGAAAACAAAGATACAACATACAATAAGCTCTGGAACATAGCTAAAACAATGTTAAGAGAATTTATAGTGCTAAATGTCCATATCAAATAGCTAGAAGGATCTCAAATTAACAACCTAACATCCCACTTGAAGGAACTTGAAAAAGAAGAGCAAACTAAGTCCAAAGGTAACAGAAGAAAAGAAATATCCAAAATCAGAACTGAACTGAATGAAATGGAGATGAGAAAAAAGAAGAGATTAATGAAAACAAAAGTTGGTTCTTTGAAACAATGAAGGTTGATAGACTACTAGTTAGGCTAATAAGGAAAAATATGGAGAAAAACAAAATAAACACAATCGGAAATACAAAGGGTGCCTTGCCACTGATCCCACGGAAATACAAAAATCCCTTAGAAACTATTGTGAACACCTCTGTGCACACGAACTAGAAAACCTAGAAGAAATGGATAAATTCCTGGAAACACAGAACCTCTGAAGATTAAACCATGAAGAAATTGAGTCCCTGAACAGAGCAGCAATGAGTTCTGAAACTGAATTAGTAAAAACATAACAACCAAAAATAAAAAATAAAAAAGCCCTGGGCCAGATAGATTCATAGCCATATTCTCCCAAACATATAAAGAAGACCTAGTACTATTTTACTATTCAAAAATAAAAAAATCAAGGAGAAACCCTTCCTCACTCATTCTATGAGTCCTTCATCATTCTGATGCCAAAACCTGGCAGAGATACAACGGAAAAAGGAAACTTCAGATTAATATCCCTGATGAAGTTAGGGGCAAAAATCCTTAATAAAATACTAGCAAACCAAATCCAGCAGCATATCAAAAAGCTAATTCACCATGAATAAGTATGCTTTATCCCTGGGATGCAAGGTTGGTTCAACATATCCAAATCAATAAATGTGATTCACCATATAGACAGAACTAAAAACAAAAACCACATGATCATTTCAATATATGCAGAAAAGTCTTTCAATAAAATTCAATATACCTTCATGTTATAAACCCTCAACAAACTGGGTATCAAAGATACATACCTCAAAATAATAAGAGCCATCTAACAAAAACCCAGAGCCAACATTATACTGAATGAGAAAAAGCTAGAAGCATTCCGCTTGAGAACAGGAACAAGACATAGAAGCCCAGTCTCATCACTCTAATTCAACATATTACTGGAAGTCCTAACCAGAGCAAACAGGCAAGAGAAAGAAATAAAAGGCATCCAAATAGGAATAAAGGAAGTGAAACTATCTCTCTTCACAGACATTATGAAAGTATACCTAGAAAACTTCATAGTATCTGCCTAAAGTCTTTTAGATCTGATAAATAACTTCAGCATAGTTTCAGAATACAAAATTAATGTACAAAAATAAGTAGCATTTCTATACACAAATAACATACAACCTGAGAGCCAAATAAAAATTGCAATCCCATTCACGATATCCACAAAAGAATAAAATACCTAGAAATAGAGCTAAATAAAGGAGGTGAGAAATTTCTACAGTGAAAATTACAATATACTGCTGAAAGTAATCAGAGACAACACAGATAAATGGAAAAACATTTCATGCTCATGGATAGGAAGAATCAATATTGTTCAAATGGCCATACTTCCCAAAGCTATTTACAGATTGAAAGCTATTTCTAACAAACTACCAACCACATATTTTAGAGAATTAGAAAACAAATTCTAAAATTCATTTGAAACCAAAAAAAGAGGCCAAATAGCCAAAAGAATCCTAAGCAAAAAGAAAAAAAGCTGGAGGCATCACACTGCCCAACTTCAAAATATACTACAAGTCCACAGCATGGTATTGGTACAAAAAAAGACACATAGACCAATAGAACAGGTTAGAGAATCCAGAAATCAAGCCACATACCTACAACCATCTGATCTTCAACAAAGCTGACAAAAACAAGGAATGGGGAAAGGACTCCCTATTCAATAGATGCTGCTGGGATAACTGTCCTGCCATATGCAGAAGATTGAAACTGAACCTCTACCATTCACCATATACAAAAATCAACTCAAGACAGAACAATGACCTAAATGGAAAATCTAAAAGTATAAAGGCCCTAGAGGAAAATTAGGAAATATCATTCTGGACATCAGCCCAGGCAAAGACATCATGAGGAAGACTCCAAACCCAATTGCAACAAAAACAAAAATTAGCTAGTGGGACCTAATTAAACCAAAGAACTTCTGCACAGCAAAATAAACTATCGGTGGAGTAAACAAACACCCTACAGAATGGGAGAAAATATCTGCAAAGAATGCACTCAACAAAGGTCTAATACTCAGAATCCGTAAGAAATTCAAATAAATCTATAAGCAAAAACCAAACAACCCCATTAAAATGGGCAAAAGATATCAACAGACAGTTCTTAAAAGAAGACATACGTGTGGCCAATAAGCACATGAAAAAATGCTCAATATCACAAATTATTAGGAAAATGCAAATTAAAACCACAATGAGATAGCATCTCATACCAGTCAAAATTGTTATTATTAAAAAGTCCAAAAGTAGATGTTTTCAAGGTCACAAACAAAAGGGAACACTTATACACTACTAATCAGAATCTAAATTAATTCAGTCATTGTGGAAACCAGTGTGGAGATTTCTTGAAGAACTTAAGCAGAATTACCATTCAACCCAGAAATCCCATTATTGAGTATATACACAAAGGAATATAAATTGTTCTACCATGAAGACACATGCCATCATATGTTCATCACAGCAAAGATGTTGAATCAATGTAAATGTCCATCAGTGGTAGACTGGATAAAGAAAAAGTACGTATGCACCATAAAATACCATGCAGCTATAAAAAATGAGATCATGTTTTTTGCAGCATCATGGATGGAGCTGGAGGCCATAATCCTAAGACAATTAATGTGTGAACAGAAAACCAAATACTGCATATTCTCACTTATAAGTGGGAGCTAAACATGGACAAGATGCACATGGACACAAAGAGGGGACTAATAGACACTGGGACCTATTGGAGGGTGGAAGATGGAAGGAGGCTGAGGATTGAAAAACTTCCTATTGGGTATTATGCTGATTATCTGTGCGACTAAATAATCTGTACACCACCCCCCAGGTCACTTAATTTACCCATGAAATAAACCTGTACATATATCCCTTGAATCTAAAATAAAAGTTGGAAAGAAAAATAAATACTGTCCAGAGATGAACAAAGAAAAAAAATAATTGTATATGGAGGCTTAGTGTGAAGAAGACTGTACTGTATGTGTGTTTAAGGTGAGCACACTCTCTGAACCTTTTTGTTTACTTAACAATTGACAGTTTTGTTTATAACAAATCTCCATTATCAAGTCTTATGAAAGAATAAACATTCTTAATGTAAATAGCTCAATTTATGATTGTGTGTATATATTTACATTTGTGTGTGTGTTTATACATGTGTATGTATGTATATATATGTGTATACACACATATGCATGTGCATATGTGTATATATACATGTGCATGTACATGCATACATGTGTGTATACACATATATACGAACGTATGTATATACACATATACATACATTATATATGAGTATATATAAACACACATATGTATATAAACACACATATGTATATATACACACATACACACATACATATGTATGTATACACATATATATGTGTAACCAAACAAACAAAATCAAACCACTCGTTTGAATCTCACCTTCATAATTAACTGTTTGCATGATTATTTTCTATTCCTGTTATAGTGAGGTAGGTAATATTAAGCTATCCTTCATTCTAAGAACAACTATCAAAACTGGATAAAGTTTAAGGGAAAAAGCATATGTTTGAATATATTGGAGAGCAGACTATAGCTAGGGCTTGAGGAATCACAATGCCAGATACAGTCAGAGATAATGTAAACACATTGTGAGCAACTATGTATTTATGCCAAAATTTTCTCCTCAGGGAATTTGTTTTTAATAGTGATAAATAGAGGCCGAACAGAAAATAGTGATCCAGATACTGCAGTGGTTTCACTGAACAAGTGAAACTAAAATTTGAATTTAAGGCTGCTAAAGCATTTATAACTTGAAGGACCAAAAAAAGAGAAACACAAATAAGTAATCTATGAATTTTAATGAAATTTATTTTTCTTTTTTAAAATTTTTCCATAAGTCATTGGGGTACAGGTGGTATTTGGTTACATGAGTAAATTCTTTAGTGGTGATTTGTGAGATTTTGATGCATCCATCACCCGCGCACCATATTTGTAGTTTTTTATCCCTCACCTCCCTCCCACTCTTTCCCCCAAGTCCTCAAAGCCCATTGTATCATTCTTATGACTTTGCGTCCTCATAGCTTGGCTCCCCATATCAGTGAGAACACACGATGTTTGGTTTTCCATTCCCGAGTCTCTATTCTCATCCAGGTCACTTCAAATGCTGTTAATTTATTTTTATGGCTGTGTAGTAGTTCATCGTATGTATATACTACAGTTTCTTTATCCACTCATTGATTGATGGGCATTTGGGTTGGTTCCACAATTTTGCAATTGTGAATTGTTTTGCTATAAACATGCGTGTGCAAGTATCTTTTTTGAATAATGACTTCTTTTCCTCTGGGTAGATACCCAGTAGTGGGATTGCTTGATTGAATGGTAGTTCTACTTTTAGTTCTTTAAGGAATCTCCACACTATTTTCCATAGTGGCTGTACTAGTTTACATTTCCACCAGCAGCATAGAAGTGTTCCCTGTTCACTGCATCCACACCAACATCTACTGTTTTTTGATTATGGCCATTCTTACAAGCAGTGAGGTGGTATTATATTGTGGTTTTGATTTGCATTTCCCTGACCATTGGTGATCAGGGAAAAAAACATTTTTTTTCATGTTTGTTGGCCATTTGTATATCTTCTTTTGAGAATTGTCTATTGATGTCCTTAGTCCACTTTTTAATGAGATTTTTTTTTTCTTACTGCTTTCTTTGAGTTTGTTGTAGATTCTGGATATTAGTCTTTTGTCAGATGTATAGATTCTGAAGATTTTCTCCCATTCTGTGGGTTGTCTGTTTACTCTGCTGACTGTTCCTTTTGCCATGCATAAGCTCTTTAGTTTAATTAGGTCCCAGCTATTTATGTTTGTTTTTATTGCATTTGCTTTTGGGTTCTTGGTCATGAATTCCTTGCCTAAGTCAATGTCTACAAGAGTTTTTCCAATGTTATCTTCTAGAATTGTTATAGTTTCAGGTGTTAGGTTGAAGTCCTTAATCCATCTTGAGTTGATTTTTGTATAAGGTGAGAGATGAGGATCAAGTTTCATTCTCCTACATGTGGCTAGCCAATTATCCCAGCAGCATTTGTTGAAAAGGGTGTCCTTTCCCCACTTTATGTTTTTGTTTGCTTTGTCAAAAATCAGTTGGCTGTGTTCTGGGTTCTCTAATCTGTTCCATTGGTCTATGTGCCTATTTTTGTACCAGTACCATGCTGTTTGGGTGCCTAGGACTTTATAGTATAGTTTGAAATCAGGTAGTGTGATGCCTCCAGATTTGTTCCTTTTGCTTAGTCTTGTTTTGGCTATGTGGGTTCTTTTTTGGTTCCATATGAATTTTAGAATTGCATTTTCTAATTCTGTGAAGAATAATGGTGGTATTTTGATGGGTATTGCGTTGAATTTGTAGACTGCTTTTGGCAGTATGGTCATTTTTACAATATTGTTTCTACCCATCCATGAGCATGGGATGTTTCCATTTGTTCTTGTCATCTATGATTTCTTTCAGCAATGCTTGGTAGTTTTCCTTGTAGGGGTCTTTCAACTCCTTGGGTAGGTAGGAGCTTTCTGGAGGAGTCTTTAGGATTTTCAAGGTAAACGAATATATCATCACCAAATAGTGACAGTTTGACTTCCTCTTTACCGATTTAGATGTTCTTTATTTCTTTCTCTTGTCTGATTGCTCTGGCTACAACTTCCAGTACTATGTTGAAGAGGAGTGATGAGAAGGGGCATCTTTGTCTTATTCCCATTCTCCGAGGGAATGCTTTCAACCTTTCCTCATTCAGTGTTATGTTGGCTGTGGATTTGTCATAGATGGCTTTTATTACATTAAGGTATGCCCCTTGTATGACAATTTTGCTGAGAGTTTTATTCATAAAGAGATGCTGGATTTTGTTGAATAATTTTGCTGCATCTTTTGAAATGATCATGTGATTTTTTGTTTTTTATTCCTGTTTATGTGGTGTATCATATTTATGGATTTGCATATGTTAAACCATCCCTGCATCCCTGGTATGAAAACTATTTGATCATGGTGGGTTATCTTTTTGATATATTGCAGGATTTGGTTAGCTAGTATGTTGCTAAGGATTTTGGCATCTATGTTCATCAAAGATATCAATCTGTAGTTTTGTTTTGTGATTTTGCCCTTTCCTAGTTTTGGTATTAGAGTGGTGCTGGCTTCATAGAATGAATTAGGGAAGGTTCCTTCTTTCTCTATCTTGTGGAATTGTGTCAAAAGGATTGGTTCCAATTCTTCTTTAAATGTCTGGTAGAATTCTGCTGTGAATCCCTGTGGTCCTGGACATTTTGTTGTTGGTAATTTTTAATTACCATTTCGACCTTGCTGCTTGTTATTGGTCTGTTCAGGGTATCTAATTCTTCCTAACTTAAACTAGAAGGGCAGTATTTTTTCCAGGAATTTATCCATCTCTTCTAGTTTTTCTAGTTTATATGTATAAACGTGTTCATAGTAGCCTTGAATGATCTTTTTATTTCAGTGGTGTCAGTTATAATATCTCCTGTTTTGTTTCTTAGTGAGGTTATTTGGATTTTCTCTCTCTCTTCTTTTCTTGGTTAATCTTGCTAATGTTCTAACAATTTTATTTATCTTTTCAAATAATCAGCTTTTTGTTTCATTTATCTTTTGTATTTTTGTTTTTTTCAATTTTATTTAGTTCTGCTCTGATCTTGGTTATTTCCTTTTTTCTGCTGGGTTTGAGTTTGGTTTGTTCTTGTTACCTCTAGTTCCTTGAGGTGTGACCTTAGAGTGTCTGTTTGTGCTCTTTCAGTCTTTTTAATGTAGGCATTTAGGGCAATGAACTTTTCTCTTAGCACCGCCTTTGCTGTATCCCAGATGTTTTGATAGGTTGCATCATTATTGTTCAGTTAGAAGAATTTTTTAATTTCCATCTTGATTTTGTTTTTGATCTAGTGCTCGTTCAGGAGCAAGCTATTTAATTTCCCTGTGTATTTTCATGGTTTTGAAGGTTCCTTTTGGAGTTGATTTCCAGTTTTATGCCACTGTGGTCTTAGAGAGTCCTTGATATAATTTCAATTTTCTTATACTTATTGAGGCTTGTTTTATGGCCTATTATATGGTCTATCTTGGAGAAAGTTCTCTGTGCTGTTGAATAGAATGTGTACTCTGTGGTTGTTGGATGAAATGTTCTGTACATATCTGTTAAGTCCATTTGTTCCAAGGTATAGTTTAAATCCATTGTTTCTTTGTTGACTTTCTGTCTTGACCTATCTAGTGCTGTCAGTGGAGTATTGAAGTCCCTCACTATCATTGTGTCTCTTTCTAGTGCTTTCAGTGGAGTACTGAAGTCCTCCACTATTATTGTGCTGCTGTCTATCTCATTTCTTAGGTCTATTAGTAATTGTTTAATAAATTTGGGACCTCCAGTTTTAGGTGTATATATGTTTAGTATTGTGATATTTTCCTGTCAGACAAGGCCTTTTAACATTATATAATGTCCCTCTTTGTCTCTTTTAACTGCTGTTGCTTTAAAGTTTGTTTTGTCTGATATAAAAATAGCTACCCCTGCTTGCTTTTGGTGTTTATTTGCATGAAATTCCTGTTTTCATCCCTTTAAGTTTATGTGAGTCTGTATGTGCTAGGTGAGTCTCCTGAAGGCAGCAGACAGTTGGTTGGTGAGTTCTTATCCATTTTGCAGTTCTGTATCTTTTAAGTGGAGC
This sequence comes from Homo sapiens, assembly GCF_000001405.40. Taxonomy (NCBI): domain Eukaryota; kingdom Metazoa; phylum Chordata; class Mammalia; order Primates; family Hominidae; genus Homo; species Homo sapiens. Next base: position 29,074,560 of record NC_000011.10, read on the forward strand.
ATTTAGGTCATTTACATTCAATGTTAGTATTGAAATGTGAGGTACCATTGCATTCATCGTGCTCTTTGTTGCCTGTGTACTTTGTTTTTTTGTTTGGTTTTTGCTATTTAACTTGTATTTTTGTTGTATAGGTCCTGTGTGATGTATGCTTTAAAGAAGTCTTGTTTTGATGTGGTACCAGGATTTGTTTTAAGATTTAGAGCTCTTTTTGCAGTTCTCATAGTGGTGGCTTAGTAATGGTGAATTCTCTCAGCATTTGTTTGTCTGAAAAAGGCTGTATCTTTCCTTCATACATGATGCTTAGTTTTGCTGGTTACAAAATTCTTGACTTATAATTGTGTTGTTGAGGAGGCTAAAGATAGGGCCCCAATCCTTTCTAGCTTGTAGGGTTTCTGCTGAGAAATCTGCTGTTAATCTGATAGGTTTTCCCGTATTGGTTACTTGGTGCTCTGTCTCACAGCACTTAAGATTCTTTCCTTCGTCTTAACTTTGGACAACCTGGTGACAATGTGCCTAGGTGAAGATCTTTTTGCAATTAATTTCCCAGGTGTTTTTTATGCTTCTTGTATTGGGATGTCAAGGTCTCTGGCAAGGCCATTGAAGTTTTCCTCAATTATTCTCCCACATATGTTTTTAGAATTCTCTTCTTCCTCAGGAACACTGGTTATTCTTAGGTTTTGTCATTTAACATAATCCTAGACTTCTTGGAGGCTTGTTCATACTTTCTTATTCTTTTTTCTTTGTCTTTGTTGGATTGGGTTAATTTGAAGACCTTCTCTGTAAGCTCTGAATTTCTTTCTTCTACTTGTTCAATTCTATTGCTGAGAATTTCCAGAGCATTTTGCATTTCTAAAAGTGTGTCCAACGTTTCCTGAATTTTAGAGTGTTTTTTTTTTCCTGTAAGCTTTCTATTTCCTTGAATATTTTTTCCTTCACTTCTTGTATCATATTTTGGGTTTCCTTGTATTGGGCTATGCCTTTCTCTGGTCCCTCCCTGATTAGCTTAATAACTAACCTCATGAATTCTTTTTCAGGCAAATCTGGGATTTCTTCTTATTTTGGATTCATTGCTGATGAACCAGTGTGATTTTTGGGGGGTGTTGATGAGCCTTGTTTTGTCACGTTACCAGGGTCATTTGTCTGGTTCCTTCTTATTTGGGTAGGCTGTGTCAGAGGGAAGGTCTAGGGCTCAAGGCTGTTATTCTGTTTCTTTTGTCCCATGGGATGTTCCCTTGATGTAGTACTCTCCCCCTTTTCCTATGGATGTGAGTTCCTGTGAGCCAAACTGCAATGGTTGTTGTCTCTCTTCTGGGTCTCCCGGCTCCGGGCTGGTGCTGTGGGTTGTCACAGTGCTCTGTGATGTGAACTATCTGTGGGTCTCTCAGCCATGGATACCAGCACCTGTTCCAGTGGTGTGGCAGGGGGGTGCAGTGGGCTACATGGGGGTTCTTAGCTTTGGTGGTTTAATGCCCTATTTTTTGTGCTGGTTGGCCTCCTGCCAGGAGGTGGTGCTTTCCAGAGAGCATCACCTTTGGTAGTATGGGAAGGAACTGGTGGTGGGCAGGTCTCTAGAACTCCCAAGATTATATACCCTTTGTCTTCTGCTACCAGGATGTGTAGGGAAGGAACATCAGGTGAGGGCAGAGCTAGGCGTGTCTGAGCTGAGACTCTCCTTGGGTGGGTCTTGCTGTGGCAACTGTAGGGGATGGGAGTGAGATTCCCAGGTCACTGGAGTTGCGTACCTAGGAGGATTATGACTGCCTCTGCGGAGTCATGCAGGTTATCAAGGAAGTAGTGGAAAGCTGGCAGTCATAGGCCTCACCCAGCTCCCATGCAAACCAAAGGGCCAGTCTCACTCCCACTGTGCCTGCCCCCCCACCCGCCAACAGACCCCAGTCTATTTCCAGGTGGAGAGTGAGATGGGCTTGAAAACCTGCCCCAGGCTACCCACCTCCCAGCTGCAAAAGAAAAGGGCTTGGTTCTTACCCAATCTGTGGAGTCTGCACACCAGAATCGCACCCTCCCCTGAGATCTGGCCAGGAGGTTTCTCACCCGGTTAAAACTTTTATGAAGTTCAGCTAGAGATTTCCTTCTCCCTGTGTAGTTTTACTCCCTGCTCCTCTCCTGTTGTATCCCTGTGGTGGCAGGCAGGAATGGCCTGCTACAGGACCCAGTGAGCTCCCAGGGAATTCTGCTGCCTCCTCTACCCCTGTATTTTGCTCAGCTCTCTGAATTGACTCAGTTCCAAGTAAAGTTGGAAACTTCTCCTGCAAACAGATGGTCAGCTTCTCTAGTGGGGGTGTATATTCTGGAGAGGAGGGTCTCCCTTTCCCACTTCTGCCATTGGGGCACTCGCCATTTTGGTAGGGTCTCCTGGGTCCTGAAGGAGCAGTCCACTTCCTTCAGAGGGTCTGTGGGTCCTCTCAGGATTGCTGATTTGTTCTTGCAGTTGATCTGGAGGTAAAATTCACAATGTGAGCCCCCTCCTGCTGTTCTGTCCAGAGCTGCAATCTCTGATGCAATTTCTTCTTGAGGCATTTGTTTGTTTCCTAAGTTCAACATGGGCAGGGCAAGATGCTCAGCTACTGAAAATAGTTAACCAATAATTTAAAAATAAGCAGATATTTTAGCAGTTTTATTGTGCTAGAGAGACAAAAAATTTGAGTTGAAAGCCTACCCAGGAAAAAGGTCCTGGTATATATGGAAGGCTTTCCAGTTATGAACCCAAGAAAAAAAAGACTTAGAAGTAATGGTATATTGGAAATAGACTGGTTAAGATCATGCTGCCCATTGTCTTCATGCTACCGGAAGAAAATTAGTTTACTACATCATGTATACCCTTGATATTTTTCATATAAATTTCTAAAATTCAATAACAATTGACGGGAATAATAAAAATAGATCTATGTTGCTAAAAACTAAATTAAAAATTTTAACTTCTATAATTAATCCAAATATTTGTGTTATCTGATATAGTTTGGCTATGTCCCACCCAAATCTCAACTTGAATTGTATCTCCAAGAATTCCCACATGTTGTGGGAGGGACCCAAGGGAAGGTAATTTAATCATGGGGCTCTGTCTTTCCCATGCTATTCTCATGATATTGAATAGGTCTCATGAGATTTGATGGGTTTATCTGGGATTTCTGCTTTTGCTTCTTCCTCATTTTCTCTTGCCACCACTATGTAAGGAGTGCTTTTCACCTCCCACCATGATTCTGAGGCCTCCCCAGGCATATGGAACTGTAAGTCCAGTTAAACCTCTTTTTCTTCCCAGTCTCAGGTATGTCTTTATCAGTAGTGTTGAAACAGACTAATACAGAAAATTGGTACCAGTAGAGTGGGACGTTGCTGAAAAGACACCTGAAAATGTGGAAGCAACTTTGGAACTGGGTAACAAGCAGAGGTTGGAACAGTTTGAAGGACTCAGAAGGAGACAGAAAAATCTGGCAAAGTTTGGAAATTCCTAGAAATTTGTTGAATGGCTTTGCCCCAAAAATGGCTGATAGAGATATGGACAATAAAATTCAGGTTGAGGTGGTCTCAGATGGAGATAAGGAACTTGCTGGGAACTGGAGCAAAGACAACTCTTGCTATGTTTTATCAAAGAGACTGGTGGCATTTTGCCCCTGCCTTAGAGATTTGTGGAACTTTGAGCGCTTGAGAGAGATGATTTAGGGTATCTGGCTGAAGACATTTCAAAGCAGCAAAGCATTCAAGATGTAACTTGGGTGCTGTTAAAGGCATTTAGTTTTATAAGGGAAGCAGAACATAAAAGTTTGGAAAATTTGCAGCCTGACTCTGTGATAGAAAAGAAAAACCCATTTCCTGGGGAGAAATTCAAGCCAGCTGCAGAAATTTGCATAAGTAGCAAGGTGCCTAATATTAATCCCCAAGACCATGGGGAGAATATCTCCAGGCCATGTCAGAGACCTTCATGGTAGCCCCTCCCATCACAGCCCTGGAGGCCCAGGAGGAAAAAGTGGTTTTGTGGGCCTGGCCAAGGGTCCCCTGTGCTGTGTGCAGCCTAGGGACTTGGTGCTCTGTGTCCCAGCTTTTCTAGCCATAACTGAAAGGGTCAAAGGTACAGCTAAGGCTGTGGCTTCAGAGGGTGGAAGCCCCAAGCTTCCATGTGGCATTGAGTGTGTGGGTGCATGGAAGTCAAGAATTGAGGTTTGGTAATCTCCACCTAGATTTCAGAAGATATATGGAAACACCTGGATGCTCAGGCAAAAGTTTGCTGCAGGGGCAGAGCCCTCATGGAGAATCTCTGCTAGGGCAGTGCAGAAGGGAAATGTGGGGTCAGAGCCCCACACAGAGTCCCTACTGGGGCACTGCCCAGTGAAGCTGTGAGGAGAAAGCCACCATTCTCCAGACCCCCAGAATGGAAGATCCACTGACGGCTTTCACCATGCACCTGGAAAAGCCACACTTAACACCAGCTCATGAAAGCAGCCAGGAGGGAGGCTGTACTCTGCAAAGCCTCAGGGGAAGAGCTGCCCAAGACCATGAGAACCTACCTCTTGCATCATTGTGACCTGGATGTGAGACTTGGAGTCAAAGGAGATCATTTTGGAGCTTTAAAATTTGACTGCCCTGCTGGAGTTTGAACTTGCATGGGCCCTGTAACCCCTTTGTTTTGGCCAATTTCTCCCATTTGGAATGGCTGTATTTACCTAATACCAGTACCCCCACTGTACCTAGGAAGTAACTAGCTTGCTTTTGATTTTACAGGCTCATAGGCAGAAGTGACTTGCCTTGTCTCAGATGAGACTTTGGACTGTGGACTTTTGGGTTAATGCTAAAATGAGTTACAACTCTGGGGGACTGTTGGAAAGGCATGATTGGTTTTGAAATGTGAAGACATGAGATTTGGAGGGGCCAGGGGCAGAATGACATAGTTTGGCTCTGTGTCCCCACCCAAATCTCATCTTGAATTTTATCTCCCAGAATTCCCATGTGTTGTGAGAGGGACTCCAGGTGAGGTAATTGAATCATGGTGGCCTGTCTTTCCTGTGCTATTCTTGTGCTAGTGAATAAGTCTTACGAGATCTGATGGGTTTATCAGGGGTTTCTGCTTTTGATTTTCCCTCATTTTTCCTTTCTGCCACCACATAAAATCCACTTTTCACCTCCTGCTATGATTCTGAGACCACCTCAGCCATGTAGAACTCTAAGTCCAATTAAACCTCTTTTTCTTCCCAGTCTCAGGTGTGTCTTTATCAGCTGCATGAAAACAGACTAATACATCATCTACAGACTTTAACTGCAATTACAATAGCAAAGACACTGTATCAACGTAAGTGCCCATCAATGATAGACTGAATAAAGAAAATGTGGAACATATACACCATGGAATACTATGTAGCCACAAAAAAAGAAAACAAGATCATGTCCTTTGCAGGGACATGGATGGAGCTGGGGCCATTATTATTAGCAAACTAATACAGAAACAGAAAACCAAATACTGACTGTTCTCACTTATAAGTGGGCGCTAAATAATGAGAACACATGGACACATAAAGGAGAACAACATGCACTGGGGCCTTTCAAAGGATAGAGGGTAGGAGGAGGGAGAGGATCAGGAAAAATAATTAATGGGTAGCAGGCTTACCTGGATGATGAAATAATCTGTACAACAAACACCTGTGACACGTTTACCTATGTCACAAACCAGCACTTGTACCCCAGAACTTAAAAGTTTAAAAAAAGAAAAATAAAATAAATAGAAATATAATAAAATAATTATGATTAATATGTGGGTAGGAGGAGGGAGCAGATCAGGAAAAATAGTGGGTACTATGCTTACTTGGGAGTTGGAATAATCTGTACAACAAACCCCATGACACACTTATATCCCTGAACTTAAAATCAAAGTTTTTTAAAAAGGAAATAAGAGAAATAGAAACAAAATAATGTAAAATAATTGTAATAAATATGTTTGAGAGAATATATGGGAAAGAATTTTATCAGAGAAATTGAATATATTAAAAATAAATCTAAAGGTAATGAAATTGAAAAGCAGAATAACTGAAATTAAGAATTGGATAGATTTAGCACATTTATAGAACAAATAATTAGTGAACTGGGAGTTATGTTGGTAAAAAGAAAAACCCAGCTTGGAACATACATGAGAAAAAAAGATACAAATTAGAAAAATGAGAGTAAAACTTATGTAGATCCCAGTAAAAAGTTTTAACTTAAATGTAATTTGAGTCTCAGTAAGGAAGAAATAAACAGTAAGTGGGTCAGAAGCAATATCAAGAAGATAATGATACTAACTAATGAGATATTTCAACTCAGAGATTCAAGAAGTTTGCTAACCAAAACAGAAAAACTTCAATGAATAACCATGCTTAGGTCCGTCATAGTAAAACTGGTGAAAACCAAAGGCAAGAAAAGAGCATCCAGAGATAGAAGATACTCTAGCTTCAAAACACTAAAACTCATGTGTAACTTTTCACTATAAACAGTGGAAGTCAGAAGATAAGATAATGGCATTTTTATAGTACTAAAGTAAAGAATACTTGTAATATGCTAATATTAAATATATAGTGGAAATATTTTTGAAAATGAAGGTAAAATGGCCATCCTTGCCTGCTCCTACCAAGAAAACCCCACAAAACTAGGTTTTTGACTGACAGATTCATAATAAAGGAATTATTAAAGGAAATACTTAAGGCAGAATAAAACTAATCCCACACAGGAACATAGTAGTATAGTAAGTGAAGAGTGCTGGTAAAAGTAAATATAGAAGCAAAACATATATCTATATATACACAAATAAAATGTTTAAAGCAACAATGATTTTGAAGGTAGAATAAATGTAAAATAAAATTCATGAATAACAGTACAAAGATTATGTTTGCATGGCTAAGAATTGAGAAAAATACTAATTTAAAGTAGGTTCTTATTTGCATTTTATGCTAGTATTTATAATATTAGCATTTTACTCATGTTACGGCAGCCACTAAAGGAGTAGTTGAAAGATTTATAACAAATCAATAAGAGAATATTATAGACTACTTCATCCCAAAATTTGGAAATTGAGTGGAAATAGAAAAATTTCTAGAAAAAATAAAATTTCTCAAAATTGACACAAAAGAAATAGAAAATGTAAATAGCTCTATCTTCATTAAAGCTATAATCACAATCTACAGCCTTTCAACAAAGGAAACTCCTGTATTAGGTGGTTTCACCTGCAAATTCTTCCAAATAATTAAGGAAGAAATAACACCAATAATACATGAAATTGCAGAAAATAAAGATGGAACATATACCAATAAATTTTTTGAGAGAAAGAGCCATAGATTGGAAAAACAGATGAGGATAAACAATAAAGGAAAACTACAGACCTATCTATCTCAAAAAATGAAATAAAAAATCCTGAATACATTATTAGAAAATTGGATCCAGCAATATATTGTATGTAAAATTATATATCACAAATAAATTGGACTTTCCAAATATGTTAAATTGGTTTATTATTTGGAAATATATCATTGTAAGTCACCACATTAGTAGAATATACAAGATGAATCATACGTTCATGTTGATTGATACAAAAAGAAATTGATAAAAATTCAACAGTCATTCATACTAAAATTTTTTAGCAAACTGGAAATAAAATGAAAATTTGTTAACCAGTGAAAATTAATTTAAAGTTTAGAGCAATTATAATATTTAGTAGTGAAATATGACAAACTCTTGTCCAAAGATAAACAATTTGACAGGACATCTGTGGTCATGGCTTCTATTTAGCATTTTGATAGAAGTCTTTCTGGCTAGAGCAATAAAAACAAAACAAAACAAACGAATGAATTTTATAAGAATTTTGCAAGGAGGAGTAAAATGTTTATCATTAATAGACAAAATCATTGTGTATTTAGAATATTATGTATGTATACAGATATATACTTATAAATATATATCCATGTATGTACTTATCTGAGTTTAGCAATGCTACTAAATACAAAGTCAATATGACACAATCAGTTTTATTTCTACTTGTAGCAATGGACACGGAGGAACAGATCTAAGGAAACATGAGTGAGATCTGTATAAGGCATTGCCACCTTTAGGCAAGGGTCTAGCATCTTGTTTCCTAGTGTTAGTTAATCATTAAATGCAGGTTGTCTCTGCCTTTACTGCACGGTGGTGGTTTGGAGACAAATCCTCCCAATATGATCATTTTTAAAGACAATAACCTACAGAACTAGCAGATGTGAACAGTTATCAGCCCAAACTCACAACTATCACTAGCTGAAGTAGGGGTGCACTGGCTTAGTAAATGGGATTTGAAGGCATACTAACAGAGTCCCTGGCATTTGAGTTTCTGCCAGTTGCCTCCCCATCAGAAAAGAGTACTAATATTCCTCTCACCATAATTTATTATAACTCAATCAATAGTTTAGAAGATTACTAAGAATCCCTTTTAATATAGAAGGGAATTTAATATGGAAGAAAATTTCATAAAGATGAGAGTACAGGGTGAAATGCAGAAAAAAACAGCATGAGATGCAAAAATGAAAGTTTTTGAAAATACAATGCTCAGATTTTTAAAAATACTGTTATAATACAAGAATGCTGGGCTAGACCATTTAAAAAGCAGAAATAAAATTCAATGTTGCCCTCTTAAAGATAACATCTGACTAGCAGAATATATTCTACAAAATAAAAACTAAAAATCTCATTATAAAATTAAAACATACAACCATGAAAACAGAATCAAACACAATTTTCTGTAATGATGAGTTTGAAGATATGAAATGAAAATCACCACTGGTGATTGAAGCTAAAACAAAATTTTGTTCCAAAGGAAATAAAATTTGGGGAAGGAGATGAGAAGACATCTTTGCATTTTATTTTTGGATTTTAGAAATCAAGATCTCCACCAAGAAAACTAGTTGTCATGATTTTAATCCCTTAAGGCATTTGTTTATTCTGTTTCTAGTAATGTAATAAAGAAATGTGTAAATAGATGCTAGCCCTCTTATTCTAGAATTTGAAATCAAGCAAGGAATAATTTGTGACAGAAAAAGTAATGGGGATGGTACTGTCTTCAAATTTTAGTTTTGAAATTTTAGATTTTTTCTCTGGCTTTCTGGCCAGAGGAAAATTAAGCATTACAGTTGACCCTCGAAAAACAGAAGGGTTAGGGGTACTGCTCCCCCACCATGCAGTCAAAAATCTGCATATAACTTTAGACTCCCCCATATCTTAACTACAGCCTATTCTTGGCCAGAAGCCTTATCAATAACATAAATAGTTGATTAACACATATTAGTATGTTACAAGTATTTTGTACTGTATTCTTAAAGTAAGCAAATGAAAATAAAATGTTATTAAGAAAATTGTAAGAAAGAGAACATATACTGTTGACCCTTGAAGAACATGGATTTGAACTGTGTGCCACCACTCATGAGTGCATTTTTTTCTTTTTTGAGTTGGGTTCTCACTGTGTTTGCCTAGGCTGGAGTGGAGTGGTGTGATCATGGTGCACTGCAGCCTCAAACTTCCTGCTCAAGCAATTCTCCTACCTCCAACTCTCAAGTAGCTGGGTCTACAGGTATGCATTGCTATACCCAACTAATTTTTTTAAATAAATATTTTGTAGAGACAAGGTCTCACTACGTGGCCCGGGCTAGTCTCAAATTTCTGGCTTCAAGCAATCTTCCTGCCTCAGCCTCCCAAAGTTTTGGGATTACAGATGTCAGCCACTAAGCCCAGCCTGGATTTTTTTCAATAAAAGTCAACGGGGTGACCGGGCACAGAGGCTCACACCTGTAATTCCAGCACTTTGGGAGGCCTAGGCGGGCGGATCACGAGGTCACGAGAGCATCCTGGCTAACACGGTGAAACCTCGTCTCTACTAAAAATACCAAAAACAAAAACAAAAACAAAAACAAAAAACTAGCTGAGTGTGGTGGCAGGCGCCTGTAGTCCCAGCTACTCGTGAGGCTGAGGCAGGAGACTGGCATGAACCCACAAGGCGGACCTTGCAGTGGCAACAGAGCAAGTCTGGGCAACAGAGCGAGACTCCATCTCAAAAAAAAAAAAAAAAAAAAGTTAACAGGGTGTTAACGGGGAACTCTTCTGCCTCATCTTCACCTTCTTTACCTCTTCTGCCACTCCTGAGACAGCAAAGCCAGTCTTACCTCTCACTCCCACTCCTTAGCCTACACGATGTGAAGATGTTGAAGATGAAGACCTCTATGATGATACACTTCCATTTAATGAATAGTAAATATGTTTCCTCTTCCTTGCAATTTTCTTTGTAATATTTTCTTTTTTCTAAGTTACTTTATTGTAAAAATAAGGTACGTAATACATATACAAAAATATGTTTATGTTATTTGTAAGGCTTCTGGTCAGCAGTAGGCTATTAGTAGTTAAGTTTGGGGAGAGACGAAATTATACACATTTTTACTGTGTGGTGGGTTGACGCCCTAGCCCCTGCATAGTTTGAGGGTCAACTCTGGGTAATATTCAGTGGAAGTGGATTATCATAAAGGTCTTCATGCTCATTGTCTTCACGTTGAGTAGGCCAAGTAGGAGGAGGAAGAAGAGGAGTTGGTCTTGTCTCAGGGGTGGCAGAGGTAGAAGAAAATCCACATATAAGTGGACATGTTCAGTTCAAACCCGTGTTGATCAAGTACCAACTCTATTTTCAATTACTGACAAATAATTTTCACTTTTCTTAATTCAATCCAGAGAGAGCTGATGATCCCTTCCCTTAATTCTGTTAAGCCACATTTGATAAACTAGACACAATTTTTTTTCCTGAAAAGCTACATATTAATACATCTGCTGGCTCTCTAGCTTAAGTCCTGAGAGGAAACACTGATACTCAACCAGTAAACAGGAATAGAAATGAAGGAAAATGCTAGTTTATGGCCAAGTACTATGAATGACTGAATCTCTTTTTATTCAAAGATGTGTAAACAGAAATACAGAACCAAAAACTGACCATAAAATGATTATGTACTCAAGTCACAGAAAAAAAATACTCAAGGAACAGAGCATACTTTAAATATTATAAATATCAGTAACAAAAATATTAAAAATACATTTGCTTTGGTTCTGGAATATAATTAAATGAATTAAGAACTTTATAAATCTCAAATTTTGACAAAAATGAACTAAGGTTTTTTAAAAAGAGATGTTGTTGAATAGAGAATGGGAATAAAAAGGCAGCCATTTTATATGTGGGATTATTAAAATAAAATTATTTATGGATGCACAGATACACACAAACCAATACACACATGCAAATTTTTTTTAAAAAAATCATTATAAACAGTAAATTTCAAAAACAATTTTAGAGGAAACATGTTTGATGATTTGTAAGATAACTTAGCAATAATTCCTAGAATACAGAAGTAAGAGTGATACAACAGGGCAAATGGGGAGAGAATATGATCACTATGGAAGAGCCAGAAGAAAACACACACTGTTTGTGGGAGTGTTGCATAATAGACAAACTCGTAATAGTTGCTGGTAGTGATAGTCAGTATGTTCATTTATTCAACAAATATTTAGCACCTATGATGCATGAGGCATTACTATAGATAACTATAACTGGAATACATCAGTGCAGAAAACAGTTAAAGATACCTACGTATGTAGCGTCCAGAGTGAGAAGAGAGAAAAATTTAAAATATCACAATAAATGGTTAAAGTCAGGAGTTTGAGGGTGGAAGTTGCAGAAGAAAGAAGGTAATAAGGCTGGACGTCATTGAAGAAGTGAATTTTGAGGAAAACATTGTCAGAAATATGGTAGACTCCAAGCAGGTAGCTGAGAGAAGAATAATTTACAAGAGGGAACTAAGAGGCTAGAACATGAATGTTGCATAAAAACAGCAGCCAGGAGGCCAAGTGTGTTCACAGCGGAATAAATGAGGAAGAAAGTAGTGAAAGAGAGGTCAGAGCTTAAATAGTGGGCCACGTATGTAGCCCTTATAGGAATTTTGGCTCTTACTTTGATTGAAATAGGGAGCCACTAGGGTTCTAGACAGAAATTTAATAACCTTTCTAGAGAGAAATTTAATAAGGTGAAACATGAGATTTGAAAACATTCATATTCATTGCTCTAGTAATTATATTTTATATAATTCACCCTGAAGACATAATTAGATATGCAGCAATGATTTATGTCCAATGATACCATAACAGCAGTGAATTTATTATAACAAACAATTGAAAACAACTTACTGTTTCGATGATAGGGTGGATTAAATAAAGTGTGGAATACTCTGCAAGCCTTATAAAAATATTGCTTTTATCAAAAACAAAACAAAAAAATTTTTATAGAATAAAAGCTGGTAAAAATGGAAGTGGACCTGTGTAAATATGCCTTTTTAAAATAAAAGGCTAATTAACATAAACAAATGAATTAATACATGAAGGGAACAAGAGGAAAATTCTAGCATAGTAGAAGGGAATGTCTTGGGGTGCTGGTATTACAGATTTTTAAAAATTTTTTCTTTAGACATATTTACAAATTTATTTTTGGTAAGTTAGTATGCATATTTGAAAGAAATAACCATTCTTCAAAATAAAAAAGATTATGGAATAAATTACTTAGAAAAATCTGTGTCAAGAGGTCAAACATGATATATGTTATTTTAATGATGGGGATAGCAAACAGAGATTTCTTATTATGATCCAGGCACTGCTTTAAATGTTCTGCCTTAATTAAAGCAATCTGCTTTCTGATCTGCTAGATTCAAATTAATTTTGTGGACTATAAGGAGTTGTAGAAATCTATTTTATTTCATCTACTGGATCAAAAGATGCACAACAAAGATCCCTTGATAGCATCTTAATGGCCAAAATTAGCATATTTTGCATGATATTTCAGTCTAAGGCTCTGATTACAAACAAAATAAAACATAAAACTGTACCAACTATGGAGCATTTTTATGTTTCAGAGGTTTCATGAAATATTACCACACATTATAATTTTTAATCTTTACAACAATGTGAAGTAAGCATTATTCATAATTTACATGTCATAAAAGTGAGTCTTTGGGTGGCTACATTGTTCAAAAATATCTTAGCTGACAAATGCCAGAAGCAGGATACCACCCGAGGCCATACCCAATACTCAATCTCAATTTTTTTTAACCACTCCTCTGAACTTCCCAAGGCACAATTTTAACCCTTAAATTGCTAGATTTTCATTAAAATGTTGAGTACTTTTCTTTCACTAAATTTATCTAAGTTCATTAGGTTCCTAAACAATCTATTTCATAATTTTTATTTATTTTTTTTTTCCTGAGGCTGTCTCATTCTGTCGCCCAGGCTGGAATACAGTAGCATGAACTTGGCTCATTGAAACCTCCGCCCCCTGGGTTCAAGAGATTCTCCTGCTTCAGCCTCCCTAGCAGCTTGGATTACAGGCGTGCACTACCATGCCCAGCTAATTCTTGTATTTTTAATAGAGACGGGGTTTTGCCATGTTGGCCAGTCTGGTCTCGAACTCCTCACCGCAAGTGATTCGCCCACCTCAGCCTCCCAAAGTACTGGGATTACAAGTGTGAGCCACCGCACCCCACCCTATTTAGTAATTTTCAATGACCACATTATACACTTAGAATTAGAGAATGCTAGAATCCAAAGAGGATTTATATATCTTGTCTAACCTGACAACTCAATACCAAAAATCCCATTTAAATGTGCATCTGCTATGTCAGACCATAAATTATGATACTTCTGGTTAATGCTTCTTATTGGCATTGTCCTAACTCTACTTCCTGCTCAAATGGAACTGTTCCCACATTATTTTCAAGGACTGTTCTATAGTTTCATAGCATCCTTCAAAGTTTTAGAAAATGTGAAGTGAGTTTAGACTCAGATATCTTTGCCTTTATAAGAAGGAGTGATATCTTTAGTAGCAAATTTAGTAATTGGGTAAAATATATTCAAATGCCCAAATATATATTAAACACCTGAATTCACATGTGTGTGCACACATACCAACCTCTTGTACTCATTCATTTAGTGGCAAGTACAGGTGGCTAGAACACTTATAACATTCCAGGCAATATTCTAGATCCTAATGGTACACTGCTAACAAAAAAAGGTGTGATGGTTAATACTGAGTGCCAACTTGATTGGATTGAAGGATACAAAGTATTAATACCAGTGTGTCTGGGAGGGTGTTGCCGAAGAGATTAACATTTGAGTCAGTGGGCTGGGGAAGGCAGATCCACCCTTAATATGGTGGTCACAATCTAATCAGCTTCCAGTAAATATAAAGCCGGCAGAAAAACATGAAAAGCAGATGATGGGCCTAGCCTCCCCAGCCTATATCTTTCTCCCAAGCTGGATGCTTCCTGCCCTTGAATATCAGACTCCAAGTTCATCAGTTTTTGGTCTTGGACTGGCTCTCCTTGCCCCTCAGCTTGCAGACGGCCTATTGTGGGATCTTGTGATTGTACAAGTTAATACTTAATAAACTCCCCCATATATATGTATACATGTATATAGAAGATATGTCCCTCTGAGAGAACCCTGACCAATGCAATAGGCAATGTTCCTCACCTTCAGACTTTAGGGAGGACACACGCCTGAAATAGCCAAGAGAATTTTTTGAATGGGGAAATGACTGGAGATTGCACAATTGCTAATAAAGCTGGACCCAAAGTAATTGTTCTGAAACTATTTAACTTTATTAATATAATTTACACTAATTTTATCTTTAGGCTGGTTGAGGCCAGGAAAATATGCATTATATTATTTTACAGAATTTTAGAGTTGAAAAGAACATAAATATCACCTATGCTCAATCTTCCTGCTTATTTGTAGGATTTCTTTAACTTTCCCCATTAATCTGGGTTCTGCCTACTAGACAATATAAGAACAAGAAAACATGACATGAGAAAGGTATTTTTATTATTACAATGCTCTATAATATAGGTCAGCATTCTTATTTTACAGATTTTATTAAAAAAACGATGCTTAAAGAAGTAAATTTCCAGCCTAAGACATACAGTTATTAAGTGGAAGATCAGAGATTAGAGCACAGGTCTGTTTGTCTTGAGACCTGGGTTCCTGATCATACGATTCCCTCCCTAGTCAAGTTCTTCCAAGTTAACAAGTTCAGTCCTTCATGCAAAGACTCTGCTAGGTGACTTGAGAGAAAAAACTCTGTGTCTCATAGTGCCTGACTTTCAGATGTTCACATGACAGCATGATCAACAGATATATGCTTGATTTTACTCTGCTAGATTGACCAATTTGTTAAAACAATTTGTAAGAGATGTGCTAGGGGAATAGAGCTAAAAACATAATTAATGCCAAATAGGAGAAATTAGGCATGGTTTCACAATGATTATTTGAGGTAGTATTGAAGATAAATGGGATTTTGACAAATATAGATATGGTAAGGCATACCCTATAGTCTTATTATGATATAAAAAGTAAGTAAGAGCTGACTTCCAGCTACCCGAGAATTCTCTACTATATCAGATCCTTGCTGCCTACACTCAAAGAAGGACGAATATGACAAAAAATA
Organism: Homo sapiens; assembly: GCF_000001405.40. Taxonomy (NCBI): domain Eukaryota; kingdom Metazoa; phylum Chordata; class Mammalia; order Primates; family Hominidae; genus Homo; species Homo sapiens. The sequence goes on from NC_000011.10 coordinate 29,090,080, forward strand.
TGAGTTTTAGTGGCAGCTCTCAACCAATAACAAATGAGAGTTTGTCTTCTTTACTTCCCTTTTGGTGTTTCCTAGGATGTCTGACCTGCTAAACTACCTCATTCGAATCCTTGACTCAAGATCTGCTTCTGGGAAGCCCTAAGACTTTACCTCCACTAATCTCAGCCTGCATACTAGAGTGGGTGGTTCTCAAGAGACTGAAGAGGCTACTGTCAGTCTCAAGGTCATCTAGCAAATTTCCCCTCAGTAAATTCAAAATCTTAGTAAATTCAAAGGCAAACTCAGACTGCAACAGCCAAGAGAGTAGTTGTCAACTACTGACACCAACTGTGAATCTCAACTTCTGCCCATGTGGGCCCTCTAATGTTGTCAAGATTGATGAGGTCCCTTGGTATTCTACCTTCCAAGTCTCACACTAATGCCTCTCTCTTGACATTTAATGCAAAAATTCTGAAAGCAGTGATGGTGATGTTGAATCAAAAACAAAAAAATCAGCATAATTTTAACCTAAACATTGTTTCATCATTTGTGTGTACAAATACCACTACCTGCCACTGTTTTCATTTCATATCAACATTAGCCATGGTGAGATTTCTCACCTCTTCTTTTTCTCTCTGCAAAGAAAAATTTTACCCAGTCTTCAAAGTGCACTTTTATCACTCTCTTGTGGTAATGTTGGGCAGCTGGATGAGATTTGAATAAAGATCAGGTTCTCTTAGTGAGAATTAACAGAGAACAATGCCAAACTTAAGGAAAATTAATGACAAAGAATTAAGGAATAAAAAGCTGAAGAGAATTAGGAAATTTATTCAAACCCATATGGCTAACTACTGATTTTAGAAAAGCATCCAGCAAATATTAATGAATTAGCATTTTGAGGAGGTTCCCAGCACTTTGCATTTCCTGTCTTTCTGACTCTGGGAGAGTTATCATTTCCAAAATGTTGTATCAGCAAGCTTCATCATTAAAATGGGAGCAGTCAGTGCTACTGGAAAAGTTTTACTTAATTTAGTTCTGGAACTGAATATTGGCTTGATGACCTTCTTTGAAAGAATTTGAAAACAAAACCCCTTCTCAAACAATGACATATTTTCTTCTTTCTGTTTTGTTTGTGTGCATAACCAAGCCATCTAACCAAAGATTTTCCCAAATTTTATTTGTCTGGGAAAATCAAATTCAATCTTTAGATATATGTGTGTGTGTGTGTGTATGTGTGTGTGGTGTTTGTGACGTGTTCCTCTATATACCAAAGGAAGAAAATATTTGACATTATGCTCTGGATTATGTTCTTCTGATTGCCTGGAAATTGTGATAATGATTTCTCCTAAAAATTTATTACAGTTGTAAGGCTCTATGTCATGCTTCCATGCGTATTTTCTCTTCTAATCATCACAATAAACCTATTGCATTGATAGTTTTATTATCTTCACTTTTATAAACAGTTAAATAAGTTAAATAAGTTGTCTAAGAGCACAAATTATTAAGAGCTGGATTCAAGATCCAAGATTGTTTAGGTCCTGCTTTTAACCAAAAAATCTTCTGTCCCTAGAAGATATTTAATTTTGTTTAAGTGTTTATGGTTCAATATTGGAGTATTTCAATGACTCAGGCACAGGATCTGAGGCCCCTAACATGTAAGGTGGACCAGGATGCTTGCAATTTTCTGTCCATTACCACACATGACTGTATATTAGCATACTAAACATAAGCAGTAAATATCAGGCTTTGTTTGAATTTAAAATAACAAGATTTTCACCATAGGGACCAGATCTTCATTTTTTAAAGTGAAAATGTATTGAAATAGGTGGATATAATTAGAATCAACATTTCATATTTTGATCTCAAAGGCCACCATATTACCAGTTCTATCTCTCCTCTTTGAAATGGCTGTAGAACTTCCATGAACCTAGATAGGACGTGGTCAAATTACCATTTCCTGTACTAAATGTCCAAGTGACTGGAAACAAATAAGAACTCTCCAGGTTATTTCAGTGGGTAGCCTTGACAAACTATGACTCTATGAGGAATTCCAGTGAGCAAGAATAAAGTAACCCTTAAGAACATGATTAAGTACTTGTTTTGTACTCCTGGATTTGATAACTATATACATGATAGTGTTCTGTTTGTGTTAAGCCTATAATATACGATCTTTAAAAATAAAAAAGTCATAGTGCGAAGTAGGGAGAGGAGTTGGAAGCCAAATCCAGGAAAGATATTACTACTGCAATGCTCACATGATGATAAGTCTGTATTGAGCGTATTATCTGCCTTCAATAAAGTGATTTTTCAGATAGTCTTGATCCAGAAAGCATCTCTCTGCTTATGCTGTTTAGAATGGTTACTATTTAAGTATATTTCTGCCTTAAATGTGAGCCTGAAAAGTGCAGATTACAAGAAAAACAAAGACAAAACAAGAAAATATTTCTGGGCCTGGAGCGGTGGCTCACGCCTGTAATCCCAGCACTTTGGGAGGCTGAGGCAGGTGGATCACCTGAGGTCAGGAGTTCGAGACCAGCCTGGCCACCATGGTGAAACTCCATCTCAACTAAAAATAAAAAAAAATTAGCCAGGCATGGTGGCAGGCACCTGTAATCCCAGCTACTCAGGGGCCTGAGGCAGGAGAATCACTTAAACCCGGGAGGCAGAAGTTGCAGTGGGCTGAGATTGCACCATTGCCCTCCAGCCTGGGCAACTAAAGCGAAACTGTCTCAAAAGAAAAAAAAAAAGAAAAAAAATTCTCTTTTTGGTACCTGTAAACAGGCCATGGATCATTTAAGCCTTGGTTGCAGTGACTAGAAGTAACATATAAATGCATGAAATGAGATTGGTCTAGTTGTAGCAGAAGAGAAATGCTAGATGTAAGGTCAACCAAGAACTGTTACAACAGTGGTTATTCTAAGTAAGATGGAATTGAATTATTTGAATGGAGCAATAACTGAGACTAAGCTTCATTTAACACTTAATGAAGAGGTAACAAGGATGGACTGTCATAATAAGGTTTTACAGTGTTCATTTCTGGAGAATTTCTAAGCAATCCTGAGATTAATGGAATCGCAAAGAGAATACCTGTTAAGAAAATAAATCTTAGGATATAGTTAAGAATAATCACTTTACATTCTTGATTAGAAAAAGGTCCCAGAATAAATGTATAAGGACCATTAAAGAGGAGAGGGGCAAAAATAATAACACCATTGGATCTATACTAGATTTTTAAAATCAAAAACACTTTGATAAGCTAAATAGATTTTTAAGTCATCTGAATTCTATTTTTCTTTAATTTCCTAGTGTTTTAGGAGGATAATAACCAATGTGACAGAGGCTTATCTTTGCTTCAACAAGCTCTTTAAATTGCAATGTTTCATTTAAATTTTATTTATATTAACCAGAACTTTAACAGCAGGGAAGAGAGATGTTTTATTATAAATTCTTATCCTTTAAAGAGACAACATATTTTCCTTTTGCCCAAATATCTTTCCTCATATTGTATTACCATGAGTTTCCAAAATATCTTGTGGTGTTGCTTATATTTGCACATGCCTGGAATTCCTTAACTCTATTGTCAGAGAATAAAGAATAACCACTGTTTAAACAGTTCTTGGTTGACCTTACATCTAGCATTTCTCTTCTGCTGCAACTACACCAATCCCATTTCATTCATTTATAAATTATAATTATTTTAAATATCAACCTTGGAAAGGTAGAAGTAAAATCATTTTAAGATGGTATGGTGTACATATTGTAATTCAATTGCTCTATTCAATTAAAAAAATGCAGAATGAGAAATGACTATAGCAGTCTTATTTAGAAGAACAGATTCCACCTGGGAAATACAGCTAGTTAATTTCCCCAGGCTCAGCTGACTCCAATAATTAAAAGCAATCCCTCAAGCTTCTCTCATCTCATACCTGATCAGTTATTCTTAATTTTCTTCTTAGGTGGTACACTCCATTTGTATCACGGTGATCAATGCCATTCTTGTATCAGTCAGTATATAATTTGGTAACAAGCAATGCCCCTAATTTCAGTGGCTAACAACTTGTCTACACTATATGCCCTAAACGTACAATAATAACCCTCCTCCATTCCCAGGATATGATGGTAGAAGAGACACAATGCCACTAGATACTTGTGTTTGACAAGACCTACAAATTCTTCTGTATTTATCTCTTTTCTCTAACTTCATCTTCCTCCTCTCTACCCTATGGAGCCTGTGCTATAGCCACACATCACGTGTTTGTAGTTCTTTGACTATAACAGACTCTTTATTAAACCCTGTTTTTTATTTTATTTATTTATTTTTTTGTCATATTGTTTCCTCTACTTGGAATGCATTTTTCTTCTCTGTTATCTGGCCAGTCCCTATTCATTCCTCTAGACTCAGCTTAAATGTCATCTTCTCTGGGGATGAATTTAGTCTGCCTTGCTTTTACACCAGCCAAATCCTTTGTGGGCCTCATGTGCCCTGCTGTTTCCTTGTAGCCTTCTTTTGGCCAATCTTTACCACAAGGATATGAATGCCTTGAAATCAGAAGTTCTACTTTTCTCTGAATTTGAGTACAGAACGTTATGTTTGCACACAGCAAGAGTGTAATAAGTAAGTAAATAAGTTGGCATTAAATGTTTGGTGAGTTCCTCTCAGAAAAAGTGGCATTTTGATGGGGATTGTATGTTAAAAAAAAAAAAAAAGAATGGTTTGTGCCTGTCAACTCACAGGATAAGAAAGAGTCACATTCCTGTTGTGACAAAATGTTCCAACAACAGGAATCATAGGTCCAAAGAGATTCCAGACACTTTGTTAAAAAGCATAAATTACCTGTGTGCTATTCCAAAAAGACGAATAAGTAGACATATTTTTAACTGCAAAGATAACATCTTGCACAGTAAGCACTTAAAGTTTTAAAAGTTTTCAGGAAAACTGATGGCTATATGTTGGTAACAGAACTCTTTTTGTGCAAACAATGATAGTATGCCTAGATCTTCTAGTCTCTGAACTTAGTATTAAAATTTTCACATGTTTAGAATTCTCATGAAATAGAATGTCCTGAGCAATAATACTTATTCATTGAAGAGTAATTTTGTAATAATTTTTTATATTTTATTCACTACTCTACATAAGTCAGGTTCCTTTAATATTGACAAGAACATTATGAAATAGAAATAATTATTTTTCACAGAGGAAAACTGAACTTAGCAGTTGTGTGAATGTTCACATTATATAATTACATTTTTTTCTACCATGTAGAATATCTTTGTAAAATGGGAAAATTATAACGATTAGAACTGGAAAATACCATTGAAATTATTTTTATTTTTACATCAAGCTAATTTCCTGTCTTGTAAAGAAGGGTGTCTTGCCATTTGAAATAAATAATACTGTGTTCTTCACAAACATGCAGATTTATGCATTCCAGTATGTATAACTATTTGAAACAAAACTTCTAAAATCATACTTTGAGAGTCCCTAAATAGTCAGCAATGAATGTAGAATAACAGAAATGAATATTTGACAAAATGATACTGGCAGCAACTTTATCCTTATAGCATCCTCCTAGTACTGTGATTCAATTACATGGCAATAAGACCTCAAAAGCAATTGCAGCAAAAACAAAAATTGACAAGTGGGACCTAATTAAACTGAAGAGCTTCTGCACAGCAAAAGAAACTACCAATGGAGTAAACAGACACCCTACAGAATGGGAAAATGGGTTCACCACCTATGCATCCGACAAAGGTCTACTAATATCAAGAATCTATAAGGAACTTATACAAATCAACAAACATAAAACAAATAACTCCATTAAAAAGTGGGCAAAGAACATGAGTGGCTCTTCTCAAAAGAAGACATACAAGTGGCCAAAAAACATGAAAAAATGTTCAACATCACTAATAATTAGAGAAAGGCAAACCAAAACCACAATGAAATACCATCTCACACAAGTCAGAATAACTATTATTAAGCCAAAAAATAACAGATCCTGGCAAGTCTGTGGAGAAAAGGGAACACTTATATAGTCTTGGTGGGAATGTATAAGCCCCATTTCCACTTTGGAAAGCAGTTTGGAGATTTATCAGAGAACTGAAAACAGAACCTGTAATTCGACCTAGCAATTCCATTACTGGGTATCTACCCAAGGGAAAATAAATCATTCTGCCAAAAAGACACATGCACTCACATGTTAATTGCAGCACTATTCACAATAGCAAAGACATGGAGTCAACCTAGGGGGTCCATCCATGGTGTATTGGATAAAGAAAATGTGGTACATATATACCATGGAATACTATGCAACCATAAAAAAGAATGAAATCATGTCATTTGCAGTAACATAGATGCAGCTGGAGGCCATCATCCTAAGCAAATTAAGGCAGGAACAGAAAGTCAAATACCATATGGTTTTGCTTATAAGTGGGAGCTAAACACTGGGTACATACGAACACGAAATGGGAACAATAGACACTAGAGACTTTAAAAGAGGGGAGAGAAGGAGAGGCTAAAGGGCTGAGAAACTACCTATTGGGTATTATGGTCATTACCTGGGTGACAGGATCAATCATACCCCAAACCTGTGACATCATACAATATCCCCATGTAACAAACCCACTGAATCTAAAATAAAAGTTAAATAAATAAATAAAATACTTAGAAATACACTTTTAAAAAACTAAATGTGTGGCTTATCCAAATTACACAATGCTAAACATCATGGATATATGCGTTAATTTTGGAATGGCCCAAATCCTGAAGAACACATTTCAAGTGGCAATTCAGTGATGACATGTAACCCTTTATTTGACATTTGACATTCAAAGGATTTCCAGTGCTTTCGGGTCTTGATTCAATTCTGATTTCTGGTTCTGTGAAGGCATTTAGATCCACCTAAAGGAGTGCAAATAGTAAGGGATCCAACCACAGGAGAATTTTACCAATTTCTTTTTTTCTTTTCTTTTCTTTCTCTCTTTCTTTTTTTTTTTTTTTAAAACAAGAGTCTCACTGTCACCCAGATGGGAGTGCAGTGGTGCAATCTTGGCTCACTGCAACCTCCGCTCCCCAGGTTCAAGCGATTCTTCTGCCTCAGCCTCCCAAGTAGCTGGGACTACAGGTATGTGCCACCATGCCTCGCTAATTTTTGCATTTTTAGTAGAGACAGGTTTTGCCATGTTGGCCAGGCTGATCTCGAGCAGATCTCAAGTGATCTGCTTGCCTCAGCCTCCCAAAGTGCAGAGATTACGGGCATCAGCCACTTCACCCAGCTCTTTTCTGGATTTTTATATTTCTGGCCTAATAACCAAATGTAATCAATAAAATTTGGTCAATATCTCCACCTCATTTCTTCTAACATGTTTTGCAAGATTCCCTAAGTAAGGTATTGAAGACTGAGACTAGTCCGGCAAAGTCATGAGACCCTTAGCTGATCTCATAAAGTCCACCTCATGAAAGGAGATGATTCAACATCTCAAGCTAAGGTATAAAGTGTGGACATACAAAGGCTTACAAGTTTTACACTTCCTTACATGTTACATGTTACTCCATACATATTTATTACATATTATATAGTCAATGTCTCCTAATCCCTTCCCTGTTCAGCATGTCTCTCCCAGTTTGAATCATTGTTGCAACAACATTCTTTTAAAAGAAATGATGATTTCATCAGAAAAGAGAGAAGAAAAAACATACGAATGTGTCCTTAGCCCTCAGTTCAGAGGTGTTTGCCCTGAAGGAATTGATTCTTGATATACACAGTGTGTGCATTGCAACTAAAAAGATTCAACTGGAATCAAAGTCCTTTTACATTTTTGTGCAGTAACTGCTTAGAATAATAATGTCCCCTACATTACCATTAATTTAGCTTCATTCAGGCTTGCATAGGAAATAAAAGAGGAAAATAGTACAGCTCTAGCTACTTAGGTACCCTCTCAAGGTAATGCTGGGATTCACACTGATGGTAGCACTACCCAGAGAAAATAAGTGAGGGGAAGTAGACATTTTTCAAATTGTAATTAGGATATCTACTCACTTCTTATCTTTTCCCCCAAACTGAAACCCAATTAAGTTAAATTTCATTTAAATAATTCTCTTTTTATGGTCATCTCCACTATGGATATTTGAGGATTATGGATGGTTGAATCCTGCTTGATCAAATTAAGATGCATCATAACTGTGTACATTTACTTAATGAAAGATGGTCAAATAGGATAATGAGGGATTTGGACTGTTAATTGTTCATGGAGTTCCAGAGGGGATAAGACTAGGCATATACAATTTTGAAGGTCTAAAATTATGTACAAATATATATGTTTAACTATACATATGAATTTTCTCAGAAGATATTCATTCCATAGATTTTTTTTCAAGGTATCAAAAGGATCTATTACTCAAAAGAGAGCCCTTAGTGACCTTTATAATATTATATGTTTTAACCTTTCTTAGGAAACAGAGCACTTAAAAGTCATTGTACTTCTAGTGGGACCCCAAATATAGATATATTTTAGTTGTTTTATGAAATAAAAATTATTTTAATGGCATAAAGTATGACTTATGTACTACCCAGCTTCCTTCAGGTTGCTCAGGGTAATTCCTGTCTCCCATCTTAATACTAATGTTGGAACATATTAAGTGCAGTGGCTTAAATTAGAAGCAAAAATACAACTATCCTGAGCAACATGGTGAAACTCCATCTCTACAAAAAATACAAAAATTAGCCAAGCATTGGTGGCTCATGCTGATAGTCCCAGCTACTTAGGAGGCTGAGGCTGCAGAATCCCTTGAGCCCTGGAAACAGAGGTTGCAATGAGCTGAGATCATGCTACTATACCATTCCAATCTGGCAACCTGGGTGAAAGAGTAATACCCTATCTAAAAAAAAAAAAAAAGCAAAAATAAAACAATCTTTTGAATTTAGATTTACTTTGTACCACCTTTGGATTTGCTGCTTGTACTTGAAACATTCATGTCTTTCACCTATCCCTCTCTGTCCATAGTAATGCAATAATGTAAATATGGAACATATTAGGTAGTTTATCCTGATGATTAAGGGACAAGCCTAGTTGTGGGACCGTGAGAAAGGTATTTAACCACATTGATAGGATTGCTGTGGAGCATGGATGAGATGATCCATGTAGTGCATTTAGTGCAGTATACATTTTTAATCAATACTAGACATACTGTTTTTTATATTGTAATGATTATATATGTCTCCTGTGTGGCAGCCACTTAGGTCTTATATTCGTGAGAGCTCAACCCTCATGGACTAATTACCTTCCAAAGTCCCACCTCCAAATATCATCACATTGAAGATTTGGGTTTGATTATACAAATATTAAGGGGACACAATCATTCAGTCCATAGAACATAACACATTTGTTATGGAAAACTACATTTGCCACAGTGTTTATTAGAGAAAAATGTTAGTTGTTTACTTAGGATGATAAGCTATATCTGCCACAGGAGGATGATTTTTCCATCAAACTTAGTGATAATTAATGCAACCAACGTCACGAATCTAGCTCTAATTTACTCAGCTGGTAAAAAAAAAAGAGTGTGAAAGTCCTTCAATTCATTAAAGTTAGGAAATAACTGTAAGAATATTTAATCCTTCTAAAATATTTGCAAATAGAGGTAATTTAAAAATAAAGTGCAGAACCTAAATATTGTCAAACTAGTGATATGTAATAAAAATATTCTGTTAGCCAATTAATTTTGTGAATTTCTGGGTTAATCAAAGTTAAGTTGGTTTCTTAATTACAGAGTTTCTCTGAGTCTTTAATTTAAATCTTTATGGTGCTTCTTAAGGTGAGGATAGTGTAAACTGCATTTGATAAATTCATCTGGACACACAATTCTTTTTCTGAAGACATTCCCAAAGAATATGCCTAGGAATGCTGATATAGGAATGTTTTTCATCTCTGTAATTCTACATTTTATGTCTTTGATTTACACTCTTAAGAATATGCCTGGAGAAGAAAAAGAAAAAGAGATAGACCCTTTTAAAGTTCTGAAGCAGGGATTTCAGCCTTAAACAAACAAGAAAAGAAAGGCTTTCAAATCTAGAACTATATGGAAGAGGACATATTCTATGCACTTTCCTTTTCCCCAACCCAATTCTAAATTTGAGATGTTACTCCTTTATGTAATATACACATAGACATATGCGCTCTATCTCTGTCTCTCTCTCTCTTGCACACACACACACACACACACACACACAAACTTATCCTAACACTTGGTTGAATACAGATTGCTGAATATAGATGGCGCAATGGCTAGTGATATTTTCATGACCTTGAAGGTAATCCAAAGGTTAACTTTGATATGTAACTGTTCACTGAATATCTTTCAATAGGCAACTTTTAAAATTTAAATTCTAAACAAATTAAGCAGAATCTTCCCAGTGTGCGCTAGCTCAAGTATCAAATTATATTAATTGTTTAAGATGCTTTGTCAAGAAATGTGGCCAGTTTTAATTCATATTGCCAAATAAATTCAAAAGAACACATTCATTGAATTCTTCCATTATGTTCTTGTCATTGCTGTTGGTATGAACATTCTGACCTTCGAAAATGATGAACAATTCAGAAATTCAACATAAAAAAGCAGTATTAAATTATGATTGAGGATACTGAAGATGTGTTTTAGTATTATTGACTTTTAGAATTTGCTGCCAGTTATTAATTTCATCTAGCCTTATCCTCAATAAAAATAAATAAGTAAAGACTAAGGTAGCTGTAAGGTTGATATATGGGCATTTTATTGTAAAATCAAATATGGAGCCTGAGGAATTATTTTATAAATCTAGCACCATGGAATGATAGCAAAACAAGTTCTGAACTCTGACTCATAGAATCTAGTCAGATGTCAGAGGTCAGGTTTTTCTATCTAACACATTCTGCTGCCTTTAATTTATAATTACCAAGCATCTACATAAGGGAGAAAGATGCTCAATTACCTTCTGGGAATCCAAAGACAAATGGGATGTGATATTTTTATCCAGGACCCACAGTGCTTTTGGGTAGATAAACATACAAACAACTAACAAGTTATTCAAATGTTTAAGTGGGGCATATTCATCAAATGATGACGTCACAGAAGAAGTGTTATATGTGGTTTTCAAGGAAGCATTCAAAAAAGGATGTAATGTCAGTTGGGTTTTAAAAGACGTGTAGGACTTCACAAGGGGAAATGGAGGTGGTGGGGTGGGGAGAAATGAGGGAGCGCTAGGACTGCCAGATTTAGTAAGTAAAAATATAGGATGCCTTGGAACTACTGTATTTTATTTGACATTCCAAATAAAGAGGAAAATGTATATATGCATGATTGAATAACATTAATGTTCATATTTAAGGAGTGATCCTGGTTAAATACAATCTTGAATTTGTCAGTGATATGTAAAGCCAGGTCACCTATATAGAGTGAAATGGGAGTCAACAGGCCTGTAAGTGTGTGTAGATTTTAAAAAATTAAAAACTTTAGAACAATCCTTATGGGAATGGCAATGGTTAATGACTAGTATCTGCTAAAAGAACGTCCTCTTGGCATTGAATTTTCTTCAAGTTAGAAACTTTCTCTACTACTTTAAATATTTATATACTTGATACAGTGTAAGAACACACAGAGACAAATATATAGTTTTAATTATATAGATGCTTTTTATATGTTTTATTATATCTTGCATATACTTTATGATAAAATTAATACATATGCAATCCAGGACATTTAAAAATACATAATAGATAACTATAGAGGAAAAACCATAATTATATCACCACACAGAAATAACATTATATTGTTATATATAATATATGAATATGAATAGATCTATAGATAAATGTTATATATATATATGTAGCTATAGATAGGAAACTTGTACTGTGTTTGAAGTTTTGAACACTGCTCCTTGTACATAATATTACAGGGAGAGCATTTTATTTCATTAAAATATGAAAATATCATTTTTAATTGCTATTTAGTATTAGCATTGTTTGTATTGATCATTACTTACTTAAACAAGTCCCTATTGTTTAAGCCTTAGATTGCTTTTTAATGTGCACTGTTATAAATACAACACTGCAGTAAAAACTCTTTAGTGTAGAATTATCATTTTCATTTTTGATACATTCTTAGGATGAATTCCAAAAAGTGTAATTAGTTGGTTAAAGCATATGTGTCTTTTAGATTTCTAGATTCGTTTTGCCAAATTGCTTTCTAGAAAGGTTGTATGAATTTAACTTGTTCTGGGAATGTAAGATAATATTTGCCTCACTATAAATTTGCAAGCATTCAATATTTTTAGAAATCTTGAGTATTTTTGAAATACTTTTGTTTTTTAAAAATTCGCATTTGTTTATTAGAAAATTTTAATGTTTACATTACAGTAGGAATATATATTTTTAATGTCATGACTTATCTATTTGTGTTTTTCCAGTTTTCTCTTAGACTATTAAATTTCATTTTCTTGATAATTCACAATAAGTTTTGTTAGGTTCATATAATTTATTGTTGGTCCTATCTTTTAAAATATTCCAAATTTGCCATTTACTTTTTGTGATGTTTATGATATATGGTAAATTTTTTTTTGTTTTTTTGAGACAGAGTTTTCTCTGTCGCCCAGTCTGGAGTGGTGGCATGATTTCGGCTCACTGCAACCTGCAGGTTCAAGCAATTCGCTGCCTCAGCCTCCTAAGTAGCTGAGATTACAGGCACCCGCCACCATGCCCAGCTAATTTTTGTATTTTTAGTAGAGATGGGGTTTCACCATCTTGGCCAGGCTGGTCTTGAACTCCTGACCTCGTGATCCACCCGCCTCGGCCTCCTAAAGTGCTGGGATTACAGGCGTGAGCCACCTTGCCCAGCCTACAGTAAAATTTTATGTCATTAAATGTTTCAATATTTTATATCTTTATTGCTTATATGCTCAGAATATACTTTAACCCCAAAGTAGATGGATATTTATTTAAAAGTCCTAGTGTTTTATGTCATATTTTAAAACTCTGAACCATTTTAAAATTAATTAATTAATTAATTTATTTATTTATGTATTTATTTATTTAGATGGGGTCTTACTCTGCCACTCAGGCTGGAATGCAGTGGTGTGATCACAGCTCACTGCAGCCTTGACCAACCCTGGGCTCAGGTGATCCTCCCACTTCAGCCTCCCAAGTAGCTGGGGTTAGAGGTACATGCCACCATGCCTAGCTAATTTTTTAAAAGTTTTTTGTAGAGACAGGTTTTTGCCATGTTGCCCAGGCTGGTCTCAAACTCCCAAGCTCAAAGTGATCTGCCCATCTGGGCCCCTGAAAGTGCTGGGAATTACAGACATGAGCCAAGGCGCCCAGACACAATCTATTATTTTTTAATTTATCAGTGTATATGTAGATATAGATAAAAAATATAGATATTACATTTGGGGGCTATGTATTGGTTCCTTTCATTTTATTATTATGTCTTGAACCAGTTCCACACTTAGTAAAATTGCCCAGCCTGGGTAATATCAGATAGGTGCATGGTAATCAAGCTCAACCTCTGTCTCTGATATCATTACGCCTAAATGTCTAGAATAATTTTACTGTTGATTTCTTTTCCAGACAGCCTTTAGAATAGTTTTGTAAACTCCTTTCCTCGACAAAAGGAATTTTATTGAGATGACATCGGTAGTTAATTGGAATTTGGTAAGAACTAAGAATTTTGAAACAATTGTCTCTTCAAGGAACATAATAATAATAATTAACATTCACTGAGTGTTTATTATATTCTATCATTCTAAGTCATTCCCGCTTACTAACTCATTTTAAAAACAAATGCACTCACTTCGTTGGTGATTTGGTTGAGTTCCAAGGCTTTAAATGCATTCTCTGTGAGCACATCCACATTTGCTTTTCCAGTTATAAATGCTGTCCTGAATTCTATTAAATGTATCATCTCCCTACTCAACACTTCCTCTTTGATGTCTAATAAGCATTTAAGGTTTGACATATCCCAAACTGGACTTCTCTGTTCCCTTCCCCATCTAAGTTAATGGCTCAGTTTAAACACCTTGTGGTCCGAATTCCTAACTGACTTTTCTCTTTCTTTAATACTGTGCATGCAATTGATCAATAACTCTACTTTCAAAATGTATCAAGGATATATCTTAATATATATCCATGATATATATCTGAATACTTTAGATGTATTTGGTGCTGGATGCAATTCTCAAAAATTTCATTGCTACCATATTAGTCCAAACCATTTGTCATATATAATGCTACGATAGCCTCCTTACTTAGGGATCTCCTTGCTTTGACCTTTGCTCCACTAGGGTCTTTTCCCAAAAGAATACCTAGAAGGATCATTTTAATAAGTGACTCAGATAATGTCATTCCTATGAGAAAAGTGTCCTGTGGTTCCCCATCTGCTCACAGTAAAGCCAAAATTTTTACTGTAACCTAAAAGGCTATCTGAGAATTCTATGCAATTTTCTTACAGTTTTTCCATGGCTTATTTCCTTTCCCTCTCAAGAATATGCTTCCCAAAGGCAGAGATCTTTGTCCATTTTGTTCACTGATATATCCAGGCACCCAGGATCGTATATTCTTTTTACAAAATGTTGCTCAATAAATATTTTTCATAAATGCATAAACTGTAACATAATCTGATAGGAAATATGCTATTGTTGTTTTCTGATGAGGAGCCATAATTATAGCAAGGATATTTAGCAGCAATTTTAATAGCCAAGATTCGAACTCAGGCACTGTTTCTGGAGTCTGAATTCTTAATCTTTAGATTGGGTATTGCAATTAGCTGTTGTGGGAAGTCAGGGAGCCCAAACAGAGGGGCTGGCTGGAGCTGTGGCAAAGGAACATAAATTGTGAAGATTTCATTTCAGTATGGACGTATATCAGTTCCCCAAATTAATACTTTTATAATTTCTTACACCTGTCTTTATTGCAATCTCTGAACATAAATTGTGAAGATTTCATTTTAATATGGACATTTATCAGTTCCCAAAATTAATACTTTTATAATTTCTTACGCCTGTCTTTATTGCGATCTCTGAACATAAATTGTGAAGATTTCATTTTAATATGGACATTTATCAGTTCCCAAAATTAATACTTTTATAATTTCTTATGCCTGTCTTTACTTTAATCTCTTAATCCTGTTATCTTCACAAGCTGAGAATGTATGTCACCTTAGGACCACTATTATGTTATCTGTACAACTGATTGTAAAACATGTGTGTTTGAACAATATGAAATCAGTGCACCTTGAAAGAGAACAAAGTAACAGTGATCTTCAGGGAACAAGGAAAGACAACCATGAGGTCTGACTGCCTGAGGGGTCGGGCAGAATAGAGCCGTATTTTTCTTCTTGCAGAGAGCCTATAAATGGACATGGAAATAGGGAAGATATCACTGATATTAATATTCCTAGTAAGGAATATTAATAATTAAGACCCCGAAAAAGGAATGCATTTCTGGGGGGAGGTCTATAAACAGCCACTGTGGGAATGTCTGTCTTATGAGGTTGAGATAAGGACTGAAATACACCCTGGTCTCCTGCAGTACCCTCAGGCTTATTAGGGTGGGGAAAAACTCCGTCCTGGTAAATTTGTGGTCAGACTGGCTCTCTGCTCTCGAATCCTTTTTTCTGTTGTTTAAGATGTTTATCAAGACAATATGTGCACAGCTGAACATAGACCCTTATCAGTAGTTCTGTTTTGCCTTTTGTCCTGTTTCCTCAGAAGCATGTGATCTTTGTTCCCCTTTTTGCCCTTTGAAGCATGTGATCTTTGTGACCTACTCCCTGTTCTTGCACCCCCTCCCGTTTTGAAATCCTCAAAAAAGACCTGCTGGTTTTGCAGCTCAGGTGGGCATCAAGGACCTACTGATATGTGATGTCACCCCCAGTGGCCCAGCTGTAGAATTCCTCTCTTTGTACTTTATCTCTTTATTTCTCAGACTGGCCAACACTTAGGGAAAATAGAAAGAACCTACGTTGAAATATTGGGGGTGGGTTCCACCGATAATTAGCCACCTTATTTTTCAGTTACATTGTGGTTAGTATTGTACTTCCTAAGCCTCTTTGAGATTAGGCATGGCATGTGCCTTGTTTTGGCCAGTGAAATGTAAGCCGAAGTGGTACAGGACTCTGTTATGCAATCTTCTATCTTCCTTTTCCCTTGCCACAGATGCAGAGCATATCAATAGCTGGGACCTGAATTAGCACCATATGGAGCAGAGTTCTCTTCCAGCTAACCAAGGGTATGTAACAAGAATGAGAAATAAACCAAGGTTATTTGAGTAGATTGTTTGTCACCACAATATAACCTAGTTCATTCTAAATAATACAATATTTTATAGTTTTC
Organism: Homo sapiens; assembly: GCF_000001405.40. NCBI lineage: Eukaryota > Metazoa > Chordata > Mammalia > Primates > Hominidae > Homo > Homo sapiens. The sequence goes on from NC_000011.10 coordinate 29,106,420, forward strand.
TTTTCCTTTTTTTTTAAGAGATAGGGTCTCACTGTGTCACCCAGGCTGGGAGTGCAGTGGCGTGATAATAGCTTACTGCAACCTCAAACTCCTGGGCTCAGTGATCCTTCTGCCTCAGACTCCCAAGTCGCTGGAACTACAGGTATGTGTCACCATGCCCAGTTAATTAATTTTTTTGAGAGATGAGATCTTGCTATGTTGCCCAGGCTGGTCTCAAACTCCTGGCCCCAAGTGATCCTCTCGCCTCAGCCTCCCAAAGTGCTGGAATTACAGGTGTGAGCTACCACACCCAGCCTATAATTTTCTTCATGTAGATTTACACAGTGATATTCATAGACAGTGATTGCATGTATATGTACGCAATTGATAGGCTGTTTTATGTTTTTTCATGATGGTACAATTTGAGATTGAGAATGTTTAACTGAAAAATTTTTAACATATTTCAGTGATATAGTTTGGGTATTTGTCCCCACCCAAATCTCATGTTGAATTTTAATTCCCAATGCTGGAGGTGGGGCCTGGTTTGGAGGTGTTTGGATTATAGGGATAGATCCCTCATGGTTTGGTGCTGTCTTCACAATAGTGAGTTCTCACAAGATCTGGTCATTTAAAAATGTGTGGCACCTCCTCCCCACGTCACTCTCTCTCTCGCTCCTGCTTTTGTTATGAGAGGTGCCTGCTCCTGCTTCATCTTCTGCCATGAGTAAAAGCTCCCTGAGGTCTCCCCAGAAGCAAATGCCACCATGTTTCCTAAACCACCTGCAGAGCCATGAGCCAATTAACCGTCTTTTCTTATAAACTACCCAGTCTAAGTTATTTCCTTATGGCAATGCAAGAATGACTTAATACATTCAGGTACTGTATTTCAAGGAGAGTAAAACATCTAAATTTTTAATATTAATGTAGAATGCAACCACTGTTCAGAAGATAAATTCAATCTAAAAGGTTGTCCACCTTCCATTTACTTCTATACAATTCTACCACCTGCAAATAATGCTAATTTTGTCTCATATCCAATAGTTTTATCTCTTATTTCTGTTTCTTGCCTTATTGTTTTGGAAAGAACTTCAAGACAATTTTAAAAAATAATGATGTCTTTGTCTTGTTCCTGATTTTAATGGGAATGACTATAGTATTTCACCATTAAGTATGATATTGGAAGTTGATTTTTTTTTAAAAAATTATCATGTCAAGGAAATAATATTCTGTCCTGGCATATCTACATGTTTCTTTTCTTTTTACCCGGAAGCATCTATTCAATGGCATGAAATACCTTTTTTGTTATTTATAGAAATCATCATTGGGTACTTTACATTAATCAGTAGAATTAATATTAACATATTAGTTTATTTCCAAATGTAGAGAAATGCTATTTCTGACATATTGTCCACTAGATGGCCTTTTCTTGGTGTGTGTGTGTGTGTGTGTGTGTGTGTGTGTGTGTTTTCCCGAAGCCTTTCTACCATTAGGATGAGGCTAAGGCTTATAGCCCCAGAGAAGAAGAATAGAAATACTGCTCTGGAAGGAGAAAAAAACATTAAAGTAGTTGCTTTCAGACCAGAAGGGGAGACGGAAGCCTCCGCTGTTGCAAAGATGAGTTTCTGGTGAGAGAGATGAAGACAGGTAGTTTCTAGGGGATTAGAGAGCACATGCTGCCAAAGATGCAGTTCTCACTATTCCATTTGCACAGATGACCCTAGGCATGGGGAATCAAAGCACTTTCTAATTCTCCAAAGCTTTATGTGTTCCTAGAATAAAATAACTATTTTTATTCCTCAGTAAAGGCAGAAGTTTAAAGCTTCCAAATGGAGACTACTAAATGTTTGCAATATAGGAGCTGAACGTTTTAACAGGCCTTTGTCCCTTATAATTTGGATGGTATATATATTTAGTGAAGTAGTCAGAACTCTGGTTGCAAAAAACAGAAACTCAGCTTCAAGTAATTAAACAAGAAAGTTAAATTTGTTGGTTGTATTTTTATCCTATTTGTGGTTTAATTTTGGGAACCCATAAATCTCCCTAATAGAACCAAATACCATTCAATTTTCCTCATTCTTTGCCCATTCTTTCTCATTGTTAATTTTCTCTATATATTACTTTATGTCTCCCAGGTCTCTTGTTATTATGAAAGTGACATCATGGCCACGGGTATTTGAATGTGGGGTGGAGGCAAGGAAAAACCGGTTGGTCTTGCTGGGGTCATATACCTCAAAGGCATCAATATATTCTGTCCTGGAGATGAGATGCTGTGCAAGTGGGTCGTATGTCTGTTCCTTTGACCATAGGAGTTGGATTCTTTAATTGTTAGCTCCCACCTGAAATCTGTAAGGGGAGAGACTGTGGGAAGTATTTCACTAAAGTAATTGGTATGTGGTGACCAGGAGAATGGAGAAAGAGTTATTTGCAACCCACAGCAGCAAATATCTACTGCAACTAGGAAATGGAAACCCATGACTAAATATGTTCTGATAAACAAAAAAAGCAACATTAAAATGCGAAGTAAAGATAGGCTGAATTAACAGTTCAAGAAAGAGGATGTAATCAGTTGACAGTTGACAACTGACAGTTGAAAAAGAGGAAGAAAAAGAACAGTGAGGGGTTGATAATACAAATATAATCTGGATTTGCCAACTGAATGGTAACAATGGGGAAAGGAATTAAGAAATTGAAATCAATACAGTCTAGTGACTTAAATATTTATCAATAGATCTCAAATTACAAACAAATTTGCTATTAATGGAAAACAAAAAATTACAGTATAAGGTTATGATAATTTTCTGATTGAGAAAGAAAGGATACATGGAATCTTAAGGTGGTAACTGTAACTCTCTGCACCTGATCTGTGAGGAATCACAAACCCTCCAGGCACAGGGAAGATACCCACAATCATGGCCTGTCACTACTGTCTCACCTGCCACTGTCAAGAGACCGTAAAAACAGAAGGTGGCTCATGGGGGATGGGTTAGCAATTAAGTAGTGATTTATTAATGAAGCAAGTAGTATAGTTATTAAGCAGTATGTAATTATTGTTTCTATCGTAAAACCTACGGAGATTAATATATTCAATAAGCATTTGAAGATATCAAGGTGACTTCATAGGAAAAGCTGAGATGAGCTAAGATTTTAAGTCAAGACAAACGAAGTATTTATTCGATAACTCTGTATCCATCCCCCATAGTCTCTCAGCTTACCCGTTTATTCCAGCTTTTGCTGTGGAATCCAGGTGTGCACTGCCGTAACCTTATAGCATCTCACCTCATTTGTACTCTGTAGCTCTCACTTTCTGCTTCCAAGCTTTCATTCAGCCATTTTGATGCATTTGCAAACAAATGCAAGGTAGTTATAGGTCAACTTTTGACTAGTGAGAAACAGAATCTAGTGAATTAATACCACCGCTTTTCTTATCCTTGGACAGATAATTCTGAAGTGCATTCTACGTGTAAACCTCAGGGCTTTATAACAGGATCAAGTCTCAACTATCCATGATGGGTTAGGCTTGCAACTCACCCTTTGGATAATTTTTCCCTCCTTTCTTGTTGCACACCTACTGGTACTTTACTCTTGTTCTCAAAATAAACCACCTGTAGAAAAGCCCCTATTTTAGGCTTTTCTTTCAAGGGAATCTAAAATAAGACAAAGGCTTTTCTTTCAAGGGAATCTAAAATAAGACAAAGGAATGCATAAGTGATACATATATGCATCATATGTAATGTACGTATATGATTGTCACAAACCAATTCAAAGAGGCGAAGGGCCAAAACTGATAAAGTTTGCATGCTAAAGGGAAAAACTAATAAAAATACTGACTTTGTAAGTTATGATCTGGCCAATCAAGTGATAGTTCCATTGCTTGGTGAAAATGGTATAATGCTAAGGGATTATAGTGGAAAAATAAACCTATTTATTTTCAACTTTACTATGAGAAACTATAGTGCTTAGGATAATGTGACTAGGAACAAGTTACTTGAGTTCTATTAGCCTCAATGTCCTTATCTGTAAAAAATAGGAATAATGATAATAAGTACCTTATTTTGCTGACATAATAATGAAATTAGGTAATGACTATAAATAAGTAAGCTATTTTGAAAACACAAGGGCCAATATTCCCTCCCTGAATGGAAAGAGAAACACCTTACATTACATTCTGATGAATCAATACCCACTCAGAAACAAGACAGACATTTCTCCCTACAGATGTAAAATCAATAATTTCAAGTTAGTTATCAGTTGGTCATCCTACCATTCCAAGAACTTCGTAGAATACCCTATTGCTTTTACTGGCACTGTTTTTGCTTATACTCCCATCAATGCTATTACTAATCCTATCATCAATGTAATTTTATTCACATTTATACTTCTCGCATCTATCTAGTGTCTCACCTAGGTACTCAGTAAATATTTGTTGAATGCGTAAATAAACAATTTGCTAACTGTGAAGTGAAGAGTGGGAACAATTAACTTAAAGAAAGAGTTGATGGCTATACTGATGTGGAAAATCTTCTAGCAGCTTGGGCTCCTTGGCGGTACAAGTTTACTATAATGAAGACAAATATTAATATACGGTACCAGAGCAGAGAGTAAGTTATCATCATAATGTTTGTCTGCATCACAGCCATAGAAAACAGGACATCTAAAGCTCAACTAGGAGGAGGAAGCATTTCCCATCCCAATATATTACTGTGTTGAAGAGTAGATAAACACCAAATTTACATATATTTCACAAAGTACACTTTAGGAAGGTAAATAATTTGATGACACTATAATCACAATTTGAAACTCTGAAATGCTCTGAATAAAATGCAGAATGTTGCTTGCAAAATAGCATTTAGACACAAATACAACACATGTAGGCCTTTACCAGCAATATAACCATATCACCCAGGAACAAAAGGCAGTCCCCAGGCCAAGATAAAGGTGGTCAAACCAGTGAGGCCAACTTAAAAATTTCAAAGAACACCGCTGTCTTTCAAAGTCTCTGGACAACCTACAATTCTGTTTCTACCCAAATACCCTTTTTATTTTATTTTATTTTTTTATTATACTTTAAGTTCTGGGATACATGTGCAGAACGTGTAGGTTTGTTACCTAGGTATACATGTGCCATGGTGGCTTGCTGCACCAATCAACCCATCGTCTGCATTAGGTATTTCTCCTAATGCTATCCCTCCCCTAGCCCCCAACCCCCGATAGGCCCTGGTGTGTGATGTTCCCATCCCTGTGTCCATGTATTCTCATTGTTCAACTCCAACTTATGAGTGAGAACATGCTGTGTTTGGTTTTCTGTTCCTGTGTTAGTTTGTTGAGAATGATGGGTTCTAGCTTCATCCATCTATGCGGCCAACAAACACATGAAAAAAAGTTCATCATCACTGGTCATTAGAGAAATGCAAATCAAAACTACAATGACATACCATCTCATGTCAGTTAGAATGGCGATCATTAAAAAGTCAGGAAACAACAGGTGCTGGAGAGGATGTGGAGAAATAGGAACGTTTTTACACTATTGGTGGGAATGTAAATTAGTTCGACCATTGTGGAAGACAGTGTGGTGATTCCTCAAGGATCTAGAACCAGATCCCATTTGACCCAGGGATCCCATTACTGGGTATATACCCAAAGTATTATAAATGATTCTACTATAAAGACACATGTACACATATATTTATTGCAGCACTATTCACAATAGCAAAGACTTGCAACCAATCTAAATGCCTATCAATGATAGACTGGATAAAGAAAATATGGCACATATACACCATGGAATACTATACAACCATAAAAAGGATGAGTCCAAATACCCTTATTTTTAAGTCCCCTTAATAAAACCAAGTGTAGATGAGAATATATTAAAAAAAGTGATCACTCAGATTTAAAGGCCCAAATATATTGCATTTTAGTGTAAAAGTAAACTTTGAATTAAGATCTCAGTATCATGATGCCAATTTTGGAGAAACCATGATTTACTGAAGAACTGCCACATGATTACAGACAGGCAGACATTTCACTCGATTGAAAGCAGAATAGAGGAAAATGGTGAAAAGTGTAATAAGTAAACCTGATGTCCAGCTTCAACAAAATTCTAGAGTAGACTGGTAAACACATGCATACTACACATTTAGAACAAAATGTGCCAACATTGGTTATCTAGGGAAAGTTATGTTAAACTAATCAAAGTGTTTAAACTATTGTGTTCATAATGTGCTATAAATCTAAAGTGCTTTAAGTTCATCAAAATACTTGATAAAGTGAGAAGACTTTGGAGGTGGCGATCCTAGGGTGAGCTGAAGCCTCAGTGATGTGAGAGTGCAGAATGTGAAACTCTGATGAAGTATTTTTCAGTGAGAAAACAGCAAGGGCAAATGTCCTCGGGTGAGAGAATGCTGATTATGCTCAAGGAACAAGGATGTCAACTTGAATGGAGTGGATGGAGATTAGGTCAGAAATGAGAGGAGACAGACAAATTATGTAGGGGCATGATCACAGTACAGAGAATGTTTTTTAATTTCATTGTGAGAGTAAGCCACTGGACTTTATAAGCAGGATAATTAAGGGCATAATCTGATATTTTTTAAGAAAGTTATTCTGGTTGCTATGGGAAAAATAGATTATAGGGGGGCAAGAATAAAATCAGGTGGCAAGTTAGGAGGCTATTGCAGTGTTCTGATTTAAACACGGTAGTGCCATGGATATGCTGTCACGGAAGTGGAGGTAGTGAGGAATGATTAGATTTGCAATCATTTTGAAGATCAGCCAATGGACTTGCTCTTAATTACATCTAGTGACAAGGCACGTGGTTGGTCCTTGACAGATTTTTTTTTAATTAATAAAATATTTTGTGATGAAGTGAAAGGGAAAAGTAGGGGCAAGCATCCTTCTTACTTTCATACCTAACATGAATTGTAGAAAATTAGGAAAGAAGCAAACTTTGTTAGAAGAATCAGGAGTTTTATTTTAGATGAGTTAATTTATAATATCTATTTCATATATATTCACCTGGGATGTCAAAGGGTCTTTTAATAAATAAACCCACATGTTTAACTAAGCTTTATTCAGTGTCTACTAGTAGGAGACACTAAAGATAAAACATTCTTTCTGTTCTTGTCTTTACCTTGGCAGATAAAATATATGCTCAGTGGGTCTGAGGAGAAAGCCAGCCTGGTGGGCTCAGCTCTGTAGAATTATTTCTTGTCAAGAATCAGAGCTACCAATTAGAGTAGCCCTTGAAATGTTCTGAAGATTTATTGTTTTTATAAAAGAAACACTATTCTCTCAATCTTTTGAGTGCTTCATTTCTTTAAACATTTGTTTCGAATGGTATTTTGTATTAGTTTCCTATCAATACTGTAATTACCATAAATTTGGTGTCTTAAAACAACTCAGCTTTACTATCTTACAGTTCTGGAGGTCAAAAGCCTGAAATGGGTATCACTGGGCTACAATCATGGTGTCATCAGAGCTGTGTTCATTTTTGGAAGCTTTTAGAGGAGAATCCATTTTTTCACTTTTCAAGTTCTAGAGGCACTCTTAGGCTCATGCCTCCCTTTCATCTTCAAAGCCAGCAATGGTGGTGGGAGTCTGTCTCAAAATACATCACCCTGACATTGACTCTTCTGTCTCTCTCTCTCTCCCTTATTGGGCTCACCCAGGTAATTCAAGATAATCTCCCAATCTTAAAGTCAGCTGATGAGCAACCTTAATTTCATCTGCCACCTTAATCTCCTTCTTGCCATGTAATATAACATATTCACAGGTTCCAAGAATAAGGATGTGAACATCTTTGGGGGATCATTATTCTCTCTATTACATATAAGTAATACCTATACCTATTACATATACCTAAAGTTTCTCAGGTTGATATTGTAGAAAAGAAGGAGGGAGATATTAGGCACAGCTATTGCCCTATTGATTTCTGGGCATTTTATCACATTCTGGGAAAATACATCAAAAAAACCAAAACATTTGCAGCATTTTGGGCATTTATTTAATCTTTATCAGAACATAGTCAAGTATTAATTACTAGATAAAATGCATGGCTCAATATTGATCCATAGAAATGGGTATGAGTTCAAAACTTGCTTATCAATGACACCACAAGGGTCAAGTTTGGTAGAAATTATCTCTTAATGGATATGATAATTTTCAATGGAATTTAAAACTATGTATGTTTGGCATTGGAAAATCCTTCTTGCACTCATTTCTCTAATTTATACATGAATGACTTCAGAACACTTTTGATAAGCAGGATGCATGATCCTTTCTTTTATACCCACTGTGAAAATAAAAAAAACAAATAAATGTTACCTATAGATTTTTGTGACACACTCCCAGAACCACAGATTCTTATTTTAGTGAATGTTTCTGAAATTCTAAGCAGCAGCAAATATCAGATTAGATAGAGATGTTGTGTTAGTCAGGGTTCTCTTAGAGGGATAGAACTAATAGGAAATTATATATGCTAGTTTATTAAGTATTAACTTACATGATCACAAGGTCCCACAACAGGCTGTCTGAAAGCTGAGGAGCAAGGGGAACCAGTTTGAGTTCCAAAACTGAAGAACTTGGAGTCTGATGTTCAAGGGCAGAAAGCATCCAGCATGGGAGAAAGATGTAGGCTGGGAGGCTAGCCCATCTCGCCTCTTCACGTTTTTTTCTGACTGCTTTATATACGCTGGTGGCTGATTAGATGGTGCCCAACTGATTAAGGGTGGGTCTGCCTTCCTCAGCCCACTGACTCATATCTTATTCTAATTGGGCAACACCCTCACAGACGCACCCAGGATCATTATTGCATCCTTCAATCCAATCAAGTTGACACTCAGTATTAACCATCACAGATGTCTTCCTTAGGGAAACTTTCTCTGTGATCCTCACCTCTGGAGATTAGAGTAATTCCTTTAGTGATGTCTCTTCATGAAACTTTGCACTTTTTCTTCATACTTATTACAGGTGGAAGGAATTAATTGTTTTAGTTATTATTTGCTTGATGTTTGTCTTCCCTGAGTTGGAGCACTGCACCTGTCTCATTGACCACTCTGCTTTATCACTTGTTCTTTGCACACTATCTTGCTACCAGATGCTCAATAATTATTTGGTGAATAAAGAAAGTCATCAGACTTAAGAATCAAGAGGTTTTTAAATTAAGCTAACTTATAGGTACTTTGTTTTATTTTGAATGTCATCTTGGGAATTCAGTAACGTATTTACTTTAAATAAAAGAAAACATCCTGACTAAAATTATTAGTCAGGTGAATTATTGTGGGCCTAGAAAAATTATTAGTCAGGTGAATTATTGTAGACCTAGAACAGATAATTGCTACATATCTAAAAATGGATCAAAAATTATTTAGAAAGATTTTTGCCTGCTGCATATCATATTCTTGGTTCACCCTTATGTAGGCCTTCAATAGAGTACATCCCTCTTATTAAAAATACCTTTGCTGTCATAACTTACCTTTAGATATAATAGTAACCAACATTTATTGAATATTTACTATGGGCCAGGCACTATTCTGAATGTTTTTCATACCCATTTAATCCTGGCAACAATCCTACAATATAGGTATTATTATTACCTTTATTTTACATATGAACTGAGGCAACCGAGATGCAGAGAACATACTTACCCAAGGTCATACAATTGAAGGACGTCCAGGATTTATGCCTGGTCTGATTTTTCTCCAATGTCCATGCTTTTAACTAGTAAAATTTATTATCTATACTCAACCGTTAACGTGATAGAAATTGTCTTTATTTCAGGTATTTCTTAAAGGGTATAAACTCAGTGCACAGCTACCAAATAGTTTTCAAAGCTCAAAAATGGAAAATGATTTAAATAACATGTTATATTATAAATTAAAGTAAGGACAATCTGAAGAACCAATCATCTGAGTATTCCTTTAGATCAATGATTCTCAAAATGCAGTCCCCAGACCAGCTACATCATCATCCCATGGGAATTTGTTACAAATGCAAATTCTCTGTCACATCACAGACCTACTGAGTTAGAAACTCTGGGGGTTGGGCCCAAAAAGTTTATCAAGCCCTCTGGATGATCCTGCATGTGTAAGCCTAGGAGCCTCTGCTCTCCTACACAGTAAGCAAACGATGACCTGTGGGCCAAATTTGGCATAGAAACTTACTTTTGTATCACCCATAAGCTAGAAATTGTTTTTACATTCATAAAGAATTTTAAAAATACAATGAAGAGTAATATTTTGTGATGCGAAAATTATATGATATTTAAATTTCAGCATTCATAAATGAGTTTTATTGAAAGACAACCAAAGCTTGTGAATTTACATATTATCAACGTCCGTTTTTACACAAAAATTGCAGAGTTGAATAGCAGCAGCAGAGACTATACAACATGCAAAAACTAAGATATTTCCTTAATTAAAAAGTGTTTGCTGGCCCATGGCCCAATGAAACGTTGGTTTTCAACTGGGAAATCAGTGTCATGGTGATTAGAATCGCCTGCGAGGCTTTGTGAACATATAGGTGCAGCCAGCCACCCGAGAGCTACTGAATAAGAAACACCCAAGATGGAACTTAGGCATACGTTACTACAACAAAGACTATTGCAATCATGAGGTGAGTTTGAGATGCAGCCAGAATGGGAAACCCCATATCTAGAAACAGATTCATCTGTAGTATCTCAGACATTTCTTACAATAATTCTGAGAGAGGAGTTATTTATTAATTTCCTCCTTACTGATGGGAACACGCAAGTTCAGAGACATCAAGAACCTTGTCCAGTCACATAACTGGTAGAGTTTGAACACTGGATTTGAATGCAGGGCTGTACATCACAAAATCAATGTTTTAACTCCCTCCTTTATACTGCCTCTGTGCTTTTTTTGTTGAATGGTATTATTTCTGGGTCTCTTCCAAAGAATATCTTTAAATATTCTTTCACAGTCTCCTGGCTTCACTACTTAGCAGGTGTCTGGTTGCCAGGTTTTTAGAAGTTTTTACCATGTCTGAGTATTCCTTCTGGTTCTAAATTTATGTTTATCTGTCCAGGATCTGATCGTACTTTTCTGGCTTTGAGCTCATTTCCATTTGCCTGCTATTACCTGTAGATCCACCTTGATCTTGTACCTCTGTCAAGGTCAAACCTATTACTCTAGTTTTCAGCCTCAGAAGGAGGTGAGTGGTCCTTTACAAGGCACTGGATTGCTACATCATGGGTCATACCCTCAGCTGATGTTTAAACACCTAGCAGGTCGAGGCTGCAGTGACCCATGATCATGCCACTGCACTCCAGCCTGAGTGAGAGAGTGAGAGCCTGTCAAAAATAAGGAAGGAAGGAAAGAAGGAAGGAAGAATGGAAGGAAGGAAGGAAGGAAGGGAAGGAAGGGAGGGAAGGAGGGAAGGAAGGAGGGAAGGAGGGACGAAGGGAAGAAGGGACGAAGGGAAGAAGGGAAGAAGAGAGGGAGGAAAAGAGATGAGTGTGTGAAGCCACTATATTTGGGACTTCATCTGTCACAGAATCCAGTGTTGTTCACCTTAAATAATGCTGTACTTAAAGTCAACTCTGAGGAAAAGTTGTTTCCAAGTTGGATCTCAATCAGGATTATGACCAAACCAATCCTGCTGCAGAAGCACAAAATATTGCTTACAGAGTGATGGGAAAATAATGGCTACACAAACTGCATGGGTCAGAAAAATGGCATAGCACAGGAGCCTCATTTGTAGAGCTGTGCTTTACAAGGCCTGCTGTTGGGAAGCACAGACTCCCTGAACTCAAGACTTGCTAGATTGATAGCTTTCTCTAATATATGAACTCTCCTTTTGTTGAGCACATGGTCAGACTATATTTCTCAGGATCTCATGAGTGAATTGTGGCCATATGATTGTGTTCTGGACAGTGGAATGAGAACAAAAGCAATATATTCAACTTCTAGGCTTGACCCTTGGGAATCCCCATACCCAATCATGGTTTCCTCATCTGTCAAAGAGATAAATCTGAGGACCTAGGGGAGGGTAGAGACATAGCATGCTAGGAGCAGGAGTTTTGGTCTCTGAGTTTCTGCATGGAGTAAACCCCAACACACACACACACACACACACCAACAACCTGCCTTGGAATATGACATGAGCAAGAAATAGGATTGTGGCTGGACTCAGTGGCTCACACCTGTAATCCCAGCACTTTGGGAGGCTGAGGTGGGAGAATTGCTTGAGTCCAGCAGGTCGAGGCTGCAGTGACCCATGATCATGCCACTGCACTCCAGCCTGAGTGAGTGAGAGCCTGTCAAAAAGAAGGAAGGAAGGAAAGAAGGAAGGAAGGATGGAAGGAGGAAGGAAGGAAGGAAGGAAGGAAGGAAGGAAGGGAAGGAAGGGAGGGAAGGAGGGAAGGAGGGACGAAGGGAAGAAGAGAGGGAGGAAAAGAGATGAGTGTGTGAAGCCACTATATTTGGGACTTCATCTGTCACAGAATCCAGTGTTGTTCACCTTGAATAATGCTGTACTTAAAGTCAACTCTGAGTAATCACAGTTACCAAGTACAGTACTCCCCCTTTATCAGCAGTTTTACTGTCTTGGTTTTAGTTACCCATGGTCAACCATGGTCCAAAAATAAGTACAATAAGATATTTGGGTTGAGAGAGAGAGAGAGGTATTGATTTTCACATAACTTTTATTATAGTATGTTGTTATAATTGTTCTTTTTATTAGCTATTGTTGTTAAACTCTCATTGTGCCTAATTTATAAATTAAACTTTATCATAGGTATGTATGCATTTAAAAATATGGTATATATAGGCTTATTACTATCTGCAGTTTCAGGCATCCAGGGGGGTCTTGCAACATATCCCCTGTGGATACGGGATGACTGTTATATAGATGACTCAAAGCAGAGAAACACTGCAGTTATAAAAACTTTTTATATAATAGCCTGTTTAATCTCCAAAGCACCTATTTTATGGATAAGGAAACCAAGACACAGGGAGGCTGAGAAACTTGTTTCAAGTGACACAGTTACAAGAAGCAGAGCTGAGATTCAAACCCTGGTCACCTGACTCTAAAGTCTTCATTTATACTTGACTACTATGCAATAAAATATGCTATTATACTTTTGTAATCTACAGATTATCCTGAGTTAAAGATTGCTTCCACCACTGTTTTTAAGAGCCTGTTTCCTAGGGTGAGGTGGGTACAGTATTCAGTATTTATAGGTCTGATTTCATTGAATACCTCGTAGCAGTGCTATTATCTCCACAGAAGAAACACTAAAGTTTGACAGTTTAATGGTCAAGATACCAGAGCTGTTTTGAGCTGTTATTCTTACCCAAATCTTCAGATTCCAGATCCTGTGCTCTCACAAGTATGCTCTGCTGTCTCAAACCTGTCAAAACACCCCTTCTAGAACACTGTTTTCCTCCTGGCTGGATTCCTCCTGTCTAGAGGATTGCTTTGTTAGTGAAATGACATAATATATGGGAATGTGTTCTGTAAACCAGGAAACACTGAACAAACATAAGGCATGATTATTACCAGTAGTACTTAAGACAGAGAACAAACCATGACAACCCAATTGCATGTACTTCCTTATTATTCAGAAAGGGAGCTCAGAGGAAAAGTCTTGCCTGGGGAATTCAGTACAATCTGAGTGTATACTCTGCAGTTCATTCAGAAAACTGATTCCACAGTTCTCTTCCTAAGTTCTGCTTCCCAAGTAATTGGGTAATATCCACGTACATGCAGTGCAGTAGGATCACCTCTGCCTCACGCATCCGTGCCTCATTTCCTCACTTAATGCCTTCTCAGTTCCGTTATTTATTTTCTTTAATATTACTGCAGTACAGCAGAATGAGTCACACTCCCTGCCATTCCCAGTAGCACCCTCGAAGGCCCACAAAACAATCCGGTGATTTATGAGGACTTTTTCTACCCAAATGATACACAATCACAGAAGCTGGCTTTTCACTGCCTCGGTCTCCAGATCAGGGACAGGTTTCGGATATCAGCTCAGAGAAGGGGTTTGGATCCTTTGGCGGAGCCCGTGCAGTGGGGTCGTTCTAAGGCAGGGTGAATTGGATGACTGGATGGGGCAGAAATGGTGTAAATGAGGGTTTGGAAGACAAGCAAATGCAGTTTCCAGGAAGAGGAGTCATAAACACAGGAACTCAGGCTGTATACTAATGCTAAGAATGAGAAGGCTGTATATCTAAACCAGTGATTCTCAACCAAGGAACCCTAAGGGGCACTTGGCAAAGTCTGTAAACATTTTTATTTGTCACTAATGGTAACAAGTAAAGTGGGTGCTGGTTGGGTACTACTTACACCTAATAGATAGAGGCCAGGGATGCTTTTTAAATTTATTTAGTTATCTCTATATATTTATAAGAATTATATATATTTATGGTATACAACATGATGTTTTGATGTATGTATACATTTTGGAATGGCTAAGTCGAGCTAAGGAACATATCTACTACCTCACACACTTATTATTTTTGTGTAGCGAGAACATTTAAAATCCACTCTTTTGGCAATTTTGAAGTATATAATGCATTGTTATTAACCATAGTCACCATGTTGTACAATAGATCTTCTGAACCGATCCTCCTTTCTAACTAGAATTTCGTATCCTTTTACCAACATCTCCCCAACCCCCAACCTCCACTCCTGACCCCCAGCCCCTGGTAACCATCATTCTACTCTCTGCTTCTACGAGTTTCAACTCTAGATTGCAGAAATGTGAGATAAGGCAATACTTGTTTTGCTGTCCTTGGCTTATTTCACTTAGCATAATGTCCTACATTTTCATCCATGTTGTCACAAATGACAGGATTTCCTTATTTTTTAAGACTGCATATTATTTCATTGTGTGTGTGTATATATATAAATGTGATATATATATATATATATATCATTTTTTTCATCTATTCATGGTTGATGGGCACTTAGATTAATTCCACATCTTGAGAATTATAAATAATGCTGCAATAAACTTGAGAGTACAAATATTCCTTAGACATACAGGATTGCTTTTAAGCTTTCTACAATGCACAGGACAGCCCTCTCACAACAACGAATTATCCATCTGAAAGTCAATCGTGTGGAAGTTGAGAAAACCTGCTCTAAAATCAAGAGAAAGATCCTAGTTCCATTCCGACTTAGAGGTTGAACCATGGGACCATGATAAGGGGAGACACTGAGTCTCTAAACCCTTGGCAACACAAGTGTTTTCTTCTACCCAATGGTACCTGTTTTGAAAGTTTAATTATATCACCTTCTTAACTTAAAGATGGAGCTTTACAATTAAGCAAGAGGTGGTGACATTTGTGCTGGATAGACCCTAACTTGAATTCTTGGTCAATTGCTTACTAGCTTTGAGACCAGGCAGAATGTTTTTAACCTCTCTGTGCCTAAATTCCAACATCTGTACAATGAAAATAATAATAATTAACTTGCACAGTAGCATGAACATTTAATAAATTGCTGAAGTTTCAGATGTTTGCAGCTAAAGTTTAAGATCCTTGCCATCAGATCTACAGTCTAATATCCATGCCAGCAGAGAAGGCATTTTTGATGCTTGCTATGGGTTAGTGACTTTATACACATAATAATTTCACTTATTCAACAGCATTTAAAGTAGACTGTTGCAGTGGCTATAAAAAGGAGAGAATGGGCACCACATTATCTCATCTAGACTGAGGTTTTCCCAGCAGGGACCTTAATTGTACTTTTGTGATGAGACATTTTCTTAGTGCAAAACAGGACAATATTTGACTCCCTAGAAAGACTGTTAACAAATTTTCCCTTTGCATCCTTGACATTATCCTCCCTCAGCTCCCACCTATCTCTTTGACTTTTTTTGTGTTTTGTTTGGTTAATCTCCTTAAATAATGCATTTTAAAGTTTAATGTATTCCTGAAATTCTGTCCTGAATCTTCTGTACTTCTGACTCTTTCTCATTCATTCCTAAATAACACCCCCCCTGAGTGACTTCATATACATTCAAGATCTCAACTGCTTCTTCTAGGAGCAACATCTCCCGAATTGATTTCTAGCTAAAAACAATTTGAAGTCCTACAGAGCATCAGCTTCACAAAAGAGGCAGTCTTGTCTAGTGGTGAACAAATACAGGCTTGAAGATACATAGAACTGTAGTAACGTTTGACTCTGGCACTTAACAAATGGAGCAAATTAACTTCTCTGAGACTTCATCCTCAAAATAAAAAAGAATAATACCACATTACATGGCTTTTGTGATGATTAACATAAGGAGGGTCTGGTAGAGTTTCTGACATTTAATTAACCCACAATATTTTTACTCAACATAGATACCTTAAACGTAACTGTTTCCAATTGTAAAT
The DNA here is from genome assembly GCF_000001405.40 of Homo sapiens. Classification (NCBI taxonomy): domain Eukaryota; kingdom Metazoa; phylum Chordata; class Mammalia; order Primates; family Hominidae; genus Homo; species Homo sapiens. Next base: position 29,122,745 of record NC_000011.10, read on the forward strand.
TACTTTTCCTGTATTTCCATTTGCCAAAGGAGAAATCCTTACTCTTTTTTAACTTCCACATTGAATACCTATATGTTCTAATTCTAATTCTATTTTGGTTCTGACCTTTCCTTCCATTCTCAGTGTTTCTGCCTTAGTTTGGGCCTTTATCACTCCTTACCTGGATTACTGCAATAGCCTCAAACTGTGTCTCTCTACCTCCCCTCTCCCCACTTCCCTAAATTCCTACTAAAAGAACTAATCACTTACATGAAAAAAAACTAATCACTTACATTTCACAAACTCATATTGGCTTCATTTGACTTTGAGAATAAAATTCAAACTGTTTAGTCTACAAGGTTTATGGTCTGGTTTCTGCTTTCTTCTTTAGCCCCATCACCACTCCACCTGATGAACTCTAATCTTCATTTTTCACTCACCTTGTAGCAGGCATTCTCCATCACCTCCAAAGATAGTGAAGCGCCTCTTCCTCTATGTTCCTACATCACTGGAGCTCACCTCTGTCGTAGTATGTATCACATTATTGTAATTATTTGCTCTGTGTCTGGCCAGATGTACTGAGTCCATATGAAATATTTAATAAACATTTGTTTTTCAAAGGAATGACTGATGTATGAATTTGTCTTGCAATATGAAAGACAGCAGCTACTGTCTTTGGTGTGTAACTGTGCTTTACTAGCCTGTATTGCCTATCTCTTTCTACTATGCTGGGCAAGTTAAATTGGTTTATTCATACCTGAAGTTTAGAAAGAAAATAGTAATAAGTCATGCATACATATATAGAATCATACACACATACAGGTTCCCAGTATAAATGTAATCAGAGCAATCATTTGATAAACAATTATTTGATTAGTGAAATTATCTTTTGTATATGCAGCCTGAAAGTCCATTGGGTCATCAATGGCCAATAATTCTCCCTAATTCAGCCTTTAAATGTGCCTTCATATTCTTATAAAACACATTTCTGAAAAAAAGACTGCTATATAAGGAAAAGGTCAAATGCATCTGAAGACTAGCTTTAAGAGTTGTAGTTTTCTTTGCCACGAAGGCTTGCCAGCACAGCCTGGTGCAGTAGAAGGGTCCAGCTTTTGCATCTAGATAAGTCTGGATTCAAATCCAGATGCTTACTATGTGAACACAAGCAAGTCATTTAATTGCTTTCAGTGGCCTCATCTATAAACTGCCAGTATTAACACTTGTCTCAAACAGCTTTGTGGGATTCAGTTGCAGGGTTTCTTTACATCAATACTATTCAGATTTGGGGCTGTGTAATTCTTTGTTGTGGTAGGGGCACTGTCCTACGCATTGTAGGATGTTTAGCAAACACTAGATTCATGGCAGTCTGCAGACATTGCCAAATGTTCCCCAGGAGGTGGGTGGGAAGTGATTACACCTGGTTGAGAACCAAATTATATATGTTATAATATTTATGATATGCCCAGAATATAGTAGATGTTTCATGAATCTCCTTCTCCTTTCCTTCCCTATTGGGGCTAATGAAATTCCATACTTATATTTTCTTGGAAAAATACTTATATATAATAATAAGCACCTTCCTGTCAATGCTTAGTCTGAGATGTGTGATATATTTTTCAGCCTTACCTGGCTCTTCACAGCAGCTTTACTCAGAAAAATTTAATTATCAGTACAAAGTGATGGTCTGAATTTTCCAGTGATGAAGCTGGGGTTCTAATAAGTGGTTTTTGTGAAGATGGAAAATATGTACTTCTTTTAGTTGGAGAGGAAAGAGAAGGAAAAGCAACAGAAACTACAAAGCTGAAATAATTTGAGGCTGTAGGTGTCATGGCAATGCAAGTTGAGAGACGATCGATTCCCCTAGATTCTGAGTGGCACATTCTGTGCACGGAGTGCTGGCTGACGTCAATCGGATTAAGTGGCCTCAATGCGAGCACTGCATGCAAGATGAGTGCAACGCAGGCCCCAGGATTTGTCATTGCCTCCAAAGGAAGGTTCCTACTTCATAGCAAGAATAAGGACAGTCTGTGAATGAGTAATGAGAAGAGGCACGTTCTTGCTTAAGGAAAAGCTCTCCTGGTTTGTAAAATTGTTGCAATGCAGGTGAAATCTGAAAACACATAACTTTTATTGCACATGCATTTATTCAGAATAATCGCTGCAGCAAAAATGGTGTACTTTTCTATTGGATCTGGGAAGTATAAGCTCCCCTGACTTCATTTTGTAAAAAGGTGATAGATTTTCAAGGCAATATGACCTTAAGACATGAATTCAGGGAGAACAGAGGCTCAGAGTTCAGTAACAGATGTTGCCACTGCTTCTAAATTAATAATTTAAGTAAATTAATCCATTCAATCCCTTAAAATTGTGTCTGGCATAATAAATTCTATATAAGTGTTAATTATTTTTATTACTATTACTTCTGCTACTGCTGCTACTTTCATTTTTTATAAAATATTATCCTTCATAGGTCATCTGAGGGAAGATTTCTCAAAACCTCTAGGATGGATTAAGCTATTCTCTTCTGTGACTCCACAGATATAAGTTATCCCATTCATAACTTATTCTATTCTATTAAAATTGTCCACTTAAGCTGTTTCTCTTTTATTGCAATGACCTCTTTGGTTGAAAGGTCTTGTATTTTTCTTTTTCTTTTTTGAATTTTTAGCATGAACACATTGCTTGGTTCACATATGTTTGTGTAATTTACTGAAAATTTCTTCTCAGTAAGTACTCTTCATGATCTTTCTAGAATATTTCTGTTGTAAAGAATGCATGCCTGGCTAACCAGTAAAAGTGAGAAGAATTGTTAGAAACTTCTTAAACATCGTTGGCTTGCTTTTCATCAATGTCATTCATCTGAGTTGAATGGAGACTCTTTTTCCAATCCTGTGCAGTGAAGAATTAACCTTACTGAAAGAGAGGACTGGCCTTTTCCCTTAGCACCAAGAAGTGACCTCTAGGTCCCTGGAATGTTCTTTATAATAGGAGTGGTGTCTTTGTTGTCTGGGAGCTTTGGCCATCAGATACCCTGATGATATAATTTATGATGGGTACTTTGGGCCACACACTATTGGTTCTAACATCTGGGGTGATTCATAACTAAAGGGATTAGTCTGACCTCTGGAAAGGGCTAGAAAGTAAGCCTGTGGATGGCATGTGATCAAGCCCCAGTAAAATTTCTAGACACCACAGACTCAAAAGTGCTTCCCTTGTTGGCAATACTCTTGTGTGTATTGTCAGACATCAGGGCCAGGAGGAGGTAAAAATCTCCTTAACTTCACAGGAATAAAACAATTGGAAGCTCCATATTTGTACCCCTCTAAGATGCTACCCTATAAATCTCTTCTTTTAAGTACATTAGACATGCATCCTTTCCCTGTAATAAACCATAAGTGTCATAGCTTTCAGTGAGTTCTGTAAGTTCTTCCAGCAAATTTTCAAATCTGAGGGTGGTTTTGAGATACCCCTGAACTCAATGCCAGAAGTGAGGGTGATCTCATGGGTAATGTTCCCTTTAACTATACAGTTGGCTAAGACTACTGCATGCTGACTTGAGTTTCGGTCAATTGATGATGTTATCATTTATGGTTTGGGTCAGATTGGTCTAGTATTTTTCTTGGAGATCATTTCTCTGTACCTAGAACCTTTGAGTCTACCCAAGACCTTAGCAGTAAATTTTCTCCCATCTGTTATTTGGCAGAATTGGGTGGGTACAGGGGTGGGGTGCAGTACAGATACAGTGAACACATTATAAGGGTATTACAGGATGAATTTACCTGAATTGTTTTCCCCCCTTTTTACTTGAATGGATATAATCTCACAACATTTCTTCACATGCATGTTATCCTTTGCTTGTGTTGTTCAAAGATGATCACTTTTTGCCAATCACTCAGGACTATACGTTCATACTTAGATACATTGTTGGATAATAGACATCATTTTCCATAGCTGAGTGAATCCAGGGGCTGACAGTTGAATGACACAGGATAGTTTGCCAAGAGGAATAACTACCCCCCATATTTGGAAGCATGCATTTTTTTCTACCTCTACACCCAAACCTTCTACCTTTCATCATGGGGCCGCTAATAAGGCATATCCTTAGAATAAAACAAGTTTGTAAGTAATGAATCAGAGAGAGTTCTCAATCCTCAAATGGAGGAGTACAAGTATATAAGTGTACTTATGTAGTTACTTACGGATTCAACATAGCTTCTTTTTCAGGCCCTCATTCTCCTAGGCTGGAAGGAATCTTAAATCATTCTTTCCTGGGATATTTCATGATTTTAGTGGGCACATGTGTAGTTCCAGGACTTTGTAAGAGATGACAGAAAATATATGGTCTTAGAGATATCTAGATACATAAGTAATCACCAAAATGTTCATATCTACCGTCAGTTTGGTGGCATACTCTGTTTCTATGCCACTCTGGGTCTGAAGACTCTTTCTGTGAGCCTCTCATGATCCCATCTGTTGCAGTTAAACAACTTTCTCTCTCAGATCTTACTGCCTTCAAGGGAAACTGGTGAGAAGTTGGTGGCTGCACTTCTTCCTTGTTATCTGCCTCCTCTGTGTCTTAGCTTAGAAGAAAAATTATTCCCCCCATGTTTAGCCCATACGTATGTGTGTTCATGTATGTACACAGTGTAATACATATATGTACACATATATACATGTATATATGCAAGCATATGTGTGTATATGTATATATAAGATAAAAGTTTTTATAAAAATTCATACCTCTACTACATTGTATAAAGAGTATTCTTTAAAAAGTACTTATGTCTATCCTATTTTGTTATTGATGAGGGTCATTAACCAGATTGATTTTATGAGCACTGATGCATCACAACCTAGTGTTTAAAAAACACTAATTCAGTCATGTGACAGTTCTGTTTTCACAGCTGAAATGAACTTTCATGGGAGGTGCTGAATTCTCTTCAACTTTCAGGTCAGAGAGTCAGTGATCCATGAAACCATGCAATTGGAAGTATTTTCTTGCAGAGGATTACATTAAATAAATTCCAACTCCTATTAAGTCCTATGATTCTGAGAATACATGTTTGGAAAACTAAAATTTAGGGCTTAATAATCATTTTTGAGTAAGTGATCCCAAGTCTCATGTAATCACTTCAGCACAGGTATTAGTGTTCCTATTTTATTGACAGAAGGAAAGGAAAGGGAAGGGGAAGGGGAAAGGGAAGGAGAAGGGGAAGGGGAAGAGAGATTCTGAGAGATTTAACATCCTTAGTGTCACACGGCTAATAAATTTAGAAGTGGACCCAAATCCATATAATCAAATTACTACCTCATTCACTTTATACTATATCACTTTGCCTTTTCAAGGACTGTTAAGCTTTATAAAGTGCCTATTACAAGCTAACCACTATTCCAAGACCATTGCATGTAGTGACTAATTAAGCCTAACTGCAATCCTATGAAACGTATGGAAATAATAATTTCCCCCATTTTATAGAAGAGGAAACTAAGTCAAAATAGATTAAGCCACTTGCTTGATAGAATATCGCTTTTAAAAGATTGAACCAGAATTCAAGCTGAGATGGCTCAAGAAAAAACTTTAGTGCAGAAGTCTGTAGGAAAAGTATGTTTACTCACTGGTCCAAAATAATAATAATAAAAAAAAAACTTGTACTTTCAAAGGTAAATTTTAATGTCAACCTGTCACTATGAATGTATATATATATACTTTTTATTTTTTGCTTAAGTACTTATACTTCATTATATATGCGTGTGTTTCACATATAGACAGAAAGTTTAATAAAAGCTATATCATTAAACCATAAGCTAAGAATGGTCAGGAAAAGGGCTGGATGTCGTAATCTTAGCACTTTGGGAGTCTGAGGTGGGTGGAGTTCAAAACCAGCCTGGCCAACATCGTGAAACCCTGTCTCTACTAAAAGTACAAAATAATGAGCCGGGCATGGTTGTGGGCACCTGTAATCCCAGCTACTTGGGAGGCTGAGGCAGGAGGATTGCTTGAACCCAGGAGAAAGGGGTTGCAGTGAGCCAAGATCACACCACTGCACTCCAGCCTGGGTGACAGAGACTGTCTCAAAAAAAAAAAGGAAAATAATGATAGGATAAATAATATATAGTTATTACATAAGAATCATGATGAATGTCAGCCTTGGCCTTGACCACTAGGAATGGGGGGGATGATTTAGTGCTGATATTCCGTGAAATTTTATTTTTGATTACCGACAGAATTTATTAAGTAAAATAAACTTTTATCATAATCTAACATAGAAAAGTGGTTCAGTTTATTAAAATGTTTGATTAACACCAAAGAGGATTTATAAAACTAGCCCAAAGACTTTATAGTTCTATGGCTATATTAGGATTAAAGCCAAGTATTTAAAGTTTAAAAGCTAATAAATTGTTGGTAATATATAATAGGAAATAAATAGAAGTGGAAATAGTATAGATTGGAAATAGTATTGGAAATACTATTAACAGAGGCCCCATTGATTTAGTAGAGCTGAGACTGGAAATAGACAATATTATATTATTTGGGTGACTTTAGATGAAGAGTTAATTCTGTAGACTGAGTACAGCAGCAGGTCTTGAAGCTTTTTTTGTTTTCGTCACCAATGCTTGCATAGCAGTGATTCAGTGTTATTTGCAGATTTTGGTGAAACATCAAACAGTTTTTCAAAAAGTAAAGCATAGCAACAATTTATTATCTGAACCAGGAAAAGCTTGAAAATAAAAGAGGAGTTATTAATAATTACACTGCGACAATAGGCATTAAATGGGACTGTCCTAGGCAAATTGAGAGGTAAAGGAAGAAGTTTCAGCCAGTATGCTTAAAATGTTGAAGTTCTTTTTCTATATCAGTTAGAAATTGTCCACAGACCCAAGTCTCCCAAATATCCCTCATTGTTTCTTGAAGCATTTCAGTCCTTCCCTTAGGACCCACCAGACCCACCAGACCAAATCTTGATCCAACAAATGAAGGGACAATGATTAGGCCCTCTTATAGCACTATACATTGGGGTCCTGGTATCCAAAAACAGGGCAACCATATTCCCAGTTTCTGCCCTGATTTAACTATTAATAGTGCCCCTTTAAATCACAAAAAAATGCTGTAAGTTGAATGAATTTGTTTTGACAGTCCTATCTGAACGAATGCAGCAATCCTGCTTGGAACAGGAAAAGAGAATGGAAACACTTCCCAGTTCCTAAATCCACCAAACTAAATAATGTAATAAGTACTCAAGTTGTGAAATATGGCATATAATAATAGCCTCCCAGTGTGACTGGTATCCTATGGTGTGGGTCTTGCAGCTTTACTCTAGAACACAAAGTTATTTGCCTTGAAGCTGTGGACTTCTTTGAATGAAGATGAGTCAGACAGTCCTTTGGGGCAGAAAAAGAGGATGTATAATACTGCACTGGAATTGATTCCATTTCCTGTGAATATTCTCTTCCCCAGAAACAGCCTTTGGTCTCCAATAATTATTTTAAGATACTTTCTAAGTTGACATTGTGTTGGTTTCTTGGCACTTAAAATTGTGTTTATCTTGAAGCATAATGTATCTCAACCACCTACATATACAAATCTTATCAATGTCATACTAAGAGTGGTATTCTTCTGGAAGCTGAAAGTGATCAGAAAAGATTAAATTTGCTCATTCATAGATTTGACCAGTGATTAAGTATTTATGAGTACCTCTTCTGTGTCAGGAACTGTCCTAAGTACTTGGAACACATCAAAGAAAAAAAACAGACAAAATAATCTTGGGGAGAAGACTCTGCATTTTAAAATAAGGTGGTCAAGATATTTCTTATGAAGAAAATGAGATCTGAGCAATGACTAGAAAGAAGTGAGAGATTTACCATTGTGAAAATTCTGGTGAAGAGAATTCCCCAAGGTGGGAGTAAGCAGTATACAGGTTCTGAGATGAGGTTTTGGGTAACCATTCAAAGAACAGCAAGCAGGTAAAGATGACTGTAGCAGAGTGGACAGGGGAGAAAGTAGCAAGAGATGAGGCTGGGTGAGCCAGGAAATAAGAGCCAGATGATGTCAAGTTTATATAGGCCATTGTCATTATCTAGATTTTAATCTAAGAAAAATGAGATTCCACTGGATGGTTTTGTCCATATTTGTGACATTATATGACTTGCATTTTATAAGGCATACTTTGGCTGTTGTGGGTTAGGAACAGGCTGTAGGGATGAAGGTTTGGAGCCCATGATAGTAATCCAGGAGAGAGATGATGTTGAGTCACAACAGGGTAGACAAAGTGGAACTGGTGAGAATAGGTAATATCCTCTCTACACTTTGCAAGTTCAAAAACAAGAGTTCCTGAGGAATATGAAGTGTGAGAGAAAGAGAAAAGGGAAAATTCAGTGATGATTCCCATGCATTTGTTTGTGTTACTAAGCATCTGGAAGGGTGTTTCTGCTATCAATTGATATAGAACAAATGGTAGGGAGGTAAGGATTGGAGGAGTGAAAGCAGAAGAAAAGTTTAAGTTATGTTTTGGACATCAAATAAATATGTCATGTCAGCATTTAAGTATATATGTCAGGAATTCAAAAGTTTCATTGTGTTCAAAATTGTGTTGTATCCTGGAGCATACAAAATTATGAAAGATACAATCGCTACTCTTTTTGATCCTGTAACTCCTTTACTACAGATTTATTTTTTGCCTTCACAGTCACATTCCTAAAAGGTAGTTTATACTTATTTCCTCTTCTTTACCACAGATCATACCACCCACTACAATAAGGCTTCTTCCTTTACCAGTCCCTTAAAACTAACCTTCCCGAGGTAACACATAAGTTGTCACTCTAAAAGTTTTTAGTTATTTTGTTACTTGACCCCTCTATGATATGTGACACTGTTGATCACTTTCTCCTTGAAATTTGTCTTTCATTGATTAATGAGACAACTCTTCTTCTAGTCCCCTCTCATCTCACTATTATTTTTTATTTTCTCCTGATGGGTAGTTTTCTTCCGCTCATGGTAGAAATGTTAATATGGTCTCAAGTTCCAGTGTTTAGTCCTAAATTCTCTAACTCAACATAACTCTCTGAGAAATTTTTTTACTGCCATAGCTTCAATTTTCATTAGCTATGCTAATGGTACTTAACTATATATCTTCATTACAGCCTTTTCTCTTTAGCTGTAGACTCATTCAGACAACTGTTTGCTTGGTATCTCCAACAATTTGTCCTATAGACACTTTAAGCCAACATAATTTCAATTTCCACACTCCCTAGACACACACACACATACACACATGTGCACATGCACATGCACACACACACACAAATGAATTTACCTTCTCAGCTAATGACATTTCCTTCGTAAGAGGTCCTTCAAGCCAGCAGACTTAAAGTTACATTGATCCCTCCTTACCCCACTGAATTAATATTACCACATTTAAGTTTTTAATGTATTCCAAATATCTCCCTTTCTTTTTATTCTTTTAATTCAGCCTCCTGTGCATACCTGCCAGATATTTCTGGACTTGTTACCTACAAAGCTGGTATTATGTGCTAACTAGCTGAGATGATAAAGTGAATGCTAAGCTGTATTTGCTTGGTTTTTCCATGAACTTCCTTTAAGCTCATGACTTTATTTTTGTTGCCCACTAGACATGAAAATTTATCATCCTAAGAAGAATGGTTCAGAGCAAAACCAAAGATCCAAACCCTGCACTTCTAATATGTACTTCACTTCTAATGTTTTAATGGTTTTATTTTTAATGATCAAAGAAGAAGTCCTGTTATAAAGAGGAGCAATTGTTGTAAGAACACTTCAAGAGTCTCTTTTTATTCTTTTCAAAAGTGATAAATACTCTCTGAGCTGGAAAAGAGATTTAGATGAGCAACTAAATGAGTATGATTACTATGTCATCTATAGTTTACCTTTAAATACTTCTGTAAAAATGGTTTTCAAACTTTTTAAAATCTTAATTTATAGGTTGAAGGACTTTGTTGAAGTTCAGCATGCACAAACATGCAGATACACACATGTGTGTATTGTAACTAATATGAACATTTTAAGAAAAATATTTACCCTTATTTTTTATGTCCCAGTATTCTTTATTTTAGATATCATTTTGTAAAAGTTCTGTTCTTGGCACATGAAATTGTTTTCTTGACACATTAATGGGTCACTGAAATCTGTAATTTGAAAAACAATAGTAGACAGAGTGACATAGGCACATGTGTGTATAGTTTAATTTTAATCTACAATCAAAAGGCAGCTAGTTAAAATTTGAATCACTGTAATAATTTATCTGCACTCATAGGTTGTTGGTTAGCACACACAAAAAACTCTAATCAAGGGTCCATGTCCCTAAACTTTATAACAAGTATTTCAAAAACTTTCTAAAACTGCACTAGCATATTGGCTAATTAGACTAAATGATGTTGGAAATATATTTTGTATGTCAAAATAAATAGTATTCAAAATATGAGATGGCTACAAGTACTGTTCAGACATGTCTGATCTTGAAAACCTGTGAAAACCTGGTAAGTTCCATAGCCAAAACTTGGAATTGTACATTTGGTCTAAAAGTCCATGCTGTTCTAGGTTCCTACTCTTTCTCCTCACTAATGCAAAATTATCCTGTCTGATCTAATCTAACTGAAAGCATATCTGATTCTGCCATAGGGTCATTTCTACATTTACTTTGTAGTAAACCTTTCATTCAAGGTGGCTGTTGGAGGGCTTAGGACAACAATTTAAAAAATACTGAGGTTGTAGAACAGCTTGCTTGTATAACTGTCTTTGGACCTGTTTGTTAACAAATGTTTATGCCTGTGGCAGATTTCATTCTAGATTAGCTCACATTGTAAGAAAACACATAGTAGTGAGAAAGCTCAGGGAGCAAGAGCCTTCTGCACCTCTAATCATCGGAGCATCCTCATATTACCAAAAAGGAACAACCTGAAACATGTCAATGGTCAATTTAGCCTATGTCAGTTTGCAATGTAGATATTAGTGGTGTTTGAGAAGTGCTACAACTTCTTAAGCAATTTACCCAAAGTCACATAGCATAGACATAGTTATGTCTACATTAAAATTTGAGTCTGACTTTAAAAGCCGTCCTTCATGCTCCCACCTGATATTGTCATGTTAAACAAAGCTGAACACTATGTGAGGAAGACTCAGTAGATTGCCTTAAGAATGAGGGCAAGTCGGGCAGGCACGGGGGCTCAAATCTATAATCCCAGCATTTTCAGAGGCCGAGGCGGGTGGATCACCTGAGGTCAGGAGTTCGAGACCAGCCTGACCAATGTGGTGAAACCCTATCTCTATTAAAAATACAAAAATTAGCCAGGTGTGGTGGCATGTGCCTGTAATTCCAGCTACTCAGGAGACTGAGGCAGGAGAATTGCTTGAACCCAGGAGGTGGAGGTTGCAGTGAGCCGAGATCATGCCACTGCACACCAGCCTGGGTGACAGAGAGAGACTCCATCTAGGAACAACAACAACAACAAAAAAACACACACACAATGAGGGCAAGTCATCCACACTACTTTTGGTAACATTTTGGAATATATGGAAGAAATAATTTACGACACCATTTTCCCAAAGGAAGTTCAACAAAGAAATTTCAGAGATATTTTCAGGTTGAGGAAAAATATGGTTTGAAGTAAAATCATATAAATATTTTTGCAGGATAAGCAAGTAATTTTTAAGGTATAATTTTTTTACAGCCTACCAGCATTAAAGTACACCAAGATTATATACTTCAATTAAAGCTGAACCAATAGAAATCTTCCTGCTTTTGTTTATTTTAGTAGATACCACAGAATAGTAAATGAATTAGAAATACAGGATTTGGTTGTTCCTGATTGTTATAATTTTTCTTAGAGTTGGAAGTAAATTAATCTCCTTGGGAAATGCAGTAGCCTTTTATGAATACTGTACTCCATTGCAAAACTAATTTATCCTTTTTGGTTTATATGTAATTATTTAATGGACGAAAATTTATGAATGGCCTGAACCAGTATTATATTATTTATGTATCACCATAAGTACCTACTAAATGATTATACACCATCATTTATTGAAGCCAGATCATGGTAAAAATTGCTCTATGAGTTAGACAAAGCTATGAGTGGTATAAATGAATCACATATGCCACTTGGTCTGGTGCTTAGACAGACCTCAATAAACATTCTTAGTATTGTTAATGTCATTTCAGTAGCAGTTGTTGCTTTTTTATTGTTATTTTACTATTATAAGGCACTAGAGAAAAATAATTCTATGGCATTTATATTCATAAAAATTATGTTTTATAGCTATGGGTACCAACTTGGCATCATGATGACAACAATCATGTTAATAATAATGATAAAAATATTAGCCAATTATTATTATTATTATTATTATTATTATTTTTTTTTTTTCGAGATGGAGTTTCACTCTTGTTGCCCAGGCTGGAGTGCAATGGTGCGACGACTGCAACCCCTGCCTCATGGTTCAAGCAATTCTCCTGCCTCAGCCTCCCAAGTAGCTGGTATTACAGGCACCCGGCACCATGCCTGTCTAATTTTTGTATTTTTAATAGAGATGGGGTTTCACCATGTTAGCCAGGCTGGTCTTGAACTCCTGAGCTCAGGTTATCTGCCCGCCTCAACCTCCCAAAGTGTTAAGATTAAAGGCATGAGCCATTGCACCCAGCCTAGCCCATTATTAATAATAACAGTATATACCTTTAGATTTAAATATATTATCTTATGTCATTTTTACTATGATTGTATAAGATGCTTTTTTGTTAACTCCATTTGGCAGATGATGGAATTGAGGTTCATAGAAATTAAGATATATGTCTAAGCTCATACAGCCATTAACAATCTGTTTCTGGGTCTCTTCAAGCTCCATTTACTTTCCACTTCTCATGCTGCCTCTATTTTGCCAAAGTCCTTTAAATTCCCTGGGAGATTAGTCACTGGAAAGAGCATTCACCAGAAGAAACTCATGAGGCTTGAACTCAACAGTTTGACCAAACATCTCTATCACCACCAAAATCAGTTTTATCATTGCCTAACTATTCTAATATTCTCTTAAGCAACTGTTTGATTCCACCTTAAATACTCTCTACTTGGGAGATTTACTTTTTTGTTTTGATAAATTGTCTTCTGTTGCAGCAAGCCTTGCCTGCACCGTTAGAAATGCTGCCAGCATATTTTTCACTTTTCAATAATCCTAACAAGGGCACTTGATGTTCTACAATAGATATATTTATTCTTTATTGAGGAAAGGGGCTTGAGAATAAAATGTTAAGGAGATAAACCCTAATTATTGCTTATCAAGTTTAGATGAAACAGTCTCATACTTAAAGTAAAATTGGGGCTTACTTTTTAAAGAGTTAGAGTTGCCTTCAGATGATATTATAGAAAACTAGCCTCAGGGTTAATATGCATAACAAAATCAACTCTATGTTTCTGACATCTTGTGGTACTCTGGGTCTGAATTGCCCTTATTGTGAGAATCCGTTCATCAGAGAACTTTAAGTATAATGGTAGCACTGCCATTCGCATTTTTCTCAATGCTTTTGTGAAGGTTGTGTCCAAGGAACCTCTTTGGGAATGGATGTGCGAGGTGAATGTCTTAAATCTACCACACTATTTCTCTCTCTAAGTCTTCAGAATCCTTTCTCTACGTTATTCCAGGGAACTTTTGATACATCAGCCTCATTCAATATAGGGCATTGCTGAATCCAAATTTCAATCAACAAACTGAGTCAAATGACAAAGCCACTTTTAGCTAAGTGAAATCACACATTACTTCTGCAAACTCTAATATGTACACCCATATTAACACATTTAGCCCAGTGTATTATATTTCTTCTCCCTTTGTCTCTTACCCTTAGCATTTATTGATACATATTATCTAGTTTCTGCTGATATAGATTAGAAAATTCTTGCAAACTTTTTGGAGAATATTTCCTCTTATGTAGACATTGTACTACTGATCCCACTAAAGCATACTGGGATCTGACCCTGGTGTGTTTAGCGACAATGAACGATGGTTATAGTAGGTCATGACAAGAAAGAGCACCCCTTGCAAGACAACTGCCCCAGCCAAGGTTACAGCAGGGTCTTCAAAGAAGGAAACATTGGCTTCTTCAGACATAGAATAGCAGGCCTCTTCCACAGACAAGGAAAGCTCTAAGTAACTCAGGGTTACAAGATTTTCAGCTGCATGTCAGTCCAACCAGATATTCTTTTTCCAAATCTCAGGGTCGCACTCCTTCCTAAACAAAGCTCTATTTTGTACATGAGCAACTTGTGAGGCTGAAAAGTAAAACTTTCTTTTTTATTTTACAATATATAAAATCAAACTGGGTGTGATTTTCAATGAGGTCAGTTCCAAGCTTGCAATAAAAAAGAGAGTCTTTTAGGACCACCATAAAAACTCCCTGATTCTGTGATCTTGATTGAGCTGAGACTGAAGAAGGAAGCTCATCAGTTTTTCTTCTGCAAGCTCTTCAGTGTTCGAACTCTACTATGATGCATCTACCCCACCACAGTCTTTGTAGTAACTACTATTGCCCTATTAGTTAAAACACAGCAATGACTTGATATGTGTAGACACTTACTTTCGTTGGCATTTCCAAATGCACAAAACACAAATAATAACTTTATCAATTAGGATGCTACAGTATGTGATGGATTACAAGTGTAGTGGTTTTAAAACATCCACAAGTTATTTGACTTTCTTCCTAAAGAGAGATGGAGTCCCCATTCCAATCTCTTAAATCTTAGCTGGGCTAAGTGACTTACATGTAATCAATAAAATGCAAAATTATTCTGCATGACTTCAAGGTTAGGCAAGAAAAAGCCAACATGCTTCTACCTGGCTCTCTTGGTAATTAATTGACTTGTTGCTTTTCTGTGTATCTCAGTGAAGACTGGGGTTAATAGTATTTAAACCTGGAAATGGATATATTTCTTCTATTATCAAGTTGTTATTGTGAGGGTGTTGAGTCAATGTATTCAGGAGGTGTTTGCTTCAGATTTTGTTGTTAACATTATTCCAGTATGTTTTGTCTTCTAGAGGTGAACTGGTGTTGTTTTGTGCTTAAGATGAGCACTGGAGTGCCAAAGGGGTTGTTTTTAATGATCGTGCTCCATCTTTGTCCTTCAGCCATCTCTGCACATCCCTGCTACAGAAGAGATCTTTCTCTATGCTCTTGACTATAATCCAGCAGCAGACTATTGTAGCTAACCTAGTCTCAAGGTGGGAACTGAGAATTCTGTTAGTATAGTCCAACCTCTCTAGTCTGTTCCCGTGTCCCTGGACCTCTTGTGGTAGAACTTTTTAGTATTCCTACCTCTCTTCAGCATAGCATCCAACTCTGCCTCGTATCTGTGGTTGGTCTGTAGAGGGTATTTCCTGCCCCAATGTCAACAGTAGCAGACCTTTGCTTTCTACACATTTAAAATATTGAATAGTTAAAGATTTCCTGCCATATTCCTCCTCCTTTATTAGAATTTTTTTTCTACTTTCTCTCATGTGCAATGGGTCTTTGACATGCACAGGGCATGTTTGAGGTTGCTGCCTCTTCCCAAGCAACCTAAGCTTTTTATTATTTTTTTAATAGAAAGAAAGTATCCAGGAAGTAGGTGAAGTGGGTACCTTTTCCTTAGCAGTTGCTAATCATATCATCATCTTCAGGTGGGCGTTAACAAAAGGGATTTTTTCTTTTTTTGAGGTCTCCTATCCTATGCCCAATCTATCTTGGGAGCTTCTGGTGGATGCTCAAGGAAAACAAGTGTTGTGTGAGTGCAAGCTCCCCTGTGTCATGGTTTTCCAGCTCTTCTGGACTAACTCTAGCTCACACTTGGCCTTTAAAAACTCATTTAAAATGTTAACTAATTTTCTCCTTTCCTGTTTATGTGGCAACCATGCGTTGGCTGCAAGTGATCCAATTTATAAGTCCAGTCTCTCCCTGGAAAGGCTTGTCTCTTTAGGAAAATTAATGATTTTTATTAATTATTTATTTTAAATGTCAGATTAGTATGTGTACATATTTCTTCCATATTTTCTATATATGAGTATCAAAACAAATTCTACAGAGTATGAGTGAACTGAAAATCATGCAAAGAAACTTAAAGTTCATCTAATTTGATGAACTATCCAATTCATAAAGGTCTATTACAGCATTCTACCAAGTATTCATACTGCCTTTAAATTTTAAAATAAACTATTTTACAACAGTTTTAGATTCACAGAAAAAATTACAAATATAATACAGAGACTTTCAATATACCAAAGGCCCATTTTTTCTATTTTTAATATCTTACATTTGTATGAGACATTTATTATAATGAATAAACCAATATTGAAACATTGTTAATTAAACTTAAGTTTATGCTTTTTAAGAGTTTCTTAGTGTTTATCTAATGTCCTTTTTCTGTCCCAAGATCTCATCTTGGATCCCACATTATATTTATTCATGTCTCTTTCAGCTTCTCTTTTCTCTGACAGTTTCTCAGACTTACCTTTTTTTTGATGACCTTGACATTAAGGCAGCTCATGCATTTTATAGAATGGCCTCCAGTTGGGATTTTTCTGATGTAATCTGTTTTGGGGAAGAAGACCACAGAAATATATTACCTTTTTCATCACATCATATTTAAGGTACATATAATCAACATGGCTTATTGTTGATATTAACATTGATCACCTGGCTGAGCTAGTGTTTGCCAGATTTATCCACTATAAAGACTTTTCTTCTCACTTCAGGGTACTTTTTTGGATGAAAATCACTATGTACAGTCCACACCTAAAAAGTAGAGAGTGACATTCTACCTCTTTGAGGACGAAGTATCTAAATATTTAGAATTCTTATGCATGGGAGATTCATCTATTCTCCCAAATGTATTTCTTTTTTTCAATTGTTGGTATTATTGGATATAGGTATCAGTATATATTTATTTTATACTTTGGATCAAAAACCCAATATTACTTGATCTAATCTGTTGATCAATATGTTCCATCTTTGGTCACTGGAAGCTCTTTCGGTGTCCCCGTGCCCTTTTGCCTGCCTCCATCAGTTTTGTATACACATATGCATGTGTATGTGTGTTTAGCACTTTCTACTTTTTGTCACTGCCAGATGTTCCTGGTCATGTTGCATATTTCCTACCCCAGTCTTAGATCAGCCATTTCTATAAGAACTTCTCAATCCTTTTGTGGGAACATGGAATTAGAAACCAAGACCTGAGTGTCAGGTGTGCTTGTTGCAACTGGGTTATCATTGCTTTTAGATCCCTCACTTGACAAAGCAAGGAAATATATGTGCATATATTAACAAATGTATATATACACATCTATTAATATTAGTATATGCAACCATCTGTGTGTGTGTGTGTATATATATATGTATATATACATATATATATATATGAGCTCGAACATGAATTCAAACTTGTCTTCAACTCTAATCAATTTACTCATGGATCATTCTAGATTCTTCCCCTTGGTTATCTCTAACTACTCTAACAGTGAAAACCTGGCTCCTACATTTGCCATGTATTCACAAAATTGTTCAATTCTTGTATACATATACAGTATCAGAATCATGAAACTATACCCCAGTGGGATAATGCTTTATCAACTAAAGTACTATTCTTACATACAATTCCTTTTGAATTTACTTTTAAAGATTTCTCTTACTATTACTTAGGTCGGTGCCTTTCCCTTCACCTCCTTCAGTGAGATGGTGTCACTGATGGTGTCACATTTTTTATATGGTTAGATTGTTTTGTCATTCTTTGCATTCCATCAAGAGATCCTGTAACCTCCTAAATAGTTTTTTTTTTATATTTGCATACACTAAGCTTCCATCTTTGTGCTGTAAAGTAGTATGGGTTTTGACAAATGCATAATGTCATGAATCCATCATTACAATATTATGCAAAATAGTTTCAACACCCTACAAAAAATCCCCAGTGCTTCATCTATTTAAACATCCTGAAACATCTAGTTTTCACCAATAAATATGATGTTAGCTGTAGAGGATTTTTTGATAGATATTCTTTATCAAGTTGAGATTTCTCTATTTCAGCATTTCTGCTGCAAATTTTTATCATAAATAAGTGCTGGAGTTTATAAAATAATTCTCAATTATAATTTTGTTCTTTAACCTAATTGATATGGTAGATTACATTAATTCATTTTTGAATGTCAAACAAGGCTTGGATAGTTTTTTTTCTAACATATGCATTTAGTGTTATAAGTTTCTCTCTAAGCATTGCTTTCTAAACATCCATAGGTTTTGATAAGCTGTATTTTCATTTTTGTTTAAATTGAAAATATTTTATAATTTATTTTTCTCAAAGAAACTTCTATTTTGACCCATGGCTTATTTAGAAGTGTTTCCCTTAACTTCAAAATATTTGGAGCTTTTCTTGCTATCTTTCTGTTGTTCATTTCTAGTTTAATTGCACTGTAGTGTGAGAATATGCCTTGCCTGATTTCTATCATTTTAAACTTTGCTTAAGT
The DNA here is from genome assembly GCF_000001405.40 of Homo sapiens. Lineage (NCBI taxonomy): Eukaryota > Metazoa > Chordata > Mammalia > Primates > Hominidae > Homo > Homo sapiens. The sequence continues at coordinate 29,141,226 of NC_000011.10, forward strand.
ATGCTTCATAGCCCAAAGTGATATCTATCTTTGTGAATGTTTCATTTGAGTTTGAAAAAATTTGTCCATTTTGCTGTTGTTGGAGGGAGTATTCTGTAAATGTGAATTGGGCCAAGTTGATTGGTGGTTCTCTTTAAGTCAACTATGTCCCGATTTTCTGCCTCCTTGCTACATATTTACTAAAAGAGGAGGGCTGAAGATATCAACCATCGGAGTTGATTTATCTATTTATCCTTTCCACTATATCAGATTTGGCTCACATATTATGACACACTGCTGTTAAGGACATATACATTAAAGATTGCTATGTCTTGGAAAATTTTCACTTTTATTATGATGTAGTAGTCCTTTTTAAACCTGATAGTTTTCCTTGTTCTAAAATCTACTTTGTATGAAGTTAATATAGCTGCTCTAGCGTTCTTTTGATTTATGTTGACATGGTATATCATTTACTAACTCCTTATATTTAACCTGATATTTTTGTATTTAAAGTTGTTTCCTGTAAACAACATAAAGTATCATTTTTTGTTTTTTTTTTAAAATCCAATCTGACTATCTCTGTATTTTAATATGTGTATTTTGCACCATTCCCCTTTAAAGCGATTATTGGTATAGTTGGATTATCTACCAAATCAGTAAATATTTTCTATTTTTAGCATTTGATCTTTGTTTATTTTTTCTCCTCCTTTTCTGCCTTCTCTGTTTTAGTTAAGCATTTCAATATGGTTCCATTGTACCCTCTCTCAGCACATCAATTATGCTTCTTTTTAGAAAATTTCAGTAGTTGGTTTAGAGCTTATAATATAGTTTTTTACCTAATGTATCTCCACTTTCAAATAACACTATACTACTTCACATGTAGCACAAGTACTTTGTGATATAGTGTTCATAATTTCTTTTTATAGCATTGCTGTCATTAATATCACTTGGACATATGCTATAGTGACCCAAAACATCATTAGTGCAATTATTTACACAGTAGTTTTTTAGATCAATTAAGATACAAAGAAAATACTTTATTTTACCTTTATTTTTTTTATTTTTATTTTTTGCTTAAACAACAAGCATTTATTTCTCATGATTCTGGAGGCCAGGAAGTCCAAAATCAAGATGCTGGTAGATCCCATGCTTGGTAAGAGACCTCTTCTTTCTTGCTGTATCTTCACATGGTTGAGTGAGGGATCATATCACCTGTGTCTTTTCCTATAAGAGCACTGATCCAATTCATGAGACCTCCACCCTCACGACCTCAGGCCCCATCTCCAAATATTGTAACATTGGGATTAGGGTTTCAACATATTAATATAAACGGGGTAAAATCGGTCCATTGCAACAATCTTTACAATGGCCTTAAGGGGGTATATTTTTATCTTTATTTTACAACTGTTAAAACTTGGTTTTACAGATATCAAATGATTTTACAAAGTCACATAGCTACTAAATTGTATAGCTGGTATTTAAACCAAGGGCTCTGTGCTCCAAAGTCCACCATCTTTTGACTCCATAACTCTGTAACAATTTAACTAGTACAGCTGACCTTTGAACAATGTGGGACTTAGAGGCATCAAAACCCCATGCACAAAAATCTGTGTATAACTTTTGACGCCTTCCAAACCTAACTATTAATAGCCCACTGTTAACTGAAAGCCTTATCAATAACATAAAGTTGATTAACATATATTTTTTATGTTATATGTATTATATACTGTATTGTTACAGTATATATGCTAGAGAAAATAAAATGTTATTTAAAAAATCATAAGGAAAAGAAAATATATTTACTATGCATTAAGTGTAGGTGGATTATCATAAAGGTCTTCATCCTCATCATCTTTTTTTTTTTTTAATTTTTTTTTTTTTTATTATACTCTAAGTTTTAGGGTACATGTGCACATTGTGCAGGTTAGTTACATATGTATACATGTGCCATGCTGGTGCGCTGCACCCACTAACGTGTCATCTAGCATTAGGTATATCTCCCAATGCTATCCCTCCCCCCTCCCCCGAGTCAGGAAACAACAGGTGCTGGAGAGGATGTGGAGAAATAGGAACACTTTTACACTGTTGGTGGGACTGTAAACTAGTTCAACCATTGTGGAAGTCAGTGTGGCGATTCCTCAGGGATCTAGAACTAGAAATACCATTTGACCCAGCCATCCCATTACTGGGTATATACCCAAAGGACTATAAATCATGCTGCTATAAAGACACATGCACACGTATGTTTATTGCGGCACTATTCCCAATAGCAAAGACTTGGAACCAACCCAAATGTCCAACAATGATAGAGCGGATTAAGAAAATGTGGCACATATACACCATGGAATACTATGCAGCCATAAAAAATGATGAGTTCATGTCCTTTGTAGGGACATGGATGAAATTGGAAACCATCATTCTCAGTAAACTATCGCAAGAACAAAAAACCAAACACCGCATATTCTCACTCATAGGTGGGAATTGAACAATGAGATCACTTGGACACAGGAAGGGGAATATCACACTGTGGGGACTGTGGTGGGGTCGGGGGAGGGGGGAGGGATATTTTACCTTTATTTTATATGATATGTTTACTCTGAGACCACCATGAGGGAGGTCTCAGGTGTTCCCATCAACACTCCCAGATTAACCCTCAGGTCATAGACAGTAGTAACTGCCAGTCATTAGAGAGACCTGTTGAAGATAGTGATTAGCAAACTATGGCCCGCAGGCCAAATCGACCCTCTGCCTGTTTTTGAAATTATTTTATTTTAACAAGGCCACATCTACTCATTGAAATATTGTCTATGATTGCTTTTGCACTACGATATCAAATTAAGGTAGTTGTGACCAACTACTTGGTTTATAAAACCTAAATTATTTATCACTTTTCTTTTTGGAAAAACCATACACCTATGTTTAGGACCTCCAGCCTAGTTGAGCCTTCAGATGACTACAGCCCCAGTTGACATCTGACTGCAAGGGACACTCTGCAAGAATCAACTGGAAGACTTGTTTCCCAAATTCGTGACCCACAAAATCATACATAAAACAATTTTTTAAATTGTTTTGTACAATTAAATTTTGGAGTAATTAGTTTCATGGTAATAGAAACAAGAACAATTTGTGCCTTGCTTCTGCTTGTCAAGAAGCTTAGCATTGTGTTCAAAGTCAAGACCACAGTCTCAGAATCTTCTGTGAGGCTCTATTTGCTGCCACTGTTTTTGTTTGTTTGTTTGTTTTTAGTAAATACTGTGTCATTCAGGTTTTAATAAAGAAAACGGGTACACATGTGTTATTTTAAGAGCAAGAATTCCGTGCAAAGAATTGGCTGAAAGGGCATGAAAGAACTGGAAATGCAAGCGAGGGTTCTGAAGTAACACAGAGACACTAACTGCCAGAAGCAGTTAGGGAAGTATACTTAGGGAAGAATGAACAAATAAATAGAAGAGACTGTGAGAATTAGAACCTTACAGCTTAAAGGAGACGCTTTTCAGAACTTGGATTTTGACCTCAGAAGAGTTGGTGTTGTCTGATGCAGATATCTCGCGAGATAGAAGAAGCAACTGCTGACCATGGCTTAATTTGAGTTGGTGCCTCAGGAGCTCAGAGGAGGAATTAGGCAGAGCTGGAGCTCAGAATAAAGAGCAGGCACTGGTTAGCGGATGCTGCCTCTTGGGAAGGGCCATATGAAACTTGTTCTGGGAATATAAGAAAAACTGGACACAGAGGAAAAAGCCCCAATAATATGAAAGAACAATTACTAGGAACCTGTTGACAGGGACAGAAAGCAAAAGATAGAAAGCAAAAGAGGAAGCAACAAGCCCCTCTTATATCCTTCAACCATGTAGTCTTCCTCTAGCATCTCCTTTTTTTTTATTTTTTATTTTTTTGAGATGAAGTTTTGCTCTTGTTGCCCAGGCTAGAGTGCAGTGGTGTGACCTTGGCTCACTGCAACCTCTGCCCCTTGGGTTCAAGAGATTCTCTTGCCTCAGCCTCCTAAGTAGCTGGGATTACAGGCATGAACCACCACACCTGGCTAATTTTTTTTGTATTTTTAGCAGAGACGGGGTTTCACCATGTTGGCCAGGCTGGTCTCGAACCCCTGACCATAGGTGACCCACCTGCCTTGGCCTCACAAAGTGCTGGGATTACAGGTGTGAGCCAACATGCCCAGCCTACAGTATGTCTTTGAAAATGTTGGCCTTTTAAACCCAGGAACACCAAAGAAAGAAAAAATTTCAAAGTAAAATGTTAAAGTAGCCTTGTGTTAAATTGGGTGATGACATAACTTGGGGTAGATCACTAATAGGAGACATGGAGCTTCATTTGTAGGAAGACAAAATGAATGTATGAGTGTGGGTACTATCAGATTGTACACATCATGTGTATCTGAGAAAAGGGATGGAAAACAAGGCAAAAAGACCTACAGAAGGATACCACAAGAAGTTAAGGGCCACAAGAGTAGGCCCTTCCCTACTAGTCAGGTAGGCTGAGGAGGGAGGGTTGCTTGAGTTCAGGAGTGCAAGATTGTGATGATCTGTAAATGTACATCTGCACTTCAGCCTGGGCAACAGAGTGAGACTCTATCTCAAAAAAAAAAAAAAAAAAAGGACACACTGTGAACACTATGAAAAGCATTTGGAAAAGTTAGAAAATTTGCACATGGATTGAGATTGCCACTCCTGGTCCAGAGTTCTTTCAGGCCAGCAAAAACTTTTGATAATATGCAAAAAACAAACAAACAAAAAGAATAAATGCTGGAAAGTCAATGGTAACCTGAAAGAATGATGAAAATATATATCAAACATGAGGGTCATTAGTTCTTTCATAAGCCAACAAAATTTTTTTTAGGCTCTGTGGCTTTAACACATGCTACCTTATTGCCAGAGATTTTTCCTAATATGTCTGTCTAAACACTCATAGTCTCTCATTTTTCCTAGGTTTCTTCCTAAAGCCACATGACCATCTGATGGGGTCCAAATTTCTAACTAAGAAAATATTTTCTTTTCTGAAAAATTATTGGCCAAGTGACATATACATTTTGACTAAGTCAGAAACTTCCATTAAACATTGATGAAAGAATTGAAGAAGAAACAAATACTTGGGAGATATTCTGTGTTCATGAATTGGAAGAATTGCTAATATGTCCATACTACTTAAAGCAATCTGCAAATTCAGTGCAATATCTATAAAAATTCTATTGACATTTTTCACAGAAATAGTGAAAAAAAGAATCCAACATTCACGTAGAACCATAGAAGACTCACAATAGCAAAAGCAATCTTGAGCAAAAGGAACAAAGCTGGAAGCCCAATACTACCCAATTTCAAAATATACTACAAAGATTAGTAGTCAAAATGCCATGGCACTGACTTAAGAACAAACATCTTAACCAATAGAACCTAATAGAGAGTCCAGAAATAAATCTATGCATTGAACGTCAATTGATTTTCAACAGAGCTGCCAAGAAAACACAGTGGGGAAAGGACAATCTCTTTAATAAACTGTATTGAGAAAACTAGATATCCACATGCTGAATAATGAAATTAGACCCTTACCTCACACTGTACACAAAAATCAACTCAAAATAGATTAAAAACAAAGTTGTAGTATAGGAAACTATTAAATCATTGGAAAAAACATAGGGGAAATGCTTCTTGATATTGGTTCAGGAGATAATTTTTTAGATATGATTCCAAAATCACAAGCATTAAAACTGAATATAAGCAAATGGGAATACATTAAGCTAAAAATACTTTTGCACAGCAAAAGAAACAATCAGCACAGTGCAGAGACAACCTCTGAAATGGAAGAAAATATTTGCATACTAGACATCTGATAAGGGGTTGATATCCAAAATATACAAGGAAACCAAACAACTCAATAGCAACAAAACAGGTAACCGGGTTTTAAATATGGGCAAATGATCTGAGTAGATATTTCTCAAAAGAAGTCAGACAAATGGCTACAAGTATACAAATAAATGCTCAACATTACTAATAAAGAGGCAAATGCAAATTAAAACTACAATGAGATATCTCCTCACTCCTGTTAGAATGGCTATGATCAAAAAGACAACAATGACAAGTGTTGGCAAGGATGTGAAGAAAAAGTAACTCTTGCACACTGTTGGTGGAAGTGGAAATTAGCATAGCCATTATGGAAAACAGTATAGAGATTTATCAAAAATTAAAAATAGAAATAAAACATGGTCTATCAATCCTACTTTTTGATATATATACAAAAATTTAATTAGTATGTTGAAAATATGTCTGTATTCCCATGTTCCTTGCAGTGTTATTCACAATAGTCAAGATATGGAATCAACCTTTGTCTATCACTGAATGAAGAGAAATAAAATGTGGTATATATACTGGAATACTACTCAGCCTTACAAAAGAAGGAAATCCTGTCATTCTGTCTGTCACTTGAGACAACATGAATGAACGAGAAGGACATTATTTTAAGCGAAATAAGCCATTTAGATGAAAGGAATAAATTCAAGAGATTCCATTCAAGAATACAACATGGTGACTATAGTTAATGACAATGTGTTGTATTCTTGAAAATCACTAACAGAGTAGATTTTAAGTGCTCTCATCAAACAAAAAATGATAAATATGTGAGGTTATACATGTTATTTAGCTCAATGTAGTCATTCAACATGTATGCATACTTCAAAACATTGTGTTGTACACAATAAATACACTTTTGTCACTTACAGTAAACACTTTTGTCACTTTTGTATACACTTTTTTGTTAATTAAAATTAATTAAAAATAGTAAAGTAAAAAATAAGATATATAATTGCATCATTAGAAAGAAAACTTCCACCTATTCCATTTTAATCCACAAGAACATATTAAGGGTCAATAGTATATCAGGTACCGTATTAGTCCATTCTCACGCTGCTAATAAAGACTTACCTGAGACTGGGTAATTAATAAAGGAAAGAAGTTTAATTGACTCACATTTTCACAAGGCTGGGGAGGCCTTAGGAAAATTACAATCATGCCAGAAGGACATATTTATTGCTTTTTGTGTGATGAGAACACTTAAAATCTACTCTATTAGTGATTTTCAAGAATACAACACATTGTCATTAACTGTAGTCACCATGTTGTATTCTTGAATGGAATCTCTTGAACTTATTCCTTTTATCTAAATGGCTTATTTTGCTTAAAATAATGTCCTTCTGGTTCACTCATGTTGTCTCAAGTGACAGACAGAATGACAGGATTTCCTTCTTTTGTAAGGCTGAATAGTATTCCATTGTATATATACCATATTTTATTTATCTCTTCATTCAGTGATAGACACAGGTTGATTCAATATCTTGACTATTGTGAATAACACTGCAAGGAACATGGGAATACAGACATATCTTCAACATACTAATTACATTTTTGTATATATATCAAAAAGTAGGATTGATAGACCATGTTTTATTTCTATTTTTAATTTTTGATAAATCTCTATACTGTTTTCCTTAGTGGCTGTGCTAATTTCCACTTCTACCAATAGTGTGCAAGAGTTACCTTTTCTTCACATCCTTGCCAACACTTGTCATTGTTGTCTTTTTGATCATAGCCATTCTGACAGGAATCAGTACCCAGCCAAGGGGGGAGCCCTTTATAAAACCATCAAATCTCATGAAAATTAACTCACCATCATGAGAAGAGGATGGGGGAAACTGCCCTCATGATTCAGTTATCTTCGCCTGGTCCCTCCCACACACGTGAGGATTATGGGAACTACAATTCAAGATGAGAATTGGGTGGGGACACAGGCAAACCATATCAGGTACTATGATAGAAACTAGGAAAAAAATGATGCATAAGACAGATATACCCTCTACCTTTTAGATCCTAGAGATAGTGCAAGAGAAAAATATTAAATAAAAATTTCCAAGTCTGCTGGATCTTAGGGTTGCCAGATTTAGCAAATAAAAATACAAGACACTGTTAAATTTTAACTTCAGATAAAACCATGTATTTTTAGTTTATGTCCTTTGCAGTATGTGTGACATACCAAAAAATTGCTGTTTATTGGAATTTCAAATTTTACTGGGCATCTTATATTTTATATAGCCACCCTAGATAAATGTTATAAAGAAAGAATTATAATTTGAGGTATGTTTTCTAACAAGGACTGATCTCTATATCTTAAAGTCCTCTTAAAATAATAATAAGAATGAGCCAGCTTGAAAAAAGGATTATGCAGTGCATTTCTATGGGACTTTTGTTCCAAATTTATATTGAGATAAACAATCAAAAGGGTTACCTTTTCTTTAGGAGAGAAATCTTCCCTGAAAAGGACATAGCATTCTACTTTAGGAAATTCCATACAGCTTATGTAGTGTTGTCATCTGTGAACATTGTTGAAACTAATCATAAACCTGCAAAGACTACCACATCAACACAGACAAAAACTTCTCAATCAGGATAGGAAGACGTCAGTGTGAGAAACTGGAAAATTGGGATATAAATGATAAATTCAGTTGTAGAGAAACATAAAGTTCAAGGGCTAACCTGGATGACAGTCCCATGCTTTTCCATGACAGTCCATGCAGTGACTGTCACTGTCTCACACATGGTAGGCTGTTGAGAGCTGTTGACTTTTAATTTGGGCATCTGTGTCTTTCGATTTCTGTTTCTTCTTGTACTAATTGGTAAAAGTGTATTAAGATTTACCTCTAAGATGTCACCACCCAGTAACTAGATTGTAGGCCTAATTCTACCAGTCTATGAGAATTGCCTAGTTTTATTTGAATGCATTTAATAATGATTATCTCTGACTTTTTTTAGTACTTAATATGTGTTTTGTCTAAAGCTAAATATTTGCTTGTATGCAGTATTTTAATCTTTACAGAAACATTAATACATAGAAACTATATTATCTCTATTTGGCAGATTAAAGAACTGAGGTTCAGAGTATTTATTTGTCTAACATTCAGTTACTGAGAAATGATAGATATGGGATTAAAACCAAGACAGTCTGATCCCAGAGCATGCACTTTTAATCACTGTGAATTCAGTCTCCAAATGATAATAACTACCAGTTTTTCAGTGCACTGAGTATTTTATATGCATTATCTTATTTAATCCTAACAAGAACCCTATGAGAACATTAGCTTAAGGAGATCAAGTAACTTTTCCAGGGTCACACAATAAATAAGTAGCACAGCCAGGATTCAGTCCTAATCTTTCTAATTCCTAAATCATGCTCATAATGACTAGTAAATGATAACTATTTCTTCTTATATAGGAGGAAACTGATGATCCTGAAAATTAAGTGGCTGACCTACGTTCACATAGTAACAGGAATGGGACTAATAAATACACCATCTCTTGACTTCTCATTCAACAAGCTTTTGATTATTTCTCTGACGGTTTTCTCATTTAGTTGCTTTCAGTTGATGCTCATTAGTTATCAAATTTAGAGAGACTCTTTCTCTAAGTGGCACTTTCTCCAAATCATGACTTCTAATAGAAGTCATGATTTCTGCCATAATCCTCTCTCCAGCAGGCATGGCCTTTAGGGACTCTGCTGACCTTGCCAGCTTGCAAAATTACAACTTAAGGGCTTCAAAGGGGCCAAGTGCACAGTTACAGAGTGCATGTATAGCCTGAAATCATGATTTTAAATACGTTGTCTTCCTGTTGCTGGTGATAAAATTTGGATGTTGTGTCCTCAGAAGTTAGACATAGATATCAAAAATCTTCAATTTCCACTTATGATTCTGTCTCACTGGAAAATTTGCTTAAATGAGAATTTCCAAAAGTTATGCCACAGAATATTAGTTATTCTGCTAAAAAGGGAATTCACAGCCAAATGCATTTGAAAAATATAAGATAGTATAACCATTTGTGTAGACTGATGATAATATCAGAAAGCTAAAGTGTCTGAGAAGGCTGAAAGTTAAGAAACTTGTTTAGATTTATTCAACCCATTGTTTTCCAAACTTTTGATTGATAATCAAATCTTTACTGTTATTGCCATTGCTGTGCAAAACCTAATCATTCAATGAATCTAGTGTTATAGTCCAATGTTTTGTAAACTTTAATATGCTAACAATTCACAGGGATCTAGTTTAAATGCCAATTTTGATTTATTAGATCTAGGGTGGTCTAGATATTCTGCATATCTAATAAAGCCCTGGTGATGCTGCTGCTATGGGTCATTTAGGTAGGAAGGTTCATTAGAAAGTACTTTAGAATAATGTTGTAAAGCACTCTCAAATTGATTAATATTTTCCATTGTAGTATATAGAGTGAAAACCCGAAAAGTCAGCAATGCAGCTAAAAATTGTAAAGGATTGACTTTCACCAAATGCTCTACTCCAAAAAATGGATACAAGGCACAGCTACTCAAATAATCATGCTATTTAGTAAGGTGTATTGTAATTCTCAATTAAGCATATCTTACCAACAGAGTTAGGGTAGTAATTTTCCATGTTTTGCATTTTAATAATTTGTTTCCTAGCTAACATATCTGGGGATAATAAATAATATAGAACAAGCAACCTTTTTCCTACTACCTTGCTAGCACTCTTAATACTAAATTATAAATAAACGATAGAAATATTTCAATATATATTTTTTAATATGCCAAAACAACCAGATTAAAGTAAGTCCTAATATAATCTTCACTTTGAAGGTGAAACAACTGGTGAGAGATTATGTGCCAAAGGTCTCAGATACTACATTGAAACCCAGGTCTGTTCACCCTTAATCCTAATCATAACCACTAAGAAAATCAATAAATTGCACAAGTAATAAGGCATTTTATCAGAAAATGTTAGTGCTCATTCACTAATGTCACTTATAAAAGTGTTATAGAGAACATGTTTTTCATCCAGATTTTCTACTCTGTGCCCAGCTACTGGTGTCTGATTCTCATGCTCTAGCTTGCCAAGAACTCATCTGAGTCCTCTTATACAAGCTTAATAAGACCTGTGTTGGTACCACATATGTCTGAACCCTCTGCCCTTACTTCTTTTCATTCAAACTTAACAGCCCAGTGTGGGAAACTCTTAATTAGTTTTTAAAAATCTTTACTTAATGAAGAAAAATTGACTGCTTGTTCCCTAAGATCATGAAACAAAGTAGGATGTCTGTTCTCATCACCTCTATTAAGCATATCCCACTGCAATTTCTAGTAAGTACAATAAGGCAAGAAAAAGAAATAAAACTGTAAATATTGAAAAAGAAGAAATAAAACTGAGCTTATTTGCAGATAACATGATTGTTTATGTAGAAAATCCCCCAAATATAATAAAAACTCCTAGAGCTAATAAGGATATTCAGCTAGGTCTCAGAATACAAGATCAATACACAAAAATCAATTGCACTTCTATATGCTAACAACAAATATATGAAAACCAAAATATAAAACAATACAGTTTGCAATTGCTTAAAAGAAAAACCTAACATAAATTGTATATAATCTTGCTGTTCCTTATAAAATGCTGATGAAAGAAATCTAAGGAGACCTAAACAAATTGAGAGATATACCATGTTCATCTATGGAAAGATTCAATATAGTAAATAAATCAGTTCTCCCTGATATAGCTATAGGTTTAATTTAATTATTACTAAGATAATAGGAAGTTTTTTTATAAATATAGACAAGATTATTCTAAAATTTATATGGAAAGCCACAGGATCTGAAATACTAAAACAATTTTGAAATAAAAAATAAAGTGGGAGGAATCATTCTACCTGATGTTAATGCTTATAGCTTAGTAGTCAAGATAGAAAAATATTGGCAGAAGGATAGACATATAAATCACTGGAACTAGAATAGAGAAGTCACAAACAGATTTACATAATATGTCCAGCTGATTCTTTTGTTTTTATTATTTTCTTAAAACTAAGAGCATTATTGAAATATACTGTATACCATAAAACTTACTCTTTTAAATGGTGAAAAATTATGTTTTGTAGAATATTCATAGGGTTACATGACCACCACTGCTATCCCTTCTTAGAATATTTTCATAATCCTCAAAGAAAACTCCATATCCATTAGTCATCATTTCTCATATTTTCCTCCCCTCAACCCCTAGCAACTCTTACCTACTTTGTGTCTCTAAGGATTTGCTCATTCTGGACATTTCATATAAATGAAAACAACCAATACATAGTATTTTGTGGCTGGCTTTCAAAGTTTGTCCTTGTTGTAGCATGTGTCGGTACTTCATTCATTTTATTGCCAAAATTATACCACTGTGTAGACATACCATATTTTTTTATTCATTCATTACTTTGGATTGCTTCCATTTTTGGTGTTCTTTTTCTCATGCTGGAGCATGTAACTTTTTGTGTCTATCATAAACATTGCTGCTTTTAACATTTCTGTACAAATTTTCATGTAAACTTTTTTATGTGTTCTCTTTTTCTTGAGTATATACTTATGAATAAATTGCTAGGCCATATGGTATCACATTATGTTTAACATTTTGAGGAACTGCCAAGCTGTTTTCCAAAGTGGTTGTACCATTTTATAATCCCACTAGCAATGAATGAAAGTTTTAATTTCTTCATATCCTTGTCAGTACTTATTATTATCTGTTTTTATTTTATCCATTTAGTGTTTGTGAAGTAATATCATATTGTAGTGTTGATTTGCATCTTTTCCCAATGATTCATGAGTTGGAATATCTTTTGTGTTTATTAACCATTGTATATCTTCTTTAAAGAAATGAATTTTCAAATCCTTTTCCTATTTTTTTTTTTGAAAAAGGCTTTTAATTTTTCAAATAATTGGGAATTTTATTTATTTATTTATTTATTTTTATTTTTAATCTTTTTTTTCTTTTATTATTATTATTATTATACTTTAAGTTTTAGGGTACATGTGCACATTGTGCAGGTTAGTTACATATGTATACATGTGCCATGCTGGTGCACTGCACCCACTAACGTGTCATCTAGCATTAGGTATATCTCCCAATGCTATCCCGCCCCCCTCCCCCGACCCCACCACAGTCCCCAGAGTGTGATATTCCCCTTCCTGTGTCCATGTGATCTCATTGTTCAATTCCCACCTATGAGTGACAATATGCGGTGTTTGGTTTTTTGTTCTTGCGATAGTTTACTGAGAATGATGGTTTCCAATTTCATCCATGTCCCTACAAAGGACATGAACTCATCATTTTTTATGGCTGCATAGTATTCCATGGTGTATATGTGCCACATTTTCTTAATCCAGTCTATCGTTGTTGGACATTTGGGTTGGGTCCAAGTCTTTGCTATTGTGAATAGTGCCGCAATAAACATACGTGTGCATGTGTCTTTATAGCAGCATGATTTATAGTCATTTGGGTATATACCCAGTAATGGGATGGCTGGGTCAAATGGTATTTCTAGTTCTAGATCCCTGAGGAATCGCCACACTGACTTCCACAATGGTTGAACTAGTTTACAGTCCCACCAACAGTGTAAAAGTGTTCCTATTTCTCCACACCCTCTCCAGCACCTGTTGTTTCCTGACTTTTTAATGATTGCCATTCTAACTGGTGTGAGATGATATCTCATAGTGGTTTTGATTTGCATTTCTCTGATGGCCAGTGATGATGAGCATTTTTTCATGTGTTTTTTGGCTGCATAAATGTCTTCTTTTGAGAAGTGTCTGTTCATGTCCTTCGCCCACTTTTTGATGGGGTTGTTTGTTTTTTTCTTGTAAATTTGTTTGAGTTCATTGTAGATTCTGGATATTAGCCCTTTGTCAGATGAGTAGGTTGCGAAAATTTTCTCCCATGTTGTAGGTTGCCTGTTCACTCTGATGGTAGTTTCTTTTGCTGTGCAGAAGCTCTTTAGTTTAATTAGATCCCATTTGTCAATTTTGGCTTTTGTTGCCATTGCTTTTGGTGTTTTGGACATGAAGTCCTTGCCCACGCCTATGTCCTGAATGGTAATGCCTAGGTTTTCTTCTAGGGTTTTTATGGTTTTAGGTCTAACGTTTAAATCTTTAATCCATCTTGAATTGATTTTTGTATAAGGTGTAAGGAAGGGATCCAGTTTCAGCTTTCTACATATGGCTAGCCAGTTTTCCCAGCACCATTTATTAAATAGGGAATCCTTTCCCCATTGCTTGTTTTTCTCAGGTTTGTCAAAGATCAGATAGTTGTAGATATGCGGCATTATTTCTGAGGGCTCTGTTCTGTTCCATTGATCTATATCTCTGTTTTGGTACCAGTACCATGCTGTTTTGGTTACTGTAGCCTTGTAGTATAGTTTGAAGTCAGGTAGTGTGATGCCTCCAGCTTTGTTCTTTTGGCTTAGGATTGACTTGGCGATGCGGGCTCTTTTTTGGTTCCATATGAACTTTAAAGTAGTTTTTTCCAATTCTGTGAAGAAAGTCATTGGTAGCTTGATGGGGATCTCTCGGCAGAAACCCTACAAGCCAGAAGAGAGTGGGGGCCAATATTCAACATTCTTAAAGAAAAGAATTTTCAACCCAGAATTTCATATCCAGCCAAACTAAGCTTCATAAGTGAAGGAGAAATAAAATACTTTATAGACAAGCAAATGCTGAGAGATTTTGTCACCACCAGGCCTGCCCTAAAAGAGCTCCTGAAGGAAGTGCTAAACATGGAAAGGAACAACCGGTACCAGCCGCTGCAAAATCATGCCAAAATGTAAAGACCATCGAGACTAGGAAGAAACTGCATCAACTAACGAGCAAAATCACCAGCTAACATCATAATGACAGGATCAAATTCACACATAACAATATTAACTTTAAATATAAATGGACTAAATTCTGCAATTAAAAGACACAGACTGGCAAGTTGGATAAAGAGTCAAGACCCATCAGTGTGCTGTATTCAGGAAACCCATCTCACGTGCAGAGACACACATAGGCTCAAAATAAAAGGATGGAGGAAGATCTACCAAGCCAATGGAAAACAAAAAAAGGCAGGGGTTGCAATCCTAGTCTCTGATAAAACAGACTTTAAACCAACAAAGATCAAAAGAGACAAAGAAGGCCATTACATAATGGTAAAGGGATCAATTCAACAAGAGGAGCTAACTATCCTAAATATTTATGCACCCAATACAGGAGCACCCAGATTCATAAAGCAAGTCCTGAGTGACCTACAAAGAGACTTAGACTCCCACACATTAATAATGGGAGACTTTAACACCCCACTGTCAACTTTTCCTATTTTTAAAAGTGGGTTTTTTGTTGTTGTTGTTGAGATGTTACTGTTCTTTATATTTTGAAGATATAAATCTCTTACCAAATGATTTGCAGAAATATTCTCACATTCTGTGTGTTGTCCTCATATTTCTTGATGATGTCCTTTGAAGGACAACATTTTAATGTTGATTAAATTTATCTTTTTTTGTAATTGTGCTTTTTGTGTCACATCTAAGAAAACACTGACTAATCAAAAATCATGAAGATTAACATTTACCCTGTGTTTTCTTCAAAAATTTTTATATTTTCAAGTTTTATGTTTAGGTCTCTTATCCATTTTGAATTAATTTTTGCATATTGTTTTAAGTAGGAGTATAACTTTATTTTTTCTTAATGTAGATATCTACCAAATGATTTTTTTTAACAGTTGAACTGCTTTAGCTGAACAAACTTTTCAACACATGATGCTGGCTGGAGCAATTGAACATTCATAGGCAAAAAGAAATGAATCTCATCCTAAACCTTATATCTCATAAAAATTAACTCAAAATGGATCATGGACTTAAATGTAAAATATGAAACTAAAAAACTGGTAGAAAAAAAAGACAGAAGAAAATATTTGGTATCTAGAGCTGGAAAGGAGTTTTTAGAAGAGAGAAAATCATATCTGATAAAGAAAGAAAATGTTAAACTGGACCTCATCAAAATTATAAACTTTTGTTCTATGGAATAACCTGCTGGGAGCATAAAAGCTATAGACTAAAATAAAATATTTACAAACCACGTATCTGACAAAGTAGTCATGTCTAGGAAGATATACAGAACAATATATAAAAACAATTCAATTAGATAATGGGTGGAATACATGGCAGACATTTCACTGACAAGAATAGGCAGATGGCAAATAAACACTTGAAAAGGTGTTCAACATCACTAGCCATTAGAAAAATATAAATAAAAACCACAATTAGATATCACTATAAACATATCCAAATGGAAAAATAATAAACCAAGCAAATGCTGGTGAGGATAAAGAAAAACTGGATTATGCTTTGCTGGGGGAATGTAAAATTGAATATCCACTCTGGAAAATCATTTGGCAATTTCTTATAAAACTAAACATGCAATTTACATATAGCCCAGAAATTGCTTTGCACTTGCGCCACAGAAATAAAAATTTAGCACTTGCAAAAAATACAGGAATGTTCACAATGGCTTTATTCCTAATAGCCCACAACCGAAAACAGTCCAGATGCCCTTCAATGTGTGAATGGTTAAACATACCATGTTACATCCATACCGTGAATTTCTACTTAACTATTTAGCCATAAAAAGAACAGACTGTTAAAACCACAGTAACTTTAATGGATTTCAAGGGAATTCTGCTGAGTAAAAAAATAAAAATAAAAATATTTAAAGAGCTACACATGATCACATGCTATCTATTTATATAACATACATGAAATGAAAAATTATAAAGTAGAATAGATTACTGGGTGCCAGGGATTATGGATGGGGGAGGGAAAAGATAAGTAGTGAGTATAGCTATAAAAGTGTAGCACAGAGGATCTTTACTGAGAAGAGACTATTCTTTATCTTGACTGTGGTGATGGTTACATAAATACACACATGTAATAAAATTTCATAGAACTAAATACACACTTGAATGTATATAAGTCTAATAAAGTCTGAATAAGATCAGTGGATTGTAAAAATACCAATTTTCTGGTTGTGATATCATCTTGCTGTTGTTCAAGATGTTAGCGTTGGGAGAAATTAGATGAAGAGTATATGAGGTCACTCTATATTATTTCTTACAATAGTATGTGAAACTACATTTTCATACAAAAAACAGTTTAATTGAAAAAAATTTCCCAAACTGGATTTTTTGATCCTGCCATAGATTATTCCAAAGATAACAAAAGTTTTTCTATTTCTGAGCATGATTAAAGAGAAGATAAAGAGTGCCTCTATTTCCTCTGAAGACAGAATAAACTATTTTCTTTTTGGTAAGAAGACATGCAAAATACCACTGAAACAAGTCCCACACAGTTTAATCATCTCAGAGCAACCAGTGAAATCTTTCTAAAATGTATTTAGAGCATATTTGTCTTATGCTGAATAATCCCCACTGTTTTCCCATTGTACTTGAAATAAAATTCAATTTATTTGCTATGGCATATAAGGTCCTACATAATGTGACTCCCTTATATACTTTGATCTCATCTCAACTTCTTTTACTAATTTTATTAGTTATCTATTGCTGTGCAACAAGCTACTTTAAAATATTGCAACTTAAAAGAATGCACATTTTTTTATCTGCAATTTCTGCAAAGTAGAAATCTGGGCATAGCTTAGCTGGGTCTTCTGCTTTGAGGTCTCTCACAAGGCTGTAAACATGTCAGGCAATACAAAAGTGTTACCTGAAGACTCAGATGGAGAAAAATCCACTTCCGAGCTCACCGACGTGGTCGTTAAGAGGATTCAGTTTCATAAGCGCTGTTGCACTGAGAGCTTCCATTCCTTGCTGGCTGTTGGCAAGAAGCTACCCTCAGTTTCTTGCCACATAGGCCTCTCCAACACGCCCCTTGTTTCATCAAGGCTAATGAGACAAGGGAGAGAGAGAGAATCCACAAGCAAGACAAAGTCAGCATCTTTTGTGACTTAAGTAGAAAAGGGACATCCTCTCAATGTTGCTGTATTTTATTGGTTACAAGATAGTTACTCTAGGGGAAAGCATGACACTAGGTCCTGAGTAACAACAGGTGGGGTCACTGAGGGCTATATAAGAGCCACCCTATCACACTAGTCTTCTTGCTGTTTACTGTATATCTGATCCAAGATTGTTAGAAAGCTGACTCCTTGTCATTTGGTAGGTCAGAGTTAATTGTGGAGAAGACCCAAAGTCTATAGAAGTGGAGTTGGAAATGGAGGTATATTGGGCTGATTGGCAGCTGGTAAGCTACCTGGGTGTGTAGGTGTGTCCGCAGATTGGTAAATTGAGTTAGGCTGGCCTGAAGTGAAGATTGCCAAATTCAACACAAGTGTGATAGTGAAAAATTAGAAAAGGAAATATTCATTAAATATCTTTTATGACTCAGCCACCATGTTTGTTGTTTTGCACACAAAATGTTTTACAAAATTATCTCGATGATATCATCCTAATCTTTTAAATAATGAAATCCAAGGCAGAGAGATTAAGTATCTCCAAAGATTACACAGTTGAAAAATAATTCAAACTCCTAGTCTTTCTAACTTTAATAACTGTTCATTTGCCACTGTCCCACAGTGGCTTCTGAGATGTCAGGGACTTCTCAGAGGAGCTGGTGGCCCAGGCTCGTGCTTTAGCTGGGCTCTCCTATTGAGCTTTCTCCAGGCTCCAGCGATGCTCCTTTGCATTCTGCTGCTCCCTTATGGCCATGACTGTAATTACAGCTAAGTTTACAGCCCTGGAAGAGGTTTCCAAGGGAGGGAGGCAGGAATCTGAAAGAACATTGGAGCATCAACCAAGAAAATAAAGAATTTGCAAATGAGGAAAAAAAGAGAGAAGAAAAAAGAGAAAAGAGGAGGAGGATGGGAGTTAGGACACAGAAGAGAAGGAGAAGAAGGAGAATGGTATGGTTTGGCTTTGTGTCTCCACCCATATCTCGCCTGCAATTGTTGTCTTCATAAATCCCCACGTGTCAAGGGTGGGACCAGGTGGAGGTAATTGAATCATGGGGGTGGTTTTCCCCATGGTATTTTTGTGATAGTGAGTGAGTTCTCAGGTGATCTGATGGTTTTATAAGTGTCTGGCATTTCCCTCTTGCACTCTCACTCTGTTCTGCCACCCAGTGAGGAAGATGCCTGCTTCTCCTCTGCCTTCTGCCAAGATGGCAAGTTTCCTGAGGCCTCCCCAGCAAGATGGATCTGTGAGTCAATTACACCTATTTCCTTTATAAATTCCCAATCTCGGGTATTTCTTCATACCAGTGTGAGAACAAACTAATGCAGAGGGAGAGCAAAAGCAGAAGAGGAGGGAGGGAGTTAAAAAAAAGAAAAGATTGTGGTTGGACTGCTCCAGGAATCAGACAAGTTTATTAGAAAAAAACTTTCTTCTCCGGCCTTATAGAATACATGAAAGCTTGATAGAAAAGCCGAGTATCTGCTAAATAGTGAGAGGACGGCCATGCCTCTTATAATAAAAGTATACTCAATAAAGCTTAATTATAAAATAATACCTGTAAATATAAAAAGTAAAATGAATTTTCATTTTATTTCAGATGCATTATTACATTTTATTAAAAGAAACCTGTGAAATAGGATTCTCATTATCCCTATTTACAGAAGGAGAAATTGAGGTTTGGGGAAATTTAGACTTGCCTTTTGGGTCACTCAGCTAAAACGTAGTGGACCCCAATAGTACTTCATATCTTTTCATGCCAAACTCTGTCTTTTGCTTTTATATCATATGTCTCTGTTGTACCTATCTTTCAGTTTTAAAGATTCTCTTAACCTACTGGTTCTCCCTCCAGGAGGTCTTCCGGGTTTCCTAGATCCTTTTTGGCTTCAGTTTGTAGTTGCATTATCTTAGTCTTTAAATTACAGGAATTGCTCAGGTACGGTACATTTTCACATCCAGACCACTAGTTCCATGCTTTTCCCACTCACAGATGATGCATACTTAGAACATTTGAGGTCATATTGCACAGACCTTTTAAAGAGAAGTATCAGTGAGTTTTTAAAAATCTATGTCTTTATCTCCTGCAGGTGGTTGTGGGGGGAGGGCACGTAATTGAGAGTTAATTGATTGCGTGTTTTCCCCACTAGAGTTTCATTACCATCCTACACTTCTATTATATGGGTCTTGAGGATCAAGACTTCCAAGGCCATCGATGATTCAACAAATTAATACAGACCAGAGCTAGTAATCACAGCTTGGAGATGAGGGAATGAGAGCACACTGATAGAAGTAAAGGGCAGTTTGGAAGGGAGGACCAGGGCTGCTTCCTCATTGTTTTTCCTGTCTGTCTGCAGTTCATTGTGTTCTTGAAAATGTTACTTTTCCAGTACCTAATGAATGATACATCAAGGCCTGCCATGAAACTGTAGGGAGAGACTTTATGGTATGACTCATGAGCCATGCTGAATTACAGATCTTTTCTCATTAGTCTGATTAAAAACCTAAGCTCATTATGGCTCAGGAAGTGATTTAGTTTCAATGCCTTTTGGTTATGTTCCTTTTTTATTTTCCAGGAGTGCATATTTTGGCTAAGAATTCATTTTCTATTTTAAATGGTTCTAAATTTCAATTCTTAAAATGTGTGTTCATTATCATATCATTCAGACCTGTAAATGTTCTTTTTATATTTTAAGAACTATTATTTATAAGCAAAGTGATTTTAATTTTATCTCATGTAATATTTTCCTTCACAAATGAGAATCTTCAAGAAAGACTTTTGGCATGTTATTTTTTTGACTTTCTGAATAAAATACTTTTCCATAATACTGGAGAGAGAATGTTGGCTTTGGAGTTAGATCTAAGATGGATGCATACGTCAGTCATTTCCTATAGTCTCATATTGGACAATTCATTTAAACCTATTAAGTCTCAACTTCTTCATCTTTTAATGAAATTGGAATAATACTAGTGGCTTAATAGCATTGATATGAATATTAAATACGTTAATATATGTAAAGCATGTAAAACAATAGTGGCCCAACAAATGTGAGCCTCCCTTCCTCCCTTTACTAATATGTCAGTGTAGGGATTTTATATTTTAGTGCTAACAAAAAAATTCTTCAATCAGAGAGGATGATTAATTTTTAAATATGCATCGCTGATAGGATTTAAGTGTGTGTTCACATGTCTCTGGGGTCACATGTGCCTCTCTAAGTGTTAACTAGGAGTTAA
Source organism: Homo sapiens (assembly GCF_000001405.40). Taxonomy (NCBI): domain Eukaryota; kingdom Metazoa; phylum Chordata; class Mammalia; order Primates; family Hominidae; genus Homo; species Homo sapiens. The sequence continues at coordinate 29,162,251 of NC_000011.10, forward strand.
TAGCTTAAAACTCTTGGGATTATTTTTCAGAAATTCTGTTACAAAGCAGGCAAATGAATCACGGTCTATATGTTAACTGTTAACAGTTCCATATTAGGTGTACCCAACTGATCAGCTGAAGGGACATCAAGACCTTGTCTGGCATGTAAACATGCCCCTTGCCAATTGTGACTGAGTAGTTGTCCCTCAAACAATAATACATGGTTCTCACTGGAGGGTGGCCAATTTTTGCCCTCCAGGGGGCATTTGATAATGTCTGCAGACATTTTTTATTGTAAAAAATGCAAAGGTAGTACCGGCATCATATACAAGAATACTTACTGCTAAATGCCTTATAATGCATAGGATAGCCCCTCCTAACAAATAATTGTGTGGCCCAAAATTTCCATTGCACTGCTATTGAGCAACTCTGGCCTGATGAAATCACCATTTTCCTCAAGAATATTCCTTTTTGTATCCTGTTTTTGATGTCATGTAGAAACAGCCAGAGGCTTACAAAATCTAAGGGGTTGTCATGGCTATTGAGTAGAGATGTGACCAGCTGTGCTTTCTTTCGATTCAGGACTGATCAAGTGAAAATAGGTCTGAGGTACAAGAAACCTAGTTTGAAATGAGGAAGAGCTTCCTCTGAGTAAAGAAATGCAGTGCCAATAACCTTTGTATTGGAATTTTCATGTAGACTATGTGAATTGCTTCCCTTGTAATATTTCACATTGGAGGTCATTATATCTTCCAATATCCCAAGTTGGTCACAATCAGATAAATTAGTTAAATGGCAAAGGAGCCTAGTGCGGATTCTGTAAACTTTTATTACCTGATACTTCTTGTGAACCCTACCATCTTAACTCTTGGGCTTCCCCAAGTGGTACTTCATCATCATCACAAAATTCTAGATTAAATGCATTTTTTTCTTTTCTTTCTTTCTTTCTTTTTTTTTTTTTTTTTTTTTTTGAAAGAGGGTCTCTCTCTGTCACCCAGGCTGGAGTGCAGTGGTGCAATCACAGTCTGCAGCCTCCATCCCCTGCGCTCATCTCAAGCTATCCTCCTACCTCAACTTCCCCCAGCTTCCTGTCTGGCTGAGTAGCTGGGACTGCTGGGACTATATAGCTCAAGCAATCCTCCCAAAGTGCTGGTATTACATGCATGAACCGGGCCAAGCTTTTTTTTTTTTTTTTCCTTGAAGTAATGCTTGATTGTTTTTCTCCCAGCATATGTTTTTAACATCTATATTATTGCCAAACTTTCTGTTTCCATGGAAGTCTACAGAAGGCTCCTAAACAAAAGAATAAAAGGATATATGTATGGTTGGTGCATAGAAAATATTTCTGAAACTTTCTGTTATTGTTTTGATTGTTATAAAATTCATAATGAGAGGCAGCAGAAGTAGAATGGGGTACAGTTGGATAAATATTCGTAGAAACTTGGGCCTAAAGTCATTGAGGTGGAAAGTTTTTTTTTAATAGTTATGGTTGATTATTCCTCTTCATCTTCACAATTTTAGATCACCCTTAACTAAGAGCTTATTTTATGATTAAAAACCTATAATTCCATGGCCTAATACACTCTAATCTTAAGTATTGGTTTTTAAAGACATTGTTTTCCAAACAATGTTTACAAATCATTGTTATCAATGATTTTTGTTAATTAACTACCTCAGAGACTCTAAACACTTATGCCTTAAAAAATCCACCTATAAATCAAAAGGGCATTGCTATTACCTTCTCATATTCAATTATTATGCTTCTTTTATTTGAGTTATCTCACTAATCAGAGTATTAAGTTTAGGGAAACATGGAGGCTAATTTCACAGGTTAATGAAAGTTTTCACTGTATGGAAGTATTAAACTTCAATTTGAGGATACTCCTTAACTGTTAGTGGATGTTTAAATTGTAAAATCTTTATGAAATAAATTGGAAAAAAATTATCTCAACATTTAAGACAGGCATTTATTTGATTCAGCTATGCCATTAGTAGAAATCTACATAAATACTGAAAAAGTACACATAAATGGTTCTGCAAGAGGTATTGTTTGCCATTGAAATTAAGCTAAATGTAAATCAATTAAGCAGTAAAACAAATTGTAACATCTGTACAATGGCAGTCTAAGTAGGCATCAAAAGGACAAGATGATTTATATGTATTGGCATTGAAATTTCTTCACATCATATTAAATAGAAAAAGACTGCCCAAATAATATGGTTTCACTCATGTAAAAACTACACACATACACACCACAGAGAAAGACTGGAAGAATAGTCCTTTAAATGGAAATAATCACTTCTTAGGAGAGAAGCAGGGATTTTGTCAGATTTTTATTCTTTACATTATATATTTCTATATTGGTGGAAGTTTTTGCAATGAATATGAAGTCATTTTATAATAAGACAAATAATTACAATAGTTCAATTTTGAAAAAGTAAATTTAAAAATCATGTTGAGACAGAAAATTACCATGGCTTATATTCATTTGCTCAACAAATGTTTGGGAGCACCTGCTATGCATCGGTCACTGTGCTAGCCATCAGTGAAATGCTACTTTTCAAATAGAACTCCTGTGTAGTTTGAAGTATAGTGGGAGAGATGCATATTGAAGTACTTACCACTCATGCATACAGTGGTCATTTTTCTTAACATATTGAAAGTACATGAGTGGTAAACTACACTAGATCACCTCCAAGAAACTATTCTTAAAAAGTATCCAAAAACAAATGGAGTCTGAGATCCATGGAAGCAACGCACTTAATGACACATTAAAAATGTGCAACTATTTGGGTACAATCATAATGACAAGAACGCAACTTCAAAAATATACAATTAGAATTTGAATATATTTCTGAAACCTACAACTTTTCAAAAGAATTAAGTGACCTGTTTAAAGCCCAGAATGAAGAGGAGGCTAAAAGCAAGATTTTTGTCAGTGCGTTTCCTTTGTTCTGGGAGAAGCCTTGTGCCCTGATCATTTGCATTCTATCTACTTGGAAGGTATATTCCAAAAGATGGACACATTGATTCAACTCCTTTTGCTAATACTAATATTCCATGAATATTAAGCAATTTTCAGATTATAATTTAGTTTATTTTATTACAGTATGCTATAGGACAAGAACATGCTGCTCAGCTAACCTGGGCCATCCTCATAAGATTTACGATTGCATTTAACATAACATTATTAAATGGGCATAGTTATCTCTTCAGAATGAATCCCTCTGAATCAAAGGATTGATCACTTTTGAACAGACATGACAAAATTGAGGACCAAGCTGGAGCTTGGGGAACTCAGATATTTTCCCTGTAAACCCTTCCTGAATGACAAGATATTACCCCTTAGCCTCCCAATCTGCCTTGAAATTCATGCTACTAGCAGCTACAAGTTAATAAGCCAATCATCACAGAAGCAAACTATCATGATCCATGTAGTCTGTGTTTACAATCCCTGAAAGCCCAGTCAATTGTTTTGACTGAAAGTTATGGTTGGAATTCTTCTAGTAGCCAGTTGTTACCAAATAAACAAGTAATTCAACACAGTCACTAAGAGCACAGTATGTAGAGGTAGATTCCCTTAACGTTTGAATCTAGTTCTGCCTCTTGCTAGCTGTGAGATAGTGGGCAAAACAATTATTGGAGTTTAGGCTTTACAACTATAAAGGAAAATTTTGACTTTAAATAAACACCAATAGCAATTACATGAAATAATATATCTGAAGTTCATAACAATAGTGTCTGATGGAGTATGTCTTCCATAAACAATAACTATTATTATTTTTATTTATTTTATCCTTCAAAGCTCTAAAGTCTTACCTCTAAGAATCTCTAGATAGATTCTATTTCCCATGCTTACAAAAAATCCTCTGCACATGATGCTTTTGTTTGTCTACGTTGCCAATATTTTACTTCTCTGTTTCATGTGTTCTCTGATCAGCCATATTTTCCATGGTGTAAAATAGAGACATCCTCCCTAAACTTGTACAATTGTCACATGTTTTAAATTCTAAATCTTGGCAAATATGCCTGGGACAAAAATGGGTGTTTGATATTGATGATGGTAAAAGGAATTTAATGAGTATGTCTTACAATTATATTCCAATAAACAATTTAAAAAAGGCCAGGGTCTATCACCAAAATGAAGAGAAAGTAAAATCCCTATCAAATGCCAGGATGTTTTCTCCTTGATTTGCCACATATCATCCATGCTTGTCTTGAGCTGCATGCCAGCTATATTGCAGACGATACTTATGCTCATGAAGATGAACAGGTGCAATGGCTTATCCCACAGGGAGGGCAAAGATTAATGAAGTGTGTGTGTAAATTCTAGGAATACAAGAGGCAACAGTCAGCCTTTTAATAATACCTTAATTAACACTGATATAATGCATTAACTAACCCTCAGCAGCACATTTTAACTCATTTGCTAATCTTATTCCTTACAGCAGCTGTTCAACTATATCCAAAAGCATCATTTTTTTATTGGATGTTTAAAATCCCAGAGCCATATAAAGGAGCCTATAATCTTACCATGCTTTTTGGCTGAGAGTTGGTTGTCAGTGAAGACAAAAAGAACACAAAACATTGAAAGTATAAATTTTGAGTTATTGCCTACATCTTATGTCATATGGGTTTTTCTGGTATTGCAGCAAATCAAATTTTGTATGGAATTTCCCTAATAATCCCTGACATTTTACATGTTCTCTCTTGGTTTATGCTATTTGCTAGCCTAGAGCAACTTTCACCACTTTTTTTTTCATTGTTCAAAAGCTAGGTCAGATTTCACTGTTTCTCTCCATATTTATATATTCTTGTCAGATCACCTTCATTTGTGCTTCTCTTACCAATTTATTCTCTTCTTGCATTTTGGCCACACTTTTATCTGAAAGATAAAAGATTTCAAATAAACAAATTAAAGACTGGAAATCCATAAAAGGTTGATCTGTTTAAATGTATCTGACAAACCATTCAATTTTTGAGTATTGGTGGTTAAGAATGTGTATTTATCCTTGTATCTCTAGAGTCTGGCACAGTGGTTGGTTTCTGTCAGCCCTCCAATCATACTTGTGACATGAATAAGTTAATTATGAGTTATTAAAACATTTGATTTGAATCAGTATTCCTTTATATCCTTTAGTTTCAACAATCCACAAGATTAATGAAAATCATATTTTTAAGAAATATTGCCTATTGTATTACCTAAGATAGAAAAAACGAATTTAGTACTAAAACTATAGCCTCATATGCATAGACAGGGAATAAGAGTTCCTCCCATTCTGTTTACCATAACAAATCATTTTGACTGCCCAATGGCTATTATTTCTGCTGAGTGTCATAACTAGGCAACAATTAAAAAGGAATGCCAGATGCTAGAAAACAGGCAAGTTGCTCTCTCAGCAAATTTTCCAATTCTCTTTAAAAATAGTTCTCTTTTTCTACATCAGCCACTCTATTACTTCTTTACAAGTTTAACTGTTTTCCATTTTTCAAACTCAGCTTCACTGAAGCTTTGAGATAGACCGTCTATTACACCGTGTACCTACACCCATCCAAGTATACTATGCGTTAATTTGTTTTATTTAGGAGTATGTTTTTCGCTAATCTATCAACTTTTAGATCACTGCGGCCAATTATTTTAATCTCTGTATCCCTTCAGAGTGTTTGGAACATAGTAGGTACTCAAATATTTGATGAATAAAAATTGTTATTTAATCTAAAGAGTGGCTTTGTGTTACGGCTGTGTTTAGTTTCCATGATGATTGTATTTTGGTAGAAACATTTTCTTGTCAGTGATAAATGTATTTTAAAACATAACTGAATATATGATAAAAGTTTCCAAAGCTTGGCTTGTGTCCTGGTGCTCCATCTTTCCTATGTCATTCTTGAATTGAACTCATGACAAGTTTAGTGCTTCGAGCACTATATCACTCTGTAGCTTACTTGATTTTCTGGAATAACCCAATGCAGTGTTCATGTCTTTAAAGAATGGGTCACCCAAAACAACAGGCACTATTGGGAAATAAACCTAATAGAGACTTTTATCTAACATCAGTTCTGGAAACCCTTTCACCATGAGGTGATATTTTGTAGTGCAGCATTGCTACATCAGGTATGTGGAGATTTAAAAAGATAACTCCTTAGACTTTCCAGAGCTCTTTCTTTGGTTTCCAAGAAATATGAACAGTTATGGGATTTGATAAATCACAAGCTCTGTGTGATGTTTGTTATTATTTATGGTGGTTGGATTTGAAAATTTACCATATAAGTTTGATTCACTTCCACATCCATTGGAGTTGCTTCCACCAGTGAATAGTGCTCTGAATGTTTACAGTTACAGTAAGTTTGCAAAGTTGAGTTAATGATTATTTGAACTATTTACTGCCTTGACTCTCTTACTAGAGTCAGAGTTCCTTGATATAGACTTTGTCTCACTCATCTTTGTATTTCCATTTCCTTAGTGCATAGTACCAGACAAGCATTAAGTATTTAATAAGTGCTTGTCATTGGAAACAGTTGTTGAGTTCCCAAACACTTCTATATTTTTTCTACTATCACACAGACATGTGCGCACACATTCAAAATATTCTGGGCCTACAGGAAATTCTTGAAGGCTAAATTACTTAAATTACTGTGAATTGAATCTCTTTTCCTATTACTAATTGCTAACATTACCTGCACATTCTATATTACATTTTCTGTTTTCTGAATTGTGACTATTGAAGACACATTTGTCCCTTGGAAGATTCCATGCAGCTCATAATTTAAAAATTATTTTGATATTCCAATGGCACAAAACATATAAGTAACAATTCCTTCTGCAAAACTCGACGTTGTGAGTTGCACAATGGGGAAACACATGGTTGCTAACATCAGACTGACAAGACTGCCAGGATTTGCTGACAAATGGGATGAGATATGAAAAAAAATGACTTCAAGTTTTTTTGTTTTGTTTTTGGAATGGAAGTGTCATTTATGAAGATGGAGTGACCATGGGAGGGTCAGTATCTTACAGGAAGCCAATTATTTGTATAAATTAGGTTTGAGATGCCTCACAGATATCCAAGTTAAAGATGTTGAGTAGGCAGTTGGATATGTCTCTAAAATTCAGAAGAGAGAGGTTTTCCACTAAAAATAAAAATAAGGAGTGAAAATAGTATTCCAAACTAGAAGATTGAATTAAACACACCATAAACGTTGGAAGTTATTATTACTGTAGTTATAATTATCATTGTCATCATCATCACCATCCTCATCAGCAGCATTATTGTCATTATGTTAGCCCCATTTTCCTTTGTAAGGGCATCAGGATTAAGGTTCTCTTTGGAGATATGGTCTAGTATAGAGATTGCGATGTTGCAAATAGTTTTTCTCTATTTAGATAATTAAGAAAAAGCAGACATGAAGGTGGACTGGGAATACAGAGTGCTGTGATTTTATATAATATTGCTGAAGCAGGAAAGATTTTGGGGTTGATTAAAATATTGTCAGGCCCAAAGGTCTTTTGAACCCATTTACAAACCTGATCAAGAATAATGAGAATAGATTAAAGCTGAGCAATAAAATAAACACATGCATGTCCCAAGGAGAGACAGGTTGAGTAATTAAGGGCAGGTCTGCACTTTTATTTCATTAGCATAATATTTGCATTACATATTAGAACTCTATTAATCTGACAATTAGTTTTTTGGCTCACAATTCCCTTTCTTAGGCACTGATACTGAAAATGATTCAGAAACCACATGTAATAAAATTCCTTCAGCAAAATTCAGCCAACCGAGGCACCATTCAAAATCAATCCATCCACCTGGTCATTTTCTTCTAAATATAGGTCGAATTATAAACAATTGGTAGCCTACACGGTGAAACTCTGTGTATGGAATAGAAATTAAAATGCCCAATTCTGAAGTGGGATTTATCTAGTCTTTACAACAACATGCCTCCTATTTCATTTTTTAAATTTAATGTTTTATTTATTTATTTACTTATTTGAGACAGGGTCTTGCTCTGTTGCCCAGGCTGGAGTGTGGGGCACTATCATGGCTGACTATAGCTTTGACCTTCTGGGCTTAAGCTATCCTCCTACCTCAGCCTCCTGAGTAGCGGAGACTACTGGTGTGCACCATCATGTACAGCTAATTTTTTATTTTTATTTTTTTTGTAGAAATGGGGTTTCACCATGTTGCCCATGCTCGAACTCCTGGGCTCAAGCAATCCACCTGCCTCAACCTCCCAAAGTGCTGAGATTACAGGCATGTGCCACTGTACCTGACCCATAAATTCTATTTTAGATTTAAAAATAATTCTTCCATATATACTATTACTAATATTAATACATTAATTTCCAATTATTTGACACCCACTATGCCAAATACCCTACTAAACCCTTGGAGAATACCATTTAATTTAATTCTGACATAACCTTATACTGAAGCCATTATCCGTGCTTTATAAATGAGAGAAGTAAAAATAAGAGAGTTTAGGGCAATGTTTCTCAAAGTGGATTCAAATCAATTGGTCTGGAATGAGGCCTGGGATTCTGCATTTCTAACAAATTCCCAGCCTTAGGGAACTTGGCTTTAGGGATTAACAGAATTGACCTAAATTGTTCATCTGATGCAGAGCTGCTGCTTATAATGTACTTATAACATATTTTTAACCAGCTATATTTCATTGTAAAAAGTTTTGCTTCTTACAGCTGAGTTTCTTCCTGCGGTATCTATCCTATGGCAATCCAGCCGTTGCAGGAAGAGCAGCCTATTTCATGTTTTCTGTATATTACTCCATGAGTGTGGCCTAATACTTGGACTTAATACATCTCCTATAACTGTTCCTTCCTTCTGGCTACCCAATCAAATCACAAGTCCAAGTTCTGCTTTTAGAACCTGTTTCCTTGACTGTGGTAAAGGCCATGAAATTTTTCCTTCTCTGCCCAGTCTCTAAGGATCAAATTCAAGGGCTTCTCTAGATTGCCTAAGTAATTGCCCACCCTTTCTCACCATTCCTTTCTCTTCTGTCTTTCTAGATTAATTATCACATACAAGGTGTGGAGGAGTAAAGAACTCACTGTTCCCTCTATACTCTCACCTCCTACCCTATTCCCTACCATGCCTTTCTCACTTATATTCTCACTCATGCCATTCATTATTCTTGGAACAACCTTTTACTTAAAGTCTACCTTCTTTCCTCTTTTTCAAAGGTTTTCTAAATCTCATCTCCAACATTAAAGTCTTCCAGAAATAAAGCCAATGATAATCATCTTCCCAAGGCTGATGAGTGATGAGTAACTCTCACATTTTTCATCCCACAAACCACAAACATAGAAACTTTCTTTAATGAAAATGTCTATTTAATTACTTGAGGCTTTTCTATAAATTTTTTCCTTCTACAGCTGTGTATATTATAGATTCATGATGTTAAACCTGGAAGCTACCTTAGATTTGATATGATTTCAGCAAAAACTCAGTACAGTGTTCTGCAACTAGGTAATTAAGCATAACAAAACATAGTTCATTCCAGTGGTAGGTTTAAATTCCAACCCCCACTAGCTATGTGTCCCTGAAGAAGTTACTTAACATTGTAATATCCTTAGATTTATTTTTCCATCTGTAAAACAAGAATTTAAAAAGTTACCAAATGCTAATACCATTGTGAAGATTAAGTCAGAAAAGCAATGCTACATGCATACCTGCATAAGTGCGTGCCAAAGGTTGAAAAAATAATGCTAAAACAAAATGTTAATAGCAAAGTTTATGAGAAAAATTGCTGGGAACAAAAGTGGTTCAGCACTCATTTACCTCTGTTTCCATTCAACCATATTGAAATTAAAGCATTTTCAATTTCAGGCTTTGAAAATAATGGTATAAAAGGAAGTAGCTGCATTTTTGGGACTCAAGGTAATAGGATATTCAAATCTTTCTTTGGCCTCTACAGTTAAGGTGCACCTGTCTTTCAATATTGGTAGAGGATATATGATCAGAGAGCATTCAAAGCTTTTTAAATCCAAAGGAAGGACAGAGCAAGACGGACTTGAATGTGTAACCTTCAATTAGTCTAATTAAAGGAATAATAGTGACCATAAGGCATCATTAGAGCCACTGCAGCCCTAAGTTCACCTTCAGTTCCACGGATATTGGAGTCATCTCCTAAAGTTGTCCTATAAACTTTCAAAGGGAAAAATCGGGAAAAGAGAAATGAAATAGTTCTTACTATAGTCCAGACTTTCTTTTACACAATTTAGAGCTCTAATAGCCTGTTTGATGTAACCATCTTTAATTATAGGTACCTGAAATTGGGCACTTCTAAAACAGAACTTCTCATCTCCTTCTAATCTTTCTCTACCTCCCTTGTTCTCTTAAAATCATTGGCTCTGCTTCCGCAGCCAGGGCATTTGATGTCATTTTTTATACTAACCCCCTCTATATCCCATTCTTTCTATTTAAACCATATATAGAGTATCAGTTATATCTAGAGATTTTTTAAGATCCATTTCCCATATCTATCTCAATGGCCAATGTGTTAAATCCCATCCCTCATCATCTATCACTTGAAAAACTGCAACTACAACCAAATGCTCTGGGTGCAATTCAGTTTTCTAAATTGTCACAAATTTTTACTCCGTAAAACAAGGATGATTTTATCACCCTTTGGACAATATTTGCTACTGGATCTTTGTCTTTTGGATTAGACCTCACTTTTCTAATTAGCAGGGAAGGTCTTCTGCAATCGGGCACAGCACAAAAATCTGTCTCTGATAATGTTACATAATGATCAGCGAAGAACAGTGAACTGAGTCTTAAATACTAGAAACCACACATTTGCAGATTATTTTTGTTGTTTTTTAAATTATTTTTATTATACACAAGATTCATAAGTCTTTATCAAACACATAATCATCAGCCAACTGAACTGAGTCCCAGATACTAAGAATCAAGGATGTGCAGTTATTTTTATTTGGTGTTTTTTTTTTTTTAGTTTTTATTATAAAGACTAAAGTTCCATAGGTCTTTATAAGAAAACACAGAAAATTTGAACCAAAACAAAACCCCAAGAAGTCAGAGTGCAAAAGTTTACTCGTATAAATATTGGGTAACATTCACTTTTTAAAAGGATGTAAGGTCTGTATTAGTTGCCTCTGGTAGGTTGACTATCAAAGCATTTAGTTCATGTTTTTGTGTATCTATCAAGTGTTCTCAGTCTTTGTGGAATATATGCTTTTGTGGGTTAGAAAATATTTTAATTTCAATTGGTTATCTGGTAAGATTTTAACCAGACACAGGAAATTTCTATGTGTGCTATTTGATAATAAAAGAAAACTTCTTAGCTTTAGGGAATTATTTTACTTTAAAAATTGCTAGATAAAATATCACAAGAAAGAATAGTTTCTTGGCCTGCTTCTATGAAAACTTCTTTGGGTGAATACATTTGCAGAGACATATAAAAGCATTCATTAGAAGTGAATCATGGTGTACTTTCTTCAAATAATTTTCCATTCAAGTGACACTTAATTCATAGTTTATACATTCAGGGCCAATAACTACACAATCCACATTCCATAAGGAGTACCAAAAATGTATAAGATGCTCTAGGCTTCCTGAAAATCGAGCATATTATGTCTACACAGATGATAAGAAGAGGAGTGAAATGGTGAGATTGTCAGCATTCCTTTGATGTCTTTTAAACAAAGATCCTATTGAATGTTGACTCATTTTCACTCCATGTGATCTTATGGAAGAAAAATGTTGTTTGGGTCTTGAGATCTTAGGCATGCAATGAAACTAGATTTCATTCAAACACTTTTTTCATTTTTGTAGTGGAAATATTTTTATTCTTCAGATTTCAGCCTCATTAAATTTTCAAGCTACAAAGACACATAAATAGCATTCAGTGAATTTCTAACTGTATGACAGTCTCAATAATTTCAAGAGGTCTTCACTAATTTACTATTCTATGCAGTCAAAGTAGAAAATTTATCTCCTGTAAATTGTTTAACTGCTAATGCTGGATACCACTGAGGACAGCTATCTTCAATATGTTTTTAAATGCAGAAAACATATTTTCCTAAAAGAAATAAACAAGGACTCAATTACTCTGTAAAATTATTCATTTGCTGGGAAGTACCATCTTACCTCCATTCATATACCATTTAGAAAGTAGGTTTTTTATGTTTTTATTTTAATTGCTCTTCAGTTGGCCTGTTCAAATAGATTCTCCATTATGTAGGTATTCCCCTGAGATGGAAAGTTAAGTGTTTTGTTATATGTGTTTAAGTCTTTCAGGCTACCAGAAGGATAGCAAGAGTTTGGGAGAGCTGTTGAAGGAAAGGTTCTTTATGGTGGGGCTTATTTAAATTACAATAATTTTATTTTCTTGGGACTTCTTCAAGGACATGTCAGGTAGACTGAGAATTACACATCTGAAAAAAGAGAGACAGAAAATAGAAGAGTAAATATAGCAAATGAATATTCCCATGGAACAGAAGTATTGTTACATAATATTTGCAGATAATTTATTCTTAATATTTATCAAAAGTTTTCTGCTTAACAAGTGTGAGGTTTTGGTTTTCAACCCAACTATCTCTTCCATAATCCCACAGTTTTTTTAAAAAAGAATTATGAAGAAGAGGTAAGAAAGGCTGTTTCTTTCCCTTTAGACCTCTCCTGTCCCCAGACTTCATAGAATGAAGCCTACTTAAACTCCTTTTCGAATCTATAAGGGAACTGAGCACCTCTCTGACATTTCCTAGTGGAACAATGAGAAGAGCCTTTTCCCTCTGGACATCTGCACATGCATCTGAATGTATACAGAAGAGCCAAATATGCCATGTAATATTAATTACAGTGAGATGGGGAGGGAAATATTTCTAGTGATACTCCAAATAAGGCATAGAAACCCCAGCAACACTAACTACAATACGCCCTTGACAATACAGATATCAACAAACAATTTATAATATGTTGAAAAGGAAGCAATCTAGTGGATGATACCAATCATTAAATCTTCCCTAAACATTAAGTCAGGACAATTCCTTTATGAAATATTGTGGTGAGAAATACAGTGACCATGATGATAGTACAAACTACAGAATATACAAATACAATTCCAATAGATTCCATGAGATTCCAGAGGTCCTTAACAATGGTCACAGAGAGGAAATTATGAAAACTACTACTGATGGTCTGAACAAGAAGATGTTGCTGCTTGATTTTAAAGCCCTTTGTGTTAGACAACAAACTGTCGTCCATATCAGGCTTTTAGGATCAGGTTTCCCACAGCAAGAGCTGTTTGATCATAAGATGCAGCTTTAAACTTGCCATCTGTTGTCAGAACCAATCTCAACTGAAGCCGAAGTTTTTGTTTTTTACTTTTTATTTATTTTTCGTCAGTAGTACAGTGTACCTTGGTTCAGTCCATTCTTTTAAACTCAGATAAATTTGAGTTTGGCTATCAGACTTGGAACTCACTGCTTGCTTTGTTTTGAGTAATTTACTTGTCCATACTGAGTTATGGCTTTTTCATCAGTCAAGTGGAGATGGATGGCAACTCTCTTAGGGATTTTGGAAAGAGTAAACCTAATTCCTGAACAGCAGTAGTAATGACAATTCTGCATCAGTTATCTTTATCTAGAGCAAATCTTCTACTCAAATATGAAAGTTGGGATATCACCTCACTTCTGAGCTCTAAGCCATACTTCAATACTTATAAATGGTCTTGTTCCATGGTTTTTACCCGTATGAACCTGTTTTGCTGATTTGCTTCGGACCTGGATTCCTTAGTATATGGAACCCATCCTTTAACTAGAAGTTCCTTGTTAGAACTAGACCTCAAACTATGACATGCCTTATCTAGAATTCCCTTAAGTAGAAGACAGCAAGGCAATAGCCCTGATGAGTTGCTGCATATAAGCTTTCCTATGTGCTGACCTAACCTACTGTTCTAAGATGGTTCCTGATAACTCATATGAATTGTGCCTAGTTATTGCTGTGTTTCTTGGGCACTAGACTTTGTCTGCCAGCAGAAACTCTTGCTTAACTCCTCTTGTTTGGCCAATTCCCCCAGAATCTGTCCTTTCTGGTGAGTAGGTTTAATTTCAGGGCTACTCTCTAGGCCAGTAATATTTTATTCTGAGAGGAACAGGGAAATGCATGGCTGAGTTCCAGGATATGAAAGCACAGGTCCTTGACAAGATGTTAGGAGAGTGAGTTGACTTCCAACAATGAAAATATAATAGAATAATGATCATTATCGATGGAATAATTTCTAGATATATTGTACTTGCTGCTTCACAGATACTATCTATAAGCCTCAGAATAAACCTAAATGGTAAATATTATTCTCATTTCACAGATAAAAAGTATTAGGTTCTAATACACTAAGTTACTTGCCCAAGAATAGATTGTTAGTAGAAACCAAAATTGAATTCAAACAATTCTGAGTCAAAAATCTATATTCTTTTTACCACGTCATGGTTCCTTACACATTATCATGAATTAGGCCACTATTTTGATGCTGTTAGAGAAAAATTCTAGGATCCTTGATAGTTTTGGTTAACATAATGAAGATATTCTTTTTCAGAACAAAGTAGACAGTTTACACTAATATCTATCGCCAATATCTATGGAGACTGGTCTTTAGTTCACTAACACTAACAATTTGAGTGTTTCCTTTAACTTGAGGATTATATTTATATAATTATATAATTATAACATATAATTATATAATTTGTATAATTATGTAAATTATATTTACATAATAATATAAATGATATTATGGTGGCTGTTTCACAGTAAGGCTTTCTTGAGCTTGGTGGCCTTTGACATAATTTGGTTATATTTTTACGTGTTTAAATTGGTCAAAGCATCCTTCTCTAGCCACAGCCCCTATTTCTGCACATAACATCAGTCCCTTAATTTAATGCCCTTCTAGAAAGTGACCCTAGGAAATAGAATTAATAGGTATAACGATTGGAAGAATCAATGCCTTGTTTATAAGTCTCCATCTTCAGAATAAAGTTGGGGAACTGAGGCAGTTATTTCTATGAATTGCCCTCCCACTGGGACTGGGGCTGAAATCACTAGCACCCTATCTCTAGTTTGCATATGCTGACCTTGGTTAATACCTTTATTGGAGCTGCTTTGTATTTGTCTGGATAAAGGGGCACATCATGGAGCATACATCTTAACACTATTATTCATCCTATTATAAATGATGCTAACAAATGTGAAGGAGGGGCCCACTTAGGATGTATTCATGACACACTCCTTTTCCACCATCCCACGTCTGCCCGCCTTGACATTTCTGATCCAAGCTATGTAGTAATTCTTCTCCTCATCCTATGTTTTCCACACATTCTTTTAGATCAGTACACAGATGCTTTTACTTCTCTGAGTTTGAGAAAATAAATCATACTCCCACACCCATCTATAAAAGATTATTCAAGGTCATGACGATAACAACTCTTTCTTCCTGTACAAGAAAGAATACCTTTGCTTTCTTACAATGAATCTTCTTTGGTGTTTGTCTTAAAACACTCTTGGGGTAAAAAAAAAAAAAAATAGATGGAGTCTCCATTGCTATTCATGATTTCAAAATGGCCTGCTATATGACCTAACCCAAAATATCTTAAGAGCCTCCCAGGTGCATTATAACATCTAGACTAGTTAGTTCTTAACCCTGGATGCACATAATAATCACCTAAATCACATTAAAAATATTTTTTAACCTCAGGCTCTGAGGTTTCATATTCTGATTAAAATAATCTAGGCTAGGTCCCCAGCATGATTATTTATTAACATTTTCAATGTAAACCAGGTTGAAATGCATCTAGACAATATGACACAGGGGTTATTAACACAGACTTCATAGTCAGGCAGACTGCAGGTTGGATCTTAGTTATCTCATCAGCTATTAAATCCTGGGAATTTGCTTAACCTTCTTCAGCTTCAGTTTCTTCATCTATAAAATGGCTTGATGATGCTCAAAAGTTGCTATAGAAACAGAATAAGAATTAATATAACATACTTGAATGCCTGGTACTTAGTTATTTCTCAATGCATATATATATATATATATACACATAAACATACATACATACATATATATGCAATATATATACATACATATATATGCAATATATATACATACATATATATGCATATATATACATACATATATGTATATATATACACATATGTATGTATATATACACATACATATATATGCATATATATATGCATTGAGAAATAACTATATATGTATATATGTATACACACACACACACACACACATATATATATATATATATTTGCTATGTGATTAGATCTTTCAGGATTTTGAGATGTATGTCTAAGATAATACACGAAGCAGGAAACAAGTATTTTTGCTGACTAAAATTTTACTTAAATCTCCAAATTCAAATGTATCACAAATATTAATGATAATAATTGAGAACATTTATTCACTACCAAAGTATGTGACAGGGTCTGTGTTGAATGTTTTACATGAATTACATTTTCAACCTGTTCAAAATTTTAAAATCTGTTTTACTACATATTTAAAACAGAAGACATCAAATTTGAGAGCTTACAATCTTTTCTCAAATTATCTAATATGAAGAGTTGGGATTTGAACTTAGGTCTATATAAACCTAAACTCAGATTTTTAACCTTTACACTCTGTTGCCACCAAAGCAACAGATCTGCATAAGATTTACACAGGCTTTTTAAACTAATCACCCTTTCTCATTGCCTCTCTGACTAAATTCAGATAATAAAAACCACAGTCAGCTTCATAGGTTGTAACCACACAGTTATATACACAACTATATAGGCTGCCATGCTCAAAGGGCCCCACTCTTGGGATATAATTCTTTGCAATTGTTACCTTGAAATTCTTAATAATTTCATTTTTTAATTTATGTTTTATAAGTGAACTCTGATAGTCCAATGGAGGATATACTTACATAACTTATATTTCTGTTTTCTACCTTTTTTTTTTTTTTTTGAGATGGCTTCTTGATCACCCACTCTTCACCCTATGTTGCATGGACTCTACCTAGCTTCTCCTTGCAAGTTCCCCCTACTTCCTCCCCATCTCCTACATGGGTGTCTCAGTCACATTAATTGGGGAGAAGGCCTGTATTTCATGCCAACTTTTGCCCTTGGCAGGGGCCTGAGTATGGGTACAAGAGAGTCAAATTTAGGCGTGCACCCTACTGCATCTCTGAGGAAAGCAAGGAGGCAGTCATCCTCAATCTTCCCTGAAAATGTCATGGCTCATTCAGCAGGAAACTTAGTAGAGGCTCTTACCCACCATTTTTCCAGGTACCAAGTGTCTCTTGATGGAAAAGTTGCAATACCTTAGAGGTCACTCATCTGTTTTGGGTTGGAGTAGCAGCGTGGCAAGGGGAGATTTACTTCCCCAACCCCGACTGGAGACCTGCATTTTCATTTTACATTGGCCCCTCAAATTATGTAGGTAGCCCTGATGAAAATAAATGACAAAATACAGAAAAGTTCCACAAGGAGCCAGTGGGGTTTGGTGTATTTGGAAAGGAACAAGGCAAGGTGAAGCTACCCAAGCCTGGTGAGACCCAGGCTGGATAAGGTGTGTCCAAGAGTTTGGAATCATGGGCTCTGGAATTTAAAATATTCTTGCTATAAATCCCAGCTTTGCCCTTATTAGTTGTGTGATATTGGGTAAGTAACTCACTATCTCTAAATTTCAGTTTACTCTTCTATAAACTTAGCATAATAATTACACTAACCTCATAAACTTGAGATAGGATAAAATAAGACAATGTGTGTGAAACAGTTGTTTACCAGTGTCTGGGACAAAGTAAGCACTGGATAAATGTGGTTTTTGCTAGCTATTTTAATTTTCTTCTTGACTGAATATCTCTGGGTTGGGGCCATGTTTGTTGCAATGACTTGGCCCTGTAAAGAAGAAAAGACTGCTAAAATGAATGCCCCTTCTTATCCCTCAACCCATACTTTAGGTCCTACTGAACCCATATAAACCTATTTTATTTTCTCAATCAGATGTAAGAAAATTGTAGTTTCTTATATTAGCCATCTCAGAAAATAGATCGTGTCTGAAATTAGAAGTCTGGGTTTGCTTCCCTTCTTTACACTCTCTGAAATGCCATAATTGTAGTGGGACAGAAATATTGAAGGAATAATTGTCTTCCATCCTCTACCCCAATAAAACCCACATGAACATCCACATATTCTCCTTCCTTCTTGCTCTCCTCATTCTCTCCTGGGATACCCATTCCCATACACATGCTAATGTTCTTTGAAACATTTAAGATGCATTTCCAAGTGACAGGAAGTGCTACCATACAAAAGCATCATCTTTTTTTTTCTTTTATGTTAATCTCCAACACATTAATTGGTTGAATTGATTTTCTGGATTAGGAAGGAGGGTAGTTAGTTATGCATTAAAGAAAGATTGATAGGATTGCACAATTGTTTGTGTTTCAAAACACAATTTTCTCAGAAATAAATATATAGGATATTGAGGAGCCTAGAAAGATCAAGGAGTACATTTCTTGCCTTAATTCATCTAGGAAAAGATATAGTTTTCTGCATGAGAAATTACATTAACAGTTGTTAGCTAGTAAGTCATCCAGAGGAAGTGTGGGAGGAAAATAAGGACAGAACGAAATCTAATCCCATTAATAATTGAAGTTAAAACAATAGTATCCCTCTTTGCATTTAAAAATTTAACAGACTTTTTTCTTAAAACTATTATAATTTTTTTTGGAGAGGGTAAGTTGAGGTAGATACCCTTATAAATTACTAGTGAAAACATAAACTGTGAACCTTTCTGAATTGTAACATAAATATATTTCCAGAGCCTCAAAACTCTTAGGGCCTTCAGTTACAATTATTCTAATCTAGGAATGCTGTCTCAGAAAATTATAGGAAATCTGGACAAAGATCTATACACCAAAATGTATGTTTGTACCATCATTTATAACAGTAAATAATTGACCACAAGCTGAATTTCAAAATTTAGGAGATAAATTATTTTTAGTTCCTCTCCTCTAATTTCCCCACTAGCAGTTCTACCCTTCCCTTTTCACTCACTGGATATTACTACCTCTTCTGATTTGATAATGTTTTTCTGAGGGAGAAGAGGCAAATGAGAGGAAGATTCAACATTACTGGCATAACCTGCATTTGCTCCTCTCTGAAAGGCATTTGTGGGCTATGGGAATATGACTACCATTGGGGATCTTACACCTTTCTTCCTTCTGGGAGGCATTTAGTTACTGAAAGTCCACTTGACGAAGACTGTTGGAGATCCCATTACTTTTCCTGGATTACACTTATGTCAATTCTTTATTAAATGGGTATAGGAAGACTGTTATATGGTCCATATTTTGTCCATAAGAAGTATATATCCTTTCCCCTGAAAATTCTAGATATCCTTAACTTCCCCAATAGAATCACCTTTCCTTTTCCCACCTTCACAGTAGCTACCAAGACCAAGTCTCACAATTTTAGCCTTTTCTAGGAAAGAATTTGGCATCAGTTGAGGTACCCCTGTAGACACTAGTGAACACAGATCAAGATGACCAAGTGGTCTTATGGAATTGTCTCTCATTGGTCTTGAAGGGACATGGAAACACCCCCTCCTTGCTCCATGAAAAACGATTTATAGTCTTATTGCAAATTGTTTTTCCAGATAATTTTTTCTCTCAGATTTAACCTCAATTCTTTATCCTTGAATGGGTGCTAAGCTAAGGTTGAAAACAAAGATATGGTTTACCTCCTTTGTCAATTTCTACAATGATAGTGTAGCAATGCCTTTGGAATATTAGAGTAGGCGGCAGCAGTTATCTTTCAAGTTCTGCTCAAATTGAGACTAAAATAGGCTTATTTTTGCGTTCTGCTACATTGTGCAACATTAATGGAGGAGATACACAGTAGTATGCAGAACACAAGAGATGTATCAATTCAGACCTAGCATCAGGGACGACTTTCTCAAGGATACAATCCCTAAATTGAAAACTAAAGTATAAGTACAAGTAAGCATGAATGGAGCAATAGTGAGACCGGAAAAGGACCAGCATTAAAAGAGAATATAGGCCTGGTGCCGTGGCTCACGCCTCAGCACTTCGGGAAGCTGAGGCAGGCGGATCATGAGGTCAGGAGTATGAGACCATTCTGATTAACACGGTGAAACTCTGTCTTCACTAAAAATACAAAAAATTAGCCAGGCGTGGTGTTGGGTGCCTGTAGTCCCAGCTACTCGGGAAGCTGAGGCAGGAGAATGGCATGAACCCGGGAGGCGGAGCTTGCAGTGAGCCGAGATGGTGCCACTGCACTTCAGCCTGGGCGACAGAGCAAGACTCCGTCTCAAAAAAATAGATTAAATAAATAAATAAATAAAAAGAATATAGTGGGAAAGCAAAATGGTATGGCCACTTTGGAAAACAATTTGGCGATTTCTTACGAAACAATGCAAATGTTCCTTACCTGTGAATGGAAAAACTGTGGTACATCCATACAATAGCATACTACTCAGCAATAAACTGGAACACATTACTGATACAAACACTGACATGGATAAATCTCAGAAGTATTATGCTAAATAAATGTATCCATATTCAAAAGGTTCTACGCTATTTGATTCTATGTATCTGTCTTTCTGGAATAAAGAAAACCATAGGAACAAAAAACTGATTATTGGTTATCAGGGACTGCAGGTAGGGGGAGGGGCTGACTAGAAAAGGTCATGAAGGAGTTTTGGGGTGACAGAAACGTTCTACATATTGCTAATGTTGGTAGCCTTCTGTACTCATTTATCAAAGCTATAAATTGTACAGGGTAAAAGGTGAATTTTACTTTATGTAAATTATAACTCAAAAAAGAGTTCCTTCGAGATACTGAAAAATAGTTAATACAGAAATTAAATGAGAAGCAAGGAGTGTTAAACAATGAAGCAGGAAAGATATATGGGTAAGAGGTCATTAAGTTGTTGTAAATTATGCTCAGAAACCGAGACTTTATCCTTTAGATAATGGTGAACATTGAATGGTTTAACTTGATTGCAAACTATTTAGAGGGATCACTCAGCCAGTAGAGTGAAAGCAGGAGGACTAATTGAGATGTTAGGCAGAAATGTAGTAAACTTGGTAGAATATATTGCTTTCCTGAATTAGAAAAGTATGGGAATTTATTCATTGTTTACTCAATGTGCAAAATGTCTATTACATTACAGACACTGAGCTGGTTCCTTGAGATAAAACGGTCAACAAAAACCACACACATACTCAGCCCTCTCTGAGATCACAATCTGCTGGTGAAGACAGTATTCACATAAGCAAATACATAATTTTATCTATGGTAAATTCTATGATAAAAAGATATTATGAAAGTGTGTACTAATAGGGACTGTGTTAGACATAGTTACTCACCTAAAATCTATCTTCCCTCTCTTAATAACAGAATCTCTGTTTTTGTTTAGGGCACCTATGTGTTAGCATTTAAATAACAGGATTTCCTAGCTTTCTTAGCAGTTAGGGCTGGTCATGTGACACAATTCTGGCCACAAATATATAAGTGGAAGGATGTTGGATATTTCTAGGAAGATTTTGCCTTCCCGATTATAATCTCTCCTTGCTGCATCCTTTCCTTTTCCTGTCTAGCACATGTGATAACAGTAGAATTGATGGCAACATAAATATATGTGTTGCTATAGCACAATTTCAATTAATTTTAAAATTTAATACATGATGATAATTTTGATTGTTATTTTTATAAGACCTGTGTTTGTTATTATCCCTCTTCTGCCTCCCCTGCCTAATAGCTCAACAGAAATGTAGCCCAAAATTCCCTCATTCATGGCATGGTTCACCCCATTAAATTTTAGTCTCTTACCTGCCACCCAAATATCAAACCTAGAGTACTTGGGTACATCATGTCTAGATCAGGGTAAAGTTACTGTTTTGGAGTTGTTTTTCTTGGTTATTGTTATTTTTTGTGTATAACAATGCTAATCAATTGGCACTACCTTTTCCCGAACACCATGTACACCCAGCTTCAGCAGGAGAGAGCTTTTTTTTAAATAAGTAATGTCTGCCATGTACACAGAAAAATTGCAATGAATATATTTTATTAACATGATGGAAGCCTTCCCTTTGAAAATAAGGAAGGTAAGAAGACGTTAGAAGATGTTACAGATGTTGCTTGGTATACTCAAGGACACAGAAACAAGATTTTGGAGCATGCATTAGCCTAACTTACATAGCTGCTGGTCTCTGTAGATGGACCTAAGGACAGTGAAGCCTCTCCCAGGGACAAATCCCTAAGGTGCTTTGTGGCCAGCACATGTGGCCCAGGTAGTATAGCCCTGTGGTACCTGTGCCACATGTGCCACCCTATTGCTTTGTAGCACAGGGCTATGCTATCCGTGCCACCCTATTGCTCTGTCCTAGCCCTTCATCTATATCTGCTTCCACAGAGGTGAGCTCTCATGTCCTTTGAGTTCATTTGCCACCTCACAGAGGTGAGGAAGTGGAGCATGAGTGAAAGCAGCCTTCTTTGCCAAGCAGTCAGGTTGCAAAGTGAAAGGAGAACAAGCCATGAGGTTAATTTTGTCTGGTCTTAAGTACAAATTATTTTAGTTTTGGGGGAAGTAAAATGAAGCAATTCAGAAAGAAGAAAGAATTCCGGAAAGAAATTCTATTCTTACCAACCCAGCAGGGATGTACATTTCAATTGCTGAGAGGAAACAATATTAGATGTAATACTAGAGGCTCATTGGAAGCGGAAACAGGAGCCCTAATTTGAAGCGGGAGCCATTCATAAAATGACTCACAAACTTGCTCACAAGAATTAAACCAAGTTTATGAAGAGTAATTCTTGTTTGCATTTTTTTTTCATTTCCAGCAAGTAATGAATAGCAATGTGGCCCATACTCAAGGTTACATCATTCTTTTTCTGATTTTCAAACATGATTATTGTTAGAGCAGGGGACTGACAGACACATATGTTGAGTAGCCAAGGACTGACTGAAAACAGAAGGGGAAATATTAGAAAACCCTGACTCCCAGTCACACACTGGATTAATAAGAGAGCAGTTAATGGTGTTTCATACTTTAGGTAAATCTGAGGGCCAGATTCCTCCCAGGAAGGACATTAGGCAGCAGTTGAGCCAGTGACAAGCCTTTCATAAGCCAGCATGGCTGCCTCAAGGGATCAGCATGATGAAAGCAGGAGATTAACAGAAATCATGTTTTTCACTGTGGGGCTTTTACACATTTCCTGCCGGACAGCTCTAGAGTCAGACGGCACCCTTTACCAGATTAATTGATCAGATTAGTACCAACGCCATGCTTTGTTTTGTGTCCTTCTCCACATTCATGTATCTCACCTCTATCTGGGACAGAAACAGCTTTGCAGGCAGTGGATGCCAGCAGAGCTTCCGCAACTCAAAACCAAAAGAGTAATATCTTCTGACTCATTTCTCAAGACTCCTGACTCTTACCCACTTTGTATCACATTATGGGGTAAGCAAGCTGCTTTGGATCACAGAGTTGCTATGCATTCCAAACTTCCTCCCCAAGAGGGAAAACACAATGTAGTGTGAAGTCATGGGTCTGAATGAATTTCGATTCTCCACACAGATTGCTGTTGTCTTGCCTTACTACCAAGGGGAATGAGCCTATGTCACTTGTTTCTTAAAGCTTCCCTATTGCAGTTGGGACTTTACTTTCAGAGAGAGAATTGTACATTTAGTTCCCTGGGAAATCTAATTCCAGTGTCAAGCCTTTCTCAGCTGAAAGATGGGTCAGATGTTAAGTCTATCCCTCAGAGTGGGGGGACTTAACCTCTCTTATTGGTTTCAAGTTCTTGTTCCTCCTCTGTCATTCTCCATCTTCCTCTCCAAAGACATATTTTCCAAGGGTCTTAGGGGGAAAAGTGGGTACATCATCATTTTGTAGGGCAATAAAGTTGGGAAAATCATTTTAAAAACCAGTTAACATTTATATACCACAGTTCCTGTGTGCCTTTCTAAGCAATTTATTTATAATAACTCATTCAATCATTATACAAACAATGCGGAGATCAATATTATTTCTATCTTCATTTTATAGGTAAGGAAACTGAGGCATAGAGAAGATAAGAAATTTGCCTAAATTCACAAAGTATTAAATATATTGTATAGCTAGTGTTCTAATTGAGGTAGTATGACTCCAGGGCATAATTAAGTAGCTTTTACACAAAGACCTACTTGCTATGTTAGCATGTTTCTTGATGTATTAAATTAGTGCTATTAAACAGTTTTGTGATAATGAATATCCTTAGCTAATGGAAGGTGCCAGATAGCAAACTAATAGGAACTGCATGAAGGGATGCATCATAGAGAGAGACATATAAAGACTCTTCTCTGAATCACTTAAGAACTGTCTATAGCTGTTCCACATTTAAGTAGAAAAGAAAGATGCATCTATTTTTGTATAGTTTCAAAAATATAAACAAGGTGGGTATTGACTATTATGGAATCAATAGGCTAAGTATGCAAAGAATACTAACAGAAAACAAGAGCAAAATAGAAAGCAGGTAGATGATGTTCTAAGAAGAACCTAGGACTTAAGAAAACTTCTTAAGCTCATTTTCAGTGTTCTTTTACTTTTAGCTCTTCTAAAAACCTAATACGCAGGCAATGGCTATCAGGCTGACTAGAATATGAACTTGTGCATTCATGTATGTATTTTTTTCCTTTACTCAGAACATGCCTACTACATGTGCCATTTCAGAAAACTTTTTTCAATCATTCTAGGACTTACTTTCTTCATTTTCAAATGGAGATACTAAAAGTAAATATCTGATAAGCTTTTTGTGAAATTTAATTGAGATGTAGCATGTAAGTCATAAGCACAGCTTGGCCCATAGTATTGTTCAGTTACTACTTATTTAAAACCATGGTTTTACTACGGATTGGAAAAAGAATAGGAAAAGCAAGCAGCTAATATTAGTTGAGCCCTAACCATGTACAGGGCCACTGCAGCTGGAAAACAAGATAGTTGCAGTATGCAGAGATCACATAAGCAGAAATAAACAGGCATGCTATCTATTTCTGCTTACATGATCTCTGCATACTGTCTTCCTTTTTCATCCTATCCATTCTTCCGCCATTGATTTTTATGCCTTTGGAGTGGGGCAGTTTGGTCATAGGCCAGTTTGTGTCACTACCTTCCTATATATCACTTTCTCCCCTGGCTCATTTCACACTTGGTGTATTTTCAAAGGTCTGACTTTTCTTTCAGACTGTCTCTCATGATCCAGAGCCTCATTCAGTTCAATCCAATTTAATTCAGTTCAGTTTGGTTAAAAGAAAAACAAATCATGTGTTTTCTACAACATGATATGGAGATGATTAAGGCAAAAATCCTGCCTCAACTTTTTTACAACCTTTCCTTGTTCTGTCTCGGGTCATGCAGTTGATAATCTCCCTTTATAATTGGAATTTTAGCTCAGTCTTTATCATGCCACCTTCTTATTTTTAACATGCCTAAGCAAGTCAGAAATCTGAAGACAGTTAGCTGACCCTAAAGGTGCAAGAATAGCTGTCTCTGAGACATCATTCATTATGTGCAAACTGCACAAGCGCTTTTTCAAAAGAATGGTTAATCTTCCACTGCATCAAGAATTTAATAAAACTCTGTGAATCGGGTATTTTTCAAGGCAATAATGAATATAACATTAACTGGCCTTGCTTCTTAAGAGCAGAGTACATTTTAGTTTCCTTTTTCTAGTGTCTATCTATATGAAGCTAACTCAAAAACCTCCAGCATGACCAATGTATTCTTTTATCCTCTAAATTTCCACCCTCTCGTTAACAACATCATTACTCCAACTTCATTTAGCAGTGTAAACACTTCCCTTTGTTTGCATTAGGATATACCAACCCAAATACCACAGCCATAAAAGAGAATTGAGTCTAATAAAGCAGATAGGTATACATTCTGCCCAGTTGCCATTGTTTTCCAGTGAAGTAACATGTTTATTTGAGTCTAATGCAATACCCTGACCATGCAAGGTAAAGTGCAGACTTTAAAAAAGCCCATTAGGCTAAGACTCCATTATGTCCAGAACTGATTTGACAATGAACACAACAGACAGATCAGAAAGAAGGGAAACTGAGATGCCGGAAATGAAACCCAACTATTTGATAGTATGGCCATATTTTGTTTCTTGTGCTGTAATAAGATATTATGGAAAATTACTAAGCTTCCCATGACCCTGATGTTAAAAAATCATTTTAAATCTTGTGAGTCCCTCATGTGCTGCCTCCAGTACAGAAACAGCTTCTTTGTCCTTATAGAGTGATTTGTCAATTTTAATATATTTTCAAAAAAACGAACTATGGACTTTCTGTGTCTTCTTTATTGTGCATTTATTTTCTATTTTGTTAATTTATGCTGTTACGTTATTTCCTTGATTTAATTTTTTGGGGCTTAATTTCCAGTTTTTCTAAGTTATCGAGCTCTTTGCCTAGATAATTGATTTTCAGCCTTTTAAATTAATAGTACATAGTTTCCTCTAAGCATAGCTATAGCTGACTGGTGACTCCCCCAAAAAACAGTAATAATGGAAATTAAAATGGAAATAAATAATGGAAAATAATAATAATAAATGGAAATAATGCTGCCAGAGCAGCAGTGTCTGATGAAAGATACCTCGACCTAAACTTTATGGTTTAGAAAGCAGCCAACTGCCATGATTCTTTTAGTGTTGAAGAATGGGGGTAGGGGGTGCTTATCAGTACATTCCTGTCTGTACTGACATTTTTGACTTCTTACCCTGATTATAGGGAGAAGACCACTGTTTAAGCAATGCTCATACTTTCTGTCCTTTACCACCTCTTGTTCCTAGGATTAGGTATAAGGAGGACTTTGTTCCCCTCAGTAAGAGCTGAACTATGTTTGTAAGGTCCTAGGTGTACTTTCTATTTGGATTCTTCAGCCACTCTTAGCTCCCACTCATTTTAATGCAAAGTCTCTTACTTTTCCAAATTGCAATCCTACCCATTTAACCCTTAAGCATCATATTTTTATCATGAATGAATCTTCCATTGCTTCAAAGAGTGCAGAACTATATACATGGCTATAGTATACATCTACAATACACAAGTTACAGTAGGATATATATTTTAGAAACCAATACCAATAAGAAAACACAAAATCTGTCCTTCTACATCTTCAAACTATACCACCATGAAATGCAACTACTACATTTCCTGGCCATAATGCTTACACTCTTTTCTTTGACCAAAACAAAATGAAATGAAAACCTATGAAGAGGAAAATAGTTTTACTTGCAATGTCTCCAGAAGACCCAGATACTCAGAGGAAATGTTTTTAGCCAACAGGAGTTCCATGTACCCAGTTTACCTCTCAACAGATCCAGTATTATTCAAGTAATAAGCTGAAATTATTGATATTTGCAAAGTTAGGAGCAACTGCAACTTCTGGGCAATGAAAATGTAGAAGGACATTTTTAGAGTTTATCTGGGAAATACTTTCTTTTCCAAGAAATTATAGTTTTTTTGGAAAACAAAAATCTTTTTTTAACTTTTTCTAACTTTCTAGCCCAGGTTCCTCCTTTTTCCTCAATTCCTGCCTTTGTCCTGGAGCTGGGGCAGCCATCTTCTGACTGTGGTGCAGTGAGTTAAGAGTGAAAAGTCAACCCACAAAGAATGACAGAGAAAATGTAGAAGTGAGCCTTGATGAAACTGTTGAACAGCTGAGTCAATGCCAGCAGCCGCCTACCTCCAGTGTTCTTATTATGTGAAATCAATAAACCCCCAGTTGTTTAAGCTGTCATTAGTAGGATATTCCATTATTTTTGGCTAAAATGGATTTCTAACAGATAAACAACTTTACCACCATCCACACTAACTAGAACTTTACTTATTTCCTGAGTCCCAAAGCCTTCGAACCTACCCTCTGACTAAACTGGCAAACTATTTTATACACAAAGTATTCATGGTTAATGGTGATTTAATGAGTTACATTATGCCAGGAGGCTTTTATGTTTTAAAAGTTGGCTTCAGATGCTTAAATTAAAAAGTATGATAATAAGGGAATAGCTGAACTAATAGGAAGATGTTTTGGGACCAAAAAGTAAACTCCTTTACTTCTCAAAACACACCTTTGCTGATTTGATCTGTTTGAAGTCAGCTTAGATAAGAGGAAGTTGACTGTGGAATTTATGAAATTGAACCTCACTACAATATGGTCAACAGGTAGAGTCATGTATCAAAAATGACCAAAGACTAAAGGAAAAGTGATTGTGAAATTTCCTCAGCTGTTGGTAAATTTCTCTGAATTATTATTAACAAAAGACAATCTCCATGCTCAACAACCAGTAGAGATTGAAGAAGGCAACTCTTTATTCTTTCAAGAGAAGAGGAAAATTCAGATAATCAGTTTCTAAGAATTTTCCATGGGCATCTCAAACTCAGTGTTTTCAAAACAGAATTTAAAGTTATTTTACTGAAATAGTTTTATCTTCATCTTCTCTGATAGGCTCCCTGCTGCTTGTGATCATTTCACCCCATTCCCATTTAATTATATTATCAAATCTAGTGAATTTTTCCTCTTAAATTAATTGCTTGGAATTTATCATCTCTTTTCACTCTAATTGTTCTACTTAAGGCCATTTTATTTCTTGTATGACCATTTGCAAAAGCCCCCATCGTTAGTTGCCTTAGAGCTCACTGTCTTTCATCCTGTATTCATAGTATTATCTCTAAAATTCAAAGCCAGTTATGTTACTCCCATGAAAAAAATTCTTCTATAGTTCCCCAGATGTCCCTTACAATCTAGACTTCATTTGCTTCTCTGATGATGTTTCCTATCATTTCCTTTATATACCACATGCCCCAGCCATACCCAAATCCTGGTAGTTATTCATCCATGCCACACTGTTTTATGCTTTGTATCACTTAAAATATATTATTTTGCTGGGAACCTCTTTCTTTCACTTCTAATTCCCTTTCAGCTTACAAGATGATGACCTGAAATCATGGAACAATGGGAGAGTGGCATAATTGAAGACTGCTCAGATGTTATTTCATTTTTTCTTTCTTTTTTTTTTTTTTTTGAGACAGAGTCTCGCTCTGTCACCAGGCTGCAGTGCCATTGGAGTGCAATAGCATGATCTCAGCTCACTGCAATCTCTGCCTTCCAAGTCAAGCGATTCCTCTGCCTCAGCCTCCCGAGTAGCTGGGACTGCAGGCACAAACCACCACGCCCAAATAACTGTTTTGTATTTCAGTAGAGATGGGGTTTCACCATGTTGGCCAGGCTGGTCTCGATCTCCTGACCTCGTGATCCACCCCCGTTGGCCTCCCAAAATGCTGGGATTACAGGCGTGAGCCACTGCGCCCATCCCATATGTTATTTCTTTAGACATGCCTTCCTTTTACTCACAGTTTAAGAGGGTCTTATACTACCTGATATTTGTTGACATCAATAGTCTACTATAGTATAAAATAATATAATTATGTATCCCTTTCCCATTAGACAAGTGGTTCTCAAGCCTAGCTTTACAATCTAGGGAGTTTTTAGAAAATGCTGATCCTTGCTCTCTATTTTCGACCACTTGCTATGTTTTGTTATAGAACAAATGTCAGATATTTGGAGAGCCCATTCTTTTACTTCCTGTTTTTTTCAGCATGCATAGGGTGCTGTTAGTTGGCAATCTGACTCAACTAGTCTATGTACAGTTCTCAATTCATTTTGCCAAGTATGAATTCAGAGTCAACTTTTAATATCTGTAGCTGCCTTCTCCAAGCTTGGAACCTCTGTGGAGTTCTGTCTGGCAGGGCGCGGTGGCTCACGCCTGTAATCCCAGCACTTTGGGAGGCTGAGGTGGGCGGATCACAAAGTCAGGAGCTCAAGAACGTCTTGGCCAACATGGTGAAACCCTGTCTCTACTAAAAATACAAAAATTAGTCGGGTGTGGTGGCGCGCACTTGGTGTAGTCCCAGCTACTCAGGAGGCTGACACATGAGAATCGCTTGAACCCAGGAGACAGAGGTTATAGTGAGCTGAGATTGTGCCATTGCACTCAAGCCTGGGCAACAAGAGCAACACTTCATCTCAAAAATAAAATAAAATAAATAACTTCCACCTCTATAATGCTTGTGTGCTGTTGAACTGCAACTTTCTCCATTCTGGTTCATTTTTCAATGAAATACAAATTGCTTTTAGCCTCACAGAAATTATTCAAATTCTCCTGCCTTGTGTTAGCTTACCCCTTCCTCTTATTGTTGGAGCTTCTATGTATTTCTTCTCTTCCGAGTATTTTAACTGTGGTTCCAATGGGATGTGGGAGGGAAGGAAGGAAGCATATTTACAGAGGCTGTGATTTTGTCTTCAATGGCAACTTTAGGTACCTTATTTTAACATTTTGTAGTACTAGAATTAGTCACTATATCCGTTAGGCATGGGTTAAGCTGCAAGTAATAAAAAGTATTAGTTGATGGGTGAAATAAAGGTATAATTTTGAATATAGGAAATTTGAAAATAAGTAATCCTAGATGTCACACATTTCCCCTTGTGTCATAAAAGGCCTATCCTCAAGACATCTAATTTTATAAGATGCATTTACCCCTCCAAGAATCACATCTATATTCTGGGCTGGAAGGAAAAGAAAAACAGAATAAAGGACACACAGCTATATCTCTGTCCCTTTTATTAGAAAAGTGATAGTTTGCCTGGAAGCCCCTTCATCATATTTACTATTGCATGTACCTCAGCATAAAGGGATACTGTAAAATTGACTATTGGACTTTCCAGCCTCTGAGTACAGAAAAGCAAAGGAGAAGGTAGTAAGAAATTAGTATTTGGTGCACCGGTTTATGAGTCTAATACAACTACTGACTGTTTCTTAGATTACAAGCAGTTAAAATGAAATTCTATAAAATAAGCATGTTTGTGTCTAGTTGAGAGAGAAGCTGGGAATTGATTCACTGGTTTGGAGGAAGGAGAGGTACATAGAGAAAAAGTCGAGTCGTAGCAGTGAGCCAGAAAGCAGTTAGATGAGTAAAAAGCGGAGCATAGGCAGCTCATCCCAGTCTTTAAAGCCTTCCCATGCTTTAACTTTGATAGTGGTAATGCAGGGTCCACATACATGCACGTGTAATTACTCCTGAATTTATTTCTCTGTATCATTATTTTAAATTGTATTTAACTAAGAAGCTTTCCTTCAAGGAACTAAAAGTCTGAAGCTTCTACTTTTAGATTTTTGAAAAAACTCAGTAGTTATACCTCTTTAGTACTATCAAAGACCTTATTTTCAACAGACTACCAAAAAGACAACTTAATGATGGCTTAAATTTACATTGTAAAAAGAAAGAAATGGTTTTCCCTTCTATGTGTCACAGAAAGGCTCATTTCTCATTATTTCAGCATGGACTTCTGCAGTTTCCTCAATGTAAACCCTAAATACAAACTAGAAAAGCTGAAGCTGGTCATCACAACCTTAAGAGGTGTCCTGGAGTTCCCTCTTGTTACACTGTTATAGTAAACACACTGTCAGCAGTGACAATAAAGTGGCAAAATACTCATGACATGATTGTGTGTCACTTACGAATAGTCAACTAAAGTGGGAACTCAGCATAGAAAGTGTGAAGTTGTTTTTCTCATAAAGACCAAACTAGAACATGTACTGAGGGCAAAGGCATAAACCTTCAACTCATAAAAGTATGTTGCTGTTGAAGGTTCTGATCCAACATGTCTCTGGAACTTGAACAGTTATCTTTTTGTCCCACTCACTCAATATTATCTAGTCAACAGTTCTACTCTCAGTAGGGCTCTCTCACTGAAGTCCCTTTTCCCTGCCAATCAATCTCCAGTTTCCATCTCACTTCTTTATCAACATCTCCCACCATACCAAATCTATTCCTCCACACTAAAAGCCCCATTGATTCACAGTTATATATTAGGAAATGTCTTTGAAACGTTGGCTGAAACCATTAGCAACAAATAAACTGGTCTACCCTCAAGGTCATTAAATTCAATTTCTAGAGGGATTAGCTTATTTCAAATTTGAGTTAGATTTCCCTAGTCCATAAAAAGATCTACAAGCTCCTTTTATTGCATTTAAGGAAAAATCAAAACAAACAACAAAACAAAACAAATATTTTGAATTTTCAGGTTAAAGTAATTATCCACCATGAGCAAGGTCACAGTTATTGACATCTTCTATCTGTAGACATCTGATTGAATTTTATTCCTGAGCTAAGGTACTGAATGATCTTTCCACAAGTCAGGTGGGCTCTCTGGACCTTCCTTGGTTTCCTTCATTGGAAATGTGAGACTGGAAACAGGGCTGATTACTGAAAATCATAATTTGAATATATCTTTTATTAATGACCCATTTTTGCAAACTGTAAATTTTAGAATGACTTTCTTATGCTTTTAGTGAAAAAATCTATGAAGAAAATATAGGAAATATTCATTCTCACCACTTAGAATGTAAATTAGTAATATTAATCTATTTCTTTTTATGTAAATTTTTAAAACATAAGTATAAATCAAGACTTCATTACCCATATTTCCTTAGTAATATACACATTTCCTCTCTTTAAAGGGTAATAGAGCTCTATTTCATGAGCTTTAGCTATCTTCCATTCCTAAGCTTAGAGTATCTTTACTGTGTTAGTTTGCAAATTAAAAGGCAAAAAAAATTAGTCTTGTTTTCACTTTCTCTCAAAAATTACTATTAGAGTATATGTAGTAACTGTTTTGGCTTTGGAGTCAAATGTTTATTGATATAATGCCTGACTCTATTACAAACTACTTCTGACAACTCAAATAAATTCATCTTACTGCTCTTGGCTTAGTTTCCTTATCTGTGAAAATAACTTAAGTAATAACCATAATTATTTCATAAAATTATTTTTATTTAAATAAATTGGAAAATGTGCTTATACCAATGGCTAAATAAATGTGCTTGAGTGTGCATTAGTACACACACACACAGACACACACACACACACACACACACACACACAGAGTCTGTGATGTTCTGTTTGTATTCTCCTTGATGCAAAGCCCAACAAGGAAGAAATTCATTCAACTGTGTGGATGGTGTGATCTTATAATGTTTAGAAATACATACCCAGATTCTAGATAATGTTCTGATTTTTCTCTGGCTTATTTATGATGACACCATGGAGATCTAGATTTTCCCTAGTTTCACCATCTTATTTTATTCTCAGGTAATATATAGCTGGTGCTCAATAAATTCATGTTGTACTGAATTGAATCGGTCAAGGGGTTTAAATGACCATATTTCAGAGAGGCTTATCTAATATTTTTAAAAGCCGGAGTATGTAACATAATGTTTGAAAACTTTTCCCACAGTGGACTATTGAGAACCTAAAAAATCCTTCT
This sequence comes from Homo sapiens, assembly GCF_000001405.40. Lineage (NCBI taxonomy): Eukaryota > Metazoa > Chordata > Mammalia > Primates > Hominidae > Homo > Homo sapiens. The sequence continues at coordinate 29,195,655 of NC_000011.10, forward strand.
TCCTACTACATTTGCATTTCAAACACACACATATCAAATAGCAACTACCAGAAACTGGAGTGTTTATAACTAACTCGAAGGCTGCATAAATGAAGAGGGTGCACTAACAAGAAATGAATATAAACTAAATCTTTGGCATTAACTTACATGGAGACTTTCATTCCTAGAAATTCAAGTATCAAAGCAGATAGATCTTGTAATTGTTATTGTGGTTTGGCATAAATGGAACCTTTAAGAGAAACAATAAATTAGGAATACTTATATTTTTATTCTTTTCTTATATATTTATTTTGAAAGTTAGAAGCCCCCAATATTGTCACCTTTAGGAATACTAATAAAGTAATATGATGAAACTGAAATATTCGTGCTTATTATGAACATGTAATATTCTTAGACATCATCTAGCCTAATACTGCGATGACTAGCTAGAACCTTGAGAGGTTATGGAGCACCCAGTCAGTCCAAGTTGATACATGGAAACTCTTTGTACTATCTTTGCAATTTCTCTGTAAATAAAACACTGTTCTAAAATGGAAAGTTTATTTTAAAAAGTAAATATACCAAAAGTTATATGTTCAGTTGCTATAAGTACAAAATATTCTATCAACATTCTTTCTCATTTTAAAGACAGTATACAATTAGCACTTTTATCTACAATTTATAGAGTTAGTATTTCTCTGGGCACAGCTCTGCATTTGTTATACCAAATTTTGTTTACAGATCATCTACATTTAAATATAAATCTCTTACAATATTGAACATTCTATCAAGATGAGTTGAAAGGATATACAATAAATATACATAAATAATACAACCATTAAAATGAAAGCAAAATATCAAGACTGTACAGAAAGGATATGAAAGAGAAATATAGTGTTTAAAGGGCAGAAGAAAGCAATGTCCCTAGTACTAACAGTAATGAAAGTATGCACTTAGGAGTGTTGCTAATATTACCTTAAAATTTCCCTTGACTGCTAGATTATTTGTAACTCATATTAATATAGTAAACACTTTTTTAATATATCAGTTGTCACTGTTTTCAAAGTTGTGGACTTGAACAGATGGAAAATATTAAATACTGTGGGTGGCTTACTCGGCTTGGCATCGGAAATTGAATTCTATAATGTGAAAAAAAATTCTGTTGAATTTAATTTTACCTATTCTACCAACACCCCCACCAACCTGCTACTCTGCCCAGAAGGGGATAGCCTGACAACTCAAGGCTCTTATACATACATTTGTCACATAATTTCTTTCACTTTCCAATTCCACAGTCCCTCAAAATAAAATTAAAAGTGAAGCAAGTGGGTGGTTTCACAATCTTCTCATTCAAACATTGAAACCAATATCAAATTATTAACTTATGGAAAAGAACAAATAAAAGAAGGGAATCCCATCTCATTAAAAATGAAAGAGTCTTGTATGTGGGGAAGACTAGGATAGAGTCTACATATGAAATCAGTTTGAAAAGAGAAGTGCTTCTTGGTGTCACCATTGTTCAATTCGCAGACCATCTTTAATGTAACGGTATCCTGATTTCTCAGTGCCTTTGGGCCAGCAGTATCCTGACAGGAAAACAAAATTTTGAGAACAAGAAAAAAATAAGACAATGCTATGTATGGCATCAGACAAAAACCAGGCTTAATTTCCAACCCTGTCTCTTACCAGCTGTGTACATTTGGGTAAATTACTTCATTTCTCTGAGCTTTACATTCCTAATAGGTAAAATGGGAATAATAATATAAACCACATTGAAATTGTATAAGAACTAAATTAGATATTATAAGTTAAATGCTTAGCACTATGTTAAAAGTTCAGCTTGAGTTGCCTAACCAGAGATGTGGTCCACACACCTATAGGCAAGCACTTTGTGATTCATTTGTTTTTGTATTTAGTTTCCTGGCACAAAAACTGGAGTTCTTTGTTGTGATATAGTATCTCCTGATGGCATTCTCTGCAACACTTATATCCCAGATCTTATAAAAGTCAGTGTTTTATTAGTAAATTAAAATACTCCTGAGAAGAAACCCTTTGAAATATCATTTAATATTGATTGTGTTAATGTAGTTTTCTCTGGTTTCTGGGAATTCCATTCGTGGGAATGTAATAGGTGGTTCAGCTCACCTAGTACAAGCTGTGATTGTTGGGTGTGGTAGCCTGGCTCACAGTATCCATCTCCATCTAGGTGCCTTTTTGTATTTCTAAGTCTGGAAATGTAAATGCTAACTTTCTAAGTTTCTCTTGTAGTTATGATTCTGGATAGAGATTGCATTCTACTAATTGGATATGTTTGCATGAAATCTGGAAGGTTGTTAATGAAAAGAAACCTGTTTTTCTTCAGTTATAACTCTAAAAGCAAAATCAGTGAGACTTAAGTCTTGAGAGTCAGTTTTAGCACCTAGGATTGAAGTTTGCTTCACGGGTGTTGAGTGCTGACGGTAGTGGTGGCTCTGGATACATGATAATTCACATATACTTGAATTCAATACTCCTGTAGCTATTCCTGAACTCCCTGTCCTCCAGCATTTCCAATAATTTTGTAAACACCCAATTCTCTTTACAAAATCCCTTTCTGTGGGAGCTAACTAGACTTCTTTCTGTTTCCTGCACTGCACTCTGACTGATAAACTATAACCTTCAGAAAGACTTTGTTTTGATTTCTTAATTTCCTAGATGGGAATAAGAGCAGGAAAACGAAAACTAGATAATTTTTAGGGTCTAGTCAAGCATTAAAACTGCTACTACCTCAGTGACCATTGCCATTCTAGAAGAAGGATATCCATTTCAATTTGAGGTTCATTTGTGCTATATATTTTCTGTTTTCCCCTCCAGATCCATTCCTCACCTTTTATTATCCTACTCTGTGTCACAAGAGGCTCAACTTTATACCTTTATGAACTACATCCACAGACTCCACATTGTCTGGCTACTGGTTGGGCTTAGCCAATGAAAGGCACTAGCAAAATACTGAATAGTGAGGGGAAGGGGGTGAGGCTGGAATGCCTGTTTTTTTTTTGGCTTCCTCTCTTCCGAGTGGCCTTGGGTTGACAGTGTCCCTCAAGTGAGAACCATTGTTTCTGTAGTCAGTCCTCTTCTCAACTACCACCATTTGAACCAGGTTCTAGTAACTATTTCCCTTCATAATTTAGGCCTGAATGTACGTTCTTTGTTGCATCTAAGCTTGGAGTACTACACAATTTGTTGCTAATTTTTCTTAACCTTTTTTAAATAGTCCTTTTTAAATAGTCCTTTTATTAAACTTTTTAAATAGTTTTTAAATAGTCCTTTTAAAATAGTCCTTTTATTAAACTATCCTCAATATTAGTATGCCGTCTATGTCCTATGGGACTTTTACTAATACAAATGAGAAAGTAAATGAATACTGTGACTGTAAAAGTAAAATAAAACAAAACAAAAAAATAAACCTCCCACAAAACTCTGACATAGGGTACCACATTAAACCTTGGGAATATCATATTTTATATCATAATACAATCTGGCTGTATTTTCCTCATTTCACCCACATACCCAGCTATCACATCCCTACCCATAGTCGTTCTATGCTTTACTGAATTAATCTTCTTAGATTATTTTTGTGTACTGTCAACTTTATTTCAAATTTCAGGAGCTCCTTACTGCCTCAGAATCATGTAAACCTTTTAACTTGGTATTTCAAGTTATCTGTGCTTCTCTGGAATACATTCTTATCCTTATGTTTTATGCCATTCTATCATTGAAGAACCTTCTGTGATTTTTGTGCCCCTGAGCCTTGATCATTCTGTTTTCCTTCTCTACAATGACCACCTTGCCTTGCCTTTCAAAATTCAATTCAGTTACCAAGGGCTAGCTCAAGTCCTGTCAACTTCTTGTTTACTATCATGAGCAGTGTAATTTCTTTCTCAACTAGTATCAGTATATTGGAAACGAGAATGTATGATGTATTTTGTATTATCGAATTGTATTCTAAGTTGATTTTTCTTTTGTCTCTTTATAATAATGAAAATAATAGTTAACATTTATTGAATGTTTACTGCATATTGAACATTGTCCTAAACACATCACATACAAATGTTACAATAACTCCATGAAGTAGTTACCAAAATCTCTTTTGCTAGCTCTTGCTAGCTGTGATATGTGTTGGTTAATTAATCAGTTTTCACCTCAGTTTTCTTATTGTAAAATGAGCATTAATGATCATTCTAACCACACAGACTGTTGCGAGAATTAAATGAGTTAATATATAAAAATATTTAGATCAAAAGCTAATACATTGTGAGCACTCTACAAATACAGTAATTATTAAATTATTATTATTACTGTATTCTGTTTTACAGAGGAGAAAACTAAAACATAAAGACATTAATTATAAGCTGTAGAGCAGAAATATGAGCCTCGTAGAGTAGTTAAGAGTAGATTCTGCACTCTTAAACTACTCAATTCAGCCACTAGATTATATGTGGTTTGAGAATTTGTCTTGTTCTTGTTCTTATACAGAGGGCAACACAGAGTAAAATCTTTTAAGAACTAATTGTCATAGAAAATCTGGCCTCTACTGGAAAATCTTGTATGTTTTCTTTAGTCAGGTCATGGAAATGACATTATCATTTGTTACAGTCTTTACCTTAGACGTGTCAGAAAGACCAGAATAAAATGTAATGTTCAAAAACAATAGTTAACATTTGCTAGGATATTGGTACAAATTATTCCTCTTCTTTCAATATAATTTGGATAATATATTTCTATTTCTATTTTATTAAGGAAGTAGGATACGTGTATTACTGCAAAATAAATTTTGGACCTAGATGAATGAAATTTACAAATAGGTGATTTATAAATAAGTATTTTACCTCTATAATATCATATTGCCTAATCCAGTGTATTTTCTGTAGCTGACATACAATATATATTGTTTGATTAGGTCAACCAAATATTTGGTTTTACTAATAAAATCAGTAATTACTGATGCACAAAAAAAAACTTAGCATCAAATGCAGCTAATTAAAATTCAACCAGATTTCTTGGATTTTTAAATGAGAAAAGTCTCAGGGAGTTAAATGAACTTCCTGTAGAAATGTAAAATTTCAATTCACATTTCATTCGGTATCTCTTTCAAATTTTCCTGCCAAAACTATTGTATTATGCTACAATTATGCAGAGGTGCTATTTTACACTTGGATTATTATTTCAGAAGCTCTGCTTCCGATGTCTAATAAGGTTTCCACATATAACTCCCACACCCCAGAGCTACCTTCAAAGGTCATTTTTCTATCCCGTTCTTTGCCAACATAATTGCACCTGCCAGGTGAACTGCAAAACAAGTCCCAGGCGCACACGGTGAGTCAGTCGCTGTCATCCAAGCTGCTTTCCTGTTTATGCTCATCCCGAGCATTATGGGCTGGGAAGGCTCTGGGGCCATTTGTAGCTTCTCTTTTTGATAGCCAGAATTTTCCATACATTGGCTCTCAATTCCCAATCTCCCTTAACAGGAAGTCGAAACAGACTTGATATCAAAGAGGAGAGTTTAAGATGAGCTCAAACAAAGGGTAGAAAAAGAGAGAGAGAGACCCCTAACGTTTTCAAAACAATCCAATTTGAAGAGGGAAATATGTCATGTTCCTGAAATGGTTTAAAAAGGCATGCAGCTGACTGGCAAATCTTTTGCTCGCGTTTCTCTGTCATATTTACCTTTCTTGTAATCTCCCAGGGCCTCTTTCAGTTGAAATTCACAGCATTTCCTTATTGCTAGTTGCAAGTCTCATAGCAAAGTCAAGTATTTCTCTGTGAACAAATAGATGTGCTTAGTATTCTCCCATCTATCTTTTCAATTGGGGAAATAAGTGAATATTTTCAAAATCCTATCCTATCGTTGCACTATGTTTTAGTGATATGACCTCCTAACAAGTATCCTAAAAATAAAGAATGATGTAAAAGGTATAATTCTATAGCCAACAATACCACCTGTTTGCAGTCAACAATTATGTTTTTAAAAATATGAGGTATTTCTAAAGCCTTGAAAACATGAACATAAATAAGATATTTCTTGTGAAATAGAGTTGTTTTTTTTTGTTTAAATCTTGGAACTGAGAGTAGATTATTCAAATACAGAGTAATATTCAGTAGAGCATTAACTGCTATAATAATTCAGATGCTTTCTTTTCATAGCATTCAACATAGTGCTTTCAGTATTTTTTTAAATCCCACTGGGGAAAGGTTTCAGGTAAAATGACCCTATGAATGTTTAAAGAGTGCTGGGTACTATGCTGAACTCCTCAGCTCCCCTGGCGTAATTCCCCTGAGATAGGTATTCGTATTCTCAATTTATATGTGAAAAATACATTCAGTGGTATTTTCTGCATAAATGATACAGCTAAAAAGAAATTAGTGTATACTATACCTCAGATAAGTCTGACTTTAAACCTTGTGCCCTTTTCTTTATGCCAGAGCTACCTAACAGAAAACATTGTATCATTAAAATACTATATAGTATCACTATAATAATTCTATCATATATTATTGGACATTATAATAATTTGATATGATAATCACAATAGCAATATAACGACTCTAAAGAAGGCCATGACTAGCCAGGAGAAACATTTAGAAATGAAGCCTAGCTGATAAGAAGCCAAATCAGGGCACCCTGGGGATGACTATACAAATAACATAGGAAGACAAATGCTTCCATAGATAGCAGCAAATTTCAAGGGTAAGGCAAGCAATGGAGGAGACTTGCCTACCTGGAGAACTCATTTGGGACAGAAAGTAGCATGAGGTAGGGGTCTTTCAGAAATCCATTTCTGCATAAGAATGTCACTTTAATTACTTTTTGGAACCTGATGATATGGTGAGCTCCTTGTTTAAACGTCAGGATGAACACTTCATAGGTCGAATTATCACAAGTCACTGACTGATCAGATGATCACAGATCGACTTTTGAAACTACAATAGTTTGGATACTCCATTGCTGGAGTCCCTGAAGGGGTCTTAATACCCCATTGGCTACTTTTTCTTCTAGTTCGATTTGGTTTCCAAGCCCAGTCTTAGCCCTTTCACAATAAATAAATAAATTAAATAAACAAATAAATAAAATCACTAGATAATTTTTCCTTCTCTCTTCTCATCCACATTTTAAAAATACAAATAAGTAAACAAAAAGGATTAGTATGTATTTAAAACTAACTGTAAACAAGAAGAGACGGTAATGTCATTGGGGGAGAGATTCATTACTCATAATTTATAACCCTTTCAATCATATTCCGACTTATAGTCTCTACCCCATTCAAGCCATTCTCTATGCTGCCTTAACTATGATCCTTATAAAATGAAAATATTATATTAACTCTATGCTTAGAATCCTTCAAATTGCTCTGCCTCATATCAGAATAAATTACGAATCTTTTAAGATTGCAGGCGAATCCTTTTATAACTTGGACCCTGTTTTCCTCTCCAACTTCATTGCTTTTTTTTTTACATTTTAGCAATGCTAGAATATATGTGGCTCCCTGAAGATGCCAGCCATTCTGTTTTATTCACTGCAAGCATTTGCATTTGCTACTTCTTTGGTTTCTAATGCTTTTCATCTCTCTTGTCCAACATATGAACCTTTTTAGAGTAAATCATTTTTTCTATGCTCTTTCTGTAGCTTCTGCAAAATTATTGTTGCATTTATTATACTATAGATAGATAATATATAGATAGACCGATGGATGAGAAGATGGTTTATTACAGGAATTGGCTCATGCAATTAGGGAGGTTGAGAAATCCCACAATATGACATCTGCAATAATTATTTATATAATCATTTGGTGACCTTTTGGAATTACTTGCTAGACTGGTGGGATCTTTGGAGTCAAGTCCATGTCTTACATGTTTCCCCACAGCTATTCTTAAAGCATAGAAAACACAATTATGTTAGTTCTGTTGCATTGGATTTAATTGTGTCCCCAGATCATTAGAGTCACTGGAAAATACATATGGAGGCCAAGAAACTGCTCTGGGTTACTGAATCTTTGTATTCACTTGTGGAGTGGTAGGTTCCTTTCAGACAGCTACCACCTGACTTTCCTGTCAAGCTCAAAAATCTCCAAATAGAGCCCATTTGTAACTTGGACCATATGAGGTCTTGCATGAGGTGTTGATTTGCATTGACAGAGTCATGGAAGTATATTTCAGAGCAAATGCTCCCTTTTCCTTTTTTAGTACTCTAATTTAGTGTGCCTACTGTCTATGTCAATGATGGCAAATGTGTGACACAAATGTCACCACTCTCATCTCCTGCAAAACTGATTGCCATCTGAATCTATTGGAGAGTTCCTTCTTTGGAAGGGAAAGCTTGATTTATTCATTGGACATCTGGTTTTAGCTGAGTGGAATATTTTACACCATAATACCTACACTGTTCACTTATGTAATATATTTGAGATAGCAGAATTTTCTGGCTTAATTTAATAATTTATTATATTATATTAATTATGGTGCAATTCCTGGTTAATTTGGGGATTTCCAAAAGGGCCTTCAAAAAATCACATTCTCCTTCTACCTACCTGCATCTGAAAAAAATGAAGATAACATCGAAAATTAAACATGAGTGCCAATATATCACCTTTATAACTGATAGAGGCTGAATATGAGCATATGACTTTAATCTGATGGCAATTGGCCTTGGTAATACTAAACCCAAGAATCAGGCACTTCTGCACCCAGTATCAGTTACTACCATACTGGAGTAGGCATGCTGAGTCTGCCCAGGCAGGATTCACAGCATGAAGGAGTGAAGAACATACGTTCCTTGTGAACATTTGCTTTCAAGAAGGGCAAAGCTAATCAGACAACACAAATGTATCTCTGCAAACTTTACCAGTTGGATAAGTCACTCCAACCTCTGAGTGGAGGTAAGACTGAAGCAGGAAACAGAGTCAAAGCATAGACTTAAGAAAAACTTCTCCTCATATGATATGATGGTTAATTTTAAATATCAACTTGACTGGAGTTAAGGAATATTCAGATATTAGGAAATGCACTATTTCTGGGGATGTCTGTAATGGTGTTTTTGGAATATATTGGCATTTGAATCAATGGATTGAGCAAGGAAGATCTACTCTCACCTGATTAAGGTGGGCACAGTCCAATCAGTTGAGGACCCATATAGAGCAAACGACAGAGAAAAGGCAAATTTTCTTTCTCTTCTGGAGCTGGGACACCCATCTTCTCCTGCTGTTGGATATCAGATTCCAGGTATCTCAAAGCTTTGGACTTCAGGTCTTGCGGCTTCCCAGGTTTTTAGGCTTTCGGCCTTAGACTGAGAATTACACCATTGGCTCTTTTGGTTCTCAGGCTTGCACTGAACTAGGTCATCAGCTTTCCTGGTTCTCTAGCTTGCAGATGGCATATTGTGGGATTTCCCAGCCTCCCTAATTGCACAAGCCAATTTCTATAATAATAAACCTTCCTTTCATCATCTATCTACCTACTTACCTACCTACCTACCTATTTATCTATTATCTCTCTCTTTCTCTATGTATCTATCTATCTAATCTATCTATATGTCTATAATCTATCCTATTGATCTGGAGAACCTGGACTGATTCAGAGAGTCAAACTTTGGGGAAGAGAAATTAGCTTCTATCACTTAGTTCCTAAAAATTGTACTATGATTTAAAATGTCTAAGAATTTGTCCATGTGTAATATTCCTTAAAACTGACACACCTCTATGAGTTAGGCAGGTCAAGTGCTCTTATATACATTGTCTATATAAGAAAACTGAGAACTTTTTATAAACAGACTCATGGTGGATTATAGCCAAAACAAACATTTTATCTTAATCCTAATCCAAAGAACTTCCAATCTAATATACATTATCTGTCTTGGTTTTATTTATAAATTAATCTCATTTCATTTAGAGGAAATTTATTTTTACTAATGTCTATATTTTTATGTGTCTAGGGCAGTGCTGGGAACATAGTAGGCACTCTATCAAAATTCATTCAGTGGTGCCAGTAGTTTCTTTAAAAAGCAAGCTTAGTGCACAGGGTTTATTTTATATTAACATCTTTGGTCTTTCTTAGCTATGCATTTTCTGTCTTCCCATAGCTCTTGAACAATTCCAGACAGCAGTTTTGTGCTCAGGAAGTTTTATTGTCGTTAGTATTATTATTCATTAAATTGAATTTTAAGGTAGATATTTGAACATTTTTACCTGCTTAAGACAAATAATGATTTAAAATTATGAATATCTGTTGTAATGTTTAAATTTTAAACATAGATAGATATAATGGTATGTCACTTCCTCCTTTGTTTCTCTATTAATTCAGCTAAAAATTAAGCTTAATTGAATTAATTCTAGGTTTCTGTCAATTTTTGAAATTCTTTTTACAGAGAATTTTTCAAAATTGCAAATGTGCAAGAAGTGGCATATTTTTATTTTCACTTTATTTTCAAGTCTTAGTGCAGAAACTGCTTATTTAGCAAGTAATTCAAACTTAGTTATTTCTGGATTCTAGGACTATGCAAACTTCTCAATGATTTATTTAACCTCAAGGCATTGATGGTATTCCTCCATCTATTACTTGTTAGTGTCTACTGGCTACAACCAAGACCAACATTGTCCAGTTCACTTTGCCCTTCCAACTCCTATAGCTTTATAGTTACTGTATTAATCACCTTCCTTATTCTCATTGCAATCACCCATTGCCACCACCTTTACATAATCTGTCATCATTTAATCACCTCCCCAGTACTATTATTATCACAAATATCTTTGCCATATTGCCAGTAATATCCACCAGCAGCACCTCGTCATTGTCCACATTGCCACATCATTTTTATTGTTAATTTTAGCACTAGCACTAAATTAACATCACAATCATCATTGCCATCACGTGCTTCATCACCACCACCATTAACACATTCTCAATAATTAACAATGGCAAAAGCACTAACACTTTTATCCAAATGTGGTGTTTTGATTTCACATTCCAAAGATAATTATTTCATGTATTTTCTACTTTTCTCATAATAGCTTTTTAATAATTAAAACCTTCATATTAATTAGGATAGGCATTATGGAAAACAGTATGGAGGTTCCTCAAAAAATTAAAAAAAAAACTCCCATATGATCCAGCAATCCTACCAGCAGGTATATATTCAAAAGATACAAAATCAATATGTAGAAGAGATATCTACATCCATATTTATTACAACATTGTTCATAATGGTCAAGATATGAAACCAACCTAAGTGTCCATCAGTGGATAAATGGATACAGAAAATGTGGTATACATACACAATAGAATAGGACTCAGACTTAAAAGAAGGAAATCTGGTCATTTGCAACAACATAGATAAAACTGGAGGGCATTATGTTAAGCAAAATAAGCTTGGCACAGAAAGACAAATGTGGTCATGATCTCATTTATATGTGAAATCTAAAAAAGTTAAACTCAGCAACCGAGAGTAGAATGGCATTCACCAGAACCTGGAGGGTGTGCAGGTAGGGGAGATGTTGGTCAAAGGACACAAAATTTCAGTTAGATGGGAGAAATAATTTCAAGGTATCTACTGTACATCAGGGTGACTATATTTAAAAACAACATATTATTGACTACATTTAACTTATATGTTGGTAACTATATTTAATAGCAATGTTTAATAACAACATAGAGTATTGTTATTGACTTGAACATTGATAAAGAAATCGATTTTTTGTTCTCAACACACACACACTCATACACACACACTCACAGAACCTTCACTTTAAGCTGAATATTTGAAAATAGCAAAGGCAAGCTATCTAATCATTTCTTTCAAGGTTTTTAGCTTATGTTAGTAGGTGTGCTCATCGGACATAGTGTCTCAGATTACTTTGAATGCTATATGAATGATCTCCTAAAGAAATTAATTTCCTGGAATATCATTAAATCCATAAATAGATACCTAATAAACAATTCCAGTGTGCCCAATCATTTGCTAGTAGGAAAATACTAAATATATCAATATAAAATCAATCCTATAGCCTCAAAAAGCTGACATTAGTTCCTTAGAGATCAAGCTTAAACAAAGGGAATTGATATAATTCTGCCACTTATAGAGTACTATTTATGTTCCAGGTACTGCACAAATTATTATAAAGAATATGAAGATGAATGTCATTGTCTCTATGGAATTTATTGCTTGCAGTTTAAAAGTCACACTGTCCTGCTTTTCCTACCTTCTGTAATACACTGTGATCAACTAATGGGCAGAAATCTCTATTTACATTTCAAAAGCATCTAGCATAGCAGTTCTCTCACAGTAACCACTTAATTTTTTTTTTTTTATTGAAGGAATGCTGTTTGGATGAATTACTTAACACAACCAACAAAAGGGTTTGTACAATCTAAACTGTGACCACTAAAGATTATAACAAACTTACGTAGTAGTTGTTTAACTTACCTACAGCTATTGGGAAGCTTTATAAAAATAATTTTAAATCCCTATCCATAAATTCTAAGGTATGATATGTGTTGTGAAGCATTTTAAGATGCAGAGGAAAATTATTCAGGGCAAAGTGCATCTATTATCAATTAATGAATGTTTCCTTGAAATGAAAATTGAAGCACCGCCTTACTTGAACTTCTTGGAACTAGCAGCCCACAGGAGATTCTTGAGATCTCCAGATAGCAATCCTACCACTACCGTCTGTTGAATATGACCTCATTGTCTACTTTTTTTTTTACTTTCTATTTTGTAAGTTAAGGCCACCAGGAACAAAGATCTCTGCCATGACTCTGGAAATTTGAATTTGGAGAAATCTTTAAAGAATCCACAACTTATTTTATTCCTCATGATCCTCCACTGTTCTAGAAACTCTGAGGTTTCTGTTCCATTTTTACTTCAACTTCACTATTTTCACTCACACTTAGAGAAACTTCATTTTAAAAAGGTTTTGGAAATCTCCACATTGCCTCAAAATTCTTCAAAGTTAATCTGTCTAATCAGAGATTTCCAGGTCACTGGTCTTTTCTTTCTACTTTTACTTCAGTTTCTGTCACCCTCTTTTTTTAGACCACTAGGTTAATATCCCAGGTTTGAATATATTGTACTAGAAGAAATGATGGTGGCACTTAAGAGGCAAGGGAAGGACATAAGTTTTGAGAAATATCTACTGTAAAAACACATACCTTTTAGAATGTTTCCACTGTGTGTTATGAATAAAATATAGCATTTGAATAAAGGTTGAAGAATTGGATAATATGAAATAAAAGGAGCTAGCTTAGATATAGAAGGTAATAACATAAAAAAGACTTATGCAGAGAAAATATAAAGGAGCTGAAAATTCAGGATTTTAATGAACATTAGAAAATAGAAGGCCCAGAATCTACACTGCAGGAAACAACAACAAAAACACAATGTGAAGAATAAGTCAGCGAAGTTCCTTTAAAATAAAGAGGTAAAATACTAACTAGAGTAAGAATAGTAAGAAAAGTAATACTGATGTAACAGAGAGTTGGCAATGGGATAACAGAGTGAAGAAATTGAATTGATATAATGTGTGATTCTAAAGAAAAAAAGTTATTCACAGAAATTTTATCAATGGTAATTAAAGTATAATAAAGTCAAGATTTTCTGAGCCAAAAAAGACCCTTTCTAAATCACAGATACCCATTTGCAAAGGTTATATAAAGTAAGCAATGCTTACAAATGGCCCAGCGAAAATTTTGAAAATCGAGAATAAAGAAATTAGCCTGCAGCCACTTAGGCTAGAAAATGAAAATGAGAATGGGACATATTACTTACAATGGAAGAAAAATTGGAGGGGCCAAAAAATAAAGTCTTTGTGTCCCTAAATTTAAACTCCAGAAGACAATGGAGCAACCTCCAGAGAGTTTCTATACTCAATTAAACTTTATTTCATGGAGGAAGGAAATAAAAAGCAAAAAAGTCATACAAGGCCTAAATATGAGGACAAACATGTTCTTCCTTAAAAAAAATAGTCAAGATAAATTTCAGCCAAAGAAGAGATAGTTAAAAAAATAAAAATCATAAGAATTTGTAGTATAAAAAAAGTGTGGGTACTAAATCTAAAAATTATGGAACTAAGTATAAATGATTGTTTTAAATATGACCCCAACATGATAGTAACTACTTAATTTCAATTATTCACTCATTTATTTCAAAACATTAAATACTTCTTAGTCTTCTGACAGCTGGGGTACTGCCCTTAGGAATTTATTTTATAGTTTGGAGATCTATTCAACAAACTGTCAATGAGAACAGCCACACTCTGTAAAATATTTGAAGAGATTTATTCTGAGCCAAATGTGAGGACCATGACCAGTATGAACAGACCCAGGAGATCCTAAGACATGTGCTCAAGGTGGTTGTGTTGTAGATTGGTTTTATATGGAAAACATATAAAAACAACATGATAACAATCAATTCAACTAGCAACAATCAATTCAATTAGCAACATGACAGCAATCAATTCAATTAATACATGTAAGATATGCATTGGTTCAGTCCAGAAAGGTGGGACAACTCGAAAGGGTGGGAAGAGCCTTATAGGTCATAGGTGGATTAAAAGATTTTCTGATTGGCAATTGGTTGAAACACCTGAAAGTTATTATCTACAGACCTGGAATGAATAGAAAGGAGTGTCTGCTTTAAGATAACGGGTTGTAGAGACCAAGGTTCTTATTAAGTATATGAAGTATCATAGGTGACCACCCCCAGAGGCAATATATGGCAAGTTTTTTCTATTCAGACCTTTAAAAGATGCTGCATTCTGTGCTAACCTCTTCAGGATCAGAAACAGACCTGGAAAGGAATGGAAATTCTCTACAGAATGTGGATTTTCCCCACAAGAGATAGTTTCTCAGCATCATTTTAAAACATGCCAAAGAAATATATTTGGGTACAAAATACTTCAATTTTCATCAGGGCCTGCTATCTGTCATATGATGCTATACTAGAGTTAGGTTGGAATTTGGTATCTTATCGCTGCAAAGAATCTGTTTTGTCAGTCTTAAGATATCTGTTTTTGTAGTAACACTGGTCAGCTGCGGCTGAATTCAAGGGAGGAAAGTAGAATGAGCCATGTCCAAGCTTTCCTTCCCCTCATGGCCTGAACTAGTTGTTTCTAGGATTCTTTGAAATCCCATTGGCTGAGAGGAGGGGTCCATTCAGCTGGTTGGGAGACTTAGAATGTAAGTTTTGGATGATATAACCAAAAAGGACATACGAAAAATAAAGTTATAATATGCATATGATGAAAAAATTCATCATATGATATGTGATAATGACGTAAGGAAACTTTAGATTGGGGTGCCAGTGAAGACCATTTTAAAAGGTGATATTAGGGTGATTTAGGGTATAAATGTCCAAAAGATGCTTTTTATGTAACAATCTAGAGGAAAAGTATTCAAAGTAAAGGAACAGTTAACTACAATAGCCTAAGACAAGAAAGAATGTGATGTTTTGAAGAATCAGAAGAAAACAAGTGCATCTAAACATATTAACCAAAGAGGAGAATAATTATGGGACCATACATATATCTGTTTCCCTTGAATACACCCAGTTTATACCTGTTGCAATGTATTTAGTACCCCTTTTTACTTTCAATTGTGGCCTAATTTGGACAATAAATTATATGGACGCCTACAAAGGGGTATGAAGTGAAATCTGAATGTTATTCAAAATCAGAGAAAATTACTCACTCCTACTCTACTCCTTCCAAGGTGTAGTTTTATTGAGCAATAGATCAGATAAGAGTAGAATGGCAACACAGATGCTTAAAAAGTTTATTTACAGTATCTGACTAAGGTCAGGGTGAGTGCTGTTAAAGCGTTAGGTTTTCTCTACGTTATTTTCCCATTCATGGTTTTGTTTTTTTTTTTTTGGTGCAGTACTTCTATAAACCCTTCCATATACCTTCCCCCAAAGAGTAGCTACATAGACCATGCTTTGATCTCCCTTGAATTTGCATGTGGCTTTTCTACTTATTGAATAAATATCATTATACAGGCACTTCATCACCAAAGCAACAAGATGTGGAGCATGAGCAGTTCAACCTTTGAAGATAACTCAGACTAATTTGGCCAGCCTCTCCGTCTGAGGGTCTGAGATCATAAGAAGGTAAACATTCTGTAATTCCTAATTTTTTTTTAGAGTGACTTGCAGGTGAGTACATTTCACCATGAATCTACTTATTTATTTTATTTCTATTAACTTATGGTGTTGTGCTTTCCTTCTCTAATAACGTTCCCTTCTGATCAGTGTTCAGTTGAACACAGTACCCGACTAAAATGCTGCAGGGGCTTTGAAAACCAGGCAAAAGGATTTGAATTTCATTCTGAGTGTCATAGGAAAACCATGGCATGTTCAAAGCAGGAAAATGATATGACTTCATTGATGTGACTATAGTTGGAGGGAAGTAAATTAGAGGAAAGTAAGAGTAGAAACAGAGGGAACAATTACAGGGTTTTAACAATATTCTAAGTGAAAGGTGACTGTGGCTTTCAACAACATGGGGCATTACAGGTGGAGAGAAATGAATAAATTTAAGATACATTTTGAAGTTACAGTTAACAGATTTGCTAATGAATTGGTAGGAGAAGAGAAAATTCAGTGAAGTACAAACCAAAGGAATAGCCTTCATTTTGCCTGGTTATTTGAGTAGAAAGTGTGACCATTTATTTATATGAAGAGACAGAGGTATGTCAAGAATGCAGTTTTGAACTCATATTTAAGATGTCCATAAAACAGCTGGAAAAGTTAAAGAAAATGCAAGCTTGGCATGATAGGATGAGGTTTGGAGTCAGCAATATTAAGACATTATTTAAAACCCTCAAATTTAATGAAATTGCATATGAAGTAAGCATAGCTAGAGATGAGATGGGATCTCAAGGCTGAGCCAGGAAGAATTCTCATATTAAGAGGATCTACTAAAATGGGAGCCAGAAGCTCCTATTTTATCCAGCAAATGGATGAAAGACACCCACATGACTATAGCTACTATAGAGAGATAAACACATAAATCATTACACCTTATTCTCCTGACTACAGTGCTTGGTTTAAGAGAGAAGAGAGGAATAGATATGACTCCAGTAAGGTCATTAAGAGTTATACCTATTTCTAACTGGAATTTTCAGAAAAGATTATACTCTCTAGTTTGTGAAAATGTGAGGATTGAACTAATAATTACCAATATAATCAGATTTCCTACATCTTGGAGGAAAATGGTTTGCAGGATAAAGCTTATGCTTATATTATTCATTTAACTAACCATTATATACTGTATTAGCCCATTTTCACACTGCTATAAAGAAATACCTGAAACTGGGTAATTTATACAAGAAAGAGGTTTAATAGGCTCACAGTTCCACATGGCTGGGGAGGCCTAAGGAAACTTACAATCATGGTGGAAGGTGAATGGGAAGCAAACTTGGACCTTCTCACATGGCAGCAAGAGAGAGAGGAAAGTGAACAAGAGAGAACTACCAAACACTTATAAAACCATCAGATCTCATGAGAACTCACTCACTATCACAAAAACAGCATGGGGGGAACTTCCCCTATGATCCAGTCACCTCCCACCAGGTCTCTCCCTCAACACCTGGGGATTTCAATTCAAGAAAGGATTTGGGTGGGGACACAAAGCCTAATCATATTATATACCATTTAACAACACTGAAAAACTATAATTTTATTTTCTATCCCCCTCTGCTAAAATAAAAGGTCCCTGGGGGAGAAGACTTTGTTTTGCTCATGTGTTTTTAGTCCCTAGAATGGTATCTGGCACAAAGCAGATGCTCAAGAAATACTTTTGAATTGATGTAATATTTATAATGTATATTGCATTATCCAGAAAAGACAAAGTTCTAAAAAAGTTTTGCTTTACCTAAATGAAACAATACCTTCTCTTAAGACTCTTTGTTCATTAGTATTGATATATGACTAGTCTCATATTATTTCCTGTCTCCAAAATACTCTCCCTTTCATTTTTCTGTATCTGTTTAACGCCTCCTGTTCTCCAAATCCAAAGTCAGATCCTTCTTGAAGTATAGCTCATATCCCATAGGGTGTTATTATCTGTGTTACCTAGTAGTTAACATCTATTTCCCTGCTATTTTTGTCTTCTTTTCTGATGTGAATATAAGCTTTCTAAGGATCAGTATAATAGACATATTCAATGGTCATATTCAGTGGCCCCAACTACATCTCTTTCTAAAGACCTAGTCCTTTCATAGTCCAGAGAGAGACCAGGGATACACATTAGAGACCAAACCAGGCACATTTGCAATTCAGCCCCTGCTGTCTGGAAACAGATAGGCACCGTGCCCAAAGTCCTTCAGTCTATTTTCTGTCCGGAAACCATCATCTTTTCTCTGAAGAGAGAATTTCAAATGAAAGACTGTGATGCATTTTCCTCTGACCTAATGTTTGTATGAAGCCAAAGCTGGAACCAGCACCATTACAAGGCAAAGTCATGTGCTACCCGTTTTTATAGGAGAATGAAGACTATGACATAGGTGCATAAAGATAAATTTTAGCCACACAGAGAGGTGTTTCTTT
This sequence comes from Homo sapiens, assembly GCF_000001405.40. Lineage (NCBI taxonomy): Eukaryota > Metazoa > Chordata > Mammalia > Primates > Hominidae > Homo > Homo sapiens. The sequence continues at coordinate 29,214,205 of NC_000011.10, forward strand.
TGTTCCTAACAGTTTCCTGTTTCCAGAAGGCTGATTTGTACTTTGTTTTCTGTCCTTGGTGTTATATATCATTCTTCTGTGTTCCAGTCAATGGAACCCCATTATTTGACCTAGCTCAAGTGGATTTCTTCTTCTTGAGGAAATCAGCTTTGACTGAAACCACAGAAACTAAATTCTCTACTACTTCATTTTCTTTAAATCTGCCCAGGTGCTCTGCACATAGTAGGGCATTGTGAAATTATTATTTTTCAATAAATCTATGGCATTGTGTTTATCTTTTTACAACCTACACTTCCCCCTTTCCAATAGTTAGTTCAGTATTTGCCCTCAAAGGTCATTATTATCTTTGTTTCTTACCTCAAGCACTTCATTCAACACATAGAAGTAAGTCCTATTCATGTTTGAGTCACCAGATTGATAATGTGCAACTTCAACCTGTTGTTTCAGTTGTTGGTGATAAAGGATGAGTACTAGATTTTACAAGAGCAGATTAAAAATATTTCTTTAAAATGTCAATGGGAAAAGATGCTTTGAAATGGTCTCTTCATACAATATGCATCTCCAGATTCCTTCAGTTATGGTGCCACCTTTACTTACATACAAAAGGATTATTTTAAGTCAAGTTGTTTTCCTCAGTGCTGTCAATATTCACCAGATTTATTTGCCCAATGAAGTATTTTTTTGTTGTTGTTCTTCATCAAAACATCTCTCGTCCTTGCTGGGCTGATGGTCGAGGATCAGAAAGCAATATTCCACCTGTTCTTAAAACCAGCATTTCTTAGCAAGGTTAAGCAGTGCCTTTTTAAACTCCCAGTGCTGTTTGCGTCATCTCCTGGTGAGTCAAACCTGTTATGTTAGTACATCGCACAGAGAAAGGCCAGCAAACTTTAAAACTTTTAAAAAGCAGCTATTTTGTGTGGTCTGCCTAAAGTAGCTTGAAATGTATTTATCAGGACTCCACCTGCCACTTTATACTCAATAAGCCCTTTCTTTAAACAGCTGATGCCACTTCCTATTCTAGGACACTGAACTGCCACTACATCCCTAACCTGGAAGATATAAGGAAAGAGGATATAGAATCAGAGGCTCTTTTGGGAAGTATTCACTTGGGTGGGTTCCCATCTTTAAGAGTTTTCCTTTGAGAGAAAGCCCTGAACAACAAGGCAATGACCCTTCTCTGCCTTAGCACCTGATACTTAATTACATTTCCTGACATTTCAAATGCCCTAGATCCTAAACTTCAGATTTCCACCACACCAAAAGAGGACATGCCCTAGTGTATTAGTTGGTGAAATGCAAATAAATAGAGAAGAGGTATTATAAGGCTAAATAATTTGGGAAATGCTGAGCTAAACAAAGCTATGGGTTTTTTACTGCAGAAATTCTGTTATCTTTAAAATGGTAAAATGCATTCTGCATTTTCAGGTGGAATACATTAAATGCCTGTTTTTCAGGTTGAATTGACCACTGAACTCTAAGTGGTGTGAAATATATTAGGGTGTCTTTCTTTAGTGCAATTCTTGGCCTTGATCCCTTGGACTTCTGACTATTGATTGGTATGGGAAATCAGGTTCCTATCTGGATCTTTGATGATTAGAGGGTTTCATATTCTACTTTTGGCCAAGTCCCTCATGTCTCCATTCATCTCACACTCATCCTTTATTTAGGTTCTGTAATTCAGTACCACTAGCTCTTATTTACACCATCATGTATATACTATTTACATCATATCAACCTAATACTTCTCTATTCAAAATTATTGTATTCCTTTTCTCTCTGGCAAAACTCAAATTTATCTTTTAAGTGTCAGCTCAAATGTTATTGCCCGTGTCATGGACTCATAAAATGATAGAACTGGAAGAGATCTCAATAATTCTGGTCCAAATCTCTTTCTGATGAGAAACATTTAAGGAAGGCAATGTAATTTACCCCAGGTCACATAGGAAGAGAGTGCTTCAACTGGCATACTGACCAGATCTCATAAGGGATAAGGTTTCCATGAGTACTATAGTTGATTGAGAAATCCTAAAGCAGGGGAAGAAGAGTCAGAGTTTGGGCATTGTCCCCAAGATTCAAATGAAATCACATATTAAGTTCAGATAATCAAATATACAAAATGTGATAGGATAAGGAAAAGCAGCACTGCCCATGGTCAAATCATAGATTATATAATTATAATGCATAACATGGGAAGTCCAGAAGTTCTGGGTTATTTGAATTAATTAATCAGTAAGAATTATTCCTTGAAGATCCAAATTTCAATTCCTATGATATAAATATCTGGTACTTACAGAGAAAGGCCTTTCACTTCTTGCAACTTCACATCTGACAGCTAATGCTAATACCTAGGCCTCCTGACTCAAGAACTGCTCTCTTTTCACTATACCATACTTGTTCACTAAATGGGAATTTGCTAGAATTTCAGGGAAGAAATTCATTGGCATTGGAAGAGATGGGGTAGGACAGTGAGATAACTTTTACTCCAGCAGAAACTACAGTGCGAATTTTGCTTTGCTAGGTATGGGGAATAATCTTTCCTGAGTCATCCTTATTCTCTCATATGTTACACTTATGAACATAGTTTTTTAAAAATCTGCTAACTTCTTTTTTTAGAGTTGAGATATACCATATTAATGCTTACAATATATTGCACATTTCAAGTAACTGCTTTCTACACACTCCACAGTCATTTTTAACAGAGATGTTTGATTTCTAATGCTGAAGACCTGTTATTTAATTATTCTTTGAAATGGAACTTTGAAAATGTTTTTTGAGGTCAACATTGCTTTGATGTGCTCTGCAGGTTAGACCACTTGTCTAAATTCCTTATCTGTACACGTAAGTGTCACTAAAGATTTCTACTTGACAGACCATTGGTGCTTAACATTTAACGCTTCCAAAGTAGAACATCTCCTTCCTCTGAAACATGCTTTTCCTACGCATTTTCTATCTCAGAAAATAGTATCTGCATCCTCTACCCAATAGCCCAAGCCCAACATAAAGATTTTATCATAGATTAGCCTTCCTTTTTATCTCCATATCTACTTAGATCTTAAGATGTGTTGCTTTCTTATCTTCAGTGTTTCCTGAATCCATTGCCTCTTTTCTACCCCAGGACCATGGTCTTTATCAAAACCCTCATCATTCTAACTTAAAGTATTATGGTATCCTCTTTTGTGATCTCTTTGTGTCAAATCTTTACTTCCCACCATTGCTAGGAATGATCCATCTGAAATGATATCAGAATGTGCTACTTCCATTCATAACATCCTATAATGAATACCTTCCTATCACATGTGGGACAAGAGATGTCAAAGATCTCTACTATTGCCTTCTCTCATTCTTTTCTCATCTCTCATTATATCTCATATCAATTTATTCAATTATCTAAAACTATTTGCAATTTCCCAGGTTTCCATCTTTCCTCCCCAACATTGCTTTTGTTTTTCCTTCTGTCTAGAATAACGTTTCCTCTTCCTTACTCATATTAAAGATTCACTTTGTATTTTCCTTGTTCTAATAAATTTCCCTCAGACCATTAAGATTAGGTTTGTGCCCTTGCTTTGCACCCTATAGAACCAGGGAATGTACTTATTGCTGTGTTAATAACTGCCCTATAATCAGCCATTTATATGCCTGTTCTTTTGAGGGTTCTGCAGGTCCCCAAGATCACTCTCAGGTTCCATGATCTGCTAGAAAGACTCACAGAACTCAGAAAATTCATCATAATATTAGGATTTATTACAATAAAATAATACAGATTATAATTAGCAGCAAGAAAAGCACATGGGGCAGTGTACAGGAGAATTCCAAGCACAAGCTTCTAGTTGTTCTTTACTGGGGTTGTGCAAAGAGCACTGACTTCTCCCTGCATAGAGTATTGCCAAACAGGAAGCTCAACTGAGCCTTCAGTCCACAGTTTTTATTGTGAATCAGCCATGTAGACACAGATGACCACCCTCATGACTGATCTTAGTCTCCAGCCCATTCAGAGATGGAGCTGATACAATGTGGCCCAAGGCCCATTGTCACAAATCACATTGTTAGCATAGGCTATCTGGCATGGCCCAAGGCCTCCAGTTAAACAAAGATATGCTTATGATGAAGACTATTTTAGGTTTACTTTCGTGAGCCAGGGACAAAGTCCCACACCATTCTCTGGCAATGTTAATCTCTACTTTACATCTTCCTACCAAAGTGTGATCCCCGTAAGAGTAAGGACTGTGCCATGTTCATTTCTGAATTCTCATTGTCTACACATGTTCAACCTAGAGTAGGAGCACAATGTATGACTTCAGAGTGAATAAACAAGTTGATGAATATGAATAATTAAAGTGTTTTTTAACAACTCTTCAAAAACACCCCAACATTACTACCATCTTCTGAGACTTTAACTTAACTATATTAAACAGATTCCTTTACTTATATCTCAACAGACATCCGATTTGTGTCTGTTCTATCTCTCAATACAGTGTACTCTGTTAAGAAGGGAAAACTAATAGTCAAAAGAAAAAACCCAGTCTGCTACCTTCTCCCATACATACCAAATTATATAGACCAGCCCTAAAATGGAAGGTGGGAAGAGTACTGTTCCTTCACCAGAGATAAGTAGACAGGTTCCAAAAGAGAAAACATGTCTGCCTCTTCCTTGTGTACGGCCTCTTCAATGAGTTTAGTCAAAAGAAAGTTGACTATCACATATTATTTCTGTGGCTGTAAGAGGGCTTCTTTGTTTCCAGATATCTACTCCATAGACATCTCACTTTGTCAAATATCTCACCATTAGGAATCTATTTCTCTGAATATGTTTTTTTCTTTATTGTTTCATTTCTTGTAAAAAAATGCGGGATACATGTGCAGAACGTGCAGGGTTGTTACATAAGTATACACATGCCATGATGGTCTGCTGAACCTATTGACCCATCCTCTAAGTTCCCTCCCCTTGCCCCCCACCCCCCAACAGGCCCTGGTGTGTGTCATTCCTCTCTGTGTCCATGTGTTCTCATTGTTCAACTCCCACTTATGAGCGAGAACATGTGTTGTTTGTTTTTCTGTTCCTGTGTTAGTTTGCTTACGATGATGGCTTCCAGCTTCATCCATGTCCCAGCAAAGAACATGATCTCATTCCTTTTTATGGCTGCATAGTATTCCATGGTGGTATTTATACCACATTTTCTTTATCCAGTCTATCATTGATGGGCATTTGGGTTGGTTCCAAGTCTTTGCTATCATTAAATAATACTGCAATAAACATACATGTGCATGTGTCTTTATAGTAGAATAATGTATCATCCTTTGGGTGTATACCCAGTAATGGGATTGCTGGGTCAAATGGTATTTCTGCTTCTAGATCCTTGAGGAATCTCCTTACTATCTTCCCCAGTGGTTGAACTAATTTACATTTTCATCAACAGTGTAAAAGCATTCCTATTTCTCCACAGCCTCATCAGCATCTATTGCTTCTTAGCTTTGTAATAATCACCATTCTGACTGGCATGAGATGGCATCTCATTGTGGTTCTGATTTGCATTTCTCTGATGATCAGTGATGTTGAGGTTTTTTTTTCTCATGTTTGTTGGCCACAAAAATGTCATCTTGTGAGAAATGTCTGTTCATAACCTTTGCCCACTTTTCGATGTTTTTTTTTGCAAATATGTTTAAATTCCTTGCAAATTCTGGATATTAGACCTTTGTCAGATGGATAGATTGCAAAAATGTTCTCCCATTCTGTGGGTTGTGTTACTCTGATGATAGTTTCTTTTGCTGTGCGGAAGCTCTTTAGATTAATTAGATCCCATTTGTCAATTTTGGCTTTTGTTGCAATTGCTTTCAGTGTTTTAGTCATGAAGTCTTTGCCTGTGCCTATGTCCTGAATGGTACTGCCTAGGTTATCTTCTAGAGTTGTTATTGGTTTGAGTTTTACATCTAAGTCTTTAATCCATCTTGAGATAATTTTTATATAAAGTGTGAGGAAGGGATCCAGTTTCAGTTTCCTGCGTATGGCTAGCCAGTTATCCCAGCACTATTTTAAATAGGAGATCCTTTTCCCATTGCTTGTTTTTGTCAGGTTTGTTGAAGATCAGATGGTTGTAGATGTGTAGTGGTATTTCTGAGGTCTCTGTTCTTCTCCATTGGTCTATGTGTCTGTTTTGGTACTAGTACCATGCTGTTTTGGTTACTGTAGCCTTGTAGTATAGTTTGAAGTCAGGTAACGTGATGCCTCCAGCTTTGTTCTTTTTGCTTAGGTTTTTTTTGGCTATATGGGGTCATCTTTGATTACACATGAAATTTATAATAGTTTTTTTTTTCTAATTCTGTGAAGAATGTCAATGGTAGTTTGATGGGAATGGAATTGAATCTATAAGTTACTTTGGGCAGTATGGCCATTTTCACAATATTGATTCTTCCTATCCATGAGGATGGAGTGCTTTTCCATTTGTTTGTGTCCTCTCTTATTTCCTTGAGCAGTGGTTAGTAGTTTTTCTTGAAGAAGTCCTTCACATCCCTTGTTAGCTGTATTCCTAGGTATTTTATTCTCTTTGTAGTGATGGTGAATGGGAGTTCATTCAAGATTTGGCTCTCTAGTTGCCTATTGTTGGTATAAAGGAATGCTTGTGATTTTTGCACATTGATTTTGTATCCTGAGACTTTGCTGAGGTTGCTTATCAGTTCAAGGAGTTTTGGGGCTGAGATGATGGGGTTTTCTAAATATAAAATCATGTTGGTTAATTTTATTTCTTTCTCTTTCCTGATTGCCCTAGCCAGAACTTCCAATACTGTGTTGAAAAGGAGTGGTGAGAAAGGGCATCTTTGTCTTGTAACAGTTTTCAAAGGGAATACTTCCAGCTTTTGCCCATTCAATGATATTGGCTATGAGTTTGTCATAAATAGCTCCTATTATTTTGAGATATGTTCCATCAATACCTAGTTTATTGAGAGTTTTTAACATGAGGGGACGTTGAGTTTTATCAAAGGCTTTTTCCACATCTATTGAGATAATCATGTGGTTTTTGTCTTTGGTTCTGTTTATGTGGTGGATTATGTTTATTGATTTGCCCATGTTGGACAAGCCTTACATCCCAGGGATGAAGTCGACTTGATCATGGTAGATACATTTTTTGATGTGCTGCTGGATTTGGTTTGGTAGTATTTTATTGAGAATTTTCTCATAGATGTTCATCAGGGATACTGGCCTAAAGTTTTCTTGTTTTGTGTGTCTTTGCCTGGTTTTGGTATCAGGATGATCATGGCTTCATAAAATGAGTTATGGAGGAGTCCCTCCTTTTCAGTTGTTTGGAATAGTTTCAGAAGAAATGGTACCAGCTCCTCTTTGAATTTCTGATAGAATTCAGCTATGAATCCATCTGGTTCTGGGCTTTTATTTGTTGGTAGGCTATAAATTACTGCCTCAATTTCAGAACTTGTTATTGCTCTATTCAGGGATTTGATTTCTTCCCAGTTCAGTCTTGGGAGGCTGTATGTGTCCAGAAATTTATCAATTTCTTCTAGATTTTCTAGTTTATTTCCGTAGAGGTTGTTTACAGTATTATCTGATAGTAGTTTATATTTCTCTGGGGCCATTGGTGATATCCCCTTTATCATTTTTTATTTTGTCTATTTGATTCTTCTGTCTCTTCTCCTCTATTAGTCTATCTGTGGTCTATCTATTTTATTAATTTTTTCAGAAAAAAAAAAGCTCCTGGAATCATTGATTTTTTTTTTAGAGGGTTTTTCATGTCTTTATCTCCCTCACTTCTTTTCTGTTCTTAGTTATTTCTTGTCTTCTGTTAGCTTTGGATTAGTTTGCTCATGCCTCTCTACCTCTTTTAATTGTGATGTTAGGTTGTCAATTTGAAATTTTTCCTGCTTTCTGATGTGGGCATTTAGTGCTACACATTTCCCTCTTAACACTGTTTTAGCTGTGTCCCAGAGATTCTGGTACATTGTCTCTTTGTTCTCATTGGTTTCAAAGAACTTTTTTATCTCTGCCTTAATTTCATTATTTACCCAGGAGTCATTCAGGAGGAGGTTGTTCAATTTCCATGTAATTGTGTGGTTTTGAGTGAGTTTCTTAATCATGAGTTCTAATTTGATTGCACTATGGTCTGAGAGACTCTTTCTTATCATTTCAGTTCTTTTGCATTTGCTAAGGAGTGTTTTGCTTCCAATTATGTGGTCAATTTTAGAATGAGTGACATGTGCCACTGAGAAGAATGTATATTCTTTTGATTTGGGATAGAGAGTTCTGTAGACGTCTACTACGTCCACTTGATCCAGAGCTGAATTCAAGTCCTGAATATCCTTGTTCATTTTCTGTCTTGTTGATCTGTCTAATACTGACAGTGGGGTGTTAAAGTCTCCCACTATTATTGCGTGGAAGTCTAAGTCTCTTTACAGGTCTCTAAGAACTTGTTTTATAAATGTAGGTCCTCCTGTATTGGGTGCATATATATTTAGAATAGTTGGCTCTTCTTGTTGAATTGTTCCCTTTAGCATTATGTAATGCCCTTCTTTGTCTTTTTTGATCTTTTTTGGTTTATAGTCTGTTTTGTCAGAGACTAGGATTGCAACCCCTACTTTTTTTTTTTTCTTTCCATTTGCTTGGTAAATTTTCTTCCATCCCTTTAATTTGAGCCTATGTGTGTCTTTGCATGTAAGATGGGTCTCCTGAATATAGTACACCGATGGGTCTTGACTCTTTATCCAGTTTGCCAGTCTGTCTTTTAATTGGGGCATTTAGCCAATTTACACTTAAAGTTAGTGTTGTTACGTGTTAGTTTCATCCTGTCATCATGATGCTATTTGGTTATTTTCCACATTAGTTGATGCAATTTCTTCGCAGTGTCATTGGTCTTTATATTTTGGTGTGTTTTTGCAGTGGCTAGTACTGGTTGTTCTTTTCCATATTTAGTCCTTCTTTCAAAAGCTGTTGCAGGGCAGGCCTGGTGGTAACGAAATTCCTCAGCATTTGTTTGTCTGGAAAGGATTTTATTTCTCCTTCACTTATGAAGCTTAGTTTGGCTGGATATGAAATTCTAGATTGGAAATTCTTTTCTTTAAGAATGTTGACTATTGGCCCTCAATCTCTTCTGGCTTGTAGAGTTCTTTCTGAGAGGTCTGCTGTTAGTCTGATCGGCTTCCCTTTGTAAGTGACCTGGCCTTTCTCTCTGGCTGCCCTTAACAGTTTTTCCTTCATTTTGACCTTGGAGAATCTGATGATTATGTGTCTTGGGTTGATGTTCTCACGGAGTATCTTAATGGTGTTCCCTGCATTTCCTGAATTTGCACGTTGGCCTGTCTTTCTAGGTTGGGGAAGTTCTCCTGGATAATATCCTGAAGTGTGTTCTCCAGATTGTTTCCATTCTCCCTGTCTCCTTCTGGTACTCCAATCAATTGTAGGTTCAGTCTTTATATGAAGTCACATATTTCTTGGAGACTTTGTTCATTCCTTTTTATTCTTTTTTCTCTATTCTTGTCTGCATGCCTTATTTCAGCATAGTGATCTTCAAACTCTGATACCTTTTCTTCTGCTTGGTTGATTTGGCTATTGATACTTGGGTATGATTCATGAAGTTCTCGTGCTGTGTTTTTCAGCTCCGTCAGGTCATTTATGTTCCTCCCTAAAGTGGTTATAATAGTTAGCAATTCCTCTAACCTTTTATCAAGGCTATTAGTTTCTTTGCATTGGGTTATAACATGCTCTTTTAGCTCAGCATAGTTTTCTATTACCCATCTTCTGAAGCCTACTCTGTCAATCCATCCATCTGATCCTCCGTCCAGTTCTGCTCCCTTGATGTGGAGACACTGCAATCATGAGGAGGAGAAGAGGCACTCTGGCCTTTTGGGTTTTCTGCATTTTTTTGTTGATTCTTTCTTATCCTTGTGAGTTTGTCTAGTTTCAGTCTTTGAGGCTGCTTACCCTCAGATGGGGTTTCTCTGAGGGCTTTTGTGTTGTTGTTGTTGATCCTGTTGTTGTTGCTTTCTGCTTGTTTGTCTTCCAATGGTCAGGTCCCTCTTACCTAGCTGCTGCAGTTTGCTGGGTGTTCACTTCAGGCTCTATTCATCTGATTCACTCCTGTGCATGGAGATGTCACTCAAAAAGCCTGGAGAACAACAAACATGGGTGCCTGCTCCTTCTTCTGGGACCTCTGACCTAAAGGGAACCAAACTGATACCAGTAGGATCACTGCTGTATAGATTATCTGACAACCTCTGTTGGAGGGTCTCACCCAGTTTGGTGGCACGGGGAACAGGACCCATTTAATGAAGCACTTTGTCTCTTGGTGGAGGGGGTGTGCTTTGTTGGGGGGAAACCCAATCGTCTGGGCTGCCCGGATTCATCAGAACTACCAGGAGGAAAGGCTAAATCTGCTGGTCTGCAGACTGTGGCCTCCCCTCCCACCAGGGGCTCAGGCCCAGGAAGATCCAGGTACTGTCCCTGAGCTTCTGGCTGGAGTTATTGGCGTTCCTGCAGGGAAAGCCCCACCCAGTGAGGAAGGATGGGTCAGGGTCAGGCCTGAAGAGTCACTCTGGCCACAGACTGCCACAGCCAGTGCGTTGGGCTGTGGGAGACAAGTCTTTGGACTAAGCCATCCAGCCTCTTTGGCTCCAGCTGGGGAAAAGCACAGCCTAGAGCTGTAGAGATATGTGCCACCCTTCCCCAACCCAGGGAGCTTAGCCTGTTAGGCAGTTGCTAGTCCCAGTGCTGGCTGCTGCCCCTCCCCCAAGGAGCTCAAATCACTTAGACAGCAGGAAGCTGCAGTCCGATACTGGATGCCCCTGCTTCTGGGATTTCCCTAGGCTTATGCAGATTCTAGCTGAGAGGCTGTAAGAATCTGCGGGTTCTGGTGTTGGGATGCTAGGTTTGCAAGTGGGATCTTTTGATCTTTGGGTTGTGGAGTTCTGTGGAAAAAGCACAGTTTCCCTGCCTGGTTAGCATGCTCAGTCACTGCCTCTTTTGGCTGGGGAAAGTCCCCTAGGGACTTTCCCTGCCCTGTGTGACTCTCCGGTGGGCCACCGCACCATACTGTTCTTCCTTCTCTCCGTGGGTCATGCCAGCCTTCTAGTCAATTTTGAAGAGAGAACCTGGATACCTTTGTTGTCAGTGAAGGATTCACGTGCTTATTAGGATCTTTTTCAATGGGAGCCTCCGAAGGCCGCTGCTTTTATTTGGCCATCTTGGCCCCACCTCTTTCTGTCTCTTCTTCTCTATAAACGTAAGAATTATCTGTGTTATCAGAATCAACTTCTAGTTCTTAGAAGTGGATTATCCATTTATTCCTTAATAGTTTACTTGGATAACACTCTGGTTCCAAATTTCCATTTCCAATGATACCTCAATGTCCAATGTCATTCCATATCCCTTTCCGATATGCTTTTTTAAATTGCCCTTTTTGTTGTTAGATATAATGTTATCCCTTTACTCTCAGTGTTCCATGTAGTCTCTGTTTGATCCTTTAAAAATGCAAATTGGTTCACAACATTACTACTCTGTTTATAGCCTACAGTGAGGACCCTATGCCATTTAGAATAAAATGTGTGTTTGGCCGGGCGCAGTGGCTCACGCCTGTAATCCCAGCACTTTGAGAAGCTGAGACGGGCTGATCGTGATGTCAGGAGATCGAGACCATCCTGGCTAACACGGTGAAACCCCATCTCTACTCAAAATACAAAAAATTAGCCAGTTGTGGTGACACGTGCCTGTAGTCCCAGCTACTCAAGAGGCTGAGGCAGAAGAATCATTTGAACTCGGGAGGCAGAGGTTGCAGTGAGCCAAGATCATGTCACTGCACTCCAGCCTGGGTGACAGAGTGACACTCCATCTCAAAAAAAAAAAAAAAAAAAAAAAAGTGTGTTCTTGCTATGGCCTACAATACCGTAAATCCCACATGATCCAGCCTCTGACTGCCTCCCGATCTCACTTACTCATTTTAGTATTTCGGTTTTTTTTGTTTTGTTTTGTTTTTGTTTTTATTGACAGTCTCTCTCTGCCTCCTAGACTGGAGTGCTGGAGTGCAGTGACACAATCTTGGCTCACTGCGACTCTCCTGCCTCAGCCTCCTGAGTAGCTGGGATTACATGTGTGTGCCACCACTCATGGTTAATTTTTTTGTATTTTTAGTAGTGACTGGGGGTGGGGGGTGGTGGGGAAGTGGTTTCACCATGTTGGTCAGGCTGGTCTTGAGCTCTTCACCTTGTGATCCTCTCACCTCGGCCTCCCCAAATGCTGGGATTGCAGGTGTGAGCTACCATGCCCAGCCTATTTCGTTTCTTAGTAGCAACTTACAACTCTCTAGCATTATCTTATTAATGTCTATATTCTACTTCCCTCTGACTTGGATGAAAGTTGCATAAGGTCAAGACCCTTAAATATCTTGCTCACTGTTTTAGGCCCAGGGCTTAGAATACTGCCTGGCACGTAGTCGACTGCAATCATTCATATGGAAGCATTAATGGGTTTTACCAGAAGGTGAGAGAGCAGCTCACTGAATGACTTCTACTGTAGGAAAAGTGGGGAAAATATATACAACTGATCAGTGCCATGGGAATGCTAAGCATGGAGGTTTGAGTACCTAGGAAGTGTGCAACACCATCACACTCAAAAGCAGACATATTGCAAAAGAATGTGAGAGGAGAAAACACAGGGAATAACTAATACCACTTCCACCTTTCTAGCCTCTCTCTGAGTTTAGTGCCTTCTCTATCTACTCTCAGTATCCTTACGCCACCACTCCCATGATGCTTCTGGTATCTAGCAACAGAAGAAAATAACATAAAAAATGTCTCCTCTCTTATGTGTTAATACCTCATTGACATCCAGAAATATCTAGTTTTTAAAATATCTTCAGTAGCTATTATCCACAAGATAAATTAAGACACCTACAAACTTTAATTTATGAACCTAAGCTATGATTGGTGGCTCAACTGTTGTCACTATTCCCAATTACCCCGTGCACTGAAGAGCCCTTTCTATTACTAAATGGTGTTGATGGCAGTCAGGGAATAGAGTTAAATTTCTCCATCTCAATGAGGTAGAAACACTTGAGAAAATATCAAAGAAAGGCATTTCTCCAACACACCATGGTTGTAAGGGGAACAGAATAAACTATCAGTGGAAACCTACTTTATGCTGATAACATCCTGTTTTACAAATGAGAAAGCAGGTTTTAGCTAGAATAAAAATTAAGAGATCATGGTTCTGGTTAAGTAACAAAACTGGTTTTAATTCTGTGTCTGCTTGTCCCCAAAGCCCTCCCTCGTTCAGGTACAGGAGGATGCACACCTCTAGGGTGAACCCCAATTAAAGAGCATTCGGAGGAATTTTGAGACTGTGTTAATTAATATTGATGTTTAGAAGACCTTTCTTCAGGCTCAGAATATGCATACACACCAATACAGCAGTTAGGATGTTTGAAAGCCTCACATTATGCATTTTACTTATTCTTTCCTCGAAGAAGAGCAAAAAGAATCACCTAACCTGATCCACTGAGAAGGAAACATGCTTAGTTATTTCCCTTTCTCCATCTTACGAGAAAGGGAGGCAAGAGAGCCTGTGCTTGTGGACAGAGAAACAGCTGTCTTTCTGCAGGACACGGGCTCTTTAGTTTAGCAAAGGAGACAGGCAAGCAGCCCAGAGCTAATCAAGAGAATCATCTTTCTCCAAGTTGCTAGTGTGAGACCCTCAAAGGGTTAAGGATGGCAGATTTTTTTTTTTTTTTTTTTGGTTGCTATGTGCAGCCAGAGAACAAGCAGATTGTTCCCGACAATTCCAGGAGCACCCCCTTAATAGGTGAAGGGTGGACTCAACCACAACGCACTCGCTGACGTGCAGTTGATCCCCAGAGACTCGAGGCTGTTTTTGTGTGTGATCAATGTAATATTCCGCTGCTAAATTTAGGAACTCTGCATCCTATGAAAATGGCACCTCACCATGACTAATTAGCAATGAAAACTGTGGATGGTGACAGGTTTAATTATTTAATCTCCAAGGTTTTGATTAAATTAAAACCTTTTCTGCAGGGCAAAAAAATTTATATGTACACAAGTTAAGATTATAAAGTAATGAGGCTGATACCACAAATCACAGGAGGAAAAGAGTTTCATGACACAGCCCGTCTGTGTGTATATGAGATTAGTTACCTGTGTATTTGTGTGTGTATAAAAGCCTGGAGATGACTGTGTATATATGTTATAGAGGATATTGGTGTGAATTTGTGTATAACATGAGAGATGTATATGCATATGCATTTCCAAAAATTTATGGATATACAGGGAATGTGTATACATTCCTGGGTATGTGTGCATGTATGTGTTATATGTAGGAAAAACTCTGAGGATTCATATGTGTATATCCAACACTAAAGAAATACCCATGTATGTGTGAACAACACTGGAACTGCAAGTGTACATACAACACTAGAAATGTGGCTGTTTGTGTGCAGAACTCTATTTTGTGTATTCAATAGGGGATATGTGTGTATGTGTTGTGTGTGTGTGTGTGTGTGTGTGTCCACTTTTGGAGAATGACTATGCTGAACTTAGCATAGTCTGGCAATGTGTGATTGCCAAAAATGTGTTACAGAACTGCAAATGTAGGCAAAGTTGTGTGAGATATATATAAATATATATATGCACACACATATATATACACACGTATATGAAGCTTCATGCATTTATCAAATATTTCAGAGACCATATGTGTCCAAACGTAAGAAAATTGTCAACATATATATTACATTGCCATTCTACAGATGTATATGGGCATTTTTACAACATACAGAAATTCTATGTGGATGTATGAAAATGGTGTGTGGATATTTTATATGTAATGTGTGTGTTGTATGTATATATATTATGTAAATATTCAATATACAGTGATACAAAATATTTTATGTATACAATGAAAATACATTATATATAATACATTACAACATAGGTGTGAATATATCCCGTGATATACAGGTATATCCATAAAATATTTGTGAGTAAATATTATATTATAAAATACAGTTGTGAGTCCTACTTGTTAACACTGAAAATATCCATATGAATTTATATTTAATGTTGAAAGTATGTGATATATAAAATACTAAAGATAGGTGTGACTATGTTTATCATATTAGAGATATGTGTATAAATATTTACCATACAGGAAGTGGACACAACACTACAGATATGTTGTGTTTGCATTCAATATTTTTTAATTGCATAAAATATGCATAGCAAAGTTTACCATTTTAAGCGTACAGTTCAGTGGCATTAAGTACATTCACATTGTTGTGCAACTATTCCTATTATCCATCTCCAGAAATTCTCCTCTTGCAAAACTGAAACACTGTACCAGTTAAATAATAAGTCCTCATTCCTCCCTACCCTCAGCCCATGGAATTCACAATTCTACTTTATGTCTGTATGATTTTGACTAGTCAGAGTACTTCATATGAGTGCATTCTTTCAGTGTTTGTCCTTTCATTGCTGGCATATTTCACTTAGTATAATGTCTTTGAGGTTCATGTACGTCGGACCATGTGTCAGAATTTCCTTCCTTTTTAAGGCTGAATAATATTCCACTATGTATATACTACACTTTGTTTATGCACATATCTGTAATGTATACTTGGGTTGCTAGTGCATTTTGGCTATTATCTTTTGGTTATTGTGAATATATTGCTATGAACATGGTTGTATATATATATCTATTCATCTCCATGCTTTCAATTTTTTGAGTATATATCCATAAATTGAATTGGTGGACCATATGGTAATTCCACTTTTAAATTTTTGAGGAACTGTCATATTGTTTTTCATAGAAGCTGCACCATTTTGTAAGTAATATTTTTATGTATGTGTGTGTTCACTATATAAGACACATCTACAACTAGGCATTTATGTTTTCATTTATAGAAATGTAGATATAAATGTGAATAAAAAGCACTGACTATATAAGCCCATATATAACACTGAAGCTAGATTTCTGAATACAGTTGAGTATTTTCTAATCCAAAATGCTTGCAACAAAAAGTATTACAGATTTCAAAGTTTTTCAGAATTTGGAATATTTGCATATGCATAACGAAATATCTTGGGGACAAGACCCAAATCTAAATATAAAATGCATTTATGTTTTATATATACCTTATACACATGGCCTGAAGGTAATTTTGTACAGCACATGTAATTATTTCGTGCATGAAACCAAGTTTTAACTGCAACCCATCGCATGAGGTTAATGTAAATTTTCCACTTGTGGTGTCATATCAGTGCTCATTTTGAGGTGTGTGTGTGTGTAATACTGATGATTTGCATTCATTGTACTTCCCTCACTAACAATCAAATTGTGTCTTAATGACCTGTATAAAAAAACTCCAAATGTAGCACCTTAAAATAATAACAATAAATTATTTTGCTCATAAACCTGAAATGCTGCCAGTGCTTGGCAAGGACAGCTCTTCCCTTGGCGAGGACAGCTCAACCAGCATAACCTGGGGTGGCTTGATTGGAGCTAAACAATTGGGTTTTAGGAGGGCCACTCACAAGGCTGGTCAATTGATGCTGTTACTTGAGGACTCCGCCATGGCTATGGGCCTCCTTCTGGGTGGGTTGGACTTTCTTACTACATGGTGTCTGTGTTCTAAGTACAAGTATCTCAGTATCTCAAGAGAACCTAGTGGAGAATGTATTGATTTATATGACCTAACTCTGAAAGCACATGGTGTCACTTCTGTCCCTCAGATTCAAGAGGATGAAATGTTGACCCTGCCTCTGATGGGAGAAGTGTCTGAGCCACATTGTAAAAAGAATATGTGGGATGGGAGACGTTGTTATGGCCATTTTTAAAAAAGGACAATCTGCCACAGTCACAGGTTATTATTTCTAAACAGTTCGAATATTTATTTTGTTCATGCAACAAATATTTATTGAATGCCTACTATGTGCCACTACTTGGAGTTCAACAGTAAACACACACATGCACACACACACACACACACACACACACACACCACACAGTCATTGCCCTTGTGGGGCTGATATTCCATTGAATAAAATAAGAGGAAAATAATATCTGCCATGTCAGGTGATAAATATTATTGTGTTAGGGAAAAAAGAAAACCAATGTAATGGGGAAAGGAAACGTTGGGAATTAGAGAAGTGCTATTTTGTATAGCATGGCCTGGGAAATAGTCTCCAATAAGGTGACTTTCAAGAAGACACACCCAAAGGAAAGTGAGGGAATGAGCCTTGAGGAAAAAGGCATCAGGAGGTGGTAGTTCTAAACAGAGACATGGCTAAACACTTTAAAATCTAAGGATGTTTGCTATGTGTGAGAAACAGCAAGGAGGCCAGTATGCCTAAAGTATGAAGGGGAGAGTTGTAGGAAGTGAAATCAGAGTGGACACGGGTGCCAGATCATGTTAAAGTAATAAAGTGTATATTTCTTTCTATTGCAACAAAAAATTCCCAAAGGAAACATACCAATAATAATTCTTTTTAGCTGCATTGTCTTTATGTTGATCACATTCCTTCCACAAATACTGAATACCAAAGAATAAGCCTTCATGTGATCAGTTAGGGGCATCAGCTGTTGTCTGAATCAGTGGAAAGTTGGCCAACTGATTGAAATTGCTTCTAACCTTGGAGATGAAAATTCAGGTCTCAGAAAGCCACGAGACATCCCTTCTTTCTGAATCTGTTCTCTCCGCCTGCTTCATGCCACATCTGTGCACATAAAACACCAACATATTCACTGACCTGGAAGGCAGAGGTAATAATGGTGTTGGCATTTAGATGTTCAGGTTTGTAATCATGAAGGGAACTCACCGAAAATACTGAAGGTTGGTTTGAGTGCCCTTCTGTGCATTTCCCTCCTCTCCAACTCCCTGATAAAACTAGGAAAATCCTTCACCTTGACATCATTAACATCAGAAGTAATAAATGGAGAACAGCTGCAACCAAACCGGCCAAATACTTGGCACAATTTAAGTTACTTAAGAAGTTGCTTCAATGGGAAGTTTTTTCAAACCTCACTGAAGATTAGCAGCATCTTGGGATCTTTGCCCACCTCAAAGCTCTGGAGTTGGGCCCAACTCCATAGCGTTTTTTTTTTCTTTTTTTTCTCTCTTTTTCTTTTTTTTCTTTTTTTTTTTTTCTTTTTGCTTCCCCAGGTGATTCTAACACGCAGCCATAGTTGAAAACCACTATTGCTATAAAGCTTTGCCTTACTAGATGGCACAGGATGACTCAGATTTTATTATGCCTTACACACCATCATCCAACAGAAATTAAAATACCTGAAGACTGGAAACTATTAAAGTTCTAATTTCCAAATGGTTTATCTGAAGGACCATTCTAGGTATGTGCTGCGTTTATAAATATCACTGGAAATGTTTACAACAGTTCTTGTCCTATCCATCACCCTACTCTTTCCTTCCCAATTGCATTCCTCATATTATTCAAGAGAGCAAGCAATATCACTTCTTTATTTTAATAATTCCTTCTGAATAAGGCTTGTCCCTTGCAAAAGTCCCTAAGGCTATGTTTTCATATGTTGGAATAATGAAACACACATATTGATAAATTTTTAAATGTGTCTTCTGTGTCACTTTGCTTTTTACTTTTTCTTTCCCAACTTTTCTATTGGCATGTGATACAATTTGGATATTTGTCCCACCAAATCTCATGTTGAAATGTAATCCCCGATGTTAGAGGTGGGGTTTGGTGGGAGGTGTTTGGTCATGGGGACGGATCCCTTATGGCTTGGTACTATCTTTGAGATAGTGAGTTAGTTCTTGTGAGATTTAATTGTTTAAAACTGTGTGGCACCTCCCCTCACTCTCTTTCTCTCACCATGTGATATGCCTGCCCCTGCTTCCCCCTCTACCACGAATAAGAGCTCCCTGAGACCTCCCCAGAAGAGTGCAGATCCCAGTGTCATTCTTGTACAGCCTACAGAATCATAAGCCAATTAAACTTCTTTTCTTTTTATATTATCCAGTCTCAGGTATTTCATTATAGTAATGCAAGAATGGCCTAACACAGCCTGGTAGTTAACTTGTTTATTCTATCAAATGAGATGAAAACATTGATTAAATGGATACTCATGTTGTTAAATAACTTTATAGGTTATGAGGACAGGTATCAGTGATTTGAAAAGGAGATCCACAGTGAAAGCATTTCCTCCATATGATTTCATACAATCATCTTTGGTTACCTCTTGTCATTTTTCTTTTCCCCAACAATAAGGCAGGGACACTTCTTGAGGAAACACCTGGAAAATATCGTATTAGGATTACAGTTGATAGTCTTCCTTACTACTAAGGAATGCTCTGGCATAATGGCCTACTGGATCTAACACTATGCAAAACCAAAGTCTACTTCTCTGTCATCTACCCCAGGTATGATGTTAGTCAGTGATGTCACCTTAAGCACAGTTTCTAAGCTAGAATCCACTGGAGTTATCATCTACTCAAGTGAGTTTCAAACATTTTCTAAAGAAGACTTTTCTCAAAAAATAATGTTTATCACCATAGTAAATAGATAAAAATAAAAAGTTTTTCTTTATGGCTTTAGAGACTAAAAGCCTCAACATTTTTGCCTCCCACTTTCATCCTGATTACTGTCCTTAGGATATGTCCATGGAAAACTAAGTGATTTGCAAATTACTTCTCTACAGTAGCTTCTCCACATGCGGTCAGTTATCAAAGCCTGTAATCTTACCTCAGAATGAATGCCTGGATGCAGCAGTTCTTCCTCATCACTACTAACCCTGCCCATCTCTCATCTGGACCATTGCAATATATTTATCTCCTTTCTCCAGGTTCCTCTCCTCTGAATCCCCTTGCCAATGATTTTCTCTTTAAAATAAAGTTTATCAAGTCTTGTCACTCTTTGCCTTTAAACCCCTAGTTGATTTCATACTCTTGATGGGATGCTGGCCAAAGACTAAAGTTAGAGCCAAACTTCACTTCATCTCTATTTTCTACCATATTCTCTATTAATTGACTGCCATTCTCTCAAATTGCATAATGCTCTCATCAACGCTTGTTACTTAGAATGCCATTAAAATGTTAAAAATCCCCAAGTTGTATCTTGAGACCAGCACACTCTCTGAGTCCAAAGATTTTTTGCCACCTCCACTGCTGCTACCATTGCTTTTTGCCTAGCAAGACGTTCTTGCATCTATATTCTGTTTTCCATAGGACAACTATATCATTTAGTCTGATCAGTAAATACCTCTGCCTAAAACTCTCCAGTAACTTCCTCTTTCTTCCATAATAAAAGGGTCTTCCTTCCGACTGCATCCAAGGCCCTCATTATCTGGCATTATCCGGTCTCACTCTATTCTTACTCCCCCTCTCTCACTCTGCTCTTGCCATACTGGCCCCTGTGCTATTTTTCCAATGCAATAAGCATATTTCAGTCACAGAACTTTTAGACTGTGTTTCCTCTGCCTGGCATGTTTTTCGAAATATCCACCTGACTTTCTCCCTCATTTTCTACAGGCCTCTGATCATGTCACTTCATCAATACCGTCTTCATTGACCATCCTGCTCACTATGCCCAACACTCCTAGCTATATACTTTCCTTCTTTTAATTTTATCCATAGAGCTTTTTACCATCAGATATACTCTATTTTTTTTGTTGTTTTTCACCCACAATTAGAATATAAACTCCATAACAGCAGGAAAAACAGGGATTTTTATGTTCAGTCACTATTGTGATGAAAATATAGAATAATGCATTTTACACAGAAGTTGCTCAATAAATACTGTAGGATAAATGAATGAACAAATGTACCCTGAGCTCCAGCCACATAATCTTTCACTATTTTCTGAACATACTAGAGGTACTTCCCTAATTTGTTATTTGTATAGAAGTTGTTCCTTCTGCTTGGAGAACAATTCCCACTACTTCATGCTTCAAGACCTCTGCTGCTACCTACACTATGAAACCTCCAACTCCCTCAGTCTATTGTGGATTGGACTAGCTGTTGTGGTCCAATAGCTCTTTGTCTATTAGCATAATTATTAGAAGTACCTATTAGAACTTTGCAGCCTGGTCTTATAATTTTTTGTTTCTATGTCTGTGTCCCTTACTACAGTTCAGGATTCTTAGGGATAGTAACGGTATTATTTCTCTTTGAATAGGCAGTATAAAACTTAGAATGTCAATACATAGTTTCCAAATGCAAGAATCAATTATTCAACAGTGCAGATCTGTATATCAATCTGTGAGTTTCCAGGAATGCTGACTAGAAACAAAAGGAAAGAGCAGCAAGAAGTTAAAGATTACAGATAAAATTGCATCCAAAAAGTGGAGAGTGTTTGTTCTGCACATTTCATTTACGTGAAGTGATAGGAAATAGATATTAAAATGAAAACCAGCTAGTGGAATTTGTAAAAAACAAGTCGGGGTCAGAATTTGGTCTTCTTTTTACTTGCCAACAAAGGTGCTGTCTGGTTGGAACAAGGCAGGAGAAATGGCTGTTAGAAGATGTCTATATAGTGCTACTAATGAGATCTGGGTCATAGTGAAAGCAATTTTCCAATAGTAGCACAGGCTATCTCTTCTGTCTTCGAAATTGTGACAATGGTTTTTATGATTCTAATTCAGGGACTCTAACCAAGCTCGAAACTTTGCCTGGGCAGACAAAAACTCAGATGTGATTGCTCTTGCAAATAGCCCCTTTAGTGTACTATAGGTGTGAGTATGAATGTGTATTGAGGGGTTACTTTCTAAGTCTCTGCCATGACAAGATGAGTGAGGGAAATCAATTGGGGCTGAAAATGCCAGCACTATCTCTGATAGTAGCAAACAGCAAAGCCACTATGTTGGAGATGACATCATACCCATCATACCCATTTATAGCTAATATTAAACTTAATGGGAATAAATGGAATCATTCTCTTTGTAAGATCAGATCCATGGTAAAATTAAAACAACAACAGCAGCAATAACAAAAGATTATTTTGGAGGTCATAGCCAATGTTGATGACGAAATAGAAACACATAATTAAAAAATAAAACTGTCTTTATTTGGAGAGTGATGGTCACTTTCATAGAATAAACTAAGAAATCTACAAATACCCATATTATACACCCACTGGAGACAGACTTTGAAGAACCATTTCCTATTGACCCCTCTACATAATCTGAGACCACACTTATGAAAATTGCATTCGTTTGTGTAATTCGAAGCTATTCTAATTCTTAGAACTAGAGCTAATAAAGTCTTTGTCAGCACTTGGTTTTGTCAGTTGCTTGTCTGTTATAATTTTAGTCATTCTTGTGAGTGTGTAGTCCTATCTCATTGTGTTTTCATTTGCATTTTCATTATTAACAATGTTAAACATTTTTTCATAAACTTTATCTACTCTTTGTATATCTTCTTTGGTAAAGTTTCTACTAGACTCTTTAGCCCATTTTAAAAAATTCAGAGTTTGTTTTCTTAGTATTGAATTTTCAAAATTCTTTACATATTTTGGATATAGTACCTCTAGCAAATATTACTCCCATTCTGACTTTTTATACTGTAACCTTGTCAAATTTATGTATTAGTTCTAGAAGCATTTTTGTAGATTTCTTAGTTTATTCTATGAAAGTGACCTTCACTCTGCAAATATAGTTTTATTTTTTAATTATGTGTTTCTGTTTCTTCATCTACATTGGCTATGACCTCCAACATAATCTTTTGTTATTGCTGCTGCTGTTGTTTTAATTTTACCGTGGATCTGATCTTACAAAGGTAATGATTCCATTTATTCCCATTAAGTTTAATATTAGCTACAAATTTGTCCTAGATGAGCTTTGCCAATTTGAGGACATTTCCTACTAATCCTAGTTTGAGGATTTTTTTTTTTTTTTAGTGTAATGACTGGGTAGTGAATTTTGTTAAATAATTTTTCATATTTATTGAAATGATCATATAGATTTTTTTCCTGTATTGTGTTAATATAGTAATATATTCCTGTATTCAATGTGTTAGGTATTGTGTCCATGTTCATGAGTGATGTTGCTCTTTACATTTACTCTCTTGTAATATTTTTGTTGAATTTTTTTATGAGGGGAACGCTGATCTCATGAGTTAAGTGGGAAAGTCTTAAATTTTCTTGAGGATTTTGTTTAGAATTGAAATTACTTCTTTCTTAAAGTTTTGAGAGGAGTCATTAATGAAACCATATGCACCTGGAATTCTCTTGGCATAAAGCTTTTTAACTGCAAATTCATTTTTAGTATGTCTAGCTTTACTCTGATTATCTCTTTCTTCTTTAAGAAGACTTGATAGTTTGTATCTATCAAGAAACTTGTGAAATTTGTTCATTACGGTACCTTATACTGTTAACAACTGTAGGAGCTAATAGTAAAGGTGTCTATTTCATTTCTGGTGTTGGTAATATGTTGCTTCCATTTTGTTGTTGTTGGGTGTTTTTTGTTTGTTTGTTTGTCTGTTTATTTGTTTCTGAGACGGAGTCTGGCTCTGTCCCCAGGCTGGAGTGCGGTGGCGCCATCTCGGCTCACTGCAAGCTCTGCCTACAGGCTCCTGCCGTCAAGCCTGGCTAAATTTTTGTATTTTTAGTAGAAACGCGGTTTCACCCTGTCAGCCAGGATGGTTTGGATCTCCTGACCTCGTAATTCGCCCGCCTCAGCCTCCCAAAATGCTGGGATTACAGGCGTGAGTCACCGCGCCCGGCCTTTTTTTTTTTTTTTCTTTATCAATTGGACAAAAGATTCATCCATTTTATTGATCTTTTCAAAGGATCAAGTCTTGTTTTTATTGATTTTCTCCGTTGTGTCTCTGTTTTCAAAAATAAATCCAGTCTCCATTATTTCATTAGAGCTAGATGTTGAAGTCTCATACATTATAGTGTGATTAATTCTATTTTTAGCAGCCTTATTCTAAGTGTTCTCAAATTGTTTTTCAAAAGTTGGTGGACTTTTTGTTTCCAATTAAAATGATTTAGAAGGGATGCTAAAAATAAATCAGGAAAACTAAATTTGGAATTTGAGTAGATCTACTGAGTCTTAAAGTAAGAGATAGAGAATCATAAATACTTTTGAGATAAACTTGTGTAGCTATGAATTTTTCTCCTCTGTCCTTTATCTGTATTAATTTAACAAATGCTGTTTTGACTGTAGAACACTATTAGAAATAGGAGAGTAGGGATAATAACTAATACCTGACCACTGCTTTAGAGTTGTTTATAGTCAAGCAGGGAAGATGAAATTTAAGAAAATATCTACAATGCAAGGTAGAATGAGATAACTGTGGTGACAATATATGGATAACCATATTAATAGAATTTCATTTTACTATTTTTGAAAACAGTTTCCCCATGGCTATAATTAGTATGAGAATCAAAGGGGATTTAAATATTTTCATTAGAAACTCTAATCTGTTTTTTCTACAATAGATTAAAAAATACTAGGATTCCAGAGATATGTCTTACTGCTTACATGTAAAGAACAGAGACTGGGTGCAGAATTAAGTAAAGAACTAGAGTATGGTAGGGAGAAGCAGTGTGATTAATGCATTGTCTTGATAATGGTTACTCCACTTTGGATGATGTATCCCAGATGAGTGTGATGTATCAAATAATTGCCTTACAAAAAACTCTTTTAGATAGAATATACTTATGAAAATATAGGTGGGTCCTGAATTGAAAATGAGTTTATATTAACAAGTTTGGTTCAGAAACTATTTTCTGGTTAGTAAATTATAAGATATTTCAAACATGATGCATATGGAATTTATTGCTTATCATTTCGTTGTTTCCAAACTTCAGGGGAGGTATGAATGAGAATCAATGTTTATGAGATAAAAGTGCCAATATTCCACTCTATTATTAAGAGAAAAAAATCTAACAGAATTTTAGAAAAGTTTAGCTAGAACATGGGACCTGCCCTGTGGTATCATATTATTATCATATGGTATCATAAGTGGCAATACCTTACTGCAACAAGAAATTGTTTGGAAATAGGTTTACCACTTCAAAGCAATTTCTGTTGTGTTGAAACTCTAACCATAGCTCTATAAAAGAGACAAATTAGAAAATTAGACAAATTAGAAAATATATTTAAATATATATTTAATTCTTTTATTGTATGAAAAAATGATTATAATAAGTTTACAAAACAAAATAAACAAATAGAAAGTGTGACTGAAATTGCTCTGTAAAGAAAAATATATTTAAAGGCTGGGCACGGTGGCTCACACCTGTAATCTCAGCACTTTGGGAGGCCTAGGTGGGCATAGGATGGCTTGAGGTCGGGAGTTTGAGACCAGCTTGACCAACATGGTGAAACCCCATCTCTACTAAAAATACAAAAATTAGCTGGGCATGGTGGTGCACATCTGTAATCCCAGCTGCTCGAGAGGGTGAGGCAGGAGAATCACTTGAACCTGGGAGGCGGAGGTTGCAGTGAGCAGAGATCATATCATTGCACTCCAGCTTGTGAGACAGAGTGAGACTCCATCTCAAAATAAAAATATATTTAAAAATAGATTAAAGGTATACTTAAAATATTAACAATGCTTATCTCAGGGATGGTAAGATAAGTAATGATTTCATTACTTAGTTGAAGTTATATGTATAAATATATATATTTATATATAAATAATTATATATAAGAAGTTGAATTATATTCAACTTCTCATATATAATTAAACTCTTTCTAGATATTTAGAATTTTTCTAAAATTGAAAATATCTGTAAAGTTATCATTTTTAAAATCTAACATTAAATAATCAGCAAATTAGATAAAGTGGATTATCATGTTTTAGAAAAAGAATTATGAAAAATTTGTCATCTTAATTTTGAGAGGATTTCAGGATCATAAATTGTATTTACCAGGTGATAATTCTGTAGCAACGATCTCATTTCTGAATTTATAAATTCTGCCTTATGTATTTTGTTCAGCTTCAAATTCTAGTGCTAATTTTACATCTTCACCTTGATCATAAGTTCCATCTAAATTTACTGAATTTAAGCTCTCTTTTCAAACCATTCTGGGACATATGCAGTGTTCTGTGTGGTCAGCAATGAAAAAATGTTGATCATCTAATCCTTTCCTCCTTCCCAAAAGAATCCTGATTTTGTCCAGTGGTGTTCCCATTTGACATGTCTACCTAACATTTCCTTCTTCTGGCGACAGCCATAGATTGAGAAAATGACTTGGCCCAGCTGGAATCAACCAAAATGAGAGTTTGCTGGGAGCTTTTGGGCAAGCACTCTCAAGAAAGATGCATGAATAGAGAACCTTTATTATTCTGCTTTTTGTGAGGAGTGGATGTCGATTGCAAAGACATCATCCTCTCACCCATTTAAGAATGAAGTCAGCACACTGAGGAGGGCAGAACCAAGCAACTCATAGGACATTGAGCCAGAGCCACTTGATTAAGTCCATTTTAACATCAGATCACTTCTCAACTTTCTGTTAAATTAGTGAAAACATTCCTAAATTTTTTAACCAGTTTGATTTTAATTTCCTGTCACTTATAGCCAAAAGCCTCCTGAGCAAACAGGTAGAGCCATGCTTAGTAGGGCCCTTTCTTTATGAAGCAGGTAGTTGGATTGCCTCAGAACTACCCATGCTACTAATTTTGTTCCTCAATCATTGTTCTCTAAAGTTGGTCTCCTTTTCTGGTCACCAGATTTCTTTACCAGAATGATAAAAAGGGATGTTCTATGGGTGTTATTGAGAATACACTTTTCTCCTAGTCATACAAATTGCCAATCTGAACAACTTTTAGTGATATGTATGTGTTACACATTTATTTTATTAGCCATGGGCAATGGTTTAAATATCTCCTCCAAAGCTCATGAAAATTTAATGGCCATTTTAAAAGTATTAAGAGGTGGAGCCTTTAAGAGGTGATTAGGCCATGAGGGCTTTATCCTCATAGGTGAGATTGCTGCCATTATAAAGAAGTATGACCTTCTCTTGCCCTCTCTTGGCCTTTCTGCCTTCTACCACGGGAACAAGGAGGCCCCTGCCAAATGCTGGCAGTATGATACTGAACTTCCCAGCCTTTAGGATTGTAAACAAATAAATTTCTGTCCATCATAAATTACCCAGTCTATATCATGCTGTTACAGCTGCACAAATGGACTAAGAAAGAAAATTGGTACCAGAAAAGTGGGATGTTGCTGTACCAGATATATAAACCTGTAGAAGCAGCTTGGAATCTGGTAATGAGTAGTGGCTCAAAGAGTTTTAAAGTGAATGGTGGAAAAGACCTAGATTGCCATGAACAAATAATTAAGGGTGATTCTGGTGAGGGCTCAGAAGGAGAAAATAGCTGTAGGGAAAGCCTGAAACCTATTAGATATTACATAAATGGCCATGATCAGAATATTGGTAGAAATGTGGATGGCAAAGGCAATTCTGATGAGGTATCAGATGGAAAGGAAGAGCAAGGTATTGGGAACTGAACCAAAGTCCATTCTTCTTAAAAAGTGGTAAAGAACTTGGCTGAATTGTGTCCATTGATTTGGTGGTTTTGTAGAAGACAGAATTTAAGACTGATAAAGTAGAAATATCTGAGCAGCAAAACGTTCAGGGTGCTACTTGGCTTCTTTAACCACATAGAGTAAAATATAGGAAGAGAAAAATTAAAGAGAGAATTTATAATTAAAAGGGAATCACAGTGGAATAAAGAAATACCTGAGACTGGGTAATTTGTAAAGAAAAAAGGTGTAATTGGCTTACAGTTCCACAGGCTGTACAGGAATCCTGATGCTGGCATCTGCTTAGCTTCTGGGGAGGCCTCAGGAAACTTACAATAATGGTGGCAGGTCAATGGGAAGCAGGCATTTTACATGGTTGGAGCAGAAGCAAGAGTGAGAGAAGAGGTGTTACACACTTAAATGACCACGTCTCATGAGAACTCACTCACTATTGTGAGGACAGTACCAAGCGAGATGGTGCTCAACCATTCATATGAATCCATCCCCATGATCCAATCACCTCCCACCAGGCCCGGCTTCTAACATTGGGATTACATTTCAGTATGAGATTTGGGCATGGACATACCTCCAAGCTATACCACACAGCATGAAGATTTGGATAACTCTCAGTGACCATTTGATAAGATTAGTACAGATAGAAGAACAAAGCCAGAGACTATTCATCAGGATAATGGGAGAATGACCCCAAAGGCACTTCTGAGATTTCCAGGATGGCCCCTTCCACCACAGGCCCAGAATGACAAGGCCTGAGGAAATAAACTATACCAAAAGAGAGGTCAAAAGTACACTAAGGAACTTGGGGCACATTGCTCAGGGGTACCTCAAGTCTCCACTCCCTGCATTCTGGTACTCTTCATCTACCCCAACTATCACTCAAGCAGGTACAGGTGTGGCTTGAGCAGCCCTTCTGGAAGTTACAAACTGTAAATCTTGGCAGTGTCCATGTGGTACTAATTTTGTGGTGCACAGAATCCAAGACCTGTGGGGACATGGCTTCCTCTACCTAGATTTCAATGGATGTCATAGATAGCCTGGAGGTTGGGACAGAGATTTGTGGTAGGAGGGCACTACAGACAACCTCCACTAGGACAGTGCTTACTGGAGCCACGTGGGTGAAGCTGCCCCTTGAGACCCTGGAACAGTAAAGCTACCATGTGCAACACCAGCTGGGGAGAGCTACAGGCACAAGAAAACTTGTGAGAGCTACTCATTTTGCTGAGCCAAGCAAAGCCATGGAGGCTGGGCTTTCTGAGCCCTTGGGGACCCAATCCCTATCCCAGTGAGTGTGGAAAGCTGGACATAGTGTCAAAGATTATTTTCAGGCTTTAGGATTTAGATTGTTCACCCTGTTGGGTTTTGTACTTCCTGTGGCCTATTTCTTTTTTCTTTCCTATTTTTCTCTTGGAAATGGGAATGTTTATTCCATGCCTGTTACAGCATTGCATTTTGGAAGCTCATAACTTGTTTAATTTCATAGGCTCGCAACTGGAGGGAAATATGCCTCAGGATGGATTGTGCCTTGAATCTCACCCATATCTGATTCAGATGAGACTCTGAACTTAGATTTTGAGTTAATGGTGGGATGAGTTAAGACTTTTGGGGCTATTGGAATGGAAAGAATGCATTTTGTATGTCCGAAAGACATGAGTTTTGAGAGACCAGGAGTGGAAAGCTACAGTTTGAATATTTATCCTCTTTAAAACTCCTATTGAACTTTGATTGCCATAATAATGTTATTAACAGGTGAAAGTTTAAAGAGGTCATTAGACCAGGAGGGCTCCCCTCATGGGTGGGATTGGTGCCATTATAAAATGGCGGGTTTGGCCCCCTCTTGCCTTCTGGCCCTTCTGCCTTATGCCATGGGAAGGTGCAACAAGAAGTCCCTCACCAGATACCAACAACTGGATATTAAACTTTTCAGCCTCCAAAACTGTGAGTCAATAAATTTCTGTTAAATATAGATTACCCAGTCTTTCGTATTTTGTTATAGGAGCACAAAACAAACGAAGACACCATGTTTCCCAAAGAAGCTTTAGAAGACCCAATTGGCATTTACCAATGTTTTCCTCAGGGAGATTGAACTGTACTGTCTCTGACTGTACTGTGGTGTTTATCAGTGGAAAGAGTTTATAAACTCAAGTGAATACCAGTTCAGTCAGCTGCTAGCTATGTGCCCTGAGCAAGTTATTTTATCTTTCCATGTTTAGTAATATTCTTGTAGTGATAATATTACCTATCTCACATTGTTGTTTACAAGTTTAAATGAGTAATATTAAATTTAGCATCTCAGATCCCAGCACAGGCAGTGAATTAAGTGTTTGCTTCCTTTTCTTATTTCTTCGCTTATGAGAAAAAACCCATGAGTAACTCATCATCTGATTATTCCTCTACTTCAGAAATGTAAAATCCATAATTCCTACAATCCTGTCAAAATTAGAAGGTCCAACACTTTATTTCTATAGTGTATTTTTTTATTTTTACATATTGGAGCTCTTATAATTTTTCTGAACTTAAGGCAAATTCCTTGGCACCATCTACTAAGTTTATTTTTTTTTTCCTGAGGAAATTAAGCAACTCCAAAGGAGTTCTAATGCCTCACAGAGAAGTCTTTCAAGCAGTCTAATTAAACAGAGGTAATCAATAGAGAAAAACCTAATCCTACCACTACCCTTTTCTCTAGCAATATAAATCAAATTCCCATGACCCATCTGCATCTGCAAGGTATAAAGATATTACATTTTTTTGGTCTTGTTTTCAAGAATCTAAACCCACCCAAATATTCTGCCTTTCAAGAACATTTTGCATATTTATGTGGAAGTCCTACAGTTGCCATGACTTTGCAGTTTGCTATTAACATTTTGTGTAGACTTTGTCCTAGCTAGAGATGTATGAACACATTTTACATAGAGCCCAAATGCTAGCCAGACCTTCCTTATGAATAAAAGACAGATCTTTCCCTTGGAACTAATTTTCCCCTAAGATATATTACAGAATGTGCTACATTTTTCCTGGCCAAGAAGAAAACCACATTCTATTCAATATCAAATGAGTAAATTGATACACTAAGAATTTTCAATAATCTTGGGTTTCCAGACTAGTAAAGAAATAGAAGCATTTTCAATTTCTAAAAGTCTACTTAGGTTTTCAGTCTGGTATGTGAGAAGCTTGAACGTTCCACTCCATCCTAACAACCAGTAGAAAGAAGAACAGGCTGAAAAATAAGCAACTCATTTCAGATTTGCCAGAGAAGTAAGGTCACAGGGCCAACCACTGCCCTCAAAATTGGAGGGACAGAGAAGCAAATACAGAGAATCTCAACTTACCTGTACAAAACCCACAAGCAATGATTTCTGTGTGAACCAGTGCCCAAATTAAAAAACCTAAACTGTAATTGATGAATTGTTAGAAGTTCAGCATGGACACTTTTGAGAGTTAAAAACTCCAGGGGATCCAGTAATGGAGGGACGCATTTTTTGAGTTTTACCTCCAGGAACTTGACCAGGTTCTCACTGTAAATATCAGAGAAAAATCCCTTCATGCTTCCAGCAGAGGGAAAGAACAAAGGATCAGTTTAAAATACACCACAGCATTTTTTCCTTCCTTACAAGGGCTGCCCTGGGACAATACTATTTAACCAGAACCTAAACTGCTGGAGTTTTATCAGAGCCTAACTAACTTGGAGGAAAACTCAACTCTAGCTGGCTCCAGCCAACATGTTCCATCTAAGGCAGGAATGAGAAGCATACTAAAGTTCGCAATCTAGAGGTGCAGGCTGACTAAAACATTAAGTCCTAACGATGGGACTATAGAATGCTTCCTTTCCCCCATTCCTTACCACCATGTGACTAAAGGCCTATTTACTGCAGTTCCTTTTACATAGTATATTTATCATGTCCAGCTATAAATAAAATGTTAAACGACATTAAAAGGCAAAAAGTTCAGTTTGTAAAAAATAAGCAAGCATCTAAGTTAAACTCGGATAGGAGATATGTATTGATATTATCTGGGAATTAAAAAAACATGATTAATATGCTAAGGATTCTAATGGATAAAGTAGATAGCATGTAAGAACAGATGGGCAATGTAAGCAAAAAGATGGAAATTCTAAGAGGGAAACAAAAAGAAATGCTAAAGATCAGAATCACTGTAACAGAAATGGAGAATTTTTTGATGGGCTTATTAGTAGACTGGACACAGCTGAGGAAAAAAAATCTCTGAGCTTGAGGATATCTCTGAAAATAGAAACCTCTGAAAAATCAAAAAGAAAGAGAAAACCTGAGATAAAGAGCAGAATATCCAAGAACTGAGGGTCAACTAGAAATGGTGTAACATACACATAAAGGGAAGCCTAAAATGAGAAGAAGAAAAAAATACACGACATATTTGAAACAATAATTACAATTTTTTTTCTCGAAATAAGACCCAAATCTGCAAATCCAGGAAGCTCAGAGAACACCAAGCAGGATAAACGCCAGGAAACTTCATCTAGGCATAATTATTTTCAAGCTATAGAAAATCAGAGATGAAGAAAAAAAACTGTGAAAGGAGCCAGAGGGGAAAAACACCTTACTTATAGGGGCACAAAGATAAGAACTGCATCTGACTCCTTCTCAGAATCCATGCAAGCAAGAAGAGAGTGAAGTAAAAATATTTAAAGAGTTGGGAGAGAAAAACAGTAACAATTAAAAAAAACAACAACACAGCACCACCAACCTAGGATTCTGTACCCAGAAAAATTCTTCAAAAGTGAAGAAGAAATAAAAGCTTCTCAGAAAAATAAACATTGAGGAAATGTGTTGTCAGTAGACCTGCCTTGTAAGAAATGTTAAAAGAAGTTCTTTAGGGAGAAGGAAAAATACATAGGTCAGAAACTTGGAGCTATATAAATAAAGACAAATACTTAGAGAAGAAATTAGCTAATGTAGAATAAAAACTTGTAAATTTTCTATTATTCAATTATTTAACATATAACATTTTTTTCAAAATAATAGCAATGTAATAATCTATGTGTTTGTGTGTTTATAATCTATGTGCTTATGTATAAGTAATATAAATGGCAGCAATGATACAAGGGATGAGAGGAAAGAATTAGAGTTATTTTGTTTCCATAAGATACCCACACTGCCAGTGAGGTAGTATTGTGTTACTTGAAAATGGACTTGGGTTAGTTGTATTAGTTGTATATGTTTATTGCAAACTAGGGAAATCACTAGAAAAAGTTTTTAAAAGCTATAATTGATATACTAAGAAGAAAAAATGAACACATGTAAAATGCTCAAAATGAAAGACTGAAAAAGAATGAAAGATAAAAATGGGCACAAAGATCAAGGGAAACAAATAGAAAACATCAACAGATAATCCAACTATGTCACTAACCAATGAATGTTAATGGTCTAAGTGAACTAATTAAAAGAGGTTGTCAGAGTGAATCAAAAAATAAAACCCAACCATACGTTATCTATAAGAAACCAACTTTAAATATGAAAACACATATAGATGAAAAGAAAATGGATGAAGGAAGATACACTATGTAAACACTAATCAAATAAAAGCATGAGCAAGTTTATTAATTTCAGACAGACCAGACTTCAGAGCAAGGAAACTTATCAGGGCTGAAGAAGGGCACTGAATAGTGATAATGTCTGTTCTCTAAAAAGACATAACAATCTTTAACCATGCATATCCCTTCTAACAGAGCATCAAAATAATGCAAGGCAAAAGCACACAGGACTGCAAGAAGGAATCTATAACTCCAGTATTATAGTTGGAGACTTCAACACCCTTCTATCAGAAATGGAGCGATTTAACAGGCAGAAAATCAGTAAGAACACAATACCATCCATACAGAATACTAATAACATCTATAGACCACTTCATTCAATAACATCAGATTACAACTCCTCAAGCTCACATGGAACATTCACCAAGATAGACCACATTCTGAACCATAGAACACACCCAACAAATTTAAAAGAATCATATAATGTGTCTCTCAGACCATGATGGATTTAAACTAGAAATCATAACTGAAAGATAGCTGGACAATTCCAAAATACATGGGGATTAAACAACACATTTCTAAACACATGAGTCAAAGAATAAATATCAAGAAAAAATTTAACACCGCATATTCTCACTCATAGGTGGGAATTGAACAATGAGATCACATGGACACAGGAAGGGGAACATCACACTCTGGGGACTGTTGTTGGGTGGGGGGAGGGGGGAGGGATATCACTGGGAGATATACCTAATGCTAGATGATGAGTTAGTGGGTGCAGCGCACCAGCATGGCACATGTATACGTATGTAACTAACCTGCACAATGTGCACATGTACCCTAAAACTTAAAGTATAATAATAAAAAAAAAAATTCAAAAAAAAAATTTTGAACTAAATGAAAATGAAATAACTGATTAAAATTTGTGGGATGTAATGAAAGCAGTGCTTAGAGGGCAAATTATAGCAATGAATGTACATAAAAGACAGGAAGAAAGATCTAAAATATACTCTAGGCTTCTGCTTTAGGAAACCTAAAAAAGAAGAGCAAATTAATCCAATTAAGCTGAAAAAAAAAAATCAGAGCAGAAATCAATGAAATTGAAAACAGAAAATCTATGAAATCTAAACCTGGTTATTTGGAAAGATCAATAACACCGAAAAGCATCTAGCCAGGCTAAATGAAAAAAAGAGAGGACAAAAATTGCTAATATCAGAAATGAAAGAAGGGACATTATTACATATCTCATGGATATTAAAAGGATAAAAGTCTTTTATGGACAGCTCTGTGTCCACAAATTTCGTAGCTTAGGTGTAATGGGCCAGTTCCTTGAAAGATACAATCTGCTACAACTCACAGAGAAGAAACAGACAATCTGAATCAGTTATATCTATTAAATAAATTTTATCAATAATTACCTCCCAAAACAAAAGTGTCAGGCCCAGATGGGTCCAATGATGAATTCTACCAAATATTTAAGGAAAAATTATACCAATTCTTTATTATATCCTTCAGAGACAATCAAAGGGAATACTTCCTAACTCATTCTATGGCATTAGTATCATCCTAACAGCAAAACCAGACAAAAAATTACAAGAAAACTATAAGCTAATGTCTGTCATAAACATACATGCAAAAATTCTCAACAAAATATTAGCATATCAGATCCAACAATGTATAATAAGAATTACACATCATATATAGTATTTATCTCAGGTATGCAAAGCTGAGTCAAGATTTAAAAATCAATTTGTAATTCATCACATTGACAGGATAAAGAAGAAAACTCACATGTTCCTATCAATAAATGCTAGAAAAGTATTTCACAAATCCAACACCCATTCATAACTAAATAAAAAACTCTCAGTAAACTGAGACTAGAGAGGAACAAACTCAATTTGATAGAGAATATCAAATATCAAATATCAAATCCTACAGTTAACATTGACTTAAAGGTAAAAAACCCAAAACTTTCTTATTAAAATTGGGAACAATCAGTACTTTTCAGCATCATAATGGAAATTCTAGCTGATGCAATAGGACAAGAAAAGGAGAAAAATGGTATACAGATTGGGAAGAAAGAAATAAAACTGTCTTTGTTCACAAATGACATGATTGGCTATGTAGAATACCTGAATAAATTCACAAAAAACTCCTGGAATTAATGAATTATTATAGCTAGGTTGCAGGAGACAAGATTATACATAAAAGTGAATGTCTTTCTTACTAAAAATGCACAAGTGGAAGTTGAAATTAAAATGCCATACCATTTATATGATCATAAAAAAACTAAAACACTTAAGTATAACAAAAGATAGACCAGTTCTATATGAGGAAAACTGCAAAACTCTGAAATGAATCAAGCGCTAATGAAATAAAATGAGAGATATCCCATGTTTGTGGTTCGGAAGATAGTAGTGTCAAGATGCCAATCCTGCCCAACTTTATCTACAGAGTCATTGCAATTCCAAAAAATATTTCAGCAAGTTATCTTGTGGATATTGATAAACCAAGTCTGTAGTTTATATATAAAGAAAAAGACCCAGAATAGCCAACACAATATTGAAAAAGAAGAACAAAGTTGAAAGACTGACACTACCTCACTTCAAGATTTACTATAAATCTACAGTAATCAAGACAGTATGTATTGTCAGAAGAACAGACAAATAGAATAATGGAGCAGAATAAACTGTCCAGAAATAGATCCGTATTTATGTAGTCAACTGATCCTTGACAAATGAACGAGGGCAATGCAGTGTTGAAAAGATAGTCTTTTTTGACAAATGATGATTGACAACTGTATTTCCATATGCATAAAAAGAAAGAAAAGAGTGAATCTAGACAAAGACCTTAATCCCTTCACAAAAATTAACTCAAAATAGATCACAGACCTAAACATAAAATATAAAACTATGAAACTCCTAGAAGATAACATGGGAGAAAATCTAGATGACCTAGGGTTTTGTAACAAATTTTTAGGTACAGCACCAAAGAAGCAATCCATGAAAAAATGATAAGCTGCATTTTATTATTTTTTAAAAATATGCTCCACAATAGACACTGTCAAGACACTGAAAGAGAAGACACAGGCTAGGAGAAAATATTTCCAAAACATATATATAATTAAGGCCTGTTATCCAAAATATAGAAACTCTTAAAACTCAACAATAAGAAAATCGGATTTGTAAAATGGGCCAAAAGTCTAAATAGGCACCTTACCCAATAAGAAATACAACGGCAAATAAGCATATGAAAATATTCTCTACATCATATGCCATCAGAGAAATGTAAATTAAAGCAACAATGTATATCACTGCATACCTATTACAATGGCCAATATCCAGAACATGGACAACAAATACGGCAAGGATGTGGAACAATAGGAACTCTCATTCATTGCTGGAAGGAATACAAAATGGTGCAATGACTTTGGAAGACAGTATCGCAGTATCTTACAAAACTAAACATGCTCTTATCATACAATACAGCAATTGTGCTCCTCAATATTTACCAAAGGAGGTAAAACCTTATGTCCATGTAAAAACTTGCACATGAATGTTTGTAGACACTTTATTCATAATTGCCAAATCCTGGAAGCAACCAAGTTGTCCTTAAGTTGATGAATGTACAAATAAACTGTGATATATCCACACAATTATTCAGTGCTTAAAGAAAGTGAGCTATCAAACCATAAAAAGATGTGGAATAAATTTAAATGCATCTTACTAAGTCAAAGAAGATAAATTGGGAAGACCACATATTATATGATTTCAAACTGTATGACATTCTGCAATAGGTGAAACTATGGAGATGGTTAAAAAGACCAGTGATTGCCAGGAATTAGGAAGGAGGGAAGAATGAATAGGCAGAGCACAGAAAATTTTTAGGGCAGTGAAACTACTCTGTATGATACTATAATGGTGGATACATTTGTCTAAACCCGTAGTGTACAACACCATGGATAAACCTTAATGTAAGCTTTGGACTTTGGGTGATAAAGATGTGTCAATGTAGTTTCATTATTTGTAAAGATTGTACTACCCTGTTAGGAAATTTGATAATGGGGAGGCTGTGCATGTGTAGGGACAGGGGAAATATGGGAAGTCTCTGTACATTCTACTACATTTTACTATGAACCTAAAACTGCTCTAAAAAATAAACTATTTAAAAACAAATCTTATTCTATTACTAGGACCAAATTAATGAAAAACAAAAACAGCAACAAAACCAATATTTGAATATCTGTTATGTGCCAAGTGTTGTACTCTGAGCTTTGTGTCCATTTCTCAATTAATCTTTAAAGTATTCTGTTAAGTATGCACTATATGTTGTGCCAATCATAGAAGACAAAACTGAAGCTTAATGAGGTTAAGAAATTGAACCAAGATGACTGGGCTAGAACATGGAGAAAGGAATTTAACGTATTATGACTAAAATTATATCTAATCTAGAACTAATATTGCTGATTTGGATATGATCTACCATTCTAAAAGATGGGTTGGGTTTATACTTTGGTTTA
Source organism: Homo sapiens (assembly GCF_000001405.40). Classification (NCBI taxonomy): domain Eukaryota; kingdom Metazoa; phylum Chordata; class Mammalia; order Primates; family Hominidae; genus Homo; species Homo sapiens. The sequence continues at coordinate 29,251,689 of NC_000011.10, forward strand.
AAAACGTGATCAAATAATTAGTCCAATTTGAGATGCACAAAAGAAATGGATGGTGTTATGGTTTGGCTCTCTGTCCCCACTCAAACCTCATGTTGAATTGTAATCCCAAGTGTTGGGGGAGGGACCTAGTGAGAGATGATTTTATCATGGGGTCGGATATCCCCTTGCTGTTCTCATTATAGTGAGTGAGTTCTCACAAGATCTGGTTGTTTAAAAGTGTGTTTCACTTCCCCCTTCACGCGCTCTTGTGCTCTCTCTCTCTGTCTCTCCTATTTCCATGTGATGATGTGCTCACTTCCCCTTTGCCTTATGACATGATTGTAAGTTTCCTGGTGCCTCCATAGCCATGCCTCCTGTACAGCCTGCAGAACCATGAGCCAATTAAGCCCCTTTTCTTTGTAAATTACCAAGTTTCAGGTAGTTCTTTATAGCAGTGTGAGTACGGACAAATACAGACGCCAAAGAATTGATGAATGTATTCATATTTCATTTATAATACATGACTTTTCTCTTAGTCATAAGCATAAACATTTACTAATTTGAACAGCATTTAAAGAGACCTCTCCAGCATACCAGATATGTATTTCCATATGTTTCCCAATGAATTCTTCCCATTGAATTTGGAAGACCAAATTGACATTTATCAAATTTCAATTGGCTTACTTTATTGATTATACATGACACTGATCTCACATTTTTCCAGAAAATCATGTATATTGTATCTAAAAGATTCATCACTGGAAACTTTGATTTTGAGTTCTCTTCAAACTTTATTTTCATAAGCTTGTAGAATATAATCATTGAACAAAGACAGTTTAAAAGAGGCTGAAGCATTAGAATGATTATTGGCTTAGATTATCATAAAAGCTGTAAATCTTAAATAAATTGTAACAGAGAAACATCTTTAGCTCTATAAACTATTAGCCAATAAGTTGAAAGAGATAGTTAAACTTTTCAGGTAAAAGGGAGAGACTTATATTCTGCTTTGTTACCACCAATTCATTTATGTGTTCATATATATATATATATACACATACACATAAATATACATTTATGTATATATATTTATAAATATATAAATATATAGCAATATATAAAAATTTATATATAATACAATATTTATAAATATATAAAATATATAACAATATTTGTAATATCTACATATTTATGTATATATGAACACATGAATTTGTTATATATTGTTTATATATAAATAAATATATTTTTATATAACAAAAACACAAACATTTATGTTTAAATTTATGTATTTACTTATATGTAAATATATGTATATAAAACCACTAAGCCTACAAAATGGGAGAAAATTTTCACAACCTACTCATCTGACAAAGGGCTAATATCCAGAATCTACAATGAACTCAAACAAATTTACAAGAAAAAAAAACAAACCCATCAAAAAGTGGGCAAAGGATATGAACAGACACTTCTCCAAAGAAGACTTTTATGCAGCCAAAAGACACATGCAAAAATGCTCATCATCACTGGCCATCAGAGAAATGCAAATCAAAACCACAATGAGATACCATCTCACACCAGTTAGAATGGCAATCATTAAAAAGTCAGGAAAAAACAGGTGCTGGAGAGGATGTGGAGAAATAGGAACACTTTTACACTGTTGGTGGGACTGTCAACTAGTTCAACCATTGTGGAAGTCAGTGTGGCGATTCCTCAGGGATCTAGAACTAGAAAGACCATTTGACCCAGCCATCCCATTACTAGGTATATACCCAAAGGACTATAAATCATGCTGCTATAAAGACACATGCACACGTATGTTTATTGTGGCACCATTCACAATAGCAAAGACTTGGAACCAACCCAAATGTCCAACAATGATAGACTGGATTAAGAAAATGTGGCACATATACACCATGGAATACTATGCAGCCATAAAAAATGATGAGTTCATGTCCTTTGTAGGGACATGGATGAAATTGCAAATCATCATTCTCAGTAAACTATCGCAAGGACAAAACAACACCGCATGTTCTTACTCATAGATGGGAATTGAACAATGAGAACACATGGACGCAGGAAGGGGAACATCACACTCTGGGGACTCTTGTGGGGTGGGGGGAGTGGGGAGGGATAGCATTAGGAGATATACCTAATGCTAAATGACGAGTTAATGGGTGCAGCACACCAGCATGGCACATGCATACATATGTAACTAAACTGTACATTGTGCACATGTACCCTAAAACTTAAAGTATAATAATAATAAAAAAAAATTAGCCAAGCATGTTGGTGCACACCTGTAGTATCAGCTACTCAGGAGGTTGAGGTGGGAAGATTGTTTGAGCCTAAGAGTTCGAGGCTGCAGTGAGCCATTATCATGCCTCACTTCAGCCTGGGTGACAGGGGAAGATCTTGTCCAAAAATAATTAAAAACAAAACAAAACAAAACAAAACAAAACAAAACCACTAAGCCGGTAAAATTAATTTGAAACCTATCTAGTAGTATATCTATTTTAGGAAGAAGACTATTGTCAGTCTTGATTATAGAGCTATATTTTTGTAACCTATGGAAAATTGACCTTTACCAATCAATGTTGTTATAAGAATTACTAAGAGATCTCAAAAAACCTAGACTATCTTTCTCATTCTTTCTGGTATTATTTAATGTTTTTCTATTGGATCCATAATGTTATAATCAAATTATATTATAATAAAGTCAGTCAGATGTTGTCTGATATGTATAAAGTATATCTGTGAAGTAAAGCCAAGATACAACTCTAACCAAGAAATATCCTCAACCAACGATTTTCTCATGAATAATACAAGGCAAATATTCTCAGCTTTGTGCCCTTCTTTACTGATAGCTTTAGCATGGCACGTGGATTTATATTACATAAATGCATAGGGACTGGTCAAGACCCATAACAAAATGCTAGGAAGTCTAGAAAACTTCCTCTTATAATTAAATTTCACATTTGAAAAAAAAATGAGACACCCCCAAAAAGTTAACTTCCATTCCACTGTTACATTTTACATTGAGAAAATGAGACCTCCACTCCCACAAAAGTTAACTGGTCATTCTCCATTTTTTTTTTGTTTGTTTGCCACCAAACTAATTAATAACAGAGAAAGGACTGTGCCATTATAGGTCATTAATTTATTTATTAAATAACTTTCCAATGAAACAGGTGAAGGCAAGGTTTTGAGAAAATGGTGCATATGTTTTAACAGGGGAGGTAAATAATTTTATTATGTAAATCTAGCCATTATCTTACAAATACCATTTCAGAAGAGGGATGCAACTATCTTCCCATGATAAATGAAGAGAAAATTTCAATGGAAATAAATACCCCAACCAAATGTTCTCCAACCCACTAATCCCATACCTATGCTTTCTATTGGCTGCACTCAACCAGAAACTAGGTGACAAATGAGTTAACTGAAGCAGTCCCTGAGGATAATTCCTCTGGAATAGCCCCTCCTGGGGTATGCAGCATGGAGAGGAAGCAGGGAATATGGAAGGCAAAGATCAAAACTAGGCATATCCAACAAAAGATCATACTAGAGCTGATGAGGTTGTGATATTGTCTTATTTCTTACACAAATGTATTTATATTCTTCAATTTATCCTTGAATTTCATGCTTAAGGTGGTACTACTACTTTTCTACAAGCCAGTTTGTTTCCTCTTAAAAAATAAATATATACTTTTGCATAAAATAGAACCTTATAGAATTCCAGGGGAAGACCATTGCAGTTAGAAAAAGGAATTCTTACTAGCTCTCTTTCCTTCTTCTGCCAATAAGATGGTGGGAACATAGCTTTAACAAAATATTGCTAAATGAAGAGTACAGTTTTGAAAACCTTACCATGGATTTGGAAAGAAAGTGAGCTAGTGGTTAACATTTGGCACATATTCTGAACAATTGTGTCAAAACTGGAATGAGTAGAATGAAAACAGCATCTGCTGCTGCTGATTTGCTTTTCCCCAGAGACTGGGCAACATTTGAACCTGTGATGAAAAGACAACAGGTGTGTCACACAGGATAAATCCCCCAAGCTCTCTGTTAGCCTTTAGGAAAACTACCAGCAAAAATAATAAAGAGAACCATGTACGAACTATAGGCATACGTTGTAAAAAAAGTATTCACTCTGTTGACAATGGGCTACCACCTGGATAATTAAGAATGGGTTGAAAGTCAGGAAGGACAAGATGTTTTAGTTCTGAGCTCAAGTTGCAAAGCACTAAAATAAAATGTATTCCCATGTGGGACTAAAGACTGAAAGACCAAGATGGTAGGAAAAAGAGAAGTGAACTTCCTCACATGCAAACCACCACAGACTTAGACATTAGTGCACTCTTTCCTGTGTAATCTTATGCAGAACTGGAAAACACACCACCATTGCCTTGGCATTTTTCTTTGTTTATTTCAGCTTTTATTTTAGGTTCAAGGGGTACATGTGCAAGTTTGTTGCATGAGTACATTGCATGATGCTGAAGTTTGGGGTATGGATGATCTCATCATCCAGTTGGCGTGGGTAGTACCCAATAGGTCGTTTTTCAAAACTTGCACTCTCTCTCCCTCTGCCCTCTAATGGTCTGCAGTGTCTGTTATTCCCATCTTTGTGTCCATGTGTACTAAACGTTTAGCTCTAACTTACAAGTGAGAACATGTGGTATTTGGTTTTCTATTCCTGCATTAATTTGCTTAGGATTATGGCCTCCAGCTACATCCCTGCTGCTACAAAGGACATAATTTCATTATTTTTATGGCTGTGAAGTATTCCATGGTTTATATGTACCACATTTTCTTTATCCAGTCCACCATTAATATGCATCTATGTTGATTCCATGTCTTTACTATTGGGAGTAGTACTGTAATTGAGTGCAGTTGTCTTCATGGTAGAACGATTTATTTTTCTTCAGGTATATGCCCAGTAATGGCATTGCTGGGTTGAATGGTGGTTCTGTTTTCAGTTCTTTTGAGAAATCTCCAAAATGCTTTCCACAGTGGCTAATTTACATTCCACCAAAGATATATAAGTGTTTCCTTTTCTCCCCAACCTCAACATCTGTTATTTTTTTAGTGGGAGGTGGTGTCTAATTGTGGTTTTGATTTGCATTTCTCTAATGATTAGTGATTTTGAGCATGTTTTCATATGTCTGCTGGCCATATGTATCTCCTCTTTTCAGAAATGTCTGTTTATGTCCTTTGGCCCCTTTTAAATGAGGTCAGCTTTTTTGTTTGTTACGTTTGTTTGTTTTTTGCTTCTTGAATTAAGTTCATTATATTAAATTGATTCTGGATATTAGATTTTTGTTGGATGCATAGTTTGTGAATATTTTCCCCCATTCTGTAGGTTGTCTTATTACATTGTTGATAGTTTATTTAGTTGTGCACAAACGAGCTCTTAAGTTTAATTAGGTTTCACTTTTATTTCAGGTGTTTGTTATGATTGCTTTTGAGGACTTAGTCATAAATTCTTGGTAAGGCTGATGTCCAGAAGGTATTTTCTAGATTCTCCTCTAGTACTTTTATAGTTTTAGGTGTTACATTTAAATTTTTAATCCATCTTGAGTTAATTTTTTGTATATGGTAAAAGCTAGAGGTCCCATTTCATTCTTCTGCATGTGGATAGCCAGTTATCCCAGTACCATTTATTGAATAGGGAGTCTTTTCCCCATGCCTGTTTTTGTTGAATTTGTCAAAGATCAGATGGTTGTAGGTGTGTGGCTTTATTTCTGGGTTCTCTATCCTATTCTGTTGGTCTATGGGTCTGTTTTTGTACTAATACTATGCTGTTCTAGTTACTGTAGCCTTGTAGTATAGTTTGAAGTTGCGTAGTGTGATACTTACAGCTTTGTTCTTTTTGCATAGGGTTGCTTTGGTTATTCAGGCTCTTCTTTGGTTCCATATGAATTTCAAAATAGTAGTTTCTAATTCTGTGAAAAATGGCATTGGGGATTTGATAGAAATAGCATTGAATCTATAGATTGCTTTGGGCAGTATGGCCATTTTAATAATATTGATTCTTCCAATCCAGGAGCATAAAATATTGTTCCATTTGTTTGTGTCATCTATGCTTTCTTAGCAGTATTTTGTAGTTGTCATTGCAGACATCTTTCTCCTTGTTGGTTAGACATGTTCCTAGGTGTTTTCTTTTGTGGGGGCTATTGAAAATGAGATGGTGTACTTGATTTGGCTCTCAGCTTAAACATTATTGGTGAATAGAAATGCTACTGATATTTGCATATTGATTTTGTATCCTGAAACTTTACTGACATTGTTTATCTGTTCCAGGAGCCTTTTAGCAGAGTCTTTAGGTTCTTCTAGGTATAGAATTATATCATCAGTAAAGAGAGATAATTTGGCTTCTTTTACTTTTTGGATGCTTTTTGTCTCCTTATTTTGCCTGATTGTTTGCTCTAAGACTTCCAGTACTATGTTGAACAGCATGAATGAGAGTGGCACACTTCTCTTGTTCCAGTTATCAAGGGGAATGTTTTCAGCTTTTGCCTATTCAGTATGATGTTGGCTGTGAGTTTGTCATAGATGGCACTTATTGTTTTTAGGTGTTTCCTCAATGCCTAGCTTGTTGACTTTTTTTTGTCATAAAGGGATGTTGAATTTTATTGAAAGCTTTTTCTGTGTCTATTGAAATTATTATATGGTTTTGTTTTAATTCTGTTTTTGTGGTGAATCACATATATTGATTTCCATGTGCTGAACCAACTTGGCATCTCAGGAATAAAGCCTGCTTGATCATGGTGAGTTTTTTATGTGGTACTGCATTCAGTTTGCAGGTATTTTGTTGAGGATTTTTGTATTTATGTTATCAGGCATATTGGTCTGTAGTTTTCTTTTCTTGTTGTGTCTTTGCTACATTGATGCTGGCTTTATATAATGAGTTAAAGAGGATTATCTCCTCATCGAGCGTTTGAAATATTTTCAGTGGATTGCTGCCAACTCTTCTTTGTATGTCTAGTAGAATTCGGCTGTGAATCCATCTGTTTTAGGGCTCTTTTTGGTTGGTAATTTTTGTTTGTTTGTTTGTTTGTTTAATCAAACTCAATTTTGGTCTGTTCAGGGTTTCAATTTCTTCCTGATTCAGTCTTAGGAAGTTGTGCATTTCTAGGCATTTATCCATGTCTTCTATATCTTCTAGTTTGTGTGCATAAAGTTATTCTTAATAATCTCTGAGGATATTTTGTATTTCTATGGGATCAGGTGTAATGTCTCATTTATCATTTTTGATTGCATTTACATGATTCTTCCCTTTTTTGTTGTTAATCTACCTGGTAGTCTATAGTTGTTGTTTATCCTTTCAAAGAACAAGGTTTTGGTTCATTGATGCTTTGTATGGAGTCATGGGTCTCAGCTTTATTCAGTTCTGATTTTAATTTAGTTATTTCTTCTATTAGCTTTGGGGTTAGTTCTCATTTTTCTAGTTCCACTAGGGGTGATGGGGTGATGTTAGATTATTTTGAGATCTTTCTAACTTCTTGACGTAGATGTTTAGGACTATCAGTGTTCCTCTAACACAGCTTTTGCTGCATCCCAGAGATTTTGATATGTTGTGTTTCTGTTTTCCTTTATTTCAAAAAAAACTATTTCTGCCTTAATTTTGTTCTTCACCCCAAAGTCTTTCAGGAGGAAGTTGTCTAATTTCTGTGTATTTATATGTTTTGAGAGATCTTGGTATTGATTTTGATTTTCATTCTACTGTGGTCCAAAATTATGGTTGATATGATTTTGATTTTTTTGAATTTTATAGAGACTTGCCTTATGATTAGAGCATATGATCCATCATACAGTGTGTCCTGTGTACAGATGAGAAGAATGCATATTCTGTGGTTGATGAATGGAGTGTTCTGTAGATGTCTATTAGGTCCAATTGGTCAAGTGTCAAGTTTAAGTCCAGAATTTCTTTGTTGTCTGTTTCAGTGATCTAATTCTGTCAGTGAGGTGTTGAAGTTTACTGCTATTATTTTGTGACTGTCTAAGCCTTTTCATGGATCTAGAAGTACTACTTTTATAAATCTCAGTGCTTCAATATTGAGTGTGTATATATTTAGGATAATTAAGTCTTCTTGTGGTATTGAATCCTTTACCATTGTGTAGTGCCTTTCTTTGTCCTTTTTTCCATTGTGGGTTTAAAGTCTGTTTTATCTAATATAATAGCAAGCCCTGCCCTTTTTATTTTTCTGTTTGTGTGATAGGTCTTTCTCCAACTCCTTACTTTGAGCTATGGATGGTGGTATTTGTGAGATGGGTCTCTTAAAGACAGCAGATGGATGGATCTTTTTTTTTTTTTTAATCTGTGCTTGACCATCTGTGCCTTTTAAGTGGGGCACTAAAACTGTTTACATTCCGAGTTAATATTGATATGTGAAATGTTGGTCCTATGATGTTGTTAGCTGGTCATTCTGCAGTTTCTGTTGTATAGTTGCTTTACAGGATCTGAGGGCTATGTATTTAAGTGTGATTTTATGGTAACACATATTGTTCTTCCATTTCCATGTTTAAAACTCTCTTAAAGATCTCTTATAAGGCTAGTCTAGTGATAATGAATTCTTTTAGCAATTGCTTGTCTGAAAAGGATTTTATTTCTTTTTTACTTATGAAACTTAGTTTGGCGGGATATGAAATTATTGGCTGGAATTTCTTTTCTTTGAGAATGCTGAAAATAAGTCCTCAGTCTCTTCTGGCTTGTAAGGTTTCTGCTGAGAAGGCAATGGTTAGTCTGACGAGGTTCCCTTTGTCTACCTCTCTAGCAAGATTAGAAACATTTTTCCTGAACTATTGTTGTGTACAATTTCTCCTTCTTTCTCAGGAATTCCAATAATTTATAGGTTTGCTGGCTTTACATAATCCCGTATTTCTTGGTGATTTAGTTCATTTGTTAAGTTATTTTTCCTGAATTTAGTCTGACTGGGTCAATTTAAAAGACCAGTAATTAAAGATCTGAAATTCTTTCTTCTCCACAGTCCAGCCTATTAATAAAAAGTTCAATGTGTTTTGAAATTCCTTAAGTGAGTTGTCTATATCCAGTAGCTCTAATTCATTTCTTTTAAAGATGTTTATCTCTTCCTTTATTTTCTGGATTGCTTTAGAAATATCTTTGTGTTGATTTTCAGCCTTGTCTTGAATCTCATTGAGCTTCTTTGCAATCCGTGCTTTGAACTCTTGATCTGTCTTTATGAGTTTCCATTTTTTGTTAGGGACCACTGCTGAAGATCTAGAATGGTCCTTTGATGGTGTCATAACAATCAGATATTTTATGGTGCCAGAATTCTTATGCTGGTTGCTTATCACCTGAAGAGGAGTGTATTGGGTAGAGTCTTTTGATTTTACTTCTATAGCCCTATGTACTTTCTGTTGGCAGGTTTTATATTGGGCTGTGCACTTCAACCTACAGGCCAGTAGATGAAGCTTGTGAGTAAGAGCTAGCTGTGACACTAGCAGATGGGTATGTACCTCAGCTTTGTTTACTGTGAGTCATTTTCTGTTGCTTCAGGTGAAGGGCTGGACAGTGGAGTGCCTAGTGCCCTGAGCTTCCTGTTCTGTGGGGTTGGGAAGACACCACTGGGCAAATCTGAAGCTCCTGTCTTGCCCATGAATGCCCTGATGTCAAGTACAGGAGCCAGTCCTGATGAGAATGGCTAGGAGAAGCTTCTGGTGAAGTGTGCTAAGGTCTCTGCAGGAAGGTCAGGTGGCTGCAGTAGCTCCCTGTCCTAGATAGGCAGGAGCCTGCTCTGTTTCTCTATCAAACCCCTGTTCCAGGGCTTGTGACTCCCAGTTCAGACGCACACTGTAGTCTATCTCCAAACTACAGTGTGGCTGAGAACCACAGGAAACACCTGTTTGGTGATTCTGTGGGAATAGATTCAGGGCATAACTTCATCATGTTACATGATACAGATTGCTTTATGGTCCACCTATTCTCCAATGCGATAGCACTGCTGCTTCTTGTAAAGGAGCAGGCTCTATCTTTGGGCACGTTGAGTGGGTGTTAGTTGTGGTGGTATTGGCTGGTTGGGTCAGTCTGACTTCAGGGTCAGTCTGACTTCAGGCACTGGGGAAAGGGGTCAGGTGCCAGTAGAGTTGCAATGGGGTAAGTGGTTTCCCAGTTTTCAGGCCCCTAGTTGGCCTACTGGACAGTGTGTATGAGTCCTGAAGGGCTGGACTGGAGTCAGGCTACCCCAGAGTTTCAGTGCTGGCTGTGATGTGGAAGGGTGGACTGATCTCTGGGTCATCAGCTGAACTTTCAGGCTGAGGTAAGGTGGAATGCATAGGTGGTGAGAGCCTGAGAATATCACAGGCAGGTGGGGATTGAGTTTTCAGAAGAGCTCTGGACTGCAGGTGAAACATTCAGACAGGGGCAGGGCATTCCTTGACTTTCTTTCTGATGATTTTCATGCATTTTGTCAGCTTTATGGCAATGCTTACTAAACTATGCATCATCTTCACAATGCCTGCTCTCCTTATTTCAGTGTTACATCCCTAATACCAGCATGCCTAAGTACTGTTCTAAACCAAATCAATCCCTCTCCATCATAGTTTGTTAACTTATACTATGCCAATTGTTAAGAATGGCTCAAATATCTCTTATATTTATAGTGAACAAAGTTATTCTGAAGTCTAAAATCATAAGAAATACATTGCTACTTTTATCATTCTAGGCAGCCAGGGAGTAACTGACTGTTAGAAGAACTTATATTTTGTACATCTTGGACAACTGTGCTTCTTGATGATACTATTTTTGATATTTCTTTTATTAGTCCTGTCTTAAGGCAATGTGGATAATCAACAAGAATGCTGTTCCTGATTTCTGATTTTTTTATGCTGAACTCGTGCCAGCAAAATTTGACTTGTTATATACTTACCCATATTTACCCATTAACTGTAATGTCTTCTCAAAAATTATGTGAAATGGTTTTGTTCCCTTAGTAGATGTGAATGATTAAGATGACACTGTAAAGCCAGCATACCCTCTCAACCTCCCAGCATTTGAGTGAAATAAAAGAGCATTAAATCCAAGTCAGATTGAAAGCCAATGGACATAAATGTTCCCCATTGTAATCTTTACATATTGCTAAAAATTAGAAATGGAATAGTGAGATGTGAGGTGCAAAGTTTTTAAGTGAAAATACTTAGATGAATTCGCCATCTTATCCCACTCAGCCAGCCAAGAGTGAGGGTACTTTTAGATGTTTATACATTTGTTTGCTCATTTGTTTATTTATTTGTTCATTTTAAAATATGCTAGATATTTGGATACACAGACACAATAAACTTCTCTCAAGAAACTTGTAGTAATTTAGACTCGTGGTTCCAGACTTGAGTTCAAATCCAAACTCTATCATCTAAATTTATGAGCATTTGGGCAAACAATGGCCTCTGTGGATGGTTCCTTTATATGGAAGATCACATTAGATCGTCTTAATAAAGTTCCTAGCAGTGGTATCTGGCACATTTTGGGCTTTGTTAATGAGAATTATGATTTTGTGGTAAAGCATATAAAATCTGAAATCAGGTCGTCTCTACCCCTTGTTCTTTAACAAGACAGTTTTCTGCTTTGCGTCTCCAGTTTTTTTCTGTATAAAATGAGGATGATAGTAGTACCAATCCCACGGGAAAGTTATGATTACTGAATGAGTTAATATATGCAAAAGACTTAAATGGTGCTTGGCTTGTAACTAATGCTGGTTGAGTGTTTTCTATCTCTTTTAAAAATAAGAATAGTTAAAAATAACAATTCTCATTATTGTTATTACATATGATCTGTATACAAATGACTATAACGCAAAACAGAAAATAGTGATTCAATTAGAGATCTATAAATAATTATAAGACTTTTTAAAGTAATATTTTAGGCTGAGAGGTGGTAAAAAATTTCCAGGAACTATGATAGTATTAGGCATGCTAAGTTGAGAGGTCAAGAGAAAATCCTATGGATAAATAAAAGAATGTAAGCAAAATGATGTGTAAACTGTGGATAGTTCCATTGCTATACATGGGAAGATATTATGAGTGAGTGGTTACAAACATAGGTTAAAGCAGATCATGAAAGAACTTGAATGCAAGCCATAGGCTATCAATTAATTTTCTCAGTAATGGGAAATCTCTGAGGGCCTGTGGCAAGACCTATCTTGTAGAATAATTTGTAGAGCAAAGAAACAAGAAATAGAAACGCCAGATAGGAGATTTCTGCATAGCTCAAGCTAAATGTACAGGAGAACTTCACTAGGTTAGTAGCAAAGAGAGATGGAATGAATGTATGTGTTGAAGTGAATTCCCAAACAAAACAGTTTGAGTAAGGGTTAGATTGGATTTTTTAAATGAATACAGCACAAATCAAAATTGGACTTCTCTCATGTCTTCCCTTCTCCACTACCACTTTCCCTTTTTGAGAAAGAGATATAGCTTCTATCTGAGGCATTTGAAAACTTAGATGCTTACGCAAAACAGGCAGGTAACCTGGATAAATAAGGAGTGCCTGCCAGAACGAGGCTATGGAGAACTTGGGGTCTCATGACCCATCTCAACTGTGAGGTAGTCTTGGGGCTCCAGGCAACTATTGCTATGGAGAAACATTGCCCAGCACTGCCAGTTATTCTGAGTTTTCCAAGAGAACTAGGAAATCTGGATCTTCAAAATGTGAAAACTACCAATTTTTACATGTTGGCAACTACTTTGAAATTTTTAAAAAGCCTCTCTAGGCCAAACAAAACATGCCTGTGGCCAAATGTAGCATGTGGGTCACCAGTTTGCAAAATCTGTCTAACTCTTGTTATCTGGCAAGGTAATGAAGCATTCTGGTTAGTCAACACTCTGACTGAGTTTCCACATACGTTATATAAGGCTTTTGAGCCTTCCAAGAATCGGGATACATCAGCTACGCTGAACATGAAAGTTCTACTTAACATTTACCAAACTTTCCCCTGTTGATTCAAACACTTATTCACTCAGCAAATAATTATTATTTGGCTATGTTTCATACACAATGATAATAATTTAGAAATATATAAATATGAATGAGATAACCCTGACCTTAAGTAGCTCAGTTTGATGAGGGTATAAACACAGGTCACAGATACTGATAGTACAATCAGTTTGACAACTCAGAATCATTTAATATCGCAATATCATCAATAGTCATGTAAAAATATGGAGAATGGCATAGTGTTTTCCAACTGATAGATATTCCAGAAGTTCTGTCTAGAACTCTAACTTTCAATACTTAACATTTTCTCAGAAAGACCATTTCAGACTCTCAAGCAAGCTTCTGTACTAGCTCCTGTCTTTTTTCAAAATGCTTTTTCTTAAGATACCTCTTTCAAAAATTAGGGAATGGAATCAGTCTTCCAAAGATAAATAATCCCATTCTAAGATTCCTGGGCTCGTGATTTAAATTCCATAGGTCAGAAGTAGGAAGAGGAATCACTCTGGATGGTTTATGGGGAACACTCTATTTCCATTTAATTCATATCAACAATTTCCCTCCTAAAGCAACCCCTCCTTGCTACACTGAAGAACAAGGAACACAGTGTATTCCCCTGCTGAGGTTAATATTGTTCAGCAACTTGAGAGAAACTTCTAAAGAAGTAACCATTAAAATAAGTACAGTATTATTCTGTCTCCTCTAGCATACGATTTCTTTGGCTACATGATGATTTTTTAAAAATATATCAAATTAGTGGCTTAAATGCATTTCTTCTTCAGGTAGTAGAAGGGAAGGGAAGACATACATTTAAATATTGAATTTTAGACAAATATTTGGGGAAAAGCTATAATCATTTCCCTGTTACTACAAACTCAGTGACTCTCACATTCCCCTCAACTACCATCATTTGGTGTCACTAAAAGGCTGTCCCAAAAGGTCACATTCCAAAAAGAAATCATTACTTTGTTTTTATAATTGATATATCCAAAGATATGGGCAGAGCTATTACAAAGGAATTTATAGGTCAAAAAAAAAATAAGACTTAAAAGTGTAAAATACTTGGTTCCACAGTATATGAAATAACTATTTTTCTCATTAGGTGCAGTAGTATACATAACATCATGTACTTTGAGTAGCACAGAGAATAAGAACTGAATGATACAAGATTAATTACTACACTATTGTCATCTCTAGCTAATAACAACATAGAGATTAACCTTGCTGTTAAAGTCTCTCTGGATGTATTTGTTTGCCAGTGGCGTAATTAGGGAGGCATGCAAGTAGAAAAAAAGCACACAAAATAAAGTTTGTGTCTTGGGAGGAACAGAATTTGTTTATTACTTTGTCACTGCAGGCAACAGGGTGTGAAACCAGCAAGAAATCAAGCCAGTTCTTGACGTCAGTTATTCCTAATTTGGAGCAATTGAGTGCATCTTTGACTTATGTGCCAGGGCTGATCATTGATTAAGCTGCAGGGGTGTTTCCTATGGTGTTCCTTTGGCCTTATTACTGTGACTAGCAATGCGTTATCAAGTTGCTTTTTGTTTTGTTATTTTCCTTCTCCAGAAGACCCTGAATTAAAATATTACTGAAGTTAGTTACAAGTAAACTTAGTAATTTCCTAAGTATTAAGTACATATTTTCTCTTGATTTTGATCTTTACCTTTGGAGAACCAAATGTCACATTTTGGACGTTTCATAGTTACAGAAAACATGCAGTGAGCACATCTAGCTGATGACGATCACACCTTTTCCCCCATCTTTTTTGAAAAATTGTAAATCTGATCATATCAACATGTATGAACTTAAAATATGGAGAATATTATGGAAGAAATAGTTTATAAGTTTGTTAAGTACTTATAACATGGTGTATCTTTTTGATTATTAATTTTTTATGCTAACCATTGTTTCTGTAGTTAAAATTGTTTTCTTGGTGTTATCTTTTCTCAAAATAAAATTAGAAACTTTTGATGGGAAAAAAAAAACTTTTTTAACCTTGTGTTTTCAGGTTTGGATAAATGGTACCAAAGCAATCCTTTGGGCAAGCAAAATGAACTTCTCAATTGTTACATATTATTCATTAGACTGTTTCTATTTAAATAAAATATCGCTTGAAAGCAAAAGTGATTCAGATCTTTCTTTCAGGGTTTAGAGAAGTTACAGGCCATTTTAATGCTTGATAAAAATGAACAACCATTATGAAACTTTAAGGAAATGGCCAACATCCTGAGGTTGCCATCCAGAAAAAAATGGAAAGAATCTACATCTCCAATGACTTTATAGAACTCCTGAATTAAAACTCTGTCACTACAGACTCTAATCATATTTGTTATGAGATTATCTTGCTTTAAAGAATGAATTTTCTACTTTAAAAACTTATCAAGAGACCAGACATGGTGGCTCATGCCTGTAATCCCAGCACTTTGGGAGGCCAAGGCAGGAGGATAGCTTGAGCCCAAGACTTTGAGACCAGCTTGGACAACATGGAGAGATCCCATCTCTATGAAAAATTTAAAAATCACCTGGGCATGGTGGTGCACCTGTAGTCCCAGCTACTGGGGAGGCTGATGCGGGAGGATCATTTGAGCCCAGGAATTTGAGGCAGCAGTGAGCTATGATAATGCCACTGCAAACCAGCCTGGGTGACAAAGTAAGACCGCATGTCTAAAACACACACACACACACACACACACACACCCCACCCCAAAGAATTGTATCTGCATTCTAGATGCCAGCTAAGGTCTCTCTGACTTTTCAGTATTTAATTAAAATGGCTTGGAGACCACATTTCACTTTATCTGAGAAGTCTAATATCTTCTTCAAGAGTTCTCAGAATATTTTCTTGTTTTGAGATACTGGAATACTATGCAGCCATAAAAATGATGAGTTCATGTCCTTTGTAGGGACATGGATGAAACTGGAAATCATCATTCTCAGTAAACTATCGCAAGAACAAAAAACCAAACACCGCATATTCTCACTCATAGGTGGGAATTGAACAGTGAGAACACATGGACACAGGAAGGGGAACATCACACTCTGGGGACTGTTGTGGGGTGGCGGGAGGGGGAGGGATAGCTTTAGGAGACATACCTAATGCTAAATAACAAGTTAATGGGTGCAGCACACCAGCATGGCACATGTGTACATATGTAACTAACCTGCACATTGTGCACATGTACCCTAAAACTTAAAGAATAATAATAAAATAAAATAAAATGAAAAGAGATACTAACCTTGCTGGATTCTGTCACTTGCATGAGATAGCTCTTTCTTCTTTCTGGTTAGTGCCAGCTCAGATGTGAAAATTGGCCTCTTTGTGACATTTGTGTAAATCATGGAAAAAAGGTACAGGATGCATAGAAGATTCTGCTGAGGTTCTGAGATGGAGAGTATTTTCCTTGAGCAGTAAAGAGAACTTAAATGTTTCTTTTTCATAAAATGCCCTCCATTAGTCTACCACAAGAAATTACCTATCTGCTTTGTAGAAAATTTACCGGTCTGATTTCTACTGTACCGTTTCCCATCCTTGCTCCTCTTTTAACTTCTTCTCTCTGAATTTTATGTATACTTTCTATATGTAGTACTTTAAATACATTATTTCAACTTAAACTTACGTAGCCAGGCACTCCTTTTACTAAAGACATTTCCCTTCACAAATGCAGCATTGTGCCGTTTGATGTGTATATATATATGTGTGTGTGTATATATATATATGTGTGTATGTGTGTGTGTGTATATATATGTGCGTGTGTGTGTGTGTGTGTGTGTATATATATATATATAGTGCCAGTTGATGTGTGTGTATATATATTTAATCTGCTATACATGTCTAGAAATTTCTCTACTGTTTTTGTGAGGTGTGGTATGGGAATTGAAAAATATAGTATTTACATCTTCACTTAGGGCAAACAACTAAACCAATGTAGATAGATAATAAAATGTTAAGATATATAACCTGAAAATAAATAACCTGAGTTGTTAATTCCTTAAGTCTTACACACTTAGGTGACTTACCATTCTCTTTCTCAACTCCTCAGGGACCAGCTCCACTACCGTTGAGATATAAATATTTTTGGATTCACAAAATAAGTTGATCATTTATTACTGGACAAAGTAAATACAGTTTCTTTTAAATTTAGTATCTGATCTTTCATAAGTATAAGACAATTCTACTTACATTCATTCTTTTTAATTCATTATAATGAAATTTGGATAAAGGAAGTATTGCTACAAGATGGCCAACTCTTAGGCGGGCTAATAAAATTGCTTAAATATCACAGCAATTAAGTATTAACTCCAGGATTTCAAACCAGCTCTGTTGGACTTTGAGCTCACGTAATTCCATTTGCTGATTCTGAGCACAGTCATACTTACTCCATCTCATTTCCAATGTCTTTTAATAAGAAGGCAGAGGTGGGAAATGAGATTTTGCTGAGGCCCTGTTATTTAACATAAATGTGTTGGGTTAATAAAGTAAGTTATTTTTAGGACAGAAAAAAATTGTAAAAACTGCTTTACAAGTCACAAGATTAAAGGAGAACGGGAAAACAATGAACAAAGGGTAGGCAGAGTGACAGATGCTGGGACAGATTGTGTATCTTCTCCCCAGCCTCAATCTAGCAAAGAAGGGGGGAAGGGAGAAAAGGAAAAGGAGAATGAGAAAAAACAAATCTGATCCAGTTACACATGGTCATTTTAGGTCTCTTCTGGCATAGTTGATGTGCACCTCTCCTAAAAGTACACGGCAAATGTTCCATCATCCGCTGTACACCTCTCTTGTTGGCCAGAATATAACAACTGGCTCCTTGCTGGCTTGCTCAACTTTTTTTTTTTTTTTTTTTTTTTCTCTGAGACAGAGTCTCGCTCTGTCGCCCAGGCTGGTGTACAGTGGCGTGATCTCGGCTCACTGCAAGCTCCGCCTCCCAGGTTCATGCCATTCTTTTGCCTTAGCCTCCCAAGTAGGGGGACTACAGGCGTCTGCCACCAAGCCCGGCTAATTTTTTTGTATTTTTAGTAGAGACAGGTTTTCACCGTGTTAGCCAGGACGGTCTCCATCTCCTGACCTCGTGATCCGCCCGCCTCGGCCTCCCAGAGGGCTGGGATTACAAGCGTGAGCCACCCCGCCTGGCCAATGTTTGGTTACAATTATCTAAAACAAATTCCATGTTTTTCCGCTGTGTCTGCATAAAATGGGCTTAAGATGCGCAGAAAATATAATGTAAACATTTAAAAGCTTTCCCCCATATTCTCACTTCCACATTTGGGAGGTATTTTGAATTTTTCTGCCGTTCTTCGTGTGGGATACCCCGTAGTTTATATGTGGGTTCTCTCACTTTTTATCACTTCTTTCTTGCTATGCTTACCCCCATGTTTGTTTTCGAAGTCATCAAAAAGGAAAAAAATATAAAACCATCCCAGTGTATTAATTGAATAAAAGACTAGGAAAAAAAAATTGTAAAAAAGACTGAACATGGTCATTAGGATGTGAAAACATCTGGCTGCAATGTGAAAAGTTTAGTCAATTGATGGGCTCTTTTTCAAAGATACTATGTTTTTGCTTCTGAATTTTGGGGGCCTGTTTCTGGATTCACCAAATCTATGGGTTGTCCACATTGGCATAGTATAAACTTATCCAATGATTGATTTTGATCTTGTAGATAACTTGCAAAATATGAGGTAACTAGAGCTTCATTTTATTTTTTTATTTTACTTTATTTAATTTTTTTATAGAAACAGGGTCTCTCTCTGTCACCCAGGCTCCAGTGCAGCTGTGCAATCATAGCTCACTGCAGCTTTGAACTCCTGGGCTCAAGTGTTCCTCCTGCCTCAGCCTCCCAAGTAGCTAGGACTACAGGTGCACACCACTACACCTGACTAATTTTCTTTTATCTTTTTTTTCCTTTTTTTTTTTTTTCTTAGAGACGAAGTCTAGTTATGTGGCATAGACTGGTCTGGAACTCCTGGCCTCAAGTGATCCTCTTGGATTTGTCACCCAAACTGTTGAGATTACAGACATGAGCCACTGTGCTTGGCCAAGAGCATGCTTTAAATACATCTAAAGAGGAAGAGAGAATTGATCAATTGATTACTTGATCACTTGTTATTTTAGAAGTTTTACACTTAATAATCTTCTTTCATTTTCCAAAGCAATCAAAGAGAAAAAGCATGTAATATTTTATGTTTGCCACTATAGAAAATACTCTAATTATCTATCTATTGTAGTATTTACAATTACACTATGAAGTAAATGTTATCCACAATTTATGAGTGAAATGTTCAGAGAACTTATGGAATTTCAGCTGCAGATTTAATTAAAATGTGAAGCTAAAGTTGAAATTTCATCTCTGGAATTTAAAAACCTATGCTTTTTCCACTAGGCCAGTACAGTGCTATAAAATCATGTCTCTGAGCCTACACAAAATTGAATTTACAAAACATTTATCTTTTAGTTATTTAATAAGGATCTTTCCAACACATAGTGGGTGAACAAAAATCACACACTTCTCAACAGATGAAATAAGAAAAAAACTATTGAATAGTAATATTTTAATGCATCGCTTATTTCAGCATAATTTAGAATGCTCCAGCCACATCTGAAGATCTTAAATTAATTATTTGGGTCCTGAGGGGAGAGAGTTTCTGAAAGAGCAGGGTAGAATTAACTTTCATCAAGCACCTGATATATGTGAGGTGGTATCATTTATTTAACTCTTTTTTATAGGCCGGAACCATGAGAAATGCTAAGCATTCTACACTTAATACATCCTTTAATATTGTTAATAACCCTGTGTGGCATGACACATTAATATTAACCTCATTTTACCCAGTAACAAATTGAAGTTGGTCAGTAGTAAAGGTGAAATTTGAACCCAGGTCCTGTTTTTTGAACCTATGTACTTTCTCAAATAATTGCTGGAAGACACATACAGAGCCAGTAGTACCTCCAAATAAGTTCTGCTTAGAGTAACTGCATAGTTGCTTCTTACACCAGCACATGAGCAGATAATTTTTATCAAAGATTCATTACTTGGGATTTCCATTCATTTATTTAATGAAGTAATTCCTCAGCTAGTGTTAGTATTTGGCCAGGCTCCTGCAGTCTCTCAGCCTTTTTGTGTTTATGGACAGGTCAACCAGTGGAATAATTTTCATTTGACAAGCCCCAGTTGAACTTGTTTCCTGGATCATTAAGCACATTGGCATGTACATTAACAACCATTTTCTGCCTTGTTGGTTTCCATCTATTTCATTCACGAATTAATAGGTACATAAAGAGAACTCAATTAATGCCTCTTTGCATACCACCACCAGCCTTCTTGGTGGGTGGCAGGTATTGAAGCTGTGATGTTGAAAGAGACTGAAAACAAGCAGAACTGAGACTCAAATCAAGATTCATTTATCTTTTTTGGACCAGAAAACTATGCCAATAGAAATGAATCACAGATTCGTAAAATCAAATTTGCTTTTGATGTTATCAAGATTCCCTATCAAGAACCTTCTAATCAAGGGTTTTTCAACCTCGGCACTATTGACATTTGGAGCTGGATAATTATTTGTTGTAAGGGCTGCTCTGTGCTTTGCAGGCTGTTTAGCCACATCCCATCCTCTACCCACTAGATGTCAGTAGCACCACCATCCTCTTCCTTGAAAATTAAAAAATAAATAAATAAATAATAATGCCTCTAGACATTACCTAATGTCTCCTAGGGCAGCAAAATCACCCCACTGAGCATCACTAGTCTGTCCTCATCAAGAATTACCTCTTTGTTTCATTCCCCTGGACTCCAGAAGAACAAGTGCTAGACATCATGTTCTTTCTTTTTATTTATTTATTTATATTTATTTATTTATTTATTTATTTATTTATTTATTTAGAGATGGAGTCTCACTCTCTCACCAGGTTGGAGTGCAGTGGCGCAACCTCAGCTCACTGCAACCTCCGTCTCCTGGGTTTAAGTGATTCTCCTGCCTCAGCCTCCTGAGTAGCTGGGATTACAGGCATGCATAACCACGCCCAGCTAATTTTTGTATTTTTAGCAGAGACAGGTTTCACCATGTTGGTCAGGATGCTCTTGATCTCCTGACGTCGTGATCCGCCCGGCTTGGCCTCGCAATGTGCTGGGATTACAGGCATGAGCCACTGCGCCTGGCCCTTTCTTTTTATTAGTAGGGAAACTAAAACCTGAGAAGAGAGAGTTGCTTAAGTGGGGAATATTTGATGAGCATATGCTATGTGCCAAGACATTGTAGAAACACTAAGAGGATCCTCATGAGAAAATTCTTGCTACTCTTATTTTTAAAATGAAAAACTTAGGAGACGATCTTGCCCCAAAACTCATATATGCTAATTTGCCTTATAAGACCCAGGTATGGGAAACCAGGTTTTAATATAGACATACCTCAATATGTATATTTTAAAATAATTCTAAAGATTTGCAAATGTTTTTATTGAATATTTACTATCTAAAATGAAAATCAGCTCTAATGGATTCACATGGTCACAGTAGAAAAATATTTCAGTTGCCCTCAAGTTCAGGCAAAAGGATATTGAGTTGTCTGCAGTCATAACTTAGTTGTGCTTTTCCAGTTGATATCATTTATTTCTTTGTGTTTAGCATGTTTGAATCATTGTTATCCTCATCTTTTCCTCCAAGATGCTATTCTTCATGGGTCTCTGGTATTTCTTCTGCCAGGTCTGGGGACACTACCAACCAGTTTCAATTTACTTAATTTTAGCATCTTTAATATTATCTTATTGCTTGTTTATATAAACATTTCTTAAACAGCTTTGCAATTAGGGAAGACAGAAAACCTAATTCAGATCTGGTACTCTACAACATTGGAACCCACTGTACAGATATCTGAGTTCATTAAGTGTTAAATAATTTGATAATTGGCATTTTAAATGCAGTATTTGATGCTGAACTCCTAGTGTTAAAGCACGTTTTAGTAGTATTTGGTGAACTTGTTCAGGGCTTTTGGATGGGCTGGAAATACTGTATTTTATCATTTATAGCATATGAAAATTCAATAGCCAAGACATTCACAAGAACAGATTAGATATTATTTTGAGAGATCTCTCTAGTCCTTTTCTCTAAAAGTATCCAGGATCTTTACACTTTTCATGATCTCACAATAACCTATTTTTCCTGAAATTTCCACCTTAGTTAACCTTTACTCTTACCTCAAACTTAATGCCAATGAAGAGTATATGTGGAAGCTTTAAATTACAGATTTCAATTCTTTGACAGCCTTGTCTTCAAGATCAAGGTTTGTGTTCCCTCCCTGGGAATCCAGGAGGGCTTGTGGCTGTTTTGACTGATTTGTCAGAAGTGATGTCATATGACTTCTGAGACTAAATCATAGGCCATGTAGCTCCTGCCTTGGTCTCTTGGAAAGCTCATCTCTAGACATTCCCTCTGGAGATGTTCCATCTAAGAAGTCAGGCTCCATTATGTAAGAAGCCTAAGCCACATAAATAGTTCAGGAGTAGTGACTCTGGTCAATAGATTATTTAGCTGAGGAAAGCTTTGGGTAACCCCAGGACAGGGGGCATACATGTGAGTGAAGAAGCCAACTTAGATATGTATCCTCCCACTTCAGATGTTTGAACTCATAGCACGTCAGTCACCCTATCTCTTAGACTTTACAATTCATGTCCCAGATGTTATGGAGCAAAGTCAAACTATCCCTGGTGTGCTTAATCTGAATTCTGGACCACAGAGTATAATAAAATGGTGTCATATTATGCTGCTAAATTTTTGAGTGGTTTGTTATTAGGAATGAATAACTGAACCATTGCATATAGCGTGGCCCATTCTCTCTAGATCCTGCTCTCTGATAGAACATGATAGAAAATACCTATGACCATCAGGTAGGACTCATGCATTTTAACCTAGTTAAAAAATAAGAAACTTTTTCTACAAAGTAACCTACTTGTTAAAGATTTCAGGCTGAACATTTATAAAATTTTGCATCAGAGCATTTTAGAAAGTAGGACTAGTCACTCCCTTTATAAATTTCTAAGGATATAGAAAAGAATGCAAAAGTAAGTCCTAAGAGATATAAAGAAAACAAAAATGAGAATATGAAGATAGAGAAATGTTTTGAGATTGACAATATTAATAATAAAAACTTTCTATTGCAAGTTTTTGATCTGAACAGGTGAAGCTGACTTTCACTGTCAAGGGGCAGCTGGATTTGAGTTGTATTTTACAAAGTATGCTTTTCAGAATAATGGTTCCCACAAGGTAGATGTAAGTTTTATTTACATTCACATACACAGTGACGGTTAAATATTTGTCTAGGTGTTACTATGAAGGTGTTTTTTGGATGTAACATCTATAATCAGTTGTCTTTCAAGATTACTTTCAATAATGTGGGTAGGCCTCATTCAATGAATTGAAGACCTAAAGAGAAAAAACTGAAGCTTTCCAAAGAAGGAATTCTGCCTCAAAAATGTGACATTAAAACCCCTGCTTGATTTTCCTGTCTGCTAGCCTGTCTTCAGATTTTAGAATTGCCAGCCCCGTACTCAAGTGAGCCGATTTCTTAAAATCATTACCTCTGTCTCTGTCTGTATCTCTATCTCTCTTTACCTATGTATCAGTCCATTTATCTACCTATCATTATCAGTAGGATATATGTGTGTGAGTGTATGTGTGTATGTTTATGTATGTGTGTACTATGGATTCTGTATCTTGAGAACCCTAACCAATAGACACACTTAAATATACACATGCATATTTATACACATATGCATATATACACATGTACATACATATACAAGAACTGAAATTAAGTAAGTTCGGAAAACACTGAGATAAGCCAATATCTGTAACAGAAGAATTTCTCTAAAAGTTGCCATGCATGTCACCATATTTCATCATGTATACAGTATTTGTCAAACTTGTTTTTCCATGGAACTCTTGTTACAAAGCATCCTCTGAAACTTGTGTTATATAGAAACAATTTGGACTTTCTGCAGTGGGTTTGCCGCCAGAACACAGGTGTCCTGAAGATGACTCCTAAAAGCCAAATTGGAAAAGAATAGAGTCATATCAACATCATCATCACTGGACACACAGATCTGGGCCAGTCCACCACTGCTGGCCATCTGATATACATATGTGGTGGCACTGACAAAAGAAACATTGAAAAAGCTGAAAAAGAGACTGCTGAGATGGAAAAGGGCTCCTTCAAGTATGCCTGGGTATTGGATAAACTGAAAGCAGAGCGTGAACATACTGCGTCCACCTCATCCAACTGCAAGCCCCTTTGCTGCCTCTCCAAGATGTCTCTAAAATTGGCGATATCGGTACTGTCCCTGTGGGCTGAATGGAGACTGGTGTTCTCAAACCCAGCATAGTGGTCACTTTTGCTTCAGTCAATGTTAAAACTGAAGTAAAGTCTATTGAAATGCACCATGAAGCTCCGAGTGAAGATCTTCCTGGGGATAATGTGGGCTTCAATGTCAAAAATATGCCTGTTGAAGATGTTCATTGTGGCAATGTTGCTGGTGACAGCAAAAATGACCCACCAGTGGAAACAGCTGGCCTCACTGCTCAGGTGATTATCCTGAACCAACCAGGCCAAATCAGTGCTCACTGTGAATCTGTACTGGATTGTCACACAACTCAAATTGCTTGCAAGGTTGCTGAGCTGAAGGAAAAGATTGATTGCAATTCTGGTAAGAAGTTGGAAGATGATCCTAAATTATTAAATGCTGATGATGCTGCCATCCTTTATATGGTTCCTGGCAAGCCCATGTGTGTTGAGAACTTCTCTGACTGGCCTCCTCTGGGTTGTTTTGCTGTTTGTGATATGAGATAGACAGTTGCTATGGGTGTCATCAAAGCAGTGGACAAGGCAAGGTCATCAAAGGTGTCATCAAAGCAGTGGACAAGAAGGCAAGGTATTGCCAAGGAGCTGGCAAGGTCTGCAAGTCTGCTCAGAAAGCTCAGAAAGCTAAACAGATGTTATCCCTAATACCTGCCACCCTAGTCTTAGTCATTGGTAGAAAACATTCTCAGAACTGTTTGTTTCAATTGATCATTTAAATTTAATAGTAACAGACAGATTAATTATAACAATGCATTGTTAAACCTTCAGAAGGAAAGAATGTTTTGTGGACCATTTTGGTTTTTTCTGGTATGTGGTCATTTTAAATTATTCATTTTAAAAATCGGTATTTTTAATGGAAACAACTTAACCAAAAATCTGTCGCAGAGTTTTAAGAACCATTAAAACAAAATTTAATGAGAAAAAAAAACATTTGGGAAATTCTCATTTAGCATTTGAGGGAAACAGAGAAAGCTTGGAGTAGCTGCCCCAGGGAGGTGAATGAAGAGTCAAAGAGGGGTAAGTCAAGTGTTTTTTACAAAGCACCCATAACTTAGATATTTTATGGAACACAAATATTGTACAGTTGGTTAGTCTATTTTATTTGCTTTCTTTATAAATAAAGTAGATATTGAAATATACAAAGTTTTGGGTGTTAGCAAAAGTTAGAGGCAAAAATCAAGAGGGTATGTAATACTAAATCATTTAAAAATTATATGTATAAAATGGGTAGACTATGGAAAGATTTTCTTCCATTTATCCACACTATTTACCTAAGCCAGATGACTGGCAATTTTATCTAAATTTCTCCCTTATCATCTCACATCAGGTGGGTTGCAAAAGCATATCATTACACTTCTTAATTTCACTGATATCTATATCCTTGCCTCAATCTTTATTGCTTTAAAAGGGTCCAATTATTTCCAAGTTACATTTAAATAATAGCTTCTATGTTTGAATGTTTGTGCCCATTCCCCACCTTGCCCCTGTAATTCATATGTTGAAATTCTAACTTTCATGCTGATATTAGGAAGTGTGGCCTTTGGGAGATGATTAGGTCATGAGGGTAGAACACTCACGACTGAGATTAGTGCCTTTATAAAAGCATCCCTAGAGAAATGGCCCATCCTTTCCATAATGTGAGTACACAGCTGGAAGGCACCATCTATGAACCAGAAACAGGGTCCTCATCAGACATTGATTGCCCCTGTCAGTGCCTTGATCATAGACTTCCCTGCCTCCACAGTGGGAGGAATAAATATCTGTTGTTTATTAACCACTCAGTTTATGTATTCTTGCTATAAAAGCCCTAATGAACGAAGACAATAGCCTTACAGGTTCTCCTCAGTTCAATCATCAAAGGATTCTCCTTGCTGTAGCCAACATGATATTCTTAGAAAATGAATAGGATCTAATTACTCTGAGGATTAAACCTGTTACTTTAATGATAAGATCCAAACTCAGACGGTCCATGATGTGGATATTAATAAGCCATGGTTCTTCTCACTTTGGATCTTATTATGAAAGTAATGGAACAAATTGAGTTAGGATCTTCCTTCAGATCTATCCTTTACCCTATCTCCACATCAACCCTTAATCCAAACAACCAAATATGATTCTGTTTCCTCATTCAATTTTCTCCAATAGCAGATGCCTTGCTTATGCTTTTCTCATTGCTTAGGATGCCAACCAATAAGCCACTCAGATGCAAAGGAGGAGCCATGTTTAAAAATTGTACCCAGACTTAAATGAGTAAAAAGAAAGAAAAGAGATCTAGGCAATTAGAAACCTGGACAATTGCTTCAAACAGAGGATGGGGAATTCAGAAATGTATTTCCAATTAAAAATTATACATACATAAGCATATGGGATATTTGTGGCGTATCTGCACGTTTTAATTAAATAGGGTCAAATGCTAATAAGTGATGCTGTATCTCCATTTTCTCCTTTTTTTTTAACATTACAGTTTTAAATGTATGTTAGTATACTCTGAAGCTAGATGGCTTAGTGTATAATTATTGCAATTGAAATAGTATATGTATACTTATGATAAAAAGGGACAAATAAGTCATACTAACAATTTATATCTTAAAAACCTAAACTTATAACCTTTCTGCTACTCAATCAGTTCTTTTTTCTCACTTAAAAATTTAATTTTCTTATTATAATTGTAATATGACTTTTTATTTAAAATTTTAAAATATAGATATGAATAACAATAAATCTGTGTTCATATGTGTATTGAAAAATACTTGTTACTAACATTTTATTTTTGCTTATATCATTCTGTCCTTTCATTTATGCAAATGTAATCTTTTTTATTTACAAAACTGGATTGAAAAATAATATTACATTGTAAACTGTTTTTCTTCAATAAGATATACTATGTTTATCTTTCCATGACATCACATATTTTTCACGGAAAAATATTTTAAAAATATTTTTCAAGGCTGCATAATATTGCATAATATGAGACTGCTATAATTTAATACATTTTCTATGACTGGGCATTAAATTTACTTTCACTGTTTTATTATTACAAGATGTAAACTACAATAAGATCCTTATAGCCATATAATTGTAAAAAGCCTTCCTTCCTCCTTTAGGATTGATTTGTACAGGATAAATAGCTACATCAAGAGGTATGCAAGTTCGATATACTAATAATGGGTTGTCACGTTTGTCTTCAGAAACACTGTAACAGATTTATTTCCATTAACAAGAAATGAGAATCCCTGTTTTCTGCACTATTGCCAAATTTAGCTACCTAACCATTTCTAAAATGATTCTTTAGATTTTTTTCAGCTTCTATTTGCAACCAAATTCCCTAAGCCCTTATCTTTTCTATTCTGGTTTTCTTTTATTTAAATAAAAGAAACTTCCACATGGAAAATATGACTTGTAAGAAATAAGTCCAGAAGCAACCAAATAAGCCTAGAATACAGGAGCAATGAAAGGGAGGCAGCTCTTGCAAAATTTCTAGGAAGGAAATAACAACAAAAAGATACAAAAACTTAACTACGTGATTTTACAGTGCCCATGCCTATTATTTTATTAGCCAGTTAGGTAGTACAACAAAATCAGAGAAGAGTATGTGATTGTGTTTGTTCATTATTTTGGTCAACATAAATTACCTTTATTAAAGAAGAATTAGGTTTACAATCAGATAAGGAAAATGTGTGGTAAGATATTAAAATAGAAAATGATAAAATTCTACAGGACATTGAGGTTGAACCTTATAGTCAAGTGGATAGAACACTTTAAAAGGTAAAGGAAAAATAATAAATTCAATTGTCTGATTTTTAAAAATTAGTCATAAAAATAATGATACATTCACAAATCCCTATAAGCAAGAACTATTTAACTAAGCAAGCTGACATTGACATTCAGCTGATATTGGCAAACAGCAACAGAAACCTGACTATGGTGCATAGCGGGTTAGAAAACACAAGACTGTCCTTGTGTCTGTTTTTACACCTATGCAGCCTCGCTTCACACATTCTCACAATACCCATCTTAGTTTAATCAGGCAACCTGTACATTCACATTTCAGGAGTTTCTAGATCACCACAAAGGGCACTATTTTATGGAATGAGTGTAATTAAAGCATTCCATTATTATCATCTACATTTTCCTCTCTAGAAAATACAATTGTTTCATTTCAGTAAAGCCTGTGTGTGAAATGAAGAACAACCCGATGAATTCTTTGTACTCAGGAAATAAATATTACATATAAGCTTTTCTTTCCCTTTGGGAATTTCCCAGAATTAAGGAGGGCTTCTACTCTTCCCGGTCAGCTAGGAGAAATGCTGGTCAGTGAAGCAAACGCAAGACATTTAATTATTTTAACACAAGTTGGTAGCAGTAAAGGATAAGAAGAAAATACCGTCATTAGCTGAGAAGGCAGCACTCTTCCTCCAGCAAGAACTGATCACTCTCATAAAAATATAAATGAATTAATCAGGTAAAAAGTATGAGAGAACTGAAAAGGTGGTATCATGTGGTCCTCCATCATTTCTTTAGAAATGCATAAACTTTTCCAGTTAAAGAGTGATCAGGGAAAAGGGACTGAGGCTGGTGTGAAGAGAAACAAGTTCGAGACAAAACCTGAGGTCCTTAAGCAGGAAGACATTTTCTGTGTGTGCTCTAAAGCAACTTCTCACAGGTTTCTCCATTGTTGGAGCTGGACTGGAGAGAGACAAAGAAATGACTCACTCTAGATTCACACCGAAGAACACCACCCTGGTTTCACATTTATTAGCAGGTGGTATTTTCCATGGTTAGGTAAGAGTATAGCTGTATTTTCTCCACTCTACTCTTTTTATTTTTTGACTCTTTGAAAGTATGCTAAACAGCATCCTAGCAATTATCAAAGCTCTGTGTGTTTGTGTGTGTGTATGTGTGTGTGCGCGCGTGTGCATGCATCTGCCTGCTTGTATGTATGAGTGCGATGCTATCTGTGTGTAAATACTCTTACAATGACACAGTACTTGACCATTGCTATCCTCCATGAGCCATATTTACAGGGAAGATTAATTAAGCAGAAGCCTAATTTTTATAAATAATCTATGTTCCTTTTACAACACAGGGGTTGTTTAGAGTTGCTGTGTGATCACACATTTGCAGCTTTATTCCTCAGATTTTAATGCTGAAACCAGGCTGTCATTAACACTTGCACTCTCTTATTCTGATAGAGTATAACAGTTTGCAGTTTAATTAAAGGGCTATTGGGGGTGGTAACAGTGAGAGGGGTGATGGTGTGGATTTTAGAACATCAGGGTATCCAATAGCCACAAACACCTGGTGCTATTTAAGTTGTACCTTTAACCAATTGCAGTTGGCAGCCATCAGAATACAAAAGAAGCCAGAAAGGGGAATAAATGACATATTTTAAAGAGTGAAGGGATTGATTTTTACATCAGTCACTTGAATGAGTGATTCTCTCCAGAGGGTGCAGGGAGGAGGCTCCTGTCTAAATGCTAGGAGTGTCTATGGATTTGAATAATGGATTAGGAAGTGCCCAAACATCACGATTTTCAGATTTCTCCTGCTGAATCAGGACAGCTTGTCCAAAGCGTCAGGGAGAAAGCTATTCTTTACCTTGGAAACACTGCGACAGGGGGCCTGAATAATGACTTTTCAATAGGGAGAGAGTCCCCAAAGACCAATGTTGGATGAGTGTGAGTTACAATGATCAGAGGTAGTTTGCTTTAGGTGGGTGGGCCTTGGAGCACTTTCCTGCTTGTCATTTTTATTCCATTAGGGTGTGTGTGGGGGCAAGGAACTACAAATTCAGAATGCTTTGGGGAGAGCAGGTTGTGAGGGGAGGGCTGGGGGAGGGATCTTAATTATTTCCTTGACTAGATTGTTTAATGGTGCCATCCTTAGAGACCCCCTTGCTGCCAGCTTGTTACTCATTCCCAGAGTGAATATTACTTTAGTAGATAGAGTTCTGAAGTTTGTATGGCATCTGAATTGAAAAATAGGAAACATTTCTTTAAAAAATAATGACACTCTTCAGACTGCAAGAATTGGGAATTCGTTAATATCCACTCCTATATCTTAGGAAATAATTACATATTAAGAACATGCTACAGGGACCAATGTAAACAATCAAGGCCTCTAACACATTCTTTGAAAATAAAATATACATATACCTTTACCTTGACCAAATAGGGGAAAAGGTGAGCAGAAAGGTCAGATGTTTGGCAAGAAGAGGAGTAAGTAATTGAGTGGGAGGGGGAGCATAACCAAGTCATTTTCCTCATCAGTGAACAGCACCAAACAGTTGGAGGATGGAAGCCGACAGTGTTTTTAAAACAAAAAGCAGAGTGAGTAGCCATACGTGAGGCTATGTAAACAGGACACTTTTGATCCCAGGAGTTAACAAAGACAGTGCCAGAAAAATGAGTCACTCAAGCACTGCCACAAAAGCCAAGGATGAGGTTGGGGCTGAGTCATCTCATATTCAGATCTAAACTCATGTCTCTGCCTCCTTGTCCAGGTCCCCTGCTTTGGGCAGATGAAATGGAATCCTAGCTGTGTCTCCTCTCAACATGGACTGGGTGGATAAATAAGCCAGAAAATTCAGGATTTTTGAAAATTACTTTAACTGTAACTTTTCTCACTGAATTAGTCAACCCTTCTTTTCAGGTTGGTATCTACATTTGGGTACAAACTGTACTGAAAATGATAGCATACTCCAAGGACTCCTCAATAATAAACTCAAGGAATTATCTACATGCACCTCTGGCCAAATCACCATAATTTGGTGAATAAAAATGTCTACAGAGAACACCTTTCCTCTGCCTCCCTCAGAAAGTCCTTGCATCTTGAAGAGCTGACTTTGGTCTCTGACTTCTAGGTTTAATGCTAGGCTTCGTCAGCCAATGTGCCTAAGACAAGTCATTGGCTAAGACACACGCATGACCTTCAAAGAACTAATAGGCTTTTTGGTAAGATAAGCTATAGAAACATATAACCTTCAAAGATAACAGTTAAGTAAAATATTTTATTTTGATTCTGTGAATGAATGTATAGACAATATTGTAGAAGTGGCAAGGAGAACATTTAAAATAGATACAATATATAAACATATATATATATACACACACACACACACACACACACACGCACACAAATACAGAAGATTTATGTGCCTGTGTATGTTTAGTCTGAGATGTATTTCAAAAGGAAGATGGATGATCCTGAATCTCTTCGAAATGAGTGGCATTTAGATAGGTAGAAAGAAAGAAGGAAGAGATTCTATTCACACTGAAACACAGGTAAGCCTTTAGTGCAAAGACAATACTTGTCTTGACTCACATTTAAGTAGGATGCAAGGCAGTTAAAAACATTCCTTGAATCCCCACAACTCCTTGCAAACTTTATACATAGACACTCTTGAGGATGGCCAACATAACACATTAGTAGAAGAATCAGAATTTGCAGCCAAGTGTTTCCTGACTTCAACACCCACAGTGTTGACACTGCGTGTACTAGATTAAGGTAGATAGTTTGAGAAACTGGCAGCTTCGACTTTCTCAATGACTTAAAAGCATGTAGTAAAGTCAAGTAGGCGGCAGACGTGCATGTCATTACAGAATTTTTACGTGCTCAGAATTAAAACATAGAATGTTTACTTAAATTTAGAAACAATTTTCATACATGTGCTTTCATTTGTTCTTTTAATTCCAAAATCAAATACTGTCAACCATCATAACTTTAGTGAGAATTCAATCAAGGCTAAAGAATCACCTCTTTCAGCAAGCCTAATGACTTTCACCTTAGTCTCTACTGTATTAAGATAAGGGAAACTACTATTTTATTTCTAGCCTCTACCTTTGTTTTTCCTTTATTTTTTTAAATTTAAAGGCAAAACATAAACACTTAATTACACAGACACCATTGCCATAGTTGGTGACATGGATCAAACTGTTTTGTTGGCCAGAGAAAACAACACCTGCATGGGACAGTTAAATGTTCGTTTGGGAGTTGCCCTGTGGAAGTCCCAGTGTTGGGTGTATAAAGAAGCCTCAGGTTGTCAAACAATGCACATGTGAAAAAGTAAGGGTTGCAAAGATCTACAGTAATGCTAGTGTTGGTTTTTATAAAATGAGTCCCTGCATTTTTAACATTCTGGAAATGTAGAAAGTAATTTATTATTTTTCAACATAGAATAATTTTGAATTAATTCACTCATGAAAGATACTCTGTTGAGCATGTAATCCTAAACAAAACAGGGTTCCTGCCTTTAAGTGTTTCTCCAAATTAGAATTTAAAAATATGTTTACATTATGTTTGGCAAATGATATGTTGCATATATCAATTAACGGAATTATATTTTTGCAGATTTTGTATGATATTTGAATTCTACTTTTTTGGTACCCTTGGTAGACAAATGGCTCCCCTGGAGCAATAAAACTGCCTTGGGATAGTTGAGTTGGAGATAAATAATACACTGTATGAAAAAAAATTCTAAAGAAATAGTATAAATAGTTCTGGTCTGTCTAAAGTGAAATAGCTATGACCTGCACTCACAGTAGGACAAGAAAACAACTTCAGGAACAGAAGTATTTTTTACATTTATATTCTGAGGAATCTTTATTATTAATAGTGACCTATATTTTTATTACCCAAGGCTAAATATCTCTGTATATCTACCTTTTGACCATATTTCCAGAAAAGTACAGATGTAGATATGTATGTAAATATATGTAGGAGGTATGAATTTCAGTCCACAATCAGAAGAAGCAGGAGATATCATAGTTTTTTTTTTCTCTTTAAAGTAGATTTAATACCTCAGAGTTCTCACCAGTGAAATATAGGAATTTCACTTTGAGTAAATTTGGGTTATCTTCTTACCAGGATTTAAATATGGAGGTGACTGAAATCTTAATTGATGGAGGCTATCATTTTAAAAATTGCTCCTGTTACCCTATAATGCTGTGGTCAATTGACAGTACCTGCCCTCTGGCTCTTGAAAACTGATGTTCTTCCAGCTTTGCAACAACATAGATGATCCTGGTGGACATTATGCTACATGAAACAAAACAGGCACAGAAAGACAAATACCGTATGAACTCACTTATATGTGAAATTAAAGTGTAAGTCATAGAAACGGGGTAGAAGGGTGGTTACAAGGAGTTGGGGAAGTGGGAAAAATGAAAAGATATTGGTCAAAGGATAGAAACTTCTAAATATGTGATAATTTTTGAGACTTAATATGCAGCATAGTGAGTACGGTCATCATGTATACAGTAATGTATTACATACTTGAAATTTGCTAAGAGAGTAGATCTTAAGTATTCTTACCACACACATACACATAAAAGGTAACTATATGAGGTGATGGGTATGTTAATTAGCTTGATCATGGTAATCCTTTTACAATGTATACATATATCAAAACATCACTTTGAGTACTTTAAATATACAATCACGCATTGCTCAGCTACAGACATGCGTTCTGAGACATTTGTCTTTAGTTGATTTTGTCTTTGCACAAACATCATCATGTGTACTTTCACAAACCTAGATGGTATAGTCTACTACACACCTATACTATATGGTATAGCCTATTGTTCCTAGGCTATAAACCTGTACAACATGCCACTTTACTGAAGGTTACAGGCAATTGTAACACAATGGTAAGTATTTGTGCATCTAAGCATATCTAACATAGAAAGGGTATGATAAAAATACGATATGAAAATCTTCTGAGACCACTATTATATGTACAGTCTCTCATTGACCAAAACATCTTTATGCAGTACATGGAGTATATAATTTTAATTTGTCAATTATACTTCAATTAAGCTGGAAAAAAAAAACCAGAACAAACAAAACTTCTGATCTAAGCTGGTTCTGAGATGACCCTTACATAATCTTTCCTATTGGCCTGATAGTCCACATCTGGGATGCAGGGACGTGCCACCAGCCACCCTGTCTCTGTCTCCTCCTTAATCTAAGAAGAGGTTAAAACTTCCTTTCTTGGATGGAAGCTTCTACCTCCCTTACCTCCACTATTCAAAACACTTCTTTCCATCCATCCCCCTCATCTTCTCCTTTTTGGGCCTTTAGAAATACAGAAACATTCTTAATTTCCTCTGTTATATAAATAACTTACATGCTACATAACTTGGAAGTTTATTTCTCACTAACCCTATTGTGAAAAATATTTGAGGAAGTTTTCTCTATTGAACAATGCCACGCAAGCTATGAATGTACATTAGATCAGTGTACATCTGAGCATGCAATACTTAGAATTTATTTTTAACTATGTCTGACAAGGTAAATCAATTATATTCCAGTCATTTAAAATGATTATTTAATCCAACAATCACAATTTTGTTGACTTGAGTTCCTTATAAGCTTTCCTATCATTTCCCTCCCTTCTATTTCCTGGTCAGAGATTAGGCACTGGACAAGCTCATGTGATATGTATTTTTTTTTCTTAAATGAATGCTTTGTAATTGAATCACCCAGAAAATTAATTAAAACGATCAAACTTCTTGGTGTCAGATAGACATATCCCTTTTCAAATATCATTTGATAGTAGATATGAGGCATCTCAAAGACTTACGGTAGAGAAAAGAAAAAGTGGTTGTTAAAATAGCCTTGTACAGTCACTATGAACAGAATTTTTAACACAAAAACATACAAGGAGTATGATGTTTACAATCCACAAAGATGCTTTAAATAGAACATTTCTGTAATGCAACATCTTGTGTTTTCATATTTCCCATCATATTCAAAAATATTCTTCAACATAAAGAAAAAGTCCAATATATTTGCATAGTAAGAAGAGTTGAAAACATCAGATAATATTAAGAAACTGAAATAATAATATATAGTGCTTTTATTTCTATATATTCTAAAAGTGGGTGTTTATACTTATAAATTGATATATAAAGAGTTACTATCAAATTCATATTTAAAAAAATAAAAATACCAATGCTCTGTTTAAATGCTGGCATCAAAAGGATTAAGCTATAATTATTTTCTTGAGGACTTGTGGGTTTCGAAGTGATACATAGGCTTATATACAATTATATATAGACAGGAAAAAAGACTAAGCAAAGTAGTAAAAAATTATAATGAATCTAGTAATAGCTAAAAAATTAAGGCCTTGTTTGTACATCTATAGATAAGCAAACTTCACTTTTTAAAATGATATCTTGCTTTCTTTAGAATCACTTATACTCAAAATGATTAAGCATTTTAATTTTTGTAGTTACATTTGCATTTTATCCATGTTACACTTCCTTGCAGAAATAACAGTCTTGGGGAGAGGGAGAAGTGGTTTGGGGCTGCTTCAGGCAGCATTTTCCTCATTTATTTGATAAATATTTATTGTGTTAGTTACTAAGCATACAGCTGTGAATAAGACACAGTTTAATCCCTCACACAATCAAAACCAGGTCATTATTAAATTAACAATGATTATGCTTCAAAGCATATATAGACACCATTTCTTGATTTTGAATTAACCAGTTGTTTTTCCCGGATGTGCATACTGGAACACATAAGTACACAGACATTTTATTTCTAGCAGTAATCTTGGCTATACATTAACTCTTTCACTACATATTATGCATGTCTTATTATCTCCATGGTTTTATTATTTAAGGAAACCTAGATGATTCTTCTAAAGGTAACTGGATAATTCAAATAAGAAAATTCAACAAAAGTTGAAAAGGGATATTTTACATTTAAAAATGGGTCATAGTCAGTTTATTGTCTACTCCTAAAGTTCAGTTTAAAAAGGTAATTCTTTTCTTTTTTTTTAAGATTGAACAAAACTATTTATTAGGTTTTATACATATTTGTTCCAATTTTTTTATTATACTTTAATCTTTAGGGTACATGTGCACAACGTGCAGGTTAGTTACATATGTATACATGTGCCATGTTGGTGTGCTGCACTCATTAACTCGTCATTTAACATTAGGTATATCTCCTAATGCTATCCCTCCCCCCTCCCCCCACCCCACAACAGGCCCGGGTGTGTGATGTTCCCCTTCCTGTGTCCATGTGTTCTCATTGTTCAGTTCCCACCTATGAGTGAGAACATGCGGTGTTTGGTTTTTTGTCCTTGCGATAGTTTGCTGAGAATGATGGTTCCCAGCTTCATCCATGTCCCTACAAAGGACATGAACTAATCATTTTTTATGGCTGCATAGTATTCCATGGTGTATATGTGCCATATTTTCTTTATCCAGTCTATCATTGTTGAACATTTGGCTTGGTTCCAAGTCTTTGCTATTGTGAATAGTGCCTCAATAAATATACGTGTGCATCTGTCTTTACAGCAGCATGATTTATAATCCTTTGGGTATATACCCAGTAATGGGATGGCTGGGTCAAATGGTATTTCTAGTTCTAGATTCTTGAGGAATCGCCACACTGACTTCCACAATGGTTGAACTAGTTTACAGTCTCACCAACAGTGTAAAGGTGTTCCTATTTCTCCACATCCTCTCCAGCACCTGTTGTTTCCTGACTTTTTAATGATTGCCATTCTAACTGGTGTGAGATGGTATCTCATTGTGGTTTTGATTTGCATTTCTCTGATGGCCAATGAAACTATTCCAATCAATAGAAAAAGAGGGAATCCTCCCTAACTCGTTTTATGAGGCCAGCGTCATCCTGATACCAAAGCCTGGAAGAGACACAACAAAAAAAAGAATTTTAGACCAATATCCCTGATGAAAATCGATGCAAAAATCCTCAGTAAAATACTGGCAAACCGAATCCAGTAGCATATCAAAAAGCTTATCCACCATGATCAAGTGGGCTTCATCCCTGGGATGCAAGCCTGGTTCAACACACACAAATCAATAAATGTAATCCAGCATATAAACAGAACCAAAGACAAAAACCACATGATTATCTCAATAGATGCAGAAAAGGCCTTTGACAAAATTCAACAACTCTTCATGCTAAAAACTCTCAATAAATTAGGTATTGATGGGATGTATCTCAAAATAATAAGAGCTATCTATGACAAACCCACAGCCAATATCATACTGAATGGGCAAAAACTGGAAGCATTCCCTTTGAAAACTGGCACGAGACAGGGATGCCCTCTCTCACCACTCCTATTCAACATAGTGTTGGAAGTTCTGGCCAGGGAAATCAGGCAGGAGAAGGAAATAAAGGGTATTCAGTTAGGAAAAGAGGAAGTCAAATTGTCCCTGTTTGCAAAGAAAACATTTTTTTAAAGTAGTCTGTGATAAAAAACATCCAGGTCTAATCTACTCTTCATACAAAAAATTCACCTGAGTTCCCTAGATTGAAACTTGCTATTAAGTAACTGTCTACATTTGGAAATATGTCCAATAAACTGCAAGGCCATGACTTTGAAAAACTCAACACGTGGTCTTTCCTTAGGTGAAATCAACACTACTCTAGAACTGATTGCAATTCTGGTACCCTCAGACAGGGTAAATATGTGTTAGTTAATTATGATCATTCATTCATGTTTTTATGTGTTCAACGGTTCATCAAATGATTACTAAGTGCCTACTATGTGATAGGCGTCATGCCATAACTAGGTAATGCAATAGTAAACCGAGTAATTTTCTTACTGTCACGCAGTTTGCATTGAAAAGTTTAATTGTAGAGAATAGCTATGACAGGCAATGTTTCTACAATATTTCAAGTGTTTTTTTCTTATCTCTTTGTGCACATAAATGTTACTGTCTCATATGTTTTGTATCAAAACAGTCATCAAGCCCCAGTGTGTGATGGTCCCCTTCCTGTGTCCAAGTGTTCTCATTGTTCAATTCCCACCTATGAGTGATAACATGTACCCTAGAACTTAAAGTATAATTAAAGAAAAAGAAAAAAAAAACTACATGAAAAATAAATTTAAAAAAACATTTGAACTATAAAAAAAAAAAATCATCAAGTCACCAAGAGTGACACTGCATATGTATTCTGATAGACTAAGTTACATGAATATCTTTTTGTTTGATTAGTTGTTAAAACTTATGAAGTACTTTAAGTGAAATGAGTATCAGCAAAATAGTTGATAATTCTATGGAGAACTTTTTAGCCAAAGCATTAACTCATACATTTTGATTTTATGTCAATAACATCATTTGCTGTTGTCTCCTAAAGTTTTTGGCTTTGTTTTGTTATGCTTTTGAAGAGGAATTATGGGGACATTATCAGGTGTATCTTAGTCGTTGTTTAAACTTATTTAATTTGTATCAAGGGCAATCTTTCATAGAATTTTGTTTAAAGAGAAAGTAGTCCTGCTTCTCAGAATGAACGAATTGCTTTTAGAGTTTATATACAAAATGGGGAGGAATAATTTTCAGAAATAAAATGAGTGTGTGTGTGTGTGTGTGTGTGTGTGTACACAGAGAAAGAGGAATTCACTTATTCTCTTATGTTTTAGTTCTGAAATTAGTATTGCTATTATTTTGGGGTTTTCTTCTGGGGAAAAATTACTTAGTACCAATTTTTAAATACTTATGAATGAAAGTCACATTCAATTAATAGATATTTTACCCTAACTGATTTCAAATATATCTGTAGGATAGTTAATGATAAGGTGATCATACCAGTTTTCCTAGAAAAGCTCCAATTTATATCAGTATTTTCAGAGTAATTATGAAATGTGTCTTTTTAAATTCTTAAAACCATCCTTATTTGGGCAATGAATCTTATGGTCATCTTACTAGTGAGAGACTGGGGAAGTTAAAAGAAAGGTTTAATCTGAAAAATTAAATTCTATATAATTTTATCTTTTGTGCAAAAGAGAAGAAAGAAATTGCTGATGATCCACAAAAGAATAACTTAGCTGAGTTTTAATTGGGAGGAATGTTTTCTACATAGAAACTTCTAGATTGATGCTCTGATCTGCATAATTACCAACATACATTTTGGTGAAAGCAAGTAACGGTGAGAGGAGAATCATTTGAGGCCAAAATTTTGGGATTGCTAGTCCCAAAAGTTCAATCCTATAATTAAGTTCATATATAATACCATGTCTTCCTAAACAAAATAAAACAAAACCAGAAGTGGCACTGTTGAATCTTAAAACTTCCCAGTCACAGGAAGATGCTGCATGATGAGATGGTGAAGGTAGGGGAATCAGAACCTAGATTTTAATCCTCACTTTGCCAATGGAAGTGGAGTTGGATAACTTTGGAAAATTACTTATCTCTTTGGGGCCTCAGTTTTTTCATCTTTTAAATGAAAAAGACTCCATCCAGAATTTTCAATCTTTGTATGTGTGTTTGTGTGTGAGGGGCGGTGGGGGGGGGGTGGTGTCAGAATATCTAGAAGCTCTTTCTTACAACTATATCTCAGGAGAATTCCTCAAGTGGGGGAAGTTGATTAAAGTGAGCTATATTGATTGAAAGTGAAGCAGGGGTACCTGGAACTCTGTCCTATTGGACTTCTCCTTACCTCCTATAGTAACTTGTGAGAGCTCTAAGGAGCACAGATTTTTTTAAATGCTAGAAAAAAATAATAGCTAAAGGGCTTTCTTTATCAAAATTTCCTAGGCATGAAGATTTTACTCTGTGCAAACACTAAAGTGTTCCACTGTTTTTCAATGGTTCATCAGGACCTCAACCACCATTCATAACTTTAAAACAATGGAAAGAAATTAACAGTTCTTCAGTGATTAATCATAATGAGGCATTGAGTTTATATAGCACTTATAAACTCACTATACACTATAGTGTATCTTTTATGTACCTCAACAGCAAATATAGACGGTTGATAGGGAAAAAGGAAAGCATAA
The DNA here is from genome assembly GCF_000001405.40 of Homo sapiens. Taxonomy (NCBI): domain Eukaryota; kingdom Metazoa; phylum Chordata; class Mammalia; order Primates; family Hominidae; genus Homo; species Homo sapiens. The sequence continues at coordinate 29,291,723 of NC_000011.10, forward strand.
TTATTTCTGCTTTACAGATGAGGAAACTGAGTCTCAAAAGTGTAAAGAAGTATGTGTCATGACAAACAACCATTGGGTGAAGAATGTACTTCATATTGTTTCTCTATCAAAAATATCTTATTTCATAATCAAAAGAATAAAAGAATATTTTATTTGATTGAAGGACCTAAAAGAGACAGAGTTAAATATCTTATTGTTTAGGAAGATGATGAGTTTCCAAAACCACGAAATCAGTGGCAAAAAAGGAAAATCATGGGAGTTTTAAAATTTTCTTTTGCAGAAAATGTAACATAACAGAGAAGGTACAGTTGATTGCTAATCAAGTAGATAAGGAGGTCATATGAAGATGTACATTACCACAAAGTCAGTTTTAATACCATATTACAAAAGATAACATAAGTGGTATCAGCGGTTACTCATTGTGTTTTCTTTTCAAAGTTCCTCCTTCTATGGAAATATAATTTAGCAAGAGAAACAGTGCCATACATTGCTGTGATAGGGAAGTGAATATGGGAGAAAATGGAGATAGATAGAATTAATACTGAAGTGGAAACAACAATATATCAGAGGACAGAAAGCTTAGATATGTTTTGCTACAAAATAACTCAGTAGTTTGAGGACAATGTCTCTAAATTTTTATAAATCTCAGTTTCTTAATCTAAAACACGAAGGTGTTGGATTTAACGATTTTTACTTCCATTTTAGCACGAATACTTTCTCATTTTTGAGTCCTCTTTAAATAACTTGAAATGTCTACTGACATAACTTAGGAGATCCAAGGGAAAATGCCAAGAAGTTTTAACCATGCTGTAGTGACACATATTTGGGAAAATGCATTCACTTCCTTGCAAGTGATATCAGTGATCTACTTGGTGAGATTGAGATGCATCTTCTGTCAGGAAATCTTGCCCACCCTTCATTATGCTTATGCTGGTCAAGCTTTTTTGGTGGCAAATGATAATAAGCAAAGCTCAAAACAAAGTAATCAATAAAGCGAACCCATTGTCTTACTTAACAAAAAATATCTCAGGTAAATATGTTAAGATTTAAGAGGGAACTCCAATAGTGTCATAAGAACATCATCTCTATTCTTGATTCTGCTTGTCTCTCTATGGCATTTATTTTCAGGTTATACAAGGTCTTAACATGGCGGCCAAAGTCTTAAGTCGTGAGTTATTCCAGATTCAGATTTCCCAGAATCTTCCAAGTAGCTCCAGTACAACTTCCCGAATTCACAGAAATTGGAACGTTTTGGCTTTATGCTCTCATCCATTAGTCAGTCAATATTGCCTGGGGAATAAAATTACTCTAACTAGCCAGGCCTACTACAGAGGTCAATATTAATTTTCGTGGACTATACTGTTACTAATCAAGCAGGTGTCAATTTCCTAAAATGATTTAAAATTCCAACAGCTCCTTGGGTAGAACTTTTCATAAATAAAGCATTTCCTGCTTTATTTATCACCATAGCATCTATCATTACCTAATATACTTATTTTGATTGGCTGATTGATTGTCTATTCTTTTTCAACTAGACCATAAACTGCATGAGAACAGGGATTTTTATCCCTGACCTAGAAAAATGCATGACATTTAGGAGGGACTCAATAATGAATAACCCTGGGGAGAAACATATATTATTATTCACGATTTATGGTAAGGACAGAAAGCTGAGGCATAAAAATGTTAAAGTTTCCAAAATTATATATTTATTTAGTAACCAGGAAGTCTGACGAAGGAGATCAGAGACTTCACCATTAACTTTTATACTAGTTGCCAGTAGATGTTGGTTTTTATACTATGTCTACCATTTGATAGCTTTCTGAATTTTATTAGTGACTAAGGGACTCTGGACTCAATGTTTCTACTCTAAAATGAGGTAATATTAGCTCTGCTAACTTCACAGGAATATGAAAATGCTATTCAAATTGTAAATGAGTTTATAAATGTGAGCCATTATTGTTTATGTTGCTAAAAATTCAGGTATCATGAGAGGTCTTAATAAAGACAATTATGTCATTTTGATAAAGGAACAATCCAGCTTCCCTGGTAATTAGTTCAAATACTGGTATATTTGATGTTTGCACACCAAAGTTTGAAGTGAATATTTAAGCCAAATCAGTATCATTAACTTTCACTTGATTAAGCTCAGACATCCCTAGGTAACTTTCTCAAACTTCTCCCATTCATAGATGACACAGCTGGGTAGAAATTAGTCTCTAAAAATACTTTCACACAACCGGCTTGTTTTCTAGTCACTGTCTGCTTATGTTATGCTCATTCCATCTGTCAATAGATGTGAGTCACACATTCGACCTTTCAGTTTCACTTGCGCACATAAATTTCTTCCAATTTCCTGTGAAACAAACACTTTTAACTCTTTAGGGTTTTGTAATTTGTACACAGGTCATTCAGGGATGATTCAAAGAACAAAGTAAGCCCTTGACTGTGTGACAAATTTGGCTTGAGCATTTTATAACTGGAACAAATTTTCTTTTATTGTTTGACTAATAAATGTAGGTCTATGTAGAGACACAGACATACATATATTTGTATTTGTATTTTAATTGTATATGCATAAACTAAATCTTCTGGTAGCTTTCTATAATGTAGGACAACTAAAAGTAAAATAGTTTAAAGGAGGCCCATGTATGGGCTAAAAAATTCTCATTAGCCTCCCTCCTTAAGTCAGTATAGTTTTATCTTCTTACAATTCATGTGAAGAAAACACTTGGATTTTCAAGTGAAAAAGCAAAGTTTATTCCTTTCTAATGTTTACCTGTGATCATGACTGTTATATCAAATTTGTCTAATCTTTTTATTTTGACTACACACAAGAAATAAAAATGATATGTTGGTAGAAACATCTCTATTTTGAGAAATCGTATTTGGACTGAGCTTAAATTAAAACTAGTTTCATGATTTAACAGAAGCTGCAAAGCTCTCCCCAAAGTCTTTTATGATAAAAAGTACACAATAACTGAATAACAAAATGATGGAATCAACAAAGGTAATAAAAATAAATGTATTCTTATCTCAAAAGCTATTCTTACCCAAGACAAAAGAGGAACAACAAAACCTTTTTCTTCCATTTCCTCCTTGGTTACCAATCTCAGAGCAGCTAAAGTGATAATGGGGGATGTTTGTTTCAGCACTGTGGAAGGGAGCCATACCTGCAAAGCTCCAGGAAAATGGAAAGGAGGTATTCTAGCTTTCTGCCAAAATGTTAAGGACTACTCCTCCAGGCCCATTTCTGTTTTACTTTTTGTCTCTCCTTTTTTTTGTTTGTTACTTGGCAAATCTATTGTCTTCAGTCACATTTTCTAAGTGTACTTCCTATTTTATGGATACAGGCCTAGGACTATAGAGACAGAGTTACTCCGGGGGAGATCCATGATTATTGGTAGTATAATTGAACCACTTCATCTGAGACCAACTGAGATTACGATATTTTCCCCTTCACACACCCTAAGTGCAGAACCCAGAGATCCTGATTCACTGACCAGTAACCATTAGGTTTTGCCACACTCTATTCCATACCTCTGTTTGATGTCGTAGAAGTAGGTACTCTGAATCATGCTAGCAAACAGTATAAGCCATAATTTATTCATAATATATAAATCCTGAATGCAAGTTTGATTTCCCCTGAAAATTTTTGTTATTTTTGTGATCAAGTCTGAAATGTAGGAAGAAGGATAAAATGGCCAGGAACCTAGCAGTAGCTTATGGCAACTGGGTGCAACAATTGCTTAAAGGCTTCTCTAAACATATAGGACTAGATGAGAGCTGAAGGAAATTTTATTATGGACCAATACATAACAGGTATGGAAACGTGAAGGCACAATACATTCCAGCTTTGTTTGCCTGGAAGTGAAAGGAGACAGAGCTCGATGAAGTTTAATAGAACTCTTTGAAATAAGGCAGATCTGAGGTTTAATTTAACCTCTGCAGCAGAATGATCTTGCACAAATGGCTCAACTATAAATGGGATGAATGGAGGACAAGTGGTAGTTATAAATATCTTGAATTATGAGAATTAAATGATATGGAACACGGTCTGTCTTATTCACCATTATATTCCCAACTTCTTGGTGCTGCCAAGAAATTCCCCCCAATTCCCTGAGTTTGGCACATAGTGGGAGCCAGAATTCTATAAGTTGTTCATTTTTGCTCTCTCTAAACTTCCTTTTGTTAAAAACTAATGTGTCTTCTTCTTCCAGTTTTATCAGTTCATTCTCTTGGGAATGTGTAGAAATGGAAACTATAACTTATTATTAGGGTATCCCTAATAAATAGGAAATCATAAATGAAGAGCAAATCTGAAACAAAAAATAATGGAGATGTTCAGGAGATCAGAGGAGACATTTAATATGTGACAACGCAACCAGTCACAGGGTCTGTTGTAACTCAATCTTATTAAGGAAACAGCAATAATGTATACCTATATAGGTTGGTCAATAATAAGTTCAAGAAAACTTGAATTTCATTTAAAAGACTAATGAAACATCCTAGGCAAAGAACAACTTTCAAGACCCAAGCTAAGGAGAAAACTTTCTAGATACAAAATGTGTGCAAGGACTTTGTAGCACAGGAAGAGCCAACATCATGCCAGCTATGAATTCAGGTTTATCAAGAAGGCATAACCATTAAGACCAGGTTCTTTCCTCAGGTCCAACAAAACAAAAAATCCAAGAAGACATAACCAGAAACGGAAGAAAACAAAATGTTGGTTGAAAAGAAAACTTCCTAGCAGGACAGTCTATCCAAACCATGATTCTTTCCAAGAAGGTGATTCAGCCAGCCTCCCCAGAAGCAAATGAACCCAGGTTTGCACAGAGGAATAGGAAGTACACCATGGTGAACAGTCTGCTCCTCTAAGTCGCTAGGTGTGCCCTGGCTGCACCAGTGAAGGCTTTCCATCTTGATTCTCTGTGATTTTAGGACAAATTGCTTTTGGGGTTCCTGACCCCTGCTGGAATTTGCAAAGTTGTTAGAGGGTGACTAAATTAGTGGAAAAGAGAGAAGTGAGGAGGCTCCCAAATCAGATTACTGTGTAAATATTAGAGATGCTTCAGAGGGCCCAGTGTATTTGGATGCTGGCTTCTGATTCAAAAAGCAAATTTGCTTGGCAGGTATCTGTGTCTATGGCTCTTGGCCTACTGTCCAGTTGTCAGTGTTTTAAACAAATAACTTTCTAAACTTTATTTCATGACATCTAAGTCACATTGCAAGGTTATTCTCAATAGGTGGTGAGTCAAAGGGAGGTGGCAAACAACCTTACCATTTTTTACAGCCGCTTTACTTTGGCTACAGCTTCTGAATGACAGGAAAAATATTTAAGATAGTCACTCATATTTCTTTCTCCATCAATTGATATTCTAGGAAATCTATTTACACCCTGTCTGAAACAAGCTGGCATGTAACAGAATAATGAAAAATGATGCTATTCTAGTAAGGAAAACCACTTCTACAAACTACAAGCAAGAACAGGTCAGAGAAATAGAGACCTTAGTATCAATGATATTGGATTCTTTTCCAGAAAATTTTTCCTAAAATTAAGATTAAATAAACCCAAACTAAATCAGATTGGCCTACTGCCAAAGGTAAATGGAAGGCTGGACACACAATCTGAAATTTATCTTTCACATTTTATATTTGCACTATTCGTTTTTGCCAGTGCATTTCAACAAGATTGCTCCAAAGGTAATTTGGATATATCAAACCCCATTTAGCCTTTATTATCTATATAATTAATGGAACAGCAGTCACAACTATAATGAATCTCAATGAAACAAGTAGAAAAGCAGTAGTATACTTAAAATGGCTGGCCCTGTTACAAGTTGGGGACTATAATCCTAAAATAAGAACATCTAGTGTCTGTAAATGCCTTTTCATTGTCAAAATGTGTTAACATGGAGTCCTCTCCAATTTTTAAATACGGAGGAAATGAACTGCCAAGGAAGTTCACTGAAATGGTCAAGGACAGGAGAATGACGTGAACCCAGGAGGCGGAGCTTGCAGTGAGCCGACATCACGCCACTGCACTCCAGCCTGGGCGACAGAGCAAGACTCCATCTCAAAAAAAAAAAAAAAAAAAAGAAAAAGAAAAAAAAAAGCAATGGCCAAGGAGACACTTACTCAAATGACCAGTACACTCCATCGTGTGGTAGTGGCAGCCCACATAGTGATGACTGTTTTTATTTTAACATCATTTTGCAGCCAACCTTTCTGTCATTCGTTTTGTTTTAACACCACATTACCACCCCAGATAACAGGGGTTTCAGACCCCGAGTAGGTAAAATATCAAAGAAATGTAGTACGGTTGCCTTGGGGTCAATTCTTAGTGCACACCACTATTTATCTGTCAATTTATTTGACTGCTCGTAACTCCTGAATCCTTGCTTCCCTCAATAACTTTGTGTAAACAGATCTATGTGTAAATCAAATTTTAGCCACTTAAGAGGAGTTCACTTAACTCCTCTGTATCTTTAAAATGGATATCATAATAATGTTCATTGTTGTTTTGAGAATTAAATGAGGGATAATGCATTTAGACACATCCCACTGACAATCAGTAAAAGTTTTCCTTTTCCACTCATTCCCTATTTTATCTAACCCAGATGCACATCTTTCAAATAAACAGAAATGAGATCTTCCCAAAATATGCTGCCTTCCTCCAATCGCCAATTGCTTGCTGTATCTTGAGGGTCCATCCCTATTAACTTAGGAGATTAGTATCCAAACCCAATTATTGCCCAAATCCTTTGTCACAAAGACATTGCTCTAGAAGACAGTGTTTTATTATTTTACTATAAAATTACATCTCAAAGAAAAATGCAAAAGAAAAATAAATGTACCAAATGATAGGTATAATGCACACAATTGTGTAATTAATTCCTTTGTCAACATATACAACATTGCCGTCAACATAGGTGTTCTTTTGAAGGTATAACTCTTTTAGAGACAGTTATGCACATATATAGAGATGAATTCTTATATGGTGGGAAAGACTTAGGTTGTAAAATGACACAGGCCTGGGATTAGTCTTGTTTCTCTCACTTATAAACAGTGTGACTTTGGCCAAGTCACTTTTATCATTAGCATCCACATCTGATAAATGAGAGTGATAAAACTTTTCAGTATAGCTGTGAGGTTGACATATGTATACACATACACACACATATATACACACACACACATATATACACACACGTGTGTGCACAGGTATGTGGGGGAGGCATATATACTTACTCAATGAATAGTAACTATTACCGTTAGTAATCATGCATACTTCAAAGGCATTGTGGCTTCAATGCATGACAAATTTATTAATTCTAGTAATTTAAATAATAAACATTTGCATTGGCAAAAATTTGTCTTTACAATGATTCCAAGCTGGAAGAGTGCTGATTTCTTAAGCAAATGGATATTTTAAATCAGAATATAGAAGACTTATTTAACAAACCTTTAGATATTGTGTGTATGCACTGCAAATTGAAAATATTTATTAAAATATACCCAGCAGAGTTTCCAATTACATTGTACATTATTTACTAAAATATTAAGTGATTTTTAATTAAAATGTTTAAAATTCAGATTTTCAATTAATTGACCAAAATAATCATCTCCAATAATCTGATTTAAAAGTAATTTGGTGAATTATTATAACATTTTTGTCAGTCTTTTGTAACAATACAATTTTTAATATATCATAACTAAATCAACTGGATTATTAGACTATCACTTTATGGATTATATCTCATATCAGAATATTCTAGCACTCCATTCTTGGGAAAACTTATACATAAATTAATACAATGAGAAACGTAGTCCCAACTTTCCTAGAATTCTCAGGAATGACATCATCTTTTCTTAATTGGCCCTAGCTTCTGTGCCAATAAGAATAAAAGGAAATTTAGGTCGTTTTATGACAGCAAGATTAGAAAAGAGCGAATGGGAATTGTACTTAGTTAATTAGCATTTAATCCTTTATATTTTGGGGGGCTTTTCGTTTGTTTGTTTTGTTTTTTTGAGACAGAGACTCACTTTTGTTGCCCAGGCTGGAATGCAATGGAGTGATCTCAGCTCACTGCAACCTCCGCCTCCCGGGTTCAAGCAGTTCTCTTGCCTCAGCCTCCCAGATAGCTGGGATTATAGGTGCCTGTCACCACACCCGGCTAATTTTTGTATTTTTAGTAGAGATGGAGTTTCGCCATGTTGGCGAGGCTGGTCTGAAACTCCTGACCTCAGGTGATCCGCCCATCTCAGCCTCCCCAAAGTGCTGGGATTACAGGCGTGAGCCACTGTACCCAGCCAATCCTTTGTTTAGTTTTGAGTTTTCCACCTGAAAATAGACCCATGGGAAGTTTTATTTCCTCACAGCAGTGAATGCATGCATACTCGTGTTATGTCTTGGGTTTGATTCTCATCTCTGAAACTCTTTCTATCTGATATTGAGTAATTTCTTAATGTCTTTTAGCTTTAGTTTCCTCACCTTTAGATTGAAATAACAATTTCATCCATACCTACATAATATATTTATATTAAGAATAAACTGATAATATATGTAAAACTACTTTTTAAAAAAACTATAGCTGCTATACTAATGAAAATTATTACTGTTTTCTCATCAAGCCAGAGTTTAGTTAATCCCAATTTTACAAGTTGTGATATTCTTGAGTTGGATTATTTTACAAATCCTACTTCACTGTTTACCTTACTTCGGGAATGTCTTTAGAATATAAAAGGAAAAGTTATGTTTATGGATACATACTTTGTGGATTAATGGTTCTAAGAAGAATCTTGGCTTTATCTTTTTGTTAGGTCAATCGAATGAGACCTCACCACTCAGGAATGCATTCATTGTGATTCAAAAACTTTCAGGATTCACTTCTAAGTTAAAATGGGTAATACTGATTTCTTTGACCAAGATTGTAGCTAAGATGATTCATTAAATCATCTGAAAAGAGAGTAAGTGTGGTTACAGAACTAGGCACATGAAGCACATACAGGTCCCTCAAGGCAGATTCTGTAACATGCTGTTTCCGCTCCCTGGAATGCTCAAACTCTTCTTCCCCTCAAATCCTGACACCCACTTTAGAGTCCAGCTCAGCTGTTCTTTTTTCAATAATGATAATTCCCCAATTGGAATCAATTTAATTCCTTGCCTCATTCCCTAAACACTGCCTTTCTTCTGTATCATTTATGCTGCTTGATTCTGAAGATCAGGAATCTAGTCTCACCCGTTCTTCTGTCCTTTGGGTTATCATAACAACTTTCATTGTTTCTCACTGTGATGTGAATGTTCTCCCCAATTATCTGATATCACCTATTTTCTCATATTTTCCACTTGGATATGTGGCTGCCTGGAATAACAACTGTATTTCCAAATCTAAATGTGGTCACATAACAAAGTCTATCTTGGTATTGACTTAACAGCAGAAATGATACAGGAAAATTCTAGACAGTACACCTTAAAGAAAAATATTGTTCACTTCCCTAATTTCTTTTCTGTTCATTATGAGTGATTTTGAAACACCCAGAACAAGTCAATATTCTAGGAATCATTGAGCAATATGATTTAAGGAGACTTGAGCCCTCAACACTGTGGAACCACCATCTCAACCTGGGATGACGCTTTGACTGTTACATGAGAGAAAAACCAAACTTCTCCCATGTTTAAGCTTGTATTGCTTTTGGGTTTCATAGCTCATTGCTTTTGACTGTTATGCCCTCTGGGCATTATTCATTGTAATTTGCTCTGTTAGCTTCTAGGTCTTCTAGGTTTTTGGGTAAAGATACATTTGGGTTACTTGTGCTTTTAAAATATTTTGTTGTGTTTAACAGGGGTCTCTTTCTTACGGTATAGGATTATAAAAGAAGATTGTGGAAAGAATATAATTCACTCTTTGATACAGTTTTGGCTATCGACATAAATCTAGGATATATTAGACCTCGTTTTGCTCATTTTCTAATGTTCACATAGGCTGTTCCCATTGTCTGGGAAGCTCCATATTTGGAATTACTTTATATCCTACTCATATTTTGATCTCAACTTCAATATTGTTGCCTTTGGAAAAGTCTTCCCTGACCTTACAGACTTAAGTTAATATAATATTGTCTCATATTTTATAACATATATTATTAGCACTACAATTATATCATACTTTGTATAGCTTTTAATTTAATTATTGATCTTTTACTAAACTATAAGTTCCATGAAGGCAGAGACCATGTCTGCAAAATTTACTGATGTAGCCTAAGGGCCTGGAATAAGGAATATTCTATGTATTCAATAATTATTGAAAAGAAGGAATGAAGGAAAGAAGGAAGGGGGAGGGAGGGAGGGAGGGAGGGAGGAGAGAAACAGCGAGACAGAAGGAGGAAAGCTACCCAGCCATGAAAAGGAAGAAAACAAGCAGTCATTTTGGAATCTGATTGTTTAGATTTAAAAACCTCCACTTGAAATACTTATATAATGGAGGAAAATATGTTCTTTAGGAGAGGTGTTTGAATCATTGAGATTAATTTTTTCAAATCTCTTCATTCTGGATGAGGAGTTACAGTAGGAAAATATGTTGCCTTTATTTTGTCACTTTTTATTTTTTAAATTTTCTTCTAGGTCGAAATAAATCAAAGCTCGAAAACTTTCTATATTTGGAAATCAGTAGTTACTTCCAAAAACTTATCTATAGTATTTTGGGACATGTGCCCAGCGTCTTCCATTTTCTCTTATTTCTTGAATAATAATTTTCCAGGAGGGATTTGATCAGGCCCACCTCTTGTGCTGCCAGCCTGACTGAATTTCCTGGTCCTCTAGGTGATTTTGGAAATGTCAACTCGAAGGAGCACTGCCAAGTTAGAAAATCACTGCTTATGACTCTACATGCAGATAGGGACAGGTGTCTTCATCTTTCTGCTGGCAGGTTCTGTGCCATGAGAAGTTTCTGTAATAAAAAAATCAATAAAGTTTCTTTTGAAATATGGATTTAATTTCCAATACATTTCAAATCAAAATTATTTGACATAATTGATACTCCTGCTCATTGATACAGTTTTTTCACTTGGCTCCCAAGACACCATACTCTGCTGGTTTTCTTCGTACCTCACTGGTCACTTCCTCTTAGTCTCTTTTATTCATTAGAATGTCCCATGACTCATTCTTAGGACCACTTCTCTTTCCTACTGCATTTTCATGAAGATTTCATCCATATTCACAGTTCTGATTACCAGATATGCTAATGACTCTCTCAATTTTGTATCTTCAGCTATACTCCAGACCCATGTGGCCAACTTGTATACATGACAATTTCATTTGACTATCCATAGTCACCACAAATCCACCATATCAAAAATGACCTTCTATCACACCTCCAGATATGCATCATCTCGGCTGACTGAAATTCAGGATTCCAGTTGTGAGAACAAAAAGTGGTATTTACAAGTGACAGCTTTGATAGCCCTCTTTCACTGCTAATCCATCAGAGCATCTTGCCTACTCTTCATCAAAATATAGGCACACTTCGTTTATTGAACTTTGCTTTACTTGGATTCACAGATATTACATTTTTTTTTTCACAAATTGAAGGTTTGTAGCAATCCTAAGCTGAGCATGTTTATCAGTGCCGTTTTTCGAATGGCACATGTTCACGTCATGTCTCTTTGTCACATTTTGGTAATTTTCACAATATTTCAAACTTTTTATTATTATATCGTTTATGGCAATCTGTCATCAGGGATCTTTGGTGTTACTGATATAATTGTTTGTTTTGGAGTGCCACAAACTATTTCCATATGAGAGGTCAGTAAATTTTGTGTGTATTCCGACTGCTCCACTGACTGGTTATTCCTTTGTTTGTTTGTTTGTTTGTTTCCTTTCCTTGGCCCTTCCTATTCCCTGAGACACAATAATATTGAAATTATGCCATTTAATAACTCTGCAATGGCCTCTAAGTGTTCAAGTTAAAGGAAAAGCTTGATGTCTCTCACCTTAGATAAAAAACTAAAAAGTATTAAGCTTAGTGAGAAATACATGTTGAAAGCTGAGATGGGCCAAAATCTAGGACTCTTGTCCCAGTTATTCAAGGTGTGAATGTAAAAGAAGAGTTCTTGAAGGAAATTAAAAGTGCTACTCCAGTGAATACATGAATGCTTAAGAAAGCAAAACAGACTTATTTATGATATGGAGAAAGTTTTAGTGCTCTGGAGAGATCAAACCAGCCACAACATTCCCTTAAGCCAAAGACTAATCTACGGCAAGGCCCTAAATCTCTTTAATTCTATGAAGACTAAGAGAGGTGAGGAAGCTGCAAAATTGAAACCTAGCAGAGGTTGATTCATGAGGTTTAAGGAAGGAAGTCATCTCCACAACATAAAAGTGCAAGGTGAAGCAGCAAATGCTGATGTAGAACCTGCAGCAAGAGATACAGATGATCTAGCTAAGATCATTGATGAGGGTGGCTACACTAAGCAGCTTTCTCAATGTGGACAAAACAGCCTTATATTAGAATAAGATGCCATTTAGGACTGTAATAGGTAGAGAGGGAAAGTGAATGCCTGGCTTCAAAGTTTCAAAGGACAGGATGATTCTCTTGTTAGGGGCTAATGCAGCTGGTTACTTTAAGTTGAAGACAATTGCCATTTACCATTCTGACAATCCTAAGGCCCTTAAGAATTATGGTAAATCTACTCTTCCTATGTTCTGCAAATAGAACAACAAAGCCTGATGACAGCAAGCCTATTTCCAGCAAGGTTTACTGTCACTGTAGAGACCTACCACTTGGAAAGAGAGAAAACAGATTCCTTTAAACTATTACTCCTCATTAGCAATGCACCTGATCACCCAAGAGCTCTGATGGAGATGTACAAGGAGATGAATGTTGTTTGCATGCCTGCTAACACAACACTTATTCTTCAGCCCATATATCAAGGAGTAACTTTATCTTCCAAGTCTTATTATTTAAGAAATATATTTCACAAAGCTATAGCTACCATAGATAGTGATTCCTCTGATGGGTCTGGGTAAAGTAAATTGAAAACTGTCTGGAAAGGATTCACCATTCTAGATGCCATTAAGAATATCTGTGATTCACGGGAAGAGGTCAAAATATCAACATTAACAGGAGTTTGAAAGTCGTTTATTCCAACTCTCATGCATGACTTTGGGGGTTCAAGACTTCAATGGAGAATGTAACTGTAGATATGGTGGAAATAGCAAAGACCCAGATTAGAAGTGGAGCCTGAAGATGTGACTGAATTGCTGCAATCTCATGATGAAACTTAAATGGATGAGAAGTTGCTTCTTAAGGATGAACAAAAAAAGTGGTTTATTTATGTATTTATTTTATTTATTTTTGAGACTGAGTCTTGCTCTATCACCCAGGCTGGAGTGCAGTGGTGCAATCCCGGCTCACTGAAACCTCTGCCTCCCAGGTTCAAGAGATTCTCATTCCTCAGAACCCGAGTAGCTGGGATTACAGGTGCCTACGACCATGTCCGGCTAATTTTTGTATTTTTATTAGAGACGGGGTTTCACCATGTTGGCCAGGCTGGCCTTGAACTCCTGATCTCAAGTAATCTGCCTGCCTCAGCCTCCCAAAGTGCTGGGAATACATGCATGAGCCACTGTGTCTGGACGAAAGTGGGTTTTTTTGTTTGTTTCTTTGTTTTTGTTTTTTTTGTTTGTTTGTTTTGTTTTGTTTTGAGATGAGATCTACTCCTGGTAAAGATGCTATGAACAATGTTGCAATGATAACAAAATATTTACAATATTGCATAAAATTAGTTAATAAAGCAGTGGCAGGGTCTGAGAGGATTGACTCCAATTTTGAAATTCTATTGAGGGTAAAATGCTGTCAAACAGCATCACATATTACAGAGAACCTTTTCATGAAAGGAAGAGTCTGTCTATGCAGCAAACCTTACTTTTGTCTTATTTTTAGGAAGTGCTACAGCCACTTCCACTTTCAGCAACCACAACTGAGCAGCCAGCACCACCAAGGCAAGACCCTCCTTCAGCAACAAGATTATAACTCATTGAGGGTCCAGATGGTCATTAGCATTTTCAGCAACACAGTATTTTTAATTAAGGCATGTACAATATTTTAAAGACATAATGCTGTTGCACACAATAGATTACAGTATAGTATTAACATAAGTTTTATATGCACAGGAAAATTTAAAAAAACTTCTTGTGCCTTCCTTTATTGCAATATTCAGCTCATTGAGATCCAGAACTGAACCTGCAATATCTTCAAGGTATGCCTGTATCTACATGCTGTGACCATTTCTCCATACTTCCCCTGCCACCACCCTGGCTGGAACCAGCTTCATCTTAATCATACATCATTGAAATAATCTCCTATGTGGTTGCCTTGCTTTTACAAACTCTTCAGGCCCTATCACCCAAGTTTCAAATAGCAACCAGAGTGCTCCACTTTATTTTGTTCTTGTTTTTATTTTTATTTGTTAAAGGTTAAGTCTTGCTATGTTGCCTGGGCTTGGAACCAGCTTTATCTTAATCATATGTCATTGAAATAATCTCCTCTATGGAGATCCCTGCTTTTACAAATGTTTCGGTCCCTACCACCTAAGTTTCAAACAGCAACCAGAGTGATTTATTTTTTCATTTTTATTTGTTAGAGATGAAGTCTCACTATGTTGTCTGGGCTGGAGTGCATTGGATATTTATGGGGCAGATCATAGTTCACTGAAACCTCAAACTCCTTGCCTCAAGCAATATTTCTACCTCAACCTCCCCAGTAGCTGAGACTACAGGGGTGTATCACTGCCCCTGGCTCGAGTGATCCTTTAAAATGTCAGATCCTGTCACCTTTCTTTCAAAGCATTATAATAGTTCTCCATTCCTTGCCAACTTATAGCCGAAGGCTTTCCTCCATGGCTTTATGTGGCCTGCCCTCATGACCTCCCTAACCTCATCTCTTCTTTTTCTGGTTACTTGCTTTGCTTTAGACACACTGGCCTGGCTGCTGTTCAAATGCATCAGGCACACTCTTGTACTTGGGCCATAACACTGGTATTTCCTCTGCCTGGAATGCATTCTTCCCTGATATCCACAAGACTAACTCTCTGACTGCCTCCAGACTCTACTCAAAGATCACTTCCTCAATGAGGTCTATCCTGCATCACCCCACTAGCACTTGGCACTCCCAATCTTTCTGATTTTACTTATTCTCTGCTGTACTTTCATTACATAAAATGTTAGAATGTATATTAGAATTAGAATATTAGACTATTTCACATTCTAATATTTTATATAACTTATGTATTTATTATGTGTATTATATATTGTATGTCTCTCCCACTAGAATATAAGTTACATATTGTCTTATTTAATGATACATAGAATAGTTTCTACATAGTAGGAGATTAATAAATATTAATGGAATAAGTGATACTTTCTTAATAAAAATAGGAACAGGGCAAGTTTTCCTGCTACTACCACTACTTGTCAGTATTACAATTGATATGTCCAAATCAATGCAAAGGGACAAAGAGAAAAGTTATAAATAATAGGAAGAGTCAAAATTGTGACCATGTGCATACAATGTGATTATCTACTTATAAAACCAAGGACATTACTCTAAAAGGTGGGAAAAACCAAACTTCTTTTTCTACTCTCATGCTCAACACAGAGCACTTTTATGACCAGATGTGTATTTTTTTTTCCCTGCACATTGACGAATTCTCAATACCATCTGGATGTCCTATAATTCAATTTAATTCTGACATTAACTCGAATGAGTATAGACTCCACATGTTAAGAGCTCAGTATTATGAAACTGCCCCTCTCCACTTCAGCTGAAGTGCCAAGGGAAAGTCCCAAGTTGTTTTACCTGTGATTCTGACCAACCGCCTATAAATGGGTGGTTCCCATAAATCCCTCCTCAGGTTCAATTATTATAGAGTTGCTCACAGAACTCAGAGAAACAATTTACTTATGTTTGTTCATTTATTATAAAAAGATAAGGATGAACAGCCAGATGTAAGAGATGCTTAGGCAAGGTATGGAGGAGGGTGCAGAGCTTCCATGCCCTCTTGTAGGGGGCGCACCCCACTCCTATCTCCTCCATGTGTTCAGCAACAAAGAAGCTCTCTGAACCCTGTCCTTCTGGTTTTTGTATGGAGGCTTCGATACATAGGCCTGACTGATTAAATCATTAGCATTGGTGATCAACTCACTTTTCAGCCTCCTTCTCTCTCTGGGATTGGTGGAGGTGAGGAAAATTCCAACTCTCTAATCACCTGGTTGGTTACCCTGGCAACCAGACCCCATCCAGAAGCTAGCCAAGAGCCCCCAACCACCAGTCATCTCATTCTCTTACAAAAAGACTCTTTTCACTTCAGAGATTCCAAGGGTTTTTGGAGCTTGTGTGCCAGGAAAAGGAGAGGAAGATCAAATTTATAGTTTTTATTATAAATCATATTACAGTCACCTAAAGAGACTTGTGAGACCTAATGACAGAATTCTGTAAAGAGGCCAAATTCACATTTAATATAAATTTTTTACAATTTAACAATTTTTCTATGTTTCAACAGTAACCATATTTTAAAAAATAAATTCATGGACAGAAAGGGATCCTATCTGCAATATCAAAAATAGAGGCTGGGTACAGTGGCTCATACCTGTAATCCCAAAGCTTTGGGAGGCCAAGATGGGAGGATTGCTTGAGGCCTGGAGTTTGAGACAAGCCTGGAAAATAGGGAGACCTTGTCTCTACCAAATATATATAATATATATATTTATATATAATATATATTTATATGAAATATATATTATATAAAATATATATTTTTAATTAACTGAGTGTGGTGTCACATACTTGTAGTCCTAGCTACTTGGGAGACTGAGGTGGGAGGATTGCTTGAGCCCAGGAATTCCTAGCTGCAGTGAACTATGATAGTGCCACTGTACTCTAGCCCGAGTGACAGAAGGAAACCTAGTCTCTAAAAAAAAAAAAAAAGAGAGGGAGAAAAAAGAATGCCTAGAAATACACCTAACATAAAAGATTCAAGACTTACATTAAGTAATGTATCAAATTAAATATTATGAATAAATTGAGTAGCATATCAACATCATGAACAGGAAGATGCATTCTTATAGACATATATTTGTCCCAAAGTAATTGATGATTTAATGCATTTTAACCAAAATATAAAAAGTAATTTTATAGAATTTGACAATTTTTAATTCAGATGGAAGAAAAATATTTAAGTATATCCAATACACTTAATTATTAAGTATATCCAATACAAGATATCAAGTATATCCAATACACTTCTACCAAAGGTAAAAAGAAAAATATAGCATTATTAGTACAGGAGTAGACCAGATCCACAGCCTTTCAATCTCTTAGAAAAAGAATTACTGTTAAATAAATCATGTTCAGATAATTGACTATTAAGCAAATAATAAAGCAAGATTCTGTAATTCAGGCATATACCAAGTTTAATTTCCTGTGGCTCAAAGAGCTAAAACTAAACTAGAGATATATTGTGAAAAATGTAGGAGAATACCTTATAATTTTATTGTAGGGAAGGGTTTCCTAAGAAAGCACAAAACATAGAATGTCTCAGAAATTAACTACTAGCTTTGCCCTTATAAAAATGAACACAAAACAAAATAGGTTAGCATAGGCATCATCGAAATTCTGGATTAATTTTCAGGGTACATAAAGAACTCCTTCAAGCCAGCAGAAAAACATACAAGCTTCTGAGGGTGAAATATATGAAAATATAGTTTATAAGAGAAGAAGACAAATATGAAAAGACAATCTCACTGATAATCTGGGAAATACAATACAGCAATTTTTTTATACACCTAACAACTAAAAAGTTTAAAAGATTGCAAAGATTGAGCATTCCCAAAATTTGGGGAAATAGAAATATGTCATACACTCTGATTTAAAGGGTGAAGACTTTTTGAAGCCATTTATGTAATGAGTCCCCTGCCACTTACTTTAGAATTCTGTCTAAAGTGAGAGAACGAAGGAAATGAAAATAGCATATAAAAGACACTCTCATCTTTATCATTCTATTCATTTGATTTCAGTTTCTCATGTCAATTCAACCTACATTTATCAAGTATATCTCCAAATTATACGCACTATAGAAAAAAACAAAACAAAAGTGTATCAGAATCAACCCTGTTTGTTTTCTGAGATGTTGGATGAGAAAGACTCTTTCAAAAGTGTCTCATAAGATTGTTAAGTGCTCTGATAAAGGCTCCTACCAGGTGCTATGCAACCATGGAGAGGAAGAGATTAATCACTACCATTACCACATTTTAAAATCAATTTATCAGGTTCTCAGCTTTGCAATTAAAGGAAACTTGCCAGGGCACTTAGAACAAAAGTATCTGTATATAACTTTCTTTCCCCCTTTTACCTCTCTACTGTAGGCCATTCCACTCAGTGGATTACATACAATCAGGATTTTCCTCTTGCTACTTACTGGTTAAAATATGACTCAGAATGGAGACTAACTCTGGATACAATATCAATGCCTTATATGGCTTCACTCTTACCATTTGTAGTTCCAGAAATACCGTACAATAAAGGTCATTCATTTTACCAGCATGACAAAATTGTTTTGAGAAAAAAAATTGCCCATATTAAATTTATGAATTCTTTATTATCTAAAATTTGAAACGATTTCTACTAGTCACCTCTATGAAAGATAGTGTTTTCTTGATTATTTCAATTTTCCTATTTGGTGCAAATTATATCATTTATCCAAATTTACCACAAAGCACTAGTAAAGTAAATTAAGGACAATAAACTAACTATTTTCATTATCAAATAACAAATAACATTTCTTCTATTTTTTTCATTCATTCTTTCAAATAATAATTGTGGAGCACCTAGTAAGTTCAAAGTGTTCTTCTAAGTGCTGAGAATACAGAGGTAAGCAAAATAGACTAAGTATTTGACCTCAGAGGACTTCTTTTGTCATAGAGGAAACCAGCAAGTAAACTTTAAAACAGAGCACGATTGAAGATAATAATAGGTGTCAAAAAAAGGACAAGGATAGATTTTGGAGATACAAATGCTAGGCATCAAGGCTATTCTAAGGTGGACTGGTAAGGAAAGAATGACATTTGAGCAGAGTTAAAAGGTGAGAACACATATCACACAGAGGTATGGGGAAACAGCAATTTACATAGAATGACTAACAAGCACAAAGACCCAGAGAAAGGACGGTGGATGTTCCAACACATCTTGGAAGTGTAGTGAGCAGCCTTCTCACTTGCTGAAAACTGAGTGTGTCTCAGGATACTGAGCTTTCAATGGTGAAACTGGAAAAATCCTAGGAAAAAAGGGACAATTTAGTCATCCTACTAGGAAAGCCACTCTGACCAGAGTGGATGAGAAGTTGGGCAATGTAGTGGGAGATGGGTTCAGAGAGGTAGACAGGAACCAGATAATGAGTGACCTTGAGAATCTGGCTAGGAGAACTGCACTTTATAGTTTGGCAGAAACATTTGGAGAGAGATTATTAGAAGAGCTGTGTGATCGGAGTTACACAAAGCCCTAATTCTTATTTGCTATATTGAAATAAGTAGGCATCCTGTTTATTGAGAAGACTTCCTGTTTCTTTACAAGTCAGGACAGTAGAGAAGTTTGATCAGACACCTATGAGGCAAACCAATTCTGAAAGTCAGTGTCGAAAACTTGGGTCAGAAGATTAACCTGCCCTCAGCATCCTTTCTAATGATATATTCAGAAATAAATTTTTGAGTGCCTTAGGGCAACTCTGTTTGTTGAGAATGTAAAGAAAATAGGCTTCTCATAGAAGAAAATGCTGACATAATCTACCATGTCTTTGTGGATATAGGTAACAGATCGCAGACTCTGCTTGTGAGCCATTCGTCACCTCTCAGCCATTCTGAACTGAAGGTGCCAATGTGATCACTGATGTGATTTGAGCTCAGGAGCTCTTTATTCAGCAGAAATACTAAAGGCTTCTCTCACTATATTTTCTGCATTGATGCCTTTAAAAAGTGTCCTTCCTGGAAAGTCTCAAAGCAATTTCTCTAAGCTAGGAAAATATCCTTATCTTTTGGCTCAAAAGGAGATTGTATACCCCTTCATCATTAGGAATGGCTTACTGTGTTCAGCCCAAACTGTAACTGCAAAATACCAAAGACCCACCTCTCTATGATGTTGTGATTCTAACATGTATTCTACCCTTTGCCCACTGTGCAACCTGATAAGTGTATCAGTGAAATCCACCTCTCTATGATGTTGTGATTCTATATGATGTTTTGATCCACTGTTCTTTATTTTGTCTGAAGCATAGATGCAGAGAGAAAATGAAAAATTAAAATAATTGAAGAAAAAACAGGTGGGAGATTACAAGCCAAAAAAGTAAACAACACAAGAGCAAAGAAAGATGAAGTGAAGGCAAGACAAGGGATTACAAGTGTAGGGCTTATATTATAAAAAATTTATACAAAGAATAACTCATGTATGATTTTGTTTTCCAAGTAAGGCAGATAAGAATAAAGACAGGCAACATAAAATATATAATTATGTGTAGAATCTTAAGAAGAGTCTTTACACTGGAAGCATAGTTTTAAGACAGTCATTAAAGCATCTCAAAATGAGATATCCAGTGTCTTGGAAAGAAGCAAGAGAAATGTGAAGAGAAGATGGGACCAATTTAAGGTTTGGTATGACGGGGACATTACCAGAGGTCTATCCTATTTTATTGCACAAACTTAGTAATATTCACCCAGGCATGTGCTCAGCACCAAAAGAAAGAAACAGGGAACAAGTACCGGATCTATTAGAGGAAATGAAAATAAATTATCATTTATCTAGCAACTTTTATGTTCCAGATTCTGGGCATTTCCAATATATTACCTCATTTTATTCTCACAGAAACAACTAGGGGCATTTTAGAAAATTTAAATGACTTTTGTAACAGAGATTGTCAGTGCTCAACCATATCCAGTTCTCTTCTTCCTGGTGCACAGGAAGGCTACAGTTCCTGGCTACCTTGACATCAGGCAGGGTCATTTGACCAATTCTAGCCAATGAAATGCAAATGAAAATAAAAAGAGTCATTTTTCTGGACAAGATATTTGTGAACTTGTATAATATCTACATAACTTTTTTTCTTTATAACTTGGAGCCAACCTATGGAGATGGCAGAGCCAATAGAATGGAAACCATCTGCCTTATTGAGTCATTGCTTGGAGGGGTTTTCAGAATGTCAAGAACTACCCAATCCATACTGGACTCAGTATGAGTAAGAAGCACATATTTCCTGCATTAAATCACTGAGATTTCAAAGTTTATTTACTATTATAGCAAATTTGAACTTGTCCAGACTGATACACTTATTGACTTCCACAGTGATTAAAGGGTAGACATCTATATACATACTGAAATCTATGTTTGCCTAACTCCAAATCCAAGGCCTTTCCACTCTATCATACTGCCTCTAATAAGCAATGCAAATTCACTGCTAATATGTGGTGATTCAGAGCCTACAATTTCTGTACGCTCAGAATAAAGTTCATATCATCTTTAATACAAGGTCATGGAACATGACTGCAGGTTACTGGGCTTTGACTTGGATCTTGAAATGAATGTTGGAGAAGGAAGGGAATTATCAATAAAAAGAAAAGGAAGCTGTATAAAACCAGATCTTTGAGGTGGGCATGAGAATGGCCTATATGAGGAGAAGATGCATACAATGGGAAACCATAGGATATAAGATTAGAGTATAAAGGAGCTATTTTTTGAGATTCTCAATGCCAAACTGAGGAACTTAGACTTGGAGACAGGGCAACATGGTGGACAAAGCACTAAACCGAGAGTCAAGAAATTTCCAAAATAAAAATCTCTGCTGTAGCTACATCTCTACTGACCACAAGCTCCTTTTAAAAATGCAAGGAGTGTCCTGGATAATTTCTAAGATCTGGGTTCTATATATTTTTATGTCTGCCTCTTAAAGTTTTTTATTATGGATTCATTAGTTTTTTCTATTTAGGGAATATCAGAACTAATGACATTGAATAATCATGAACTTTTTAATGAAGTGGCTACTAATCTTCTAGATTTAGCAATGTTCTTAGGCCAGAATTTATGAAGATTTTTACGCTGATTTTGCCACAAGAAGTAGTAGCAGAAGAATGACTCTACTGCTGTAGTGATAGATGTTAACCTTCCTATAGGCAAAATTGAATAGCTACTTTTTTCCGTTGCAAGGGGACGTTGCCATCATCACCTTCTGTTGGGAAAAGTTTATTATCTCCAATTTCCAGGAACTCCATTACCAAGTCTTCTGTCCTCTAGTTCTTATTCCAACTCTCTTCGTAGCACTTCCCTCTTCAGAAGCTCCTCTGTTCAACGATAGTGGGAAAGGTAGCATAAATGACTGCATATGAGCATAGGCATACATTGACTGTCCTATAAATGCTAGCAATCTGTTGAACACTAAAGATTATATAAATCTTAGCAGCTTTACTGATGCTTCATACACAAGCAGCTGTTGTTTCTTGGTCGCCTGATTAAATATGCTGCAAAATTTCTCCCAAGAAAATCTCACTAAAGTTGATTCCAGCAAATCCTTCATAACATCTCTGCTAGCAACTTCATTTTCTAAGCAATTCAAAGACAAGACCCAATCAATGGCAATTTTTTTTCAAAGGGCCTGGTCTTTCTTCCTTTGAAAATGAGACATTTATAACATCAGACCACATATTCTAGTCTTGGCTCAGCCTTTAACAGGCAGTCACTCAACATTTCCAAAATGAAGTGTCTGTATATGACTACTTCTAAGACATATTATGTGGATTGAAATGTGTTTTTGACAATATGCCTATCTCTTTATATATGTATCTTTTTATATCATATCCATATATCTATATGTCTCTCTCTCTCTCTCTCTCTCTCTCTCTCTCTCTCTATATATATATATATATATATATATATATAGAAATAAGTGAAATAATTATGGCATATTTAGGAACAAAGTTGGGAAATATGTTTTGCTAAGCCTAAGACTATCATATGAACATTAAATGCATAAAACTAACCATCTGTAAAACCATTCACTGGGAAAATCAAACCAAGAATATGCCTAAAATGTGATTTTCAGGACTGTTGACCACAAGAGTAGGAGTCTGCCTCAGTCTATGCAAGAGGTTTGTGGGACTCCCTGATGTCCAGTGTTTAATCTATCTTCACATCTCAACTGAGAAATTACTTCCTCCAAGACTTACTTAATTTTTCTAAATGTGGGTCATATGCCTTTTATTATGCTTCTGTGATCCCCAATACTTGCCATCATCATGTTTGATTTTCCATTAAATTGTACTTTCAAGAAATGAACCATACCTGCCTTGATCATTGTATCCTTAGCAGTCAGTACAGTGCTTGATACAGTATGCTCTCAATTTAAAAAATAAATTGTTGAATGATTGATTAAAATGTTATATGTAAAATGCATTAAAATCTCAGGAGCACTGCATGTAAATTATGATGTCACATTCTAATGACAGACATTTAGTGAATGCACTATATATTTTTTTCCTGCAACAAGACTTTTATATATTCTATTTCTAAGCCTGGAGAAATCTTTCTGTGGTGTCTTCCTAGTGGTTGCTACTCCCCATTCCAACATCTGGTAATGCAGCATTTCTTCAGATGCACTTTTCTGACCCCTCTAACAATCCATCTTCTCTTATTGCATCCTTTCATATATTCACTACCCTCTCTCACAGCACTTTAACCTTCCTAATTTTATATGTCATTGTGTAAATATTTGCTTAATGTATGCTTCTCTGTCTAGACAGTAAGCCTCATGATGTCAGGGGCCCTGCATGATTTTGCTAATTACTGTATCTCCTCTTCTATTTTTTATTTGATTTATAGATCAGTTCTTTGGATTTAGCTACTGTGAGATGATAATCCAGAGATAGGCAATATCCATTGGAACATCCCTTCATTCAGATGCACATTCATTTTTTATTCTTTCTAGAGTGCCTACTCAGTGCCAGCACAGTGCCAAGTATTACTCTGGTGTACCTAGTTGTGTATAAAGGGTTAATATCAGGCCTGGGCTGATAAAGAACTGAAAACTCAGTGTCTGTCTTCTCACAGCCCTGTTTCCTTGGAAACTACAGAGTTAAGATAAATGTGGAATGTTGTGTCTGCCTGATTTGCCGTTTGGGACTACACCTGGATTGGGGCAGCTAGGATTTGGCATGAAGACCTTGGTCCTATGTAAATACAGTTATAAAAGATGGCTGGGAAATAACGGAGCAGTTTATCTGGGTCTAAATGACCCATACACGTCTTGGGTTTTAACAGAAGCAACCATATGTGTCTTATATGGACACAGGGACTAAAGAATCTGTGAACTCAGGTAGCTGACACCTGCCCTTCAATGAAGATAAAATAAATGCTGAATCT
Source organism: Homo sapiens (assembly GCF_000001405.40). NCBI lineage: Eukaryota > Metazoa > Chordata > Mammalia > Primates > Hominidae > Homo > Homo sapiens. Next base: position 29,316,169 of record NC_000011.10, read on the forward strand.
CTTGACCTATATAACTAAAGAAACTCAGATTGAAGCCTCTTTGTGCCTTATGGGACTGATTGTCTTCTCAAGCTTGTAACACCTGTGGTGGATACACTGACAAAATCTAGGACGGATCCTCCAAAGCCTAAACTATGTGTTCACCTGAAGAAACTACTTTCATAGCACATGCTCCTTCTAAGGTCCCAGTTCCTGTCTTGCCAGCCTTTCTCTTTTGCTCTGTTTACTCTGTTGCAGCTTCTGATGTGCTTAGGATGTCATGATGATCAGCATCGCAGTAGGAGAATGACCAAGGGTCATCTCCCAGACCAGTGACTTCCTGGCTCCATGATGTTGGCAAACGATTTAATTTTGTACATCCGTTTTTTTTTTCTTCTGCAAAATGAGCTCATACTGGAGAAGTAGTAGAGCAAACTCATTAAAAATGCACTGTCTGCAGCCAGGCTTCATAAGTTGAACTACCATTAGTAAACAGTTGTGTGTCCATGGCCAAGGTACCACACCTCTCTGGCCTCTGTTTCCTCATCTACAAAATAGAACAATTAAACCTACATTATAGAGATACTATGAGAATATAAAAAGTGTATGTGTTTGTGTATATTCTCATAGTATATATATATATATAGAGAGAGAGAGAGAGAGAGATAGAGATGTATGTGTATATTCTCATAGTGTGTATATATATATATATAAAACTCTGTATACTCTGTATAGAGTTACTATGAGAATACACACACACACACATCTCACATAGTTGGTACGATGTGCAGAATATAGTAAATTATCAACAAATGCCAGCTATTAACTATAATTATGATTACATTCAAATTTCAATATAACTCTGCTTCTTCCACTGTTTTTACTTCAAAAGTAATGAAATAGGTCATTAGCCTGGGAAGATGAACTGGTCAACAAAGAGCTACAGATTCCAAATCTTTTGTTTTCTTTCATGAAAACAAAAAATGAAACACAACTACTCCAGAATGGTTACTTTTACTTTCCTAGACTGGAGAAACAATGGAATTATGACAACATGAGATAGCATAATTCACAAGCAGCAAATTATTTGAAAAAGAGCAAGAAAATCAGGACACATATGAAGTCGCCATGGTGACCCAGAAAAAACATTTGGATTGGCTCTATTTAATATTTATTCCTCCTTATTTTACAAAAGATTTTATACAAGTGGATATGTCTTGTCTTTTCTCTAGAGGCCTCGTTTTCTCCTATAAAATGAAAGATTCAAATGAAATAACTTCTACAGCCATTTTTAGTTCTAAGTTTCTACTACCTATTCAAGTTAAGGAAAATCAAGCTAAGAATTGCCAAGTCTCTGATACTAATGAACAACAATATATTTATAGTCAGGTATCATTAGGCCATTCAATTGGGTGAACATCAGAGTGTACTTACACTTACCTAGATGGCATAGCCTACTACACATCTAGGCTATAGGGTATAGCCTAGTTCTCCTAGACTGCAACCTATAATGGCATGTTACTGTGCTGAATGCTGTAGGCAATTGTAACACAATGCTAGTTATTTGTGTTCCTAAACATAGAAAAGGTGCAGTAAAAATATGGTATCATAATCTTATGGGAGCACCGTCATGTAGTCAATCCCTCCTTGACAGAAACGTCATTATGCAGCCCATGACTCTATATCTTTTTCTTAGCCAAAAATAATGTGTAACTGAACTTCCTTTTCAATTAATCATACCAGAGATTTTTATTTTAAGATTCGTGTAACTTAAATTCTTCATCTGCTTATTTTAAGTTTTGTGAAGAATTTCCATTTGCCTGTGTGGAAACTGAATACTGAGCCTCTCCCAGAATCTAAAGTCATGTTTGTCTCCCACACAGTCCAATTCTGAAATGTTTTCATGACATTTTCATTGGTTCAATAAATTACTCCGCAATATATACTTGCCTTTCCTTTTCCCCCATCAAGCATAAATAAATAAATAAATAAATAAATACAAATGAACCCTGTGTCAGCTGTGAAGACTTTCCTACTTGCCTCACCCACACTCACCCAACTCACCTGGCAGCTGTTCATAGAGATCATTTCAATTAAAGAAGAAATCACTTTTAATCAGGGACCCTGGTTGGCTTTGTGCTGTCTTGTGGTAAAGTTTTCTCAAGTTCCACAGATGCACTGTGGATGATTCAAACTCCTTTGTCATTCATTATGTTTGTACAAGAGTTTAACGTGAGGGGGCTGGTTTGGAAATAATTAATTGCTTTTGTGAGCTGGGGAGGAGTCCCTCAGATACAGCTCTCTGGGGCTAGAGGACACCATGGCAATGTTCTTAGCCAATATTCTAGTGAAAGAGCCTATAGACAATTCAAACCATAGGCTGGGAAGTCTCATGCATAACAGGCCTCAGTACAACAATGGATTATCATTACATCCCTCTATTTGTTGAGGATAGAATCAGAGTTGGAAGTTAACGTGATGTCTAGGTATGCTGTGCCCAGCTGTCATGGAAATCAGAAACTATAATGCCACAGAGAGGAGTATGAGCTTTGGAATTCAAATGAGACATGCCCTTTACAAGTTATGTATTTAATGTCCTTGAGACTTAGACTTCACATCTGAAAAACGGGGAAAAATATACTCAACTTTATAGGATTGTTACCAAAATTAACCAAGATATTTTGTGTAAGGTGTTTAATATTGTGCTCAATTGATACTTCTTCTTAGTATTATTCTTAGGCCCAAGTGATGGATGTGATTCCCTTTGACTCACTAAATTTCATGTGGTAAAATACCCACCCCAGAGTTCTAGGCTAATTTTCCAAACACATGCTTTTAAGTATAGTAAGAGTCTGCACAGAGTCAAAAATAAGAGCATGCACACCGCTATTTCTATAGAGACATCTGAGACTGAATATTTCAGAGAATGATGTATGGAATCATTTTAATAGATTTTATACCCATGTGAAGGGCAATGCATGGCATTTTGTTGATGCACAAATGAGTTTGAAGATGATCCTTAAACTCCAGAAAGACTAATGTAAACAGGAAAAGTGAGGAGATCAAGAAATGTCCTCTGCTGTGATAGATAAGTAATCCTCAAATGGTTTTAGAGCTTACAACAGTGCATTGTTAGCACATGGGGCTTTGGCCATTACCGGGCTGCTACAATTTATGATAGACCACACCCTAAAGCTAGCCAGAAAGGAGGATGCACTCTGAGGTTCTATTAATATTTTAATCTACATATGGCAACAGTACCACTTCAACCCAAGCATAATTAGTCAGGCAACATTCTTCAAATGGCAGTGTAATCTGGTGGGAACTATTCCCTTCCAAATGTACTGCTACAGATGCTTCTTATCCAAAGCTACCTAGGAGACTGAAGGCAATTTTTTAAACAGTCATAGAGAGAAACAGTGAATATCTTTTAAGCTATTAGAGATATCAGTGTATTTACATAGTTTTAGGCATAACAAAATAGTTAGCATACAGTGTATGTGAGGAGACCTAGTTCATTGTGCTTTTTTATGATTTTTAAAGGGGTGATAAACTTGAACATCTATGAAAATATTGAACCTTTTGTGGCACATCTCTAGCATGCATTGGCTGAAGAAGGATAGTGGATTTCACTCTCCAAGTGTGAATTCTTCATCTTGACAGATGAAATACTGTTCTTAATATTCATTATTAAATATTGTTTCATAAGACACAGAATTATTTGGTACTTCTATATTCAACACACTAGACACTTGTATTTATGTTCATTCCATTTGATATTTATTTCCGTTCTAACAATGTTACTATCCCCATTTTAAGGCTGAAAGAAAGCCATACACAGATGATGGTAACCAACTTGCTCATGCTCTCATAGCTAGAATGGCAGAGTTGGGTTATGAATTCATTAATTGAAAGCCTGATATTCTCTTTCCTAAGTTAAAAATGAGGATAATAATTGAGAAGTGGGGTCTGGGGGAGTCCAAAACCCTGCCAGGACTGCAGAGCTCCTCCTTAAAGCAGGCACCTCTTCCAACGTAGTAACAATTGTAAAAACATGAGGTTCCTTTTTTCAAACATACCTCTACTTAATGAGCACCTATGATTTGTCCAGCATGTTTTAGACGCTAATAAATAAAGCAAGAGAGAGAGAAAGAAGGAGAAAGAAAAAATCTTTTAAAATAAGCTTATCACCAACAAATCCATCTAAAGAGCAGCTCCATGACTCAGTTATTGCAAAACAGTGGTTAATCCAAAAATCTTCTGCTTTGTGCTCATTTTGGAAGCAGGTCCATGACCCACAGCACGAAGTGCTGGCCATACAACTGGACCAATGCTTCCAAAAACATAACTGAATTCTGTTGTGTTACAAACTTTGGACCAGGGGTTTACAGAACAGGAGTAACATTAATACATTTTGTAATCTTGCTCCTGAATGAAAGACTTGGTTGTTTGAGATCCAGAAATTAAGTCATTTAAAATGCCAATTTACTCATTAAATCATTTATATGATAACCTACAAGTTATCCATTTTGGAAAAAAAAAAAGACACTTTACAAAAACATTAAGCCCCTCTAAAAAACTGAAGCTCTAAAGATGAAAAAAAATCACTACACCATGGAAACAATTATCAAAATAGACCTAAGCATGTAGACTTAATTACTGATTCTTGTAAAGTATGTGTATAAATAGTTTGACTTTGTAAATAAATGCTGATATCTGACAGCTACTTAGTAAAATAAAATTTCATTACAAACTCTTAAATTTTATTCATTATGTGTTGTAAATACAAAAGTGGAAAGGGAACAACACGAGAACCTCTCATTTGATTAGGAAATTGTTTATACTCTTACCAAGTGAATATGAGCTGTTTTTTGTTGTTGATTTTTCTCCCCAAGTACTTCATATCTTAGTTTTAGGCTTGTTTTTCTGTAACACAGTTTTGATATTTCTTTCAGGTCTTATCACTTATATGCATTTACTAATCCTTCAAGGTCTTCTTACTGAAAAGTTCATCAAATCTTCCCTTGAAGAGTTGACACTCAAAGTCTTCTACCATTAAGCTTCCTTTCCAACATTATCGTCCACTCTCCCCTTTCAAATGTGGCCTCTGTTTTGATATATTATTTGCTTATATTGCTCATTCCACATATGATTTTCTTCTAAACCTACTCATCCTGAAATGCAGTGACAAAACCAAGTAGGGCTCCCATGAGCCAAACACAATCCCCCGTAATATCGATTTGTCCCCATAAATGAGTCTAAATAAATACACCTTCTAAATTGGCATAAGCCACAAAGACTGGTGAAGGTTAGGAGACTGATGGTAGACACTCAGCTTCAATGTGAGGTTATTTGCTTGAGGTTACTATTCAACCTGCAAATAAACAGTTCAATGGAAACACAAGATCAAGGGTACAAGTTAGGGGACAAGGCCCTGTAATTCCTTTTTTTGTTTTGTAGAGATGTACACTGAAATTTAGGCCATTAGTTAGCCCATTAGAATGACAGATATGCCTAATAGAGTAAATCAGAGCCACAGACTCATAACATTTGTCATTTGTGGCTGGGGATCAGACCATGTGAAGAGCAAAGGGTGCAATTATTGGCGTATCTGAGTTTATTACTATACCAGAGTTACATACTATTTCATTCAATATCTTCCTGGACTATTGGGTTTGTAGCTGGCTGGGCAGTGCCCTATCATATAAATAAGATAGCATGTGCTTGTTCTGCACACATAACCCAAAGATGACTCACATAGGTGGGGGCACCCTCTCAGCTAACCCTTCAACCTCATCACTACTCATAAACCACTTCTAAGCTGTTTCGAGATAATGTTTCAAGGCCAAACTGAAATACAAACAATGTGGAATATTTTCTAGATATATCCATTTTCTTTCTACAACTGAGAGTAACTTTTCCCTTCAAAACATCAAAAGTGCCTTGGACTGCTCTTGGGATTCCCACATTCTATTTTCCATGAAAACCACTGGAGTGTGTATCTCGTTTCCCTTACCAGACTGAAAGCTCCTTGGAAACAAGGATTCAAATTGGATTAACTTTTTATTGTTTCCCAGTTGCTTAGCACAAGACCTGGCCAACAATATTCTTTGAATTCACGAATGGATGAAAAAAAAGTCAGTCACATCTGGTATCATGGACATAAATATATCACGCAAGCATGGTATTGGCCAGAGACTTTATTATGCTAATTATTAAAAGGGAAAAAAATAGGTGGGTAAAAGAATATTGATTTATTTTGCTGCTTGGACAAGATAGTTAATTCTCCTCATCCACATGCCTGTGGTCCTTGCTCAACTCTGGATCCTGACTTTTCATCCCCACCAGCATCATGAAGAGAGAAGCCAAAAAGAAAATCACAAATGCTTTCAGATGTCAAATGAAAGAGCTACTTACAGAGCAAATGCACTTGCTTATCCCACTGTTAAATGAGAATGATCTGAGAAAAATGCATTTCTGCATCTTTAAAAAAGTAGAATAAGGCAAACTTGATTTTGTACGATTCTCAAATGAAACAATCAGTGATATAAAATGGCGAGAATTAAAAAGATGAAAGTTAACAAGTGTTGGCAAGAATGTGGAGAAAAGGGAACTCTGGTTCATTGTTGGTAGGAATATAAATTAGTACAGCCATTTTGGAAAAAAATATGAAATTTCCTCAAAACACTAGAAATAGAATCACCATATAATCCAGCAATCCCGTGCATGGGTATATATTCGAAAAAAATTAAAATCAATATGTTGAAGAGCTATCTACACTCCCAAGTTAATTTCAGCATTCTTCACAATAGCAAAGATATGGAAACACCCTAAGTGTCCATCAAGAGATGAATGGATAAAGAAAATGTGGTGTGTGTATTATTAATATATATTAATTTAGTCTATGTTATAATATCTATATTATAGTAATAGATATTCCTTCTTTATAAATGCTGTGTAGTCTTCCATTGCCTCTGGAATATATGCAATATATCCATCACATATTCCATATGCAATGGAATACTATACAGCTTTTATAAAGAAGGAAAGTCTATTATTTGCAATAACATAGATGAACCTGGAGGGCATTACACTAAGTGACATAAGCCAGGCACAGAGAAACAAACACTGCATGATCTCACTCTTTTGTAGAATCTAAAAATTTGAACTCATACAAGCAGAGAGTGAAATAGTGGTTAAAAGAGGTTGGGGTGAGAGGTGATGGGGAAAGGGGAGATAATGGTGAATGGGTACAAATTTCATTTAGAATAAATAAGTTTTAGTGATCTATTGTACAACATGATCATAGTTAATATTGTATTATATATTTCAAAATGTGAAAAGCATGCATTTAAATAATCTCACAAGGTAGATGAGACGATGAATATGTTAGTTAGCTTTATTTATCTTTCTATAGTATGTGCATATATTAAAATGTTTAAAATGTCACATTGTACTCCACAAATAGATAGAATTATTTTTGTCAATTAAACATTTTAGGCTAGGCACAGTGGCTCACGCCTGTAATCTCACCATTTTGGGAGGCCAAGACAGGTGGATCACTTGAGGACAGGAGTTCGAGACCAGGCTGGCCAACACAGCAAATCCTCATGCCTACTAAAAATACAAAAATTAGCTAGACATGATGGCACACACTTGTAATCCCAGCTACTCGGGAGACTGAAGCAAAAAAAAAAAAGAAAGAAAGAAAAAGAAAAAGAAAAAAATATCAGCTTCTTCCAAAATGAAAGATAAAATGATAAAACTGAGAGAATAAGAGAACAAAAGAAAAGCATTGTCCCTTCCATTTCTTTATGTGATTTATGTATCCCCTGAACAGAAAGGGAATGAATTAGCCTTCAGAGCATGTAACTGTGTTCTGGGTACTGAAGGCACTTGATGTTGCTTATCCAGTGAGGAGCCCTGACAACCCATGAAATCTCCATTCCACCAATGAGGACGTCAGAAAATAGAAAGGAACTTGCCCAGAGTCACATAGGTCCATGCATCAGACCTAAGACCCAAACACAGACATCTCTGTCTCTAAAGTTCATGCTGTCTAGTCTCTCTTGGCTGAACAAGTACAGGACTATTTTGTGATAATTATATGAGGACAGAATATTACAGAATGACTATTTAAGGAGAAAACTGCAACTGTTGTGAGAAACCAAAAATGATCTGATGTTAGCAAGAGGTTCTAGTGCCAAGGAGGTTAATTAAAAGTAGATATTTAATAAAGTTTACACTGCAACAGCAGAATGGCAGCTGTAATCAAATCCAGGAGAAGAAGAAAATATACAGGCTCCCAGTGTTGTGAAGGACAGAGCTATTTCTGAAATCAAAACAATAACATGAAGAGATTACATTTTGACCCATTTCCTGGCATAAGAACTTGGTATTTCCAGATTGCTTCAGAACACCAATAATCTTACCACAGCTTGAAAATATTATTTAGGATCAACAGATTGGCAGACAATGTTGGGCATGGATGCTGAGGCACTTGAAACAGATTTATCTATTACTTAAATTAAAAATGTTATTTATGTTTTATATGCAGAGATGGCTTGGGGGCCAGATGGCTATACAATCTCATATTACAAAGCTCACAAAGTACATTTGATTTGGGTTTTGAACTTACAGTTTCCACATTTTAAAAAGGAATTTTATTAAAGCTGCACATAGACCCCATTCTCAGTAATTAAAAATGGCTTTTAAACGCTTCTAAAAAACTTGTAGCAGACAGAGAACGCAGATTTATTTATAGGATGATTTGTGAGGGCAAGTGATCTGGCATGAATGGTTATTTTCCCTACACATTTATATTTTCCTTTAATGCAAACTAAGAAGAATCAAAATATTTTTAGTTATTAGGTATTAAGCCCTATTTCTAGAGGCTTCAGGCCACTGTTTCTAAGAAAAAATTGCTTTAGGAACACATGAAAATTTTTATCTACAAAATGACAAACTATTCCAATAAAAAGCAAAAAAAATATTTTTCAAATGTTTGAAAACACCTTGATATTTGTTAAAGTATAGCTTCTGGAAAATATATTTGGAATTTTGTATGTGAACCATGGAGAAATTATCACTTTTATTTGAATTAATAGTAGCTTTCTCTGAAAAGGAATATTCAGTAATGATCTTCAAAAAATGATAAGAAAAAAGTAAATAAGATATCACCTTTAAGAGACACTGTAGTGCTGAACACCTTAGATTTTGGAGTGATGCAGACCTAGGTTTACAACCCAGCTTCCCTACCTAATAGTGATTTTATTAGGGTAATTTTTTTTTTTTTTTTTGAGATGGAGTCTTGATCTGTCATCCAGGCTGGAGTGCAGTGGTGCAATCTCAGCTCACTGCAAACTCCGCCTCCTGGGTTCAAGCAATTCTCCTGCTTCAGCCTCCTGAGTAGCTGGGATTACAGGCGAGCACTGCCAACCCCAGCTAATTTTGGTATTTTTAGTAGAGACGGGGTTTCACCATATTGGTCAGGCTGGTCTCGAACTCCTGACCTCGTGATCCACCCGCCTCAGCCTCCCAAAGTGCTGGGATTACAGGTGTGAACCACCACGCCTGGCCGGTAATTTATTTTAATTTCTCTTATATTGAATATTTTAGATTATAAAATGAGAAGTTTAAATAAAATAATGTGTGAAAAGTAAGTAGATAAGTATTTGATATATAACAACTAATAAATGTTAGCTATTTTTATATGTGGATGTTCCACATGAAATTGCCATTTCTGTAGGGCAAATGGTTAAATATTGGCAGCTAGATATGATATCATAAGGTTCAACTCAGCATTATAAATGCCAAATACCCTCAAAGGGAAAGTAGAAAGTGAACGTGTAACTTGCCCAACGAAATCAAAGTAGAAAAATTTCCCAAAATATGAGAAAACATCCAGCAATACTTATAGACATACAGCAATACTATAAGCTAAGAAATTGCATTGGGTTTTTAGAATGCCAAAAAGCACATTAAAGGATGTAATAGAGGGAAAATTATTTGATGAAATGTGGAAATTGAAGATGATGGGGAAGTAAGTATCCATATGCCTATTGTTTTTGCTGATGATTATTTTTAAAAAGGTATTCACAGATCAAACTGGAATCAAAGGAAAACAATATGGAAAATAATAAATTCAGAATACTTTCTTGGTGAAGTATAAGTTCAGCTCAGCAAAGATAGTTCAATAATAGCAAAGAGAATTCTTTCTACCTGTCTATATTTTTTCAAGCTATGATTGAACATGTTTTCTTGGTTTTTCACATCCTCAAAGAAAAGTTGTGGAAATACTTTTAAAATTATTTAAAATGACCAGCAATGCCTATTTTACTTTCATGTGCTTTGAAGTTATTCAAGTGATCAGATTTTTTTTGTAGTAGTTGTTGAAAAAATATCAAGCAAACTTAAATTCACTTAATAAGGACCAAGCATCCTCAAAACCTTGGAATAGCCTAGAATTCCCATTGTCTCTGCCTACACCCTCCAATTCTAATCTTGTCATGTATTCATCCTCATGCCAACCTTCAGGTAAAAATGTTCTCCAATTCACAAAAATGAATATATCTCTGAGATTCTTGATTATAATGAAACATTATTCAAATTGAATGTGTTTCTTAAATATATTTACTTCCAAAATGTAAGGCTTTCCAAAAACTGTACAATGCAAACTAGACACATTGTACCAGCCGTACATTCACAAAAAAGAATAAGTATGCATCATAATGAAAGGAAATTAAAATATCAAGCAGAACAACCACAAAAAATTCCCACAGAATATGCTACAAGGCTCAGAACTTCTCTTCAAGTACTCATAGAATCATTCATTCATTCATTCATTCATTCATTCAACTAAGATATAGTGAGCTTCCTGAAACTGGGCACGCAACTGTGAGCAAAAACACTAAAAAGTAGCGGTTTTTATAGATTTTGCAGTCTGGTGGGAGAATAGGTGACAAGACACAAGTGAATGTGAATAAATGCTTCAAAATGAGATAAGTGTTATGCAGGAAACAGGGTGCTAAAATGAAGTCTTTTTATTGTAGGGGTTTATGAATTTCTTCCTAAGGAAGTAGCATTTGAAGTAAAAGATGAAGGGCGAAGGAGTTAACAGAAAAGGGAGAGTGTGTTCAAAGATTCTGAAGTTGGAAAGAAAATGGTCTGTCCTAGAACTTGAAAGGCCAGGGTGGCTAGAGCACAGAGAATGAAGAGAAGAAATAGGACTCTAAGATGAGATTGGAGAGATGGACAGGACCCAGGCCAAAAACCCGAAAGCCGTTGTAAGGCTTTTACTTTACTTTTTCTTATAGGAAAGATGGTTTAAATCAAGGAGTGGAAAAAATAGATTTCTGTTTTAAAAATTGTACTCTTCGGCCAGGCACGGTGGCTCACGCCTGTAATCCCAGCACTTTGGGAGGCCGAGGTGGGTGGATCACAAGGTCAGGAGATCGAGACCATCCTGGCTAACATGGCGAAACCCCGTCTCTACTAAAAATACAAAAAATTAGCCGGGTGTGTTGGCGGGCGCCTGTAGTCCCAGCTACTCGGGAGGCTGAGGCAGGAGAATGGCGTGAACCGGGGAAGCGGAGCTTGCAGTGAGCCGAGATCGCGGCACTGCACTCCAGCCTGGGCAACAGAGTAAGACTCTTGTCTCAAAAAAAAAAAAAATGTTACTCTTATGGGAGGGTGGAGAGTAGCAAAGAACCAGGTCAGAGGCCAATACCATCATTCTGTCAGGAGATAGTGGTGACAAAGAACCAAAAAACTATCGGGACCAAAGATACAGAGACAGTTTCCCCTATTTCATAAACTCAACTATAAGGAATTTAGTATTTTGAGTTGACTCACAATAAAATATGCTTTCTAAATTTTAGTTCATTGAGAACAAAGGACTGTTCGGGAATCTTTGACAGTCAGCTCAAGGAAAATGTAAAAAGTTGGGGAAAGAGTGGCTGTAAAGTCTCAGAAAACCACATGTGGCATTTGGTTGAAGGAAGTATAAGCAGTGCACGTAGGAACTGGAAGCTTTTCAGATACCTATACTGTGTATCTTTCTGAGTCTAAATTTTTTTCTCGCATATGATATTTTCTTTGTACACATCCCATTCTTCTTTCTGCAGACTGAATTCCTCTGCTTATTCATAAAATTAGTATCCCCAAACTTCAAATTCTTTATGGCTTTGGTTTGCCAAAGTGAAGCTCCTACTTTGACACGGGGTGCCTTTTCAACCCTAGAGCCTTCTTCCTTCTGGATTCAGGCTTTTTGTCTCCTGATCCATGTTCTCTCAGGCCTCTGGATGGGTAATTTCAGTCTATGGTTGCTTTCCACTTACTTCAAGTATCCATCCCAGAAACAATTCATTATCACAATGGGAGAGTTTGGTAAGCGTGATTGCTCATTTTAGAAGCTGTCGTCAAATTGGATTAATTTAGAAATGAAAGCTAAGCCTAGAAGAAACTGAGTTCATATCACAAACTTAAAAAAAAAAAAAAACCAACTTTTACACTTAGAAAAACTAAAACAAACAAAAATTGAGTTTCCACACTAACCAACACCACCAGAACAGAATATAAAAAAGGCAGGTCAGGCTTAATAACTTACCTCTTAGCTTCTCTGATTAAGCAAGGCTTGAGCATGGGAAATCTTTGGTCCATTTTGTTCTGTTACATTTTCTAATAACCCACAACCACCTAAGTTATGAAATGCTATAAAACAGAATGTTTATTCCCACTTTCAGCATTCATATATCATCTGCTCAAAGCTAGACTTTAAAGTTTGGAATGTGGAGAAGACACGTGCTTTATTGGTCTGCGGCATTCATGTTTTCTGTTGACACCATCACTCTTGAAAGACGGAGGAGAGAAAATGAGACATCACCTCTGGTTGAGTGGAATTCAATTGCAGAGGACCATGGCTGCGGAAAGCTTACAAAGTGCACTCAAATTTTCAAATCTCTGGACTTTCATGTGCAGGTAGACACTCTGGAGCCATCTAGTGGCATAACATCATTGAAATGAGAAGAGCCAGGGTTGAGAATTGACGAAAAGTCCAAATGTAACTCCAGTGTAATCTAGCATAGTCTCACCCACATGGGTCATGATTTCAGGAAGGTAACTGATATGGCAAATGCCCTGGTTCTGGGAAGGAAACTGACAACCTATGATCCTGCCTCATTCCCTGTGACTGCAGTTTCTTCTAGCACTGTTCCTACATGTGCATCACCTGGTGACCTAGTTGGAGTGGAATTTATGAGCAACAGTTATTTTAATGAATCTGTTAGAAACAAAATACAAGACTGCGTTTAACCACTGCAAATTGTAACATGTCAGTGACTTTACCATTGTCTCTTAATTAGCTCCACCTATTTTCAAATAAGCAGCTTGGGGCCGAGATAGAGTTTCAAAGCGTTATTCAATGGTTTTAAGTTGTTAAGCTAGTGCTTTATTTTGACTGATATTTATGGGGCTGGAGGAATAGAAGAACTGGAGGCATTTTTTCCTTTCTCTAAAACTGAAAACCAATTCTCTCTATGATGATTTAGACTGGAGCTAAGATATAATACTTGGAAGAGGTTTTCCTTAGAAAGTGCACTACTGCACTGACAGTGACTTTCTATTCATACCACCTCATTTCTTTTACTTGGTAAACTAAATTAAGCTCTAGGACACTTGTTCTCAAACTTGAACATGCATCAGAATCAACTAAAAACCTGTTAAAATGCAGATTGCTGGGCTTTATTGGAGTTTCTGCTTTAGATAGGTCTGGAGTAATGTTCAAGAATTTGCATTTATAAAAACTTCCAAGGAGATACTGATACTGTTGTTGGCTGAGGGACTGCACTTTGTAAGCTATTGCTGTGGAAAATTAAGGCATGGATGTTCACCTTTTATTGTTTTACTGACTCAAAGACAAAGCCGAAACACTCTTTCTGGCCTTCTCAATGAGCAATAGGGTTTTATGGCAGGTAATCTTTTATTTTTTAGAATAGATCTGGTTCTTCAAATGAGATCCTTCATAGAAACTCAATGTATAAGACAGGTAAAAATAGAGCTCCTTTGATTAATGTGAAGGTGAGAGAACAGCACCTCTTCTGTCTTTCCTCATAAATTTCCATAGCAGATACCGGCACCACCTCAGCAGAAACTGGGAGCCAGCATAGAGCATGTTGAAAACCAAAGCGGGTATTACTATCATTGCTGACTCTTTAGCTCCCTCTTACATGGTCACCAGATGCTCAGAAGTTTCTGTTCATCATCCAGATTGTTCCATTCCAGCCTCAAATTACTATTTTCTACAAAATTATTGGTTTGCCCCTCACTGATATATTCCACTGGGTTCGGTGCAGTGTAGTTATAATATGAATAAAAGAGTGTGCATTGTTCTTTTCCAGATAACTCTTGATTACAGAATTTGTTTTGTAATACCAGTCCATGAGATATTGGGAATGGTGTAAAACACCCATACTCCATGAGGAGCGTCTGTGCACAGCTACATTTTTCAGCACTTCTAGCAGCATGACATTCACGTCCCCATTGCCCTGGCTGTTGTCACTGTTCCCAGGACCACCGTCATGCTTCCCACCAACCCCTTCCACAATTACAAAACAGATAATGGCATTGATAACTAATGTATCACTTATCACAAACAATTACAAATATTTATTGAGTAACACTTTTGAACTATATCCTTTAATTCAGAATTCTCCCCTTCAATAGCTCAAAGATGGTTGATATATAGCAGAGAGAAGGCAGGTTAGGAATTTTCACCAACTTGCAGATGTTCTAAGTCATGGCTTTTATCAATTTACCTATGGGAATATGTAACCCTATGAATATTTTCCTAATTTAGATATTTCTTTGTTTCATCTCCAAATGAGTTCTTGAATCTAAACTACTACTCAAAAACAGAAAAGTGGAAAGTTCTATATCTCTTAGTACTGGACTTTCCTTGTAATATAAGTCTAGAATCAATCCGCTTCAGGCTGAAGAGATTTGTTTTTCTTTCTGGGAGATAAGAATCAAAGATAAATAGTTCTACGGTTTTCCCATAGGAGATAAGACCCACTTTGACAATCAGAACGAACAGACTAATTCGATTAAGGATAGGTACACCTTTGTTACTGATCTACCAACAAAGTATAGGAAAGTTTCAGAATAAAATAAAACCACTGAGAACTGTACGTCCACTTTTACCTTGTCGTTTTTTAATGTTCATTGACTGAAGGTGAATTTCATCAAGAATATTTTAGATGATCAATTTTCTTTCTCCAAGAATTTACAATTATAGTCCTTATGCCCATTGGCAAGAAACTGTTCCCTAATCTCAACTAAAAAAAAAGGAATCTAATTTAAAATCACTGCTATTTATAATATCTGCTCCACACCTTGTTGGATCTCCTTGTTGGCTTCAACAAAGAGGAGACTGTCTCAAAGAGGTGAAAGGAAAAATTAGCTAATGTACAGTGGAGATCCGGAAGTTAAAGGAAGAATTATGCAAGTGAGTCTAGGTCATAGTATGCAAAACAAACAATACAATATTGGTGACTCTATTTCATAGGTTGGTGTTGTTTGGCATATGTATTACAGTGCATATTCAGAACACGCAAATAATATCTATCATTAAAATTCCCAACATGTTTTTTACACTCTTTTCTATTTCTTAGAATAGACACACTCCAGATTCCTGAAGAGGGGTGTGACAACCAAATTTTTTTCAAGGTGGCAATAATGGAATGATACACGGAAAAAGTATGTTAGCATTTTTTATCTTCTCCAATCCCTTAGATGTTGGTGTAAACTATTATATTATCCAAATTAGTTCACTCTGAGGATATAGAGCAAACAGAAGGGCAAAGCAAAACCTACAAAGAAATTCTTCCAAATACATTCATCAAGGGCTTTTTATACAGACAGCTTAGGGACTCTGCCTATGGCAGGGAGTGAGAGATGTGACATTAAGAAACAAAGATTAATTGCCCAACTTCATATCACAATGTGAGAGTGGAATCTAAAACATCTCCCAAGGTTTACGGTTCTAGTCTAGTCACCCTTTCTTTCTTATAATCAGAAACTATGAATAATTCTCTCTGTATCTGCTACTTTTATACTTAGGAAAGGAAAAGATAAAAATACAAAAAAAAAAAGAGTAAAGTCTACATCCCCCTGGAAGCAACTGCTCAATTTCCTATGGAAAAAAAAAATTAAGGTACTTTAATAGCGCACTAAGGACATTTGGATAGTGGTCCAAATAAATCCTCCAAACCAATAGACTTGTGATTTGTCAAGGTTTGTTACAAAGACTATGCCCTTAAGCCAAACAAGCATCATCTTTGGGGAGATTTTATTTGTGTTATCAATTCATATCTGGACAGGTCTTCTGCTGGTTGGCATAGCAACTAACTGAAGTTCATTGAACTTTCAGATGTGTGTGCTAACAGTCTAAAGCTGATTTCCCCCCATGGGGACCAGAAAAGGCTTTCTTTGTTAAACCTCTCCAGTTGCATTCAAAAATACATCATTTTTCTCAAGCCTACAAACACACACATTTGAAATTTGGAAAATAATATTAGGAAAATTGTTTCTATCATGTAATATCATAATGGTTTTCCTCTATTTTCTGAAAGAAAGGCTAAAGTTTATCATATTTTCTGTCCATTTCTAGGTCTTTCAATAGTAATCTTAGGGAAATTCTTTCCAAGAATTTATTTTTTTTTTAAGATTTTGTTGAGGACATCCGGGTAGAGATTTTGCAGACTGTTGATATTTAGCATGGCCTTGTTAAAATTTTAGACATGGAAATGTTAGGCCTTCACTTAGGTGAAGATCACAGGTAACTTGCTTTCATGCTATGTTGGTTAAGCAAAGATTTAATGAATGTTCATTTAGAGAGGAAGTAGTGTCAAAACCTGTGCTGAGCACTGTGGGAGATGAAGAGGAACAAGAGATAGCATTGGTTTTTAAATTATTTATAATACGACTTCAAAAAAGGAACTAAAGGATAAGGAATATTAGTGAAGAAGATGTCTCTACTTTTGGGAATAGTAGAAAAAACGACTAAAAAGGAAAAGTTTGTAGTTATACCTTTGCCTTGATTAGTTACCAATTTTGGAAGTCATATTACTATGATAATTTAAAAAGCTTAAATGCAGAATAAATGTTTTCCCCAGAAGGATATAATACTTATGTGTACTTTATTATTATTTAATTGAGATGGAGTCTCATTCTATCGCCCGGGGTGGAGTGCAGTGGTGAGATCACGGCTCACTGCAACCTCTGCCTCCCTGGTTCAAGCGATCCTCTGGTCTCAGCCTCCTGAGTAACTGGGACTACAGGCGCACACCATCACACCTGGCTAATTTTTGTATTATTAGTAGACATGAGGTTTCACCATGTTGGCCAGGCTGGTATCGAACTCCTCACCTCAAGTGATCCTCCCACCTTGGCCTCCCAAAATGCTGAGATTACAGGCATGAGCCACTGCACCCAGCCAACTTATGTGTACTTTAGATAATCTAATATTTAAAGATATGAGAAATAAAAGTCACTTTTTGAAAATCTGCCCTCCCTTTATAAAGTAGGAATGCTATTCCAAATATTTGTTAAAGAAGTATCCTTGCTTTTTGCTTCCTAATTAAAGTCTGTAAGCAATACCCGAGTTTTCAAATTTCAGAAAGATTTTGTCTCCTTTATTTTTCTGAAAGTATAGAAAAGATGTATCAAGCATGATTTTGTACTTATTTCTTCTTACTGGATCTGTTTAAGGCTCCATGCTCTGATTAAATAATTACCATCCCAGTACTCATGAAAACTATTTTCTTGTATGTTGAACCTGAGCCAATTCACTGCCAATGAGGCTATTATACTTCAATGACTTTATTGATTAACAGTGATTAGGTCAAGGTTGCTGACAATGGGTAACCAACCACTGCTATTTATAGGCAACTACTCAGCAGCCCTGAACCAAGAGTTAGTCGCATGTGGTTTTGTGGGCAGCTGGACTCTGGCCTCCTCTGTCTGGGGGTCTTTTATAATGAAACTGTTGTATCATATGGATTTTTCATTCATAGACCTCCTTTTTGAACTGAAGAGGCTGGCTTTGTTTAAGATTAAAAAGGGGGAAGTGAGAAATATTTAGAGCTGAGTTACAGGAGGCTGCGGGTACATGGGGAGAGAATCGAGTGGCCAATTCTCAACAAAACCCCACTCATTCTGAAGGCTGTGTGTGCTGAGGTTGAACATTAACTTATACTGCCATCATGTGGATAAAAGGAGAAAGTTTTATTCTAGTGACAGCTGCAACAGCTGCAGATAACTTAATGATAAATGGCTGGCCAAAGGCTGAGGCTTCAGACAGTGCATGTTTAATTAAAAATATCTGGAAGCCCATGCAACTGTTTCAAATAAAAAGTTTTGGTTCATTTTCCATAGTGTCAAAAAAGCAATGCTCTGAGACTTCCAACAGTCTCTAAGGACCCGAGGCCAAGCCTCCCTTGTACAACGGAAAGTCTGAGGTTCCTTGGTACAGTCTCATCAGCCAAGTAAACACAAACAAAACCTTCTAAAGGTTAGACTAGAGAAAAAATAAAAAAGAGCCATAAATATCAATAACAAATGAGCATAACCAAAAGAAGCAATAGAAGATAGATTTGAAGCCAGTGACTAAATTTGTGTCTACACCCTGATAATCATTTACTGAGTCTTCTTGAATGAATAATTCTTTTATTCATGCCAAAGAGAAAATGCACTGGATAGCTAAACATGCAAGGAAGACATTATTCAAGACTATTGCATTAGAGGTCAAGAGCTCGAGGAAAAGCACTGTGGATTTTAGGGGAAGGTTGTTCAATGTGATGTAACCATCTAGGTTTGCTCATTGCTGCTTATGGAAGTTAGATTCATACTCTCCCACAGAGACTGGCAGATACAGGCACTGTCTTTTTTGATGATTATATTTGAAAAAAAAAATGGCTCTCAGATCCTTGAGAAAGAGGTGACCGGGTTGTAAAACTGGCAAAAGAGTCTGAGAAGATTTCCATGTAAAGGGGAGAGATACATTATTCACAAGCACAAGTTCTTTAAAGCAAATGATCTAAGAAGAAGGAGGTCAGGGGCCTAAAGTCAGGAAAAAACCTGTCTAAAGTTTGACAAAGGTAAGGGGAAGATTAAGACCATATTCGTGAGTCCCAGTCTCCTAATCTGTAAAATGGCCAGAGTAATCCCAGCTATCCTTATCGACAAGAGTGAACATGAGCACTGAAAAAAAAATAGAGAAATATTTGAATATGATATAAACCCAAAATGCAGTAGATGGTAAAGTACGGCTACTACTTTTGTCTATCCTGTTTTTAAAGTATGCACAAATTCAACTTTAAAGGACTAACTTGAAAAAGAAAAAAAATGTTTTTCCAAAGCAGAACAAGTCTAATAGAAAAATCTCAGATTCAGGCTTTGCTCTATAACTTACTAACCATGGAGCCTTAATAAAGTCATTTAATCTTTTTGAAACTTAAATTGATTACATAATGCTTACCTCTTATTGTTGTTGTAAAATTGAAATGAGAGAACGTGCAAAGATGCCAGCACAATGTTGGCACTTAGTGAATACTAGTAGATGCCGAAGTTGCATGTACTCTAGCTCTGTGTTGTGGGATTATTCTTGATTTGGTTGGTGTCACTGTCAACTATTTTCACCAAAATGTGGTGTAGCAAACAACCTTCAACCTCAGTGTCTTACAAAATTGAGCATTTATTTCTTGAAAGAAGGTATGGAAATATATTGTAGGTCTCACGGTTCTTCTGCACAGGACTGGGAATTATGAGATCCAAGCTGGGTTTGGCTGTGCTTGAATCCAGGCTCTGGGTTCATTTCAAGTCTAATCCATTTGCCTCTCCTTATTCTGGGGTGGTATGTCCTTCTCATGGTGATGACACCTGTGCAAAAAGACAATGCTTATGACATATTTGCTAAAATTCAACTAGCTAAACAAGTCACATGGGCAAGCCCAAAGGCAAGAGGTGGAAAATGCACTGCATAGAAAGAGCAAGAGGGTTAATCTATACTATTACCTCAGAGAAGCAAAGGATTAAGACCAATCATTCCATCTACAACCCTATCTCATCTATCATCTGCATATATTGTAGCTTCTCCCTCTCATACCTTGTTTTCTCAAATCTTGAAATCTTCAATGGCAATACATTGTGACAATAGAGAGAGTGTTTGAAAGTAAAGCAAAATCCTAGGAGAAAGGTGGGCAGGCTTTTAGCACGTTCCCTGCAATAATTCTGGAGGGAAAAAAATTAGAGGAAAGCATGACCTAAAGAAAATCTTGCATCTTTTGCAAAAGATTTTATTATGCAGATGTCTTATATTTTTCAATTTTCTTTAAAGATTTCCCCTTATTGAAAAATATTCCTATGACAAATTAAATGAAATGGAGATGCTAGGTTGAGGCAAAGAATTTGAAAGAGTTTGAAAAGTACAGGGGAAATAAATAACTATCAGAAGGTGAGCAAGAGATGGATAAGAATGAATACTTGTCCCCTGCTTTTTTATCTCCCCACCTCCTACTCACACCCCAACTAACAAACCTGCGTCATTTGAGCTGAAAGAAGAATTCATCTCTGAATATAGATCTGAGTTAAAATCATTTTGCAATGGTCCTACTGTGGTTTTTGAGAACAATGCCATCTCTTAAAATAACTGTTTTCAATCGTGACCTTCAGTGTGTCTGAAAGTTTGTGATGATGAATAGTGAACGCTGAATGGCATGCTACGGAATGCAGCCCCTTAATTGCTCACAGAGAAGTCACATAGGATTTTCAATCCTTCTGTTTATGCCAACGCTTGGAAAAGATCACTGAGTTCGGATCTGTGTTGAGCTACCAGACTGAATCAGAGATAAAATTTTCCATTTGAGCCAGCTACTCAGCCTTTGGTGAAATAATTTGGAGAGGTTGCGGGGCAGGGAGCACAGTGTGTAACTATGTTGTGCACAGACTCTGGCGTCAGACATATGTGGGTTTGAATTGTGGTTTTACCATTTCATGGCTGTGTGGCCTTGAGCAAGTTCATTAATTCTTTTGTTTTTCTCTCACAGTATCTGCAAAATAGGCATCATCATTCCTCACAGGGTTGTTATGAGGATTTAACATGCTAATATATGTAAAATATTGCATACAATAAGCATGCAAGAGAAGACAGCTGTTGTTGTAACTATTATAATGTATTATGAATTTGTTTTCAGCAAAGAGTAAGGAAGCAACCCAGCCCTGTGGCAAACCTGAGGCATGGACAGGGCAAGGGTGGAGGCTGTGGGATGGGCAAGGAAAGGGTCTGATAAGAGAGGTAGGTGGGTGCTCAGGGAATATAGCTAAAGGAAATGCAGACCAAAACCCATGAAAGGGTGATAGAAAGACCTCTTCTCTTTAAGCTGCCTCTTCTTCAAGGCTAAGCATTTAAAGTTCCTTCCTGGAAAATCATATTCATGTTAATGACCCTGAATTTAGTGACTGCAGCAGTGCACCGTGTATTTTTCAGCCTCTGGAATAATAGAGGAAGGATGTGATAATTAATTTTATGTGTCAACTTGACTGAGCCACAGAGAACCCAGATATTGGTTAAGCATTATTCTAGGTGTTTCTGTGAAAGTGTTTTGGATGAGATACAGATGTGTATATATATGTACATATACATTATGTATATATGTGTGAAGCACATATGTATGTAGTATATATATATATACATATGTATGTATATGTGTGTATATATATATAGAGAGAGAGAGAGAAAGAGAGAGACGGAATATACATATACATTCTATTGGTTCTATTTCTCTGGAGAAACCAGGCTAATACAAAGGATGTTGTACTTCTTGACTTCTGCTTCTAGAGACTACTTCTGAAACAGTGCTGAAAGCCATCTGGGCTTAAGGTATGAGGCAAATTACGCTGGGAATTCTCCTCCAACTTCTGTGTTCCAAGGAAAGCAAATAATGATCACCCTCCCAGGTAGTACTAAAGGAGAAAGGAAGAGGGAGCTATCTGTCAGGGATTCCACCTAGGAAAACCTTTGGATGGCATTGCTGGAACTAGAAAAATAAGACACTTTCTCTACAAGTGGATTGAGCATGGCAGTGGGGAGTCACAGAGGCAGTATGGTGAAGATTCTATAAAGCAACAGAGAGACTTCTGAGAACAAATCATGAGTCCAAACTGAGTTAGAAGTGGTAGTGTATTAGTCCATTCTCGCATTGCTATAAAGAAATACCTGAGACTTGTAATATAATGAAAAGAGGTATAGTTGGCTAATGGTTCTGCAGGCTATGCAGGAAGCATGATGCTGGCATCTGCTTGGCTTCTGAGGAGGCCTCAGGAAACTTACAATCATGGTGGGAGGTGAAGGGGGAGCAAATACATCACATGGCCAGAGCAGGAGCAAGACAGAGACAGGAGAGGAGCCACACACTTTTAAACAACCAGATCTTGCAAGAACTCACTCACTACCATGACAACAGCACCAAGGGAATGGGGCTAAACCATTCCTGAGAAATCCACCTCCATGATCCAATCACCTCCCACCAGGCCCCTCCTCCAACATTAGAGATTACAATTTAACATGAGATTTGGGCAAGGACACAGATCAAAAACATATCAGCTAGTGAGGCAAAGAATCTTCACCTTGGAAAGGAATGGAATTGGCAACACCAGGCTTCAGCCTTGTCAGAACATGTTTGGAACTAAGAAATAAAATTAGGCCTCAATTCATACATAAGGTACAAAATGGTATGTTGTTCCCTGAAACCAGGGAGAAGCCTGGTCACTAGGGCTAGAATACAAGGCAAGGGATGACTAGAAGCCAATCTGATCTGATGAGAGGCACCTGAACTGCTAATGTGAGTTCTACCAAAGCTGTTTTTCTAGATGAATGACAGCTATGATCCAGGCTTCTGTGCTGCCTTTAAGACAAGGGACCTTGAAGAGACTTTTGTAATGATCAGACTATTGGTAACTGGGCTTTGGAACAATGAGTCTTTCCAAAACTCTTTCTTCCACATTTGTGGAAAGGAGGAGGTCCATGTCTGTCTCCATCCTTGTCCAGGTCTTCATAGTCATGAAGCCTCCCTTGGTGAAATCCCACAAGACAGGACTCCAACAAACATTCCTTCAACATTTCAGACTGAATCCTAGGATTTGCTCAACTCTTTCTAATCATAGTATATGTGTTAGTCTGTTCTCATGCTGCTAATAAAGATGTATCTGAGACTGGGTAATTTATAAAGGAAAGAGGTTTAATGGACTCGTAGTTCCACATGGCTGGAGAGGTCTCACAATCATAGCAGAAGGTGAAGGAGGGGCAAAGGCACATCTTTCTTACATGGTGGGGGGAAAGAGGACATGTGCAGGGGACCTGCCTTTCATAAAAGCATCAGATCTCATGAGACTTATTCACTATCATGAGAACAGCACAGGAAAAGTCTGTCCCCATGATTCAATTATCTCCTACCAGGTCACCCCCATGATACTTGGGAATTATGGGAACTACAATTCAAGATGAGATTTGGGTGGGGACACAGCCAAACCATATCAGTATTATCTCACACTGTTTTTCAATCCCTGAGTGGTGGCCTTGTTACTGACTTTCTCATCTTTAACTTTACTACATCTTATACTTTGGACTTAATGCCCAATACTACTTTTTTAGAACCATCCTTGGATACTTCCCTTGGATTTGTTAAAAACTAATAAGTGCATAGCAGTCTAATTATTAAAATAGTATTGGAAATTAACTTTTTCTATCTCTGACAGAAATCTGGAAGATAGATTTATTGATCAGGCACATGCGCAGGGACTTAACCTTATTCTACCAATGGTTTAGAATGTGGCTGAAAAACACCAAACTGGACAGCAGCCCTGTAACACATAAATCTATATCAAAGGAAGAATAAGATGATAAGTTTCCTTGAAACAAAATGTATAATTTCACATTTTTTAAGAATTAGCATGGGGTGCAAAGTAGCATGGCAGCCAATCTTTGGAAAATCAAAACAAGAAGTCAGACCTTACCAAAGTGAAATGGTTGCCACACTAGACTGTCTCTCCTACCCCATAGATATGAGTAATCACTCTGTATGTTGCAGAGCATTTAAATTTGAGAGAGGAGATATGATAAGTTATTGACTTTGGGGAGGTTTAAAATTCCTCATAAATATTTGTCTTGAAATTATGCTTGGTGGGAAACCTTTCAGATTACAAGCTTATAGAGGCAAAAAAATACCTTAAAAGTCAGCAAGCCAAATAGTTTCTGTCCTCATTGCTACTACCCCAGCTTTAATGTAGAGATGTGTTATAAGGATTTTTCAGGCTGCCCCTGCTACACACTTTTCAGAGTAACACCAGTGCCCAGGTGGTCCTGAATTGAAGCAGTCTCTGCTCTACCCCTCTACTATTTGTCCATCTCTTACTGAATTTGTTCTGATGACTCATTAGAAAACAAGACATCAATTCTTTACCATTACTGAACTTCAGGAGATTGGAAGTTACCAAAGCAATTTGTATACTCTTTCTAGTTCTTGCCCTTCATCCATCTCTCAACCTCATTGTTCAACCAGTTAAGATAAAACAAATAAAGGAAACAAATAGGTTGTGAATGAATTCTATGACTTGATGCAAGAGATCCTGTTTCCCAGGCTGTCCTTTATCTGGCAATAGCTAGGAAGCCTACTTGAATGTGGCAGGACTGGTCAGTTTCCTAGGGTCGTCTTTGAACTACTACTTCAAAAGATAAGGGCATCATGAACATGGAAGTATGGTCTGACTTCACGGTGCCATATAGTATCAAGCATCCTTTCCTCCCCTCCAACCCAGGTACCATAAAGCCTATTGAATACCCATTTTCTTTGATATACTCACCTTGTTCTGAGACCAACTGGGCTCTATGCGAACTTATACAAATGCTGAAAGCAAAACAGCTAAAATGAGTGTTTTAATGAGTTTGAGCTGCTATAAAAGAACACCATAGGCTAGGTGGCTTATAAACAAGAGAAATTTATTTTTTTAACTTCTGAAGCCTGGGAGGTCCAAGATCAAGAGGCTGGCAGATTTGCTGTCTGGTGAGGATTCATTTCCTGGTTCATAGACAGCTGTCTTCTTGCTATCAGCTCACATGGCAGAAGGAGAAATGGAACGTTCTGAGGTCTTTTTAGAGCACTAATCCCATACATGAGGGCTCTATCCTCATGACCTATGATGCAACAATGAATTAAAAGAGAAAAATCTCAATTCACTGTGGATTTGCTGTTCTCACACCCCAAACTCACTTTAATTAATTTATTCTGCCTAAATGAACTCAGTAGATCAACCATGAGGTGTCATTACACATCACAGCATTCAAGAGACAATATACTTCAAGAGACGATATACTCTTGACAATATATCGTCAAGAGACAATAAAATGAATATATATATATATATATATATATATATATATTTATGGAGAAATCTTACATATAAGATACTGAGCAAAAGATTTTAATTATCGTCTATACTGACACAATCCAGAAATAACTATTATTTTTTCCCATTCTGAGCAAAATATTGCATACTATACTACGTCCCAAGTGAGCCACAAAAAGGCAGGCAAATTCAGTAGATTCAGTTTTACTAACTTTCAAACACATACAATGGATTATCTCTGAATTCAAGATTGTTCACAATTCCCCAAGAGGTCAGAAGCACGAGGACTGAGAATGATGTCTACATATTGCTTAGAAGCACTAAGAACTAGGAAGTGACTGAATAATTGAAAATTAGATGACTTTTCTGAAACTGGAATGTAAACTCCAGGTTTGACTTAATACGGAGGCATTCAGAAGTAGTTAGCATTATTCTCATTTTGTAGATGAAATCACTGAAGATCAAAAAGTATAGTGGCTTTCCTTAACTTACATATTTAGTAAGTGGCAGAATTGAGGTTTAAAATCTGGTCCTACGACTCCAGACCACAGAAAAGGGACAGAATACACAGCGGTTTAAGCAGTTCTAGACTAATAGGCTGGAGTGGGGGGCAGGGAGAAGAAATGAGAAGATGCAAGAAAATGGAGAAAATAAATTCAAATTTATGTCTATCTCTAAACCATATAAACCCCAAAGAGCCTCTTCATCCTCCTTGTGTCGTCCACATTGTTTTCTTGAACCTTCCTTCCAGGTTTGGCTGTAAAACATGTTGTAGGCTAAAAAAAGTCTTAAGATAGAGTAACTAAATAACAGATATTCGGGGTGATTTCTGAACTTTTTAAATAAGAATCTCCTTATTTAAATCAGACACATTCTCTAGAAACTATCTCCATTATTTGAGCAATGTGAGGAGGATATTAGTGTTGGCAGGGTTAGTTCGATGGTAAACTGAATAGGCAGGCACTCAACTTCAAAATGATTTAAAGGGATACATGGCTTCAAAATGTTTGTGACTGGAGTGTACCAGGATTTACAATCAGAAAGACAAGGTTTGAAATGTAGACCTGACCAGATGAGTAAAATTGAACAATTCACTTAACCTCTTTGGACATAGAAATAAATGTCTAAGATAGATGCTTACCCAAAGGCACACCGTAAGATCATGGAAGAACTGGGCTTGGAGCCCAGATCCACTGATACCTAGCCAATCATGTTAACTATGAAATAACCCACAGTAGACACCAAGTACTTGATTGCTGCTTTCTAATTTGCCTACCTGCAGCCTGGACCCTGGACTCTTTGCCAGGCTGGATAATCACAGAACTATTATTTGTCAAGTGGTAAACCCCGAGGGCCCTGAAACAACTCTTTGCAGTTCCTAGCCCCCACCACCATTCCCTCACCAGGCTGCAGCCTAGATAGAAAATGAATGCAACCTACAACGAA
Source organism: Homo sapiens (assembly GCF_000001405.40). Classification (NCBI taxonomy): domain Eukaryota; kingdom Metazoa; phylum Chordata; class Mammalia; order Primates; family Hominidae; genus Homo; species Homo sapiens. The sequence goes on from NC_000011.10 coordinate 29,343,049, forward strand.
AAGGAGGGGCTTTTTAAAAATTACTCCCCCAAGTGTCAAACTTTATGGTGTTTGGATGTTATCTCATATCTTAATGCCCATTGTTTTATGTCATCTTACAAATGAGTCGCGATCATTATTATTCTCAATTTAAAATTGGGGAAACTGAGGCATAGAGAGGTGACGTGACTTTTCCAATATTGCACTGCTAAAGAGTGGCTAAAACAGGGTTTAAGGTCCATGCTTTTTCTCTGTCTCAAGCTTTCCTCCATGAAATATTGAGAGATGGTTTTATTTGATGAGAGAGGTGTTTACTGACCTCCATGATATATAGCCACTCTGAGCAAGCCCTTAGCTCTCAGAAAAAGGATGAGGGGAGAACCCCATTTTCAGAGTGGTCTACACTGTTCTCATCTTTCTCTCTGTCCTCTACCATGATGGGGAGGTCACTGCAGCTTCCTTCTCTTTCACTTTGGAAACCCAATAAAAGAGGAACAACCACGAGACTAGCAGCTCTGCTCCTTGGAATCACACGCACCACACGGCGGGAGGAGACCCCCTGGATTCCCCCATCACAGTCTGAGTCCCATTTATTTCTTACCCAGGCATCTCTACAAAGACCGAGCTGAAGGAATGCTGGTGTGGCTTTCCATTCCTTGCCCTTTATAACAGAATGTAATTGGTTCTAGTTCAGCTACCTCACAAGTGAAAATCTTCTACAAAATTGCATTAGGAAGAAAAAGCAAGCCAATCTGGCAGAGGGCAAGGGCAGCAGAAATCCTGTGTAGGTGTGTGACAAACGGGTTTATATGATTTCCTGAAAAATAAATACATACATAAATAAGCAAACAAACACCACCAGGCTGCCTCTGTGCATACGCAGTGCTCCGCTAGGTGGCAGCACACTCTGCACCTGGCTTCCTGCCTGCTCCATTGGAGAGTGGAGCATACCCACTCCACAGGCAGGAGAAAAGGGCAGGACAGAAAGAGGAGTGGAGCTAATATTTCTTGAAGGTCTCCTGTATGCCAGGTCCTAATACAGACATTTTGAAATATATTAGTTTATTTAATTCCTACAACAACATATTGGGGTAGATGTCTCTGTTTTAAAGTTATTCACAATAACATTGGATTTTGTTGATTTACTCTATGCCAACCACTCTACTATGTACTCTTAACTTCATTTGACTCCCTTAATATCCCTAAAAGTGATTCTTATTTTTATCTCTCTGTTACAGATAAGGAAACTGAGGTTTAAAGAGGGTAAGTGGCTTCAAAACCACACAAATATTAGGCCAGGACACTGAAATCTGAATTCTGGAAGTATGACAGCATCTGTAAACAACTGGGAATGACATTCCCTGATTATATGAAAGATTAAGTATTTTCAAATATAAAAAGTGAGACTAGTAACTAGTGCCAATGTTCCTAATAATAATTTTTATGAGTGTAAAATGAATATATATATATATATATATTTTATGGATAAATTTTACATGTAAGATACGGAGCAAAAGATTTTAATTATCATCTATACTGACACAATCCAGAAATAACTATTATTTTTTCCCATTCTACTTTTGCCTTTGTGCATGTGCATGTGTTTATAATTGTTCCTGATATGTTTTGGCTCTGTGTCCCAACCCAAATCTCATGTGGAATTGTAATCCCCACATGTTGAAGGTGGGGCTGGTGGGAGGTGACTGGATCATGGGGGTGGATTTCCCCCTGGCTGTTCTCATGATAGTGAGTGAGTTCTCATGGGAGCTGATGGTTTAAAAGTGTGTATCTCTTCTCCCTTCACTCTCTCTCTCTCTCTCTTCTGCCACCATGAGAAGAAGGTGCTTGCTTCCCCTTCACCTTCTGCCACGATTATAAGTTTTCTAAGGCCTCCAGTCATGTTTTCTGTTAAGCCTGTTGAAGTGTGAGTTGATTAAACCTCTTTTCTTCAGAAATTATTTAGTCTCAGGTAGTTTGTTATAGAAGTGTGAAAACAGACTAATACACTTCCAATCATATTGAATATAAAGCTTTCGATAATTATACATATACTTGGGAATTTGGATTGCCCAATTTTTTACTACTCTAACATTTGTTGTAATACACAGCCTTGGCTATTAATCTGAACACACATCGCTACTTTTTTCTGTAGACAAGTTTTCTATAAATGGAATTGCTGGATCAAAGAATCTGACCACATTTAAGTTAATACCTACTTCCAAATTATTTTTAGAGAAATTTTATCAGTTTTATTTTATTTATGCAAGCCCTGTATAAGATTCTCAGTTTCAATTGCTACTGCTGGTGCCTTGATCTTGGACTTCCTAGCCTGCAGAAATGTATGAAATTAATTACTCTTACTTATATGCCACTCAATCTAGGATATTTTGTTTTAGCAGCCTGAGGGAATAAGACACCTGCAATTACAGTTGAAACTTCTCCACTCTAATGAGGTAATCCTCATAATTATCAGCTTGCGTGTATAATTTAGCACCATCAAACTTTGTCACAGGATTTCACTCAGTGAGAGTGAAATCATTTTCATTCTTTAGTCTGCATGACATTGTACTTCCCTGTTTTTGTCCTGTTTCTGACTAGCATTTTCCTCCATCACTAGAACCTATTGCTCCATGAAAATCTTCACATGATTACCAGAGTCCACTTTTCCTAGTCCTAGCTGCCTATGTAGCTTGGCTGTCTTAATATAAACACAAACTTAAACTTTTAAAATTTCTCAAATAAGCATAGAGTTCATCCAAGCAGAGAGAAAAGGCAGGACACAGAGACACTATTCAAGGCAGAGTAATAGAGCAAAGAATGAGGTAGGGATGTGAATACCACTCCGAAGAATGACTAAAGTAGTGTTTCTCCCAGAATTCCAGGGCATTTGACAGGTGTTGCTCAAAATGAAAGAAGGAACACAGAGAGGGTACTCAATTGTCATTCTAGTTTGAGAAATATGATATGTTCTGCCCCCAATTTACCGTATAAATTTGCAGAGTAAAAAGCTCAGAAAAGTCCTACAATATGAAGACCTATTTAATCCAGTCTTTCTCATATTTATTTAACTATTGGGCATTTTGTGGCAAAAGGTCTAGTGAAATATAAGTGTGGGAAATTCTGAACTAGGAAGATGAGGTTCCCAGTAGTGACATTAGTAAGTTAGAGACAAACAGGTCATGGCAGATCTTAGCTGCCTGGAGTTGCTGGAGGGGTATTGTAGGTGTCTTGTTCAGCTTTGGGGACTGAATAAAAAACAGTGTTTCATCAGTTCATCAAGTTGGATTAAGTTATTTTTCTTGAATAGATTATTTAATGCATTTACCCAATGGAAGAAACCATACTTTGTACATAAAATAAAGTAACATTTCTTTAAACTTCAAAAAAATTGGAGGGGGCAGGGAGGTATACAAAGTTTCAGTTAGATAGGAGAAATAAGTTGAAGAGATCTATTGTACAACATAGTGACCATAGTTAACAACAATGTATTGTATTCCTGAAAATTGCTCAAAGAGGAGATTTTAATTGTTCTCGCCAAAAAAAAGTATGTGAGGTAATGCATATGCTAATTAGCTCAATTTAGCCATTCCACAATTTATACATATTTCAAATCAATATGTTATACATAATAAATATGCATAATTATTATTTGTCAATGAATTACTTAAAATATATTTTACAAGGGAGAAATCTGATGAATATTTTCTTTTGTAAATAGATAACATTTAGTGTGATATGAGCAAGGGTCTGAAGCCAGGTGATGGATTGAGACGACTTTGGAGTTGATAGGACTTCTCCCCTAGGACAGATGTGGTGCCTAATTCTCATAATGGTCTTGTGAGTGGAGAGAAAAACAATTCAAAAAGGAGAAGGAAAGACCAAAATTCTGCAATTGATTAACAGAGGAGGTGAAGTGGAGAAAGGAATCAAACGATGCTTATGTTTATTAATTCATTTATTTATCCAGACAGCAAATATCTGCAGTGCTAGTAACTGTAAGTATCAATTAAACCTTCCATAGGCCAGGTATAGTGGCTCATGCCTGTAATCCCAGCACTTTGAGAGGCTGAGACCAGAGGATCACATGAGCCCAGGAGTTTGAGACCAGCCTGGCCAACATAGTGAGACCATGTATCTACAAAAATTAAAATACAAAAACTGAAAAGATTTTTTTAAAAAAACCCTCCACAGCCCCTACTTGTATTCTGAGAATACAAGAGAATGTGCAGAAGGACTTTTTTTCTCTCCCCAATGCCTCACAGAGATTGAACAATATTAACTATAAGGAAAATATAAATGCACATAATAATTTTTATATCAGATATGTATATACAAATAAAATATTAATTTTCTATCAGCCAAGTTCTATTATGTCTGTGTATGTGTATTATATTGAATGTATAGTGAAATATTTAAATGTTATAAGGAAACAAGATAAATCCTGTGATCCAGGCTAATAACTAATATTATCACACCTCCCAGAACTCATGCCCTGATGTTGATGTAGCATCCAAAATTCAGCTTCCAAATCACTCAGACTATCGTTTGTTATTTCATTGCACTGTTCCTTTTTTTATTTCTGTAATAATGATAACAACCAACTCATCAATGCCTGGTGAGCAGAGCATTCAAGCAGCAGAGAAAATCTATCCTGAAAGATAACCAGTTTCTCTAAGCTGAAATGATACTAAAAAAAAAAGACACAGTCAAGCAAACAAAAAAAAGAATAGACCATGCAGTATCTGAAGGGAGAAAACTCACTCTCTTTGCTGTAATTTTAAAAATGGGATATGACAACCTCTTTTGGTGTGGTGCCTGTGCATGTTTCAATATTTTTATAGAAAATGGTAATATAATTTCTAGTCTCAGAAGTGAGCTGACATGACCAGTAATCTTTAGTGCCCTCTGAAGAGAAGGTTAGGCAGATATAAATTACAGCTTTGAAGATATGTGTATACTTACCAGCATTATTCACTGAAATAAAAGCTAGAATATTATCTTGGAATTGAAATGAGTCAGAAATGGATAAAACACTTGTTCTCACAAGATTTTGCTCTTCCTGGATAAATAACAAATCAAATTGTCAAGTGTATACTTCGCTGCCTAGTTGAGGGAAGCTCCATGCTAAAAAGGCTGGGAAAACAGTAACGTAAGAACAAAAGTGCTGAAGTCACATCGATACGGGTGTGATACCTCTCCCCATCCAAGTTACACTGACTAGCTGTGTAACTTGAACAAGTTGTTTGATCTCTCTGAACTATGGTTTCCATTTCGGAAAAATGAGGAAAAATAGTTATAAAACATATTTTATAATTTATGTAATTTTTTTAAAGTGACAGTGTGTGCTGTAGAAAAGAGACTCAAAAACTATTCATTATTTCACCTCACACAACACTTTTATTGGACTAGAAGGTCATATTGCACTCAAATACTTTGAGAACAAGGATGTGGCCCCTAGTCTCAGAAGAGTTGCAACGCGGTTGCCAAAAAAAAAAAAAATCAAAAGAGAAATAGACTAAACAATTTTTATGAGGCCCGCTCAAGGAAAAGCAGTGAGCTACTTCTCTGTGAGTCTCATCGTGTAGTGCGAAGAGCAGATGTTTCAGGACTGAGTTAGTCACCCTTGATATACCTTGATCTACGTGTTAGAGGGTTAGGATGCCACTAGTCATTGGAACATCAGGAGGGAGCCCTCCAGGTGGGCAAAGGGTTTCAGCAAATATGACAGCATAAAATCATTTTAGACTATTAAATGACAGAAAATTCATTACTTATAATTAGTATTTTACTATCCAGTATTTCATCTTCTACAACTGAAACAAACTTCCATTTTAGGCATCACTGAAAGGAGAGTTCAATAATGAAAAAGAAAACAAAGAGAAATACTTTTACTAAAAACAAGATAAAGGATCTAGCCAAACAAATAACAAAAGTACAAAAGACTAATATTTTTAAAATATTAAGCCTTGTTAGGAAAGAAATACAAACTAAAAAATTAAAAAACCATGGTTAACTATTCAAATTTCTAAATATTGCAGAAAAAGGGGGAGGAGGAGAAGGAGAGGGGAAGGAATAAAAATGTTGGTACAAGTATAGGACAATAGTCATTCGCATGGATTCCTAGTTGGCATGGAAGTCAATTTGATATTATTTATCATAATTTTAAAAAATTATGTAATTTAGCCCAGCAATTCCCAAGAAATTTATGTTAAGCATATAGCTACAGGAATGTTCATGACAGCTCTCAAATAATAGTGAATGATTAGAATAAATCTAAATATCTTACTGCTGACAGATTAAATGATTTATATCATATCTATTCATGGAATCCTATGAAATCATAAACATGTAATACTTGTCTCAGTAATGCTACGTTATGAAATGGAAAATGATATTCCAATATAAACCATTTTAATATGACTATAAATATATACAAATAGAAAGAACAAATGTTATTTTGAGAGTGGTCATTATTTGGTAATACTGTTTGTATTACCAAGTAATACAAATGTTTTAGCTTGTTCATTTGTACCTTCTGAATTTCCTGCAGTTTTCTGTTAATGAGATGTTAAAAATAAAAGATAAAAAAAACAAAGAAAATGAGAAAATATTATTCAATGCAATGAGAACTAATTTTTCAGGATCTACATACAGGATAAAACTCTGGAGGAAAATACAGTGATCTCTATGGGCACGTGTAGAGGGAGAATAAATTCTAAAAAGTAAGTGGACCAGCGATGGCTAAATTCAGCTTTGTCATAACTTATTCAACAATGATTACCATGTATCTTGAGAACTATGCTGATTTTGACTACAGTAGTATAATGAATTGTACTATTAGTGGCCATTATACAAGGTCATCATAAGGGCAGAATTTGGGAGAAATTTGGCTTTTCCACTGTAAATCATCCTGAGAAGAGGTATCAATACCGGACATAAAAGAGTGATTGATTGAGAGTAACTTTGCATATAAATATTAAGTATTTTCAGGGCTATTCCAGACAGATAGCTAATTTTATGATACGGGAAAGTCTTTGTCTATAGTTTCTAAGAATAGCCGCATCTTGTAGGAATTGTAAATAACTTTCCCTATTGAATTTCCCTTCTGTTATTATTAAACCTGTAATGATATTCAACTATGGTTTGCCTTAGCTGTGTGAGGGGCATTATGACAAATATAAGATTAGGGTTATAAAGGTCACCTGAGTCAGGGAGAACAGTGTTCATTACATGGAAAGAAAGACGGCTGATGAAGTGCCAGATTCCCAGGAACGGTGATAAGCAACAGCAATGACAGATGTGTAGATCATGAAAGCATCTTCAGGGTTTTTAAACAAATTCTGTGCACTTGAACTGAAGATTTGCATTAAATTTACCTAAAATATAAATGGTGAGTTTAAAATCAAAGCAATTTGGATATTCAAAGTCTTCGTAAAGTTAATGATACCTGGAGAACTCAGACTGAGCCCTAGGTGACATGGCACAAGCATGTTCCCAAAAATACATCAATTGACTCCAACTCAAGAGACACCATTAGTTCCTGATGCATACTAATCATAGAAAGGACTTAAGATCACACTGTGGTTTCTTCAGGCTTCACCAAGATATAAATACAAATGAAGTTGCATTAATGGTAATAATTGAAATCCTGCAAGACTACTCCTTAACTACACAATGGATAACCTCCAGCATCTTTTTAAAAGTCTGCCCCAATCACTTCTAAAGGCCACCATAGGAGTTACTTACGATTCACTAACCTTTATGCCATGTTTTTACACTGTTTGTTAGAGTCAATTGATGATAGCGCCTTGATTCTGGCACTGCTGCTAGTATCTATTCTTCATTGCACTGGGGTCATTAATTTATTCCAAAAATATTTGTTAAACAACTCCTATATAATATTATCTGTTCAACTGACTGTATAAAACAGAATGTAAATAAAACAGAAATGTTCTTATTATCCTAGGGCTCACATGGCAGGAGACAGAGAATACATAGGTAGGCAAATAGACATACAATATGCCAGGTTGTGATAAATGCAGTGATGACAAATAAATCATCAGAGTAAGAAAATGCAGAGTGATGGAGGTGAGGACAAGCTTTTTAAACAGGGGAGTCATGGAAGACCTGTTTATGCAGAGACATGTTTGAAATGAGGGAGCAAGCCAGGTGGTTATCTGTGCAAAGATCATTCAAAATAGTGGTAGCAGCGAGGGCACATGGAGATTCGTGGGCCCTTTCTGTGGCTAGTGATAATGTTGAGACTGGGGAGAGGTTATGCCAAAGAGATAATTACTAGTACACCCAAAGCTATATTATCAAATATAAAATTATCAAATTACCACTAAATGGAGGCAACTCATATTTCATGCCAGAGAGGAACAATGCCCCTTCTTATACCCTATCTTGAAATTAGTCACTAGAGGCATTGAAGAAGCATGACTTTAATTCAGACCCTCAGAGTCCCCGGGGAAATAACTCCCTCTTTCAACTTCTCCTTGTAAAATCCCTCTCTTGAGAACTAATGCATGAATCCAGGAATCAGGTTAAAAGTTAGACACAGTGCTATCTTGTCCATCCCCTCCTTCCCTTCAAACTCTATAGCACATATCTACAACCCTAATCCCCTGCCATGCTATAAAAATGACTCATACAATTCATGTTTTGTTAATAATTTATCTCTCTCATGTAGCATAGTGTGGGAGTTCACAAATACCCCAAACAAAATTTGAAGAAACAAACCCATCAATACCATAGCCATGTCCAGATATATCTGAATGCCAGCATGGGCACAGATGAGGCTTGGATTCTGATTTTCCCAAAATTTTTGGAAAAATTAATCTATGGATGAGACAAAGGGAACAGGGAGCTGAAATAATACTATTTTCCTAAAGCATTTCTCACGTTCTGATGGGAAGAGATTGGCTTCCAAACCAAATAGATATAAAGTGTTTGTTTTTCTGTGTGTCTGCCCTTAGACAGGTACATTCACTCATCCATTCTTCACTTACTAGGCACTTATTGAGGACATACTGCCTTTTGAGCCCTGTGCAGGTACAAAGTATTCAGAGATGAATCAGGCTTTTAAAAAATCTCTTAAGAAACTCATTTACTAGTGGGTAAGACAGATAAAAACAAGCATGTAGTTATTCCAGTTTAGTGTCTCTAATCCTCAGTTTCATTAATCTAAAAATGAAGCACACTACCTCCTTAGCTAGATAATTACAAAGATTAAATAGTTAAAATACATCAAACACCTAGCAGAATGCTGGACTCATAATAAGCACTCAGTAAGTGTTAAAAAGCAGCACAAGGCAGAAAAAAAGAGCATTAGGTAATTCAGTGGATCTCAAACTCTAGGGAATTTCAGAATCCTTTGGAGGGCTTGCTAAACAGACTGCTGCCCACCCATCCCCCACCACCAGAGATTCAAATTCAGTAGATAGGGGGTGGTACCCAAGGATTTGCATTTCCTGCAGTTCTTAGCTGATGCTGATGCAGTTGGTCCAAGAACCACATTTGAGAATCACTGGCTTACAGAATCAGATGTACTTGCAATGTCATTCCAAAGCTCTCCTTTACAATATCTGTGGTCATGGATGAGTAACTTAAATTCTCTTAGTCTCTGACTACACATCTCACAATTGAGGATACTAATACATATATCACAGGACTGCTTTGAGAGGACTCACTAATACAGTTTGGCATACGGTATGGGAACAATAGTCGTAAATTAGCTCTCGTTTAGTCTGTTTTCATTTATCTGAGCTCTGAAATTACTACTGAAACTCCTCAGAACTTTCTAATTTTCATGAAAGTAACTTTATAAGATTATCTTTTCTGCTGGACAGAAAGCTCCTCAGGAGAAAGAATATGATTTTCTACATTCTTCATCTAATATAGTGCCTGGAATATGACAGATATTCCCACAATATATGTATATTGTCTTTATTATAACTGGATCTTTCTAAAGATACCGTATGCCTTCATTATTTTACCCTCTTGCTTGTTTTCCAAAAGAAGGAAGTTGATAAATAGAAAGTTGCAGAAATTTTGCTGTCTTTCAAGCATAACTCACATACCATTGTCTATTGATTAATCAGACAAGCTCTGTTTCTAGCATTTAAGCAGTTGTTTGAAAACAATTACATAAACTTTCTCAGATGTGATATTGACCTTTCTTCTTGTTCTCTGACCAGTGCTCATGGAAATGTTGTTTGCAATTATTTCTCCACAACCTTGATCTTGGTGTCATTCTGCTCACTACCTTTTAGTGGCCAAATTTGTGTCATCTAATACTATTGTGGTACTCAGGGTCATCGTGATAGATGTGCAACCAGTGCAGTCAAACAGGGCCCTGGGCTTAGAAAGACTCTGTGCTTGGTTTAATGCTCTGTGATTATCATCTTTAAAGTCTTAATTTTTGGTCAAGCAACCTGAATTTTTATTTTGCACTAAGCCCTGCAAATTACGTAGCTGGTCCTGCTGGCACTAAAGCTGGGATTCCAGGGAAATGCAGATGCTACATCAACAATTAAAAAAAATCTACTTCTTTCGTCTTTCGCCAACTCATTTGCAGGTTTCTCAAAAACTACATAACCTTGGGAAGATCACTTCGGTTCAATGAGTCTGAACAACCTCATCTTAAATGGATGCTTTTTTATGTACTTCTAGTTCTAAAACACTATAAATTTGTTAATTTCTAAATACAGAGTACTTTACAACTTAAATAAAAGGAACTGCTACTTTAAGGACACACATTTGCTAAATCCATCTAAATCCATTCAATGTCTTTTAAGATGAAAAGCAGATGGTGAATGTATCCTAAGATACCATTACTTCTGAATTCATATAACTATATACCTTGCATTTCCATGTAATTTCCTGGGGATAGTCAATCCAAGAAAGCTTCCTATATCTTAACCTGAAAAATGACACATCAACAGCATGCTGAGCCTCCCCATTACCGGGAATGCAGGGCCCATTAAACTGTGAGGATGCATATGCACACCTAATTATGTTTATGCCTCCTTATAAATCAGCAAAGTGAAAGCATATGCATGCTGAAAATTACCCATAATTAACTTTCCTAATTGCACCCAAATAAAGAGGGAAATAATTCACTTCAGAATATGCTTTCATCCTTTGGGCAAAGCCTACACTCATCTTGTTTAGGTTTTGAAAAATTGTCTCCTTGTTCATAAATGGAAATTAATTCTTTGTATGCCAAACCACAACAGAGTTCTTCCCTGGGTGTTGAGCCACAGAAAATGAAAAGATTCAGATATGAATGTCAGAGGACTAGAGCAGGGATCTAGGCAGCAAAAAAAGCATACAGAGGAAATTCTAGGTAAATGAAAACAATTCCTTCATTCTGATGAAGAGGGCAATGCAGATGGTGACAGGCCAACCACAGATACAATAGGAGGCAACAACCAGGGACAGATCCTCAGGGAAAAGAAGCATTAAATTTAGATGTCGGACAGAAGACTCAATTTCGCGACAGTAATTGAGATCAATTGGAGCACTTTCTGTTCTCCTTACCCACCATTTCCCTTGCAGTTTCTCTGAACAATTACTGTTCTATTACTGGCAGAATTAAGACAGGCAGAAGTTGTGCATGCCTAATTGGGCTTCCAGATATGGTTTATTGCTATCCTTAGGGACAGTAACCAGAAAGAAAAGGTTTGAAGGGAAGGATGAAACACAGGGCTTTTGATGTTCACAAAAAGATAAATCATTCTTCTCCTAACTCGGAAGTGCAGAGCTCTGAATAAGTCTGAGTATCTGACTTCTGATCACTCTCTCTGGGTGCTTTGCATTCATTGTGTCATTTAGTCCTCATATCAGCACCATTCTTGTCTTCATTCACTGTACAGATGAAAATGGGGATAAAGAAATCAAATAAGATGATCCAATAATAAGTTGATGGAGTGAAGTTTCAAACCTCAGATTGTTTCTTACCCCTAAGCCCTTGTTTTAGGCTACACTGCCATGCAATTCAAGGGAACCCAAATTCCTAAATTGAATCATTTGCATTTTGGCAAAGATGTAGATGGACTTCTATTTTCTTTTTACTATATTAACAATTTTAAAATATAGAACAAATGAATTAATGACTTTAAAATGGGTATCATATGTATCATACGACTTTACTGGCTTCTGTTGACCTATGCTAGGATGATGTTTTTATTTGAGCCTACCTACTATCTTTGAAAGCCCTCAATTTTAGTTTTCCCAAATAATAAGTCTAGCTTTCCCAAAGGAAAAGGATAGAAAATTTCCATCTAGACTCTAACAATAACACTCACTTTTGCAAAATTTTCATGAGAACTAAATAACTCAAGGAAGTCATGTGTTTGGACATTGAACCTCAGGAAAGCAGAATGGTGAATGAGACCAATTCTTTTTTTTAATTATTTAAGTTCTAGGGTACATGTGCACAACGTGCAGGTTTGTTACGTATGTATACATGTGCCATGTTGGTGTGATGCACCCATTAACTCATCATTTACCTTAGCTATATCTCCTAATGCTATCCTACCCCTTCCCCCAACCCCATGACAGGCCCCGCTGTATGATGTTCCCCTTTCTGTGTCCAACTGTTCTCATTGTTCAATTCCCACCTCTGAGTGAAAACATGCGGTGTTTGGTTTTTTTGTCCTTGTGATAGTTTGCTCAGAATGATGGTTTCCAGCTTCATCCATGTCCCTACAAAGGACATGAACTCATCCTTTTTTATGGCGGCATACTATTCCATGGTGTATATGTGCCACATTTTCTTAATCCAGTCTATCATTGATGAACATTTGGGTTGGTTCCAAGTCTTTGCTATTGTAAATAGTGCCGCAATAAACATAACAGTTTGATTTATAATCAATAAACATAGCAGCATGATTTATAATCCTTTGGGTATATACCCAGTAATGGGATGGCTGGGTCAAATGGTATTTCTAGTTCTAGATCCTTGAGGAATCACCACACTGTCTTCCACAATGGTTGAACTAGTTTACAGTCCCACCAACAGTGTAAAAGTGTTCCTATTTCTCCACATCCTCTCCAGCACCTGTTGTTTCCTAACTTTTTAATGATCGCCATTCTAACTGATGTGAGATGGTATCTCATTGTGGTTTTGATTTGCATTTCATTGATGTCCAGTGATGATGAGCATTTTTTCATGTGTCTGTGAACATAAATGTCTTCTTTTGAGAAGCGTCTGTTCATATCCTTCACCCACTTTTTGATGGGGTTCTTTGATTTTTTCTTGTAAATTTGTTTAAGTTCTTTGTAGATTCTGGATATTAGCCCTTTGCCATATGGGTAGATTGTAAAAATTTTCTCCCATTCTGTAGGTTGCCTGTTCACTCTGATGGTAGTTTCTTTTGCTGTGCAGAAGCTCTTTAGTTGAATTAGATCCCATTTGTCAATTTTGGCTTTTGTTGCCATTGCTTTTGGTGTTTTAGACATGAAGTCCTTGTCCATGCCTATGTCCTGAATGGTATTGCCTGGGTTTTCTTCTAGGGTTTTTATGGCTTTGGGTCTAACATTTAAGTCTTTAATCCATCTTAAATTAATTTTTGTATAAGGTGTAAGGAAGGGATCCAGTTTCGGCTTTCTACATAGGGCTAGCCAGTTTTCCCAGCACCATTTATTAAATAGGGAATCCTTTCCCCATTTCTTGTTTTTGTCAGGTTTGTCAAAGATCAGATGGTTGTAGATGTGTGGTATTATTTCCAAGGGCTCTGTTCTGTTCCATTGGTCTATATCTGTTTTGGTACCAGTACCATGCTGTTTTGGTTACTGTAGCCTTGAGGTATAGTTTGAAGTCAGGTAGCGTGATGCCTCCAGCTTTGTTCTTTCGGCTTAGGATTGTCTTGGTAATGTGGGCTCTTTTTTGGTTCCAAATGAACTTTAAAGTAATTTTTTCCAATTCTGTGAAGAAAGTCATTGGTAGCTTGATGGGGATGGCATTGAATCTATAAATTACCTTGGACAATATGGCCATTTTCATGATATTGATTCTTCCTATCCATGAGCATGGAATGTTCTTCCATTTGTTTGTGTCCTCTTTTGTTTCGTTGAGCAGTGGTTTGTAGTTCTCCTTGAAGAGGTCCTTCGCATCCCTTGTACGTTGGATTCCTAGGTATTTTATTCTCTTTGAAGCAATTGTGAATGGGAGTTCCCTCATGATTTGGCTCTCTGTTTGTCTGTTATTGGTGTGTAGGAATGCTTGTGATTTTTGCACATTGATTTTGTATCCTGAGACTTTGCTGAAGTTGCTTATCAGCTTAAGGAGATTTTGGGCTGAGACAATGGGGTTTTCTAAATATACAATCATGTCATCTGCAAACGGGACAATTTGACTTCCTCTTTTCTTAATAGAATACCCTTTATTTCTTTCTCCTGCCTGATTGCCCTGGCCAGAACAGCCAACACTATGTTGAATAGGAGTGGTGAGAGAGGGCATCCCTGTCTTGTGCCAGTTTTCAAAGGGAATGCTTCCAGTTTTTGCCCATTCAATATGATATTGGCTGTGGTTTTGTCATAAATAGCTCTTATTATTTTGAGATACATCCCATCAATACCTAATTTATTGAGAGTTTTTAGCATGAAGGACTGTTGAATTTTGTCAGAGGCCTTTTCTGCATCTATTGAGATAATCATGTGGTTTCTGTCTTTGGTTCTGTTTATATGCTGGATTACGTTTATTCATTTGTGTATGTTGAACCAGCCTTGCATCCCAGGGATGAAGCCCACTTGATCATGGTGGATAAGCTTTTTGATGTGCCGCTGGATTCAGTTTGCCAGTATTTTATTGAGGATTTTTGCATCGATATTCATCGGGGATATTGGTCTAAAATTCTTTTTTTATGTGTGTGTCTCTGCCAGGCTTTGGTATGCGGATGATGCTGTCCTCATGAAATGAGTTAGGGAGAATTTTCTATTCATTTTCTATTCATTGGAATAGTTTCAGAAGGAATGGTACCAGCTCCTCTTTGTACCTCTGGTAGAATTTGGCTATGAATCCGTCTGGTCCTGGACTTTTTTTAGTTGGTAAGCTATTAATCATTGCCTCAATTTCAGAGCCTGTTATTGGTTTATTCAGGGATTCAACTTCTTCCTGGTTTAGTCTTGGGAGGGTGTATGTGTCCAGGAATTTATCAATTTCTTCTAAATTTTCTAGTTTATTTGCGTTGAGGTGTTTATAGTATTCTCTGATGAGTAGTTTGTATTTCTGTGGGATCGGTGATAATATCCCAATGTGACCAATTCTTAATGGATGACAGTGTCAGTGTTTGTAGTGTCTAGTCTTTGACATCCCAGGTGGTGTGCCATGGTACCTGAAGTGGGGTTGCACATTGATTTCATCTTTAGGGCTCAGTACCTACCTCTCTTGGCTTCCGGAGATTTTATAAACTACCTAATACTCTTTAATAAATCCCTTTTCTGCTTTTAGTAGCCAGAGTGGATGCTATTTTTTGCAACTAAAAATTGTAATTTTGACACCATCTTAAATATGAACTCTCTTCCCTGGCATCCATCAACTTTCTTCAGGGAAAAAAAAAAAACACTTTGGTAACATCACCTACTGCTTGTGCATAGCAGTGTTCTTATCAGTGTGATTTGTACCAGGCATTCCCTGTACTCAGAAAGCAATCCTATTCAATTAGACACCTCACTAGGCTTACTACACTGGAAATCATAGAGCGATCAGTTTCAAGGATCATTTATTTTATATACAAGTACCTAGACTAAGCCCCTACCCATGAGTAAATATAAGGATCATCCAGCCACCAATAAAGATTGCACAAAAAGAAAAACAGGGCAAGCTCACATCAAAATCAGTCGATCCCCAAGCAGATCTCTTCTGCATTCCTGCTTGTTTCCTACATTTGAACACTGGAAATGGCTAAGTGCTAGGAAAACTAAGGGTCGTGTTTATCTTCATACCTTCATACCTCTGATTTTCACATTTTTATTACAGAATTCTATGACCCACTCCCATTACTTAAGTTAAAAACCTGTTATTTTTTATTACATCTATACCATTAGTTCCTGAATTCAATTCAGTTAATAGTATCTACTTAATATTTTTTCAAATTATTCCTATGTCCATCTACTCATGACTTATATCAGTGGCTTCCTGCTGGTTTTACTTGCTTCCAGTTTCCTTGCTGTTTTTTTTTTTCTCCATAAGTATTAGGAGGGATATTTTTCCAGAACACAAATATGATCATGCCACTCCATGCCCCAAAACTCTTTTAATCACCCACAGAATAAAATCCCAACTTGCCAGCAAATAGGACGTACATGATGTGGCAAAACCTGCCCCTCCATCCTCATCTGCAGTGCTCTTCCACCCACACTATAAAAATCAACCCTTGATAAACCACAGAAACACATGTGGCTCTCCAAACAATCTTGCTTTCCATTTCCATGCATTTATCACATTGTCCCTCTTAGCAACACATCCTGCATAGAGTGGCTCAAAAACCTCAGCTCTAAGGACCCTTCAATGTCTCTAGACTAATTTGAGTTTTTCCTCTGTGCTCCCACACTCCCAAGTGTCTTATTCATTCGTTCCACCCTCCATTATGTGGTCATGATTATCCGTTTGGGGTTCTGTCTCTTCACCTAGTTTCTACTTCCTCTTATCATTGCCTACAAGAGGAGTCAGATTTGATGCCTGTCTTGTTGGTCAGTGACTGATGCTTGACAGCTTGTGTAAATTGGATTCTCTCAGCTGACTTCCATGAATTATTGTTGCTGTTAGCATAGACATTCTTAGGGCTCATGAATTCCTCAGAGAACCTCATGTTACTCTTCAATGAATATACCCGTGTCTAGTAGTGGATGAGAAACATAATTATTTTAATGATTATTATTAATAATAATAATTATTAGCTACTATTTACAGAATGTTACTATATGGCACCAGGTCATTTAATCCCATCACAACACTATGCCAGAAGTTATATCATTGTCACCTTGTAGATGAGGAAAATGGAGTACAGAATAATTTTAAACATTGCCAAGTGTCATGAAACCTAAAGAAGGCAAAGCCTGCAAATGAACTACACTCTGTCTGATTCTAAGTTTTACGTGCATAATCATTTAACTTTGCAGACCAGAAGTGGCTCACTTATTTAATTGTAGTGAACTGCATTTGCCTTGCTTCTTTAACAGCTTTATTCACACAATTCACATATAATACAATTCACTCATTTAAATTATACAACTCAATAATATTTTCAGATGTATGCAATCATCTCCACAGCCCATTTTAGAAATTTTCCTTATCTCATAAAGAAATCCTGTACCTTTTAGCCATCACTTCCCATCCCTCTACCCAACACTCTCAGCCCTAAGCAACCACAACTTACACTCTCTCACTAGAGATTTTCAGTTCTTGATGATTTATATGAATTTATATGATGATTATATGAATGAATCATATAATATGTGTCCTTTTTGTTTCCAGCTTCTTTCAAATAGAATAATGTTTCAAGTTTCATTCCCTATTAGCATGTATAAGTACTTCATTCCTTCATGTTTGCCTTGCTTCTTTTGGCTGGTTTTCTAGTCTGTTCTTATCTGAGAACAGTAACTTCCTTATGCCAGAGCAAGAAGGGCTTCTTTCCTGGACTTTGTCCTTGAAAGGCACTTCTCTGTCCCTTCTCCACCAGTGCCCAGTTCCCTTTCCTATGGGGTAAGTCCTTAGGTCCAGGTACCTGGGGCCCAAGAATATCCTGACCAATTAGCCCAGGGTATGTGCATCTTCTCAGAGACAGTTCTCCTCAAAGTGAATCCCACCCCACAATTGGTGAGGCCACCATTTGTTGTGAAGTATGAATGGGACTTTGACATGAGGGCTGGGGTGTCCATATACATGCAGACAGGGTCCCTCACACAGTCCAGTGGAGCTGGCGGTGGGAAGAAAAGGTGAAGTGCAGTTGAATAACACAGAGAAATTTGAGAATGCCTAGCTTAAACCTGAACTTGCTACACAAAGCTATATTTGTTAAAATAAGAGAAAAAAGAAAATATTTAATAGTTTCTAGTTTATAACTAACTTTTAAATATTTAGACATATGGTATGTTGACCTCTTATTGTACTCATATAACTGACCTTGCAAAATTTTAGAAGTGGGCCTTTTAAAAGCACAAACAGATCAATGAATAGCTCCACAAACAGATCAATGAATAGCTCCACATCACATCATTCATAAGAGCAATTTTACAGTTTTCTCTCAATGTCACAGGTTTTTGAGACTGACAGGTTAGTCTTTCATCTTCTTTGGAATCTTATTTGTGTCTACCATGTGCAACGCCAATCTGTACACTGAGATCCTGCAGATGTCTTACTAGGATTACTTAGTGAAGAAACCAACTTGATGGGGTGCCATGCCTCTCACTGTCACACTCAGTGTCCATATTAGATTCCTAAATCACTTTGAGCCTCACTGCCTAAGTCTGAGAAAATGTTTATCCTTCACATAGCCATTCTTTTGGGTGTAACTCCTGCTGGCCTGCAGGAACAGCACAACCATGATGCAATTCAAGGAAAGCAATCTCCCAAATAATTAGCATACAGAAGCCCCAAAGAGACAAGTTATATTTTTCCTGTTTAATTTAGGACATAGCTAACAATAATTTTCTAAAACAGTTCCACGAGAGAAAGTAGAAATTGTTATTTATATTATGTGTCATAATATTACCAGCTGGCATTGTTGAAAGCAGGGAACAAAGAATTATTTTCTCAGCTGATGAAATGACAACCAATTATTATATCTTCTTGAAGTAGTATGTTATGCTCTCCAAAAATACCAGAAGTCATTCATTGTTCTTAACTGCTACGGCATGTTTTTAATATGCTGGCTAAGAAGTTACCAGAGGTTGCAGTCAAGCTCAGGAGTGGCTCATGATCATTGTAGGGAAGGAGCTGCCTAAAATAAATGCGCAAACCCATACTTCATTGACCAGCCAGCATAAGTGTTCATGAAGAGCCCCCATGTGCCCAGCTTTATGCTGCATAGCCCACTCTCTTTGATAGGCTAGCACCTTCTCCAGACATTGCTTAAAACTCTCTTGTAACTTAAAAACTATGTTTCTGTTGACTTTTTTATTATTATTATACTTTAAGTTCTAGGGTACATGTGCACAACATGCAGGTTTGTTACATATGTATACATGTGACATGTTGGTGTGCTGCACCCATTAACTCGTCATTTACATTAGGTATATCTCCTAATGCTATCCTCCCACTTCCCCCAACCCCATGACAGGCCCCGGTGTGTGATGTTCCCCTTCCTATGTCCAAGTGTTCTCATTGTTCAGTTCCCACCTCTGAGTGAGAACATGTGGTGTTTGGTTTTTTGTCCTTGTGATAGTTTGCTCAGAGTGATGGTTTCCAGCTTCATCCATGTCCCTAACAAAGGACATGAACTCATCCTTTTTTATGGCGGCATAGTGTTCCATGGTGTATATGTGCCACATTTTCTTAATCCAGTCTATCATTGATGGACATTTGGGTTGGTTCCAAGTCTTTGGTATTGTAAATAGTGCCGCAATAAACATACGTGTGCATGTGTCTTTATAGCAGCATGATTTATAATCCTTTGGGTATATACCCAGTAATGGGATGGCTGGGTCAAACGGTATTTGTAGTTCTAGATCCTTGAGGAATTGCCACACTGTCTTCCACAATGATTGAACTAGTTTATAGTCCCACCAACAGTGTAAAAGTGTTCCTATTTCTCCACATCCTCTCCAGCACCTGTTGTTTCCTAACTAACTTTTTAATGATCGCCATTCTAACTGGTGTGAGATGATATCTCATTGTGGTTTTGATTTGCATTTCTCTGATGGCCAGTGATGATGAGCATTTTTTCATGTGTCTGTTGGCTGCATAAATGTCTTCTTCTGAGAAGTGTCTGTTCATATCCTTTGCCCACTTGTTGATGGGGTTGTTTGTTTGTTTTTTTCTTGTAAATTTTTTTAGTTCTTTGTAGATTCTGGATTTCATTCTCTTTAGAGATGCTTCATCAACATCATCATCATTGTTTTTCTTGCATGTTGTTAATATTCAGTGGGAGGTCTCTCACTCAGAAAGTTTAAGCAACTTGCCCAAGGTTACCATAACTCACGTCTTCAAATGCTCAGTCCTGTGCTATATACCACACTGCTTTCTGGTACAATTTAAATTATATTACACCTTGTATATTACTTTAAATGTATGTTCTGATCTACCACTCCATTATCTTTTCAAGCTATTCAGTTACTTACTAATGCACAAAAAAAAGTGTTCGCTTGCACAAAGAAAATCTTTATTCAAATAAATCCTAAAGTGGATTATTTAGTGAAGCAAGATTTATTTGTAGTCTCTCAAATTCATATTTCATTTTATCTTTATCGTGAACATAAACAATTGTATACCAGTATTACATTAATTTAATGAGGCTTACCTGTCATGTATAATATAGATTTGTGTGTTTCAATTTTTTTGTCTTGAATAGGGCTGTGCAGTGTTTTACTACAGTTTAAAAAACATAGTCAAAAAAAGGCTGTACAACCACAGCACTTGAATTCTCTGAACCAGAGAGGCCTTTTAAATTCTTGCAAAAGCTCCAAATTCTCCTCTCTGGAAGAAACAGATACATATACCTACAACATTTTGCATATGATTTTCTAGGGTTAGTGTAACCAAAGAAGCCTGTAAGAGAACTCCCTTGGTGTCCAGGACCCCTGATTAAGAACTTTGCCTTCTCAAGTGCCTGCCAATCTCTCCTCAATATTTTGATAGGAAGATTACAAGGAAGAAGATGGTGGAAAAGAAAAGTTGATGTCCCAAAGAGCAATAATTTAGATCTAGGGAAAATAATAGGAGAGAGAAGAGGGAGTAGGGGTATGGATACCTGAGAGGAAATTGGCAGAAATTAACCAAGTAAATTTAAAGATGTCTTAAATTTGATATTCAAAATATTGTCTGTGTCTCTTAGTCATGTAAGCTCCTCCTAGCTCTAATCCTTAAATCTCCAGTAAAAGCCTCCTGTGTGTGACTGCCTCACGGGAGATGAATTTGTGTGTAAAGAGCTCAAGTAGTAGATGCCGTCTTCAACATTTAAGTCAATGACAGGGCAGCAACAGAGAAACAGATGCAAGATGCAGAAGCCAGAAATCACAGCCAGACAGATAAGAAAAATAGTTTTTCAGAAACTAAAGACATCTTGGCATGCTAGATTTCCCATAGGATGTAGAACTGACTTTAGAGCCAATTTTATTCTTACTTTAAGTGGGTAAGTAACTTCAGCTCTTATCTTATTTACTCTGACTTATGACTAGCTCTCAAGAATTTGCAAAAGATAAGCACAATAATTATTTTATCTACTTGGAGACCCTACAAGGTGGGCTTTCCCCCCTCACCTTTACAAATGAGGAAACTGAGGCTCACAGTATAAAATAACCAAGATCACAGACTTGGCTCAGAGAGCTGTCAGGAGCTCTAACCTCTCTCCCTAACTAACCTTGTGCCCTTTCTTCTGGGACGCACTGCCTATTTGAAAGCAAATGCTAAATGATGGCTTGCTAGTGCTTGGTCTTTATTGCCACTTCTTCCCTATTGTGCCTATATATAATATTTCCTGCTGAGACCAGTTACAGCCTTAGTCTGCTACTAAACACACTACTCCAGGGGTCACTATCATCAGTTAAGAATTGGCAGTCGAGGTGAAACCTATTTAGCATCACTGTCTGAAATGACTTGGGTCAGATTTCTCCCAGAAGTCTATTGAGATTGGGTGAAGAAATCAGAACTAAGACGATTTTAAAGAAATAATTTGGCCATCAGTGTTTTTCAATTCCAGTTTTGTCTTTCACACCTGTGTCCCAGTTTCAAATTTTCCACAGGACATTCCCATGTGAATACACTTGTAACCTGAATAGTCCCCAGGTAAGACGGAGAAGCATATTTGCAGAAGTCCAAGTTATACGGATCACTCACTCTTGTTATTTATCTTGTATTTCACATTACAAAACAGTTTTGAGTGTTGAAATAAAGATCCAAAAATTTTCCCTTGGGAGAGTTGCATTTTCTCTCTCTCTCTGAGAGAGAGAGAGAGAGAGAGAGAGAGGGAGGGAGGGAGGGAGGGAGGGAGAGAGAGGGAGGGAGGGAGGGAGAGGGAGGGAGGGAGGGAGAGAGAGGGAGGGAGGGAGGGAGAGAGAGGGAGGGAGGGAGAGGGAGGGAGGGAGGGAGGGAGAGAGAGAGAGAGAGAAGGAAGGAAGGAGAAGGGGAGAAAGGAAGAAACGAAGAGAGAAAGAAAGTCTTTATGAGAGAAGCCTCTCCTCCATCCTCTAAAGCTCATTAGCCCTGTCCCCACCCCATTATCCTCCATCTCAGCTCCTAGTTCTTTTCCCTCTTGTTACACTTATCACAAGTGGTAATTAATTAATTACTGTTTAGTGAAAATCACTTCTGCTTTACTATGCCCTCCAAAAGACAGGTATCACATCTGTTTTGGGTACTATAATATCTCCTGGCAGAAGGAATAACACATAATAGGCGCTTCAGTAGTAATTGTGGAATAAAAGAAAGTCTATAAAATGTGCTCATGAATAAATGAATTGCAGTGCCATGTCTGCTGAAGACTAAGTCCAGTTAACTATATACTTCCCTTACATCTGTACACACAATATTCTGGAATGTTCCTCATTCCTACCGTTATTCACCAATTGTAGCAACAATGTTCCTCTCTCCCTGAGTTTTTACCTTGGACTGCTACCTGTGACTGACTTCTTCTGCTTTGCATTTTCTAGTCCTCATAGAAACTGATTTTATGTCCCCAAGTGTGCCACAGTGTTTGGGATTTGCTCGCTATCATTTGTTTGCCTAATCCTACTGTGCTCTGTCTAAAATAATGCTTGTTCATTTTTTGCAAAGACAGTGAAAGTAAGGCAGTTATTCTCAAACCTAATCAGCACAAATACCTGAGTTTTTGCATATAATTGCTTTTCAGGACCAAATCTTATAGAAGGATAGTCTCTAGGGTTAAATATCTGTAAGGAAGTGGTATTTTGTAACAAGCTCCTGGAGTGATTATTATGATTCAGGGTTAGGAGCTACTAAGGTAGAGAAGAGGTCACCAGCTTTGGAATCATATGTGGATTTGAGTCTTTGCTCACAGATGGGTTAACTCTATGACTTCAACCAATTAATTAATCCAACCATGTTTCCCAATCTGTACAATGGTAAAGAGGCCAATGGTAGAGAGGTGGTTTTTACCCGACCTCCACCTTCAGTCTGTTCAGAAGCAGACCAGCTTTTCATACTAATTTTCCATAAGAGCCAGACCCAATATTTTTCACTTAAGCAAATAGCTTTTCTAGACTCCAAATTACAGGATGAATTCTTTTTCTAGAAAAAAGTATTCAAATCTGAATAAACCAAGTAATTATACTTTGACATAAAACACCTCATAATATATGATATCTTCATCATTTATAATCAGTAGCTGAAAAGATATTGTTGATGTACTATTGCTATTCCTTCCAAAAGCCCCTTATGTTGCTGCCATCAGGACCCTGTCACTGGTTCTACCTCCCTGCTGCAGGTCTCATAACCAGTCGCCTACAATCTTCTAAAAGCAGTAGAGGATATACCTCTAAAAGCAGTAGAGGGTATAAAATCCTCTAAAAGCAGTAGAGGGTATATCTCTACTGCTTTTAGGCCTGTGGTCAGGCTGGCCTAACCCCACTGAGATACAAAGGCCAGTAGCTAATATCCCCAGTACAGCGCCAAAGGAAACCCCACTCCTGCTGCAGATGTAATCTTATCACACTGTCCTGGAGTCCCAAATTAATCTCTTCTTTGCAGTAATATTACAAATGATGCACAATATTTTAAAGATCACTGTGAGTAATGTCATAATTTATTTATGTTAAAAGTTGAAACAAAATGAGTGGCATTTTAATCTCATTGAATGTGTACTTTCTAGTCCTGGCGATAGGACTAGCACTATGTCTTTCATAGGCCATGTTTAGTGCTACTTCCTGCTAACCTTGACTCAGTGGTCAGGTTAAGTTCTATCATTTTCATTGCTATATAGGGTAAGATATGCCTCTCCTCCCTTAACTGGACATGACATAGGTGTGTCTTCACCTGGGGACAAGGACTGTGAGCAAGTACACATCTCTATCTCCTATTAAATAAACTTCCCTTGCAACACAAAAACTAAACAAGTCTTCTCAGATCTCTGGGAGCCATTCACTCCCCCTGAGTTAGACTACTCTTTTTTGTGTTCAAGCATAAGATACTCGATCCTGCCTTCAAAGACAACTCTGTTTTTTAGTGCTGAATTTCTGAACATAGACATGGGTGGAGTTTTCTTCAGGATATCCTTAGGGGCTGGTGAGGGGGGTGTAAAGAAGAATTTAATGTGATCAGGCATAAAGGTTCAGTAGAACCAGAGGGTAACAGTGAAAGGGAATGAAAAACAAAATGTCTTTTTATTGTCTCTCTCTTCCAGAAAGAAGAATGAAATAGAAGTTAATTTCACTGTATATTTCCTTGCCAAATTTAATCAAACATATATTTGTAGTTCTCTCCAGTGTCTCATGGAAATAGAGGGAATACCGAAGTTACTAAGGATGCAGCTAACAGTAACCAAAATTATATCAATATATCCAATATATTTATATTATTAAAATTATTTTCACTAGATCATCAGTTTTCAAAACATCACTGGGGTAAATACTATTCATAATAAGTATGTTTTATCCCAAGAAAGGGCTTGTTTTTACTGTTAACATAATTCTAGGGGGCAGTGTCTGATGTACTTTCCTCTTAGGGAAGTGTTTTAAAAGACTGTTCTAAACCCTGCTGTAAAGAACTTTATTGAACCTTGTTTTCACCCATTGTTTTCTCATTTTATTTATGACCCTACAGCCTCAGGAAGAGCCTGCACATTATTGATCTTAGAGACTGTGTTAGTATTTTGAACATTCAAGTTGAAAAAGATACTATAACTTCCTTTGCCCCTTCCCTACCATTTTTAAATACTTGTTTGGGGTTTGATAACCTCTCTGCAAAGATGCCATGGAGACACCAGCAGAACCAAATTCCCTGGCTCCAATCGCTGTCGCGTTGACTCTGAGGAAAGAGATTGAAATTTGGAAGTAAAAATAGCTTGAGAGATTGTAAATAGCAAAGGCAGAGGGAAAGGGAGGCAGTAAATGATAAGAGATGTAGCTAAATATTTATATATACAAAAAATGAAAACATGAAAAACGTTCCTTCTGAAATACATAATTAAGCTCAAGACAGAGTAGGCAGATGGGAGTCAGTAATTACAGGTTCCTAATGTATCCAAAATTCCCAGAGAATGAAAGTGTTGCTACTAATTTTGTAGCTTCACAGTTTATAGCTTGTTGCTGTTTATAACAGGCGCTGCTCCATTAACACTTGACATTCCAGTTAAGATAGTTTGCATTTAAAAATAAAGCTAGCAGAGCAAACCCACACAATTTCTGACCTACTTAGACTATTTATGTGAAAATGCCATGTAAAGTAAGGTTATTATGCATGTCTTGCAGTTATTAGCATTACCATCATTCTCCTTATCATTACAGGCATTTCTGGTGTCATAGAAAAGACTGGATATGGGACTCATTTCACTTCTACAAATATAGTCATGCACTACCTAATGACACTTTGGTCAGTGACAGATGACATATACGACTGTGGTCTCATATGATTATTATACTCAAAATTTACTGTACCTTTTCTATGTTTTTTTAATTATACTTTAAGTTTTAGGGTGCATGTGCACAACATGCAGGTTAGTTACCTATGTATACATGTGCCATGTTGATGTGCTGCACCCATTAACTCGTCATTTAACATTAGGTATATCTCCTAATGCTATACCTCCCCCAACCCCACAACAGGCCCTGCTGTGTGATATTCCCTTTCCTGTGTCCAAGTGTTCTCATTGATCAATTCCCACCTATGAGTGAGAACATGCGGTGTTTGGTTTTTTGTACTTGGGATAGTTTGCTGAGAATGATGGTTTCCAGTTTCATCCATGTCCCTACAAAGGACATGAACTCATCATTTTTTATGGCTGCATAGTATTCCATGGTGTATATGTGCCACATTTTCTTAATCCAGTCTATCATTGTTGGACATTTGGCTTGGTTCCAAGTCTTTGCTATTGTGAATACGGCAGCAGTAAACATACGTCTGCATGTGTCTTTATAGCAGCACAATTTATAATCCTTTGGGTATATACCCAGTAATGGGATGGCTGGGTCAAATGGTATTTCTAGTTCTAGATCCCTGAGGAATCGCCACACTGACTTCCACAATGGTTGAACTAGTTGACAGTCCCACCAACAGTGTAAAAGTGTTCCTATTTCTCCACATCCTCTCCAGCACCTGTTGTTTCCTGCCTTTTTAATGATTGCCATTCTAACTGCTGTGAGATGATATCTCATTGTGGTTTTGATTTGCATTTCTCTGATGGCCAGTGATGATGAGCATTTTTTCATGTGTTTCTTGGCTGCATAAATGTCTTCTTTTGAGAAGTGCCTGTTCATATCCTTCGCCCACTTGTTGACGTGGTTGTTTGTTTTTTTCTAGTAAATTTGTTGGATTTCATTGTAGATTCTGGATATTAGCCCTTTGTCAGATGAGTAGATTGCAAAAATTTTCTCCCATTCTGTAGGTTGCATGTTCACTCTGACGGTACTTTCTTTTGCTGTGCAGAAGCTCTTTAGTTTAATTAGATCCCATTTGTCAATTTTGGCTTTTGTTGCCATTGCTTTTGGTGTTTTAGACATGAAGTCCTTGCCCATGCCTATGTCCTGAATGGTATTTCCTAGGTTTTCTTCTAGGGTTTTTATGGTTTTAGGTCTAACATGTAAGTCTTTAATCCATCTTGAATTAATTTTTGTATAAGGTGTAAGGAAGGCATCCAGTTTCAGCTTTCTACATAGGGCTAGCCAGTTTTCCCAGCACCATTTATTAAATAGGGAATCCTTTCCCCATTTCTTGTTTTTGTCAGGTTTGTCAAAGATCAGGTAGTTGTAGATAAGCGGCATTATTTCTGAGGGCTCTGTTCTGTTCCCTTGGTCTATATCTGTTTTGGTACCAGTACCATGCTGTTTTGGTTACTGTAGCCTTGAGGTATAGTTTGAAGTCAGGTAGCGTGATGCCTCCAGCTTTGTTCTTTTGGCTTAGGATTGACTTGGCAATGTGGGCTCTTTTCTGGTTCCATATGAACTTTAAAGTAGTTTTTTCCAATTCTGTGAAGAAAGTCATTGGTAGCTTGATGGGGATGGCATTGAATCTATAAATTACCTTGGGCAGTATGGCCATTTTCACGATATTGATTCTTCCTACCCATGAGCATGGAATGTTCTTCCATTTGTATCCTCTTTTATTTCATTGAGCAGTGGTTTGTAGTTCTCCTTGAAGAGGTCCTTCACGTCCCTTGTAAGTTGGATTCCTAGGTATTTTATTCTCTTTGAAGCAATTGTGAATGGGAGTTCACTCATGATTTGGCTCTCTGTTTGTCTGTTATTGGTGTATAGGAATGCTTGTGATTTTTGCACATTGATTTTGTATCCTGAGACTTTGCTGAATTAGCTTATCAGCTTCAGGGGATTTTGGGCTGAGATGATGGGGTTTTCTAGATACACAATCATGTCATCTGCAAACAGGGACAATTTGACTTCATCTTTTCCTAGTTGAATACCCTTTATTTCCTTAGTCTGCCTGATTGCCCTGGCCAGAACTTCCAACATTATGTTGAATAAGAGTGGTGAGAGAGGGCATCCCTGTCTTCTGCCAGTTTTCAAAGGGAATGCTTCCAATTTTTGCCCATTCAATATGATATTGGCTGTGGGTTTGTCATAGATAGCTCTTATTAATTATTTTGAGATACATCCCATCAATACCTAATTTATTGAGAGTTTTTAGCATGAAGGACTGTTGAATTTTGTCAAAGGCCTTTTCTGAATCTATTGATATAATCATATGGTTTTTGTCTTTGGTTCTGTTTATATGCTGGATTAAGTTTATTGATTTATGTATGTTGAACCAGCCTTGCATCCCAGGGATGAAGCCCACTTGATCATGGTGGATAAGTTTTTTGATGTGCTGCCAGATTCGGTTTGCCAGTATTTTATTGAGGAGTTTTCCATCGATGTTCATCAGGGATATTGGTGTAAAATTCTCTTTTTTTGTTGTGTCTCTGCCAGGCTTTGGTTTCAGGATGATGCTGTCCTCATAAAATGAGTTAGGGAGGATTACCTCTTTTTCTATTGATTGGAATAGTTTCAGGAGGAACAGTACCAGCTCCTCCTTGAACCTCTGGTAGAATTCGGCTGTGAAGCCATCTGGTCCTGGACTTTTTTTGGTTGGTAAGCTATTAATTATTGCCTCTATTTCAGAGCCTGTTATTGGTCTATTCAGAGATTCTACTTCTTCCTGGTTTAGTCTTGGGAGGGTGTATATGTTGAGGAATTTATCGATTTCTTCTAGATTTTCTAGTTTATTTGCATAGAGGTGTTTATAGTATTCTCTGATGTTAGTTTGTATATCCGTGGGATCGGTGGTGATATCCCCTTTATCATTTTTTTTTTTTGCGTCTATTTGATTCTTCTCTCTTTTCTTCTTTATTAGTCTTGCTAGCAGTCTATCAATTTTGTTGTTCTTTTCAAAAAACCAGCTCCTGGATTCGTTGATTTTTTGAAGGTTTTTTTTGTATCTCTATTTCCTTCAGTTCTGCTCTGATCTTAGTGATTTCTTGCCTTCTGCTAGCTTTTGAATGTGTTTGCTCTTGCTTCTCTAGTTCTTTTAACTGGGATGTTAGGGTTTCAATTTTAGATCTTTCCTGCTTTCTCTTGCGGGCATTTAGTGCTATAAATTTCCCCCTACACCCTGCTTTGAATGTGTCCCAGAGATTCTGGTATGTTGTGTCTTTGTTCTCATTGTTTTCAAAGAACATCTTTATTTCTGCCTTCATTTCGTTATGTACCCAGTAGTCATTCAGGTGCGTGCAGGTTGTTCAGTTTCCATGTAGTTGAGTGGTTTTGAGTGAGTTCCTTTATCCTGAGTTCCAGTTTGATTGCACTGTTGTCTGCGAGACAGTTTGTTATCATTTCTGTTATTTTACATTTGCTGAGGAGTGTTTTACTTCCAAACATGTGGTCAATTTTGGAATAGGTGTGGTGTGGTGCTGAAAAGAATGTATATTCTATTGATTTGGGGTGGAGAGTTCTGTAGATGTCTATTAGGTCCACTTGGTGCAGAGCTGAGTTCAATTCCTGGATATCTTTGTTAACTTTCTGTCTCGTTGATCTGTCTAATGTTGACAGTGGGGTGTTAAAGTCTCCCATTATTATTGTGTGGGAGTCTAAGTCTCTTTGTAGGTCTCTAAGGACTTGCTTTATGAATCTGGGTGTCTGCACTCTCAATTCTATTGTATTCATCTATCCTTCTACTATGCATCTTGTTTTGATTGTTGATACTTTGCAGTAAGTTTTGAAATTGAGAAGTGTAGCTTCTCCAACTTTGTTATTCTCTTTCAAGATTGTTTAAGCTATTGTGGATCCCTTAAAATTGTATATAAATTTTCTAGTCAACATGACAACTTCTACAAAGAAGTCAACTAGTCAACATCGTTTTTCTGATGAAGATTGTCTTAAATCTATAGGTCAGTTGGGCAATATTGTTATTTTAACATTGTTTATTCTTCCAGTCCATGGATGCGGATTGTTTTCCCATTTATTTAGATTTTCCTCAATATCTTTCAACACAATTTTTTAGTTTTCAGAATATAAATTTAGTTTTCAGAATATAAACTTTGTTCTTCTTTTCTTAAATTTATTCCTAAGAATTTTATTTTTTTGATGCTATTGTAAACAGAATTTTCTTAATTTTATTTTTAAATCATTTAATGTGTATATAAATACAATTCAAAAACTTTCCCTTACTTTATTTTTTCTTTTACTTATTTATTTGTGTTTCTGACACATAGGAGAGTATTTCCTGCAGACAACATATAGTTGGGTCATACTTGTTTAATTCATTCTCACAATCTCTACCTTATGATGGGATTATTTAATTCATTCACATTTAAAATTATTGATATATTTTGATATATATCTATCATTTTACTTTTGTTTTCTGTAGGTCTTATGTCTTTCTTATTGTTCCATTTCTCCTTTACTACTTTTCTTTTAATTGAGTGAATGTTTTACAATGTAGCATTTTTAGTTTTATGCTCTAGAATTTAATATGTATTTCTTAATTTGTGAGAATGAGATTCATATTTATAATAGCTCAATTAAAACAAGATATATTATTCCTTACATTGATCTGTTCCCTCTCCCACTTTTGTGTTATTATGGCTCTATATATCTAATCAATGTTACAACTTAACAATAGATTTTTATAATTATTACTTTGCCATATCCTACCATTTTCTTAGTCCATTACACTTTTTCTCCAACTCACCTCTGTTGGCAAATATATTACGTATCTATATGTTACAAACCCTATATTATATAAATACCATTTTAAACAATTGCCTTTAAGTAAACTAAGAGAAAAAAAGAAAAATGTGCCTTTTATAACTTCATTGTTACCTTTACAGGTGCTCTTGTTTCTAAGGATTTAAATTACTGTCTGGGGTCACTTGCTTTCATCCTTAAAAACTTCTTTTAGTCTTTCTTTTAAAGCAAGTCTGCTAACAATACATTCACTCAGCTTCTGTTCATCTGGGAAAGTATTTTGCTTTCATCTCTGAATGATAGCTTTGCTGGATATAATATTTCTAACTGACATTTTCTCTAAGACTTTGAATATGTTACTCTACTGCCTTCTGATAGCCATTGTTTCTTCTGAGAAGTCAGCTGTTAATCTTTTTGAGACACTTACAAATGACACATTATTTTCCTCACCAGCTTTAAGATTTTTCTTTTCTTTGACTTTTATAAATTTTTCTATGATGTGTCTGGTTATGGGTCTTCTATATCCGTCCTACTTAGAGTTCACTGAGTTTCCAGGATGTATAGGTTATTGGCTTTTTAAAGTTTAGGGAACTTTCATTCATATTTCTTAGAAAAATTTTCTTTTTCTTTTTCTCTCCCCTCTTCTGATAATTCCATTACTTGTATGTTGGTGTGGTTAATGGTGTCCCACAATTCTCTGATGCTGTGTACATTTGTCTTTATTCTTTTTTCCCCACTGTTCTTCAGCTTACACAGTTACTATTGATCCATATTCAAGTTCACTTTTTTTAATCTACCAGTTCAAATCTAATGCTGAGCCCTGCTATTGAATTTTGATTTCAGTTATTGTACTTTTCAACTCCAAAATTTTCATGTAGTTCTCTCTTATAATCTTCATCTTTGTTATTTTTTATTTTTTGACATTATCATTATTACACCATCCTTTACTTCTTTAATTGTGAATTTTTTTCAATTCTGTTAACATATTTATAATAGCTACTTTGAAGTCCTTTTTTTTTGTTGTGGTTAAATCCAACATCTGACAGACATCTGGTGATTTCTGTTACCTGCTATCATTCTGTGTATGTTATACTTTCCCATTTCTTTGCATGCCTCATAAATGTTGTTAGAAACTGAACATTTGGGATAACATGTTACAGCAATTCTGAATATTAGTCCCCTTCCCCCAGAGCTTGTTAATTCTATTTGCATGATTATGTTTTATGACAGGCTAGATTATTTTTTTGAAGTCTATTTCCTCTCTACAGTGTTAAGACTCTGATACTGTTCCTCAAGGAGGCTCAATTTTGTGTATGCTAACAATCTCATTGGAATGACAATAGTACTGATAGGGCTCTCTCCCATTCTTTCCCTGATCACACCCAGCTGTTAAATCTCACAAATTTCTAAGTCAGTTTGCTTTATTGTTTTCAACGTTGTCCTAGGATATGAACTTATATACTAACTAATCCAACTAAATTGCGGCTTCTTTCATGGAACAATTTCTGAGTTAAGTATTTTATATTTGTTCTGACTCTGGGAAGGCTTCTCCCAGCTCTTCTATTCTTCAGTTCTCTCCTTCAAACTAGCCAGCCTGCGGTCTTTTATGTATTTTTTATTAGATTGACAGTATCCTCCCAATTGACTTTCACCACAGACTCTACTGTTTTTGAGAGTATGTTCAAGTTTAAACTAATTCACATTATTTTTACTAATGTAGTCTGTTCTAAATTTTTGTAGACTCTCTTGAATGCATATTTATTTGTTATTTGACCTTGGGACCATTTCCAGGAGCTTTAGTTTTGTTTTGTTTTGTTTTTTTCCTACTTTCACCAGTTTTACTGGGGAATGAGTTAGCAAAGCTCCTTGTGCTTTCATGCCATAAGTAATGCTCTTCCAGTCTTATATACTTACAGTTAATGTTTTTATAAACTATAGTTAATGTTTTTATAAACATTATAATGTTTATATAATTTATATATTATGTTTATAATAGTGTTTATATATGTTTATATATACTATATAAAAACATGCTTTTATAAACATTAACTATAGTTAATATTTTTATAGTTAATATTAACCATATTTTTATAGTTAATATTAACCATATTTTTATAGTTAATATTAACTATATTTTTATAGTTAATGTTTAAAATTTTTAGTTTTGCTTCTGTTATAAATAATATTTTTAATTTTTATTTATTGTACTTAAATATAGAGAAAAGCTATTGATTTTTGTACATAGATCTTAAATATAGTCATTTAAAAAATTTTTATATAGTCTATATTTTTAAATAGCATTTGAGTGCTTTTAATAAATAGCATTTGAGTGCTTTTAAGTCACGGTGAAGTCATTCTAAACAAGATGGTTTTCCTTTTCCTTTTCCCATGTTTATGCTAATTATTTTATTGTCAGGCCTATTTCATCCAATAGCATATAGAAGGCAGCATTGAGTGACAATATAATGAGAATCCTTGTATATTTTCTGATTGTTATTGGTATGATTCTGTTGGTTTCCATTTCAAATTATGTTTGGTATTGTAT
Organism: Homo sapiens; assembly: GCF_000001405.40. Taxonomy (NCBI): domain Eukaryota; kingdom Metazoa; phylum Chordata; class Mammalia; order Primates; family Hominidae; genus Homo; species Homo sapiens. The sequence continues at coordinate 29,376,086 of NC_000011.10, forward strand.
TTTGTTATGTTTGGTATTGTATTTTGTAAAGAGTCATTATCATTTTAAGTAGATTTCTTCATATTCTAACTTATTATTTATAACTGCTGAATTTGACAAATGTCTTACTATCATCTAATAATATTATCTCTATACACTTAATTAATAAAATTAGATTGCATTGCTGTATTTCCTGTAATTAAATTACACTTTTCTTTGAATAAAAGGTCTACTTGGTCAATACTTAATATATTATTTTTATGAGGAAGCCAACTGTTCTTCCAGCTTCTATCTCTCCAACAACAGTTACTTATGGGGTGCATAGACGTGTTCTTGGAGTAAGCTAAATCCTTTTTTGGGGGGAGAATCTAAAATCTCACATTCTCTGGGTAACCCCGCCCAAACCCCAACCTCCACACTGTCATTAACAACATGGATTTCTGTTAAATTTAAATTTACTTGTTAAATTTACAACTCAATAATCAGGAGACAGAAGTGTCTTGAAAGCCAAATACAGATAGTGTTTCAAGAAAGAAGAAATCATCTCTTTGAGTCAAATTGTGTTGAGGGTCAAGTGGTGGGTGAAGTAAGATGAGAACTTAAAATTGACCAGTGAGTGATTTAATCTTGGTCACATGGTCATTTTTCAATTTCTATCTTACTTGCTATATTTGGCTTCCAAAAAATCTTCTGTCACTTGTTGGTCTTCATACCTAAGCGGCCAGTCCTTCTCCATTGTTTTTGGTTCTTTCCCATTCTCTTTACCTCAATATAGGAGTGCCCCAGAAATCAAAATATACTACAAATTAACTAATTCTTTTGGTAATCTCACCAAATCCTTTGATGCAAATGCTTATGATTTATATTAAATATGTTACCAAATTTATCTTTCTGACCAGGCCTTTTATCCTGAAATCTAGAATATTGTGAACACACAATTTATGTATCTAAATGCTTACTCAAGAGTACCATTTGAATATATAATGAACAGGTTCAGAACATACCCCTAATCATTTCCTCCAACGCTTTAGTCATTCAAATTTCAGGAATGGCAGTTCAATTAATTACTCTAAGCACTAAGAAAAAAATATTTAAATTGTATCTAACATTCATCGTTCTCTGTACCCCACATCATTCCTGTTTTTTTTTTCTTTTAAATAGACATAGTGTACATAGCCATTCTCTTATTTCCTTAATCATGTTCACAACAGGTTTATCTGTTTTCTCAGTCTTTGAAAAATGCTAAATTTTGAATTTATTTATCCTTTAGGCTAGTTTAGGTTTTTATATTTTACACATTTTTTAAATCTTTGTATATTTTCTCTTTCTAATATTTTATTTTTTCTTACCTTGTAAAATGAGTAATAACTTTTTCATTTTTTATTTATTTATGAATAAATTTAAAGCTATACAATTTATTTTGAAGGTATCTTTTGCTGTATTTCATAGATTTTGGTGGGAAATATTATTCTTTTTCTTATTTCATAATCCATAATTTGTTTTAATATTCTGTTTAATCCATGGGTTGTTCAAAAGTTTATTTTTTTTTATTTTTGTATACTCGTATCCTAACTTTTTGTTAAAATTGTTGTCTTTCTCTTCTAAAAACCTCTATTTTATTAGCTAATTCTTTTAACTTCTCTCATCTTCTTTCTTTTTCTGTTTATCCACTTTAGGAATTATGAAATTAGTCTTTGTCCATTCAGTATAGAAAGAGGAGATAGTTCTGTAAATGGTTAAAGATTGGGTGGTCTGCCATTTGTACAGGCTAATAAGTCACCAGCCTTCTGTTTACTCTGTTTGTAATCTATGCATGTCAAAAGTGGGGATAACTCCTGCCAACCTGCAAAGCTCTTTCTAAATTATTTGAAGGCCAAGAAAATGGGGGATACTAGTACTAGGTGTTGCTAATTTCTTTCTTCTCTTCCTACCCTATCTGGGACCTAAGCAACTTCTGAGATTTTCCTTTCCCAGGACTCTGCTGTACTGATTTACAGGCTTGCATAAAGGCTGGAGAGAAAAAAGTTTCCATCTCTGCATCACAACTTCCAGGCTTTTGCTTCCTGTTAGCATCAGCTGCTATTTAGCTATGTAGAGCAAGTAAAATGGCTGCTTAGGAACTCACTGGAACTGAAAGGCAAGCTGGAGACATTATTTTGGCATGTTTCTAGATTTCCCTTTATACCTTTTAAATAAAGTTTTAATTCTGGAAGTTTATAAACTTATCTTTGGCTTGCAAGAGAAATAAGATAGTTCAGTACGTACAGCAGAATGGAAATCTGAATGCCGGGCTCTCTGCAGTTTCAGCTTTATCCTTGATTGGCACTTGTCCTTAAATCTAAATTTTCTGAAATCCTAGCTTCCACAGCTTATCTTCTTTGTTGCAACTGCAAAGTCAAACAAGCAAGCTCAGATAGGAAACTTTAGTGCAACCACATTACAGATATTCCATTGTAAAGTACTAACACTTCTTGCATGGCAATATTGATAACCTCATTTCCTATCTGGTGTTTGAATATGAATCATTGACGATTTAAAACGAGTAAGTAAAATAATAAGGATTGTAGTGGCATTACTATTGACCTATTCCAGCCTTGCCCCTTCCCTTAATGATCTCCTAAAAAAAAATCCTTCCTTCATGTTTCTTTCAGCATGATTTTCTTGAATTGCAAACCTACTCATGGCACTCTCAGGTGTAAAACACGAAAATGCTTCCTCATAGCTTTTAGCATTTTTTGTTGTCACAAAAAGCAGCTATCTGATTTTTATTTAACACCATAGTGCTGCCTTTGACTGCCAGAATATAATTTTCAGTTTATATTTATTTATTGAATAAGTAGTTCACCCAAAGCAGTGGGAGCAGTTTTGTTCACCTTGATGACAGGAATTGTGCCTAGTTTTATGTGTCCACACCAAATTTGACACCTGCTATGTGTTCCATAAATATATATTGAAGAAAGTAAGAGATGAAGGAATAGATACAGATATGTGTTTTTCTGAGATTTTGAGGAGAATTATCCTTATTGTGGTACAACATTTAGATATGCTGATCTGAATATAACTTAATTTTTTTTCTTTTTTTTTGTTTTTTGTTTTTTGAGACGGAGTCTCGCTCTGTCACCCAGGCTGGACTGCAGTGGCACGGTCTCTGCTCACTGCAAGCTCCACCTCCCGGGTTCACGCCCTTCTCCTGCCTCAGCCTCCCAAGTAGCTGGGACTACAGGTGCCCACCACCACACCCAGCTAATTTTTTGTATTTTTAGTACAGACAGGGTTTCACCGTGTTAGCCAGGATGGTTTCGATCTCCTGACCTCGTGGTCCACCCGCCTCGGCCTCCCAAAGTGCGGGGATTACAGGCGTGAGCCACCACAACTGGCCAAAACTTAATTTTAAACTAGAAATACCATTTGACCCAGCCATCCCATTACTGTGTATATACCCAAAGTATTATAAATCATGCTGCTATAAAGACACATGCACACATATGTTTATTGCAGCACTACTCACAATAGCAAAGACTTGGAACCAACCCAAATGTCTGACAATGATAGACTGGATTAAGAAAATGTGGCACATATACACCATGGAATACTATGCAGCCATAAAAAATGATGAGTGCATGTCCTTTGTAGGGACATGGATGAAGCTGGAAACCATCATTCTCAGCAAACTATCGCAAGGACAAAAAACCAAACAGCGCATGTTCTCACTCATAGGTGGGAATTGAACAATGTGAACACATGGACACAGGAAGGGGAACATCACACACTGGGGACTGTTGTGGGGTGGGGGTAGGGGGGAGGGATAGCATTAGGAGATATACCTAATGCTAAATGAGGAGTTAATGGGTGCAGCACACCAACATGGCACATGTATACATATGTAACTAACCTGCACGTTGTGCACATGTACCCTAAAACTTAAAGTATAATAATAATAAAAAAAAGAAAATTTTTTTCCTAAACTTATTTCTTCTGAAATGTCCAGAGTACAAAATACTGTGTTCAACACAATGCAACAACATACAGTCTGTACAGAATTGCATTTTCCTCACCACTTCCCTCAGCAGTCATATTTCTTTTTATCTGGATCCACTTGTCCCTGAGGTGCAACTAATCACTATTCTTTATACAGATCTGAGAACAAAGCCTTGCAAATACTGATACTCAATTAATTCTTGGGAAGTGCTTTGGTGAACACTTTTATGATAAAAAAGAATAAAATGTAGTTAGAAAGGGCCTTGAGTTACTTAATTTTGTATTCTCCCAGTTTCCTGAAGAACACAAAATTTAATTTACCCCTGTAGTCTAATATTAATCTTATTTTTAAAAATATTGTTTTAGTGCTTTGCTTAGTAATCCATTCTATTGTCTATTAGTCAGATTATCCTAGAATCTAGTATCTTTAACCTAGGTGGCCTTAGGTATGTTCCATAAAAACTATAACGTCAAATTTCTTCATCAGCAATATGGAAATAATAGCTCTATCCTAATAGGCTTGTTGTGAGGATTAGAAATAAAATACACACTAAGTACGTAGAACAATGTCTGGCACTGATTAAGGGCTCAGTATATTTTAGTTATGTTTTTGTTGTTATTCCACATAATATCATATTTTAATTAGTTGCAAGCTCACAGGAGAATGAATATGGCACCACAGCAGCCAGAGTCAGTGTAAAGAGAAACCTCCAAGTGAGGAATGATTAAGTTGCCCACTATGCTTCCTTCTCCCTTAAAAGTGCCTTTTCTGTTGCATATGTTGATCAAATGAGCAGCCCATGACCCATATTCAAATTATGTGTATCTGAATTTTTGAAAATGCATGTATTTAAAGATTCCTAGCACTTCATAGCCAGAAGAAATGTTGATGTCTATAATGTCTCCCCCTAATTTTACCAGTGAGAAAACTGAGAACCAAAGAGGATGATTATCTTGATTGAGGTCATGAATAAGCATTCTGACTCCTCACCTGATTCTCTTTCTCTCTGTCTCTTTCATATATTTAAAGAATATTATTTTGGAATAGTTTTAGATTTACAGAGAACTTACATGAAAAATACGGAGTATGATGCACACCCAGTTTCCTTGTTATTATCATCTTGCATTACTATGGTATGTTTGTCATAACTAATGAACCAACATTAATGCTTTATTAACTATAATGCATATGTTTTCAGGTATCATGTTTTCTCCATGATATCTTTTTATTTTTTTTGGTTGTGCCTCAACATTGTCCACCTATCCAAACCAGAATTGCTTTGGCCTGTGGAGGGGCTCCCCTTAAAATGTAAAATAACTAAAAAAGTGCATGAGAACAATGTCTCACCAAATAGAAAATAACACCAAGAAGTTAGAAATTATTTCAACAAATAAAATGGAAAGTTTGCAGTTGAAAAATACAATTTCAGTGCTAGAGGGGCTCAACAGTAGATGTGATGAGACAGAAGAAAGTATAAGCAAACCTGAATATAGACAAATTAAGATGATCTAATATGGAACAAAAATGAAAAAGAATGCAGAGACTTCAACAGAGCTTCAGATTCCTGTGCAGCATGCTTATCATACTGGCATACACATGATGGAAGTCCCTGGAAAAAAAGAAGGCTGAAACAGAATAATACTTGAAGGAATAATGGTCAAAAGCTTCCAACATTTTATGAAGTACATTCATGTAAACACCTAAGAAGCTCAATGAATTTCAAATAAGATAAACTCAAAAATACCTACACCTAGACACGTATATTTAATTTATCAGAAACCAAAGACAGAAAATTGAAAGCAACAAGAAAAATGTGTCCCATGATATACAAGGGATCCTCAATAATATTAGCAGCAAATTCCTCATCTGAGACCATGGATGCCAGAAGGCAGTGGGATGACTGAAAAGAAAATGAAGAAGAAATTAAGACATTACCTGATAAACACCAGTTGAGAGAATTTGTCACTAACAGACATGCCCTACAAAAATTACTAAAGAAAAGTAATTCAGTCTTGAATGAAAGGTCAAATTCTAATCCATATGAAGAAATCCTGTAATCCAAACCATAAGCTGTAATCCAAATCCACATGAAGAAATAGAGTACCCTACAACTACTTATGTAAGTATACATATATATATATATACACACACACACATACACAAGATAGTTAAAAACATTTCATGCAAAAACCTGTACATAAATATTCATAGCAGCTTATTCACAATAGCCAAAAAGTGGAAATAACCCAATTATCCATCAACTGATGAACAGATAAACTATCATATAACGGCCTTCAATGAAATATTTATCTATAAAAAGGAATAACACACTGACACAGGCTATGACATGAAAGGACTTTGAAATTGCTGTGCTAAGTGAAGGAAGCCAGGCGTAAAAGGCCACACATTATATAATCCCAGTTATATGAAATAACACAAATAGACAAATACATAGGAACAGAAAATAAGTTAGTGCTTTTAGGGGCTGAGGGAAAAGAGGAATGGGGAATGAATGCTAATAGTCACAGGGTTTATGTAAAACAAGAAAGTTCTGGAATTAGACAGTGGTGATGGTTGCACAACCTGAGGACATGCTAAAATCCATTGGCTTGTAAACTTCAGAATAGTTAATTATGTTGTCTTAAATATATCTCAACTTAAGATGCACATGCACACAAAACAAAGAGTAAGTAAATTATAGAAAAAGCTAAATTATAGAAAAAGCTAAAGAAATAGTGGTATATTCATGCAATTGTATGCTATTTGGAATTATAAAGGAATGAACTAAAGATGCTGACAAGATGAATTTCAAAAAGATTTTGAGGAAAAGAAGCCAAAACAAGAGTACATTCTGTGTTATTCCATTCAATTGAAGTTTTAGTGTAAGCAAACAAAACTATAGAAACATATTAGACAGTGGTTGCTTGAAGTAGTGGTGGGAGAATGGACTGAGAAAAAGTATGAGGCAACTTCAGTGACAGTGATATTCTTTATGTTGATTTGTGTGGTGTTTATTTAGATGTATACATTAGTCAAAACCGATTAAAGTGTGCACTTAATATCTGTGTATTTTATGTAAATTTTAAGTCATTACAGTTGACTTATAAAAAAAAGAATGAGGTAAGAAGTAGTAAGGCCACTTCTGCTGGATTTTAGAACGCTGGAAAATCTGATGTTGGCAATTAAGCCAAATTTATTCATTTACTTCACAGGTTTGGGAAAAGAGAAAGTTGTCATTAAATTGACATCAAACAACCAGAAGACAACTTGGGAAAAAGCAGGAATTTATGTCCTTCAGCTTTTGCTAAGATATTCATGCCATGATATTTGGCCTATGTGAGTAAAGTCTGTCTCTTTGGTTATCTGTAAAATTTATATAAAATATCAATCTATAAAGATTAAGTAATCAAAAAGGTACAGGTGTGAAGCTGCAACTCCTTTTTTCTCGGTATGATGTCCTTTGGGGAGATCTTTTCTCTTGAGATCTAGGAAGTACATTCATTTATTCTGATACTATTTGCTACCAACATATACATATTCTAGCAGGATGATCATCATTTTGCCCTTGGAATAGAAGTGAAAGAAGAATTGAATGTTTATGCCAGAGAGGATGTCAGATACATTTATTGGATACCTACCATATGTTTAGCATTTTGCTATATTCTAATTTATTCCTCAAAACTAACCAAAAAAGTGAGTTTCTATTTTTTATATAAAATACACAAAATATAATATATATTTTGAAATACTCCATTTCTATAAATCCCCATGGCATAGGCTGAGGTTTAAAGGGATTATATAACTTATCAAAAACACACCTGTAAGTATCAGAGTTTATATTCAATACTAATTTTGTTTGACTTCAAAATTTGTCCCCTTACTGCTATATCAGATTCCCTTCCAATTGAGGACCTCTTCTCATGGAGAAAAAAGTTAAGAACAAGAGAAGAAAACTGCCTTGCTCAAGTACACATAGGATAAAACTAAGTGACTGAGCTGGAATACCAACAGCAGCCTAATAACTTTAATTCAGTGATTTTTCCACCAAAGACTCAACAGCAACTGATAAGTGAGTAGTACTTCTTAACTCTGGTATGGTTTTTCTGGTGTTTATTCCATGCCTAGATGTTTGCTGATTCTGCAGGCACATCTCTATGGCACCATGTCAATGGTGCCTCTCAGGGATTACAGATCTTCCTTTGTGTATCAATTGACCTTAGGAGCTTTTCCCAAACCAAAAGAAATAATAGAAGAAAAGGCTAAATATTCTATTTTCAACTTACTTCTCTTGAAAATGAAACAAAGAGATTTCTGTGGTGAGAATACATATTCAAAAATATAAATCTTGCCAGGGAGTTTGATGTTTTCTTAAGAATGATTTGTAAACATGGACCCCTAATTACACTGTCATAGAAACTATAGTTTCTAAAATAATTGGAAATTAAAGTCATCCATTCAGTATAAAATCACCAAATTTGATCCCTTCCAGAAAACTGAGTCAGAATTCAGTGTTCTCTGTCACTTGGGAATTTTTTTGTGAGGATTAAATTAGACAACGCAGGTCGAGCATTAGAACATTGCATGGTATTTAATAAAACCTTAAGAAGGATTAGAAATAATGGTGATAATAATGAGGATGATGATGGTATTGGTAAGGTTCTTCTCAAAGAAATTATAGAAGAGTGATGACAAATTAATTCAAAGAAAAAGAAATCAAGGAGGCAGAGGTTTCAACATTAAATATGTACATTGCTTTAGAGCTATTTTCTCTGTGCGTTATTTTTTTAAAATTTTATTATTATTATACTTTAAGTTTTAGGGTACCTGTGCACAGTGTGCAGGTTTGTTACATATGTATACATGTGCCATGTTGGTGTGCTGCACCCATTAACTCATCATTTAGCATTAGGTATATCTCCTAATGCTATCCCTCCCAGCTACCCCCACCCCACAACAGGCCCTGGTGTGTGATGTTCCCCTTCCTGTGTCCATGTGTTCTCATTGTTCAATTCCCACCTACGAGTGAGAACATGCGGTGTTTGGTTTTTTGTCCCTGTGATAGTTTGCTGAGAATGATAGTTTCCAGTTTCATCCATGTCCCTACAAAGGACATGAACTCATCATTTTTTATGGCTGCATAGTATTCCATGGTGTATATGTGCCACATTTTCTTAATCCAGTCTATCGTTGTTGGACATTTGGGTTGGTTCCAAGTCTTTGCTATTGTGAGTAGTGCCGCAATAAACATACGTGTGCATGTGTCTTTATAGGAGCATGATTTATAATCCTTTGGGTATATATCCAGTAATGGGATGGCTGGGTCAAATGGTATTTCTAGTTCTAGATCCCTGTGGAATCGCCACACTGACTTCCACGATGGTTGAACTAGTTTTCAGTCCCACCAACAGTGTAAAAGTGTTCCTATTTCTCCACATCCTCTCCAGCACCTGTTGTTTCCTGACTTTTTAATGATTGCCATTCTAACTGGTGTGAGATGGTATCTCATTGTGGTTTTGATTTGCATTTCTCTGATGGCCAGTGATGATGAGCATTTTTTCATGTGTTTTTTGGCTGCACAAATGTCTTCTTCTGAGAAGTGTCTGTTCATATACTTTGCCCACTTGTTGATGGGGTTGTTTGTTTTTTTCTTGTAAATTTGTTTGAGTTCATTGTAGATTCTGGATATTAGCCCTTTGTCAGATGAGTAGGTTGCAAAAATTTTCTCCCATTTTGTAGGTTGCATGTTCACTCTGATGGTACTTTCTTTTGCCGTGCAGAAGCTCTTTAGTTTAATTAGATCCCATTTGTCAATTTTGGCTTTTGTTGCCATTGCTTTTGGTGTTTTAGACATGAAGTCCTTGCCCATGCCTATGTCCTGAATGGTATTGCCTAGGTTTTCTTCTAGGGTTTTTATGGTTTTAGGTCTAACATGTAAGTCTTTAATCTATCTTGAATTAATTTTTGTATAAGGTGTAAGGAAGGGATCCAGTTTCAGCTTTCTACATATGACTAGCCAGTTTTCCCAGCACCATTTATTAAATAGGGAATCCTTTCCCCATTGCTTGTTTTTGTCAGGTTTGTCAAAGATCAGATGGTTGTAGATATGCGGCATTATTTCTGAGGGCTCTGTTCTGTTCCCTTGGTCTATATCTGTTTTGGTACGAGTACCATGCTGTTTTGGTTACTGTAGCCTTGTAATATAGTTTGAAGTCAGGTAGCTTGATGCCTCCAGCTTTGTTCTTTTGGCTTAGGATTGACTTGGCAATGCAGGCTCTTTTTTGGTTCCATATGAACTTTAAAGTAGTTTTTTCCAGTTCTGTGAAGAAAGTCATTGGTAGCTTGATGGGGAAGGCATTGAATCTATAAATTACCTTGGGCAGTATGGCCATTTTCACGATATTGATTCTTCCTACCCATGAGCATGGAATGTTCTTCCACTTGTTTGCATCCTCTTTTATTTCATTGAGCAGTGGTTTGTAGTTCTCCTTGAAGGAGTCCTTCACGTCCCTTGTAAGTTGGATTCCTAGGTATTTTATTCTCTTTGAAGCAATTGTGAATGGGAGTTCACTCATGATTTGGCTCTCTGTTTGTCTGTTATTGGTGTATAAGAATGCTTGTGATTTTTGTACATTGATTTTGTATCCTGAGACTTTGTTATTTTTAACCTGCTGTCACTCTTAGAGTCTAGCTTCACATAGAAAGAACAGTGAGTTAAGAGAAACAGGGATGTAAAAGGGAATAGAAGGAACACAGTTATTGCAAAGAGTTACCAATTGGCCATTGTACTTGATACATAAATAAGAAACAACTTTAGTTAATATTTTGATCCCGGTGAAATTATGTTTTGTTATAGGGGGAATAAAATAATAGAAAGAGAAATATAGAAAATTTGAACAATTTGCTTTCTCTAATCTTTTGTATGTATACACACACACCAATCTTAGATACATTTAGATATATTTCATTGGGACAAATATATGTACATATTATATAGATTATAACCCTTCAGGGCAATTTATAAAGAATCCCACCAATTAGGATACTAATATATATTATTTAATTATATATTAATATATAAGAACTTATAAAATATATGTAATAATACAGCCTCATAGTTGTATCTTTTTGATTACTTAATCTTTATAGGCTGAGAGTATATATAAATTTTATACATAACCAAAGAGACAGACTTGACCCACAGCCCAAATATCATGGTTATATTATAATATATATACACACATAATATATAATAATATATACGTAATATATAATAATGTATATATAATGAATATATGTTGTAATATATACTATATATCAGATATATACTTATATATTTGTTAATATATAACATTTTCTTATAATTTAGTATATAATATATAAATATATAATATTTATATATTTTTATCTAGTTATATATATTTTTGTCTATTTATAATTATAGATAAGAATATGTGTATGTATACATATGTGTGTACATATGTATATGTGTATATATACATTTATGTGTATGTATGTGTTTTTGTGTGTATATATATAGATATATATACACACATTAGGATACTAAAATTTATATATCAGTGTCCTAATTGGTTAGATTTGATATTAATAAAAAGCAATCTTTGTGCTCTAAAGAATAAAATAATCATATTGAAACATCTGATTATGATACTAATTTAATGAATTTCTGTTACCAAGCAAAATGTGGAACCATCCAAAGAAAACTGTGGATCGTTACAGTTCTATTAGTTTATGTTTCATGTATTTTGTTCTTGGGTGCACGTACATTTAGGATTGGCGTGTCTTTTTGGCAAATTGATCCTTTATCACTGTGTGATGTTCCTATTCATTCTTAAAGTCTTTCTTGCTCTTAAGTTTTCTTTGATGTTTATATGGTCATTCCATCTGTGGTTGACTCTCAATGACTCACACACTTGTATCATGTCCTCCCTTGAGGCTGAGCAGCAAATATCATGAAACTATATTATGTTCTATGACAAAAGTTTAGAGGTTTTGCAGATGTAACTAAGGTCCTCAAAGAGTTGATTTTTAGTTAGTTAATCAAAAGTGTGATTATCTGAACAAATCAGGCAAACCCTTAAAAACAGAGAAAGGAATTAGCAGCAGATTGTCCACTAATAGCCTCAATAAGGCAAATGGCCATTTTGTTGAGAAGACCATGTGTCAGGAAATGGCGAGTAGCCTTCAGATGTTGAGAGCCTCAGTCCTACCACCACAAGGAGCTGAATTATGCCAAAACCAGTGAGCATGGAAGGGAAACCCAAGCTTCACCTGAGATTGCAATCCTGGTAGGCACCTTTATTTCAGATTATTGAGTCCCTGAGCATAAGATTTAGCTAAACTATACCTGGACTACTGACCTACAGACATTGTGATATAATAAATTTGTTTTGTTTTAATCCACTAAATTTAAGATAATTTATTATGCCCTGCTAGAAACCAATCCAACACTAGTTTTCCTTTGTTCTGTGTTTTCATGGTATATCTTTTCCATCTTTCTTTTTATTTTTAAGGTACCCATATTACTATATTTTGTATTTTGTTGTTGATAGCATGTAGTTGATTTCTTAAATTATTCTGACAATTTTTGTTTTTCAATTGGTATGCTTAGGCCACTTATTTGAGGTACATCAATATAATTATTTAGGTTTGTATTTATGTCTACAATTGTATTATTTGCTGTTTATTCTCTCAGTTTCTTAGCTGCAATCCATGGGAGAACAAAGGTACAATGTGAATAATTCATCTTGATCAAAACTAAATCAAGAATCTGTTCACTTTTAAATAATTCAGAAGAAGAAAAAAATTATATTTACTAATGTATTTACTTTTCTAGTTATTTCTATTTCTTCCAATAAATAAGAATTTCCATTTGGTGTTATTTTCTTTTAGACCAAAAGCCTTTCAATTTTCAATTGTAATTTTTTGCATATGGACCAGGACCAGCTTTCAAAAACTCCTGTTTTGTTTTGTCAATCTAGAATTATCTATATTTTGCTTCCATTTTTGAAAGTTATTTTAACTAGCTATAAAATTCTATGATGGTGATTTTCTTTTTACTGCATTTTGAACATGTTCCATTGTTCTTAGACAGCCTTTTATTTTTCTATTTTTCCGCCCCGTGAATTTTTTTTTTTTTTTTTTTTTTTTTTTTTTTTTTTAGCATGGCTTTCATCAATATGCCTAGGTATGGTGTTCTTTGTATGTACTCAGTTGAGATTTACTGAGTTTCCTGGATCTGATACGTATTCAGATACACATTGTTCTTACACTCTTCAAGTGATCGTGCTTTAGCACTCTTACTGTTCTTATAGAACATGGTTTACTACTCTAGCCATGTTCTTTTGTAAAATTAGTTAATTCATTATTTAATCATTTCAAATTTTATTTTAGATTTAGGGGGTATATGTACATGTTTGATACATGGGTATATTGCATGATGGTGAGGTTTGGGGTACAGATCCTGTCACCCAGCAAGTGAGTATATTACCAAATAGGTAGTTTTTCAACCAATTCTCCTTTCCCTCTCACCCCTGTCTAGTAGTCTGCAATGTCCATTATTCTCATCTTTATGTTGATTTATACTCATTGTTTAGCTCTCACTTATAAGTGAGAACATGCAGTATTTGGTTTTCTGTTCCTGAGCAATTCACTTAGGATAATGGCTTCCAGCTGCACCCATGCTGCTGCAAAGGACATGATTTTGTTCTTTTTTATGCTGCATAGTATTCCATGGTGTATATGTAGCAAATTTTCTTATCCAATCAACCATTTGGGGGCACCTAGGTTGATTCCATGTCTTTGCTATTATGAATAGTGCTGTGATAAACATACAAGTGCATGTGTCCTTTCGACAGAGTGATTTATTTTCCTTTGGGTATACACCCAGTAATGGGATTAATGAGTCAAATGGTAGCTTTGTTTTAGGTTCTTACACATTCTGAGACTAAGCTCATTCATGCTTCTCTAAATATGTAATATGAACACCTTTGAGTTTAGAAAGCAGAACTTTAACTACAAAGTTCCACTAAGACCTGTACAAAAGATTTCCTTCTTCTATGGCAGACTAAGGAGTGATATAACACTTCCCTGAAGAATGGTGTTAAAAATTGCAACAGAAATATAACAATCCTCCCCAACCCCACAGCCTATCGCCTGGCTCTGGATACCTAAAAGATGCATGCATGCATTCATTCATTTCAGAAATACTCATTAATAAGGCCATGTCCTGTAGGCACTGCGTCCGTAGTGATGAATAAGACAGACAAATCTGTGGGTCAGTTTCATAAATAATGATTGCTAGCAGGAAATAATACAGAATAGGGACAAAAGGAAGGAAGCCACTTTAGATTGATCAGTAAAGATAACTTTGAGGAGGAACCATTCGGCTAAATGGTGAGAAGTAGACAGTAGTGCAAATATTGGAAAGAACATTTAAGCTAGATAAAATAACACTGTAAAAAAGCATAACTGACATATCAAAGAAATTTAAAATATCATAAGGAACTCTTTTGAACAACTCCATGTAAATACATGTAACCAACTAGATAAAATTGATAATTCCTTAGGAAATTGGTAGAGATAATAAATAGAGCAATCTCCATAAAAGAAATAGAAAATATCATAAAGTAACTCCCCCTCAAATAAAAATAAATAAATCAAAATTAAAACTACCATGTCCCAATAGTTTCAGAGGGGAATTCTATGAAGTCTTTAAAGATCAGATTATCCTAGAGCTGCTTAGATAGTCCAGAGTACAAAAAAAGAAAAGCTTCAAAATTGAAAAACTATTTTCATAAAATTAATATAAAATTGACAACAAAATCTGACAACTATTGAAGACACAAAGCACAGACCCATGCAATTTATGGCAGGTACCATATGCATATTTTGTTTAATTCTTGGAACAAACCTGAAAAGTTGGAGTTATTATTTCATTTTACATGTGAGAAAATTGAGGCTAAGTAAAGTTGCCCAGTGTTTTAGAACTTGTAAGGAAGCAACAAATTTTACCATGTTGACACAGCATACTTCCAGGGCTATCACTCCCAGGTTGTCAACTTCATCTATTCATTAATTCATAAATTAATTCATTCTACACACATTTCTTGAATGCCTACTATGTGTCAGGAACTGTACTAGGTGCTGAAGGATAGACAACAAAATAGAATAATAAACAAAAAATAGAATAAACAACAAAACAGACAAAAATTCCTGCTTGCCTGGAATTGATATTCTAGTGAGGGAGACAGACTATATGCAAAATAAAAAGTAAAACATGTAATTTGAATGGTAATATTGTTCTGGAAAAATAATGTGTATACCTGGCTTGGACCTTTACTCAAGCATGTCAATTGTAACAAGACATCTCAAGAAATTGAGAAATTTGAACACAGACTAAAATAATATGATAGTTAATTTTATTAGATTAGATAATGGCATGTGGAGTACTCTAAACAGAAGTGAGACATAAATGCAGAAAACCTGCTCTTGGATGCTGATGTGAAAGTCAAAATTTCAGACTTTGGCTTAAGTAGCAAATTTGTCTTTGGCAACAAGATGGATACCTCCTGTGGCAGTCCCCCATGGGACCCTAAATTCTTCCAGGGCCAAAGGTATGATGGGCTTGAGGTTGATGTGTAGAACTTGGGAGTCATATATACACTGATCAGTGGGGCTCTGCCTTTTGATGCACAGAAATTCAAGGAGCTGTGAGAGGAAGTACTGAGAGTGCAATACCATATTCCCTTGTACATATCCATGGAATGTGGAAACCTGCTCAAGAAATTTATCCTTCTAAATCCCAGCAAGAGAGTCATATTAGAGAAAATAATTAAAGATTGATGGATGAATGTAGACCATTAAGATAATAAACTAAAGCCAGATGTAGAGCCATTCCCTGACTATTAGGACTCCAGTGGACTGAGTTGACAGTGTCTGTGGTTACATACTGGAAGAGACCCAGGACTCACTCATGGGCCAGGAGTACAATGAAGTGATGGCCACCTATCTGTTCCTTAGCTAGAAGAGGTCTGAGTTGGAGGACTGCACCATCATTCTGAAGCCCAGTTTTCAGTTGATTTGAGCAATAGCAGTGTACCTTTCCATCCCATAGAGTACAGCACAGCAACTCTGCCAACCCCATACAGCTGAGTTCCAGAAAGCCTGCCAATTCCCACCTTTAATTCCCACTCTCAGAATACCCAAAGTAGCAATGCAGAAAATCAGTGGCCTGTGGAGGACCAGGAGTCAGGGACGAAGACCAACAGTATAGCCAGTGGGTCTGCCAGGCCCCTCCATGGTCTGGAGAGGAAGAAAAAAAACCCTCCAAAGCAATTTCTCCACAAACACAAATCAAAGCAGAAATTTACAACTTTTGGAGAGGGCCAGCCTTGGTGAGTTATCCACTCAGCATGGAAAAGACTGCCTGACTATGCCGGGGTTTGGGTCTCCATGGCTTCTGCTTCCACCATAGTGTCCCCAGTTCCTCTCAGCCTGCACCAGTGCCTTAGTGCATTATAGCCACTATAATCAAATACCTTAGACTTGGTAATTTATAAACAACAGAAATGTATTGTTCACAGTTCTAGACACTGGGAAGTCCAAGATCTATGGCTGTAGCAAATCCAGTGTCTGGTGAGGGCTCATTCTCTGCTTCATAGATGGCTCCTTCTCATTGTGTCCTCAAATGGCAAAGGGACAAACAAGCTCCCTCAGGTCTCTTTTGTAAGGGCATGAGTCCCATTCATGAAGGCAGAGCTCTCATGATCTAATCACTTTCCAAAGGCCTTATCTCTTAATACTATTGCATTGCTTGTAACATATAAGTTTTAACATATAAATTTTGGGAGGACACAAACACTCAGACCATAGCAACCAACAATTAAGATGGCCTTGGTTCAGCATAATCCTGCCTCAGACCTGACCCCAGGAGAATAACTCTCTATTCCAGTGCAAGGCCCCAGGATGTTCCTGGGTTTTGGCCTATGCTTCACAAACAGCCTTTGCAGTAGTGGTGGTTTCTGACAGAACCAACTTTCTCAGAGTGTGTTCAAAGGAAACTTCATTCTCACTGGCATACTCCAATAGATGTATGACTTGCAGAATTTGCCATATGATGTGACCCCAGTCTAGGGCCAGCTATTGGGAACTTCTTCAGCAAGTTCTCATTCAAATGCATACACAGAAATCTCGGTTTCACAATGAGAACACATGGACACAGGGAGGGGAACAACACACGTCGGGGCCTGTTAGGGGATGCAAGGGGAGGGAGAGCATCAGGACAAATAGCTAATGCATGCAGGGCTTAATAACTAGGTGACAGGTTGATAGGTGCAGCAAACCACTATGGCACACGTTTATCCATATAACAAACCTGCACATTCTGCACATGCATCCCAGAACTTAAAAAGAGGAATCTCAGTTTCAGGTTTGCTTGAAACAACCTGAAATAACCAGAAACCAAAGACCAAGTGAAGATATGGTCTTATGTGGTGGGCAGCCAAGGCAATGATAAAGAGAAATAATTTCTCAAGGCCAAAATGTGTCCACCACACTTTCCATGGAGAATGAAGATCATGAGCACCATGGAACCTAAGGTGGAGAAGGTGCAGTAGGTAAACGGCAGTGTGTGAAATGTACAAGGAGTATGTGCCATTTTGCATGCAGGGCTTGCTGGGCCAAAGGCACTTCATGCAATGGAAGGTGGAGGTGTGTAAACTGCCCTGGTGATCTCTCTGCAGAGTTCAATTAAAGCAGGTATCAAGCACTTTCATGGCAAAAAAGGAGTGGAATCTTTAAAAGCCTTCCAGTATCCTCCTGGGAGACAGGAGGGGGCAGCTGGCATAGCTGCCAAGCCTGCCATTCAGTCCCTACCTGGGAGAAACTGTATGGATTAAATTGATGGGCTTCCTCCAGGGGCACTTCTCTCCTCTCTGCCCTCCTCTTTCATGTTTGTGAGGGAGAGAAAATGGTTTTGTAGAAATAAACATAGTGCAAATGAAAACAGGCTACCTAGTCAAAGTTGCTGGAGCAAGGTAGTCAGAGCCCATCACTTGCCTTTGGCAGAGATTCCAATGTAGGCAGGGCAGTAGGAAAGCTTTATATTAAAAGAGGAAGGCTTCGGAACTCATCGGAAGCTGTTGGCATGAGGAACCTGGGGCTTCTTATATGATTGGTATGTGGAGCATATTTGAGTTTTTCTGGTTGCCTCAAGTTGGGAAGGGTTTGAGAAGACAAGAGCAAAAAATTAGACCACTGGCAGTTATTGACCAAGTTCTGACTTTTCTAGGTCAATTACTTGCACAGGTTGTAGTTTAGCTGCCTAGACTTATTGCTGCGGGTATGGTGAATCAGACTATGTTGAGTCCCTCAATTCTTTACCTGCGCAGAAATCTACTTTTCTTTCCTCTTACTAAAAGGAGGCAAAAGAAAGGAAGGTAGAGTGGGTAAAGACAGAACACTCCTTGAATAATGCAGGTGCACAGAATTTTCCACCTAAAGTAGATGTTTTTTAATTATCAAAGAAAAAGAAAAAAATATTCTGTGGCCACCTTTCCTCCCTGTCCCATTGAAACAGTAGAGATGGCTTATGAGGTTTCCCAGGAAGGTGGCTCATGGCTTGGAACACTCTCAGGCTGGAGTGATGGAGCTCCCTGTTAGGCCTTCCCAAGGTGTACCTTTACCCTCTCCTCTCCTTTACCTTCTCCTCTCCTTTCTCCTTTCCAAGGTGCTTCACCCTCTCCTCTCCTTTCTCTTTTCCAAGGGAACCCAGAGGTGGCCTGCTCCTGGGCTCAGGCTCCTGGACTTAAAGCCTGGTTGGCTGTGGCTGGGTATAGGGTAGCCCAGGGTAGGTGGGACTAGTGGGACTCACTCTTGGGCTGCAGAGATGGGGGTGACGGGCTTTGGCCTCCCTCTATGCTGAACCCTCTTTCCTCACTCCTTCCATGGAGCTGGGCATTTCCTCCTGCAAGCTTCTGTGCAGGAGGTATTTGCTCCCCTCAAGAATGCATGCCATGCTTCCTCTGTCAACCTCATGGAAAGAAGGAAGGGAGGGGAGGGTACTACAGGGGCATTCAGCTTCTCATGTCATAGTAATCCCATATCATCATGCATCTGATAATTTTTAAAGTTTATTGTGGTCATTTTACATTAAAAAATAATAAAAGTTAAGCAGTAGATTTTGAGGTTATTAGGGACGTAATATCTTTAATCACTCTTTTAGGACCTTGGTATTTAATCACCAGTAAGCAATAGCTTCAAAGTTTTGAGATCATCAAGGGACAGATATCTTTATTCTTACCAGAAATTGCTTTAAGTAGAGTAGAGGTATTGTTGCAGCTTCAGAAAGTCTCACTTCACCTCTGGCTTCACTCCAAATTTTTGAGACCACCTAAGGACAGATATCTTTGTTCTTAGCAGAAATTGCATTAACTAGGGATATTGTTGCAGTTTCAGGTAGTCTCGCTTCACCTCTGGCTTTGGATGTTTGAAGGTGACTTAAAGCATCTTTTTTGTGGAGTGCAAGTTTCCTAGATCTTGAACTTGCTAGACTGAGACTAAGAGATACCAGGTCTGCAAGTCCATAAAATTTTAAGAGCACAAAACCACAAGATTCAGAGAAAATGAGAACTCAAGCCTGTGAAACTGCAAAAGAGCAGCCCGTAAGAATGCAGGAGTGTGGTATCACCATGAGACTGGGAGACCACAAGACTGCAAGGCCGTGGGACTGACATTATCAGACATTGAAATTGGGAGACCGAGACTGCAGATCTCTTTCTGCTTTCCAGCTATGCTTTCAGTCTCTGCTTACTCAGCAAAGTTTCACTGTAAAGGAATTCCTCATTATGGAGAATTGCCTTTGCATTTGAGTCTTCTTTAGATTCAAATTTGAAACACCAGCTTGCAGGCTTGTCAACATTTTGAGAGATTTACTTCTGAGCAAAGAATTCCCTGACAAGCTCAATCCTCCACCTGATCTGTTCCCAGCCTCAGCAATTGGCCCTGTTTGTGAATGCATCTTCTGTTATCACCCATGGAGCACTTACCTCTCAAGAGTTAAGATTTCTTAGACTCCTTCATGTCCACAATTATCAAATGCCTTTGAGGAAAAAGTATGTATTTATGCTTTAGTAAGAAATTCTAGTTGTTTGGGAGGTAATGAAATCCTTATCTTCTCCATCTTAACTAAAAGTAAAAATTCCAACTTGATTTCTGGTAGCTTTAGGAAAAACTCTGTCACATCTATGGCTTCAGCAGTGAGTAAGTGGTCAGGGATATATTTGGGTAACAATCTCTTAGTTTTGGAGAAATTACAACCCTTACCCAAACAGAAAGAGGGCAGGGGTTGGCAGTGTGGGTCATGGATTAGAGTTTTTTGGCAATCTCATTGTTGCAGAAGCTCTCTCTTAAATCCCTGTCTTGAATCAACACCTGGGAAAAGAAACCGAATCCATGTACAACAGTGGGGAGAGGTGGTGGGTTTAGGATAGACCCTGGCTGTCTTCCAAAGAGATAACAAACTGAGACCACTTTTATGATAAATGTCATGGTGCTTTTGCAAAAAAGATCTCTGTTATTAAAAATTATACACCTCCTTTTGTTTCAGAGTTAGTTGGCTGGGATTGATTTTTTTTCTGTTACTATAAACATAAAATAAAATAAAATATGAACCCATGTAATCTGAAGACTTTCTAAAGAAATCCTTTAGTAGTCAGTGCCAACATTAAATGTAAATCAACTTATTTCACTCCACTGCACTTCAGAAACCAATTTCAATTTCTCTCACATTACAAGCCAAGAACTTTATGATGACAAACATAGTTTGGGGTAGAATCTCCCTGAGCCTCTTCTCCAAGCTCACATCTTACAGTTCTGCCATTGTAGCCTACCTCCTACTATTACTTAACAGGCCAGACTTTCACATGGAGTGTTCCCTCTCCCGTTGCCACAGATTTCCATATGGCCAATTTCTTAGTCTTTGCCCACATGTCATGCTCTCCATAAACATTCCTATTTATAAGCCCACTGACTTGGTACCATCTCCTTTAAGAGCATTTATTACCATCGAATATCCTATATATGTTACTTGTTTTGTTTATTATTTATTTCCTGTTTCCCCAACTCCCCCTAAAATGAGAGTCCAATAATAAAAGAAATCTTAGTCTTTTTGATTCACTAGTGTATCCTAAGGGCTCAGACGAATGCCTAGCCAGTAGCAATAACTCAATACAGTCACGCATCACTTAACATTGAAGATAGATTCTGAGAAATGTGTCATTAGGTGATTTTTTCATTGTGTAAATATAGAGTGTACTTACACAATCCTATATAGTATAGCCTACTACACAGTTAGGTTATATGGTATAAACAACTACACATCTAGGCTATATGCTTTAACCTACTACACACCTAGACTATATGGTTTAGCTTACTGTATACCTAGATTATGTGGTGTAGACTACTACACACCTAGGCTATATAGTTTAGCCTACTCCTCACCTAGGCTGCATGGGATAGTCTATTATATACCTAGATTATATGGTTTAGCTTACCACACACCTAGGCTATATGGTTTAGACTATTAAACACCTAGACTACATGGTTTAGCTTATTATACACCTAGATCATATGGTATAACCCATTACACACCTAGGCTATATGGCTTATCCTACTACACACATAAGCTATATGGTTTAGCTTATTACACACCTAGATTATAAGGTGTGGCCTACTATACACCTAGGCTATATGGTTTATCCTACTACACACATAGGCTATATGATTTAGCTTATTACCCACCTAGGTTATATGGTGTAGCCTACTATACACCCAGGATACATGGTTTATCCTACTACATACCTAGGCTATATAGATAAGCTTATTACACACCTAGGCTATATGGTGTAGCCTATGACACACCTAGGGTATACAGTTTATTTTACTACACACCTAGGCTACATGGTATAGCTTAATACACACCTAGGTTATATGGTATAGCCTACTAGGCTATATGGCTTAGCTTACTATATACCTACATTATATAGCATAGACTACTATACACCAAGGCTATATTGTATAGCCTTCTACACATCTATGTTATAGTCGCCTACCACACACCTAGGCTATATGGTTTATCCTATTACATACCTAAGCTATATGGTTAAGCCTACTATATGCCTAGATTATATAGTAAAACATACTATACACCTAGGTTTAGCTTACTACACAGCTAGTTTATTTCATATAGCCTACTACACACCTAGTTTATATGGTATAAATGATTGCACAATGAGGCTATATGGTTTAGCTTAATACATACCTAGATCATATGGTATAGCCTACCACACAGCTAGATTATATGGTATAGCCTATTGCTCCTAGGCTACAAACCTGTACAGTGCTGAATATTGTAGGTAATTTTAATATAGTGGTATGTGTTTATCAAAACAAATCTAAACATAGAAAAGGTCAACATACCAGAATCTCTGAGACACATTCAAAGAAGTGTGTAGAGGGAAATTTATAGCACTAAATGCCCACAAGAGAAAGCAGGAAAGATCTAAAATTGAAACCCTAACATCCCAGTTAAAAGAACTAGAGAAGCAAGAGCAAACACATTCAAAAGCTAGCAGAAGCCAAGAAATAACTAAGATCAGAGCAGAAGTGAAGGAAATAGAGATACAAAAAACCCTTCAAAAAATCAATGAATCCAGGAGCTGGTTTTTTGAAAAGATCAACAAAATTGACAGACCACTAGCAAGACTAATAAAGAGGAAAAGAGAGAAGAATCAAATAGACGCAATAAAAAATGATAAAGGGGATATCACCTCCGATCCCACAGAAATACAAAATACCATCAGAGAATACTATAAACACCTCTACGCAAATAAACTAGAAAATCTGGAAGAAATGGATAAATTCCTCGACACATACGCCCTCCCAAGACTAAACCAGGAAGAAGTTGAATCTCTGAATAGACCAATAACAGGGTCTGAAATTGAGGCAATAAGTAATAGCTTACCAACGAAAAAATGTCAAGGACCAGATGGATTCACAACCGAATTCTACCAGAGGTACAAGGAGGAGGTGGTACCATTCCTTCTGAAAGTATTCCAATCAACAGAAAAAAAGGGGATCCTCCCTAACTCATTTTATGAGGCCAGCATCTTCCTGATACCAAAGCCTGGCAGAGACACAACAAAAAAAGAGAATTTTAGACCAATACCCCTGATGAACATCCATGCAAAAATCTTCAATAAAATACTGGCAAACCGAATCCAGCAGCACATCAAAAAGCTTATCCACCATGATCAAGTGGGCTTCATCCCTGGGATGCAAGGCTGGTTCAATATATGCAAATCAATAAATGTAATCCATCATATAAACAGAACCAACGACAAAAACCACATGATTATCTCAATAGATGCAGAAACGGCCTTTGACAAAATTCAACACCCTTCATGCTAAAAGCTCTCAATAAATTAGGTATTGATGGGACATATCTCAAAATAATAAGAGCTATCTATGACAAACCCACAGCCAATATCATACTGAATGGGCAAAAACTGGAAGCATTCCCTTTGAAAACTGGCACAAGACAGGGATGCCCTCTCTCACCACTCCTATTCAACATAGTGTTGGAAGTGCTGGCCAGGACCATCAGGCAGGCTAAGGAAATAAAGTGTATTCAATTAGGAAAAGAGGAAGTCAAATTGTCCCTGTTTGCAGATGACATGATTGTGTATCTAGAAAACCCATTGTCTCAGCCTAAAATCTCCTTAAGCTGATAGGCAACTTCAGCAAAGTCTCAGGATACAAAATCAATATGCAAAAATCACAGGCATTCTTATACACCAATAACAGACAAACAGAGAGCCAAATCATGAGTGAACTCCCATTCACAATTGCTTCAAAGAGAATAAAATACCTAGGAATCCAACATACAAGGGATGTGAAGGACCTCTTCAAGGAGAACTACAAACCACTGCTCAATGAAATAAAAGAGGATACAAAAAAATGGAAGAACATTCCATGCTCATGGGTAGGAAGAATCAATATCGTGAAAATGGCTATACTGCCCAAGGTAATTTATAGATTCAATGCCATCCCCATCAAGCTACCAATGACTTTCTTCACAGAATTGGAAAAAACTACTTTAAAGTTCATATGGAACCAAAAAAAGAGCCCGCATTGCCAAGTCAATCCTAAGCCAAAAGAACAAAGCTGGAGGCATCATGCTACCTGACTTCAAACTATACTACAAGGCTACAGTAATCAAAACAGCATGGTACTGGTACCATAACAGAGATATAAACCAATGGAACAAACCAGAGCATCAGAAATAATGCCACTTATCTACAACTATCTGATCTTTGACAAACCTGACAAAAACAAGCAATGGGGAAAGGATTCCCTATTTAATAAATGGTGCTGGGAAAACTGGCTAGCCCTATGTAGAAAGCTGAAACTGGATCCCTTCCTTACATCTTATACAAAAATTAATTCAAGATGGATTAAAGACTTAAATGTTAGACCTAAAACCATAAAAACCCTAGAAGAAAACCTAGGAAATACCATTCAGGACATAGGCATTGGCAAGGACTTCATGTCTAAAACATCAAAAGCACTGGCAACAGAAGCCAAAATTGACAAATGAGATCTAATCAAACTAAAGAGCTTCTGCACAGCAAAAGAAACTACCATCAGAGTGAAAAGGCAACCTACAGAATGGGAGAAAATTTTTGCAATCTACTCATCTGACAAAGGGCTAATATCCAGAATCTACAATGAACTCAAACAAATTTACAAGAAAAAAACAACCCCATCATAAAGTGGGCAAAGGATATGAACAGATACTTCTCAAAAGAAGACATTTATGCAGCCAAAAGACACATGAAAAAATGTTCATCATCACTGGCCATCAGAGAAATGCAAATCAAAACCACAATGAGATACCATCTCACACCAGTTAGTATGGCGATCATTTAAAAGTCAGGAAACAACAAGTGCTGGAGAAGATGTGGAGAAATAGGAACACTTTTACACTGTTGATGGGACTGTAAACTAGTTCAACCATTGTGGAAGTCAGTGTGGCGATTCCTCAGGGATCTAGAACTAGAAATACCATTTGATCTAGCCATCCCATTACTGGGTATGTACCCAAAGGATTATAAATCATGCTGCTATAAAGACACATGCACACGTATGTTTATTGAGGTACTATTCACAATAGCAAAGACTTGGAACCAAGCCAAATGTCCAACAATGATAGACTGGATTAAGAAAATGTGGCACATATACACCATGGAATACTATGCAGCCATAAAAAATGATGAGTTCATGTCCCTTGTAGGGACATGGATGAAGCTGGAAACCATCATTCTCAGCAAAGTATCGCAAGGACAAAAAAACAAACACCGCATGTTCTCACTCATAGGTGGGAATTGAACAATGAGAACACATGGACACAGGAAGGGGAACATCACACACCAGGGCCTGTTGTGGGATGGGGGTAGGGTGGAGGGATAGCATTAGGAGATATACCTAATGTTAAATGACGAGTTAATGGGTGCAGCACACCAACATGGCACATATATACATATGTAACAAAACTGCACGTTGTACACATGTACCCTAAAACTTAAAGTATAATAAAAAAAGAATAAAAATAAATAAGAATAAGAATTGAGAGTGCAGAAATAAGCTCATATATATGTATGAACAACTGATTTTTGACAAGGGTGTTTGGACCAAAAAGCGTGAAGAATAAAAGAAAAATAGATAATTTTTACTTCAATAAAATTAAAACACTTGTGTTTAAAAGGACACTATCAAGAAAGTGAAAATTCAGAGAAAATATTTGCACATCCTATACCTAAGGAACATGTATCTAGAATAGATAAGGACTTCTTCAAACTCAATAATAAAAAGACAACTCAATTTTTTAAATGGGCAAAGGATCTGAATGGTTATTTTTCCAAAGGAGATATACAAATGACTAATAAACACATGAAGAGGTACTCTATGTGACTAGTCATCAGGACAATGATCAAAGCCACAATGAAATATCACCTTATCACCTCACAACTATCAGGCAGCTAGAATCAGAAAGTCAGATAACAACAAGTCTAGTGAGGATGTGGAGAAAATAGAACTCATTCATTTCTGGTGAGAATGTAAAATATAGTAATGTAATTTATTAAGAATAGTTGGAGTATGGGAGTACTAAGGACCTTCCAGACATAGTGCAAGTTAATCTGCAGGACTTGACTACTCTGGGATAATGTGTGTCTTCTGTTTGAAAGAGATGTTTGAATTGACATCTGAAGGATGATTACCATTAACTTGGTAAAGGAGAGGAAGACCATTTCAAGCAAAGGGTATTATTTGCATAAATACCCTGAGCATGAAATGAAAATGATGCATTGGATAGGCAGAAGAGGGAGCTTGCTTGGTTGAAAAGCAGTAAGTAAAGTTACAAATGGCTGATGTAAGGCTTGTAGTACAGACAGGAAGCAGATTGTGTAAAACTTGGTGCTTTATATTAAATAGTGCTTTTAAATCTGATTTACTTTCCATACTGATATGCAATACTTCTCTAACTCCTTCAACCATGATTGATTAACCCATTCTTATTGACCTATGTGGAGAGGATGCATTTGAAGTGCAATATTTTAACTCAGACGGTTTCAAAGGATTGTAATTTTATTATTTTTAAACTTAGAAGTTACAAATGCTCACATAGTGCTTCTTATACTCCTAGAGAGATGTTTAATGGAGTGGATGAGGCTCATCAGTAATTAGCAGCAACATTTGCATATAATTAGTCCTTTGATGCCTTATAAACCAGTTTCTCTCTTAAGTAAACTTCAGAGTTATGTTTACATTTTCAATTATTTTTTCCGAAAGAACATATTTCACAAAAGGAGTGAGTTGAAAGGATTTTACCAGCATCATTTTGCTCCTTTGGGAGATTCTAAATGCATATGCAAAATCTTCTGGAAGAGAATCTGTTTTGATCAGAAATCAGTGACTGAGGAAGCCTCCCTGAGGTTTTAGACACACACACACACACACAGCATGAAGAGATTTTCAACAAGGCAAAAATACAAATGTTGGGATCGGGACAATCAGGGAAGAAATACAATGACCTCTTTAAAGCAAGTGAAGGAAATATATATATATATATATATATATATATATACACACACACACACACACACACACACATATATTTAAATCAAATGAAAGAAATATATTTAATATATATTGAAAATACATATATAGAAAAAACAGGAAATAAGTAGCCGTAGGCAGACCTTTCAAAGACAAGTAATTTATTTATATACATACATAAAAACATATAATTTATGTTATAAAATTATATATGAATGTATATTTTTAAATTATATAAAATTATATGTAAATATATATTTTCTAATATAATTATATATTTTATATAATTAAATATATATTTTTTTCTTCACTTAATTTAAAGAGGTCCTTGTATTTCTGCCCTGATCCCAAAATTAGTATTTTCTCCATGTTGGAAATTTCTTTATGCTCTCTGTACCCTAATTATATTTAGTGCTACACAATGGGGACAGGAAAGGGAAATGGGAGAGTTGTAAACAAAAATATGAAACCAAAATCAAAAAATGTGCTGGTTTCTCATACTTGCTCCCCAATCAAATGGTAAAATGTATGTGATTGTATATGAGGGAGGCATGGATGTATAAGATTCGTGGACATAAAGCTGTTGAATTTGAGTATTTTTGTGTTTTTGTGATTTTACATTTGAATCATTGTGAGAGATGTGAATGTATGTGATGTGTATATAAACTTGTTCATAAAACTAGTAACCTGAGACTTTTCTGGTCTATATATTCGAAGTCATTTTTTCTTTGGATGTCTGCCTGTGAGCAGCTTGTGAAATGGAGACTAAATTACTTGTCTTTGAAATGCCTGCCTACAGCTACTTATTTCCTTTTTTTTTTATTGTTACTGGTCAACCTGTTAGTCAATTAACAACATTTATTGATTTTAACATGCTAAGCAGAAAGAGGTGCTAACTATAGAGACAGTGGCTTTAGAGAACTCATAGAAATAAAGAGAAATAGCAGGAATTAAATGGCTAAATATAGTCTAGTCTCTTGAATAAACAAATGACAATAGTTCTTTTTAAGAGCACTCAAGAATAAAAAGATGATATAGAACAGAGCCTTTGCAGAAAGGGTTATGATTCCTATTTTTCTGTGTCTCATCTTATGGGCTTCAAATGTCAAAATGTTGTTGGTAGGTTGGTTGGTTTTCATTTGGAGCCATTGGACATCTCATAAACTCCCATTCTCTAGTGAATACTGTTGAATACTGTTGAATATGACTTTTATGGGCCAATTCTTTTACTACTTGGCACTCTCAGTTATACATAAAGAAAGAAAAAACATAAGAAGTGAATGAAAGGAAGAAGAGGTGGACCCAGAAAAGAAAGGCCCCAAAGGACAGTCAAAATACAAGAGCACTGGAGTAGGAAGCTAGAGGCCTAAATTCTAGTAATTACTTGGCCATTAAGTAGTATATGCAACTATATCTTCTAACCTTACTGTTAGTGGACTTAAGTGGTTGCCCTAAGTTTTCAGAATGTGTTCTGTGGTAGTACTTCACAGGTCACCCTGGAGGATAAGAGATAGGATTGTTACCTATTTTATGATATACATTTAATTAGGAAAAGACTCTGGCCCTAATAGCAGCATGAAAATTATTGGATAGAGTATTCTCTCATACCCTTCCTTGTTGAAAAATTCTCAAAATTCAGCACTCAACTAGGAAGATTGGACCTGCTAGGTTGTGGCTTCTGGAAACTACAAAGCGGCACTGTCATTTGAGCACAGACTGGTCTCTTGAAGGTAGCAGTTTTCTCTCACAGTATTTAGAAATTCAGAGAGAATGATATGTTTAAAGACCACAGAGAGATATTTTAAAGATTTCAGTAATCTCTGACTACAAAGTGTTCTTTTTCCAGGTAGTCTTGTTTGGGGAGCTTCCACATTCAGCAAGAGTGTCAGAAAGCCATACTATAATGTGCCTAGAGAGGAAATTAATAGCAACATGGTGAGGACTCACTGCAAGAACCATAAGGGAAGTATATACTAGTTAAAGTAAACGCTGACAGATATAACAGATATGCCTCCAAAATCTCCGTGGATTAATGAAATAGAAGTTTATGTTGCTAACGTAAAGTCTAGAAAATGCATTTCTGATCAAAAGATTGTTCTCTACCAAGAGGTCATTTAGGGATAAAATGTCTTTCCATTTTCCAACTCTGCTGTCTTCAGTCTACAGCTTCCCAGGTCACTGTGCTCATCAGGAGAGAATGAAGTTGTCATGTGGGAAGTTTCTATGAATCAGTCCTGGAACCAATATACATCTCTTCTGCTCACATTCTGCACTAATCTGTCACATGACCATTTGATTACTGCAGGGCATACTGGGAGAGATAATCTGTGTGACTAGGAGAAAAAAAAAAGAGTTCAGAAGCCAGACTATGCTTCATAGCACTAAATCATCAGAAGACCTCTATAACATAGATTCCATTATTATGTCCAGTCTGTAGCTGAGAATATGGGACCAAAAAGAAATTAAATAGTAAGTTCCAAATATGGGATTTGAATCCATTTCCCAATACTGCCAAAAATACTTTTCCCAATAAAGCATGGAAAATTCAATATAATTCAGAAGGCCCTTCTCCCCACCTTCAATGCTTCATTCTTTGTAAATTACTGAATACTCTATATGTTAGAATTCTTTGCTTTTCTGCAAATCTAGTTGAAACTGGGTAGAGGGAAAGTGGCAACATAGTTAAGACATAATAGAAAGCTACAAAACAAAAGAGATGCAAACGTTACATTATGGTCAAAAATGTTAAACACACATAGAAGATGACTGGAAAGAAATATGCTCAAAAGATCAATCGAAGCTGCTCTGTGGGATGGCAATATGGAAACACTTTATATCTTAATACAATTTACTTTCCTATATTGTTTTAATTTCGAAAATTGATACGTTTGCATTTATAATAAAACATTCATTATAAAAAGAAAGGGTGCACTGGCACAAGGTCACTGTAGTTTGATGGTGATGGGAGAAGCAGCATTTGCCAAGTCCATTACCATTTCCCTCAGTGAATAAGACATGAATGGACCCTGCTCTCACAATGGCACACAGCAGTCCTATGGGGAAGAGGGAGGACAGCAAAGGCCCTGATTGGGTTTCTCTTGACATCTGCTTATTTATTGCTGAAAACTCCATTTACCAGTTAC
This sequence comes from Homo sapiens, assembly GCF_000001405.40. NCBI lineage: Eukaryota > Metazoa > Chordata > Mammalia > Primates > Hominidae > Homo > Homo sapiens. The sequence goes on from NC_000011.10 coordinate 29,406,380, forward strand.
CAGATACAATTGTGCACACCAGGAGGTCACGATTAACGATTTAAGCTCCTTTAATTTGTGTTTCTAATTATTATAATTTGGATGCTTTAAAAACATAGAGTATCTAATAACGTGTTGCATCACAATTCCCAGAACTGGAAAAATTTAATCAACTATCATGGTCCAACTCCTCTGTAGAAGTTACTCCAGTGACTTAGCTTTACATGTCAACCTCATCTGTGCAGAAATTCTGCTTTTTGAGTCCCTGTAAAAGAGACTGTGATCCAAATGACTCTACACCAACCCAAATGGGCACTGGATTAAGAGCCTATGGAACTGCCTGACCAGAGACTAATAGGTTTTTATCTCTTGAGAACCCAAACAAAGCAAGAGGACTGCAGTCAGTCAGTTGCTGCTGGATGTGGAAAATGTACGATTGTAAAGCATTGTGAATGCTAATGGTGTCGTAGAAACCAAGGACCAAGAGGAGGTTGATGTTATGGGAGTAAGATCTAAGACTCCTGCCTAAAAGTCAATCCTTAGAGAGACAAGATGGAAGCAGCTGCACAGCAGAGATGAGAAAGAATTATGGCACCCAGCAGGATTGAGTCAGAGAGAGAAAGAGGAGCAGTCTGATACCTCCCTGAGTCCTAGGGGACTCCCTCCAGTTTGCTTCCATGATGTATCACTGAACCTATACAACTTGCCCCCTAAAAAAAGGGGGCAGTGAGTGATCTAGGAAGCCTGTTGCAGTGAAACACACAGCACTAGTTCAGAAATCTCTCTAGAATCACATTTCTCCAAATAAATTTGTTACTTTTACAGCTTTATTTGAGGTATACTATACAAAACATAGAATACAACACACAGCATATATTTAAAGTGAACAACTTTGTAAGTTTTGACATAAGTATTTACCTAGGCAACTATCACGATAATCAAGATAATGAATGTATCCAGCACCATCCAAAATCTATTTTTGCCTCTTTGTGATATCTCATTCCCAATCCTCCCTACCTCTTCCTCTCTTCAGGCACCAATTGATCTAATTTCCATCACTAGAAATTAGTTTTAATTTTCTAGATTTTTAAGTAAATGGAATCATATAGTAGTTGCTTTGATTCATTGCTCTAGTTTCTTTTGCTCAGCATAATTATTTTGAGATGCACCAATGTTGTAGCATGAGTCCATAGTTTATTACTTTTTATTGCTGAGGAGTATCCCATTATACAGATAAACCACATCTTAAGAAATTGATTCATATTTTGAAGGACTTTTGAGGTATTTTTATTTGGGAATATTAAAAATAAGGCTGCTATGAACATTTGTGTACAATGTTTTGTTTGAACATAATCTTTTATTCTATTTATTTTTTCTTGATAAATTTCTAGAGGTGGAACTCCACATCATAAGATAGGTATATGTTGAACTTCTTGAAATGATCAAACTCTTTTACAAAGTTTTGTGCCATTTATATTCCTCCCCAGGAATATATGAGAGTTCCGTTTTCTTCACATTCCACAAACACTTGGTTTGGTTATCTTTTTCTTTTAATTTTAGCCATTTTAGTAATACTACATTGTGGTTTTAATTCCACTTACCTAAAGGTAAGTAGATATCAGATAGATAGATAGATAGATAGATAGATAGAAGATAGAGAAAGGCGGTAGTTTCCCAGTTATGTGCCTATGTAACACTTATCAAATTGTCTACCTTAAATATGTAGACTTTTTCAAGTTCAGTTATGCCTTATTAAAGCAGTGAAAAAAAAGTAAAAGCAATATCTGGGGGAATGTGATTCTAAAATATATCTTTATACAAATATTTTCTAGATTCCGCTATGCTGATTTACTTTTATACAAATTTGTTATACTAAATGCATACTGTGTTTCTGGCTGTAGCTTTAAGTTTTGGCACAGAATAGGGCTAGGCTCCCAAAGTTATTGTTCCTTTTCAAGCTTGACTTGGCTATTCTAGGTCCTTTGATTTTCCATATGAATTTTAGAAATAGTTTTTTAACTTCTACAAAAATGGCTTGCCATGATTTTGCTTGGAGATACACTGAAAGTACAGACTGATCTTAATACTGAGTCTTCCAATTCATAAACATAACAAATATATACATTTTTAGGTCTTTTTCTTTCAGCAAGGTTTTTGAGTGGCCCATCTACAGGTGTTACATATCTTTTGTCATATTTATCCCTAAGTATTTAATATTTTTGGTACTATTGTAACTGGTATTGTTTTTATAATTTTCATTTCAAATGTTTATTGCTACAAATATAATAGTTTTTTAAAAAAATCTTACATCTTGCAATCTTGCTAAACTTATGTTAGTTTTAGTGATTTTATTGTAGGTTTCATCAGATTTTCTGCATAGACAATTATGCAAATAAAATATTTTTTCTGTAGTGTGAATTTTTTTTATTTTTCCATTTCTTAGTTTGCCTTATTTCACTGACTAGAACATCCAATACAATGTGAATAGAAGTGGCGAGAGAAAATTTTGTCTTGTTTGCAATCTTAGGGAGAAAGAATTTAGTCTCTCAATATTGGGTATAAGATTAGCTGTAGGTTTTTTATAGATGCCCTCTATCAGGTTGAGGAAATTTTTTTCTATGGCTACTTTGCTGAGAATTTTCAAAAGGAATAGATGTTGGATTTTGTTAATACTTTTTATGCACCACTGATAATAAGAATACATTTTTTCTTATTTAATTTGTTAATATGGTGAATTATATTCATTAAATTTGATTGCTACACTAACCTTGTGCTCTTAACATAAATTCCAATTGGCCACAGTACAGATTTTAACCAAAAAATCAATTTCTTGAGTGATATTTTCCAAGATGATTTAGGTCATCTATCTCTTCTGAGTGAGCTTTGATAGTGTCTTTCAAGGAATTTACCTTATTCATTTCAGTCGTCAAATGTATTGCCTTGAAGTTATCGATACTATTCCTGTATTATCTTTAAAAACCTTATTATTTGAAATAAATACAGACTACTATAGGGAGTTGCAAAACTATAGTCCTGTGTACACTTTACCCAGCTTTCCCCAGTGGCAACAACTTCTGCAGCTATCATTCAATGTCAAAACCAGAAAATTATTTCAACTAGACCTTATTTGGTTTTTACCATTTAACTTGAATTTATTTGCATGTGTGTGTATGTGTAGTTCTATTCAATTTTACCCTGTGTATAGATTTCTGTAACCTTTACCACAATCAAGATAGATTATTCCATCACTGCCAAAGAACTCCTTTGTTCTACCTCTTTATCCATACTCCCTACCCCATCCATCCTGTCCCAGTCCCCTGACAACCAATAATCTGCTTACCATCTCTATAATTTCGTCATTTTGAGAACATTACATAAGTGAAATTACAAAGCACATAGCACTTTTAGATTGACTTTTTTACTTAACATAATGCATTTGTTAATAGTTTATTTCTCTGTATTGCTAAATAATATTCTGTCGTTATGGGTATATTAGAGTTTGTTCAACCATTCACCCTCTGAAAGACATCTGCACTATTTCCAATATTTTTCTATTACAAATAACGCTGTTTTGAACATTTGTGGGTAATTTTTATATAATCTTTTTTTTAAATTATCAGATGTAATATCTAGGTAGTATGGTAAATGAATGTGTAGTTTTGGGGTTTCGTTTGTTTTTATTTTTCAGAAACTGACAAACTATTTGCCAAAGTGACTCTGCTACTTTACACTTCTACCAACAATGTGTGAGACATCCAGTTTCTCTGCATACTTGCTAGCATCTGGTATTGTCTCTATAATATTTAATATTAGCTGTTCTAATAGAAGTGTAGTGATAGTTCATTCATTGCAATTTTAATTTGCACATATCAAATGGCTAACAATGATGAGCATTTTTTATGTACTTTACTTTGCCACCTGTAGCTCCCTTTTGGTGAGATATCTGTTGCTTATCCCTTTGATAGCTTTATAATCGGTAGCAGCAGCATCTCTCTGATTCCTTATAGTGAAATTGATGTCATGTTGGTTTTCTCAGTCTAGACATATGTTTACTAATATTCCTTATTTTTTCAAATGAAACATCTTCCTTGCTTTCCTATCTGATCTTTCTTATTATCCTTCTTCTGTTTACTGTGGCTATATACTTTTCTTCTTTTTGTAGTTTCTGAAGGTGGAAGTTGAAGTTGTTTGAGATATTCCTGCTTCTCTGATGTATCTTTTTTTCTGATATTTTTATAGTATAAACGCCCCATTAAGGACTGCTTTAGTGTTATGTAACAAATTTTGAAATACTAAGTAAGTTTTTTGATCAAGTTAAAATTATTTTCTAACCTCTTTTTGATTCCTTCTTTGACATATGGATTATTTAGAAGTGTTCTATTTAGTTACCAAAGATTTAAAAATTTTTATATAGAGATATTTTTGTTATTAATTTCTAATTTAATTCCATGGTATCAGAGATTAAATTCTGTAAGACTTAAGTCCTTTCAAGTTTATTGAAATTTGTTTTATTGTACCAAATATAGTCTGGCATGATAAATGTTCTAAAAGCAAAGCACTCAAAAATGAAATGCATTTTCCTAATTTTGTGTGGAGTGTTCTGTAAATACACATTAGGCCAAGTTGGTTGATTGTGTTTTCCAAGTCTTCTTTATCTTTAATGATTTCCTGTGTACTTGTTCTATCAATTTTTCAGAGAGATATTGACGTCTCCAACTATAATTGTGATTTGTCTATTTCTCTTTGTTTATTTATGAATTTTTGCTTCATATATTTTGAAACTCTGGCATTAGGCATTTAAACATTTAAAATGGTTATCTCTTCTTGATAAATAGAACTCTTTATCTTAATGAAATTCACCTCCTCATCCCTGGTAATATTCTTGGATCTGAAATCCACTAAGTGTGTTGTTCCTATAGCCATCCTAGTTTTGTGTGTGTGTGTGTGTGTGTGCGTGCGTGTATGTCAGCATAGCATATTATTTTTCATACTTATACTTTAAATCTAAAGCTATGAATAGGTTAAAAGTAAATTTTGTTGTTTTTGTTGTTGTTTGTTTTTGTTTTTTTTGTTTGTTTGTTTTTTGAGACAGAGTCTTGCTCTGTCGCCAGGCTGGAGTGCAGGAGGTGCAATCTCGTCTCACTGCAACTTCCGCCTCCCGTGTTCAAGCAATTCCCCTGCCTCAGCCTCCCAAGTAGCTGGGATTACAGGCGCATGCCACCATGCCTGGCTAATTTTTTGTATTTTAGTAGAGACGGCGTTTCACCATGTTGGCCACAGTGGTCTTGATCTCCTGACCTCGTGATCCACCCGCCTCGGCTCCCAAAGATTTAAAGTATAATTCTTATAAGCACCCTATAGTTTGGAATGTCTAAAAAGTTAATAACCTTTATTGTTTTGAATAGTTTTAGGTTCACCGAAAAAAAAATGAGTGAAAAGCACAGAGTTTTCATATATGCCCTCACCTCCCACAATTTCCTCTATTTTTAATATCTTACATTAGTGTGGTACCTTAGTTCCAATCGATGATGAAACTATATACATTATTATTGACTGAACTTCATAGTTTACATTAGGATTCACTCTTGGTGTTGTATATTCTATAGGTTTTGACAAATGTATAATGACATGTATCTACCATGTCAACTGAGAAAAATGGCAAGACAAGTCTCAATCATTTTAGGAGGTTTATTTGCCAAGTTAAGGATGCACACCAGGGAGACAGGACTATGCCTTTCTTGGAAGATGATTTTGAGGGCTCCAAATTTAAAGGGGAAAAGGTGGAGCATTGAGAAGTACACAATTTTCATGTAAGAGAGGTTAGGGAAAAAACAGTCATTTATGCCTTCATCTGGCTCAGTGTATCTGCATTTGTTACATAAGATGACATAGACAAATGGGGCAGAGAAAAAATGTAGATAATCTGCATTTTTACATAAGATAACATAGACAAAATGGGGCAGGGGACCAATTAGATATCGTTTATGTCTGGTGGGCAGGGGAGGTGACTGCACCTGTAAAGATAAGCTATGAATGTGCATTGCCATGGTGAAATTTTAACAGATACGCCTTAAAGATCTTGGAGCTCACTAGGAATTTCCTTGTGGGCAAAATATGGGGGAAGCGTGTAGCTTTTCATATTTTAGCCATCTTATCTAGGAGCCAAAAGGGGAGGAAGGTTTGCATGACCCAGTTTCCAGCTTAACTTTTTCCTGTGGCTCAATGAGTTTGGGGTCCCTAGGTTTATTTTCCTTTCACAACCATACAGAGCAATAGTTTCACCACCCTAACAATCCTCTGTGCTCTACCTATTCATCCCTCTTTTGTTCTCCCCAACTTCTGGTAACCACTGATATTTTCACTTTTTCTATAGTTTGTCTTTTCCAGAATGTCATATACTTAGAATCATTCAATGTGTAGCCATTTCAGTTTAGATCCTTTCATTTAGCAGTATGATTTAAGATTCCTTCATGTCTTTTCATGGATGGATAGCTTATTGATTTATTCACAGAGTAATATTTCATTGTGGATTTACTACAGCTTGCTTTATCCTTTCACCTACTGAAAGACATCTTGGTTGTTTCTAAGTGTTACGTTATTAGTAAAGTTGCTGGCATTGTTTTTTACTTCTATCTTTTCGTTAGATTGTTTTACATTTCATTTACATTTAATGTAATTTTTAAGATTTCCATCTATCATCTTGTTATTAGTTTCTATTTGTGTGATTTGTTTATCGCTCTTTCTACCCCCTCCCTTTTGCCTTTTGTTGATAAAATCAGTCTATTTATGATTCTATTTTAAGCATTTTACTTATTATTTATAATTTTTGTTTTAATTTAGCAACTGACTTAGGGTTTATTGAACACATATTTAACTTATAATTATACGCCTTCAAGTAACTTTGTAGTATTTCATATATAGTATAACAACCTTGCAGTATCTTCCCTCAGCTTTTGTAATCTTGCTGCCATATACTTTACTTTTATATATGCCATAAGGTACACAATAAGTTATTATTTTTATGTAAATGGTAAATTATTTTGGAAGACATTTAAATAGAAACAGTTATATATTTATCCATGCCATTACCATTTTTGGAGCTCTTCTTTTATATACATCCATGTTTCCATCTCCTATAATTTTAGTTCTGTGCTTAAAGGAGTTATTGTAGTACAGGTCTGCTAGTGATAAAATCTTTCAGGTTTTATTTATGTGAAGCCTTTATTTTTTCATGGTTATTAAAAGGTACTTTCATTTTCATTGGGTATGGATTTTTTTTTTTTAATTATTGAGACACAGTCTCATTCTGTCACCCAGGCTGGAGTGGAGAGGCACCATCTCAACTCACTGCAACCTCTGCCCCCTGGGTTCAAGCGATTCTCCTGCCTCAGCCTGCCGAGTAGCTGGGATTACAGGTGCTTGCCTCCACACCCAGCTAATTTTTGTATTTTTAGTGGAGATGGCTGATCTTGAACTCCTGACCTTGTGATCCACCTACTCAGCCTCCCAAAGTGCTGGGATTACAGGTGTGAGCCACCACGCCCAACCTGGATATGGAATTTTAATTCTAATTTTAGGGCAATTTTATTCTTTCAGTACTTGTAAGTGTTGTTTTATCTTACATTTGTTTCCAGTAAGAAATTGCTTGCCTTCTTCATTTTTTAAAAAATCTCTGTATAAATCTCTGTATATAGGCCTATTTTTATTCTGGATGCTTTTACATATGTTTTCTTATCATTTTTTTGGAGCAGTTTGACAGTGGTGTGCATTTATGTAGCTTCCTATTTTGCGTGCTTGGGGTAAATTGAACTTCATGGATCTGTGGAGTTTTACTTTATATTTAATCTGGAATTTTTTCAGACATTATTTTATCAAATAGTTTTTCAGTCCTGGACCCCTCACTTCTGGAACTCCAATTGTACTCATACTACGCCACTTGAAATTGTCCTAAAACTCACTGGTGCTCTCTTTATTTTGTTTTTCTCTTCTTTTTCTCTATGTGTTGCATTTAAAATGGTTCCTCTTGTTGTGCCTTCACTTCACTAATCTTTTTATTGCACAATGTTTAATGGGTATAATTCTCAATCAGTATATTATTCACCTCAGATACTGTAGATTTATCTTTTAAAGTTCAATTTAGTTTTTTGTAATAACTCTCATGTTACTACATTAGCTTTTTAATATGATAAATATTGTTATAAAAATTATTTTCATGTCCTTATCTACTCTTTTTAACATCTGTGTTCATTCTGGTTTATTTTGATTATTTGATTGTTTTCATTGATTATATATGGCACTTGATAGTGGCATTGCAGGACAAGAATGGATAATGATTGATATTCTGGAATGGTTCTGGGGCATTTGGAATGGATAATGATTGATATTCTGGAATGGTTCTGGGGCATTTGGCTTTGCATATGAAAAATTTCAAGAATAAAAGTACATATACAATCTAGGTTTGTGTAGGTATACTCTATTATGTTTGCACAATGACAAAATCTTCCAAAAATGCATTTTTCAGAATGTATCCTCATCATTAAGTGATGCATGCTGTACTCCAATCCTTTAAAATGTGTTTTTTTCTCAGACTCAGTCTTCTCACATACATACATAAATTGAACCATACCAAACAGCTGAGAATGATGTCTAGAATTCTCTGGAAAAACATCTCTGTATGCCTAGTTCTGTTCTCTCTCGCAGTCTTCTCTGCAAATTCTTGCCTAAAGTTATAGTTATCTTTGGCTTCTCAATTCAGAAAATCTGCCAGACTCCACTTGGTTTCATCATTCATATGCCATTACTGAATATTCTCTCCAGGCAGAAAACTGTGGCAACCTTAGCTTTCACTTTATTAATTTCTCATTTCTCAGAAATCTCTATCCTTCCATCCCCAGTATAGTGTCTTGAAAATCATTGTTTCATGTATTTTTCTAATTTTGCAGTGTTTCAGGTGCAAGGGTAATCATATATATATATATATATATACACACACACACATATATATATATACACACACACATACGTATACACGTGCCATGGTGCTTTGCTGCACCCATTAGCCTACCATCTACATTAGGTATTTCTCCTAATGCTATCCCTCCCCTAGCCCCCAACCTCCCCCACAGGCCCTGGTGTGTGATGTTCCCCTCCCCGTGTTCATGTGTTCTCATTGTTCAACTCTCACTTATGAGTGAGAACCTGGAGCAATTGGTTTTCTGTTCCCGTGTTAGTTTGCTGAGAATGATGGTTTCCAGCTTCATCCATGTCCCTGCAAAGGACATGAACTCATCCTTTTTCATGGCTGCATAGTATTCCATGGTGTATATGTGCTACATTTTCTCAATCCGGTCTATCATTGATGGACATTTGGGTTGGTTCCAAGTCTTTGCTATTGGGAACAATGCTGCAATAAACATATGTGTGTATGGGTCTTTACAGTAGAATGATTTATAATCCTTTGGGTATATACCCAGTAATGGGATTGCTGGGTCAAATGGCATTCCTGGTTCTAGATCTTTGAGGAATTGCCACACTCTCTTCCACAATGGAGGCCAATAGTAAATGTTCTCATAATTATGGAATTAAAGTAATGTTAATTTTAATTTTAAAGTAAATTTAATTCCTCTGAAGGGTAATCTTTTCCCTTTTACTCCATCCTAGTAAAGTATAAGTCCCCTAAATTATTTTTCTTAAAAAAAAATCAAACATTATTCCTCTTAAAATAAAAAGCCAGAGTTACGTAAGTTTAGGAAGTATTAAAAATTATCGGGGATTGGCCAAGATGGCCGAATAGGAACAGCTCCGGTCTACAGCTCCCAGCGTTAGCGACGCAGAAGACGGGTGATTTCTGCATTTCCATCTGAGCTTTGAAGAGAGCAGTGGTTCTCCCAGCACGCAGCGGGAGATCTGAGAACAGGCAGACTGCCTCCTCAAGTGGGTCCCTGACCCCTGACCCCCGAGCAGCCTAACTGGGAGGCACCCCCCAGCAGGGGTGGACTGACACCTCACACAGCCGGGTACTCCAACAGACCTGCAGCTGAGGGTCCTGTCTGTTAGAAGGAAAACTAACAAACAGAAAGGACATCCACACCAAAAACCCATCTGTACATCACCATCATCAAAGACCAAAAGTAGATAAAACCACAAAGATGGGGAAAAAACAGAACAGAAAAACTGGAAACTCTAAAAAGCAGATCGCCTCTCCTCCTCCAAAGGAACGCAGTTCCTCACCAGCAATGGAACAAAGCTGGAGGGAGCATGACTTTGACGAGCTGAGAGAAGAAGGCTTCAGACGATCAAATTACTCTGAGCTATGGGAGGACATTCAAACCAAAGGCAAAGAAGTTGAAAACTTTGAAAAAAATTTAGAAGAATGTATAACTAGAATAACCAACACAGAGAAGTGCTTAAAGGAGCTGATGGAGCTGAAAACCAAGGCTTGAGAACTACGTGAAGAATGCAGAAGCCTCAGGAGCCAATGCGATCAACTGGAAGAAAGGGTATCAGCAATGGAAGATGAAATGAATGAAATGAAGCAAGAAGGGAAGTTTAGAGAAAAAAGAATAAAAAGAAACGAGCAAAGCCTCCAAGAAATATGAGACTATGTGAAAAGACCAAATCTACGTCTGATTGGTGTACCTGAAAGTGACGGGGAGAATCGAACCAAGTTGGAAAACACTCTGCAGGATATTATGCAGGAGAACTTCCCCAATCTAGCAAGGCAGGCCAACATTCAGATTCAGGAAATACAGAGAACGCCACAAAGATACTCCTCGAGAAGAGCAACTCCAAGAAACATAATTGTCAGATTCACCAAAGTTGAAATGAAGGAAAAAATGTTAAGGGCAGCCAGAGAGAAAGGTCAGGTTACCCTCAAAGGGAAGCCCATCAGACTAACAGCGGATCTCTCAGCAGAAACTCTACAAGCCAGAAGAAAGTGGGGGCCAATATTCAACATTTTTAAAGAAAAGAATTTTCAACCCAGAATTTCATATCCAGCCAAACTAAGCTTCAAAAGTGAAGGAAAAATAAAATACTTTACAGACAGGCAAATGCTGAGAGATTTTGTTACCACCAGGCCTGCCCTAAAAGAGCTCCTGAAGGAAGCACTAAACATGGAAAGGCACAACCGGTACCAGCTGCTGCAAAATCATGCCAAAATGTAAAGACCATCGAGACTACGAAGAAACTGCATCAACTAATGAGCAAAATAACCAGCTAACATCATAATGACAGGATCAAATTCACACATAACAATATTAACTTTAAATGTAAATGGACTAAATGCTCCAATTAAAAGACACAGACTGGCAAATTGGATAAAGAGTCAAGACCCATCAGTGTGCTGTATTCAGGAAACCCATCTCACATGCAGAGACACACATAGGCTCAAAATAAAAGGATGGAGGAAGATCTACCAAGCAAATGGAAAACAAAAAAAGGCAGGGGTTGCAATCCTAGTCTCTGATAAAACAGACTTTAAACCAACAAAGATCAAAAGAGACAAAGAAGGCCATTGCATAATGGTAAAGGGATCAATTCAACAAGAAGAGCTAACTATCCTAAATATATATGCACCCAATACAGGAGCACCCAGATTCATAAAGCAAGTCATGAGTGACCTACAAAGAGACTTAGACTCCCACACATTAATAATGGGAGACTTTAACACCCCACTGTCAACATTAGACAGATCAACGAGACAGAAAGTCAACAAGGATACCCAGGAATTGAACTCAGCTCTGCACCAAGTGGACCTAATAGACATCTACAGAACTCTCCACCCCAAATCAACAGAATATACATTTTTTACAGCACCACACCACACCTATTCCAAAATTGACCACATAGTTGGAAGTAAAGCTCTCCTCAGCAAATGTAAAAGAACAGAAATTATAACAAACTATCTCTCAGACCACAGTGCAATCAAACTAGAACTCAGGATTAAGAATCTCACTCAAAACCGCTCAACTACATGGAAACCTAACAACCTGCTCCTGAATGACTACTGGGTACATAACGAAATGAAGGCAGAAATACAGATGTTCTTTGAAACCAATGAGAACAAAGACACAACATACCAGAATCTCTGGGACGCATTCAAAGCAGTGTGTAGAGGGAAATTTATAGCACTAAATGCCCAAAAGGGAAAGCAGGAAAGACCCAAAATTGACACCCTAACATCACAACTAAAAGAACTAGAAAAGCAAGAGCAAACACATTCAAAAGCTAGCAGAAGGCAAGAAATAACTAAAATCAGAGCAGAACTTAAAGAAATAGAGACACAAAAAACCCTTCAAAAAATTAATGAATCCAGGAGCTGGTCTTTTGAAAAGATCAACAAAATTGATACACCGCTAGCAAGACTAATAAAGAAAAAAAGAGAGAAGAATCAAATAGACACAATAAAAAATGACAAAGGGGATATCACCACTGATCCCACAGAAATACAAACTACCATCAGAGAATACTACAAACACCTCTATGCAAATAAACTAGAAAATCTAGAAGAAATGGATAAATTCCTCGACACATACACTCTCCCAAGACTAAACCAGGAAGAAGTTGAATCTCTGAATAGACCAATAACAGGCTCTGAAATTGTGGCAATAATCAATAGCTTACCAACCAAAAAGAGTCCAGGATCAGATGGATTCACAGCTGAATTCTACCAGAGGTACAAGGAGGAAGTGGTACCATTCCTTCTGAAACTATTCCAATCAATAGAAAAAGAGGGAATCCTCCCTAACTCATTTTATGAGGCCAGCATCATCCTGATACCAAAGCCAGGCAGAGACACAACAAAAAAAAGAGAATTTTAGACCAATATCCCTGATGAAAATCGATGCAAAAATCCTCAATAAAATACTGGCAAACCGAATCCAGCAGCACATCAAAGAGCTTATCCACCATGATCAAGTGGGCTTCATCCCTGGGATGCAAGGCTGGTTCAACATACGAAAATCAATAAATGTAATCCAGCATATAAACAGAACCAACGACAAAAACCACATGATTATCTCAATAGATGCAGAAAAGGTCTTTGACAAATTTCAACAACCCTTCATGCTAAAAACTCTCAATAAATTAGGTATTCATGGAACGTATTTCAAAATAATAAGAGGTATCTATGACAAACCCACAGCCAATATCATACTGAATGGGCAAAAACTGGAAGCATTCCCTTTGAAAACTGGCACAAGACAGGGATGCCCTCTCTCACCACTCCTATTCAACATAGTGTTGGAAGTTCTGGCCAGGGCAATTAGGCAGGAGAAAGAAATAAAGGATATTCAATTAGGAAAAGAGGAAGTCAAATTGTCCCTGTTTGCAGATGGCATGATTGTATATCTAGAAAACCCCATTGTCTCAGCCCAAAATCTCCTTAAGCTGATAAGCAACTTCAGCATAGTCTCAGGATAAAAAATCAATGTACAAAAATCACAGGCATTCTTATACACCAACAACAGACAAACAGAGAACCAAATCATGAGTGAACTCCCATTCACAATTGCTTCAAAGAGAATAAAATACCTAGGAATCCAACTTACAAGGGATGTGAAGGACCTCTTCAAGGAGAACTACAAACCACTGCTCAATGAAATAAAAGAGGATACAAACAAATGGAAGAACATTCCATGCTCATGGGTAGGAAGAATCAATATCGTGAAAATGGCCATACTGCCCAAGGTAATTTACAGATTCAATACCATCCCCATCAAGCTACCAATGACTTTCTTCACAGAATTGGAAAAAACTACTTTAAAGTTCATATGGAACCAAAAGAGAGCAGGCATCGCCAAGTCAATCCTAAGCCAAAAGAACAAAGCTGGAGGTATCACACTACCTGACTTCAAACTATACTACAAGACTACAGTAACCAAAACAGCATGGTACTCGTACCAAAACAGAGATATAGATCAATGGAACAGAACAGAGCCCTCAGAAATAATGCTGCATATCTACAACTATCTGATCTTTGACAAACCTGAGAAAAACAAGCAATGAGGAAAGGATTCCCTATCTAATAAATGGTGCTGGGAAAACTGGCTAGCCCTATGTAGAAAGCTGAAACTGGATCCCTTCCTTACACCTTATACAAAAATCAATTCAAGATGGATTAAAGACTTAAACGTTAGACCTAAAACCAGAAAAACCCTAGAAGAAAACCTAGGCATTACCATTCAGGACATAGGCATGGGCAAGGACTTCATGTCTAAAACACCAAAAGCAATGGCAACAAAGGCCAAAATTGACAAATGGGATCTAATTAAACTAAAGAGCTTCTGCACAGCAAAAGAAACTACCATCAGAGTGAACAGGCAACCTACAGAATGGGAGAAAATTTTCGCAATCTACTCATCTGACAAAGGGCTAATATCCAGAATCTACAATGAACTCAAACAAATTTACAAGAAAAAAACAAACAACCCCATCGAAAAGTGGGCGAAGGACATGAACAGACAATTCTGAAAAGAAGACATTTATGCAGCCAAAAAACACATGAAAAAATGCTCACCATCACTGGCCATCAGAGAAATGCAAATCAAAACCACAATGAGATATCATCTCACACCAGTTAGAATGGCAATCATTAAAAAGTCAGGAAACAACAGGTGCTGGAGAGGATGTGGAGAAATAGGAACGATTTTACACTGTTGCTGGGACTGCAAACTAGTTCAACCATTGTGGAAGTCAGTGTGGCGATTCCTCAGGGATCTAGAACTAGAAATACCATTTGACCCAGCCATCCCATTACTGGGTATATACCCAAAGGACTATAAATCATGCTGCTATAAAGATACATGCACACGTATGTTTATTGCGGCATTATTCACAATAGCAAAGACTTGGAACCAACCCGAATGTCCAACAATGATAGACTGGATTAAGAAAATGTGGCACATATACACCATGGAGTACTATGCAGCCATAAAAAATGATGAGTTCACGTCCTTTGTAGGCACGTGGATGAAATTGGAAATCATCATTCTCAGTAAACTATCGCAAGAACAAAAAACCAAACACCGCATATTCTCACTCATAGGTGGGAATTGAACAATGAGAACACATGGACACAGGAAGGGGAATATCACACTCTGGGGACTGTTGTGGGGTGGGGGGAGCGGGGAGGAATAGCATTGGGAGATATACCTAATGCTAGATGACGAGTTAGTGGGTGCAGCGCAGCAGCATGGCACATGTATACGTATGTAACTAACCTGCACATTGTGCACATGTACCCTAAAACTTGAAGTATAATAATAATAATTTAAAAAAAAAGTGTAGGGATTGAGTAGTGGAAAAAAAAACAAAAAAAATTATCAAGCAGGTGTCTTTGCTATAGGTATTTTCAGAAACTTGAGTTTTCTAATGTAATTTCCTTACAAATATCAAAGGGTACAAAAATAGCAGAAGCCATTTTAAACTATAAGCACTTCATCTGCCTTGTGGATTAACCAATATGCTTAATTCCTTCTGGAAAACATTACGAACAATGCCCTCAGTTTGCTGTAAAAATGTGATGAATGACTTCTTTTAAGCTACTTGCTTCAACTACCTCCAGCTGTGTATTTAAAAAATTCACATTTTTTATCTGTTTAGGTCAATAGTAAGTGCTCTAATTATGTAATTAAATTAATTAAATAGTACTTTTTAAACACCATGAAATAAATGTGCAAATTTTTAAGGGATATTATTTTACACTAATTAAGTAGGACATCTTGATAAAAGTTATTGGCAAAAAATAAGTTGATACTGATTTAGTCTTAAGGAAGAAATCTAAAATGCAGAGTAAAGATAATAGTAAAAATTTAGACTTCTTCAGAGATTTTTTCACAATTAAAAAACATTCTCACATCCTTCACAAAAAATTGAAACTAGAAAAAATGATTGACACTGCAATCAGTGGACTCATACTCAAATAAAAGACTTTAGCTTTACAGCAAAAGACTGGCAAATAAATGCATATTTGTATGCTTTATATTTAAGTAAAATTCTAAAGATACATATACATTGTTTTAAATTTTTTTTTGCCTTAAGCACATTTTTACTTACAAAGCTAAACACAAGTCCTAATAAGATTGGTTTTTAAAGCTTCTATTCTATTCGAGTAGTTTGTTCTCTACTCTAGTAATTTTCTTATTCTATTTAATTATGTATTTTTTTAGATTATTGTTTCTCATTGCTAACCAGCTTTGGCTGAAAAATGTTCCAAAATACTTGCTTTTGTGGCTTTTCTTCATTTCCATTAGTAATAGAGTTAGATTGACAGTTCAAAGCAACTTAAAATTATTTTAAGCCACTTTTGTCTGAGAATTCCCATGTAAAGCAGGATAAATACCATATATAATGAATTAAACAGGTAGGTGGAAAAGTTGGTTTCTGATGAACCAACACAACCCCCAGAAGATGGGCATTAAAAATGTTCTTCAAATGTCTTTCGACAATAGGGCAGAGAAAGAATGAAGATAATTTTCAAAGTCACACAAAGGACATTTTGTTTCCAAAGATCACTTTAGAAACAAGAAATCAGGATTGAGTCTTGCCATATTCCCTCTGTCTACACCATTTTAGTATTCAGATTAGAGAATGTCTAGAACTTACTGGAACCTAAATGACACCAGTCTTTTAAGCTTTAGTTTTACAATACAGAGATAAGACATTGGGAAAATAAAATAGGATTACAGAGACCAGTACTCTGAATAGCTAAACATGACATAAAATGTTATTATATTTACTTACTTTTTGTCTTGTTTTCATTTTGTCTGACTATATAAACAATAAAACTCTCTTAGTTTCTAATAGATTAAAAATATCTTTAATGTTGAGATACTGTGTCAATTTAGAGCTCTTAAATCAGACCCTCCTATTAATTTAAAGTTCCCTTGTTTTCAGTTAAATCAAGGGAGGCAAAATATTCACAAAGCCTCCTTTGTAAGTTCCATTGATGCTCCCATCTTTTTCTCACTCTCCTAGTGTCTTCATTTTATCTTTACCACAGATTGAATTTCATAGTCAGCCAATTGAAACACTGCTTTGCATTTGTTTCAACCTCCTTGATTCTATCTCTAGGTTCATTCTATTCTGTTGTTAAAATCACAGTCCTGGGTAAATGCAATTCCTTACCTACTCAGAACTGCATCAGTATAGCTAGATGTGGCTGGATAAATGTGTATGACCACTCAGGTTAAAATCATTACCACAAATTTCAAGCCCAACCTTTATTGCTTGACAGTAAAACTACATTTCTTCAGTCCACTCATTTACTTACTTGTAAGAAGATTATTTTATGCATTCCTTTTTCTCTTCAAACCCCATTCTCATTTGAGTTTCTACTTCATTAAGGAAATTGAAGTACTTGAGAAGAATTTCTACAAACTTCCACTACTGAAACTACTGACATACTAGCATTTGTGTTTATACACTTGCCCTTTTTTCCTATGTATACACATAGATTATGCATGCTCCTATTTAAAGCCAATTCTCCAAATTTCCACCATATAACACCCTTTCATCTATTTAAGTACATTCATGTACTGCATAACGACATTTTGTTCAATGACAGGCCATATACACCAGTGGTCTCATAAGACCATACTACCTAATGTTTACTGTACTTTTTCCATATTTTAGATTTGTTTAGATGCCCAAATACTTACCATTGTGTTGCAATTGCCTACAACATTCAGTACAGTAACCTGCTGTACAGGTTTGTAGCCCAGGAGCAATAGGCTATATTATATAGCCTAGGTGTGTAGTAGCCTATGCCATCTAGATTTGTATAAGTACACTCTGAGGTTTGTACAATGATGAAAACACCTAATAATGCATCTCTTAGAATACATGTCCATCCGTAAGTGATGCATAACTGTAATTCATTAAAAAAAAGTTCCCCTCTCTCCAAATGGATGGAACTAGAGGCTCTTATTCTAAATGAAATTACTCATATACAGAAAGTCAAAACTTGCATGTTCTCACTTATAAAAAGCAGCTAAATAATGGGTACACATGGACATACAGACAGGAGGGAGTGAGGTCTGAAATACTCCCTATCAGGTACAATGCACACTATTTGGGTGATAGGAACACTAACAGCCCAGACTTCAGCAGCATGCAAAACACCCATGTAACAAAATTGTACTGTGTTTTAGGCCATTTTTGCATTGCTATAAAGAAATACCTCAGGCTGGGTAATTTATAAAGAAAAGAGGTTTAATTTGCTCATGGTTTTGCAGGCTGCCCAGGAAGCCGGTGCTGGCCTCTGCTTATGGTGAGGCCTTAGGGAGCTTATAATCATGGCAGAAAGCAATGTCACATGGTGAGAGCAGGAGCAAGAGAGAAAGTGTGGAGGTGCCACACACTTTTAAACAACCAGATCCCACTTAAACATAGAGTGAGAACTCACTCATTATCATAAAGACAGCACCAAGCTATTCATGAAGAGTCAACCCCCATGACCCAAACACTTCCCACCAAGCCCCTCCTCCAACACTGGGAATCACATCTCAACATGAGGTTTGGAAGGGGAACCTCCAAACCATATCAAATTTGTACCCCTAAATCTATAAAAATGAAAAGTTTAAAAAATGTTCCCCTCTCTCTTCCATATCATCATTTCTTTCTTTATTGAATGATTACATCAGCATTTAAACATACTGCTACTTCTTCTATTTTAAAAATAAAGTCCCCTGACCTCACTTGGCCTCCAACTACCATTTCATTTTTCTATTTCCATCTATCAAAAAACTTCTCTCAAAAATATTTTCTATCATGTTTTTCCTTCCATTTATTTCAATCCACTTCATTTAAACTCTCTCCACTGCCCCACTGAAACTGCTCTTACTGACATCACCAATAGTCTCCATATACTAAGTCTAATCACATATTCTCATTTTTCTTGAACTATTATCAGCGTTTCACACAGTTTATTACTCCCTTCTTCTAAAAACTATTTGTCTGTTTAGCTCCTAGGATATCACACTCCTTCCTACTCATTTGTTTCTTTTCAATCTATTTTGCAGGTTTTTCTTCTTTCTCTGATATTTTAGCTTTGATGTAACCCAAGGCTCAATTCCTAGACCTTATCTCCTCTCTCTCTACACTCACGGCTAGGATGAAATCATCCCCAGTGTCATGGCTTTAAATACTATTTACATGCTAATAATTCCCAGCCAGGTTTTCTTCTCTGAAATTATAATATATAGAGTCAGGTGGTTGCCCCTGAAATCTAAACTGCTGTATTAACTATCATGCCCAAAACAAAACTCTTAACTTTATACCCCACGTTCAGATTTACTCCACATATGTTTTCCTCATGTCACTTAATGGTAGACAATTCTATTTATTTGCTTAGATCAGAAATCATTGCCTTCTTACTTTTTCTCACACTACACATTTGGTTCAGTAGATCGTCCTCCACTTAAATTGTATATCCAGAATCACATGACTTCACACGTTTCCAGCCTAAGTCACTGCTTTCATGGATTACTGCAATTTATTTCTAACTGGTTTACCTACCTTCACCTTTGCTCATCTATAGTCTATTCTCAGCACAATGGCCAAGATAATTATATAAAGAGTAACAGGGTCATGTCATTTTTCTGTTCAGAACAATGCAGTCTTCCTCCATGGCACTGAGAATAAAAGCCAAAGTTCTTAAAATAGTCTGTGAGACCCTATTAGACCTGACTTCCTATTATCTCTCAGATCTCACCTACCATTCTAACTCAGCACTGCATGGCCACCCTGGCCTCCTCACTGTACAAGTATATACCAAAGATGAAACTCCTTAAAAACTTTGTAAGCCTTTTCCATCTTCCAGGAATTTCTCTCTCAAATAGTCAACGTGCCTCACTACCACATATCCTTCAAGCCCCTGTTATACTATTAATTTCCCTGTGAAGCCTACTCTGACCAACCCTGTTTAAAACTGCATGCCACTATCCAGCCCTCCCAAAACCAATGCCTTTGTATGATTCAGATAAGAAAATAAGTCACACCATATTTTAAAAACAGAGAACATTTAATATAAGGAATTGATGACTAAGCTGTAGAAGAGCTGAGAAGCCAAAAAGAGGTTGGAGAAGCAGCCTGGGCATTAGCAACAGCAAGAAACTTCTACAACAACCTCATAGGACCAGAAGGCCTAGCAAGGGAATGATGTTACCGGAACCCTGAATCCAGGTCTTCTGGTGGGAGCTAAAACCATAGTGGAGGTTGTTCAGCTAAACCTCTACTGGAACCATAGAAGAGGGACCGTTTGGCTGGATGTCCCCAGAATCACAGAGAGGTAGAAGGAGAAATACTCCAGTTTCTGTACTCCTGAGCTCCTTTGTTTCACATTGGGTAAACCCACCTAAAGACCAGAAGGCCATGGAACTTGAGTAACGTAGCTCCCTGTAATGCATGGTAAAACCAAGATAAGCAGACGGTAGCAGGTTGGTGCACTTACCATCTCCTTTGTGTACCAAATAATGTGATTGGTTTATTATCTCTTTGCCTTAACAAGATCAAAGGTGAACAAGGGAATGGATATCTGTTTATTTTATTTACTGGGATATCCCTAGCATTTAGAAACATGTCTGCCACACAGATGTCAAATGTATTTGTAGAATGAGGGAATATGGTAGAATATGAGGGTTGAGAAATGGATTTGCTTCTTACACCCATCGCAAAACTTTTACTTTTATGAATTAAAATAATGTACCTATGTGATCATTTGTATCCATTAGGAATTACTCGTAAGGATTTATTGTAGAAAAAGTTATCAGAGCAAAAGAACAAACATTCAAAATAGGTGGCACACAGAGGACAGAAGCATAACTGCCTCCCACAGGTCACTTGTAAGAAAGTGGCGTTTCATGACTTTTGAAGAAAGTATAAAAGAGGAATACTTGTTCAAGTGCTAAAGAGAGTTCGAAGGAGGGATAGAGTGAAGATAAAGAGGATTTCAAGCAGCTGCGCATAAAGTTTTAGAGTGATGAATAAGGGATAGAGAAATTTTAGGACATTATCTTGGACTAGGAATTGGATGCCCTTTAACAGTTTGTCAGTGATGACTATAATGATAGAAGAACCCTTAACTACCTGTTTCCTCGGAACTGCTTCTTTGAATTTAATAGTACCAAGGCTGTGGCATTAGTGTCCCTGGGATTTATAGGGGTTACGGCTTACCTAAATGTGTGCCAGTCTCGCTCACAAGATAAACGTAGCTTATCTTAGTAGCTAGATGACACTACTGCCTAGTTTAGAAAATTAGATCTTCCTAGATAAGCCATTTATTTACCAACAAGAAATGTGTATATGAATCTTATTTGTTCCTATTAATCTATTTAACATTTATTTACAAATGCTAGAGATACAGCAACACGGACACAATTCTTGCCTTCAAAAGTAATGCACGTTAAGGTATATGGGACAGAAAAAAGGAGACGGAAAGTATAATATGATAAAGCATAGTATAAACTATAAATGCCATGAACTATTCTTTTCTCATGAGATAATTTCTAATAGTGACCTTCAGCTAGCTTGTAATTACTGTCTAATTACAAACAGTTTCTTTCTCATACAAATCAAAATTTGAGAGTTAAGGTAGAAATTGTTCTTTATTTTTTATTTTTTAACTTAATCCCAAATGCAATTGCAGAAAATTATTCTTTAAAGAGGAAAAAAGTAAGTATTATCTTATCTTCTTCATGGTTCCAGTGGAGACACAGCCTTAAAAACTCTTTGTCTACAGCTAATGGCAAACATTTTTTTCTTTCTTTTTTGGTTCTTCTCAACTTAAGTCCTGGAATGGTTAATATACATCCTTGAGTCTTTATGTATAAGCTTTTGTGAGAATATAGGGCTCAACTTCACATTATTTTCTAAAATTCAGAGACTCAAGAGTTTAAATGCTATAAAGAGACCTATAAACACTCTTCTATGAAACTTCTTTTTTTTATTTAACCACAGTTGTGTGTGTTTTTTTTTTATTATTATACTTTAAGTTGTAGGATACATCTGCACAATGTGCAGGTTTGTTACAAATGTATACATGTGCCATGTTGGTGTGCTGCACCCATTAACTTGTCATTTACAATACGTATATCTCCTAATGCTATCCATACCCCCTCCCCCCACCCCATGACAGGCCCCAGTGTGTGTTGTCCCATCCTAAGTCCAAGTGTTCTCATTGTTCAATTCCCATCTATGAGTGAGAACATGCGGTGTTTGGTTTTCTGTCCTTGTGATAGTTTGCTCAGAATGATGGTTTCCAGCTTCATCCATGTCCCTACAAAGGACATGAACTCATCATTTTTTATGGCCGCATAGTATTCCATGGTGTATATGTGCCACATTTTCTTAATCCAGTCTATCATTGATGGACATTAGGGTTGGTTCCAAGTCTTTGCTATTGTGAATAGTGCCGCAATAAACATACGTGTGCATGTGTCTTTATAGCAGCATGATTTATAATCCTTTGGGTATATACCCAGTAATGGGATGGCTGGGTCAAATGGTATTTCTAGTTCTAGATCCCTGAGGAATCGCCACATTGACTTCCACAATGGTTGAACTAGTTTACAGTCCCACCAACAGTGTAAAATCGTTCCTATTTCTCCACATCCTCTCCAGCACCTGTTGTTTCCTGACTTTTAAATGATCGCCATTCTAACTGGTGTGAGATGGTATCTCATTGTGGTTTTGATTTGCATTTCTCTGATGGCCAGTGATGATGAATATTTTTTCATATGTCTTTTGGCTGCATAAATGTCTTCTTTTGAGAAGTATCTGTTCATATCCTTCGCCCACTTTTTGATGTTTTTTTTTTTTTTAAATGAACTACTGTCATCACCTTCCTCATTCTGCTGTACCTCCCTGCATTAACTGATGAGGGCATTTTTCCCCCTCATTCAGCTGTTACCTTTTTCTATTCTCTTTTCTCTTCTATTCCCTAATTTCTTCTGTTATCTCTTTTCCTCCTTTTTAAACTAATCTCCTTGTATCCTCTTTAACTTTCTTTTCTTATCTTTTTCCTACACTTCCTCTCCACACTTATTTCTGGGAAGCTTATATACTCCTGCAATTTGAATATTGCTGTTATGTTGACAGTGATAAAATAGACATATCTATCACAAAACTCTCTCCTGGCTGCAGGCCCCCATTTCCTACTGTCAAAGATACAGCTCCGCTGTGCTCCAGGCTGGAATTCACTTTCCCAAATACCTTCCCTGTAACCTCACTACTTATTGCACCACGCTGTCCTATGAGCAGTGGTAAAAGTAAGCACGATGGATTCATATACATCGAGCTTCTGATCCTGGCTCAACCACTTGACTGCTGTGCAACTTCAAGAATAATTTCAAACCTATTTGAGATTTTTATCTTATGCAAAATAACTTGATAATCCTTACCTCATAATTTTGTCATGATGATTATGATGACACATAAAAAACTGAGTTATTCTATCCTTAGGGGTTCATTATAATGGATTAAACATAATCCCACATGCGGTGGGTTCCTTAGGATGCTTCTTTATCTCTTTAGGGATTCTAGGGGAATTTGGTACCTGATTTTCCTATTATATTTGGTTTTGAGATCCTACTTTCAGTGAATGAGAGCAAATAATAGACTTATTTTGGTAGTAAGTAAAAAATATGGCCACAATTTTTTTGCAGTAACTTTCATTAACAGATGGGCTTCATTTCCTTAGCCTTTGAATTTGGGGTGGCTCTGTGACTCTACTTTGACCAATAGAAGATGACACAGTGACACAGTGCGATTTCTGAGCCTAAAGCTCAAGAGGTCTTGCAGCTTCCACCACTGCTGTCTCAGAACACTGAAACTTACTAAAGGATAATTTTCTTTTCTGTGAAGAGAGATACCAAAAGTACTGTCCTCATTAAGATTTTTTTAAGGATTACATGAGATGGTACAGGTCAAAGGTTCAGCACAGAGTAAGTATTTGGTAAACGTAATCTATTTTCCTCTATAGTTTCCTCATTATTATAAAAAACAACATTATTTTAATTGTAAAACTCTCTCCAAGCCATAGTGAATTCCAGGTCACTCTTCATATTGTATATACTCTCCCCTCCTTGCCATTGTGCATTATTACCTCCTTCTATAATGTCTTTCTTCACCCTGAAACCAAATTTTATTCATTGTGTTCGTTCGTACCCATTCCCTAAGGACCAATTTATGAATTATCTTCATGCATTCTTCTTTTAGCCTTCCTTCCCCAAACTAAATCCATCTCTCCCTTTTTCCCAGCTGCACACCCACAACACCTTGTATGACTCTCCACTCTCATATTTACTACATCAGTGTAAATTCGTGTTCATTTTTGTGTGTCCAGGAAAGACTGATATTTTGGGGAGCAGGCATCATACAAATATTTCTTTATATTATCATTATTGTCATGATTATGGCCACAATTTATTCTGGGTTTCCATGAGACAGACCTTACATTAATCACATGTTTCTGATGCTTTGACATCTGATGCCATACTGGCCCCTAAGATACTGCCCCTCGCAAGGCTAGACGATTTCTAGAAATAGTGAACAACTCACCTGGGAGCGTGCCTTTCACATGCAAACCAACCAATCCAGAATCCAAACTGCAATCACCTCTTTATGCTGCTCTTACAAACTAGGCCACTCTTCTCCTGTCCTGATCACCTCAGGATCAGATACCAGAAAACTAGGGACAGGCGCTATGCCCTGGAGCGCCCCACAATTATTTAAAATGGACAATCCTAAGCCTGATCACCCTGCCTTGCCTGTTTCTTCCTGGGGAGACCAGAATAAAGACTCTTGCCAACATTTTCTCCTTGCTCCCTCTGCCTCCCAAATGACCCTGGTGCTTCCTCATGTGGCCCCAGTCGTGTGTCATACTGCTTCCTCTTGTGATCTGTGACTATAACAAGCTATCTTTTTAAAGGTAATCGTCTCCTGAACTGTTGTCCTTGCCATGCCCAAATAACAATAATACCTGTATTATTATTGTTATGATTTTGAGATGGAGTTTTCACTCTTGTTGCCCAGGCTGGAGTGCAATGACGCAATCTCGGCTCACTGCAACCTCCACCTCCCAGGTTCAAGCAATTCTCCTGCTTCAGCCTCCTGAGTAGCTGGGATTACAGGCATGCGCCACCACACCTGGCTAATTTTGTATTTTTTAGTAGAGACAGGGTTTCTCCATGTTGGTCAGGCTGGTCTCGAACTCCCGACCTCAAGTGATCCGCCAGCCTTGGCCTCCCAAAGTGCTGGGATTACAGGCGTGAGCCACTGCACCCAGCCAATAACACCTATATTTTAAAAGAGACTCTTTAATTCATTTTTAAAATCACTTAAATTTTCTTACTGTGAGCACACGTGGTTGACTTTTTATAGAGATAAGAAAACTATACATAGGGAGGTTAACTTGTTCAAGGTCACAAGACTGTTAGGCAATGCCTATAATTCAAATCCTGGATATTATTGTCTCCAGATTCTGAGTTCTTTGCTGCTATTTGGTACAGCCTGTAAGACTTCCTCAGTCACAGCTGTCCCCTTCCACAGGGTTGACTAAGACAGGGGACCCCCAACCCCTGGGCAATGAACTAGCACTGGTCCTAGCTTTTTAGGAACCCAGTGGCACAGCAAGAGATGAGCATGAGTGAAGCTTCATCTTTATTTACAGCTACTCCCCATGGCTGCATTACCACCTGAGCTCTGCCTCATGTCACATAAATGGTGGCATTAGATTCTCATAGGAGCATGATCCCTATTGTGTACTGTGCATGTGAGGTTGCCCAATCCTTACGAAAATCTAATGCCTGATGATCCGTCAGTCTCCCATCACCCCCAAATGGGAACTTCTAGTTGCAGGAAAACAAGCTCAGGGCTACCGCTGATTCAAGATTATGGTGAATTGTTTCATTATTGCATTATATCTTACAATGCAATAATAATAGAAATAAAGTGCATAATAAATGTAACACGCTTGAATCATCCCTAAACCATCCCTCTATCTCCCCGCCCCTGGTGCATGGAAAAATTGTCTCCCACAAAACCTGTCCCTGGTACCAGAAAAGGTTGGGGACTGCTGGACTAAGACATATTTAGCAAAGTATGTTGCCTGGTGCTAAACATTGATTCAAGGTGTCGATTAATATATCTTAATTTCATACTTCTATTTTCTCAGTGCATCCTCTAATAATAACAAAATCGACTTCCTTTTAGTTATTGAGAGTTGGGAAAACATATGGGAATGTTTTTAAAGACCAGTTATGAAAGATATTTCTAAATGGCTGCAAAAATAAGTAAATTGTGAAATAAAGTTTGAAACAAATATTAATCCATTTGGATAAAGCTAGTTTTAGATCAGTGTAGAAATTATTAAAATAGATTTAAGCAACTCTTGAGTAGCTATGAGATCTGGGGCTATTCACTTTCTTTCTTTCTCTGGGTCTTTCTTTTCTCATCTGTAAAATGAGCTAGGGTTGGATAAAGTAACTGTACCATCGAGTCCCACCGACAGTCCAGATTGTTTCCCAGTTTTTCTCTTTTTAATTTTGGATGGTACCACTAGGTGGCAGCAGGAATTTAATAATACTTATCTTTTCCTTAGTTCTCTGGTTTCCAAAAAGATATTTTGCTTGAGTAGGAATCATTTTGGAGAATACTACTACCATACCACCACCACATTAAACACAACTAAAAAACAAAGCTAAAGCACACAGTAACGAAAACAAACCACTTCAAACTCACCTCAGCATATCACTATCTTATGAAATACATTATCACAAGGTCTAAATTTTTATTATTTATTACATATCTTAATTCTATGAACTCTAAACATGTGTATACAACTACCAGCTCAATATTTCAACTTGGATGTCTAATAAGTACCTTACACCTAAACACAGCCAAACAAAACTCAATTTCTCTCTCACAACCCTTACACCTTCAAAGCTTTTGCCATCTCAGAAAATGAAAATATTATTTCCCACGTTTCTTAATCCAAATATCTAGTAGACATAAATTGATTGCTTCTTTCCCTCCTATTCTACAACCCACCCGTCACAAATGCTTTGACTTTACCTTCCAAACCCATTGCTAAAATTTCCATTTATGTCTGTCTTCACTGCTACCATCGCTTTCTCTTGCTGGAATGAACTCAAAACCCACTAATTGGACTTCCTATTTCTCTTTTTGCGCCTCTACAATCTATGTTCTGCATTTTAACTAGAGTGATTGTTTCAAATATAATATAAATAATACCAATACGGCCGGGTGCGGTGGCTCACTCCTGTAATCCCAGCACTTTGGGAGGCCGAGGCGGGCGGATCACGAGGTCAGGAGATCAAGACCATCCTGGCTAACACGGTGAAACCCCGTCTTTACTAAAAAAAAATACAAAGAATTAGCCAGGCGAGGTGGCGGGTGCCTGTAGTCCCAGCTACTCTGGAGGCTGAGGCAAGAGAATGGCGTGAACCCCGCGGGGCGGAGCCTGCAGTGAGCCGAGATTGTGCCACTGCACTCCAGCCTGGGCGACAGAGAGATTCTGTCTCAAAAAAAAAAAAAAAAAAAAAAAAATACCAATACTACTCTGTGGTTTAAAACTCTCCGCTATAGCGTGCATATTTGTTCCCTCAAAATCTCATGTTGCAATTTGATCCTAGTGTTGGATGTGGGGTCTAATCAGAGGTTTTTGGGACATGGGAGTGGATCCCCCCTCATGAACAGATGGGTTGGAAGGAGTGAATGAGTTCTAGCTCTATTACTTCCAGTGAGAGCTTGTTAAAAAGAGCCTAGTACCTCCCACTTCTCTGTCTTATTTCCTCTCTTGTCATGTGGTCTCTCCGAACTGGCTCTCCTTCACCTTCTTTCATGAATGGAAGCAGCCTGACACCCTCACCAGATCTTCCGTTCTCCAGCCAGCAGAATCATGGGCCAATAAGCCTCTTTATTTCAGTTTGGTGCAAAATTAATCGCAGTTTTTGCCATTACTTTCAATGATAAAAACAGCAATTACTTTTGCACCAACCTAATACATTACCTAGCCTCAGTTATTCCTTTATAACAACACTAAATGGACTAAGACACCCTCCAAAATATTCTCATTGCCCTTAAAAAAATTCCAACTCTATGCCATGATCTATGCATGTTTTCATAATCCCGTGGCTTTCTACCCTTACAGTTTACACATTCACTCCTCTGCTCCAGCAACACTGAGCATCTCCCAACCTACAAACACACACACACACACCCCAATCCCTCCTGCTTTAAGTTGGTTCTTCCCTCTGTCTGGAAGGCTCCAATACTACCAATGCCTGGCCTCTTTTCATCCTTCAAGTCTCAGCTTATGGAAGTCCTACCTGCCTAGACCATCTGTGGTGCCAATGGACACTTTCTTTACATTAGCCTAATTTGTTTCCATTTCAGCAATTACCACTCTTTGAATTATCTTGTCTGTTTGTTTGTTTACTTGCTTATTATCTTTCCTCACTAAAATGTGTTACTTAGGCCAGAAATAGATCATGTATTCACCACAGTGCATATATTTCAAATGAAGTATGGATATAATTGGATTTTTCATGAAAGGTTAAAAGGGTACACCAACATCACAGGGAGAAACAGGATTTCCCTATGGATCTTTGGTCTTCATTGAATCCAGCCATTTAAAAGCACTTATTTTTCCGTGAAAATCCTCATATTACAAGCATTTTTGGTCTTAATGTTTTTTTCTCTCTCAGTAACCATTTAACAACAAAATAATGTTATTTATAGCCTCTTAGCAATGACAACAAGTAACATTTGAGTCCTTACTCTGTGCTAAGCCCAGGGCTAAATACTTTATATTTCCAGTATACTAATTATTAAAACTTCTCTGTGATTGGAGTTCATACTGACATTTTCTAAAATATTACAGTCAATGCAGCAAATGAGAGTAAGGGCTACTGCCAAAATCTCCCAGGTCTGAAGCTAGTATATACTGGAGCCAGGACCTCATCTCTAGCAGTACTGGTCCAGAGACTGTCCATTCATTCAACTGCCTTTTTGCCTTGGTTTGTTGTGGCTGCTAAACAAATTACCACAAATGTAGTGGCTTAAAACAATGCTTATTTATTCTCTTACAGTTGCAGAAGTCAGAAGTCTGAAGTCATTTTTACTAGGTTAAAGTTAAGGTGTAGTTAGAGCTAATTTATTCTGGATTCTAGGCAGGAAGAATTTGTTTTCTTGACTTTTCAACTTCTAGTGGCTGCCTGTATTTCTTGGCAGTGACTCCAAAGTGCAGCAGTCCAGTCTCTCCTTCAGTCATTACATCACCTTCTCCTCTGCCTCTGACTCCTCCTGCCTCCTTTTTATAAGGATCCTTGTGATTACAGTGAGCTAAACCAGATAATCCGGAGTATTTTCCCACATCTCAAGATTCTTAATCACACACACATTCAAAGTCCTCTTTGCTGTATCAAGTAACCTTCCCAAGTTCCAGGGATTGGGTTGCAGATATATTTGGGGGACCATTTATTAAGCCTCATCACACAACCCCATTGCTAGCCAGAGATAGGGAGGAGATACTGGGGTGTCATATGCATGACCTAAGTGACTTGCCTCCACACACCAGTCTCTCTACAAGTAATTTAACCTACTGCTTCAGCAAAATTACAGAATGCAGAACATCATGGACCTTTGACTTCACTCACAAATAATTGATGCTGAAAATGCTTGTGGTATACTATATATTGATAATAAACATGCCTGCAAAGTGTTAAACACAAATGTTGAAAACTAAGTTCTAATTCATTCCCTTTCTACCTCTTAAGAATCACTCTGACATGCTACAGATAATTATTATTTGAAAAGGGAGAATACTTTTTATAAGGTTCAAAAACCTTTGCTTATTACAGATATGACCTAAATGAATTAACTTAAAAAAAATTAATGCTGGGCTTTATTAAACCAGCTCCTCAATGCCAGTTGTTAAAAAATGATACTGGCAAGCAGTGAAATACCTTGTAAAGTGCCCAGTAGCATCTATAAATAAATTTACAATTCACTTAGGATGGAAACAGTAAAGAGGAAGACTAGAATATATCAATAGGGCTGTAAAATGATGCTTTTGCTTCCATTTACTTCTGACCTCTCAATTACAAAGGCTCCTCAAAAGAGGGTAGAGCGTCACCCCCACATTGCTGCTCTCAGCATATCTGGCAACACAGACCTTCCATTGAAACTTTCATTTCATTACATCCCTGGAGGCAGAAGAACTTTCCAAGTCCAAAGTGGTTCTTTAAGAGGAATAGTTTAAGCACAGGATCATCTGCAATCAAGGTCAAATTGTCTCCATGGTACACTTTTTAAAAAAGCCACTATAACTGAGAGTTTCGATTTATTTCTCTTTTGCAACGAGATGAGAATATATGATACTACTAGGAGAAATTGTAATTTTGCTATAAAGAAGCGTTTTTCAAATTGTTTCTGACAAAACATGAGATCATTTTGTAAGAAAAAAGTTTGAAATATTGTTGACAAATGTTTATTCTATGGTTCTCTTACAGGAATTTGAAATACCAGAGTAGCTTAACAAAGACTCTGAGAAGTCCTGCAATAAGGAAGTATCATTAACTTTGTTGAACATTTTTTACCATTGACTCCATGATATAGTTTGAATATTTGTCCCCACTCAAATCCCATGTTGAATTGTAATCCCCCATTTTGGGAGTGGGGCCTGGTGGGAGGTGTTTGGGTCATGGGGGCAGACACCTCATGGCTTGGCACTGTACTTGCAACAGTGAGTGAGTTCTCATGAGATCTGGTTAACTGTTTGGCACCTCCTCCCTCCTCACTCCTACAAGAGATGTGAAGGAGTGCCATGTGATGTGCAAGCTCCTACTTCGCCTTCTACCATGAGTAAAAGCTCCCCGAGGCCTCCACAGAAAATGAGCAGATGCCCTTGTTATGCTAGTACAGCCCACAGAACTGTGAGCCAATTAAACTTCTCTTCTTTTTAAATTACCCGGTCTCTGCTGTTTCCCTATAATAATGCAAGAATGGCCTAATACACTCCCTTATCTGCATACCGTGTATCTCCATTTTATAGAAGGATGCTTTGTGACGTATGCTATAAGAAATACTGCTCTAAAGAGTTTTTGTAGATGAGATGGCTAAAGTATCACAGAAATGGTATTGTGAACAACCATTCTGAAATGGATGGGCCTTGGAAATAATGATCTAAAAATTCAGAAACTAAAATATTTGTCCCATGAAATACTCTCTAAATGAGTTCCATGTCCATGTAAATTTAGGCAACATTGCACATTATATCCATTTTCTTAGAGAGTAAACATGCTGGAAAAAAAAACAGCGTTACTTTATCTAATTAAATTTTAGAAGGTTTATTTGAATATCAAAATTCATTTCCCCCCAGGAGTAATGATAAATACTAGGGGAGCTAGTGTGAAAAGTGCTTTGGAAAAATATGATGTGGTAGCAAGAAGAGATTTAAGATTCCAACCAATTCAGATTTAATTTTTGGCTCTGCTACTTGCCAGATGAGATTTATTTATGTGGGAGTTTCTGAAGATTCCCATGGTAAATAGTATTCCTCTTCCCTGCTTAGGTTTTGAAGAAGTTGAATAAATAATTAAATGTAAATGTTGATAGCATAAGATGACCTTTATCGCTAACAGAGGTCAGGTTTTAGGACATAGCTAAAAGTCTGCTAATGCTGGTGGACTTGCTCACACAGAAAGAACACCCTTGCTAAAGAGGAAGAAGAGGGAAGAGATGTCAATCATGTGCATATATGGACATTTTAAATAAGTTCTTCTATTTCTAGGGGGGCTGAGGGATGGAAGGAGTGAAAAGAAGCCAGCAGTACCACACCTCTAAAATTCCAAATTCCCTTCAGTGAAAAAGAAACATGAAACATCTCCTCCAGACATATAACCCCATCTTTGAAAAGTGGAGATATCATCCACACAAAAGCCTTCACATGAATACTTATACCAGCTTTATTCATAATAAGCTCAAACTGGAAGGAACCAAGATGTCTTTCAATAGGTAAATGGGTAAACAAGCTGTGATATGGCCATACAGTGGGATATTACCCAATGATAAAAAGAAACGAAATACTAAGCTGTGAAAAGACAGGAAGGACCCTTAAATGCATATTGCCATTTAAGG
Organism: Homo sapiens; assembly: GCF_000001405.40. Lineage (NCBI taxonomy): Eukaryota > Metazoa > Chordata > Mammalia > Primates > Hominidae > Homo > Homo sapiens. Next base: position 29,438,519 of record NC_000011.10, read on the forward strand.
AAGAAGCCAACCTGAAAAGGCTACATGGCATTTTGGGAAAGGCAAAATTATAAAGAAAGTTAAAGGATTGGTGATTCTACGGGTTTCAGTGAGAGGAAGAGAAGGGATGAATAAGTGAAGCATAGGGGATCCAAAGCGTGTGATACTATATGATATCATTTTATATGATACTGTATTCTGTAAAAGATTATAGTTCTATATGATACTATAGTGGTGGATAGATAATATTGTGCATTTGTCAAAATATATAGAACTGTAGAACACAATAATAGAACTTAAATTGTGGGCTTAGTTGATAATAATATATCAATATTGATTTATTATTTGTAACAAATACTCCACACTAACGTAAGTAATAATAGGGGAATGTAATAATAGGGGAAACTGTGTTGGTGGGGAGGGAGGCATGATATATATGGTACTCTGTACCAATGCCCAATTTTTTGTAAATTTAAAACCATAATAAAATTAAGTATATTAGTTATAAAAATTAAAATAAATATTAAAAACAAAAAATATATTAATATGTAATTCATATGACTGCTCAAATGATGGAACAAATATGTGTACCATGTGTATCCTCTATTTAATCCTAATTAATATCCATAGCCATCCTATTGAATCTATCCATCCCATTACTTTCTATTTTCTGGATTCAGATTATAATCAGTATTTTTAATCTCTGCCTAACTGGGCTATTTCCCAGTGACACATTCTCACAAGATGGAGTGTAATGGGAGCAAGACCAAATTCTTCCTCTCATCTTCTTTAGACCCGCTGGGAGATGAAAGAGAAGATTCCTAGCCAAGATTGAGAATGAGGTGTTAGAATGAATACACAAAGTGGTTGGCAGATGTTGATAACAAAGAAGGGGCATGAGGAAATAAAATGGGCAATCTGTTCTTCACCTAAGAAACTGGGCTCATCCTCATCTGCTTGGGGGAAAAATTATACTTTGACTAGCAGTTCTTAGAGGTAGAAAAAAACTGTCAGGGACCCAGTTTGTCTTCTGTTGTTTTAATCTATCTGCCAGAAATTAAATCACCATGCTTTCTTTATTATGGCCATCTATGTGTAGTACTGATTCTTGTCAAGAAGGAGAAAGCATTTAGGGACTAGGGTGCCTAGACAAAAGTAATCCACCAATTCTCTTAAAAAACCATTAAGAGCTACTTGTATTAGCTTAATATTGCTGTGTAACAATTTACCACAAATTTAGCAGCTTAAAACAACAGCCATTTATCAACACTGCAGTTTTCTAGGTCAGAGTCTGGAAGGCTCAGCTTTTTTCTCTAAGTTTCAAAGGACCAAAATCAAAATGTCTACAGGGGTGTGTTCCTCTTTGGAGGCTCTGGAGAACAATCTATTTCCAGGATAATTTATATCATTTGGACTGGGCACAGTGGCTCATGCCTGTAATCTCAGCATTTTGATAGGCCAAGGCAAGAGGATTGTTGTTTGATCCTAGGAGTTTGAGACCAGCCTGAGCATATAGTGAGACCTCATCTCTACAAAAAATTTAAAAATTAGCTGGGTGTGGTGCCACATGCATGTTGTCCCAGCTACTTTATTTGGGAGGCTGAGGCAGGAGGATTGCTTGAACCCAGAAGGCAGAGGTTACAATGAGCCATGATCATGCCACTGCACTCCAATCAGAGCAACAGAGACAGACTCTCAATCTCTCTCTCTCTGTCTCTATACACACACACACACACACACACACACACACATATATATATATATTTGGCATAATTCAGTTCTATGTAGTTGTAGAAACAGGGTGTCTGTTTCCATGCTAGCTGTCATCTAAGGATCATTGACAGCTTCTAGAAGCTGCCTGCCTTCCTTGATTTTTGCCCTCTTTTACTTCAAAGCCAGCAATGGTGGAACAAGTCCCTCTCATACTTTGAATCTTTTGCCCTTTTTCCATTTCATCACTCTTTCTCTTCTGCCTCTCTCTTCCACTTTTAAGGGTCTATTTGATTACATCAGGTCCAACTGGATAATGGTGAATAACCTCTCTATTTTAAGATCAGCCAATTAGCAACCTTAAAGTTCCTGTTGACATGCAGCAGAATATATTCGTAGATGTAACATCAGAGGATAAAATATTATGAGGAATTAAAATGCCACCTTCCACACAAATGTTATTATAAATGTATGTATGTATGTATGTATTTTTTAATAATTTCACCTTTTATTATAAATTAAAGGGTACATATACAGATTTCTTACATAGGTATATTGTGTAATGCTAAGGTTTGGGGTACAAATGATCCTGTCACGGAGGTAATGAGCACAGTACCCAATAGGTGGCTTTTCAGCCCTTGCCCTGCATCATCTCTGCCCTGTCTAGTAGTCTCCAATGTCTGTTGTTCCCATGTTTATGTCTATGTGTATTCAATATTTAACTCTCACTTAAACTGAGTACATGCGGTGTTTGATTTTCTGTTCTTGCATTAGTTTACTTAGGATAATGGTCTCCAGCTCCATCCATGTTGCTGAAAAGCACTTCATTTGTTTTTATGGTTGCATAGTATTCCATGGTATATGTACCATATTTCCTTTATCCAGTCCACTGTTGAGGGGCACCTAGATCGATTCCATGTCTTTGCTATTGTGAATAGCACTGCAATGAACATACAAGTACATGTGTCTTTTTGATAGAATGAATTATTTTCCTCTGCGTATATACCTAGTAGTGGAATTGCTAGGTTGAATGGTAGTTCTGAGTTCTTTGAGAAATCTCAAAACTGCTTTCTACAATGTCTTAACTAGTTTGCATTCCCAGCAACAGTGTATAAACATTCCTGATTATTTCCTTCTTGCATTGCTATAAATAAATACCTGAGGCTGGGTAATTTATAAAGAAAAGATGTTTAATTGGCTCATGATTCTGCAGGATTTACAAAATGCATGGTTTTGGCTTGGCTTCTGGTAAAGCCTCAGGCAGCATTCAGTTATGGCAGAAGGCAAAGGGATAACAGGCACATCACACGGTGAAAGCAGAAGCAAACAGGAGAGTGGGTGGTGTGGGGGCTGCTGCTAACACCTTTAAACAATCAGATCTTGCAAGAACTCACTATCATGAAGATAGCGCCAAACCATGTGATATAGTTTGGCTGTGTCCCCACCCAAATCTCATTTTGAATTGTAGCTCCCATAATTCCGTGTCATGGGAGGGATCTGGTGGGCGGCAATTGAATCATGGGGGCAGGTCTTTCCCATGCTGTTCTCGTGATAGTGAATAAGTCTCATGAGATCTGATGGTTTTATAAAGGGGAGTTCCCCTGCACATGCTCTCTCTTGCCTGTCACCAGGCAAGACGTGACTTTGCTCCTCCTTTGCCTTCTGCCATGATTGTGAGGCCTCCCTAGCCATTTGGAACTGTGAGTCAATTAAGCCTCTTTTCTTTAAAAATTACCCAATCTTGGGTTTGTCTTTATTAGCAGTATGAGAACAGACTAATCTACCATGAGAGATCTGCCCCCACGACACAAACATCTCCCACAAGGCCTCACCTCCTGCACTGGGGATTACAATTAAACATGAGATTTGAACAGGGACAAATATCCAAACTGTATCATTCTGCCCCTGGCCCCTCCGAAATCTCATGTTCTCCTCACATTGCAAAATACAATCATGCCTTCCCAACAGTCTCCCAAAGTCTTAACTCTTTCTAGCATTGGGAGATATACCTAAGGCTAGATGACGAGTTAGTGGGTGCAGCGCACCAGCATGGCACATGTATACATATGTAACTAACCTGCACAATGTGCACATGTACCCTAAAACTTAAAGTATAATAAAAAAAAAAAAAAAAAAAAAAAAGTCCAAGGTCACATCTGAGACAAGGCAAGTCTCTTCCACCTACAAGCCTGTAAAATTAAAAGCAAGTTATTTACCTCCAAAATATAATGTTGGTGTCTGCATTGGGCAAACACACCCATTCTGAAAAAACAAATGGTCAAAAGAAAGGGGCTACAGGTCCCATGCAATTTCAAAACCCAGCAGAGTAGTCCTTAAATCTTAAAACTCCAAAACAATCTCCTTTGACTCTATTTTCCATATCCAGGGCACACTGGTGCAAGAGGTGGCCTCCCAAGGCCTTGGGCAGCTCCACTCTTGTGGCTTTGTAGGTTTCAGTCCCAGTGGCTGCTCTCACAGGTTGTTGAGTGTCTGTGGCTTTTCCAGGCACAGGCTGCAAGCTGCCAGTGAATCTACCATTCTTCCATCTGTAGGACAGTGGTCCCCTTCTCATAGCTCCATTAGGCAGTTCTCCACTGGGCACTCTGTATGGGGCCTCCAACCCCACATTTCCTCTCTGCTCTGCCCTAGTAGAGGTTTTCTGTGAGGGCTTATTCCTGCAGCAGATTTTTGCATGGAAACCCAGGCTTTCTCATACATCCTCTGAAATCTAGGCAGAGGCTGCCAAGCTTCACTCAGTCTTGCATTTTGTGTGCCTGCAGGCCTCACACCATGTGGAAGCCACCAAGACTTATGGCTTGCATCATCCAAAGTGGCAGCTCAAGTTGCATCTGGGCCCCTTTGAGCCCCAGATGAAGCTGTAGTGGTCTGAATTCAGGAAGCAGTTTCTCAAGGCTGTGCAGGGCAGTGGGGCCCTGGGCTAGGCCCATGAAACCATTCTTCCTTCCTAGGCCTCCAGGCCCATAATGGGAAGGGCTACCATGAATGTCTCTGAAATGCCTTCAAGGCCTCAATGCTTCACAACCTGCCAATTTCTGCTGCTAAAAAAACTTTTACTTTCTCTGCCACAGAACCAGTCTGCAAATTTTCCAAACTATTATGCTGTGCATGCTGTATAAATATAAATTCAAACTTTAAATCATTTCTCTGCTCCCATATCTGAGCTTAGGTTGTTAGAAGTAGCCAATTCAATGCATTGCTGATTAGAAATTTATTCTGTCAGACAGTCTAAACCATCACTTGGAAGTTCAAACATCCACACATCCCCAGGGTATGGCCAGAATGCAGCCAAGCTGTTTACTAAGGCTTGACACTCATGACTTTTGCTCCAGTTCACAGTAAGTTCTTCATTTGCATCTGAGACCTTGGCAGTCTGGACTTTGCTGTCCATATCACTATGAGAATTTTGATCACAACCAATTAACCAGTTCCTAAGAAATTCCAAACTTTCCTCTATTTTTCTGTCTTCTGAGCCCTCCAAACTCTTGCAACCTCTACCTGGTACTCAGTTCCAAAGCCACTTCCACGTTTTCAGGTATCTTTACAATGCCCCACTCCTCAGTACCAATTTTCTATATCAAATTCTTCTTGCATTGCTATAAAGAAATACTAGGGGCTGGGTAAATATAAAGAAAAGGGGTATAATTAGCTCCTGGTTCTGCAGGATTTATAGGAAGCATGGTGCTGGCATCTGCCAGGCATCTGGTGAAGCCTCAGTCAACTTTCAGTCATAGTAGAAGGCATGGGGGAACAGGCATGACACATGGCAAAAGCAAGAGCAAATGAGAGGGTGGGGAGGAGAAGCCACATACTTTTAAATGGCCAGATCTCCTGAGAACTCACTATTGAGAAGACAGCACAAAGTCATGAGGGATCTGCCCCCACAATTCAAACACGTCACACCAGGCCCCACCTCCAGCATTGGGGATTACTATTCAACATGAGATTTGGGCAGGGACAAATATCCAAACTAAATCAGCTTTTTTTTTTTTCCAACCTTGCCAGCACCTACTATATTTTGACATTTTGATAATAACCATTCTGATGGGTATAAGCTAGTATCTCATTGTGGTTTTGATTTGAATTTGATTAATATTGGTGTTGAGCATTTTTTTCATACGCTTATTTTCTCCTTGCATGTCCTTCTTTGAGAAATGCCTGCTCATGTCCTTTGCCTATTTTTTAATTGGATTATTTGTTTTTTGCTTGTTTCTTTAAGATTCTGGGTAGTAGGCCTTTGCCAGAGGCAGCATTTGTGAATCTTTTCTCCCATTCAGTAGATTGCCAGTTTCCTCTGTTGGTAATTTCTTTTGCCATGTAGAAGCTCTTTAGTTTTAGTCCCACTTGTCAGTTTTTGCTTTTGTTGCAATTTGCTTTTGGGGACTTAGCTATAAATTATTTGCCAGAGTTAACGTCAAGAAGGGTATTTCCTAGATTTTATTCTAGGACTATTTTATAGTTTGAAGTCCTGCATTTAAATCTTTAAGCCATCTTAAGATAATGTTTGCATATGGTGAGAGGTAGGAGTTCAGGTTCATTCTTCTGCATATGGCTAGCCAGTTATCCTAGCACCATTTATTGAATAGGGAGTTCTTTCCCCATTGCTTATTTTTGTTGATTTTGTCAAAGATCTGATGATCGTAGGTAGGCAGGTTTATTTCTGGGTTCTCTATTCTGTTCCGTTGGTCTATGTGAGTGTTTTTGTATTTAAAACAGAATTGGAATTTAACTACAACCTGCTTATACTCTAAGGAATTTACACTGGCCTTTTCACTGAATATGCATATCACTGTTGGAGACAATCTGTGAACTTAAGAAAGTAAGATTTGTTACAATGTGGTATTTGCTTAAGGGGCCTCCTGTTGCACAAAATAAATCAAAGAAAATATTCTCATTACAAAATAGCAGTTGCTGAGGGGAGACTCAGGTCCCATGAAAGGGATTGTGTTGGGTATTCCTGCTCAAGTGGATCCTCCTCCCCGAACACACACCTATTTTCTTAGAGTTTTAAAATCTACTGGGTTCCTGCTATAGGAAGTTAATTTTTCAGTTGTGATACTAGTTGATATGGTTCAGCTATGTGTCACCACCCAATTCTCATCTTGAATTGTACTCCCATAATTCCCACATGTTGTGGGAGGGACCTGGTGGGAGATAATTGAATCCTGGGGGCGGTTTCCACCAAACTGTTCTCGTGGTAGTGAATAAGTCTCATGAGAGCTGATGGTTTTATCAGGGGTTTCCACTTTTGTGTCTTCCTTATTCTCTCTTTGCCTGCTGCCATCCATGTAAGATGGGGCTTGCTCTCCACCATGATTTTTAGGCTTCCCCAGCCAACTGAAACTGTAAGTCCAATTAAACCTCTTTATTTTGTAAATTGTCTAGTCTTGGGTATGTCTTTATCAGCAGCGTGAAAATGGACTAATATAGTAAATTGGTACCAGTAGAGTGGGGCGTTGGTGAAAAGACACCTGAAAATGTGAAGGTGACTTTGGAACTGAATAACAGTCAGAGGGTGGAGCAGTTTGGAGGGCTCAGAAGAAGACAGGGAGATGTGGGAAAGTTTGGAACTTCCTAGAGACTTGTTGAATGGGTTTGCCCAAAATGCTGATAGCGACACAGACAATAATGTCCAGGTCTTAGGTGGAGAAGAGGAACTTGTTGGGAACTGGAGCAAAGGTGACCCTTGTTATGTTTTAGCAAAGAGACTGGCAGCATTTTGCTCCTGCCCTAAAGACTTGTGGAACTTTGAACTTGAGAGGAATGATTTAGGGTATCTGACAGAAGAAATTTCTAAGCAGCAAAGCATTCCAGGGGTGACTCAGGTGCTGTTGAAAGCATTCAGTTTTAAAGAGGAAACAGAGCATAAAAGTTTGAAAAATTTGCAGCCTGACAACGTGATAAAAAAGAAAATCCCATTTTCTGAGGAGAAATTCAAGTGGGCTTCAGAAATTTGCATAGGTAATGAGGAGACAAATGTTAATCCCCAAGACAATGGGGAAGACTTCTCCGGGGCATGTCAGAGGCCTTCACGGCAGCCCCTACCATCACAAGCCTAGGAGGAAAAAGTGATTTTGCGGGGCCAGGCCCAGGTTCCCTGAGCTGTGTGCAGCATAGGCACTTGGTCCGCTGCGTCCCAGTCACTCCAGCCATGGCTGAAAGGGGCCAGTGTAAAGCTTGGGCCATGGCTTCAGATGGTGCAAGCCCCAAGCCTTGGCAGCCTCCACATGGTATTGAGCCGGTGGGTGCACAGACCCATAGTCGAGAATTGAGATTTAGGAACATCCACCTAGATTTCAGAAGTTTGCTGCAGGGGTGGGGTTCTCATGGAGAACCTCTGTTAGGGCAGAGCAGAAGGGAAATGTGGAGTTGGAGCTTGCATACAGAGTCCCTACTGAGGCACTGACCAGCGGAGCTATGAGAAGAGGGCCACTGTCCTCCAGACCCCAGAATGGTAGATCTACTGACAGCCTGCACTCTATGCCTGGAAAAGCTGCAGACACTGAACACCAGCCCATGAAAGCAGACAGGAGGGAGGCTTACCCTGCAAAGCCACAAAGGCGGAGCTGCCCAAGACCATGGGAACCCAACACTTGCTTCAGTGTGACCTGAATATGAGACAATGTCAAAAGAGATCGTTTTGGAGCTTTAAGATTTGACTTCCCTGTTGGATTTTGGACTTGCATGGGCCCTGTAGCCCCTTTGTTTTGGCCAATTTCTTCAATTTGGAATGGTTGTATTTGCCCAATGTCTGTTCCCCCATTGTATCTAGGAAATACCTACTTTGCTTTTGATTTTACAGGCCCATAGGCAGAAGGAACTTGCCTTGTCTCAAATGAGACTTTGGACTGTGGACTTTTGAGTTAATGTTGAAATTAGTGTAGACTTTGGGGGACTGTTGGGAAGACATAATTGGTTTTGAAATGTGAGGACATGAGATTTGGCAGGGGCCAGGGGTGGAATGATATGGTTCGGCTATGTGTCACCACCCAATTCTCATCTTGAATTGTACTCCCATAATTCCCACGTGTTGTGGGAGGGACCCAGTGGGAGATAATTGAATCATGGGGGTGGTTTCCACCATATTGTTCTCGTGGTAGTGAATAATGTGATCTGATGGTTTTATCAGGGGTTTCCACTTTTGTGTCTTCCTCATTCTCTCTTTGCCTGCTGCCATCCATATAAGATGGGGCTTGCTCTCTACCATGATTGTGAGGCTTCCCCAGCCAAGTGGAACTGTAAGTCCAATTCAGCCTCTTTCTTTTATAAATTGTCTAGTCTTGGGTATGTCTTTATCAGCAGCGTGAAAACGGACTAATACACTAGTTATCAAACTAGTTCATAAGCAAGCTGGCATTATCTGCCTTGAATTTTTTTTTTAATTCTCTGGAGCAAATGCTCCAATATATGAACAGGACCATACAATGAATGGGAACCTGTAAAGATACAGCCCCAGAGTATAAACTTTGTTTGTGAAGTACTCACAAACAAAGCAAATGAAAAAATAAAAATAAAATAAAATAAAATAAAACTGTTCACTATAATCCAGGGAAATTAGTTAATAGGGAGAAATATCCTGGATGCTATGTGATCTGAGGCATAGCATCCTAATTTTTGATACTTGGTTTTCTTATTTCTGATAAGAAGTTAAGACTCTAACTTTCTCTCCTTACTTTATCATTCTGTAATTATAGAAGAATCCACAACAAACCCTTTTTTTATTTTTTTCCCTTTTAAAGCATCACATTAACAGTTTTAAGAAATATTAACCAGGTACTTCCTCATAGACTGATTGTCCTGGAGCTATGAGGGAAATGTAGTTGTTGAGCCAGGCCTAAGGAATTTCAATTTGAAAATGAGAAAACGGGCAATGAAACATACACAAATGACAACAATACAGATAAATATATTGAGTAGAACTGTCATGAAGGTGGTGACACTGAAAAAGTTATGGAAACAGCTGTCCAAATCTACCTAATTCCAACAAAATCATTGAGAAAATATCACTTCAGGAACAGTTGTAAATGGAAACAGTGAGAACTTATTTCATCACAGGAAGTTTCTGAAAGTCTCAAAAAAGTATTTAACTTTCTGTAACCTTTTTGGAGACTCATGACACTCTGGTAGACTGATGGTCCCACTATTTTGATGGACTCATTTTAGTCTGGTTTGCTTACACAACCTATGTGCCTTAAAATAGGCCCCATAGCAGCAGCTGCAAATCAGACCTGTAATTAAGGGGCCTGTGGCTGAAGGACATTCAAGACAATAACATGTGCGTAATGAATATCCTCTTGCTACTTACTTGAAAACATTAACTAAAATGCATGTGGCAATTAATGCTGAAAATTTTGAACTGAATACTCAAAAATTAAGATCAACAAAGAGTCTGTGATATCCATACAGAAAAATGGCCTGTTTTTAGTTTTCTCCCTTGTTAAAGAAAATAATTCGCCTGCCATGCTCCAAAGGACCAGAAGACGGCAGAAGATGCACATGGTTGAGAGAACCCAAACAGCTCTAGATTCTGTTATATAAAGTAGCCTTTCAGACAATATCTTACTTATGCTTTGCTGAAGCTTAATTGTTTTAGTCTTCATTCAAACTTTTTCCTTAGAAAATTAAAATATGTGTGCAGGTTTTAATTTTACCATATACTATCAATTCTAAATATTAATGATTCTACTTTTTGAAGAATGCTATATATTAGTTCCTAAGGTATAAAATAACAATATCCAACAGCCATTAAGTACTTAAGTGAGTGGTAAATTTTCTAAGTGCTTCACAAACACAATACAGTAGGCAGAATTCTAATATATTCTCCAAGATTTTGCACCTGCTAGCATACATATCCTGCATAAGGGCATGAATTGTGAAATGAATTTGATGGATTTTATACTTGTGAGTAGGTTATATTTTACAGTATGGCACTGAGTGTATGGTAAGGAGATTTTCTGGGTGGACCTGATGAAATCACCTGAACCCTTTAAAAGAGGAATTTTTTATCTGGCCAGTAACTGAAGGAAGTCAAAGATTTGAGGCATACAAATTACTTGACATATCATCATTGGTTTAAAGATGGAGCAGGCAGTGCATCAAGGAATATAGGTGGCCTCTAGGAGGTGAGAGTGACCCCCAGCAGCAAGCCAAAAAGGAAACAGGAATCTCAGTATTATAACCACAAGAAGCTGAATTCTGCTAGCAAGAATGAACTCGGAAGCAGATTTTTCCCTGGAGCCTCTAGCAAAGCGCTCAGCCTGGAATGTGGTTTGATCTCAGCCTTGGGATAATACCCAAATGATAGAACTGAATTATGCCATGCCATGCCTCTGACCCACAGAAATGTTGAGAAAATAACTGGGTGTGGTTTGAAGATTCTAAATTTTTTAAATATTTGGTAATTTGTTACACAGTAATAGAAAAATAATATAAATAAATTCATTTGATTCTCATAACAGCCATATGAATTAGGAACTATTGTTCTTATTTTAAATCTGAGGAATTGGAGATATAGAAAAGTATAATAACTTGTCCAAGATGGCACAAGTAGTAAGTGGAAAAGCCAAGATTCAAAATAAGGCAAATGAATCCTGTATTCTCATACCCCAAGCTTGCTTGCTTTCAAAGGGAAATGCCAGCAAATTCCAAGCAAAATACTTGAAATATTTAAATATTTCAAAATATTGAAAGTCAGGCAGCAGGGCAAAATTCATCATAGGTTGACAGAAAGACTTCCAGCACACTTTTGAAACTTATTTTCAAAATAAAGACTTAAAAGATGTAGTGGAAAGTAACTGGCATGTCCTTTGGGACACACAGACACATATGTCCTTAAGGACAAAGGCATCAGGCAATCCTGCCTTCATCATTTGCTGCATCAGCTTGGGGAAGTCACTTCACCTCTCTAGATGGGAATATGGTAGCTGATACGTTTTCCTCTATGTCCCCACCCAAATTTTATGTTCAATTATAATCCCCAAAGTTGGGGGAAGGACCTGGTGGGAGGTGATTTGATCATGGTGGCGGATATCCCCCTTGCTTTTCTTGTGATAGCGAGTGAGCTCTCATGAAATTCAGTTGATTGAAAGTGTGTAGCACTTTCTCCTTCACTCTCTCTTCCTCTTGCTGGCTATGTGAAGAAGCAGAAGCCTGTACGGCCAGCAGTAGAACCATGAGCCAAGTAAACCTCTTTTCTTTATTAATTACCCAGTCTCAGGTATATCTTTATAATAGTGTGAGAATAGGCAATACACCACCCATAAATAATACCATGAAATCACTGTTGTGTTATTCAGAAACTATTGGATATAATGGTACATTTAACAAATATCAAGAATGTTTTTGAAGATTACTTAATGAAACAGTAAAAAGCTCTGACAAAATGTTCAATAAAATCAGTATTTACAAATATATTACATATATATATATATGTAATGGGCTCACTTACATAATTTTAAAAAGTATATAAACATACCCACTGAGTTATTTGGGAAAAAATTAAGGAATACACTAAAACATTAAACTTTTAGTGTTTTAGCACTACATACGATTTTTAAAATCTTTTATTCTACTGAAATATCTGAACCTACTATAATTAATCAAACAAATATTTATTGAATGTATGCTGTATTCTTTGCTTACATGAGTATTTTTAGAAAAAGGTATTGTATCTTTCTGAAAGTTTCCTTCTATCCCTTCAATATCTATACTCAGATCTCCGATACTCCTACCATGATTTTACCCCATCTAATACCTGACAGCCAATACCTTTATGCTCATCTCCCCCAGTAGATTGTGATAATCCTTTTTTGCGAGGGACGATGTCTTGTCCTATTGTATTTTTAGCACCTGGCACATAGTAGGATCTCAAAACGTCTAATTTTCTTTCTTATTTGAATAATAATAAAAATCTTGAGAAATAAAGTCAGATAGTTATCAGGACTTGTTGAATTTTTGGTTATGTTTTAAGAATAAAGATCTTTCCAATGATATAGTTGTTTGCTGTTTTCTGGAGCCTATTATCACAATGAAAAGGCTGGCTGTTCTCCCATAGGAGCCCCTGCTGGCTTCCTACTAAATACTCATTCCTAAATTAACCACAAGCATGCAGATTGTATCTGTAAACAAAGTAGTAAATCTAAAAGTAAAAGTAATTATGTAATTAAAATGAAAAAGATAATAATTAATTTAGAATGCATTCATTTTAATTGAGTAAAAGAAAAATATGATGGCCGTATAGAGAAGGTGTTGAGAGAGAAGGAGGGAGGGAAGGTGAGAGGCAAGTGAAGGGAAGAGAAAGATGGCACTGATTTAATAAAGACCTCAGTATTAAAAAGTACCAGTCAGAAATCAGAATTTAAAGCATATCATAGCCATGTTGGCATTGACCCCACACAGAAGAGTTGAAAGCATCTCATAGATGTGATGGCATTGCTCCTAGTTTTTGGCTCTTGGTGAAGAAAGACTATAGGATCAGCCGATGAAAAATTATTCCATAAAGAATATATCATCAATAGGTATTTTATAAGGTTCCTTTCCTGGGAAATGTCATAAATTGCCATAAATTTTTGAAGAGGTATCAAAATTTTCTTTAGGTCATATTTTTCTGATTCTATAACATCTTGATCAGTGGTCACATGTCATCACACAAAGATAAGCAGAAGAATGACATGTAACCAGAATAGATTTTGAGTGGCCTCAAGGCTTTGCTTGTTAATTACTGTCATGAACTGAATGTGTTCTTCCAAAATTCATATGTTAAATCCCTAAAGAGGTAACTACAGTTAAATGAGGTCGTAAGCATGGGGCTCTATTCCAATAGGACTAATGTCCTTATAAGCAGAAGAGATAACAGTGCTCACTCTCTCTTTCCTTCTCTCTCTCTCTCCTCCTCTTTTTGTGTGCAGAAAAAAAAGGCTGTATGAAGACCCAGAAACCTTCGGACCTGAGAGAAAATTAATTTATGTTGTTAAAGTCACCTAGTCTGTGGTGTTCTATTGTAGCAGTTTAAGCTGACTAATAGACTTACAAAGATCTTTGTGGTAGCAAAATCTCAGTTCAGTGAGCAAACTCTGTGTGATCAGCTGTATTTTCTCAGGCAAAATGATTCAGTGTGACTTGTCTCCTCTTCCTGCCTCATTTCCTAGTCTGGAATCAGACAGACACTGCCAAGATCTCTTTACTTAATTGGCTCAGAACTGAAACACAGAGTATCTAGGGGAGTTAAGAGGAAAGCCTGGGGGATGTAAAGAAAGAGTCACTTTCTGCCCCTGTGTCTCTGCTCATGAAGGAGGAGGGGTCAACTTTTCAGGTGGTTGGGAAGATGCCCAGGAAGGACATAACTGGAATCTGAAATTTCTTAAAAATGGCCATATCCTTGAATGTTGAAAACCTCAGAGAGAGACCCAGAAGATATTTCAGGTCTATGAACACCCTATATTTGTCACTGATATTAGACAACCTACCCTAGCATAGTTTCCTAGCCAACCGGAAGAGATAATATGGAACCCACAGGAATATTTTTTTATAAAATAGACAAGCAGATTGACTCAGACCTCTTTCCTCTGGGCCCCTCTCTAGTTTCCAAGATAGAATTCTAAGGTGGATGGAATGGTGGATACCTCCAAGTAGGAGACCCCTAGACCCTTCTTACTATGCTAGCCACATGAGAGAAGACAAAGAGTATGATTCTACAAAACTAAACGTTAAAAAGAAGAATCAGATGGATTACTCTTCATGACCACAGAAGACTTTTTACCTTTTCACAGATCACATGGTATGTGAAAGGGTTAGTCTTTTAGCTTTGTGGCATAATTTTAGCACAGCTTGTCTTTGGTATGAGTAGTTAGTATTGTAATATAGAACACATGTTAACATTATGCACTGAAAGAGTAATAATATTGTATTAGTCTGTTCTCACATTGATATAAAGAACTACCTCAGACTGGATAATTTATAAAGAAAAGAGATTTAATTGACTCACAATTCCACAGGCTGTACAGGAAACATGGCTGAGGAGGCCTAAGGAAACTTACAGTCACGGCAGAACACAAATGGGAAGTAGGCATGTCTTACATGGCCAGAGAAGAAGGAAGAGAGAGAAGGACAAAGTGCTACACACTTTTAAACAATCAGCTCTCATGAGAACTTACTCACTACCACGAGAACAGCAAGGGAGAAGTCCGCCCCCATGATCCAATCACCTTACAACAGGCCCCTCCTCCAATATTGGGGATTACAATTGGACATTAGACTTGGGCAGGGACATGAATCCAAACCATATCAAATATTGTATTGAGATGGTTCAGTTCACCTATGTGCTGATCATTTTGCCATAGTGTCTTACATAAGCCATAGAAAATTCCAGGATATTGTGGCTCTCTGCTATTTTTGCATGCTAACATTCATTCATTCTGACCCTGTTTTAAAAACCTCAGTTTCCTTCTGGGAAGCTATCTCTTTTCCACTTTGTTCTTTAACTTTCTGTGGGTGGATGGTAGAAGTGAAGCATGAGACAAGTCTGAGCCAATCAGCAGATCATAAACAATATGGATGATGAAGGTATTTTCCCTGAAACTTCTCAGGAGGAAGCACTCCTATTTTCCTCTGTGCCTGAACTGAGATATACACCTAAGAATTGCTGGTTTGGGTTGATTATCTAAGAGAATAAACTGCTTAAAATTAGTCAGAAAAGGGTAAAGTGAGGCTACAAAGTAAAGAGAGAAATTGGATCCAGGCAATGTTGTTTGAATCCTGGATCAAGCCTCATCTGAATTCAATGTCTATCTTTGATCTGTTCAGTTATGTAACATTTTTTAGAAAGTCCGATTAAGCCAGTGTAGGCCAGGTCTTTGGCATTTGCAACAGAATCCTCACTGCAGCATTTCATGTTACACGTGAGTCCCTGAATCTTATGGAAGTTAAATAATTTAACCTAAAGCAATATTTATATTAAGTAACAGAAATGCTAAACCCCATACACAAACACTTGGAGAACTTGGATGCAATACTCCCCATGTCTGAGCTGAAGATAAGATATTTTACCATGAACTGGCTCATGGAAGCAATGAAAAGAAACACATTTTGAAGAACATTGGTCTGACATTTACTTTTGTTTTTCACATAATGAGTACATGTCAAAGTAGGATTCCATCCTGAGTCTCACCAACTCTATAGCAAATACCCTACTGTATTTTTTTATGTAACAGAAGTAAGAATAACATTCTATGTCACAGAGAAATTGATTATTTCTCAATAAAGCCAATATAAGAACAGGTGAAGCATAGGGGGAAAGGTTAGAATTGCTCTATGATTAAAGTTTGTTGGCCTGAAACAGACATGCTATAGAAAGTTGTGAGAGCTGCCTTCAGGAATGTGTGACATAGATCCTCCTTCCTTAAACCACCAGGAAACAGACAAAGAGACTGGTTATGGAAAGAATCTGGGCCTTGGTGAGAGATAGTAGAAAGGACGTGGCCATTGGTATTAATTGAAATATATAACATGTCTTCCTAAGCTATTTTCTCCCCAAATATGTTCCTTGCAGTACTGCTGTTTGACATGCTCTCTAAACATATTTTTTATTGTAATCCACAGAAATTGACTATATAAAGGAAAAGAGGAAGGTATTGAGGGACAGTCATTAGCACCTAAGTTGACAGTGGGCTGAGGTTCTGCCTTGGCTAATGGCCAGATCCAATAGTGGCTAGAAGCACTATAAGGTCACTGCCGAACAGCCTTGTGAGTGGGAAGCTACTGCCTGCCACTGGATACTAACTACCACTACTACCACTCAGTGGTCATCAGATGTTGTCAGCACTGCAGAGGAAAATTCTATATTGTCCTGCTTGCTTTCTTTTATCATTGGTTCCCGATTCAGAGTTTCTTGTAGGAGAATCCTATTGGCCAAGCTTAAGTCACTTCACCAAAATCCAACTGCTTTTTCTCGAGGAAAAAAAAAAATGTCAGGTATTTTTGGCTTCTATGATGTGAGGAAGATCTTTAATCCATGTATAGATTTACCCCAAATTATCTTCTTTAAACATAAAAATGAGCAAGTGAGTAAGCAACAAATATCTGCTCCACCCAGAAAAATGTTCTTTAGAAAACAAACAAAAAGCACAAAAAATGGGAAGTACTGTTTACCATAATTTTATCTTGGAGATTCACAATTTATTTAAGTGGTCAAAATCTCTGAGAATTCTTACTGCACAACAAACAAAAAACCCTGTTATTTTTAGAATTTGTCATTCAACAAACTTATTTGAACATGATACCTTTGATTATAGAATATTTGAATATCTCTCGTATTTTTCCTCAAGTTGTAATTTGAGAAAAGTTGTCTTGAGCCTTCTCCAGATGTCTTATCTATGTCCTCCCCCAGCCTTTTATAAACATACCCCGAGATGGCAAACTAAATGCAGGAGCTAAAAAGTCTCATGTTCCCCTTTCAAACTATGGTTATATTTAATACCAGAGTCTTTTAGAATCCATTCACAGGACTTGAATCCTGGATCTGAGTTTGCAAAAGAAATGAAGCTAATGAAAGACAAGGAACTTCTGGTCTTAGTTGAGATGCAAAAAGAATTTCAAGGAGAAGTCAAGGAACAAAAAACAATGGCCAAAATCATGGTGAGTAAATTATATCCTTTACCCTTGTGAAGAGACTTCAGCCTACAACCACATTTGTGTCCTCCTCAATTATACTGTCAATATCTCAAGTCTAAACCCATGCACACATTTCTGTTTTCTTTGAAACATTCCCTCTTCTGCTTGCTCTGGCTGATTTCTTTTCATCTTTCATCCTAAATAGCTCTTCCTCACGGATGACTTTACTTGCTTTCCCCACCAACTGAATTTGAAATCACTGTTATGTGCTCCCATGATACCTTTGTAAGTTCCCACTTAACTAATATCTTACATTATGCGATTGATCATTTGATTGTGTCTCCACAGGATGGGTTATAAAAGAAAAAAACTATTTATCTGTTTTATTCCTTCTTTGTATAGAACTCCATGAATTTCATCCACCATATAATAAGGTAGATGATATTCATTTCCCACCAGGTGAAAGGTAAGTGTGTTAGTTTCCTAAGGTTATTGTTAAGTATAAGAAACTTGGTGACTTAACAGAAATTTATTCTCTCACAGCTCTCAAGTCTGGAAGTCCTAAATCAAGCTGAGGGCTGAGCCACGCTTCTTCCAAAGCTTCCAGGAGAGGACCCTTCTTTGCCTCTTCCAGCTTCTGGTAGAACTCAGATGTTTCTTGACTTGCCAGAATAGCACTTTGTTGCCTGCCTCTGTAGTCACATGACACTCTCCTGTGTGTGTCTGTCTCTGATTTTCCTTTTTTTTTTTAAGGACACCAGTCATATTTGATCAGGGCCCAACCTAAGGACTTCAGCTTAATGTGATTATACCTGCAAATACCTTATTTCCAAATAAGGTCCTATTCACAGTTACTGGGGATTAGGACTTCAACATATCTTCAATCCATAGTAATATGGTTTATGCCCTTTTTGTTCATCTAATGCATGCATAACCTCTTCTCAGAATGTTAAGGCATAGTACATAATAAGTGGCTACTTGCTCTCTCTCTTTCTATAAATAGTAAGAGAGAGAGAGAGAGAGAGAGTGTGTGTGTGTGTGTGTGTTTAACAAAAAGTTCAACATTTGAGAGAGGACTGTATGAGTTCCAATTGCTATGTTAATGCCCAGGGAGTTGGGATGAGAGAGGAATGGCTGGAAGGAATACAAAAACAAATCTATGGTAAATCCCTACTGTGAAGGAAAGTTAAGAGAGATAGATTGTATTTCTTACAACTAGAAGAGGTGGGCATGTGGAATAAACTTGGGTTTAACTTTAAACTGATATTGTAATCTGTTTGGTGAGATAAAGCTTCAAAAAGAGAAAGAGGCAGCAGCAATCTTGCCATTGTCTCAGGAGTAAGAATATGCATTCATGTTTTCTCTTTGTCTTTCCTCACCCTCTTCTATTTTTCCTTTTCCTTTTGTCTTTTTCCCAATTTCCCTAGAACCGTAACTAAAATAAAGTATTTTATCTACCTACCTGTCTCTTCTTTGCAGGAAAACATTTCCATCTGGCTTTCCTCTGTCTGACTTAAACAATGATTTTCCATCCTACCTGAACATTATAATCATCTGGAAGAGTTTTTTAAAATACAGATGCTATTGCTACACCCATGGAGCTTGTGTCTTACCATCTGATATGGTTTGGCTGTGTCCGCACTCAACTCTCATCATGAATTGTAGTTCCCGTAATCCCCATGTGTCATGGGAGAGGCCTAGTGGAAGGTAATTGAATTATGGGGAAGGTTACCTCCATGCTGCTGTTCTCATGATAGTGAGTGAGTTCTCAAGGGATCTGACGGTTTTATAAGGGGCTTTTCCCTCTTTGCTCTGCACTTCTGCCTGCTCCCACCACATAAAGAAAGATATCTTTGCTTCCCCTTCCGCCATGAGTGTAAGTTTCCTGAGGCCTCCCCCGCCATGCTGAACTGTGAGTCAGTTAAACTCTTTCCTTTATAAATTACCTAGTCTATGGTATGTCTTTATTAGCAGCATAAGAATGGACTAATACAGCATCTGTGATTCTATTCCAGTTTAGGATGAGATCCCCTGGTCTCTAAGATGCTTCAAGATAGCAGATCCAGCATTAACTCCTTCAAGTGTGAAATCCTGACAGCTAAATAGTTTCTTTCGTAAACATATCTTAAGCATTTAGTGGCCTCCTTGTCCTTCAAGACTGTGTTAAGTGTTTCTTTTCATACAATATGTTAGCCTTGTATTATATAACCTGGACAGTTTAATTCAACTCTAGTCGACTTTCTCCCTACCCCCACCTTTACTTTTATCTCTGTCTCACTTAGACTGACCCCATTGAGGATGGGGGCTGTTGCCTTTATCTCTGTGTCCCATTTATCTACTACAGGGCTCAGCACACAGTATGCCTTTAATGCATTTAGTAAAATAATGACTTACTTCTCTAGTTTGAGTTTTCAGAAAAAGGAAATTTCTCCTACTCTCAATATCTCATATTGGCCTGAGCCCTCAACCAATTGAAAGCAAACAACAGCTAAATTTCTCACTACATCTCCCATGCTAACTTAAAAAAAATTTCCTTTGATCTCAGCTGCTGATGGAGAGACTATGAAGTAACAGAAGTTTCTCTCTTCTTTAGCGAAAAATAATATGGTACTAATGCCCAGGAGGGATCTAAGGTTCTATTTTTATCCCTTCTCTGAATTATCAATTTACTGCTAGGCTTTGTTTTGAATCTCAGGGCTCTGACAGAGCAGGCTCTATCTTTCAGAGCTGACTGTTCTGCAAGATTATTTTAAAAGTAGCTTTATTAAAATAAACACATTTAAAATCAAAACAACTCTGGTGCTTCTAGAGATATTTCCTAGAAAGGAGTGTGAAAAACAAGTCAACTGCTGAAGGACCATTTTATTACTTCTAACTACAAGTAGTTTTTTCCATGCTATAGTGACTTTTTTGAGCAGAGAAGCAGGGCTTATTTAAATAATTATTCAGGCTTTCCAGGTACCATGGCGTCTTGCTCTTTTGCTTTCTGACCTGATGCCTTCGGTGTCCTTCTCAAAAGGCTCTCAGATCACCTTCAGTTGTTCTAGACCTTGTACTGCAGAGTTGCTTGACTTTGAATTTTCCATAAAATTGCATTTAAATATAAGAAACCTTCAAAATATTTTTATTGAATTTATAATTTGGAAATAAAAGCCTAAGATGAAGGGAGGCATTGTGATGCAAAAGGAAAAGGCATAGATTTGAGCATCAAAGGACCTAAGTCCCTGCACGACATTAATTGTATGACTTTTGGAAGGTCATTTTACCTCTTTGAATTTCATCTCTTTCATCTGCAAAATGAAAGTACTGAGCACATAGCTTATACATACGTTTGAGGGTTAAAGAGGACCAGCTATAAAGTACTAGACACATTGCAGTAAGTGTTCAGTGAAACAGGATTCACTCCACTGCCCGTGATTGTCCTTTTCTTCATATTTCAATTAAAATAACCACTGTAACAATCTTTTCTCTGTCAAATCATTAGCCTGATGAACTAATCCTCATCCTCCATTGCATCTATATTCTGGTTGTAATTGCTGTGAAAAACAACTCATGTAAATGACACAAAGACCCAGCTAATGAGGAAAGGCCAAATATTAATTCACAAATACATTCTGAAAAATGTCATTTTTACTTTAATATATTTTTGATGTATCTCCCATATGCCTGGGTTTATGCTTATTTCTATTAACTCTTATGTCCTCTCCTCAAAATACTGGCATTCTTGTAGGTTAGTCATTACCATGAAAAGTTCCTGTATGAAATTGACATTCATGTATACCATGAATGAAGCATAGATAAAGACTAGTCATTCAAAAGAAAAAAAAAGAGAGAGACATTTATTTCCTTTATGAGGGAACAGTAAAGGATTCTGGAAGTAAGTAGAATATTAGCAATGGCAAAAAAAGTTAATAGAATTTGGAAATGGAGAAACTAGAAAGGAAAGCATCATCCATGATAATAGTAACATGAACAGAAACATTCAAGGGCCAGCAATGGGTGCATTTGGAGAAGTGAGAATTCAGTTTTGTTGGAACAAATAGTTCACAAAAAGAGAAAGATTAGTTTTATATGTGTATTGCAACTTTAGAGCACTATGATAATGCAACTTAAAATCCTAGTAGGCATCTGAATTGGCCTTAGATAATTTGGAGTTGGAAATGTGTCTTCCTATATGGTAAAAATTAATTTTGGCTTAGAGATTACTCCTTCTTGACTAAAATCTAACTAAAATCTGAATTGAGCATATATATATATATACACATATATATATGTGTATACATATATATGTGTACACATATATATACATATATATGTGTACACATATATATACATATATATGTGTACACATATATATACACACATATATATGTACGTATATATACACATATATATGTACGTATATATACACATATATATACATATATACATATATATACATATGCACATATATATACATATACATATGCACACACACACATACATACATACACGGGGGGGGGGACAGAGAGACTGAGAGGGGCAGAGGGAGAGACAGAGAGAAAGAGTGCTAAATCAATAGATGACCTATACTACTTCACTGAAAATACCATGATCTGGGTAAATGCCATCCTTTGAGAATTTCCAAAGCCAATGCTTAAACAGTGAAAACATGAGAAAGGCAGTCCCTCACCCAATCAGTTATATAATTAGTTATTTGAAACCAAATCATCAAAAACAGGCTTTTGTCTTGATGTGACTACCCGTAAAAACTTTAACCAACATTTAAGACCCATCGAAAATGCCAGTTCTTCCATTAAACTTTTAAAATTTCTTAATACTGACTCAAGGTTTTTCTCTTTTATTCTCTTCTCTTTATTTATATTAACACTTTTTGTGATATTATGAAATTCAGGGCTTTAAATATTGTCCAGTTGACTCCTAAATATATATCTCCATTCCAGACCTATGTCTTAAGCTGCTGATGTATTACTCCAACTCACTCAACATTTCTACTTGAATGATTAGTTGATATCACAACCTAACATGTCTAAAACTGAATTTCTGATATTCCTCCCCAAAGATGCTCAATTGATCTTAGTTAATGCCAAGTCCATTATTCCATTTTCCCTGATCCAAAACCTCGAAGAAATCTCCTTTCTCTTATACCATCCAAATATTCAATCGACCAGCAAATTCTGTTATTTCTACTTTCAAAATCCAAAATACTTCCAAGTATCATCACCTCTCTAGTCCAAATCACTGTCACTTTCTCACTTATTATTACAAATAGCCTTCTAAATGTGGTTCTCTTGCTTCTATGCTTAACCTTCTTTCTAATAACCAGTCTAATCTCAGGACAGCAGCTAGAATAATCTTCGTAATACAAAAGTCAAAGCATATCACTCCTCTACTCAAATATTTCATGTAGATCATTATTTCACTCAGAGTAAGAGCCAATGACTTTACAATGTGAGATCCCTAGAGGGCTTGCAAATTTGACTGTTGAGGTCATGTATGTTTCCTAAGTGCCTGGAATCATGTTGGCACACCATAGATGTCCAAACAATAATTAATAAATAAAATTGATGAAAAGATATTTATCCTTTTTTACCTGCTCTCTCATTTTACTTAGTTCTTGATACCAGCAGCTTCTAGTATAGTTCTTTTCAGTAAATGTAGCATGAATTCAATTATATTCCACATTTCAATGGCTTTAGAGCCACAGAGTCTGCACATTAGCAGGATGGAAAACAAACCATTATTTGCTTATATCTATTGATACTAGTGGAAAAGATCATCTGCTCTTAAAAAACAAATAAATCGATATTGTTAGCAGCAGAATCTGAAATCTGAATTCCCTGGATTAGTGGTTTTAAACTGTTTTTCACATTCCGCTCGTGGTTCTGAAAATGTGCTACAAGTGTTACTGGAAAGGTGAAAGTCATGAGGCACTTTCATCCCAACCCATCAAGAGTTGTATAGGAACTTCCCCGAGTTCCTGCTCTCCCAGGCCAGCTCTGCTATTCCTGTTTCCATATTCAGATTTTGGGTAAGATTTTGTTGAAAGGAAAAATTCCAGAGCAAAAAGAAATTTTGAAGACAACTAAATTAGGTCATTTTTTCCAACTCTCAACTTATTTTCATCTGTATAAACACAATTTTTGCTTTCAACCATTGCCAGCTCTGGAGCTAAAGGGAATTTAGCTCACATTGAATATCAAAATATAGGGTTTTTTTTAAATTTCAAACTGACACTTTCTATTTTTATTTAAAGTAGGGCAAATGGATTTTTCTTATCTTAAGAAAAATATTTACTTTTCTAAACTATCAGCAGTTTATTCATTTATTTTGTCATTCTTTCTTCCCCTTAGAAGACAATGGCTGAATGATAATTGGTACAATAGTGTCCAGGAAAATTCATGTTTTCTATTAAATACAACAGAGAAGGAAGATAGGAAATCAAAATGACAGAACTTATCATGTCATAACATATCACACCGTCAGAATCTTTAATTTGATGTCTTAAAAAAAAAAGCCCCCACCTACAGATGTGCTACAACTAGCAATTTTTAGTCATCCAGGAATATTTAACATCTACTCATATACAATTACCTTGCTTGATGCTTTTCTTTTTCATTTATTTTTAATTTTTTCTTTGGCTTATTATTATAGTCTACAAAAATGTACCAATATGTATCACATCCTTTCTTATTTGTCTGATCCCTCTTTTCCTAGGAAAAAGGAAAGTTAGCATTTTCTAAGTTATTTTTGTGATTCTTCTCTGTCCTCTCTTTGAGGCATTGTTAAGTGGGCATTTAGTATCTGTATATGGTTTAATACTTTCAGAAATCTGAAAGAGATAAATGTATTGTACATTTTTAACTACCAGCCAGAATGCAGATTTTATTGGCCAAGTATGATAAATATTTTATAATCTTGTAACTCCTTAAGCCAATGATTCTTGACTCACTACACATTAGAATTAACTTAAGAGCTTTTAAAAGACATGGATGCTTAGCAAGGACAAATTAAATCAGGATCTCTTAGAGTGAGATCTAGGCACTGGTATTTTAAACTACCTGGGATCATGCTGATGTGTAGTTAATGCTGAAAACCACTTTTCTAAGAGGACTACGTAACTAAAAGGGGAGCTATCAATTTATTTTAAACTTGGTCTCAATGCATAATACTTGGAAAACATGGAAATGCAATAAGGACTGAATTTGCTGTGCTTTGTTAGTTTGATATGACCTGGAGTGGCTTAGAATGGAACCAGAGGTAAATTTACCATGAGCCTGATGAAGCTTAAGCTTCAGTATCCCTAATTGCTTCTGCCTCTGTGAGTGCTGGGATTTGCTAAGATTTATATAGTGTTCAGGTAGGATAAATCAGGCAGCAACCAGAAAGCATTTCTGTCTAAGGAGTACTTGTAAATTGCTTAAAGAGGTCTCAGAAAAAAGGGACTTGTGTTAGTCCACAGAAATTCGTTGGAATGTCTTTTATTATTTTACATTAATATTCAATTTCAAACCCATTTGTATGTTTGTAATTTTGCACACCTTTTCTCAAAGATGAACTCAAAATTGTATATGCTTGAGGCCTCCCAGTACCTG
Source organism: Homo sapiens (assembly GCF_000001405.40). Classification (NCBI taxonomy): domain Eukaryota; kingdom Metazoa; phylum Chordata; class Mammalia; order Primates; family Hominidae; genus Homo; species Homo sapiens. Next base: position 29,463,427 of record NC_000011.10, read on the forward strand.
GATTTGTCTCTGAGTGTGACATGTTTTAAAAAAGTAGAAGAGGTCATATTCATAACTAGAAATTTAAATGTTAGAAATTCACAGTGAAGAAAGGCACATTGATTCTTGCCTGCATAATAATATATTTCAAGTAGATGGTGACTCTACTTTTGAATCAGACTTTAAAAAATATTTAACTTAAAGAATGTGTTATTTCAGTTCTTCTCTAAGTTCTTTTGAGTAACTTTAATATATATTCTTAAATGCCTTTCTGAATGAGAAACAACCTAATAATTTCTGTTGAATAAAATTCCCTAATTTTCCCTAAAATTGTACAAATTTTAATTTCTGCAAGAGTTCTTTTAATCCAGTCTGCTTTCCTAATTTACCTTGGACTGATACAGAGAAAATAAGGAACCTCTTGTTCATGGCACCTAATTTTATCACAACCAACATTGCATTTTCTTGTATTAGCAGCGATATATACGCCTATTATAATACTTATATAATTTTACCCCAGATATTTGTCTCTATATCTTGGTGTATGCTTTTGCAACTTCAGCAAGAATTATGGGATCTATGAAGCATTCTGCAAATAATTGAAAAAACGATTTTGTTTTAGAGGTCTTTTTAAGGGAACTCTTTTGAAGGAAGTGTCACAACCACTTTACTTAATTTCTCTACTCTTAATTTCATGTAGAATGTGAGGGAATTTGAGATGAAACTAAGAAATCAAATTAAGTAGATTCATTTTCTTCAGCTAATGGTTCCTGCATCCTTCATAGCTAGGTGCTTATTTCCTTTTCACGGTACTCAGATTAGTCCACTTTCCATTTGAAACCCAGTGTGGTAAAGCCATACAAAGTAGCTGACTGTTAATATTGGCAACATGTTCATCCTCTCTTAGTGTTTAAATATTCACACTCTCAGAATGGAGATGATGATCATAGAGAAGAGGTGGGAGCCCAGGGCTATACCTCAATCTGCTTTTACATATATCTTTATAGCTGTAGCTTGCATTTAACATCTCTGGAAAGCACCAAAGGAAATCTAACCAAAAACCTTTTCAAAATTCAGGAGAGGATGAAATATTTTAGAAAGTGCGTGCTCACAACCTTATTGAATTCTTATCATTTATAGCATTTCTTTCTCAGTTGAATCTCTTGGATTTTCCAAGTATACAATATTCTCATCTGAAAATAGTCATCATTTTGCCTTCTTTCAATTCTTATACCTCTAACATCTATCTGCTTTTAATGACTAATACCATAATAAAAGGTTACCTATAGTATGGATGATGGCTGGAATCTTTATCTTATTCCTGACTTTAGTATTTCCCTGTTGAGCATGAAACTGGTGCTTTTTTTATTATTATTATTTTTGGAGACAGAGTCTGGCTCTGTCTCCCAGGCTGGAGAGCAGTGGCGTAATCACGGCTCACTGCAACTTCCGCCTCCCAGATTCTAGCAATTCTCCGCCTCAGCCTCTTAAGTAGCTGGGATTACAGACGCTCACCACCACATCTGGCTATTTTTTTTTTCTTAATTTTTTGTAGAGATAGGGTTTCGCCATCTTGGCCAGGCTGGTCTTGATCTCCTGACCTCGTGATCCACCCACATCAGCCTCCCAAAGTGCAGGGATTACAGGCGTGAGCCACCATGCCCAGCCGAAACTGGTGCTTCTTTTGAGATAAACATAGTTTATAATACTGAGGGAATATCAGTAAATCCTTTTGGTATTTAGACTTTTAAAATCAAGAATATGTGTGAAAATTCTGAAAATGTATTTTCAGCATGTAAGCATGTGATCATATGTTTTAATACGTTAATTCATGTAATGTATTATATCAATACATATCCTAATATTGACCCAATATTGCATTCCTGTTATTAAATACATTTAGCTAGGATATATCAATTTTTAATGGGTAACTAAATTCTATTTGCTAATATTTTATTTGTGATTTTTAAATCAGTATTTTTAAGCAAATCCATAATTTTCTTTTTATGTTGAGTCTTTGTCACATTTTCATAACAATTTTGAAGAGACTTAAAATAACCCTTTTTAAAAATGTTCAGAGCATGCTCCAATCTGGCTATCATTGAAGATAGATATAATATTGGCTGAACTTGAAAGATGTGATAGAATTCCTCTATAAAGCCTTCTTGGCCTTTTTCTTTTGGGAGTGGGAGGTGGTGGTGATTATTTCATATACTACTTTTGCTATTATTTTTCTCATCCTAAATAATTTTGGCAAGACAGAAGAGTCACTAGGGGCCCAACAGTAAAGTTCCTGAGATTTGATTATTGATTACCAAACTGGGGAATGGGGAGACTATTTATTAGGTGACTACAAAGTGCTAGTCCTTCCATTTATTTAACTAAAAATCAGTTTGATTAAATATCGGAATATATGTTTTACAGGTAGAAAAATGAAGCTCCAAGATGTTATGTAACTTTTTCAAGAACATAAGCAGCACTGCATGATTCAAATGCTTATCTCTATGACAACGAAGCCCAAATTTTGTAGATTGCGCTATTCTTTCTCCTGTTTGCTTTCTAACCAGATACGTGATGTAGAATGTATAAATCAGGAGGTATAACTATCACTTAGTTATTAAGGTGTGTAAAATCTAATGCTCAACAGCTTTATAGCAACATAGGTTGTAGTCCATGTGCATGTAATCAACTCACCAAACAAGAAGGGGATGCTGAGACCTTCAAGGTATTAAATCCATTTAGCCAGGATATATTAGTTTTTTAATGGGTTACTAAATTCTACTTGCTAATATTTTATTTTTGATTTTTTAATCAATATTTATCAGATAAATTCTTAATTTTTATGTGCATTGTTTGTCACTTTTTCATAGCAATTTTAAAGAGACTTTTCTTGTTCTGATTTGGAAGCAAGAAAAAATAGAGCTAACCTTCGCTGGTAGGCCTGGGATATGTTGGCCTTTTTGCCCCCATACTGAGTGATTCTCTCATATAATCATCCTATCATCTCTTTCACAGCATCAGATTGGACAAATTTCTAAAGACTTGATAACATTTTTAAAAGCATTTTTATAAGAAATGCAACCTGTGGTTGTGCATAACAGAATTGTAGAAATACTTTATTGACATGTTAGTAATGAAACTCAGAATAGCGAAATATTAATAAAAAAATAAAAGCTTCCCCCAAATCTCATATGGGTTTATCCCTTTACCCAAAAAAATATGGACTACAATCACTCTTTATTTGAAACTCTACTAATTCTAATTCCACAATCAGCCTAAAGTTTTTTCCTTTTGAACTTAAAATATTTTTGATGTTTTTCGCCATAAATTATACAAACTTCAGATTAACCTGTAAGCCCCCAATAGAATGTTATCAAGTTATATTAATCTGAAATAATAACTGAAGTGAATGTCAAAATAAGTGACCATATTGCAGCACAAATCACATATCACTGTTTTCTACTTATTCTATAGCTGCCTATTGTCTCAGATTCAGTAGCAACTTTGCACATTAACATCAATAATTTTATAGGACATGCACTTGTCTATGACTCTGGAGGAAAATAAACCAATATTTATAAGTTAGTGAGTTCATATCCAGTGTCTTCCATTCTAATTGATGAATATCAGAGAAAAAATAAAATCAACTTACCTTATTTATATTTAATTAAATCCATAAGCCTACTAGCCTGACTTAACTGAATATGATTAATAGCAGCTTCATGTCAACATACATATGCAGATACAAAGTCATATTCATTACAGAATTTCATATAATTGCATATTGTGACTAATTCCCATATTATTAATTAAAATTGGGGTTTTAGACAAAAGAGATACTAGAAGTAAAATTGTCAAATAATTTTTAAAGCATTAGCACCATGACTCTTCTATAAAGTAAGCCTGTTTTTAAATGTATGGAGATACTACTACATACCAACTAGAATGGACAAAATATTTTTTAAATAACTGAAGTAAATGCTGGTAAGGATATGGAGAAACAGGAACTCTCATTCATTGCTGGTAGGAGTGCAACTGGTACAGACACTTTGGAAGAGTTTGGCTGTTTCTTACAAAACTAAACATAGTCTTACCACCACCCAGCAATCCTGCTCCTAGGTATGCATCAAACTAATTTTAAAATTTGTGTCTACACAAATAAAAAAAAAAGGCTACATAGAAATGTTTAGAGTAACTTTATTTATAATCACCAAAAATTGGAAGCAACCAAGATGTCTTTTGATATGTGAATGAATAAAAAACTGTCCCACCCAGTGAAATACTACTCATCAATAAAAAGGAATGAGCTATCAAGCCATGCAAGCACATGTGAGAATCTTAAATGTACATTGTTAACTGAAAAAAGCTCGTCTGAAAATCTACCTACTGATCCATTTATAAGACATTCTGAAAAAGGCACAATTGCAGTGATGATAGATCAGAGCTTGCCAAGAGTTTAAAGTATGTGTGGGGTGTTGAATAGTAGAAGCACAAGGATTTTAGTGTAAGTGAAACAATTCTGCATGGTACTTTTAATAGTAAATACATGACACTATGCATATTTCAAAACCCATAAAACTTTACACAACAAAAATCAAATTTAGATGTATACAACTTAATAAATTATTTAAAAGGATGAAGAATCCCAAGATGAAATGCAGACTGTGAAAAAAGAATCTAACTGTTACAACTATATAAAGCAAACTCAATGATAGGAGTAGGGATTAAAGGTGCTGACCTGAGTAGGTTTGAAAATGAGTGAAATCTGTACTAAAGGCAAAGGGAACTGTACATACAATCTGTATTCTAATTCATAAGCTCATTTCCCGTGGGGAAGTGGGTTAACGATTTTGAAATCACTCTATACGTATAGTAAAATTGAATAACAATGTAAATGCATGGTGGATGGTGAGAGCATGATTTCACAGTGCTGAAGTAGGATCTAAGATTTTTATAGGAGTAATACTCAACTTGATTCTTAAAGGACATATAGAATTCTGGCATCAAGGAAAAAGAATAGAAAATATATATTTTTTTCATATTTAAAATTTATATATTTTGCATATAATAATGCAACATCAAAATTTTAAATTAAGAAATTAATATTTTTTTTCAATTTTATTTTAAGTTCTGGGATACATGTGCAGGACATGCAGGTTTGTTACATAAGTAAACATGTGTCATGGTGGTTTGCTGCACCTATCAACCCATCACCTGGGCATTAAGCTCCACATGCATTAGCTGTTTATCCTGATGCTGTCTCTCTCCCTGCCCCTTCAATGAGCCTCAGTGTGGGTTGTTCCCCTCCCTGTGTTTACATGTTCTCTTTGTTCGGCTCCCACTTATAAGTGAGAACATGCAGTGTTTGGTTTTCTGTTCCTGTGTTAGTTTGCTGAGAATAATGGCTTCCAGCTCCATCCCTGTCCCTGCAAAGGACATGACCTGATTCCTTTTTATGGCTGCATAGTATTCCATGGTGTAAATGTACCACATAAGAAAATATATTTTAATGAAAATGAACACATTAAGTCAGTAGAACTAAAACTTTTAGGTCTTAGAATCCCTCGACACTCAGAAACTTACCTAGCATCAGAAAGGATTTGTTAAAATGTGCACTATACTCATTGATGTTTCCATATTTTGAATTAAAACTGATATTTTAAAATACTCATTTACTAATTTAAAATAAACTAATAAGCCCATGCATGTAGACATAGACAACATATTTTTATTAAAAAAAAGTTTACAAAACCAAAGCATTTAGTGAAAAAAGTATCATTGTTTACATTTTTTTTTTTTTTTTTTTGCAAATCTCTTTTATGTCTATCTATCTTAATAAGGTGGCTGGGTTTTTGTATCTTATGCATTCAATGTGTTGCAATATTACATATCTTATAGTCTCTGGAAAACTCCACTTTATACAGTGATATAAGATTAAGATTTTAGAAGGCAAGTAGCATCTAAATGTTACTGTGTACATAGTTTTAGTCTTGAAAACCTTGCAGAGTATCTTAGGGAACTTAAGTGGTCTTTGTACCATACTTTGAGAACAACTGGCTTAAGCAAAGGCACAGAAGAGAGGAAACACAGAATGTTTAGGGAAATTAGGGAAAGAAGGCATAGGTTATTAAAAACAGAATCAAATTCAAATGGCGAGAACCACAAAAGACCCCAAATAGCCAAAGCCATGTTAAGCAAAAAGCAACGCTTGGAGGCATCACATTACATGACTTCAACATATACTACAAAGCTATAGTAATCAAAACAGTAGGGTACTGGCATAAACACAGACACACAGACTGGTGGAACAGAATAGAGTGTCCAGAAATTCAAATATTTACTGACAGCTGATTTTTTGACAAAAAGGTGCCAAGATACACAATGGGGAAAGGACAGTCTCTTCAACAATCATGGAGGGAAAACTAGATATTCATATGCAGAAGAATGAAAATGGACCCTTATTTCACCCTTTATACAAGAATTAACTCAAAATGTATCAAAGACTTAAATATAAGACCTGAAACTGTAAAACTACTAGAAGAAAATACAGGGAACATGCTCCATGGCATTAGTCTTAGCAGTGATTTCTTGGATATGATCCCCAAAACACAGATAACAAAAGCAAAAATACACAAATGAGATTACATCAAACTAAAAGTAGCAAAGGAAAAAATTCACGGAGTGAAAAAACAATGCATAGAATTGGAGAAAACATTTGCAAACCATGTTTGACAAGGGTTTGATATAAGAAATATACAAAGAACTCAAACTACTCAATAACATGAAAATAAACCTATTAAAAATTGGCAAAGGAACTGAATAGACATTTTTTAAAACAGATATGCAAATGGCCAACTGATACATGAAGAAATGTTTGACATCTCTATCAGAAAAATGCAAATTAAAGCCGTAATGAGATGTCACCTCACACATGTTAGAATGGCTATTATCAAAAAGATGAAAGATAACATGTATTGGCAAGAATGTGGAGGAAATGTAGCCTTTGTACATTGTTGGTGGGACTGTAAATTAGTACAGTCATTTTGGGAAACACTATTGAGATTCTTCACAAAAACTAAAAGTAGAATTAACACATGATCCAGCAATCCCACTTTTGGGTCTATATCTTAAGAAATTGAAACAAGTATGACAAAGCAATGTCTCCATTCCCATTGCATGAATGTTTCTGCATTATTCACTAGAGCCAATATATACAGACAACCCAAGTGCACATCAGGGGCTGAATGGATATAAAAAATGTGGTATGTATACATAATGGAATACTTTTCAGCCTTAAAAAAAAAGCGGGAAGTTCTGTCATATGCAACACTATAGAGAAATCTAGAAGACATTATGCTAAGCGAAGTAAGTCAGCCACAAGGAGACAAATGGAATATGATGTCACTTATATGTGATATTTACAAAGTCAAACTCAGGGAAGTAAAGAGTAGAATGGTAGTTACCAGGAGCTGGAGTGGTGGCAGGAAAGAGGGTAGACAGGGGGGGAAAAAAAAAAGATGCTGGTCAAAGGATACAAAGTTTCTGTTAGATAGAAAAAAAATAAATAATTCTGTTGAAATGCTGCACAGCATGGTGATTATAGTTAATAACAATGTATGGTATATGTCAACATAGCTAAAGAAAAACATTTTAAACATTCTAACCACAAATAATAAATATTTGAGGTGATAGATACACTAATTACCTTGATTTGATCATTCCATGATGCATGCATGTATTGAAACATCACGTTATACCCCAAAATACAGACAATTATTACTTGTCAATTAAAAATAAAATTAAAATTAAAAATGTAGTTATATATGAAGTGGTGGATATGTTAATTCTTTTGGCTTAATGATTTAATAATGTATACATATATCAAAATATGTTGCAATCACTAAATATATATATACAGGTTTTGTCAGTTATGCCTTAATAAGGCTGGGAAAGTTTTTTTTTTTAAAGTTTCAATAGTGCAACATCATGGCTAAATTAAGAATTAACTAAAACATAAATTGAGATATATTGGAAGGGTTTCAATGTCATGGAAACTTTGATTGCTTTTTTAAAAAAGCTCATAAAGAACAGGCTTTGTGCAGAATAGTGACAATATTTAATTTCTAAAGGAAATACGTTTTAATAACAACATAGACTATAATTTGTCTGGTTAAAACATTGGAAGTCAGAGATCAAAAATCAGATGATGTGATTTTAATAGTCGAGGTGAATCATAATAAGAAAGAGTAGTGATTTTAAAAGGATGCTGAATTTTATAGACAATATAAATGTAGAATGAAAAGCACTTAGGACTTAATCAATATGTGGTAGAAAGAAAAGGAGAAAGATATTGGAGAGGAGGGAATTTGAAAGAGGCCCATGTAACACTATATATATTCTGTATCTATACCTTACAGAGAAAACTTGTATTAGACTTTACAATTACAGTAGATATTTTTTTCCAGAGACATTTTAAACAATACGCAGAAATCTTGGCAGTAGTATTCCCCTTAGGAAGATGGATGCGTATCATTGATAAATCCCTTGGACTTAGGTCTGGGATCATACAAAGGGCATGCTAAGAAAGCTATGTGGCTGCTCATGCCTGTAATCCCAGCACTTTGGGAGGCCGAGGAGGGCGGATCATGAGGTCAGGTGTTCCAGACCAACCTGGCCAACACGGTGAAACCCTGTCTCTACTAAAAATACAAAAATTACCCAGGCATGGTGTCTGTCACATGCCTGTAATCCCAGCTACTTGGGAGGCTGAGGCAGGGGAATCAGTTGATCCCAGGAGGCGGAGTTTTCAGTAAACCGAGATCACGCCACTGCACTCCAGCATGGGCGACAGAGCAAGACTCCATCTCAAAAAAAAAAAAAAAAAAAAAAAAAGAAAGAAAAAAAATATGTGTGGACTCTATACCAGGTTGTTTGTTTGTTTGTTTTAACTTTGCCTTGGAGTAACTATGTATAGATTATTATAACTTAATTAAGATGTTACATTTGGTTAACTGCAGGGGTTTATGTTTTGCTGAGTGGGGTTTAAAGTCAGAAATACAAAGCTGAATTTATTAACATAGAAAGTATTGAAAAGATGGTGTTTATGGGCTTTAAAAGATGGTGTTTATGACTTGTGGGCCCATCCCAAATTATATGTTGAAACCCTATCAATGAATACCTCAGAATATAACTGTATGTGGGGATGGGGCCTTTAAAGAGGTAACTAAGGTTAAATGAGGTCATATGAGTGTGCCCTAATCCCTTTTATTGTATTTGGAGATAAGACCCTCACAGCGTGACTAAGTTAAATGAAGCCTATAGAGTTGGAACCCAATCCTACCAGACTCCGTATACGAAGACATAAGAAGACAAATATTGTATGATGTCACTTACGTGTAGAAATTAAAATAGTCAAACTTATAGAAGCAGAGAGTAGAATAGTGATTGCCAGTAGCTGGAGGGCGGGGGGGGTAGAAGAAATGGGGAGGTGATGGTCAAAGTGTACAAAAGGGATTTCAGCTATGCAAGATAAGTAAGTCTTAAGAGTCCCACTATACAACATAGTACCTATAGCTAGCAATACTGTATTTTATACTTAATATTTGCTAAGAAGGTAGATTGTAAAGTTTTCTTACCATAAAAACTAAATAAAGATAAATAAATAATAAAGGGGGCAGGAGGAAACTTTGAGAGGTGACAGATATGTTTATAGATTTAATAGTGGAAATGGTTTCACAGGTTTATATGTATCTCCAAATTCATCATGTTGTATACATTAAATACACATAATTTTTATATGTCAATCATTACCTCAATAAAGTGGCTTGCAAAAATAAACTTTAGTGATAGACACCCAACAAATGATAATTTATGGGTGGTATGAATTTCAGAAAAAGGTCAGGCATGTACTATTTACTATAATAAAATCAAAAACAAAGCCAGTCATTAATTATATTCCTTGGCTTCCTGCTTTCTGAATGTAGAATTTCTATAACCCATAAAGGCTGAATGTGGTTACATAATATGCTTTAGCTAAAGAAATGTAAGCAAAAGTGATTTGTGTCTTTAGAATCAAAATATTTATTATTTTTTTAATTTTAGTTTCAGGGAGTCCATGTTTGTTTGTTTGTTACATGGATACACATTGCATAATGGTGAGGTTTGGGTTTCCAATGCAGCCATCATCCAAATAGGGAACACATTGTATAAAATAGAAAATTGTTTAACCCTCATCCCCTTTTCAACCTCCCCTCTTTTGGAGACCCCAGTGTCTATTATTTCCAGCTTCATATTTTAACATCCAGTTTTCTATACTGTGTCCTTTCTATTGCCATGGTCACCAGCAACATTGAAAACAGTGGTTGCTCCAGTAGCCCACAAGGAGATATAGAGCACATGCTCCAGCAGAATCATGACATACATAAAACACGTGCAATAAATAAATCTTTGCTGGTAAAAGCCACTGAAATTTGGTGGAGGGGATTGTTACCGTGGCATAATACAGTTATTCTGATTGGTGGAGCCAGCTTGTTCAACATATAAATGAGGTGTCTGTCTGTTGTTAGACATATAAACAACTTATCTCTCTCTGTTTAAAACTAAATTTAGTCTCTGACAACAGTCTTTTCTTCAATCACAATCTTATAGAACAGAAGGGCTTATCCTCTCAGATTATTATGAAAAACATTTATCGAGCATCTAATATAGAATGAAGATGTTTTCACATGCATCTTGTTATATATCTTTTAAGTATACATTATTGTTTCTATCTTACATATATTGGAACTAAAGATTAAAAGTATAATAAAATGTACAGATTGTAAAACTAGGAAAGTAATAGACTCACTTTGAGCCAGCTTCTAAGTTTGATATATTTGCTCTTTCCATATGCTACAATGCCTTTGGTTAACCTAAAGACAGAACATTGACTATTGCTGGCTAGAGGAAGTTTCTTATTCTCCCTATTCTCTTAAACATATTTAGAAACTCATTCAGTCAATTTTCCAGATCTTCTAGAAATAGTTTTTTAAAAAAGGTGACCTTTTCTTTTACATTTTGAAAACAACTTCCGCTTTAGATTCTTATGCCCTAGGTGAGTGAGTTCTCCCAAAACAGAAGGAGTTTCAGATAAGTTCTAAGAGAACTTGATCCTCTTGCTTTATGGAACAATGAAGGAAATTTCAAAAAAAAAAAAAAAAAGATGAAGAGCTATTTTTATGTCACTCAATCAGGTAGACTGTTTACCCATTTCAAAAAAGGTAGAAAATTATAATCAGACTAATCATTTTTCTAGTCTTTCCCTGAGGAAAAAAAAAATCAGTGATGTTTAAATTAAAAAGAAAAAAAAACAATGTCAATTTCATTTTTTTTCAGTTCCTGGAAGTATGACTTGACTTAGTCAAATAATCTATTATTATATTTTCCTATTTTTAAAATAAAAATGATACCTCTCCAACAAGGTTATAGCAAACATTTTTAAAAACTGCATAGGGTAACCATAACAGTGTTTACCATAATGGTGATTACATTTTCTTTCCTTCAGATTCTCAAATAAAAGGAACCACAATATTCAGATATTTTCCTTCGGATTTGCAAATTAAAGGAACTACAGTATCTGTCCCTTGAAGCTCCAATTAGACAAACCTTAACATAAAGGTCTTAAAATATATACCCTGTTTCATTTGGATTGAACAGACAGTTGAAAGTTGCTTCATCCATTTTACCCATAGAATATATCACAGTGGAGAATTCTGTATTAACTTGGCCATGAGGAGCATTATCTACTTTCAAATTAGGCAAAACAGCCAGACTGGATACTTTATGCTACTTTTATTTCATAAATCTAGAGAAAGCCTTAGCTAAAGGAATGTAAGTTATGTTTAAGTTATCTTTATGTCCATTTGCTAGTGTTCTGGGCACTGATCATAGACACATAGACACAATGATCCTAGACACACAGTTGAAACCTCACAGAAGCTTCCAATCCCAAAGCCAATATACCTGCAGATAATCATAGGTAAATTGTTTACTCATTTTGATGAAAATAAGAGGAAAGATATGAAATGGCTTTACTTTTTAACAAACTTTATATTTTCTTTCTTTTCACAGACAGGGTCTCGCTCTGTTGCCCACAGTGGATAGGAAGTGGTGTGATCATAGCTCACTGCAACTTTGAACTCCTGAGCTCAATTGGTCCTCCTGTCTCAGCCTTCTGAAGAGTTGAGACTAGAGGCATGGGCCACCACATCTGGCCATCTGGTTAATTTTATTTTTTAGAGATGGAGTCTCCCTATGTTGCCCCGTCTGCCCTAGAACTCCTAGCCTCAAGTGATCCTCCTGTCTTGGCCTCCCAAACTACTGAGATTGCAGGTGTCAGCTACTACACCCAGCCTATATTTTCTAATTAAAAAAAAATGTACATATGCATTGTGGTGAATTTAGAAGACATAGAAAACTAAGTAAATAGAACAAGAAATTACATAACCTTGAACAAAAAATAGAACAAAATTGAATGTTGAAAATAGAACAAAAAATTATATAACAAAAAGGCAACACTAAACTTTGATTACAAATTTTTGTGAAGTGGAAAGATATTAACTGATTTTTTTCTCTCTAAAAACAAACATTCCTATTTATATTTAGTTATATTTGCTGAATTTATATAGAAACATTAACAAGCAAAATGAGACAATATTGTATATATTGCTGATTTAGTTTTTTGTTTTGTTTTTTGAGACAGGGTCTTATTTTGTTGTCCAGGCTGGAGTGCAGTAGCGCAATCTGGGCTCACTGCAGCTTCAGCCTCCTGGGCTCAAGTGATCCTCCCATCTCAGCCTCCCCTCCCAGGTAATTGAGACTACAGGCATGTGCTACCATGCCAGGATGATTTTTTTGTAAGACGAGTTATCACTGTTTCCCTAGGCTTAAGCCAACTTCCTGCCTACTTGTTCAAAAGTGTTGGAATTACAGGTGTGAGCCACCATGCCCAGGCTTGATTTGCTTTTTGATTCAATGAAACGTAGATACATTTCTAACATTTTACTAGATTGTATTTTAGTGTATACTCTGTTAGATCTGCTTCTAAGAGACATTTAAATTTTTTTCAGTATTTTATTTTGTTCTAAACATTACCACTATGAATCTGTTTATTCATATGTACAATTTATTTAGCAAAAATCTAACTGAATTGGAGAACCTTAACCAAAATTTCTAAAATATTTTAAGACTTTTAAAATGTAGGTCAAATGTCCTCACAAATTACATAAACATTAATGTTAGATAATACAATCTCTATAAGAAAGTGTTCATTTTCCTAAACTCTCACCAATATTAAGGATTATCAATCTTTTAATATTGCATATTTTGTCCATCTGATAGCCTAAAATAGCAACAACATAAACCAATTCTGTTTTCTTTGAAAGTGAATGACTTTGACCATAAATATTCTTGCGTTCATTATTCATAAGTATTGCTTCTTTTGGTTGTCTGTTGAAACTCTTTCTCTCTTTTTTATCTATCTTTTTTTTAATTGCTGAGTAATAAATCTTGGATTGATGGACAACTTTTTTCTTTCAGCATTTTAAAAATATTACTTCATTGTCTCCTGAAATTCCGTCTATGTTTTCCCCCAATAAGATGTTAAATGTTATTCATGTTGTTATTTTCCTCATGCAATGTGTTGTTTTTCTCTTCTGATTGATTTAAATATTTAATCTTTAGCTTACAGAAATTAGGGTGTAATTTGCTTTAGTGTGGTTAGCTTTGTCCTTATTTTGATTGGAGTTGATTTCTTGAACCTCTAAATCAATGTTTTTTGTCACATTTGGGAAATATTTGACCTCATTATTTTTCTAAATTTTTTTCTGCCCAGTTGTCACTTTCTTGTCTTTCTAGACTCAAATGGAATTTACGTTGGACCATTTGATATTAATTCAGAGATTGTCGGTACTCCTTTGTCTTTAGAGGGCTATTTTTTCTTTATATAGCTTCACATTCATTTTCTCTTTCTTCTGCCATGTGCCATGTGCAGTGAAGCACATCCAGTAATTTTTTTTTTTAGTTTCAATTATAGTATTTTTACATTCTAGAATTTTCATATAATTATTTTTGATTGTATTCATTTTCTGTTGGTATTCCTATCTGGTTACTTATTAATATCATGTTTTCTTTCAATTCTTTAAACATATTTTCATTTTTTAACATACTTAATCATCGCTCTTTCAAAAGTCCTTGTCTACTGTAACCAGTTTCATGCCATTATGGGGTTAGTTTCTTTATGTTTCTACCAATTGTCATTTTTAAAAACTATTGGTTGTATTTTTCTGTTTCATTATGTTATTCATTATTATTCATTATATATTGAACATCATGAATTACTGCAGAGACCAGAAATTCTGTTGTCTTTCTCTGAAGAGTATTGACTTTTGTTCTAGTAAGTAGTGCAATTACTAAATATTTACCTTGAACTTGAATAATCTTGGTAAAACCCAAGATGCTTACCATGCTTCTTTAATTTATTAAAATTTACCCTTCAAACTCTGTGTTCCCATGTGTGTCTTCTCAGAGATTAGTTTTAGTCTTAGTCACGGGGGAGTAATAGAATTTATGTCACTCTAGGGCATAATCCTTATTATGAATTAAGCTTTATGAAAGCTGTTTTTATGTCTCAACTGGAATGGGATGCTAAAGATATTAATAAGGACTTAAGGTTTCTTTCCTCTGGCTGGACCCCAATCCCCATGGGTATAAAGGCTACTCAGCATTTAGTATTTTTATTCCAATCACAGTCATATAGTAGTTGCTCTCTGATAAGTCTCTGGTAGTCTCCTAGGTATGAGAAGTCCAGTCCTCAGCCAAGGACTTGTAGAGAATCCCCACACTGAATTCTGGAGCTACCTCTGCATATATCTTTCCTTTATTGTGCTTTACCTACCTAAATCCAGTTGTTTTAGCTCTTCTCTGAACTCTAATCTCTGCCTTCTGGAGCTCTGAATTTCAGTGTTGCTTGAATTGCTGCACTGGAATTATGAAATTTCCCTCAGGTCAAGGCAAACATAGGTGCTACCTTCAGCATTTCACTTTTCTTAGAAATTATAGCCTCATGCTGCCAGTTTTCCACTGCCTGACAATGGGCACCATACACAGTCTGTTCAAGTTTATAGTTGATTGTGGCAGGAAGACTAATCTAGTACCATTGACTGCATCATAACCAGGAGCAGAAGTTTTTGCACGTAACAAATTTTAATTTTTTGGCACTTTTTAAATGTAATTTTATTTAAGATGTGATTATCATGTATATAAAATTTGTGATCTTTTTATTTTCACCTAAAATTAGATGTATCATCCAATATTTCTCATGAAAATCATTAGCCATCCAAAACACTTAATACATACAAATAATTGGATTAGCAATAATTTTATTTTTAATAGCTAATTCAGAACTGTACAATTTTTCTGCTTTGTAAATAATCTTGTTTTATATCATAATTATTATTCTTTCATAATCTTGTGATTTAATCCTTGCTGTCACTCGCCCTGGAGCACAATACATACAGTTATCTCATGAAAAACAGCTCAATTACAAATCTATGCTTGCAATCTGGAATGGAAAATGTGACTTATCACTAGTAATGGCAAATATTACACTCATAAGTAACAGTAGGTAATTGAAAGTGAAGAGGAATGTAAATGATGAGTGCTTATTCCTGCCTACTATTGTTCCTCATTTTAGTGCATTTGTAGCCTACCATCTCTTTAATGTACTATCCTCATTAAGATTTTTTGTGGCTTTGGTGAATTAGTAACAGATTATGACAACCTTTCCATTGATATAGCTTATGCTTTTAGGCTCATCTTTTCAGGTATTGATAATAGTGGAATAATTCAGACATTGATTCAAAGTTACATTCCTTAGCACATTTGAATTGAGGTTTTCTTGAAACCACTATTTGCCTTCTCTGTCCATGACATTTCAATATATATGTAATGTTTTCTCAGATCTGAAGTCACATGTACCTCATTCTAGAGTTTGGATTCAATTCCAGTAAAAGCTTCTGCCTCTCTCAATTTGCAACAGTAGGCAATAGTATACTAGTAAGTGTTCAAAAACTGGCTGTCCAAAAGCAAAACAAAAAACCTGATTGGAAGAATTGGCTGTTGGGAAAAGGTGTGCATGATTGGCTTCCTCACACCACTCACCCTAGGGCCCTTTTATTACCTCCTGGAAGATGACTGACACCTCATTGGGTGTGCAAATATTCTTCCTGTTGGACATAAACAAATGCTTAATGAGTGAAGTTTTTCAGAATGGTTGCCAAACATTGGTTTTATTGTAAATCACTTGCATGTGTCCTAAAGTCTTTTTTTCCTAATGAATATTTAAGCAGCCGTTTCTTTTTGCATTAAATTCAGGAAATTTAAGACTTTTTTAGCTCTTGAATATAAGCTTTAGTGTAGATGTTTGTCGCTTTTAGAATGGCTGGCTGGCTGGTTTCATTTGTTACATAAATACTCAAATACATATTAAAACAGACACACATACACGCAGTATTTCTTCAGTTCAAATTTTCTCAAATTTTTTATTTCTTCAGCTTATAGAATTAAGAGCTAAGAGATGCTATAAAACCAAATTTGTCTACTGTCAGGATGGCTATTTGGCATAATGTATTTAAATATACTGTACTACAGATGAAAATAAAATTAATAATCATTTTGTTATTTTTAGACATGATTGATTTTTCTGACCATACCTATCATTCCCTATTACCTTTTTTCAATCAAAATATTTATTACTACCTAATATTATATTAAAATGCTATTTATTGTTGTATCCATAGCACCTAGAACAGTACATAGTCACAAAATGATGATTTTTTTGAATAAATTAATTAAAATCTTAAATAACATTTGGAATTTTCAGCTCCTACCAAAAATTTCCATCAAAATAAAATAAGCTGACGTAGTGTTATATACCTGTAATCCCCGCTATTCAGGAGGCCGAGGCAGGAAGATTGCTTAAGCCCAGGAGGTGAGAACAGCCTAGGCAACATAGTGAGATACTGTCTCAAATAAATTAATTAAAATAATTCAATTAAGTAAATTCCTGAACTTTATTGAGATATTTAAAATATTCGTGTGATAAAACCATATAAAATAAGAAAGTAATTGAGGAGCTAAACATAGCAATTCAAAACTAATTTTAGGTGCTCCATATAGTTCATCTTTTACCTCTAGATTTGCTTAAAATCTATTTAGTGTTTTAGCCTGCATCAATAATAAACAGAAAGATATACCTAGAGATATTATTTAAATATATGATTGCAGAAAGCTTTTTCATTTATATTAAAAGTTCTTCTGACAATTATTTTAAATGGTTACATATTTTATTGCAAAATTATGTAACTTTTTAGGAGTACTTTCTAGGTGCACAGTAGCCTACTAGAGTCCATCATAAATTCCCAAAAGCATCCATGGATACTAGACTAGTGCAGCAACCTATAGTACAGTGGAAAGGAATACCTTTCTTGTGATACATTAAAGTACTGTTTGTTATGCTCTGATAACAGAGAGGTGTATCAGCTTTAATTTAACTAATGATCTTCATCCTGGAAATACACACAAAAGCCCATGTGAATAGACTTAAGCGTATTCTCTAATGACAGATTTAGAATTAACCTTCTCTTTGGTTCTAAGACTTTATTACATGATGAAGCTTGAGATATTTGCTCTGTTTTCCCCATAGAATGAGTTATTTTCCAGCTCCATCCTCAGTGACTCATTCAAATTGATATCTGATAACACTTCCTTTTTAAAATTCTTTTTTTTCCACCAGTTTCTCAAATATAATCACAAACTTGAGTGTCACTGTATAAGCATTACCCTAGTGTTAAACAGTGAGTGGGTCAAAGCTTTCCTCATATTGTAATGGAAATCTTGGGGGTCTAAAGCTGTTTCAGTGTTAAACTTTGAGTCCTTGAAATGAATTCTGTGAAAGTGTTATTATTTGGGCAAAGGTTCTGAAAAGTTATAGGATTCCTAATATGTATTTAAGGTAGATATTCCTGTCTGATTTTTTCTTATAGATAATCCTGTTTCTAATTTCAAGAAACCAATTTCTTCATTAAGGAATTTCCATGGCAAAATAACAATTGTTCTTCAAAAACACCTGCATCACTTATTGTAAGTGTAACTAGCATACTCATAATGTGTCACACAAAAACACCAAAACATTTTAATTTAAAAAATAGTCAAAAAGTTCACTTCAATCTCCTTGCTAGCAGGTATTATTTTCACAAAACATTGTAATCGTGTAAGCTTTCAGGTTTGAATGTCAAGGTTTAGGGCCAATCTTTGAAATCTCATACCCATAAATTTTGAGATATATACAAAAAATTTCCTCCAGTCTAACATGAGATATCAGTGGCCTTGATAGCATGTCTTGCCTTGGTCTTATCAGCAACTGGAAGTTGAATGTGTTGCAACTTTGAAGAATTTCCATGAGGCCATGGAAAACAATGTTAATTATATTTATAACGATCTCTTCTTGACTCTATACTAATCAGTTCTTACTCTCTGAGTCAGTGAGTTGTACTTGCCAATGTTATTCTTGTCCTTGCCTACGTCAGTGTGCCAGGTATTGACATTCAAAGTGAGTTTTTCTAATGTATGTATAATTGCTAAATAATTATTTAATTCTCTCATCTATCTTCTGTCTCTGTCTGTCTCTCTCTCTCTCACTTTTTACACTAAAAGCAAAATAAAACCTATTTAGTAGGTAAATCTGTGTGTGAATATATAGATAATAAATGTCCTAGATGAAATTGCCAACAGATTTGGAAGGCATGTTAATGTAAATATTTTTTAAATGTACCTATAAGCCTGTCAAAATCTAAAAACAGGTCTGTATAGGACTGTACATGTTGAATAAATATTTTTATCTGTTGATTTTTAAAAGAAAAGTACAATGATCAACTTAATCATCATCCTAATCACCCTATATATGATTTGTTAAATGCTTACCAAGCATCAGATAATGTGTGGGGGACTTTTCTAGCAGTATTAGTTTCCTAGGGCTGCTGTAACAAATAACCAAAAAACTTCGTTGCATAAAACAACAGAAATGTATTCACTCATAGTTCTGGTGGCCAAAAGTTCAAAATCAAGGTATCAGCAGGGTTACACTTCCTCCTGAGGATATACGGAAGATTCTGTTCCTTTCTTTGTCCAGCTTCTGGTGGTTGCAAATTTCCTTAGGATTGTGGCCACATGTTTTCAATCTCTGCTTCCATGGTCACTTACCCTGTTTGTTTGGACAGTCTCACTCTGTCGCCCAGGGCTTGAGTGCAGTGGCATGATCTCAGCTCACTGCAATCTCCACCTTCTGGGTTCAAGCAATTCTCCTGCTCAGCCTTCTGAGTATCTGGGATCGCAGTTGTGCACCACCACGCCCAGGTAATTTCTTGCATTTTTAGTACAGACAAGGTTTCCTTATGTTGGCCAGGCTGGTCTCGAACTCCTGACCTCAAGTGATCCGCCCGTCTCGGCCTCCCAAAGTGCTGGGATTACAGGTGTGAGCCACTGCACCTGGCCTATTTATCCTCATCTGCCACTGTGCCGTGTTTCTTGTAAGAGCAATTGTCACCAGATTTAGAACCCGCTGCAATAATCCAGATGATCTCAATTTCCTTACTTAATTAAATCTGTAAAGATCCTTTTTCTAAGTAAGGTAACATTCACAGGTACTGGAGGTTAAAATGTGGACATATCTTTTTGGGAGTCACTATTCAACCCGTTCCTCTAACTGTCTCTAATTGTCATAAACATAGAGATAAATTGAGAGTGAGAGAGGTTAGCAATTTTCCTAAAGTTGCACAGATTAGGAGTGGTAGGACTAGGATCTTAAATAGAAGCAGAACTCATCCCGTTGAATTTTAATTGTTCATTCTTCCATTTATATCCCTGCCTAGGTCCAGGTATCTTGGTGGTTGAGACTTATGACGTATCCCTAATGTCATGCTTTGGCCTTTGATACAGGCTAGGCACTAAATAACCAATTGTTGAATAAATTGAATACATGATTTCTCACCAGCAAGTCCGTTACTGATAAACAGCCAAGGCCAATATCCATTGAAAATGAAAATGTATCTGTTATTTTGCAGCAATTTTATCTAAATGTTATCAAAATTCAGTAGCGAATGTTTATCTCTTTCCAGAGTTTAGTATGAAAATTCTTTAGACTTATTTACTCAGAAACTAAGCTCTGTGATGTAAATATAGAAGTAGCAATTGGCCACATACTATCTCCTTCTTCCCTTTTGTTATTATGTATATTTATTTACATAATAAAGAAATATATGTATATATACATACATATGTATATATACACATATGTGTGTGTGTATGTGTGTGTGTGTGTGTATGTCAGGAGTAACTAAAAGAGGAAAAATACCTAGATAAATCACCAGTTTATTTGGTTTTTAAGCACAACCACTGCCACATATTGGCTGGTGTGTGAGTTTTATTGAGCAATGAGATCCAATTTGTTGCCTAGTTATTGCTGGTGACTGAATATAGGTCTTCTTTTTCTAGAAAAATTGAGTGGTAACTGAAGATGGCAAAACACCGCATCAGAACGACTCAGTCACAGTGGCAATTGTTTTGTGAGTGAATCATTCAGCCTTTCTTTCTCTCCTTAAGGAAATTTTAGTAGCTAATTTCAATAAGCAACTAAAATTTTGGTAACATACAGGCCCAGGATTGAGAATTATAAAACAGGATGTATATGAAAAATAATGTTTTTAAAGTTACTCTTTCTCTCTCTCTACACACACACACACACTCTCTCACACTCATATTTTCTGAGCTATTTCCTCTTTTTGGTCACTCATTCATTAACCATTCTTATGCCAGAAGTATCTACCTTCCAGATGAATCTTCAAGTTTTATGATAGACCTCTTATTCAATTTAGATGTCCTTTCCTCTCCAAGTGCCCCAAGATTAGGATTTCTTATCTACTCTCTAAACATTCCTGAGTCTGGCAAGGAAGCTTCAGGCATGGTAAGGAGAATGACAACCAAATTTCTGTTGTAGGTCACTAAAAAAAGTTGATGCCAGACTTGTGGATGTGAGGATGCATGCAGTGGTTTGAAAGAGCAGAATTCAAGGACACTAAAGAGTTATGATTGAAATATAATTGATTTGAGGTATGCCACTGAGGCACCCAGTCCGATATACATTCAACCACAAGAAATTAAACCTTCTCTGTATATCTGATGTTCAATTTCCTTATTTCTAAAATGTACAATGTAACATATTTCAACTAGCATTCATATAAATCTTAGATGAATCTGGCACAATGCCAGAAATATATTAGTTGCTCACATATCATTATTTACAAGAGGCTAAGAAAAGGCACATGATTTTAGGAAGTTTTCTCCTTGTTTGTGGAAATTTTATTATGTAGTAATTAATTTAATACCTTTGTGAACTCTTCAGTGCTCAATGCTTACCCCTCAAGTATAGAAGATCAATAAACTAACTTGAGTGAGCAAATAAAATTTTCAGGAAAACATTGGCATTAACAAACTTATGACACTGAAGTAAAAAATCAGAATGCTGACTTATTAATTTTCTACTTAAAACATAATTGTCATTCATTTAAAATATGAGTCCTTATTATTTTATCTCTGTTGGTAGATGTCATGGGAAACCAAACCATAATTAGGATTCTATGTGGAATCTGAACAAGGAACACTAGATGAGAATTTTAATTACCATCAGGTTTATGAAGTTTAATAAATCCACCTCTACAACATGGGTGCCCTCGTTAACAAGACTGCTGCATTTAAATTTCATTGTTTAATTTTCTCTTTCCTTAGAATGTTCATTGAACGGACATTCCATTTGCTTGCTTCTATGTCTAAACTTTTATTATCAACCTCCTGGCAGATTGACCTCTTTTTCCTTCAGAAATATTCATGTTTTCCATCAGAGTAGTCAATTCTTGCTTGCCAGGAACAACTCTCCCTTTACAAAATATCCTCATCTCTCAGCTCTCATTCATTGTGAGTTGATATTACAGTATAAATAGCAGAAGAAAAATCTCATTTTTTTATTTCCAGAATACTTCAGTCACCTCTAACTGAAGGCGATATTTATTTTTTTGACTCTCACTTTTCTCACTAAAAATCAAAGATGATAATAGGATCTTCCTCATTTGGTTTTTGAGAGTGTTAATAAAACAATGTTTTCAAAGGTCTCAGTACACTACCTGGTACAAGGAATAGACTCAATAAATATTTTTAAAATCTATCATTACCACAACATTTAACAGTGTTTTGCTATGACCTGACTTGTCATATAAAGGGAGCCCTGTTATAGTAAGACCTTTCATAATAAATACAGCCCACTCTGCGTGTCGCATAACAGTTTTACTCACTATCATGTGAGGAGTAAAGATTCTATTTTGACTGACTCACAGAGAAGCGATGAATATTTCAGAACTTTGCTTCGTAAAAGTATGTGGAACATGGAGTTTTAGATCCCTGTTTTGAAGAGTTAGGCACACCAATCAGGATAATGCACATGAATGTTCTTTTAAAATGGCAAAAACACATTGTATGTAAAGAGGGTAATTATTATTATTATTAGGGAAAGTATGGTAGCTTTGCAGAGAACATGGGAGCAGCAAACGGGACAATGAGGCTTATTGGAGTTTGTGAAGGGACAAATTCCATAAACTTTTATGCAGTTCCTCTGTTTAAAAAATCTTTAGTGATTACTTGCTTAACAATGAAATTATCTTTTACAATGAAAAATTATTGAAATAATCTAACAACATAACAAGACAAAATGCTCTGGCTGTTAACACCTTCAGGTGACATCTCCTAAAAAGGAAAATCCCTTACAGAGATTAGAAAATGACATTTTTCTTGCTTCACTATTTTAATATGCAGCAGTAAGAAACTACAGGCTAATGAATCAACAAGTCACTTACCCAGCCTCCTCTTTTCAGCAACATTACTTTAAATAATCTCTTATTTGAATTATTCAGTAATTCCACCAGCAGCACAGCAAGGATTATTAGTCAATCTTTCCTACACCAGGCATGGGTGGAAGGCTTAATAGTTTGAAACTCAAAATCATTTCTTAGTTATGTAAATCCTTGTCATCTATTATTTGTTCATGAAATGGTGAGAGGCTGAAATAAAACTTGAAGTTTAAAACAAGAAGCCAATTACTATAAGAAGAAAGCAGCCATGGATTTATTAAGTAGATAGCAACCACAAGGCCATTAGCCAGAGGCATATATGTATTAGAATATACAAACACTGGAATTCTTAGAAAAAAATGGATCTCAATGCAGGCTACTTCTACCCAAATGTGGCCATCTCTCTGTTAAATGCAACCAATTAGAAAGTTATTTAAGCTCTACTTTTCCAATTGGAAACACCACATTTTTTTCTATATATATATATATATATGTGTGTGTGTGTGTGTGTGTGTGAGTGATGTATGTGTATATATATGTACGTATATAAATTTTATGTGTGTAGACATAATTATACATATATGTAATTAAGTTATACATATGTAATTAAGTTACATATATCATTTTTGTATATGTAGCATGCCCGTGTGCACAGGCACACACACACACACACACACACATACAATGCATATGCCTTTGATCCAGCAATTCATATTTCAAATTTCCAGTGTAGAACAGTTGTCCTAGGTCAGATATGCCTTGGGCATCTTGGGAAGAATCAGTTTGATCTAGACTTTTGTCCTAACTCACTCTGATTGCCAACTGCTTCTGTTGCTCACAACATCAGATTGGACCCAAGAAAGTATTAGCAGTTTACTTCTTCAAAAGTTCAGGCAGGTCTTTATTCCTATCAGCTTTCCAAGTGCCCATGGTTGATTTGAACCATCTGGAGAAGTGGTCTTTGTTCTAATGAAATTACATTTGTTAAATCCTTTTAGGTGCAATATGTCATGGGGTTACATTGCAGGGGAGCAGACACAACAAGCATGTGCTCTGGAATCAGAGCAGGAGAGAGAAGCAGACAGAACGTAAGCAGTCCTTAGTAGCCAAAGATGCCTAGGCTAAAAATTTAATTGGAAATCTTGCTTTTAAGTAAATGAATTCATTTTCTTGTAGGTAGTTTTTCTAACAAAATCTTTACTTAGCAAACAAAGAGAAACAGCACTAGACATTTATGAAATAACCTCCAAGCTTTTTATGCATCATGCATTGATTTCAGGAGCTCAGTTAGCTTTGCTAAGTGTGGTTATGTGCTGTAATATAGTTGGATATCACTTGGCTCCTCTCATCATATCACATATACTCTATGGATGCACAACCTTGCTTGAAATTAAATAGAAATAAATAGAAAACCTATAATTTATTATTTGTCAGATTAGAAATATTTCAAAATTGTGTTTAAAAGCCATTGATAATGGCAAAAGTTCCCAGCAGGAGTGTTAATTGGTACAATGGTATGATATTTGGGATACTTTTTTGTGTGTGTGTACATATATATGTATGTGTGTGTGTACACATAGGAATTGTGATATATTTGATAAGTTATACATATGTAATCAAATTACACATATAATTTTTATATATATACAAATATAAATTTATATATAGCATGTGTGTACATATACACACATAGCATGTGTATGTATATATGTACATATATGTATATACATATATATATACACATAGCATACGTACATATATGTGTACATATATATGTACTAACACATATGCTGTATATATAATGCATACAAATTTGATCCAGCAATTCCAATGGTTGAAATTTAATCCAATAGATATACCATAGGGCTCATGGCTACATTGTTTGTAATACCAAAATACAAGCTTGTACTCTCTTTCTCTCTTTCACACACACACACACGCACGCACACACACACACACACACACACCCCAAACTGATGGTCCATTAATGGGATCAATAATAAAAGACTATTACTAAAGACAGTGCAAGATCCAGGCTCCCTGGCTTTGAAGGTCAGCTACCTGTGTGATATAACCTTAAACATGTTACTTTACCTCTGCTTGCTACTTTTCTTTCATTTATTTCAATTGGCATATAATTGTTCATACATCATATGGCTGCTTTGAGGATTAAGTTAATATATATAAAGCATTTTACAAAAAGTCTGATATGTAGAAATGATTTCCTGGTTAGCTATTATTTTATGGTCCATTAAAATAATGAGTTCAAATTGCTTAGGCTGATCTGAAAAGATTACTAAGATCTATTATTAAGCAAAAATAAAAAGAAAATTTAAAAATTATATCATGTATATTTTATATCATTTAATTAAAACTTATATATTTTTATAATTAAAAATTATAACATTCTGATAAATGCTAAAGATTGTTGGAATAATATACCAGAAATTGATAAGTAATGGTTAGTGGCAGTTACCTCTGAGAAATGGTAGGGGAGGTCTAATGCAGGACAGAGATATTTTAACTTTCATTTTAATCCCTTTCCTATTATTTAAAATGTTTACCAAATGTTCCTGTCTTTTTATAAATTAAGCAGAAATTTACAAACATAACTTACTGTTTTTAAATGACAAATTTAGTGACTCTTTGTTTTCTCACCTTATTTGTCTTTAACGTGATTGATATGGGTTGGCTCTGGGTTCCCACTCAAATCTCACCTTGAATTGTAATAAATCCCATGTGTCATGGGAGGGACCTGGTGGGAGGTAATTGAATCATGGGGGCGGGTTTTTCAGTACTGTTCTCGTGATAGTGAATAAATCTCACAAGATCTGATAATTTTATAAAGGGGAGTTACTGGCTGGGCACAGTGGCTCACACCTGTAAACTCAGCACTATGGGAGGCTCAGGCGGGTAGATCACCTGATGTTAGGAGTTTGAGACAAGCCTGGCCAACATGGTGAAACCCTGTCTCTACTAAAAGTATGAAAATTAGCCCAGCGTGGTGCCGTGTGCCTGTAATCCCAGCTACTTGGGAGGTTGAGGCATGAGAATGGCTTGAACCCTGGAGGCAGAGGTTGCAGTGAGCTGAGATCACACAACTGCATTCCAGCCTGGGTGACAGAGCCAGAGTCTGTCTCAAAAAAAAAAAAAAAAAAAAGTTCCATTGCACGTTGCACATGCTGTCTTGCCTGCCAGCATATGTAAGATGTGACTTTGCTCCTCATTCACTTCACCTTCAGCCATGATTGTGAGGCCTCCCCAGCCATGTTGAACTGTGAGTCAATTAAATCTCTTTTCTTTACAAATTACCCAGTCTCAGGTATGTTTGTATTAGCAGCGTGAGAACAGACTAATACAGTGACTTAATATTCTAGTCGGTCACTCATGGGAAGGGTTAACCTTAGTAAGACCTTGTGCTCATACCCACCAAGGTGACATAATATAGCTGGTTCCATCAGGTTATGTTCTGTGTACCCTCACATGGTATGCTTTGCAGGTAGTTCCATTAAAGTGCCTTCATAATTATCTTCTACTCTAGCTTGTGACTGGCGCTTGAACAAAAGTATAAAGTCCATGATAGAAAAGGAAGAATGGCAACCCTGCTCAAAACACATAGAATAACCAATAGTCTTTCCTTTTGTTTCCAAATGGCACATATTTATCTTCTAGAGCTCAGGTTCATTTGGAGAAAAACTGGAAAAATGATGACCTTTGGCTCTTGAATTGTTAAAGTGAGTTGCACATCATTCCAACATTGATGCCATTTCAGCTCTTTTCAGAAGAGTTTATTTATTTAAAATGGCAATTCCCCAGGAATTTTCAGGTTTCACTGACTGTCTCTACATCATTTTAGAGGGGTGATGAAAACTATCAAGTAAATTATGTCTGAACACAAATGTTTGTATAGCTACAATATTGAGAAATCTCTTCAAGTTAGTGGCAGGGTCTTCAGGAAATGATGAAGATGTGATGGTGTGAGTTTTCCTTTTATATGTAAAGGGTTTGCCCAAAGATTTCAAAAAAAATCCAAGGCTTATTTGGCCAGGAAGGAAACAAAATTTGTGAATACTATAATATTTTTGGAAACTATGCAGTTGGGGATTATATATCCCATCTAAAGACAGTCAAACAAAAATTAAGCAGTTTGCATGGTGAAGAACACTAGACTATAGCCAAATTTGACCTCAGGGGCTTCTACCTACCCATTTCTGCATGGCTTTGTCTTTCAAATCATACTTCCGGGTTGTCTACCTGTTTCAGCCATACATTATTTAAGAGTGAACAAAGAAACATAATTTGAGTAAAATAACAGTACTCTTAAATCCTTATTCTCTTTGAAGTGGCAAAGCCCTCTATCATCGCAGGGATTAAAACAGGACCACACTGTCTAAAACTGTTTAAGGTCCTAGTATGTGTCTGTCACATAGATAATCAATAAATAAATGAATACCTGAACAAATGATATTCAAATTATTTTCTTGCTAGTAAAACAAAGGTTAAATGCAATATTTTGTGTGGTGTCAGAGTTTGGGCAGAGTGTCTGAAGGTGGAAAACAGTATAAAATATGTTAAGCAGTCTGTCTTCTAAAGCCAAGCTGGAGATTGCCCATGTAAGCCTTAGGCCGTTAATCATATCATGGGTATAAAACAGATGAAGAGTCAAGAGAAAGAAATATTTTAGGGAGTTGTTGGAATGCTCTGACATTTCTCTCTTCCTTAATCAATAATGTGACTCAAAAGATTCCAAGAGGACCACTGGCAAATCAGCTCCTTGGAATTTAGGGAATGTAGTGCTGTCACCTAAAATTCCTTGAAATTATCTAAAAATAAGAGGTTGATGGTCAATACTGAGTGTCAACTTCATTGGGTTGAAGGATGCAAACTATTGTTCCTGGGTGTGTCTGTGAGGGTGTTACCAAAGGATATTAACATTTGAGTTGGTGGACTGGGAAAGGCAGACCCACCTTCAACCTGGGCACACCCAGCTGTCAGTGCAGCCAGAATAAAAGCAGACAGAAGAACGTGAAAAGACTAGACCAGCTTAGCCTCCCAGACTACATCTTTCTCCCATGCTGGATGCCTCCTGCCCTCGAACACCAAACTCCAAGTTCTTCAGCTTTGGTACTCAGACTGGCTTCCTTGCTCTTCAGCTTGCAGACAGCCTACTGTGGGACCTCAACTTTTGATTGTCAATAGTCCTTAATAAACTCCCCTTTATATACACATCTATCCTGTTAGTTCTGTCCCTCTAGAGAACCCTGACTAATACAGAGGTTGCAACTAGGGCTGTCTCTGTTGACAAGCATGGCAAAGAGAGGTAAGTGCATTACAAGGGAACTGCATATCTCTGTGTACAAAAAGCTGTGTGTGTGTGTGTGTGTGTGTGTGTGTGTGTGTGTATTCAGAGGAATAAACAAATGAGATCTTTGTGGACGTGAATCACTGAATTGTCTTAAAAGGAACCTGTCTCAAGACAATGTCCTAGAGAGGCAAAAGGACCTCAACGTATGTGTGCACTTACTTTAAATGACAAGTTTAGTGGCTCTTTGCTTTCTTAACTCATTTGTCTTTAACGTGACTTAATACTCTAGTAGGTCACTCATGGGAGGGGTTAACTATGGGAGGGGTAAGACCTTGTGCTTATGTGCAATCACAGTGGGTATCATGCTATGAGAAGCCCACTGGCTGATGAGAGAGTCAAAATCAGAGAGTCAAAATGAGATTATGCCTGAGGAGGCATAATCTATGATGAGGTAAGCACTTGGAGTTTCCTAAATTCTAAGGAGAATTTTAGAAAAAAATCCATGTAAGCAATTCAAGAAAAAAAAATGTACTGACAGACTTGTTTTCACATTTAAAGGATACCAATATCAGATTTCAACCTCATGGCCAGGTAAAACCATGTTTTTTTCCCTCTAATTATTATTTTTTTCCTATCCCAACAGGGAAGGTGTCAGAAATACTTGTGAGAAAGGTGGGCAGTAAGAAATGAGGCATAGAAAAAAACTGATTACTCTCCACAGTATTTCAGGCTTTCAAAGCTGAACCAGGCTAAACCATGGAGGGAAAAGGGAAACTCTACATTTTAAATTAAGTGAGATTAGATTGGACACTTTATTATCCAAGAGTTACTGAAAAGGCTTTTGGATCTGCCCACACTTTTATTTAGATATAGAGAAGAGTGAGTCCATAGAGTAAGTTTAATGGTGAGAAAGAAGAAAAAATATGAACATTAACGCAAATTTATCTTATCAAGTACACATTATTCAATAAACCTGTTACAGAACAGCACTTGATCAATGAATAAATGAATAAACTAATATTTTAAAATATACAAGTTAGTTTTTTGAAAACCAGATGTGGTCTAGTAATGTAGGAAGAATCAATGCAGCTTTAGGGACTACTGTAATTAAAATTGGATCCAGCATGCCTCTCTCTCACACCCTCTTGGTTACTCCCTGGATAGCGGTTTTATTTCCTCAGAGGCCATTAGCTTTACAACTTCATTTCCAATGAAGAAAAGGAACTGGGAAAAAAATTCCAACGGAGGACTCTATTAGCTTGGCTTTTGTCATGTGCCCACAGTAAGCAAATCAAAATGGCGAGAAGGGATGATACATGTGGAGATTGGCAAACCCACTAAGAAATATTTGGATGCAACAGGGAAAGAGTATTTTTACTGCAAAAAGGGGCAAAAGAACATGATTCTGGAATTCCAAAGCACTAAACATCTGTTTCCTATGTTTTGTATTCATATATTTCAGTACTATATAGAACTGGTGTTAACACATTTCTGTTCTTTCTTAGAGACTTTAGTTTTTCTTTATCTTTTATTATTTTGGGGACCGAATGTTTTAATTTATTCAATCTGCAATGAATCATTGGCTAGCTTATGTTTTCTGTCCAACCATAATGAATATTATAGTGTCGTTTTGTAACCATAGCATTTGTTTCAAAAAAAGTTATGGTTTAATAAAGTTTGAATTTGGGGGCTTTGAAAAATTAATTTCAATGATAAAAATTTTATAACACTTTGGAGAAAATAAAATTTGAAAAAAAATTGAGGCAGATAGCATTTACATTTTTGGAAGAGGTCATCCATGAAGGCTCAGTTTTGATGTCTCTGAATTGGTAAGTCAGTTTAACCTGGTTCTCTCGTTTAACCCAGAATCCGCTGCACACTATGCTAAGAGTTGTCTTAGAGTAGTAGCCACTAGGTAACAACCACCAAATCTCCCCCTAGTTAACAGGTTCCCTAAGAATGCTGCTTTGTTGCCTTGTTGCCATTTCGTTATTCATACTGCTGATTTTCATATGTACCGAGAACATTGCAATTTTTTCGTCATCAAATATTCAGCTACTAAGGTATCTCAGAAAAGATGCATAGACTATGTATAGGTAACTGCTTATTCACCAATATACTGAATCACCGTTAACATGCTTCCTTCCCCCTCTTCCTTCTGTCTTCTTTGTTGGAATTTCAAAGCAATCAGGTAATAGTTCAGTGTTAAATTAATGAGTACAACTGGTTTGTCAGTCCAAATTTTCCAGTGTTGCAAATAGAATACAGATCTGTGATAATATAGAGTTGCCACTATAGTATATTGGAATTGTTATTCAATTAGAAATTAGGAAACTGAGATTGTAGTTCTGTTTCATTATTAACAATATACGTAATAAGAGATGTGTAGTTTATCCTGTTGAGTTTTAATTTCCTTATCTATCAAGTGAGGAGTTGAGGGAGGTGGTCCAAAATGTGCCTTAGTCTAGCTTCCTGTTGTATATTGTATGTCTGCCCCGGCATAAATAGGAATAGCCTGGGCCGGGCGCGGTGGCTCACGCTTGTAATCCCAGCACTTTGGGAGGCAGAGGCGGGCGGATCACGAGGTCAGGAGATCGAGACCATCCTGGCTAACACGGTGAAACCCCATCTCTACTAAAAATACAAAAAAATTAGCCAGGCGTAGTGGTGGGCATCTGTAGTCCCAGCTACTTGGGAGGCTGAGGCAGGAGAATGGTGTGAACCCAGGAGGTGGAGCTTGCAGTGAACGGAGATGGCGCCACTGCACTCCAGCCTGGGCGACAGAGCGAGACTCCATCTCAAAAAAACAAAACAAAACAGAACAAGGAATAGCCTGTACTTGCTTTAGCTTAGATTTTGAGTACATATTTTCCTTCCTCACTCTCACCATTTATATGTTTTTTCTTCATAAAATATAGAGTTACTGCATAAACAATTCAAAATGTCTCTAGAGTCTCATGACAGACATCTCAAGAACAAGGGTTCTCTGTGGAGTAAGAGTATAGTGAGGGCGTTAACTATATTTACATATTTAAGCTATCCAAATGTGGAAAACCTAAATTAGTTGAATACTGATTGTGAATTTAACATCTTGGCTATGCATTGAAGATGGGTGAGAAATATTCTATCTAGGGCTGCTTATACACAAATAATTTTTAAAAATATATAATTTAAGTTTTTATAAATTATAAAACACTTTAAAGTACTTACTTGTTTTATTTATAGAGTCAATTACAAATTTAATAAAGCACCAATTTTTAGATCTCTTTCATTTCTCATTTCAAAAAGTTAAAAAAAAAAGAAAAAAAATGCACTTAAGCAAAAAGTCTAGAATGAAAGGAAAAAGATCCTGAAAGAGGCGAATGAGAAAAATCCATAAAGTCTGATGTGGCTGATCATAAGGGAAACTGATTTTTCACACACCTAAATATTAATTCACTGAGATAGTGAGTTTTAAAGCATAGCTGAATGTCATTGCCCTTTGAAATGTCAATTTACCAATATCCACAGTTCATCAGCTGAATTAATCCTTAACCTTTGGAGGCCTTTAAAAGGCACAACTCAACAACGAAAAAAAAATCTCTTCTAGAGACATAGCAGCCATGAAACTTCAACTATTATGGAACAAGATATGTATAAATACATGAAATCAATCATGTATGTGTGTGCGAGATGTGTGTGTACACACATAGTAGAATATCGGGGGAGATAAATGAAAACATTTATAGAAGTTATCCTTGGATAGGAGATTATGGGTAACTTTCATAAGATGGTTTTTTTTTAACTTTCTAAAAGGAGTATGAATTATATTTGAAAAATGATAATTTATTAATCAATTAACTAATATATAAGTAGGAGTTATTTGAATATTTCCTCTGTTTCTTCAGCAAGTGGACTCTAACCATCTGGAAGAGTAAATATCAAATTTTGCTGCACATCAGAATTATCTGAAGAGCTTCAAAAAATTTCTATTGCTTAGGTTGCGCTTCACACCAATTAAATTAGAAGCTCTGCAAATGAGACCTAGACATCAGTATTTTAACACAAGGCCCTATCCATGTGATTCCAATATTCAGCCAACTTTGAGACCCAGTGATGTAGAACACAGACAGATGACCTGGCCACTTAGACTTTCCCTCAAGGACTCTGAATTATGGAAAAATAGTAAAATGATGCAATCTTACAGTAATACGTATTTGGTGATGGCATGCTTAATTAAACTTTTTGTGACCTTTTGCCTGACTTTTCAATAGCCTATCCTTCCTTGATTCATGTCTGTTTCGAAACCTGGTTTGGAAACATTTATGTCAATCTTGTGAACTACTTGATATTCTTCCAACAAATTTTCCTTATTAATGGAAGCTACTCAGTTACTTGCAACCCAAACCAAGAATTGCTATATTTTTAATAAATTATTAAGGGAGAGTAATTTGAGCTATGTAAAAGAGAAAATAAGCAGCTATATTGGTAAAATGAAATATTTATAAAGAAAAAGGTAGCTCAATACTGTTGAAAATAACTACATATACACTGGATATCAAGTACATGACACTATGTTTTACATGTATTTTCTCCTTTATTTTCTCACCAACATTATAATGTAATTACTATAATTATACTCATGTTGTAAATGAACAAGCTATATATAATGAGTCCAAAGGTGTGAAACTAAGTAGTTATTCAAAGCTTATTCTTTTAACCATAATGCTATACTGCTTATTAATGGATAGGGGTTGTCGTGATGGTGGAAAGAATATTAAGGTAAAATAGAGGTGACCAGAAAATAATTACAAAGCCAGGAGAGTCTTGAAATACATAAGCTTTCATAAATGCATAGTCCTATCACATGATGTTGGCATATTGCTTTACTTACTTCAATTGTGTTAATTAATAAAACCCTCTAAGATTCATAAAGTTGAATTTCTAATTCATGAGCAAAAAATTAAAAGACATACAAACCTCTCTGTGTGGTAAAAGCATACTACTGTTTCTGCTTAATTAATACCTTAATCATCTCATTATGTAACCATGAAATGGTATTCCACCCCGATAAATGGTGGAATTACCTAAACATCTTAAAATCAGGATCTGATTTTGATTCATCTTTGCACCCCTCATGACATCTGAATATTAAAGGGCTTCTTCAGGTTTAATCCCTGGCTTTATAGATGCAAAATTCTTCTATGCATTTATAATTTCTACATATATTCAATAGAAATTGGCAATACTTAGAATGTGGAAACACAAAACCAACTGCAACAATCCCTTCCCTGAAAGAGTATTCTCCAAAAGGAATTTGGGGGTCCAAATATTTAAAAATTAGAAATAATGTTACTCTATTTAGGATAAGTATTAAGTCAGTCATTTTGCCTCCAGTGTGTACCCAGGAAAACTATCAAATTTTTTTCTCTATTCTTGATCTTTCTCCTGGACCTCAGAATTCAACTTCCTAACATCTCCATTTGAATGTTTAGACTTAAAACAATAAAACCAAACTAATAGTTACTGCACTTAAACCTGCTCTGCTCTACTCTGTCATCACTTCGTCTTCCGCTTCCTTAGACCACTTTGCCATCATCAGGTTAGGACTACTGAAATGTCCATTGTAACTGATCTTCTAATGTCCGCTCTTATCCCGCTAAATGCATTCTCCAAAAATAATCTAGAGTGAATATTTTTAAATTTAATTTTGATCATATACTCCATTGAGTTCAGAATACATATTATTTTGTAATCTTCATTAAGACTTTAAATGATCCTGCCTTAACTTTTTGCTCTCTCTGCCATAGCTATACTAGATGATTACATTTCTCACATTGATATATCAAGCATGATTATACCTCAGAGTTTTTGGAGTTATGGTTTCTTCTGTCTAAAATGTTCTCCCAGTTACCAAAGGACTTATGGTTTTATTGCATTTAGTTTCTTTCTCCAATAGATACTTTAGCAGACAGGTCTTTTCTATCCACCCTATTTAAAGTAAAATCACTACACTGCATACATGAAAATACTCTCTAGGACCATATTTAAATGCTAATTTATGTAAACCTCCTCCTCAGAACTGTACAGATAAGAAAATATAATGAAATAGAATTTTTATCTCCCAGACATACAGCATAAAAAGTATATAGAGAAAACTACAAATGTGATTTGTCTGACATTATTCGTTCAGAAAAAAATCTAAAACAAATGAAGAAAAGTAAAAAGATTCTAGAATCTCTGCAATGTTACGAGATTACAAGAAAAAAAAGAGAGAGGGTAAAATGCTTCAGCAGGTAAAAGCTCACACACAAAAACATACACCAACCAACTACAGAGTAGAAGGTAATGTTACACAGCACTCTGATATAAAGTAAATATAATCAAGCAATTTTACATTTAAGAAATTCTGAAATAAGAAAATTTAAATCACAGATTAAAAAATTAGAATAAAAATTGACAAGTAACAGAAATCTGAAATGGAAGCTCATATTACTCAAAAAAGACCTGGAAGAATATTCCAGAATCTTCTAAAAAATACAGATTATACGACATCAAATGAAAGAAAAGCCATGACCAAGTGTACAAAGAAAGGCATATGGTTTGGGAATCGGATGGTTAAAATAAAACAAAAATAAAGATGAAGGTAGAAAGTGCTGATGAAAAAGGATCACACATAGAAAAGAGGCAATGGATAAGCAACATGTATATAATTGAAACTTCTGAAGTGGAAAAACAAAACAATAAATTGAACTGGTATTTGAAACTTTAATTTGAGAAAACATTCTTGAGATAAAAGAATTTTCTTATCTACATAGCTAATAATCCAGTCATGTAGCAGGAAAAATTTCTCAAGTCATTTAACTACGACATATGTCAGGAAAGCTTCAATTCAATGAAAACGGAAAATAAAAATAACTCTCATGTGTGCATCTAATAAAAAAAGACATTAAAAAATGAGAAAACAAAATAAATTTGATTTGGCCTCAGACATTTTAATGTCAACACACAGAACAAGAGAACTTCAAAGAAACAAATGTGTTTAAGAATGCCAAGGATAAACAATCTGAGACAACTGCTTTATATTCAGCCAAGTATCCATGAAGTATTAAGGCTACAATCAACCAGATTTAAATATGCATTAATGCAGAAAAGTTATGAAAAAAATTATTCCAACAAGCCTTTCTTGGAACCTACTAAAAATAAGCTTCATTCAATCAAGAGTTTTTTTAAGAAAAATAAAATTATTTTAATAATTAACTGTATGTATTTGTATACAAATTATTATTTATAGATTAATATATTCAAATATATCTAAAGAATTGAATCTATTTGTCAAAAAAGTGAGGATAACAGTGGGACAATAATACATAAAACTTAATGCTCTGACAAATTAGAAATGACACTCTAGGTAGAGATTGGAGATGAAAACAAGAAAGTATAAGAGTCTGGAAGTTTTCATAGGGAAAGGTGAGAGTCTGGTGATATAATTTATAACAGACAAATCAAATAATAGAAGCTGAAGTAAGCTGAAGGTGAATTAAACAATAGTGAAAGAAAGAAAAAGACAGAGAGAAATGAGCCAATGGACAGTAGTAGTGAAACAGACTACATTGACAAAGATACACAGTAATTATAACACAATACACAGTAAGTGTATCATAAAGTTATCTGACTAAATTGAGATTCCCAAAATGACTGATTATATATATATATATATATATATATATACACACACACACATACACACACACACACACACACACGTTAGAAAGTGAGTTTCTGATTGGCTTATAAAACAAAGTACAAGCCTAGTTATGTACAACAGGTAAAGTTATTTTAAAAAGACAAGATAAAAAAGATGTGCAAATGTATGCCATTTAAATAGAAGCATTAAAATCTACCTTGATATTTAACAAGGTAGATTACAAACCAAAAAGCACTAAACAATATCAAATATACATGTTCTAATGTTCAAGACCACAATTCTCAATGAAGGTATAGATAAAATAGCTATGAATATTCAAGCACTAAATAACACTGCAACAACCTTCATATAGAATAAATTATAGAATGTGAAAGAAAAAATAAAAATACATTAATGGAAGGGGATTTTAACAGAATTTTATTCATTCAACTAAGTCAAAGGAGCACAATTAAATAAGGATGTAGAGGATCTTAAGGAAACATAATAATGAAAATCTAAGGTAGAATATTTATCAAAGGTGTACCTCCAATAAATAGAAAATATACCTGCTTTCAAAGTATAGTGATAGCAGTCATAAAAATTTACCACTTAATACCATAAACAAAATATCAATACATTGTATCAAGAAAAAATGATATAAACAAAATTATCTGATTACAATACAATAAAACAAAAACTAATAGGAAAATTAAACAGAGGTCTCTTCCCTTTAGATATTAACATATAATACAAGGGAATATTTAAGAAATTGTATAAAGTAATGTTAATAAAAATAGTATATTCTGGAATAAACATGATTTAGCAAAAGAAATGTTCCGATAAAACTGCATAACCTTAAAAAATTATATCAGTAAAAACAAGAAAGTGAAAGTAAATATTTAAAAAGAACAAAATAAAACAAAATTAAGCATTATAAAAACATATTAGTAACAAAATAGAAATAAACAGTTTAGAGAATAGAAAGACAAGGAAAAAATGAGTAAATAAAAAGTTCTTGGGGAAATATCAAGAGAAAGGAAGAGCAAGGATATATGTATTCTATCCTCAAAGGTGACTGTCACATGAATTTCTTTCTCTAAATAAATTAAAGAAGATGAAGTATTAATTATTTACCCTCCTTTTTCATGAGAAAATGCAGCTCATTAACAGTTGAAAAGGAAACTTTTGTTAAAGAAAAGTATGAAAGCTAATAAATAATGTATAACAGATTTTTTAAACCACCATTTTTTGACATCAAGTAAAATAATTGTGTGGGGCAAAGATCATTCACTGGATGATAAAAGGATGCAAAAATTGTGTGGACAAAATATTTGTATGCTGCCAAAATATCACCACACAAATTACTTGACAATTGCAAAGTGAAACGTTTATTTTTACAATAGAGAAGTTTGGCAGAAAACACCTTAAACAAATGACCCAATTTACCATCACTAATTGTAAAATTATTTAACTATATATCCTGCTTGATGTATCATAAAACAAACACCTCTTAAAACTATTCCTGACAAAAGAAATAGTTAACCTGAGTATAATCAAGCTATTATATCTAACTTGCATTTTAAAAGAAAGTAATATATAAAGAGATGTAATGACCCTTAAGGAAACAATGAAATATCTATTAAAATAAATCAAAATTGGTCTTATTTCTTTAAAAGTGAGTGCTATTAAAAAAAAAAAAATGACAAGCCTGGCAAAGTGGCTCATGCCTGTAATTCCAGAACTTTGGGAAGCTGAGGTGGGAGGATCACTGGAGCCCAGGAGTTCGGGCCAGCCTGGGCAACAAAGCGAAACTCTGTCTCTACAAAAAAATAAAACAAATTATCTGGGCATAGCATGTGTCTATGGTCCCAGCTCTATGGGAGGCTGAGGCAGGAGGATCATTTGAACCCAAGAGGTCCAGCTTAGGTGACAAAGTGAGAGCCTGTCTCAAAAAAAAAAAAAAAAAAAAGAAAAAGAAAAGGAAAAGAAAAAATAAGGGAAAGAAGACAGACAATTATCTTAGATTAAAAGAGATTTCAATCAAATGCAAACTGGAAACTTGACTGGATACTAGCTTGAAGGACCTGATAATAGATTATTTTCAATTTCTCCAGGTATAATAATTTTATTTGATTTTCAGGAGTATGTCTTCATTCACGAAAAATTTGTATTAGTTAATTATCATGATTTCTGCAACATTTATCGAAATGGTCAGCAAGGAGTTTGAAAGGTGGAGATAGAAGACAGATAGCAAATGAGCAAGAGGAGAGCAAGAGCACAATGCATAAACAAGTGTTGAATGGGAGTGTGAGTGGGTATGAATGAGTGTTGAATGGGTGTATGAATGGATATAAGAGTGGGTATATGCTGTTCATTATCATAATATTTTATAGTTTAGAAATGTTAATAATTGATAGTTGAAAAATAACCTGCTATAATATTTTGAAAAAAAAGGAAGTCTAAAAAATACAATATTCCACCTAATTCCTTATTCTCAATCACGGCCAAAAATGTTCCTCATAACTTGGTAGACTTCATTTTTTCAAAAGCTGCAATATGAAATGAGCACTACTAAAAAATTTATGACTATTTTAGCAACTGCAAACTGAATTAGTACAATTTAAAATATTTAATAGTCTTATTTGTTAAAGAATCCAGAGTTTTTTGAATAATCATGCCAGTAATTCCACAGCAATAAAAGTTTTTAAATAAACCAGTCTGCAGTCTAGACAGTTAAATTTTTGGAGCCCTGTACTTCATGTTGACAAAGGCTATAAGAGTGATTCATTGCTGAGTGAGAAAGGGGCAAACACAGATTATTCTTGATTTCCTCCCCTCCATGACACTTGCCATCTATGATACTTGTGTGAAGTTCATGACCTATAAATTCAAATTGGTCAAGAAATTAGTTTGGTAGAATGTATATACCATGTAGTTGTTGGTAGTAGGGAATCCACCTATTCATCATTTTTCTTTTCTCAGAGGGTGGCATTTGGTGATTTGCAATGATGGTAGCCTTCGTCACCATGGTTTATTATTGATGT
This sequence comes from Homo sapiens, assembly GCF_000001405.40. Taxonomy (NCBI): domain Eukaryota; kingdom Metazoa; phylum Chordata; class Mammalia; order Primates; family Hominidae; genus Homo; species Homo sapiens. Next base: position 29,502,409 of record NC_000011.10, read on the forward strand.
GTGTTTTTTTCTAATTTTTTTCCATAAAATTCACACATTCTCCATTTTTATTTCATTTTAGGTTCTATGATCCTGGCTCACCAGTGCTACTTTGAGTGTAGGATGACCCTAGCAATATGGTATGCCAAACATTACTAGTGTTCGCCCAGACTGGACTTTCCTCTCCTTCCTGGGCACATACATAATAACATTTTCCAGTTGCTTTCCAGTTAAGGAGAATCAGGTGACTAGATTTGGCCAGTGGGCAGTATAAAATGATGTAAATCATTCCCAGCCTGAAGCAATGAAAACTCACTAACAGAAACTCTAGCGCCGGGTTCAGTGGCTCACGTCTGTAATCCCAGTGCTTTGGGAGGCCGAGGCAGGAGGATTACTTGAGCCCAGGAATTCAAGACCAGCCTGGGCAACATAGTGAGACCCTGTCTCTACCAAACATTTTTTTTTTTTTTTGAGCGGTAGGAAGGTTTTTTGTGAAGAGTAAAAGAACAAAGCTTCCACAGCGTGGAAGAGGACCCGAGCAGATTGCCCCAAATGTTTTTTTTTAAAAAGAAAAATTAGTTGGACATGATGGTGCATTCCTGTGGTCTCAGATCATACCACATCACTCCAGTTTGGGTGACAGAGCGAGAGAAAGAGAAAAGAAAGAAAGAGAGAGAAAGAGAGAGAGAGGAAGAGAGAGAGGAAGGGAGAGAGAAAGAAAGAAGGAGAGAAACTAACAACTTTGTCCTCTTGTTTCAGGATCCATAAAAGTCAGTGTAGAACAATTGCCCTCCCTCTTCCATGATATATTAGCACAAAGTAAGCCTTTTTGTTTGGGCACCAAATGTTGGCACAGCACAATCTAGCCCATCTTGCCTAGTACACAGAGCTTCTTCCTTCCCCAGTGAGCAAGGATTTTCACTTGGTTGCTAAAGTTCCTACTGACACTGCCATTTAATTTGGAATTTTTAGGCCTGTGAAACCAGCTCTTTAGGGAACCTTGCAATCATCTTTCATTTGTTTCAGCTGGAAAATCACCCTTCACAGATTCTTGAACTGAAGCTGCAGTTGCTCCTAAAATCTGTATTTTAGGCACCTACTGAGGGATAATACATCTGGCATGAACCCCTAAAGACTCTTCAGTTGCCTACCTCAGCTACTGTGATGTGCCTTGAGCAGCCTTTGTTTCTGCTGTACTTCTTTTGGCAACAGTAGAGTCTGTTTTCCGGTTCCTTTCAGAGAAGTCTGACTTAAGTTTTCACAGTTTAATCTGCTTGTTTAGTTAGGTCCATTCCTCCTCAAACATATCTAGAAGTCACATTCGTTTGCTGGAACTCAATGCCTTTGTCCTTTTAATTTCCCTTAGTTTTCTGGAGCATATATTTGTTCTTCATATATACTCCTCTAGATGCTGAAATATGTAGTCACCCACAGTAAGATACATGAAATCAGTGACTTCTGTTCAAAAAATAATGTTTTTATTCATCTCTCTGATTTAGATAACCCTATCCTGGAAGGTTCCTACACCAATTTTAGTACTGGCCTGATTGGCTTCTCATTGATATTTTTTATATTTGCTGTCTTTCCTTAGAGTCCTAATTCTGTAACTTTCTCTGGTATGTTCTCTGTAAGTAGAGACAATTGTTAAACTTTCACCTACAATAACCTGCTTATTATACTTTTTCTCTTTTTCTTTTTTTGGTTTTACTCTTGTTGCCCAGGCTGGAGTACAATGGCAAGACCTTGGCTTACTGCAACCTCCTCCTCCTAGGTTCAAGTGATTCTCCTGCCTCAGCCTCCCGAGTAGCTGAGATTACAGGCACCCGCCACCATGCCTGGTTAATTTTTGTAATTTTAGTAGAGATGGGGTTTCACAATGTTGGCCAGGCTGGTCTCAAACTCCTGACCTCATGATCCACCCACCTCCACCTCCCAAAGTGCTGGGATTACAGGCGTGAACCACCGTGCCTAGCCTTCTCTTCTCTTCTTTTGAACCTGAAGACACCCACATAACTTCATGCCTGGCCTTCCTATTGGCCCTAACAGCCACTCAGCTCAGAAAAGATGATTGTTAATTAGGTTGGGACAAGGAGGAGAGGGCATCCTAAAAACATTCAAGTCACCATCTTTCCAGAATTCCCAAGTTACATTCATTTGAACTGTCTACCCTCTGATGTGCTATATATATATATATATATATATATATATATATATATATATATATATATATATATATATATGTATATAGTTTCAATAATTATTTACAGAAAGCAAATTAAGCAACAAGAGGTTCTTACTGTATAGGTGATGAAACAAAAGTTTTAAGAGATTCAACAATTTTCTCAGAGTTGCATAAATAATACATTCTGGACCAAAACCTAGAAGGTTCAGTTTCTTCATTCTCCTTCCATTATATACCATGAATTTGGGTTGCGTAGTTGTGTTAATACCTGGCATAGACACTGTCTTAAGCTGGAACTGGAGCCTAAGGAAGCTGTTAACATAGCAACAGTTTCCATCCTTGTTAAACTGTCCTCTTCCTTTCAATCAACTCCATGATGGATGAGAGCCTAGGCTCCAATTTTAACAGGAAGTAGAAAGATGCTGTATCTTCCTCCTCTTACTACCTGTGAGGCTGACTTACCACAGACATTGGGCAGGTACTGCTGAGATTCTGATTCAACATCCAGCAAATCTTTTCCAAGTAACAGAAAAGAAAATCTCAACTTCAGACCTTAAAATATATCTTTCTGCATTGTAGAAAAACCCATAAATGAATATTTAGAAAATAAGGGGGAAATTCTTACCAGGAAGAATTCAAAAGATTCACAAAATAACTCCTTTCTTATTTTCTGCTGTGAAGCACTTGAAGTTCACCTTAATTTCAGTCTCACAAATACCCTACAGCATGCAGTAGCCTTTGATGTTTTATTAAAGAAACAAATGCTTTGATGATCTACTCATGGGCCAAGGGATTGTTCCCCTGCCAGCCACCATCCCACCAATTTTGCCGAAACATTCCCACCAGAAGCTGAAACTCTAGCAGAAGTTTGATCTTACCTTGGCTCTCTTTACCAGCTCATCATAAAACCAGAATTTGAAAAATGGTCCATGAGGAACAGCATAGAGATGATTTGTTAGATAGTAATTAAGAAAGTTTAGTTATTACCCAGGAAAATGTGCTATTGGTTTATGTCTGTGTAAAACAAAATGTTTCTCTAAAATCTTTATTAATGCTTTACTCTTGGAATAATTTATCCATGCTAGCTATTTTTTATTGGCCACCCTGGTCTTCTTCATCCTCCTCTGTCCCCAGGATACTGACTTCTATAGATTGCATATAAAGACTCCTTAGTTCATTGGTTTCTGGTTAGCTTGTGTGAAGAGAAGTCATGAGTATAGAGCAAAAGTACTAGGAGGCTGAAGGAGAGTAAGGTTGGGGTATTTATTACCTCTGTTGCCTTCTTGGCAATATGGGCTGTTCCTTTTACCAAAAGCTTCAGTTCCTATACAGTAGCCCTTTTCATATAGCTATCCCCTTTGGGTAACAGTAACTGCCGTCCTTTCCTTCTGTCTTCAGATTTAGAGTTTGTAATGATGTCTTACTATTGCCAGTATGGGAAACGTACCGTCCTTTGCCGGTTTCCCTAATCCCTACCCACATATCTTTCTAAATAGTTCATTTAGTGAACTCTCTTAACCCAGAATGGATATGCCATGTGCTACTGATTCATTGTGTAAAAGTATTCAGATGGGGATAGTCTAATGTTAATAAGTGAAAATTTAAAGATTAATTACAATCTAAAGTCAAAATACTTGGTCTTAAATTGAATCTCATTTCTGCCAGTTTCAGGAAGTTTTCTAAAAATTAGTAGGACTCTCTGAACCTTACTTTTCTCAAAGGTAAAATAATTTCTCAGATATTTGTTTTAATATAAAGGATAAATGGAATAGAAATTGGTGCAGAGCCTAGAAAATGTGATATTGAAAAAATATGTGTTGTGGTAGCTTTTGAGCTATGTCAATATCAATAATTTCTTCCCTGGATGGTTCTCTTAGGGTTGGCTCCAAAAGAAGTTTGCGTGAGATTTGGGAGGCAAAAGTGAAGCAGCAATTTAGCTCTGAACATAGATATAGGGCTAGGGGCTGTTGTAGAGCACACATAGCTTTATTAATCTACTGGCTCATTTTGTTGGTGTTGGGAAGCATTTGGATCCATAGCTCCTTCAGCTTTCACCAAGTCTGTCTTTCCATTTGAGTCCTAAGCTAGGTGTAAGGGTGCCACCTTCTTTTGCAGATTGCTCAGATTAACAAGGTTGTAGGCATTAAAAGACAGTGCTGTTTGCAATTTGTCCTTATGGATTATAGTTTGTCCTCACTCTTTTCAACTTTATGTCCAGGTTTTCTTGCAAACTACTGGCTCTGCAGATTTATGGCATTTCAAGCTCCTACCAGACAGAGAGGCAATTTCCATAGACTTTTTCACTGGCCTCCACAGTTGTGGATGATCTAATTCCTGTTATATTCCCTTATTCCATATTACCGATAGTAGCTCTGCTTACCTAATTGAATGCTAACTAATACCTGGGTTCTCTTCTCTTCTTCTCTTATTAATGATATGATCACAAATATGACTAAGAATATAACACAAAATATTAGGATCTGTTCTTCAGTATGAGTGGAGAATCCAGAACAATGTAATAAGCATTTTACCTTCTGGGATCATGAAACTAAAAAAAAAAAGATAAAAATGATACTGAAATTTAGAAGTCTTTATTTCAGGAATTAAGCCCACCCCTCCTCCTTAGTTCCAGAATTTCAGGAGTAGCTTGGAGTAAAGTATTTGTGGCATTGTTTTTCTCTATTCTACAGAAATTATACAGAAGCTTTGTTCAGTGATAGGCAAAGGAGACAATTAATGATTATTAATTTTCACTAGGGTTATTAAGCAAATCCTATGTTTCTTTTCTCCCCCAAGATTTCTGTCATTATCTAGTAAGGTTTGCTTCCAAAGCTTTGCTTCCATATAAAATTTCATGCTCATTTAGTACATGATACATTTGAAGCTGACAGGAGTGATCCACCTGGAATGGCCCAGCAACACTATGCTTAGTCCCAGAAAGCTACAGAAATAGTCTTCTTTGTCTCTTTGATTCTCTATGGGTCATTTAATAGCAACAGCTCCTCTTTATTCTTTTCCTTTTTGAATGGTGCTTTTGTGAGTTGGAGTCTTGATGTATCTGTCACAGACCTTCCACTTCAGAGGTTAAACTGCAAGATCTAATGAGGGGAAATTATTTTTAGCTTAGCCTCTGGCACTATAAATTTCAGAAAATTTTTGAATTAAGCCTTATAACTTTATAGGAAAAAATAGCAGACTGCCATTTTAACTCTTTCTCTGTCTTTCTTTTTAACTAAAATCTCAGTAGGTAGTTTTTTTAAAAATATTATTTTTATTTATTTTGGTAGCAACTGAATGACAATTTAATCCCATAAAAATTATCAGATGCTTCTTATTTTTCGTGTTTTTTTTTTTTTCCAATTAGGCCTCCATCTCTGACTGCTGACATCAGACTAGCAAAGTGTACAGTCCACAATCAATGATATGTGAGTGTGGATGGTGCTGTGTTGTTCACAGTGGAACAAAGAATTTATCCCTTAGGTCTAATATTGGGTCCGAAGAAAAAATGTGCTATAACTTTATTCTTAAAATTTGAATTATTTTTCCTGAAGTAGAAATCCATCCTAATGGAGAGTCAAGAAATAAAATAGAGGCTCAATTTTTTTTTGGAAACAAGCCCAGTTGTGAATTACTCAGGGATTTCTCTCCTGTAATATGGCTTATCCACGCCACTGGCCTCACATTTCTGAATCTCATCTTTGGTCATTTCACTGCTTGTTAACAATTACATCCAAGAGAAGGTACTAGAAGAGACAAAGTAAAACTGAAGACTTGTTAGTTGGGCCAATGGTCATGAAAGCAAAATATTTATTATACTAACCATTATGAGCAAGGCAATGGAAGATTTGTAGGGATACCAGGTTTATTTCAGACTGGCTTGAAAGAAAGCAACAAATTAAAATTATTTAATTAACACCACTTGTTAATAGTGTTCAAAGTGGGCTTTTATTGTAAAAGAAATTTTAAACATTGTGTGGTGGGAAATGGTGGTCCTTATTAGGAAGAAAGGGAGGAACTGAAGCTACTCTCTAATACCAGGAAAGGATGCTTTCGGGGCAGATATTGTGGTGATATTGGAAAGTCTTGGTTAAAGTAGCTATGTGTATTCTGTGAAAACTGTGTAGCTGAGGTTGGATATGTACTGAGAAACAAAGACAATCTCATGCAAAGAAGATGGACAGCTTGGGGTCTTCCTTTAAATATTATAATATGTGCCCATATATGGCATTCCAGCTTAGTAAAACCAGACTATTAGTCATGGTGATGATAAGGGTAACATTGTTATTTCTCTATGTTCTATTATTTATATCTTTATTTTCTATGGTACTGTGCTAAATAATTTACATACATCATCTCACATATCTTCAAATAAATATTACTACCACCATTTACAGAAGAGGAAATGGAAGTTCAAAGGGTTTAAAAGCCTGACATCACATAGCAATGTGTGGAAAATCTTAGACTCAAACCTTCAACTCAAACCTTAGAGCATCTTAGACTCGAACTTTGATTTCAGAGCTTGTGATTTTAATACTGAAGAGAAAGAGGATGGCTCAGGCAATAGAGCCATTGTAACACTGTGAATTTAGACAGTAAGATTAACTTTTATGGAATCTGAAAAGGTAGAATTTGATCTAAGCCTTGAAGGATGAGGAAGGCAATGGAAAATTTGTAGGGATACCAGGTTTATTACAGACTGGCTTGAAAGAAAGCAACAAATTATTTAATTAACACTACTTGCTAATAATGTTACAAAGTGGGCTTTTATTGTAAAAGAAATTTTAAACATCATATGGTGGGAAATGGTGGTCCTCATTAGGAAGGTAACATTGTTATTTCTCTGTCTACGTTCTATTATTTCTATCTTTATTTTCTATGGTATTGTGCTAAATTCTTTACATATATCATCTCACGTATCTTCAAGTAAAGATATGTGAGATGGTGGTAGGGAGACAGGGTGTCCTATGAGAATGAATTGCACGAATACAGTTATACAGGCAAATGAAGAAGGAATCTGGGGTCAGTGAATCGCTGGCCTGGATTTTCTCCAAACATTTTTGGATAAATAACATTATGTATAGATGCAATTTATCCACGAAACCATGCTATTGCAACATTTCATTGGTATGCTATCTAAATTTGTAGATATTTGTTATAAAAGACCATCTCCTGAAATCTATTAGATTGAAAATATATAAAAGATGAAAAACCATTTGACAATTTATTACAAATTTCTAACTGGGAATCCTTGTTGTGTCAATGAACTAATAAATGTAAATGTAAAACCAGGTAAATGTAAAGTTTTATTACTATTAATTTTACGATTATTTTTTAAATGAATGAAGTCCTACAACTTCTCCAGAATAGGACTAAGTTTTCATTTGCAAATATTTATGAGGCTATTTTGGAATGACAAAATTCAGAATGAACTTAGAACCAAATTCTATTCATCTTCTGTGTTTACCCAATTTTCCTTTCCCTCCCCTTCCCTTCTCCCCTCCTCTCCACTTCCCTTTCCTTCCTTCTTATGTCTCTCACTTTTCTTTTTTCTTTTCTTTTTATTTCATGTCTGTCTTCAGAAGAAAATCCTTATATATGCCAGGGAAGCAGAGAAACATAAAACTTTGCTGTAAAGAAAGGAAGATCCCCATGCCTATAGTCCCAGCACTTTGGGAGGCGGAGACGGGTAGATCACTTGAAGTCAGGAATTTGAGACCAGCCTGGCCAACATGGTGAAACCCCGTCTCTACTAAAAATACAAACATTAGCTGGGCATGGTGACGGACCCCTGTAATCCCAGCAACTCAGGAGGCTGAGGCAGGAGAGTGGCTTGAACCCAGGAGGAGGAGGTTGCAGTGAGCCGAGATCTCACCATTGTGCTCCAGCCTGGACAGCAAGAGTGAAACTCAGTATCCAAAAAAAAAAAAAAAGAAAGGAAGATCTTTATGACATTTTGACAGTAGTTCCACTGTGAGGTGAAACTCATGATGGAAAAAGAGAACCAAAAATAACAGCTTTAATAATTACTCAGCAACATGTACAGAGCTGCTGTAAGCAAAGTAAGGTTACAGCCGTAAGTGATCAGTGTATCATAATTTCAATGCTTCTGATTCAAAATTGCTGCCAGTGTTGCTTGTTAAAAGTCGAAGGGACCCAGGAATGAGAATGATGTCATGGCAATAGTTCTAGGGGATCTTTACACTTACCTTACATTCTACAAGTCAAATTGCAGAAAAACTCTTTTCTTTTTCGTGTCTAAAGCAAGCTTTGTCACATACTATTAAGAATTATTAGTACTCACTTGACCTATTTAAACAATAGCAGAGTCTTTTTCTAGTAATCTAAAAGTTGTTATTAGCCCAATGAAAAGGACTGTGGTTATAGATGACACTACATTTCCTTTGTTTTGGAAAAGGTAATTTTCTGCTAAAGGATTTAGAGGTGAAGACAGTTTCACAACATGAAAGACGAAACACAATGTGCTACATTGATTTTTCTGATGTTTTATGTTAAAACATTTTATTTTTTTTCTTAGAAGATTGTCCAACACACAGACTCATATCTGTAAACTGACACTAGAACAGGCACTAAGATCCACAGTCTCTTTCTCACTTTTTAAAAAAATCTGGCTCAAATTGGATTTAACTCACAAGAGAGTGCAGGTTAGTGAATCACTTGAAGTATTTAAGAAAGAAACTCAGTGCCTATAATCATAGTCAATGAAATTCTTTTAATTGTTGACTATGATCACACAACTGGAGTAATCATTAAAAATTTATTTCCTTAAAGAGGAAATTCATGGAATTTTTTATTTAACATTGACAGGAAAAAGCATGGAAGTTTAGAGAAAATCATCATGTATTATTTTTACTTCATGTTAAATAATACTTACTCAGAAACACAAATAATGAACTATAACATGGTAAGTATAAAGTCATTTACTTTCCAATTCTCAAAAGTTTAAAAGTCAAGTTTAAAAGTCAGGATAAGCATGGATGGAACAGGGAGTTAGCCTCTGTTACTGGAGATCAAAGGTCAAGTGCAAGCCTGGCAAAGCAACATTACAGGAGAAGGCTCTCAATGGGTCAGAAAGAATTTAAATCAGAGGGATTTTTATTATCAAAGCCTAAGTATGCTTTTTTATTGTTGTTTCCATATATATTAAATCTTAAAGAAGCCTTGTAAACAACTGATGGGTTCTTCCTGCCCTCTGCACAAACAAAGACCACAGCATTGCCATAAAGAAAGAGTTTAATTGATGTGAGGCCAGCTGCACCATGCAGGAGACAGAGTTATTAAGCAAATCAATCTCCTGAAAATTCAGAGACTAGAGTTTTTAAAGGATAATTCAGTGGGAAGGGTCCAGGAAGTGGGGCGTGTAGTGTTGATTGGTTGGGTCATAGATGAAATCATAGGGAGTGGAAGCTGTCTTCTGCTGATTCAGTTTCTGAGTGGAGGTCACAAGACGAGCCAGTTTATTGACCTGGTTGGCGCCAGCTGCTCCATCAAGTGCAGGATTTGACAAATATCTGGAGCACCAATCTTAGGTTTTACAACGGTGATATTATCCCTACGAACAGTTGGGAAAGTTTAGAATCTGGTGGCCTCTAGATGTATGACTCCTAAACCATTGTGGCTAATTTGTTAATCCTACAAAGGCAGTCTGGTCCTCAGGCAAGAAGGGGGTTTGTTTTGGGAAATGGCTGGTATCATCTTTGTTTCAAAAATTAAACTATTAACTAAGTTCCTGCCGAAGTCCTACACCCAGGAATGAACAAGGACAGCTTAGAGGTAAGAAGTAAGACAGAGTCGGTAAGGTCAGAACTGTTTGACTCTTATAATTTTCTCAGTTATGATTTTTGCAAAGGTGTCTTCAGCGTTATCCTCTTTTATTCTAAGTACTCAGGTATCACCTTCATTTTACTGTATTTTCTGGCTTAACTGGACATCTCATGAGGGACTCTTACAAGAAATATCATGAGATAATCTTACAAGAAATATCATGAGATCTATAAGAAAATCTACCAAACATGAATACACATCTACACTCTCCTTGGCATTAAAAAGGCATTTTTAGAACAATAAACCTTAACCTCTTTCCATCTCACCTCTCACCATTTACACAGCTGAGAAATCACACACAAACCCATTGGTAACGGCGCCTCAAAAGTGGTAGTCTTTCTTAATAAAGATCAGGTGTACTCATTTTGATGTGTGTGAATAAGGATCTCAGAGAGAATGAGTAAATTGGAACAGCACTGCAGATGATTCTAATACATCTTAGAAAAATGAGAACCGTTGTTTCCTTCCTCAGACGCTATGGTGAGGATCTTTTGCCTGGAAGCTCCATTTTCCCCAGGCTGGTATGTGGCTAACCGTAAGTTTAGGCCAATACAAGCATAGGCAAAATATAAAGAAAAGAAATTTAATATTTGATATTATTTAAAGTTTTGAGATGATAATTATTAAAAATCATAGCTCTAAATTCTTTACACTTATTTTAGGGTATAGCTTTGTCTTCATTTTGAAATACACTGCCTGTGGCCAGAGTGATGGGAACACCTTTATGGTTTTTATTTTTCAAGTGGTAAAGTTATTAATTTTGTCCTTCTTTAGGATCACAGGCTCAGTCCAGAGCAAGGCCCTGATAGATTCTATTTGGATGATTTCTTTTTAATTAGAACTGTGATAATTCTGGTGCTTCCCCAAGAACAGACAGGCCCCAGACACTTATTCCTCTGAATAAGTTGGTGTACTGAGATTTCAGAAAGAAAGCCTTGACTCAACCTTTCCCAATTTGAACTTTATAATTATAAATGAGTGCTTCCCAAAAGACAGCATACAAATGAAGGTCATTTGAGATGATTGGATAACACTGTATTCTACCTCAGGTGACATACCTTGCAACTCTGCCATTACCTATGGGCCAACATGGTGTGGTAGAGTGATGAGATATCAATTCTTAGATTCAGCCCACTTTTAATAGGCCCTTAGCTAAGAGTATATTCTTGCTCTTGCTGTCCCATATAAATAGTATCTGAAGAAAGGCAGTCATTAAGGGGGCTGAGAAACAATCTCACCCTTTTTGTCACACCAGACATTGGTATTTTTCCCCTTTCACTTCTGGGTACCATGTTCCAGTATTTACAGATGCTCAGTGAGGCAAAAACCCAACTTGCAAGAATCCAAAATAAAAGAAGAATGTTATTTGCTGGAATATCAATATCCTTGTAATTTGTTCTTCTGTTGTTATTATAATTTTTACTTTCAAATAATTTCAATATTACAGAAAAGCTGTAAGAATAACATAAAGAACTACCGTATAATACTGTCATCCAGATTCTGCAGGTATTAACATTTTGTCACATTTGCCCTCATTTTGTGTGTGTTTATGTGTAATTTTTTCTGAATAAATTCACAAAATGGGGCAGTCAGAATGCCACTTCCCTGCTAAATACTTCAGAGTAAATTTCCTAAGAACAAACATATTGTCTTATATAAGCACAGTACAGTCATCAAAATAATTGTAACCAAGAGTAGCACAATCTATTATCAAATCTACAGATCTTTTTCCAATTTCTCTAATCTTCAGAATCAGTGTCCTTCATTGTATTTCAGGATCCAGTCCAGAATAGATTTGTCAGATCTTTGTCTTCCATGAAATTTGATTTTTGAAAAGTAAAGAACAGGTTTTTTTGTTTTTGTCTTTTGTTTTTAAGTGTTTTTTGGTTTGGGCTTGACTGATGTTTTCCTGTAAGAAGATTTAGGTGACTCATTTTCAGAAGGAATATTCCAATGGTGATGAAGTGACTTTCTTAGTGTATCATATCTGAAGGTCCACAGTATTATTTTGTTCCATTAATAGTGATGTTAAATTTGATCTGTTGGCTAAAGTGCTGTCTACAATATCTCCACTATAGTCACTAGATTTTTCTCTTGTTATTGATAATTAACTTTTGAGAAGATACTTTGAGATTATGTAAATATCTTGTTTCTCATTAAATTTTACCCATCAGTTTGATGATTTTGCTTAAATAAATTAGCGTGATGGTTGCCAAATTTTAATTTTCTAACTTGACTGTTTCTTCTATAAGAATAGCATTTTACTATAAAAAAGAGAGGTGTTTTTTGTTTGTTTGCCATTTATGTGCTTATAATTAAGAACCCTGACCTGGATGCTAGGTGTAGTTATTGCTACTTAGGTGGCATAGTTTCTAAGACCTGTCTGGGGAGACATAGCTAGAAAATATATGTAATACAGAAACATGCACACATGAAAAAACATACGTGTCTATCTAATCTATCTGAAAAACCGTGAATCTGTACTGATACCTTTAGTCTGAATCCAATACCACATGCTTAATTTGAGGCTTCTCTCCTTATGCTTAACTTTTTAAAATTACTTACTTGTTCATTCCTAGAATACACAAAAAGTTGTTTCAGAAATATCAACCCATACCACAGCTACAAACAAATCTACCAACTAGAATTCAATATTTGTTTACAGTTCTTTAAAGCTTTAGTCTAAGAATATATAGTAAAAATGTTCAAAAATTATTTTTTTAATTAGCTGTCACACTCAAGTGTTATGACTTTATTTATTTGAAACACAATTAGGCTTATGAGTTTCTGCTTCTATTTCAAGTACTCCCCCAACAACTTTGTGGATCCATTATTTACGTTTAAGTATGCAAATCATTAACATGTTTCCAAAGTAAGAATTATACAAAAAGATAACAAAAAAGTATCAGGCCTGCACCAAAATCCCTCCGCTTCACTTTCAAACTCTCCCAAGAGATAAACACAAACATTTGTTTCTGGTTTATCCTTCATGTGAGTGTCCATGGTGATGTTTTCCTGTTTTTTTTCTTATTTTCTCTCTCTTGCACAATAGGTAATATTAAACACATGCTTATATGCCTTTGCACTTTTTTTCACTCAACAATATATCCTAGAATCACATAGTGTCATTTTTCATTACTTGTTGAAGCCACATGATAATCTATTGTCTGGGTAGGCCACAACCGAACTTTCGTACATGAGCATTTGGTTACTTCTGATATTTTGTAATTCCAAACAATGATTCAAAAACCTTGAATAGATCTATTTCGTATTGTTGAATGTGTACTATAGGGTAAATGACAAGAAATTGAATACTGGGTTGAACGTGTACGTAGTTTTGACAGATTTGCCAAATTTTCCTCCGTAAGTGGTGTACCAATTTGTATTCCCACCTGCCACTTGTGGGAATGTCTGTTTCCCTACAGCTTTGCCAACAGAAGAGGTTGTCAAGCTTTGATATTTCCAGTTTGAGAATTTCAAGATGATATTCCAGTGTAATTTCAAACCACATTTCTCTGATTATAAATAAAGTTGAACATCTTTTTGACATCTTTAATACTTTTTATGTAAATTGTTCATTTCTTTGGCCCATTATTATTTAATATTTGAGTTTTTCCCCTAAATTTAAAAGAATTCATTTATAAATAATCCTGAAGAAACTGAATAACTATATGAAAAATAATAAAAATTTTCCCCAAATGTTAAAAAATTTATGTCTACATATACATTACTTACATATTAATATTTATATTAATATACACATATGTATATAAATACAGCTACATATACAACTCTATATGCATATTAATGTATATCATATAGACTTATAGATGTGTAATAGACATTTATACATATTACACATATATGTATATATATTTGCAAGTATATATTTTTCAAATATATATTAGAAATAATATGTTATACATCGTATATAATATGTGCAGTATATATTATGGATAAAGAGTACCATTTGCATATTAATTATAAATTAATAGGACTAATATCTCATATATTGATTTATGATGGACCAATACGTATGAAATATTAGCCCTTTATGTGTGATATATATTATAAATATTTTCTCCTGGTTTGTTATTTCTCTTTTGTCTTTGCTTATAATTTTTTGCCATGCAAAGGTTTTCGTTGTTTTAATCTTATGAAGTTGCATTTAGTTCATCTCCATTTTGACTCAAAATCAATATTCTTTTCTACACCAAGTTTATAAAGAAATTAACTCAGGTTTCTGCTATTACTTTATTACTTTCATGGTTTCATTTTTACATTTAGCTCCCTGATCTACTTGGAGTTTATTTTTGTGTTTAATGTGAAGTGTAAACCAAATTTTATTCTGTTGATATAGTAATCCCATTTCTTCAGAACTGTTTAGAAAATGTTTATATTTCCCTAGTTATTTAAGATGCCACCTATATTCCTGTGTACCTAGGACTATTTCTGGACTTTTATTCTATTCCACTGGTGTGTCTGACTATTCTTGTTCTAATACCACATTGGTTTACTAGATTGTGCTATCTGGTAAGTCTAGTGTCCCTAACTGCTTTCTTTTTCAATTTTTTCCTAATTATTTGTTCTTGTTATTTTGCCATATAAGCCCTAGTAACTAGAAAGTTTGTGATATAGTTACTGATATTTAGTGAATTTATAATTTAAGGAAAGCAGAAATATTTTTCATATGGGTTTTATATATTCCTTGTTAAGTTTATTTGTAAAATTTTTCTTTTTTATTTCTATCGTGTGTATGATTTTCTTTACCATTAAATCCCCTAACTGGTTATCATTTTATTAAGGTTATAGATTTCTTTACGTTATGTCAGCTACCTTATTAAACTCTTACTGTTTGAGTATGTTAGTTTTATTATTGCTTCCCTAAGGTTTCTTAAGAACACTTCCATGTCATCTGAAAATGGTTATTGATTTCTTTTATATAGCTGCATTGGCTATTAATCCAATATTAAATTGTAGCAGATATGGTGGTACATTTTTGTCCTGATCTTAGTGAAAATGTTGCTAGGGCTTCCCCATTTCTTAGTATCTTAAGATGCTGGCTTTATGAATGAGGTTAATGCATTTTATCAGGCTAAGGAAGTATCCATCAATTCATTCTTGTAGTTTTCTTGTTTTGAAATCAGCAAGGAGTGTAGAATATGTCAAAGTTTTTTGTTTTATTTTGTTTTTCTCATGCATCTATGAAGATTAATCATCTTATAAGTGATGTTTTTCTGTAATTTTCTTTTTGTACTGTCTTTATCAAATTGTTAAAGATTTGGTAGAATTTATTTGTGTGTTCACCTAGGCTTTCTCTATTTATTTTATAGAAGTTAGTAAGTTTGGGAAAATAGGCAGCCCTAATATATCATCTATTTAATCTATAAAAGCAGTCAGGCCTCTGTGATCGGTAGGGCCCAGGGCAAGAACACAAATGGAGATCTATATAATGTCTCTAAATATTTCAGAGTTATAAACTAAGCAATAAACTGTGAATAATGTGTTTTGTCTTTCTACTTTGATACATACATCTTCACATGGGTCTGTAAGGCCAAGTTTGAGTTTAGAATTCTCATATTCCTCACTGTTTTGTTCTGGATCATAATGGCATGGAGAATGGCAATCACAACCAACTCATTTGATTTGCTTTTTCTTCTTCCAGTGGGTAGCCACAGTAGATGTGTGTATACATCTGAGACCACATGACCATTGTCTTCTCATGTCACTGTCTCCACAAAGAGCTGCCTATTGTCCATTCCATGGGCAGTTAGTCCTTAGGAGTACTAGCCTGCGATGGGGGCCCCTAGGGTCTCTGGAAATGGGTTTACGTTTATTTGAGCATGATATTTCAGAGTGCAATATACTCAGAGCATGGTCGAGAAGGGGTAACATGGATTTGGTGTGGAAATTCCACTTGGCCCTGTGAAATCCTTGTCTCTTGGAGAGAGGTAAGTCTTGAAGAATGTCAGAGTGGTCCCGTAAGTATAACCAGGCCCTCATACAACCTATACAAGGTTGCCTGAGTCCAAAGGGAGTAGTATTACAGAGTAAAGCAAAATGGTTTTGCCTATCAAATTTGTGTGTTTTGCATTGGAGCAGAAAATGTAAAAAGAAAGAACAAGTTAAAGGGAGGAACAAGCCTTCTCTTGCTAGGCTGACTCACTCCAAGACCTACGATAGGCAGCAGAGCTCTGAAAAGGATTTAATAACATTATCTGCAAAACCAGAGCCCTCAAGGAATGTGCTCTAGAGCCCCCTCTCCTCCCAGTTAGGAGCAAAAAAACAGGTTTTTCTCCTCTCCCAGCTCCCCTCCTTTTTGTAAATCCTTCCTTAGTGAAACTCAAGGTTCCTTCACAAAGTTTTACAGATTCCCGTTTCTCTTCTGTGTAACATAAAAAGGTCACAAGACATGCTTGAGTAAGACAGGTACCAGCTGTAAACCCTGCCTTAGCTTGATAAGTTCCTGTTTTTCCTCAAGTTGCAAAACCTGTCACAGTATGATTAACTGCCTTTGTTCTGCTTCTGTAAGCCCGTTTGCCTGCCCTGTAAGTTTTGCGCCACTAGATGGCCTACCCCCTTGGTTGCATGTATAAAAGTCAAGCCCTGTCTTTGTTCAGGGCTCAGCTTTTTCAATGTGAATCTGCTGGGCCTGAGTGCACTCAATAAATCACCCTATTTCACCTGTTTGGTCTCTCCAGTCCTCTGATTCCTGCAGTATTTTTCTGGGGGCTCCTGTGGGATTGGAGATGACAGGTTTACTGTCTCCTTTGCCTGTGGGACTTGAACCCCAGGCAAGGGGAGACCCATGACCCCTGGTGCCATCAGAAGAACTTCAACGCAGAGAGGAGATTGGCTGTCCTGCAACTCAGTGCCCTTCCCTGATAGTGCAACGAAATCTAAGGGGCTGTAGGACGATTCTTGGGACAGTGTGCTTCAGGACCATGGTAAGATTTGGGGCCCAAGGCAGGACCCATCCCATAAGGATGGAAGGGGAGCCTGATCACTTCCCAGGGTGTAACTAGTAGCTCGACACAGGATGCGAGACTGGCTCGCAAAGTTGGGGAAACTTACACCCCACCCGACCCAGGATGTGAAAGTGGTTTGCAAAGTTGGTCTAGAAAGCAACTGGGAAGTGTGTGACTGCTTATGAAAGAGGCAGTTCCAGGAGGATTCAATGCGGGGAGTGATGTGTGGGGGGCACAGGTCTCTTAGCATAGACTGTACACTCCAAGTGAATTGTGGGACCAACAGGGACTAGCGGTGATCTGCATATGGCTTGGGGAGGTGCCCCACAATTTAGTAATTGTGGGAGATTAACAAACACTTCAAAGCTAAGCAGTGCCTGAAAACTCCTGCGAGGGGGGTGGTCTAATCCGTCTGAAGCAAAAGAGAGAGAGAGAGAATGTGTTGCACTGTAACTGGGAGAAATGGGAGGGAAGTCATCAAAACCCACCCCATTAGAATTCATGTTAAAGAACTTTAAAAATGTTACAAGGGGGATTATGGAACCCAGTTGACCCCCTAGAGGTTAAAAACTCTGTGTGAAATAAAATAGCCTTCTTTTGAAGTCGGATGGCCAGCCGAAGGGACAGTATATAAAGGAACAATTGGCCATGTACATCAGGTAGTAACCAGTGTCGGAGGACAGCCAGGGCACCCAAACAAGTTTCCCTACGTTGACTTGTGGCTAAATGTGGTCCAAAACTAACCTGCATGATTCCAGCCCTGCCTGGTGTCTTACTGCAAGATGCTCGTAGCCCGAGCTGAGCCTAAAGTGAAAGTCAAGTCAGCTTCACCGGCAGCTGTGGAAATAAAGGAGGAATCACCTAAAGGGCAGGAAAAACCACCATTACAGGAGCCACCGGAGGAAACAGAAATCCCTCCTCCCTGTACTCCATTATCCCCCATTTGACGAGACCAATGGCCAGCGTGGAGTCAGATTCAGAGAATGACACACCCCAAGCTTCACCCCAGAGGGAGGAACCAGAGCCCCCACCCCAGGGGGTCAAGGAGGAAACTCAGGACGATCAGACAAGCCGTCTCCAGTCTGGCCGTACTTGGGCTTTGCAGATACCCCTCCAGGAAATACAGGGACCCCTCTATTATGATGAACATGGCCAGATTCAAAGGGGGCAACAAACCTTCATTTATCAGCCTTTCTCGATCACTGATCTCCCCCTCCTACACGGAGAAGACACAGGCCCTCATAGATCTAATGCAGTCCATCTTCCTGACACACAATCCAACCTGGCCAGATTGCAAGCAAGTCCTTCTAATGCTGTTAAATACTGAAGAGTGCTGAAGAGTGACCCAGGCAGCCCTCCACTGGCTAGAAGCCACTATGCCGGAAGGCACACTTAATGTCCAAGCATATGCTCAAGACCTATTCCCAGAAGCAGACCCTCACTGGGACCCAAATGATGCAACCCAGTTTCAGCACCTGCAGAAGTACCAAGAAGCACTTCTGCAAGGGCTAAGGGAAGGCGAAAATAAGCCAATCAATTTAGGAAAGATCTCAGAAGTGCTTCAAGGAACTGACTCTGTGAGGCATTCAGGCTTTACACTCTGTTTGACCTTGAGGCTACTGAAAATCAGTGCATGGTAAATAGAGTGTTTGTAGGACAAGCCCAGGGAGACATCAGGCTGAAGCTGCAAAAGCCAGAGGGTTTTGCAGGCATGAATCCTACTCAGTTTATAGAAGTAGCCACCAAGGTGTACGTCAACCATGACCAGGGGCAAAAAAGGAAGCTAATCAGAGACTTAGGAAAAAGGCTGATCTGCTTGTGGCAGCCCTCATAGAAAGAGAAACTGGCATCACCAGGGGATGCAGACGTGGGCACAGAAAGAGAAACTGGCATCACCAGGGGATGCAGACGTGGGCACAGAAAGGGCCAGGCTGGGCAGAGGACTGGAAGCCCACCAAGGCTAGATAGATAGGAATCAATGTGCACAATGTGAAAAGAGAGGACACAGGAAAAATGAGCATCCAGAGGACAATGAAGAAGATAGCCAAGGCTGTGAGACAGGCCACCAGCCAAGGGCTGCCACACCCTGAGGGAACCGGATACCAACCTGATCATGCTGGAAGGGACTGGAGGATATGAAGACTAGGCCAGACCAGGCTCCATCACCATAGGCCCCCAGGAGCCCATGGTCACAGTGGAAGTGGGGTGCCAACTGGTGGACTTTATGGTAGACTCTGGGGCTGAACATTTGGTGGTGACCTAGCCCATAAGGCCACTATGCAAACACCATACAACTATTGTTGGGGCTACAGGGGTCCTAGAGAAAAGGCCGTTTTGTCAACCAAGGAGGTGTGTCATAGGAAGATAAGTCCAACATGAGTTCCTATACTTCCCAAATTGCCCAGTTTCCCTGCTGGGAAAATACCCACTCCAAAAACTGTAAGCACAGATTGCTTTTGGGCCACAAGTAGCTATGACTTTAAACCTGACACTCCCAAAGGCCATGGTAATAATCCTTACCATCCCGCAGACTGACAAATGGAGACTATACACAAAAGAGTCACCAGAACCAGGAATAAATGAACTGTATGGGCTACTTAATAAAATTCCTGGAGTATGGGCTGAAGACAACCCACCTGGGCTGGCTAAAAATCAGGCACCAGTAGTAGTAGAGTAATAGAGTAGTAGAGTTGAAACCAGGGGCAGTTTCACCAGTTCAGTTCAGTTTCACCCCAGTTCAGTTTCACCAGTACCCGTTTTTCCAAGAAGTCATATGGGACATTCGCAAACACTTAGAGCAACTCTTCAAACATGGAATCATAGTCAAATGCCAGTCACCCTGGAACACTCCTCTCCTGCCGGTACAGAAACCATCTGGTGAATAGAGGCTGGTGCAGGACTTATGTGCTGTGAATGAGGCTACAGTGACCATCCACCCAGTGGTACCTAATCCATATTCTTTAACGGGACTTATTTCAGCAAGTGCTGTCTGGTTTGCTTGCCTAGACCTGAAAGATGCATTCTTCTGTCTTCGTCTGGCACCAATTAGCCCATCTTTGCATTTCAATGGAGCGAATTGCAGTTCACCTGGACAAGACTCCCACAAGCACTCAAAAACTCTCTCACAATCTTTGAAGAAGCACTGGCTTCAGACCTCAAGGCCTAGCCAAATGACAATTGTGCCTTGCTGGAATATATAGATGACCTGCTTCCAGCAGACCCAACCCAAGAGGACTGCCTCCAAGGAATCCAAGACCTCCTCCACCTCCTGTGGAAAGCCAGATATAAGGTGTTCAGAAAGAAGCTCAAATCTGTTCCAAAAGAGTCCAGTATTTAGGCTTCGAAGTGAGTCAAGGGGAATGATAGCTAGGCAGTGAGCCAAACTAAGCTGTTTGTGCACTCCCAACTCCAACTACCCAGCATCAAATAAGATAATTTTGGGGGACAGCATGGTTCTGCCACATTTGGATCCCAAATTACTCACTGATGGCCAGGCCTTTATATGAAGCCACAAAAGAGGGGGAAGGGAACCCCTACTCTGGGAGGCTGACCAAGATAGGGCATTTAAACAAATCAAAGAAGCCTTAACCCAGGCCCCAGCCTTAGGACTTCCTGATCTAACTAAACCTTTCTTTCTGTATGTCCATGAACAAAAAAGAATGGCAATAGGGGTCCTAACTCAAGTCATAGGATCATGGTATCATCCGGTGGAATATTTATCCAAGGAATTGGATCTCGTGGCACTAGGATGGCCTCTGTGCCTTAAACCACTAGCTGCCACAGCCCTACTGGCACAAAAAGCTGACAAACTAACCCTGGGACAGCAACTGACCATCCAGTACCATACTTGGTTATAATTTTAATGGATCAGAGAGGACACCATTGGTTATCAAATCTGAGAATGACTCAATACCAACAGCTCCTATGCGAGAATTCTCCCATAACTCTAGAGACAGTAAATACCCTAAACCCAGCTACCTTGCTCCCAATTGAACTGGGACCGGGAGCCCCGCTTCATTGTTGTGTAGATGCAGTAGACGAAGTATTCTCAAGCCAGAGGGATCTCACAGACCAACCCCTCAGGGATCCAGATGTAGAATACTTTACAGATGGAAGCAGTTTTGTACTAGAAGGGGTCTGACAGGCCAGGTATGCAGTAGTAACATTAGACTCAGTGATAGAGGCTCAGTCTGTCTACTGGAACATCAGCCCACAAAGCAGAGCTAATAGCCCTGACAAGAGCTCTCTGGTGTCAAAAGACAAAAAGGTCAATGTCTATACAGATTCCAAATATGCCTTCGCCATGTTGCATGTTCATAGGGCTATATATAAATAAAGAGGACTCACAACTGCTGAGGGTAAAGAAATAAAATATAAAGAAAAAATTCTACAGCTTTTAAATGTAGTATTGGCCCCAAAGAAAGTGGCAGTTATACTTTGCAAGGGGCACCAAAGAGCAGGAACACTAGAGGCCAAAGGAAACAGAAAAGTGGACAGAGAGGTAGCAATGGCTACCCTACATTGTGAAGAGGAAGCCATAGCTTTACCTCTCCTCCCAGAGCCTCCGCTTCTAGAGGTCCCAAATTATTCTCCAAATGAAAGGGCCTGGTTTGCCAAAGATACTGGAAGTTACATTAAAGGAGGATGGTGGAAATTCTCCAATAGGAGGCTAGCCATCCCTGAAACAGTGGCCCCTAGATTTGTGAAGCAATTCCATCAAGGAACTCATATAGGAAAAACGGCACTAGAAACACTACTGGAACATCATTTCTATATGCCACGGCTCACTACCATCCCTCAAGCTGTTTGTGAACAATGTCTAATCTGTGTCCAGAATAACCCATGGCAAGGGCCCACTCAGCCCCCGGGAATTCAAGAAATGGGAGCCACACCCTGTGAAAACCTAGTCATGGACTTTACTGAGCTGCCTCGAGCAGGGGGCTATTGGTATATGTTAGTACTAATCTTCACCATTTCAGGATGTGTTGAGGCTTTCCCCACCAGAACAGAGAAAGCACGAGAAGTAACAAAAGTGCTAATAAGGGACATTATCTCTAGATTTGGACTGCCCCTGATTCTGGGGTCAGACAATGGGCCTGTATTTGTAGCTGAAATAGTTCAAGAACTAATATGACTGTTAAAAATAAAATGGAAATTACACACAGCCTACCAGCCACAAAGCTCAAGAAAAGTAGAACGCATGAACCAGACACT
Organism: Homo sapiens; assembly: GCF_000001405.40. Lineage (NCBI taxonomy): Eukaryota > Metazoa > Chordata > Mammalia > Primates > Hominidae > Homo > Homo sapiens. Next base: position 29,524,594 of record NC_000011.10, read on the forward strand.
CCAAAAGCTACTGAAAAAATATTGCCAAGAAACCCATCTGAGATGGGATCAGGTCCTTCCCATGGTTCTTCTCCGAGTCAGGTGCACCTCCGAGTCAAGCACTCTATGAGATCTTGTTTGGCCAGCCACCCCCAATCATAGGTCAAATTAATTGTGATCTCCGTGAACTAGGGAAATTATCCTTGAGAAGGCAAATGAAGGCTTTAGGAATAGCCATGCAAGAAATTCATGGCTGGGTATGGGAAAGAATGCCCATAAGCCTGACAGACCCAACACACCCCTTTAAACCCAGGGATTCAGTTTGGGTTAAAAAATGGAATCCAACCACTTTGGGACCCATATAGGATGGGCCCCATACTGTAATCTTGTCCACTCCCACAGCTGTTAAAGTTGGAGGAATTTTACCTTGGATCCACCATAGTCAGCTGAAACCAGCAGCCCAGAACTAGTGGACCAGCCAACAGGAACCAGACCATCCCACTCGGCTGATCCTACGGTGAGACCAGGTTGCCAATGGAGCTAGCAACTGCCTTGCTCTGGTCCTTCTGGAAGCTGACCAATCTACACACAGCTGAAGCTTGAGGTGACAACTGCCCTGCTCTAGTCACCCCAGGAGCTGACTAGCCTATGCACAGCTGAAGCTGGAGTAAAGTCATGTTGTTAGAAATCTTAGGTCTAATAGTTTTCCTTGTAATACTAGTTGTTTTTCTATTGTTCTGCCACTTTAGTCAGCCTCCTCCACCAGGAGAAAGCCTTTTCTGTCCCTGCTGGGTATAAGTATGTCACTCTTTACCTTGTTCTTACTAATCCCCTTATCTATGTTAAAAGGAGAACTCTTGGAAGGATTTGAAGGATGCCCCCAATGTACTCATACTACACGGTCAGGGAGCGCTATAACGAGAACTCTATTGTACCATACTCATTATGAGTGTACTGGAACCCACCTAGGAACCTGTACTCACAATCAGACCACCTACTCAATCTGTGACCCAGGGAATAACTAGCCTTATGTATGTCACTATATCTGTACTTTAATATCTGCCAGGCAACATTTAAAGACTTCATTGCCCTGTAGCAACCTGTGGTATAAATTAAGAACACCCCTGCTTGCTCCACTTGGGACTGTGCAACATTGGCCACTAAACAAAAGCAGGTCATGTTTACCCACATCCAAGCAGACCTAAACTGTAAAACAAATGCTTGCAATCTTGTAAATTTCAAAATCCTGAAGCCAAATTTACAAATATGGACTACAGGAATAGGAGCACCAATAGGACATTACTATTTAACCAAGAATCCAAGGGGAAAAACTATCTTAAAAAATAATTTTCTATGTATTATAAAGAAAGCTCGGGCCTGTTCAACCCAACAATTCTGAGTTTTCAAGTCATTCTATAAGCAGGTCAACCAGAAATTGCCTGAACCCCCTCCCATAGCCAAAAAACTATTCACCCAACTGGCAGAAAGCATAACCAGCAGCTTGCCCATCTCTTCATGTTACGTCTGTGGGGGAACAAACATGGGGACCAGTCACCATGGGAGGAAAAGGAGCTAATGCCTCAAAGTAACTTTACTCTGACCATCCCCTCCCCCGAACCAACACTCACAAGCTTGAGCACCTGGCTCTTAAAAACCTCTCTTATCAAGAGATTCTGCATTGTGCACTGGGGAAAAGCCTTTACAGACCCAGTAGGAGAATTAACTTGCCTAGGACAGCAATATTACAATGAGATACTAGGAAAAACTTTATGGAGATGCAAAAAGAATGACTCCAAATCACCGCACCCAGGCCCATTCTCCCGTTTCCCTTCTTTAAACCACTCCTGGTACCAGCTTGAAGCTCCAATACCTGGCAGGCACCCTCTGGCCTCTACTGGAACTGTGGGCCACAGGCATATTGACAACTGCCAGCTAAATGGTCAGGGGCCTGTGTACTTGGAACAATTAGGCCCTCTTTCTTTCTAATCCTGCTAAGGCAAGGGGAAGTCTTACGGTACCCCATCTATGATGTAACTAAAAGGAAAAGCAAGAGGGGCATAACCACAGGAGACGGCATAACCATAGGGAAGTGGAAAGACAATGAATTGCCCCCTGAAAGAATAATCCAATACTATGGCCCAGCCACCTGGGCAGAATATGGAACATGGGGATACTGCACCCCTATATATATGCTCAACCACATCATAAGGTTACAGGCAGTACTTGAGCTAATTACTAATGATGCTGCAAGGGTCTTAAATCAGCTAGCCTGGCAAGCTACACAAATGAGAAATGCCATCTACCAAAATAGACTGGCCATCAACTACCTCCTAGCTCAAGAAGGAGAAGTATGTGGAAAGTTCAACCTAACTAATTGCTGTCTAGAGATTGATGACAACAGAAATGTTGTCAAACAATTTTGGATTCTGCCAGAATCCAGAAATTAGCCCATGTCCCAGTGCAGACTTGGAAATGATGGTCTCCAGATTCACTCTTTGGAGGCTGGTTTTCATCTCTTGAAGGATTTAAAACCTTAGTAGGAATAGTTCTGGCCATACTAGGGGGCTGCCTCATACTTCCTTGTCTTTTGCCCCTCCTTGTTAGGAACATGCAGTCAGCTATTGAGATTCTTGTAACCAGGCAAACTACTACCCAACTAATGGTTCTAACTAAATATCAACCCCTGCTTAATAGGAAACTAGCGCCTCATGAAAGGATAAATTTTAAAGATGATGATGCTTTCTATTAAACTTCATTTATAAGAAGCATCAAAGGGGGGAATGAAGCAGAAAATGTAAAAAGAAAAAACAAGTAAAAGAAAGGAACAAGTCTTCTCTTGCTAGGCTGACTCACTCCAAGACCTAGAGATAGGCAGCCGAGCTCTGAAAAGGATTTAATAACATTATCTGCAAAACCAGAGCCCTCAAGGAATGTGCTCCAGAGCCCCCTCTCCTCCCAGTTATGGGCAAGGATGAGAAAACAGGTTTTTCTCCTCTCCCAGCTCCCCACTCCCTTTTTGTAAATCCTTTCTTAGTGAAACTCAAGGTTACTTCACAAAGTTTTACAGATTCCTGTTTCTCTTCTGTGTAAAATAACAAGGTCACAAGACATGCTTGAGTAAGACATTTACCAGCTGTAAACCCTGCCTTAGCTTGATAAGTTCCTGTTTTTCCTCGAATTGCACAATCTGTCACTGTATGATTCACACCTTTGTTCTGTTTCTGTAAGCCTGCTTGCCTGCCCTGTACATTTCATGCCACTAGATGGCCAATCCCTTGGTTGCATGTATAAAAATCAAGCCCTGTCTTTGTTCAGGGCTCAGTTTTTTGGATGTGAATCTTCTGGGCCTGAGTGCCCTCGATAAATCCTTTTATTTCACCCATTTGGTCTCTCCAGTCCTCTGATTCCCACAACAGCATGTGTAGGTGTATGGGTGTTTGTATTCTGTAATACTAGTGAAAGTGTGGACAATGAGACTTTCTTTTCATTACTAGTAATAGAACAATTTGAAAAGCAATTTGAACATATGTATATATTTACCTAGTAATTACACATTTGGGAACCTAGTTTTAAAAATTAACGTGAAGAAACTAAAAGCTTTATTTTGAAAATGATTGTTATAGAATTTTATATGATGGTCCCAAATGGGAAATAGTAAAAATGTCCAATTCTAAGAGATTAGCTAAGCAAACTATGATCTTTTCACCAAGTAGAATACTACTTAGACATTAAAATGATTATTAATATTATTTTTTGAGAGAGTCTCACTCTGTTACTCAGGCTGGAGTACAGTGGTACAATCATGGCTCACTGAAATCTTGAACTCCTGGGCTCAAGCAATCTTCCCACCTCAACCTTCCTTGTAGCTGGGACTACAGGCATGTGCCATGAAGCCTGGCTAACTTTATTTTTATTTTTTTGGTAGATACAAGGCCTTGCTATGTTTCCCAGGCTGGCTTGAACAGCTGGATTCAAGCAATCCTCCTGTCTCAGCCTCCTGAAGTGCTAGGATTACATACATGAGACATCTCACTTGGCCTATCATTTGAAATACTATATAATCCCATAGAATAATGTTCATGATATAATATTGAGTAAAACATAATGTACAAATTATATATAGTTATACAATTATATACATAAAACTATATACAATGTGGTTTAAACTGTGTTAAAATAGTTTTTCATAGAAAGAAAAAACAAAAATACTGCACAGTATATTGTGTTTGTGTTTGAGTGTTAGGACTAGAGGTGAGTTATTTTTCCTGGTTTTCTTTTCAGTTTTTTTGTTTTCTTTCCTAAGAATGTATTACTATTATACTGTATAAAATATGATAAAAGGTCAGACTCACTTATCTCTAATGTCCTTTCCAACTCTATCATGGAGTAATTTTTGTCCCTGTATAATCAAAAGCTTGCTTCATCTTTCACACTTTTTCTTGTCTCTACCACATGTATATAATCCAGGATTTATAGTTTATGCTTGTCTTGAAATACCTGAATGTTAGCTAAGCTTATAAATAGATCTTAACATTTTGAGGCAGATTCCTGTTCTCAACAGCCAATTTTCTCATAGTAAGCATTCATTCAATGTATCCAAGATAAATTTTGAGTGTAAGCAGGCTGGACCAAGACCCTGGCCATTAATGTAAACTTATATTCCCTGCATTGCTAGATATTTTTTCTGGCTTAATAACATATTGATTGCAGGGGCTTATCTAGAAAGAGTTAGAATTGTTTTTGCTGGCAGTGTGATTTTGCATCAGCTACTCTTGTACTATCTCTTGCTTCTGATGAAAAATAGAATTACCTTACTAAAATATTTTAATATTATTAAAATTTTGAGTTTCATGACATATTTTCTGGGATTTTTAAACCTCTGAGCTAAAGTTCTGTCTGTAGCTTGGATCTATATCAGAACTTAATATTTATAAAACAAAGAAGATCCTGACACACCCTTGCATGAAAACATTGCATGATTCTAAGACCTGAAGTTAGCACTGAACAACAATGGATGTCAAAGTTGACCAGAATTGTGTTCAGATGGAAGCCTTATCATTTACTATCTATGCAACTTTGACTGATTGTTTAACTCCTCTGAATTTGAGATTACCCCCTGTAAATTGTGAATAATACTGCTTAACATGTAGGCTTGTTGCAAATATTACATCACATAATGTTAGAAAACACATAATAGGAGTCGAATCAACCAAAGTTTTAATTATCATAACTATCTAGAGATGTGGTTTACAGTATTATAACCTCAAAAGTCGATAGTGAAATGTTACATTTTTGCAGAACCCAATATGAAACTATTCCAACAATAGGGTCCACTGATGGAGAAAATACATGGAGAAATATGGATTCTTATATTGACTCATAGGCTTAAAGCTCAAACATTAAGAAATGCTAATGTAGAGAAAGAATGGTGATGTGATTGGTAGCAATAAAGTTTGGAGCTGTGAAAATATAATGCTGGCTATGAAGCTGAAGTAGGAAAATAAAGGATGCTTCATAGAAAAAATGGCAGGAAATTCAATATATAGATACATAGTTAGATTTAAGAGCCGTTTGTTTAATAAACCATTATTGGTTGAGAGAAGAACTTGTATTTTAGGCAACAGATTATAATAGAATTTTGTCCTTGCTAATCTTAAACTTGATTGACTTATACTAAATGGTCACCTCCTTAGTTCAATTTTCATATTATAAATTGTAGGCAAACACAACTTCTTATAATTTTACTAATATTAAATAAAATTATGTATTTAAAGCATCAAGCTGAATACTTGATACCTGTATGTGCTCAATTATCATAGCTCCCTCTATAACATTCAGAGCAACTCTTGAATAACATCCCTTCATTGAAGACAGATATTGAATGCTAAAATTATTCCACGGTATGTTAGGCAGTGAGAAAATCTAAAACAGTGAGGGAAATTTCTGACTTTTCCTGGGTGCCAGTGTTTTTTGCTACAGTGGCCTAAACACTCCTTCCTGGGGTTCTGGGGACCATCAGACAGGACTGTCACAATGACAATAAATCATCCCCCAAGCTGCTGCAATTTCATCTGGGGGATGCTTCCAGATGCAGTTATTACCTACATGTTGCCCAGTTAGGAAAATGCAGAGCAAATGCAATGTGACCATATTTTAGCCAGAGATTCTCAGACCTTTCCAGTCCCAGATACAGAAACCCAGACCAATCTATGGAACCATGATTACGTGGATGCTTTTCTGAACATATCACTTTAAGGAGCTTTCTGAGAATCCCCTTGAGTGTCCTTAAGATATAAGGTGTGTTTACAGATGCAAACAGGAGCTGAGGCCCTTATTATCTCTGGCCTCATGTAAGTCACTCTGCTTCTCCAAGTCTCATTTTGTAACCTGAAACAAAATTTCCTGTCCTATATGCTGCAAAGGGTCATGAAGGCCTAATGAGATAAGGGATCTAAAAATGCTGTAGGGAAAACAAAATGCAATGCTCTTTATAACACAAACTAGGATTGTTACCTCCAGAGGCAAAGAGATTACATAGTTAAAGTCTTTTAAAGTCTTTTAAATAATGTTAAGAAATGATGACCTTGCAAACATAGCCAATAGGGAACTAACTAATGGGGACAGCAAATGAAGTTGCAGAGACTGATAAGGATATAATTGAAAACCTTTGGAAAACACGAACTCTGTTTTGGGTCCTTTTCTTTTGGCATCTTACCTTGTTCCTTGTGTTTTTCGGATTCAGCTGCTGGATGCTTGATTTTGAGGTGTTACCATGCTACTGCCTCCATCTGTATCTGTCTGGGAGAAAAGCAATAGTGAAGATGAGAAAGAAGGGAGGAAAGAGAAAGGGGGAACAGAGTTCTGCATAATGCTTAGTGCTCCAAGGTCCCAGCATAAGAGGCCCACCCTGACTTTATCCATTCTTATATTTTAGATCCTAGGAACCAAAGATCATTTAATCAAAAACGTGCCTCTCATAGTTAGGGAAATTACATTCTTTTTGCCCAGTGGAAAATTTACATGTTTATTGGTTATATTCTAGGATGATATTTATTATTCACTGAAAGTTTCAAGGGCAAACAAATACACTAGAAATTTTGGAAAGACTCAAGAAACGATAAAATATTACCCCTTGACAGAACAATATTTTATAATGATATTTTGTCTGGTGGGCATGGCTGTCTGTATAACATGAAGATTAAACCTTGGCTGGCAGTGAATTTTTATGTATTACCAAGGTTAGAAGCATAAAAGGCCCTTCTAAAGAAAGTAGTGTCTGCATAAAGTAGTTCATGCACAAAATGCTTGTGATGGTGAGTTGAAATGGGAATAAGAATAGCAAGTACAGGGGCTTCTGGAAAGGTAAAAGATTACAGATGTTGTCATGGGAAATACCCACACAACATGACAGGCTACATTCACAAGAAGCTATCCATGTAGAAAGTGAATTCTTAGAAATTGCTATGGGAGCCCTAAGTAATGACATTTTCACTCTATTGCCATATAGCTTCAACAATTGTCAGATTACCACTGACTTACTAGCAGAATAACCCCAAGGTAATTGATCATCTCTTATAAATGCATGTCTCTATAAAGGGTCACAATTAAAGAAACTTTCCCAATGTACAGGTGAAGAAACAAAGTTCAGAGAAGTCATAGAGCAAACAGGTGTTGATGCTAGCCAGAGGGCAGATCGAAGCCACTTAAGCTCCAAAGTCAATTCTCTTAATCAGCTTACTATAGTATATAAGTTCCTATTAATAATGAAGTGTGAACCAAGTGGGAACAGAAAGTTGTGAAACCAGATTTTCTTGATCTTAGTGTCTTTATTTTTTGAAAGAAATTAATGATAATACCCAAGGCCATAACACTCAATAATGACAGGAAAAATATTTTTCCAACTTTTGTTCTAGCATTATACAAATATTAGCAGATAATACTTTATTTATAGTATCTGAAATGTTGTAGACATTCGGTAAATTTTACCAGCTTAATTGAGTCAAGTATCTGCAAATGCTTGTTTTCAGGCATGAATGGATTAATCCCAAACAGGACTAGGACTATGCTTAGAATTAGGAAAAAAGAAAACAAACAGAACATGGTATATTGGAAGATAAATACAGTGGTAGTAGTAGTGGAGACAAGAGATGTGTATCTCCATAAAACGCTGTTACTCTCAATATTAAATTCTTATGTCTAAGAGGAAGGAAATTAAAACTGTCAGAAAAATTTTAGTGCCTTAAGACCTTCAAAGATATGTAAATCACCTAAAATATGAAAGTATTATATTGTTCAACATGTATAAACAATAACAATGTTTTATTCATATATTTCTTCAATCACTTTATTTGTATTAATTTGCCTAAAAGTGTGCTTGGAAACAAGAATGAAAGAGACAAAAGTGATTCTTGTCCTAATTGAGTTTACATTTTCATGCAAGACATAGACAAGAAAATAAATACCATACTTATAATTTATGATTGTGTTAAGTGCTATGAAATACCAAAGAGACAGTTCTAAGCATGATTGGTATCTTAGTATGTTTACAAGTTGATTTTGTAGACATGAGACCTGATGGCTATAATATTCACAGAATCATTACCAATTGTTGGCTATAATTAGACTCCTGCTGCAAAGGGGCAACTTAACATCCTTAACTTCTTTTGACAAGGTTCAACTTTTGTTCTGAAAATAATAGAAAGGGTTTATTTTCCCAAGAGTCAGTTATTCTGAGCACTACAGAGTTCAACTGTAGTTCAAGATGCCATGTGATACATTTTGACTGGGAAAATATGGCAAAGCATGATTTCTAAGAATTAATTATATCATCCAAGATACATGATAGCAGGGGTTGCTGGTATAAAAATCATATCTGACAGAGTCCATATGACAAGCATAACATAAAGAGACCATATTATGTTTAACATGTGTATAATACAAAGAGAAGGCAATGATGGTGCATCGAACAATTTACAGAATTAGCAGATAGCCCAAAAAGCTTAAGTAAATCATTGTATTTGATTGAGCCTCATTTTTCTTATTTGAAAAAAAAAAAGTTAGTAATCAATGGTGGGAACAAACGTTTCTTTGCTAATTTTGATGTTTCCTTGCAGGTGATGAGAACACAATTAGGGTAACATTCCTAGCTTCTTTCTACCCTTTTACTTGTTCTGCTCCAGAAAAATTGGAATAGTGTGATTTGAATGGTAAATTTATGGAGAATAACATGAATGCACTCTGTTCAGCACCTCTCCTTTCTTTTTAGGAAGAGGCTGTAAAAAGGACCAGGTTTTCCCTTAGAGAGGCCTCACTGAAGAGCCAATTGCCAGGGGCGGGAAAGTCTATCAGTTTTAAGAAGCTGGATGATAGATATTCTTAGATGACTATAATTAGGCGATAAGGCAATAACATGCTGATCTGCTTAGAATTTTATTTCATTTTTCAATTAGTTCAGACTCTGGTGTAGAAAACAAGTTTTATTTAAACCATCAGCAATAATAATTTGTGACTTACAAATTCTGTTGTGAAAGTCAAATGTAGTGATGAATTTGAAATGGATGTATAAATTCAAATCTCCACATAATCTTGTGCAGTTTTTTTAGTCAAGCAATATACCTTATAACTAAAACTCAGCTCTCAAAAGCAGAAGTAAGTGTGGAAGGATAGAACTGAGGCTCAGGAATTTTCCACCACTACTAGCATATTCCCAAGATGCCTGAGCTTCAGGCAAAGCTGTTTCTATTGATCCACATAAGGCTTATTTCCATCTCTCAGTTAATTGTTTCTGTTTTGAGTTGGATTGTGACACTCAAAAAAAGCTGTGTTGGAGTCCTAATGACTGGTGCCTGTCAATATGATATTTTCTGAAAATAGAGTCTTCATAGATGTAGTCAAATTAAGATGAAGTCATATTGGAGTATAGGGTGGGCCCTTAATACAATATGAATGGTATCCTTGTGAGAGAGAAGATGCATACAGACAGTCACACAGGAGAAGGATGGCCCTGTGACATACATAGAAGCAGTTAGTGGAGAGATGCATCTACAAATCAAGGAACAACAAGGATTGATGGCAAACACCGGAAGTTAAAACAGGCAAGGAAAGATTCTTCCCTACCATTCTCAGAGGCAGCATGGCCCTGCCAATGTCTGGACTTCAGATTTCTAGCCTCCAGAAATACAAGTCAATAAATTACTGTCGTTTGAAACCATCCAGTTTGGGGTACTTTGTTATGGAGGCCCTAGGAAATTAATGCAGTGCCCATACCTAGTGACAGGAAAACCTGGGTATCATTTTTACTGCTCCACTGAAAAGACTGGTACTCCTTGACCTCAGAGAACATAAGAAAGACCATGTCCCAGTTGGCCCCTCTTCCTCAGATGCTGCTGAGCTCAGGACTATAAATAATAGTTCCCAAACCAATGTTGGTAGTGTTTTGCCCAGGAGCTCTACAAATGGAAGAGTCATGGATGAGCAAGTGGATGACTCAGTGGAGTATATGTGTGCTGACTCCCAAATGCTGGAGAGAACCAAAAGTAATCCTAAAAATTAAGTTCATTTTTTTGGTATGAAGTAGTTGTGTTTTTGTGGTTTATCAAATTAATTCCCAGATCTGAGGCACCAATGCTTGAAAAACCATGTAGATTTAATAGCTAATGGATCTACAGTGTCTCCCAGTACATGTACTCCTGATCTCTCAGCTTAACTTCTAGGACTTAATGTCTCTAAAACCTTGGACCCCATGCCTCAGACGTAAGTTTTGGCCACTTTTATTCTGACTAGTCTCTTGATCCCAATAGTATGCCTATTTTTATCTTCATACTTACAGCTGATGATGTTTCTGCAATATAAAAATCTCCCTGCTCCTATTTGCCCCTAAAAATTCAACCTTTCAAGGCCTAACTTATAATCCACTTCCATTGCAAAAACCCTGCCAGTGACTGTAATCAAGACCAACCATTCCACTACCTTATATTCCTTTCTGGTACTATTGTGTTGGTGGACTGTGTGTGTGTGTGTGTGTGTGTGTGTGTGTGTGAGAGAGAGAGGATTGTGGGGAGTGGAGAGAAAGTGGTAGCCTTGTCTTTCAACAGGATTTTTTTAGCTCCTTCAATGTATACATTACCTAGATTTCATAATTTTATTATTATCTTCAGTACATAGCACAGTGAAGTGTTTACTAGTTGATCAATACAATTTTAACTTGATGACACAGAAGTCTAGTGCTATTGTAATTTTTTTAAATGCAACTAAGTTGTGGATGCAGAATCAGGGCAAATCATGGAATTCCATTATTTCAATGAATATATGTAAATCTTGGTCAGTCCTAGGTGACAGAAGAGAGTAAAGAGGAATTACTATTTAGTGAGCCACTGAATTATGTTTCAGATACTGCACTAAGCAATTTACATAGATAATCTCTCTTAATCCTCAGATTAACTCTTTGAGTTCAGGGTCATTATTTCCAATTTTAAAATCAGAAAATTGAGAATCAGAGAGCTTCTTGAAGAAACAAGATTAAGCAAAAGGCCTTTGCATGATACTATGCCCTCTTTTCTCTTTCATCATTATATCTTAAGACATTTTGAGGAGCAGAACAAGAACACCTTTATATCCTACACAGGGATCAACCTGGCATGGTGGCTCACACCTGTAACTCAAGCACTTTTGGAGGCTGAGGCAGGAGGACTGCTTGAGGCCAGGAGTTCAAAAACAGCTTGGGCAATGTAGGGAGACCCATCTCTACCAAAGAAGTTATAGACATTGAAAATAAATAAATAAAAATAAATGGACAGGCAAACCACCGCGTGTCTATGCCTGGACATCTTGGTTCTTGGTGACATGAAACATACCACCTCAAAGGATGAGTACCGTATAGTACATTTGATTCATGAAAAGCATCAGAAAAAAAAAAAGTTTCTTTGAGGGAAAAACATCTGCTGTTAAAGTCACTTCAAAGACATTTTAAATAATTGGTTTTATTCTTGAGGATTGTGATTAAAAGAAAGCATTTAACTATTAACCTGCAAATTGACCTTTGTGATCTTGGAAAAGACAGGCTAATTATTTTTGAATGTTAGATTTTCTCTCACATTTCCAAAAAGAAGAATGAATGACTAGAACAGTGGAAGAATTGTGGATGTTCCTCATCACAGCTGATAATTACTTAGGGTCAGTGGCAGCCCCAGACATTGGCATAGTAGGTAGGTGAAAGAATTAGTTAAAATATGTTCCTTTTCAGTACAGTGATTAGAATGCATATCTAAAATATATAAATGAATACATAAACATCTTACTTTTAAGTATGACCAAGTATAGTGGTTAAAAAGAGAGATGCTGCAACTAATCTGATATTTTCTAACTCTGGCTCTACCTCTTAAAACCTGTGTGACCTAGGTCAAATTACCAAACTTCTATGGGCTTCAGTTTTTTCATTCATACTATGAGGATAATTGTAGTGCCTACTTTATAGAGCTATTATGGTAAAGAAGTTCATAGGTATAAAGCTCTTGCAACAGTGATTATAAGTGCTATGTTTGTGTTTTATATAAAATAAAATAAATTCCCAATAAAATTATGTATGGAATCATAAAAAATCATTTTCTTGGAAATCTTTGAATCCAAATGTACATTTTATTTTTCCTTTGGAGACAGCTATCTTGCTCAAGGTTACACAGATAAAACATGGGTGGAGTGAGGGCTAGAACTTCTGACTCTTAATGACTATTCTAGATCTTTTCCCAAGCTATGTTGCATGCTCAACATTTGTCAGCCATAAAAATATGCCATTAGCACTTCTCTTTTTCCTGTTAGGCTGAGAGATTCTCAGTCTCCAAACCTGACTAGAGACTGTAGTAGTAAACTTCTTGAGCTTTAAACCCTTTCTAGCTCTAGAACAAGCTTGTCCAACCCATGGCCCCTGGGCTGCATGTGGCCCAGGATGGCTTTGAATGTGGCCCAACATAAATTCATAAATTTCAAAAAGCATTATGAGAATTTTTGCAATTTTTTTTAGCTCATCAGCTATCATTTGTGTTAGTGAATTTTATGTATGGCCCAAGACAATTCTTATTCTTCCAGTGTGGCCCAAGGAAGCCAAAAGATTGGATACCCCTGCTTTAGAGGCTAAGAACAAGGAGAACAATATTCTTCAGAGCTTTTGAGTTAAGGAAATATTTCTATAGCCCCTGACCTAATTGTTTATTGCACTGAGGCATCAAATGAATCTCTTCTTCCTCTGAACCCCTGATCACAAAATATCTTATCTAACAAAAGTACTGATGGTGAATAGGACAGGGAAAGCAGATTACTATGAGATGAGTGGCATGGGTAGCAAATGACAGGTGTGTTGGGGGTGGGGAGTGTGTAGCAGAGTTCACTGCGGAAGAAAGAAGAAGGCAACCTCTGGAGCAAGAGAAATTGACAATGTATATGGTGCCTTGATATAATTTGAATGTGGTTTCTCTTACCTTAGCCATAATATTAATTGGGAATGAACAGAAGTGATGGAAGGGCAAGAAGGATGAAGAGGAGTTGGAAGCCAGTGCTTATTGGTACTATGTGCAGGTCCTGTGCCAGCATTTTCTTCACAATAATTCTGTGAGGCAGCTGTTTTTAATCCCACTTTCTGGGGAAACTGGGTCTAAAATTGGTTTTAAAACTTGCTCATCTAGTTAACAAGAATTAGAGCTGGAATTGAAATACAGGGGTGTTCTGTGAAGTTCAAAGTCCTTTGGCCACAATGTCTGACTCTCCAATATAATAACCCCTTGTGTTTTCTTCTACTTGCTGAACCCAACTGAATGAATTCTCACTGTGGAACACTTTTTTTCTGACTACTCTTACTGCCAAAAACCCATCACCCTGTATTAGAAGGTACTTGACTATGTGTCAAAAAGAGAAATTGCTTTTCTTCAGTTAACTATTTTTAGCACAGATTATCTGACTAGCAGGTTTATCTTAAGTGATGCTGGCACTGTTCATGGGCCCTGGACTACTACTAAAAATACAAATGCTAATTGTGCTGAGAGCACTCAGCACAACTTTGGCTTTCAGCTCATTCTAATTGACAGACTTAGGCTTTGTTTCATGTAAATGTGCATGAACTAGATTATTTTCTTAAATTCTCAGCCTTACCATCATACTCTGCTATATTTAGCATGTTTGCTTCCCTGAATAACCCAGTTGCCTCACAATTGATTTCATCTATATTTATTGACAAGAGAGAAAGAGGTCATCAAGTACAACATTAGAATGGACTTTGGAGGCTCAGTTGTACTGAGACATATCCTGTGGTACTTGGTTCAGAATGTGGTACTTTGTACAAAAGAATCATGAATGAAAGAAAGTGATTTCTCATATTTGGAGCTCTCCAAGTGACCCAAATGATCCCAAATAAAAGAAGAATGGTATTCTTGGCTGAAAATGAGACATTCACATTCATAATTACAATTTTTATAACCAAAACAAGCATTATTGCTATTGATAGATGTAGTCAGAACATGAATATCAGCATAGGCCCATAGATTTTAATACATAACCAAGAAGTTTTTCTTGAACCTTCAACAACTATCAGTTGTTTTTGTTGATGATAGAAGTTAGGAGTTCTTTAAAGTAATGGTCTTCGAAATAATGTATTGTGCTTTTGTGTATTGTTTTGTTTTTGGATATATTTTCTGTTCTTCTATAATTACTGTCTCTCCTCTGAGGCACCAAAAGATGTTATTTATTAATTGACAGTAGTTAGTACTGAATATAAGCACAATATAGTGAAGGATACAAGAAAAAGAAAGTTAACTTCCAAATCAGTTCTGGCTCTGTCACTTCCTAGGAAACAAATGACTTTCAGCAAGTGATTTATCTCTGTAAGCGGCAGCTTCCTTAACTGGTAAGAAAATAAATAGAAAGAAGGATACTAGAAACAGTCCTACTTAAAGGGAAGTTTGTGGCAAGTAAATAATATTAGTGGGAGTCAACACAGTGAAAGGCACATAGCATTTGCTCAAGCAAATGCTCAAAAAATGGTATTTTTAAAAAATAATTATTACGTACAATAGTAAAAAAGGAGCAACTTTTAATTACTTATCATTTTATTATTTTCTGTAAATTAAATTAGATATATGGTTTTCCTTTGACGTGATAGCTTTAGATATATTTTATTTTCTCTGTTTATTGTTTCTGTTTACAAAACATGCTTATGACATTTGCATACTGCATTTTAAATTTAGCATAATTCTGTCATAAGTACATTTACATAGTATTATGTGCTCTGGATTTGCATTGTGTTTCACGCAGTACAGATAGCGTATTAACTTTTGGTCCCTGGATGTGGTGAACAAATTATGAAAGCTGGAAATCCCAGTGCTTCACTCATTCCTCGCTCAACACTAAATCCTACTAGTTTTAAAATCTGTCCACTTATCTATCCATACTGCTGTGTTCCTCATTTAGGCATATTCTCCCCCTTTATATTTAACTTGAAGATAGTAACAGCTGCATTACTGAACTTCCTGTTTCGGAGCTTGCCTTCCTTTGTTTCAATCACCCTTCACTTTGTAAACAAAGTAATGTCTGTAATTTCAAATATGACTATTTTTCTTCTGTTTTTCAAAGCATTTTCAACCTCAAGAAATGCATTTAAGCACACTGACCTCAAAAAAAGATGCAAACTCCTTGAGATGCTTATGAGGACCTTTAAGAGCTGGTTGTTTTCTTTCTGAATGTACTGTTTCTAAATATAAATGAATGCAATTCTTCACAGAATTCAATTTAAAAAGCACTGGGTAAAATTAATGTAGTTATCATGGAAACGTAAACATCTTCAAATATTCATGAACATTTTTAAAAATTAAAAAATACTAAAAAGGATGTGCTTTTTGATACTAATGATTACCTTAAATTCAAAACCATATAATAAATGGCTCAGAAATCAATTAATAGGTTGTTTTAACAGAATTTAGAAGTAGTAAAGAGAATAAAGTAAATATGAAAACTTAATATGTAACAAGGAAGGCAGTCTAAGTCACAGGAAGTAAGGAAAATTAATAAGTTTTGCTAGAATAAATGACTTCTCACTAGAAAGAAAATAAAATCGATTTTGTTGTTCACATAATATAGGAAATGTAAGACTACATACATTAAGTGTTAAAATAAATAATTAAGACATTTTAAGCCAAAATATAACATTATAGTCTATAGAAAATAGACTTTTTGTAAAACTTGTGAGTGGGAGACCTTTTTGTCTTTAACAGTGTACCCAGAATCCAGACATATATATACATTTTAAGAATATACCTTTAGTGGGCAAAAGTCACCTTATAGAAGTTGTAAGAAAAATAATAGCAATGGAAAATATTTACAATAAAATATATGACAAATAAAATTTATTATAGTAACTATTTGAAAAATCTCTCCAATGATTTGGAAGAAGACAAATATTTTTATAATAAAATTGTCATTGAATAACGGCAACTCACAGAAGAGGAAGTCATGTCCACAAAATATGTGCAAAGATGTTTAATCTCACTTGTGGTAAAGAAAATGCTAAATAATAGTTTTTAACAATTTAATGATATTAACAATTTAAGCAATAATTAAATACATTTATATCAACTTGGCAATAATTATAAAGGGCAGTACTATTCATTGTTGGCAACAGCGTGAGTAAACGTATCTCCAATACATTGATGTTGGAAATGTGAACTGATAAAATATTTTGCTGAAGTACTCGTTTTGTGGTTTGTCAAATGAACATTACAGAAGATAGCAAGAAACAAAACAATCTCATTTATGGTATGTTCTCCTATAGTATATCACAGAAATAATGTAAAATTACACACACACACATACATATGCACACACACGATTGAAGTTGAAAAATGTGGAGATGTGAAATATATATGTAAGAGAATGTTTTAGATAAAATTTAAAAATACTCATTTTATGGAATATGATACAAGCATTGAAAAGAACAAACTAAGCTTTTTGGATGAGAAGAGTAATTTACTATACATGCTTTCCCCTCCCCTAGTAAAAATTCAACTAAGTAATAATAAAGGAATAAGTAGATACAAACAAAAATAAAGACAAAAGAAAGCTTTAAAGACAAAATGTTTTATCAAATTTCCTCAAGACACCAAGAAGATGAAATACAAATGTTATAAAAGAGATCATAGAAAGCTACAGCAAATAATAGAGATAAAAGGGACTTTAAAGGTGAGAGAAGGATGAATATCCTTTCAGAATGCTAGAGAAATCCAGAATTTAAGACTTACAGGTACGGTGTTGGTGCGATTGATGCTAACAGTAGGTAGGTTACGTAAAAGCTATGTACAGAATGGATACCATCTTGTCCTTGCTGGAAGAATACATATAGTATGTGGCCATTATTTAGTATGCATATAGTATCAGATGAAATACTATATTGAAGCCATGAGAGAGAAAAACAATTGTGAGGGAAAGGATATTTTTGGTAAGACAATTGAATCAAGTATAAGTAAAAAAAAGAGTCTTGAGATGATTAAGAAAGGCTGGGTAGACTTAGTAGACTTAGGTGCGTATGAGTAAAGGCAGTTTCACATCTCGAAGTCCCTCAGAATAAAGGATGTTTCGCTACCTCATTACTCTCATACTTGGATTGCTGGTTAGTCAGTTTTTCCCTATAACTTTTTTATTTTTTATTATGAAATATTGGATGAAAAAGCAAGACTCTCCAGACATTGATACATTCTGTAATATAAAAGAAAATTCTTTATGAAGCGAAAAAAAAAAAAATGCCTTGGAAAGATTAGTTCAAGAACAAGAAAAAGCTTTAAAACATATACTTAATTTATCCTCAACAATATTTAGATAAGAAATCTATAAAACAAGAAGAGTCACTATGAATAAGTAAGTATCAAGAAGCATGAAACACCTATAAGAAATTTAAAATAAATATTTTTAATTAAAAACATGATTTATGAGATAAAAACCTGTACATCACTTAAAAATTAAGACAAAAAGAAAAAAAGGATATTTGAGAGGAAAGACACAAGACAGAGGATCAATTTGAAGGTCAAATATCAAAATATGAGGAGTTCCCCGAGATCAAGTTTGGAAATATAAATAATTGAAAAGTAAATCAAAATATCCTTTTCTTTTTTCAGAAAAAAAGGATGTGCTTCAGCTAAATGAGACAGCAATTCAATAAAGAAGGCATGGAATTCAAATATCACTAGTTTCAAACTACAAAGTAATTTGGTAAAATTTCAGAATGTCACATATGTCTTATATCTAATAAATAATCAGATCAGAATGGTACATAAAGATAAATGACTTATCTTGGGGAAAATATGTGTGTGGGTGGGAGTAGTTTGGGGAGAATTGGGATTTAAGAAATTTCTGACTTGAAAAAACAAGTCTTTTTTTGTTTGTTTTTAAATGTGAAGAATAAACCAAACAGCTGATTAGAGTCGGATTAAAGGAAAAGAATGTATTTATTTGGAAGGTAGAACTGAAGAAAGTATTCTGAATACAGTTCAGAAAGACACAATGATAAAAGGGATATTATAGAACATATAAAATACAGTGAGAAGAAGAAACATACATCTGATCAGAGCTATTGAACAAAAAGAGACAATGAATCAGAGATAAAATGTGAGTACTTAATTGTTAAAATTTTTCTATAATTGATTGAACACAAACCTTCTAAAGTCCAGGTATCTCAACAGAGGCCAAAACAAATTTTTAAATAATAATAAATTCACACTGTGATACATCCTAGTGAAACTTCAGAATGCTGAAAGGAGTTAAACTGTCTTAAAAGTAGCACAAGTAAAAAGATTGCTGACAAAGAAAACTCATAGGTGACTCAGAGTCAGTGAGAGTGGAAACAGAAAACAGAGGGGTGACACCTTGTTTTCAGAGAAAATGAGTATCAATCTAGATTTATTATGTTCAGTAAAATTATTTTCTAGATTGAGAAGAAATAACGGCATTTTTATACTAAAAGTAAGTACCTGAGAGCGTACATAACCAATAGGTGATATTATATTAAAAGAATATTTATAAAATGTTCTTGAAGAAAGAATACCAGAAGGAAATATCAGATGAAAGAAATAAGCTTGAACAATGATAACTGTAAACTTCTAAGTAAATCTAAGTAAATATTGGCTGCATACTATAATAACAATTTTTAATTTATGAGTTTAGAATTCAATTTCTTTTAAAAAATCAACTGTCTCTAAGTGAAGGGTAAAGGAATCAGATTTAAAGCCTTTTGAGAGTCATTTATTGTAAAGGGGATAGATAATGATATTTATAAACTTCATTAAATTACATATGCACGTAATGCTGCTAGACTTACCCCTTTATAGATGGGAAAATGTGCATAACTTCTAAATGAGTGGAGAAATAGAGGGGAATACAAGGAAAACAAATCACACTAAACAACTCAAATAAATATGAGAGAGAAGCAGGACAAATACAAATAAGAAATTAATTTGTTAGATAAATAAATAAAAAATGTTTATCGTCAGAACAATGTAACATCAACTAGTTTGTACAGTTCAGGGACAAAAGTAGACAGATTGGATTAGAAAAATTATCCAAGTACATGCTATTTAAAATGTCACACCTGAAATAAAGGCTGAACATAAAAGACTAAAAAAAAATTCAACAATTACTCTCTGAAAGAGATAGTAAGAGAAAGTTTTTAAATAAAATTAATAAATACTGAAAAATTGGAATAGCTCTATTAATATACATAAAAAGACTGAAGGCAAAAACCACCACCAGAGATAAAGAGAGTCAAAACATAATAGCTTTTATTCAGGAGGAAATATATACATTTTAAATATAAATTATAATAACAGTTTCAAAATATACAAAGACATGATTGAATTAAAAACACAAATTTGCAAATTAATCATAATTGGGACAAATATTTCAAACATTTATTTTAGTGTGGTTGAGCGATAAAAATGAACAGTAGTATTTAAAGGATTTAAATAACTTAGGTAACAAACTAGCAAAAGTATCTAATAACTATATGCAAAACACTGCCTCCAAGAAGGTGGAAAGTACACCTTCTTTACAGGCATAAATGAAACAATTTAAAGAATTGAACATGTTCTAGGCTATAAAGTAAAGCTCTACTGATTTTAAAGGGTTGGTGTCATATTCATCATATTCTCTAACCACCTCGCAGATAAATTAGAAGTCAATAATGAAAAGAACTTTAAATTGTGCATACATTCAGAAAATTCAACAAAAAACACTTCTAAATAATACAGGAGACAAGGAAAATAATAATAAAAATTAGAACATTTTGGGGATAAAAGCAATTATATGTATATATATATATATATATATATATATATATATATATATATATATATCTCAAACATGTATGATGTAAACTTTTATGATTACCTTTAGTGATTAAATTAGGAAAAAAAGAGAAAGGTTAAAAAAATTGATCTGAGTGTCTAACTTAAAAAAATCAGTTGGAGGCCAGGTGTGGTGGATCACACCTGTAATCCCAGCACTTTGGGAGGCCCAGATGGGCAGATCAGGAAGTCAGGAGTTTGAGACCAGCATGGCCAATATGGTGAAACCCCATCTCTACCAAAAATACAAAATTAGCCAGACATGGTGGTGCATGCCTGTAATCTGAGATACTTGGGAGGCTGAGGAAGGAGAATTGCTTGAACCTGGGAGGCGGAGGTTGCAGTGAGCCAAGTCATGCCACAATGGGCAACAGAGTGAGACTCCATCTCAAAAAAAAAAAAAAAAAAAAAAAAATCAGTTGGAAAAAAACTAGAGAATGACTACAAGTAAAATAAATGTCAGCAAAAAAAAAAAAAAAAAAAAGACAAAAACAGACATTGAAACGATGGTATATTTTACAGAAAAAAAAAGGCCAAGAATTGAAAAACTTAATAAAGTTTTAAAAATTGGCAACATTAATCAAGAAAACGGAAGGCACATATAAACAATAATACAAATAGAGTCAAGGTATAGGCACATATGAAGCAGGCATTTATATCCTGATAATAAGATAATAGAGAATAATATGAAAAGGTTGAAATTTAGATGAAATGGCACACTCCAAAAAAAAAAAAGAATCACAAGAAAATAGGAAATACAATGCTTCAGGATACCTACATATGTGGTTAAATACTACAAAGAAAAGTAAAAGTATCATTAACATAAATTTTAGAATTATGGCTTCTTTGGTTTGAGGAGAAGGGGCTGTATAAGGGAGGGCACATTCCTAAACTATGTGGAGGGAAATGTTTGTTCCTTTTGCACATATTCCTTAAAAAGTGTACCAAGTTAGATATGCACTCTTTAGTATGTCATATGTATTCAAAAATAACAAAATAAAATATATAAAAATAAAGTGCAAACACTACATATGTGTGCATGTGTTTAGAGGAAGAGCAGAAAGATATTCATCTGGTCTGAATAGTTGATTACATCACTGGAGTCAAGGTAGTGGGAAAAAGTGAGGGTATATTAAAATTAATTTTTTACTCTTCCCTTCTTTAGAATATTTTTCAATTAAAACAAACATGTTTATTTTAAAAACTAAATGAAATAAAATGTGTTACTTTTATTATGAAAATAATACAGAAAAATAAACTATGCTATAAATGCATTACAAAGCAATATTTTGTTTCATGTTTTCTGTTTTTAAGCTTTATAAAAATTGAATGTTGTGGTATGTTTTCTCCTGTGCTTTACCTTTTTAAAGAATATTATGCTTTTGAGATTTATCAGTGCTGATGTGTGTAGCAAAAATTCCCTCATTTTTACTGTTGTGTGACATTCAATTTTGTGAATATACCACAAAAAAATTAAATTATCTACCCCAGTTTTTCTCTCCAGGTTCCTCACTTTCAGTAAAAAATTCCATGTTCTAATCATAGTGAATTTACTTTTAACTTCAGTAATTCTCTGTGTGGGATGACATTGATATTTTTATCGGCCAAATATGGTTAAATATCACTCATTTCATATAATTCAGCCCAAACTATACGGTACTGTCTATAATTTATCTGAAATTTAACTAGACTATATGCTTAGAGCAAGGTTCCTCAACCCTGGGCTATGGACTGGTACCAGTCCATGGCCTGTTAGGAACCAGGTCACATGCAGGAGGTAAGCAGTGAGCCAGCCAGCATTGCTGCTTGAGCTCTGCCTCGTGTCAGATGAGCCATTAGATCCTTATGAGTGCAAAACCTATTGTGAACTGCACATACGAGGGATCCAGGTTGTACACTCCTTATGGGAATCTAACTAATGTCTAATAATGCCTGATGATCTGAGGTGTAACAGTTTCATCCCAAAACTATACCACCTGCCTGCCATCCCCACTTTGCCCCCATTGGGAAGAATTTTGTCTTCTACAAAACCAGTCCCTGGTGCCCAAAAGTTTGGGGATTGCTGGCTTAAAGGTTAAAAATTGTTTCTCTACATTTTTCCTTAAATCTCCAGTGCCTAACTCAGTCTTTTATACATAAAAAGAACTAAATACATGTCCTGAAATAATTAGTATTTTAATTATGTTAGAATAACTGCCTTTTCTAATTGTTTCAAAAATGAGCTCATTTCTCCCCATATTTTACATTAACTTTCAAGAAAAAAAGTAAAAATTGAAATATATTCTTTAGTCATAATTACCAATAAATATTACTTACATTGTTATTTAAGTTATCTACAGTACAATGGAAACATATTTTGTGCTATATTCACATAAGAAAATATTACATAACATTGACATTTAAAATATTGCCACACTTCTAACACTGGTTAATCTACCTTCTATTTAGGTAAATGGTATTACAATCATGACAAAAAGTCTCTCATCTTTAAAATGCATTATTTCCCTCTCATTAAAGCATCCTTCTTGTCATGGACAAAAGAAACCATAGCCTGAATTTTGTAATAATAATTTTCTTGTCTTATGATTTTTAGAATATGTTGTCTACTTTTGCTAATTTTTCAAAATTTTATAAATGGGCTCATTCTTTATGCATTTACTTGTGCATTACTTTTTGTTCAATGTTATGATTTAATTTTATGCTGTTTCAGTTATGAGTCTAAAGTATAGGTTCATGAATACAGACTTCATTCTAGGTGCTTGAGCCTAACACTGATTTATTGATTGATTCATTCATTCATTCATCAAAAAGTTACTGAGTATCAATCTGAGCTATGAATAACTTTATACAAATAATATTAAAAACTTAAGAGTGACAGATAAATTCCCAGTATAATGTTTTGGTGACTACATCATAGTCACCAAACCTGAAATAATGAAAAATAGAAAACCTGAATCTTGAAAAAAATATATTAGTAGTGAAAAATCTTTTCATAACTAAACAACACAATTAGATGATTTAGTTCCCTAAATGGTTAGGGAACAAGTACTTCTAAAAAATACTTCTAATGAACACTTTATAAAATAGGAAACATTCACCTACTTACTTTATGAATATTCATGTAACAGACAAAAACTTCATAAAGCAAAATATATCATTTAGAGATCATTTAGGAATCTGAATTCAGAGAAACCTCATATTACTTTCCAGTTTTTAAAATTAAGTATTAATGTGATGAACCATATCATACACTTCCTTCTCCAGAAGAGTTAAAATTATTTATTATAAATAATAGAAAATTAACTTAAAGATATTTGAAAATCTGTCATCAATTGCAAGAAATGCCTCTACTATCTAGTTGAGATTTATCAAGTCAATGATCTTGGAAGTTAACAGAAATTGAATAGATATTATGTATGCAATAAATCAATCAAAATGCTGCAACTCTACACAGGCAAGATTAAATAAGGGAGATGGAAAAAAGTAGATTCTTGGTTGTTTGTCCCTCAAGAATTTTCAAAGTTGGCCAGGCATAGTGGCTCATGCCTGTAATCCCAGCACTTTGCGAGGCCAAGGTGGGCGGATCATGAGGTCAGGAGATTGAGACCATCCTGGCTAACACGGTGAAACATTGTCTCTACTAAAAATACAAAAAATTAGCCAGGCGTGGTGGCGGGCGGTTGTAGTCCCAGCTACTCTGGAGGCTGAGGCAGGAGAATGGTGTGAACTGGGGAGGTGGATTTTGCAGTGAGCCGAGATCGCGCCACTGCACTCCAGCCTGGGAGACAGAGTGAGACTCCATCTCAAAAAAAAAAAAAAAAAAAAAAAAAAAAAGGAAAAAGAAAAAAGAAAAGACTTTTAAAAGTTATACATAGAAAGAAGCTACTGAAAATGTAGCAAATAATACCACAGAATGAATGATACAGATAATAAGAGTCAGGGAAATTTCATAGCAATGAAAAATTCCTGTAAGCTGGCTGGGACAATTTAGTCTTCACAGAAGAGGTGAGGCATTGGTAGGTATGCAAAGTCCACATTACTAATGTCGACACTGAATTGAAATGACAACCTAGATACTCAAGCCTACTTGTTATTCATGGTATCCTACTTTTTCAGATTTATGGTATGGACATTTAACATGAGATCTACTCTCTTAAAAATTTTTAAGTGTAAAATATGGTGTTGTTAATAATAGGCACAATGCAGTACAGTAGAATGTTTAGAACTCATTCATTTTGCATAGTTGAAACATTATACTCACTCATTAAATAGCAACTCCTGATTTCCCCATTGCCTCCAGCCCCTGGAAATCACCATTCTACTCCCTGCTTCTATGAGTTTGACTATTTTAAATACCCCGAATAAGTGGAATTATATAGTATTTGTCTTTCTGTGACTGGTTTATTTCACTTAACATAATGTCCTGGAGATCCATCCAAGTTGTCTCATATGTCAGGATTTTCTTCTATTTTTAAGGCTGAGTAGCAATTCATCATATGTATATACCACATTTTCTTTATCTATTCATCCATCTATGAACATTTAGGTTGCTTTAACATCTTAGCTACTGTAAATAATGCTGGAATGGACATAGAGGTGCACATATCTCTTCAATATACTGAATTCAATTTTTTTTTTTTTTTTTTGAGGTGGAGCCTTGCTCTGTCACCGAGGCTGGAGTGCAGTGGTATGATCTCAGCTCACTGCAACCTCCGCTTCCCAGGTTCAAACGATTTTCCTGCCTCAGCCTCCTGAGTAGCTGGGACTACAGGCGTGTGCCACCACGCCCGACTGATTTTTTGTATTTTTAGTAGAGATGGGGTTTCACCATGTTAGCCAGGATGGCCTCAATCTCCTGACCTCATGATCCACCCGTGTCAGCCTCCCAAAGTGCTGGGACTATAGGCATGAGCCACCGTGCCTGGCCAATTCTTTTTTATAAATACCCAGAAGTGGGATTGCTGGTTCATATGTAATGTAGTTCTATTTTTAATTTTTTTAAAGCTCCATACTGTTGAAAATATAGTCCAAAAATAGCTGCTGCACCATTTTAAATTCCCACCATCAGTGTATAAAGGTTCCAATTTCTCCACATCCTTGCCAATACTTGTTATCTTTTGTTTTTGTTAATGGTAGCCATCCTAACAGGTTTGCAGTGATATCTCATTCGGGTTTTGATTTGCATTTTCCTGAGGATTAGCGAAATGAGCATCTTTTCATATACGTGTTGGCCATTTCTATGTCCTCCTTAGAGAAATTTCTATTCAAACCCTTTGCCCATTTTTAATTGGAGAATTATTTTGCTATTAAATCATTGAAGT
This sequence comes from Homo sapiens, assembly GCF_000001405.40. NCBI lineage: Eukaryota > Metazoa > Chordata > Mammalia > Primates > Hominidae > Homo > Homo sapiens. The sequence goes on from NC_000011.10 coordinate 29,550,260, forward strand.
TTCTTACATACTTTGGATATTAACCCATTATCAGATGGATGGTTTCCAAATATTTTCTCCCATTTCATAAGTTGCCTTTTCACTCTGTTAATTATTTCCTTTGCCGTGCAGAAGTCTTTTAGTTTGATACAGTCCCACATGTCTATTTTTACTTTTGTTGCTTGTGCTTTTGGTGTCATATCCAAGGAACCATTGCCAAGCCTAATAACATGAAGCTTTCCCCCTGTGTTTTCCTCTAGGAGTTTCACAGTTTCAGGTCATGAATTCTATCTTAGTTCATTCCTGCCACTATATTAAAAAAAAATCTTAGACTGGGTAATTTATAAACAACAGAAATTTATTGCTTACAGTTGTATAGGCTGTGAATTTCAAGATTAAAACACCAGCAGATTCAGTGTCTGGTGAAGCCTCATTCTCTGCTTCATAGACGGTGTCTCTTGCTGCATCATGACATGGAAGAAGGAGCTAACACTTCCAAGGATCTTCTTTCCTAAGGTCATTAATCCCATTCATGAGGATTCTGCCCTCATAATTGAATCACCTCCAAATGGCTTCACCTCTTAATACTATCATATTACTAATTAAGTTTCAACTATGAATTTGCAGGGGGGTATCATTTGGACATAACAGTAATCATTTCCAAATAACAGTATTCAAAAATTTTAGCAGAGAAGGCACTGTGAACAAACCACCACCCTCCATAGTTTGTAACTCAATTTTAAGAACTCAGAGATTTTTAAGAAAGATGAGGATCTCAAAGAGCCTGCAGAAATATTATTTCAGAAATAAAAGTAAATCCGATCAAAGGAGGTTAAGTTAGAGATAAAATGTTAAGCTCAAAGAAAAGTCCCAATTTTTCAAGGGAACTGAGAGCTGAGAAATGAATACTTCATACAAATGAAATATAGAGCTATAAAACCTGGGAGTTTTCTGAAAAACATTATTTGTCAGTAGATATTCACAGTTATATGCTTGATACTTTGTTTACCTTAGGTATGAATGTGCACAAATGCTTATGTTGCTTTATTTTTCTAAGTCTAAATTGAAATCAATTTTTCTTTATCTAGCTCTGTGCTGTTTCTTGCCAAAGTTGACAATTTACCCATATTAATCACTGTTAGTGAACACCTCTCCTTTTCCAGGATTGTCCAAGCACCCTGGAGTTTATATTACCCAGAACATTTGGAGACAAACTTCTGGTCTTCAGGCACTCATTCTCACTGCTGACATGCCCAGGCTCACCCGGACCATTCAAATTCATCATACCTAGCTCTCTACCTGCCAGTCTTGGGAAGCGAGAGCTTTGAAAATAGCCCCCAACTCCAAGTATCAGCCTTCATTCCCTATGTTTCTGACCAATTAAGCTTAATTTTTTTTCTGTCAGCTTGAAACACAAAATATTTATGCTCCTCCCTCCCATACATACACATGTGCTCAGGCCTTAGAAATATACTACCGTCTTTTCCCCCAGAATATGGAGTTAAAAAAAGAGAAAGCTTTTTTTTCCAATGGTGACTTAATATCACAAGAGAAAGGAAGAACCCAAGGTAATTTTTATTTTAATATTTCAGCTTCTAACATTTCAACAATATGTTTTCAATTAATGATTTGAGCATAATACTATGAAATGGAAAATTGAAATATAAAATGATTCATGATTTTAAAAATCTTACAGAGCTCCTTTGTTTCCCCATTTTGTTTCTTGATTTGTTAAATTACAATTGGCAAAGTAATATCAAAAGAGCTCTAAGGGTCCTTAGGAGTCCAATCTCTCTTTCCAGGCACATTTGGACATAGGGAGAAGGGATTCTGGATTTAGGCTGAGAGGGGGAGAGTGAAAATCTGTGTCAAGTCTAATGGCTATCAATGCCGCCTTTTTGCTAGAACTACTTGGTAAAGACACTTCAGTAAATCATCAACCCTTTGGGGGTTTCACACTGGGTATCTCCTTTTAAATCTCAGGTTATAAAGGATTTAGAAGAGGGAGGTCTCGGTTACACCCCATCCATAACTTTTTAAGTGATGTTTTTGTACTGAGTAAAATTGCTACAATAACACAAATCTTGATATAAACTGATTTTTCTTCTTATACCATCTCAGGAAAGATGATGAAAGAAGGGCTAGCCTGAAAGAAACTTCTGCCTTCTTTGGAAATGAGATGCAAAAAGTATGGCTCCCTGCTACAACAAAAATGGATCCCCCAAGGAGGACATAACTGGAATTGCTGTCATTGTTACCCCTTTGAAAATCTCAGCCAGCTAGAGGACCAGAGACATTCTCATCAAGATTAAAGCCAGAGCAACCACCACCAACAAATGATGACAAATCCCTGCCAGGATTGGAGTGGGTTTGAATGGCATAGCTGGCCCCTGGTACTCCTGAGTGGTTAGATCGTCAGTCTTACCTGTTCATTTTGTTAACCTCATAGTAGTACAGCAACATATTTTACTTGTTTGAATTGTTTGTGTTAGAATCAGGTATTAACCTTGTAGGCAACATGGATAATATATTTCTGTAGTTCAACATAATTTCCATTTTAAATTCACAATTTATTAGAGCAGCAGAAAATAATGTCAATAAAATTGAAGCCTCTTTTTCTTAAGGGATTGTGCCTAAGGAGCTTACTTAATTCCAAGACTGGGTGTGTGGTGAGGAGGGGAGAAAATGGAGAGGACGCTATGCCTCATTATTTCCTAAGATGCTCATCATTCCAAATGATCATCCATCACTGGTCTTAAGGTCACTTTTGTCTTCTGGTCTCTTTGGGTCTGAAAGATCTCTGCTATGTCCATTATTCAGGTGGGGGTTTGGAAATAACTGCAACCTATCTAGAAACTCATCTGCCAAATGAACTTCGCAACAATTTCCTATGTGGGGGCATATCACCTTCCTGAGACTCTGCCTGAGGTAAAGGCACAGAGCCTCACTCCCTTGATCAAGCTTCCTTCCATCCTTCTTACTCCAACCTGTTTTCTGTTTGCCACAGAAATCTCACCTTCTTTCAGAGACACAAAGGGAACTCTACCCCAAGATCAATTTTATAAAGGCTCATAATTCCAGTTCTCTCTTGATAATAGAGCAGTCTCGAAATCAGTTACTAAATGTAGGGTGGATTAATTTTAGATCTTGTGTATAGGACTTGGTCTGAATCCTTTAAAATCGTAGGTATATACTTTACATAAGCCTTACCCCAAGGGCAGCCATAATTTTCTTTCAACCATATTTTGTAGGCTGGTGAGTCCTGCACCTGCCCCAAGTTTCAGGCAATTAACTTGACTGTGGTCTCCTGCCATGCACACTGAGCTTTAGCTCTCATTAATCTGTGGGAGACAAATTCTAGCTTCCTCTAGACTGAGAACCAGCAGGCCTAGCTCCAGTCTCTAATCACTAACTTATCACTGTGACATTTTTTTCCCTTTCTGGTCTGTGGAGATATTTCTCTTCTTTTGAGTTTACCATATCTTAGTCATTTTGCCATTCTTTAAAATTATTCTTTGACTGCTAAGCTTGGAGTTGATGGAGAAGTTCAAGCCTAAACTCATAATGTCATCCTGACCCTTGGTCCCAAACTGTTGGTATCTGATTATCTAGTTCTCAGGGTGAATTTGGATATTTGTAGACTTGAAGGCCCAAATAGACAAGTGGACACTCCATGTTAATCATAGCCCAACTTATCCTAGAAAGAAAATTAAGTTTAATTAAGTTCCTCAATATATTTCACCTAAGATGCAAGAACAAATAAACCCTGAAAAATATTTTTTATAGTGAAGCCCTTGCTCAGAGAAAAAACAGAACAAAACCTCAAGAACTGTGATTAATTATACTAAAGGATATTTTCAGGCATGGACTTGTCTTGAAAACGTGCTGTTGGGCCTAATTGTATTTACAGTTCACACTCATATATAGAGCACTGGTAGACCAGTCAGTGAGTGAATGATTATAGTCCTATTTTTGGCTTGAACATTCATCAATGTGTGAGTGTTGGCAGGAAAGCCACTAAACTTTTCACAGTATGTCTTCTCATTGTAAAATGGAAATATTAATTCCTGCCATTATTGTGGTATGGTTATGAAGAACAAACAAAACACAGCCAAATGATGCTATAAATCTGTTTTGAGATTATCCCTGGCACATTTACCTAGTAAAATTTTGCATTCATTTTGCATAGTAAAATGAATAGTTGTTATTTTAAAAGAGGGTAAAAAAAATAAGCTAAGTAATTCAAGAATCTAAAAACAACTATAAAATAAGCAATACATTAAACAAATATTAAAATTACTTAACCAAAAAGAAAGCTATTTTGTTTAAAAGATTAGTAGAATTAAGACGAGATTTTAAATGTCTCTTTCTACTGAGGTTAATGCTAAAAAATTGTATCTTTGAGTTTTTTTTTCTTTTTTTAGAAAATGATAGTGGAAAAATTTTTATCAGAAGAAAGCTTAAAAGCATAGGTAAAATTAGCCTTTTTTTCTAGAGAAAATATAAGTATCAAAAATGACAGAAGGAATAGATCAATTAAATACTGTAAAGAGTATATAGCTAAAAATAATCAATTCCCAATGTCTCAAAATTCACCTTATAGTACTAATTATAACTGTGGCCAAATCTCCAAGGTACAGATAATGCTTATATATTATGACCTTTCCAGACACTATAAAAAGAGGACAACCTGTCAAGAAAGTTTATTACTATCTTTGGTTTTTCATGTTATGATTGTTTATCTGCTAAGAAATTATTGGAACTGTTATTACAGTTTGTTATTAATGCCAAAAATTAGATCGATATGCAAAGGCCAATGGAAGAAATAGTTAGCAACAATAAGAGAAAAAAGTATATAGAGAAAAAATATCTAAAATATCAGAAAAACCTTTATGATATCAAAGAATGTAATAAAAGTAAAACCATTATAGAATAATAATTTTTAAAATATTTGTGAAAGATATGTATGAATACCAAAACAGGTGGTAAAAATCTTGTTATGGATAAGAAAATTCACGGCCATAAAGCTGTCAATTTTTTTCAAAATTAAAGGGCAACCTCCCTCTAGGATTTTTAATGTACATACTAACTTGGTGCAAAAGTCATTGCAGTTTTTGCCATTACTTTAATAGCAAAAACTAAAAATAACCAAAATGTCTGGTAGGGGGTCTGCCTGAGCAAGTATTAAAACATAAGTAACAATAATTAAAGCAGCATTATATTGGCACAGAAATAGGTATGAAGGAATTAAGAGCTGAGGTAGAGTCTCAAGTTTATACATAATTTTTTATTGTTGAACAATTCTATGGAGATAAGTTTTGCATACAAAAATTTCATGTTTAAAGAAATAATTTGGTGTTTTGAGATATGTATTTATGCATGTTAAAAAATTGATCACTCACAAAAATTTCCTCCACTTTGTACTCTCTTTCTTAGAGTCCTTCCCATTCTAGGAAGCCAATGATTGTCTTTCTATCATTAGAGACTAGTTTGCATTTTTAAGCATTTTATATGAATGGAGTAATACAATGCATACTCTCATTTTGTCTGGCTTATTTCACTCAGTGTAAGAGATGTCTCAAACCTGTTGCCAACAGTTTTGCATCAATAGTTAATTCTTTTCATTGCTGAGTAGTATTCCATTGTATAGATGTATCATAATTTATCTGCTTACACACTGATGGACATTTGGATTCTTTCCAGTTTTTGGCTATTATCATAAAAGTTTCTTGAAGAATTTTATAAAAGTCTTGGTATGAATATTTTCATTCATTTCTGCTGGGTACAAACTTAGGAGTGGAGTGTCTGGAACATATGGTAGATGCATGTTTAACATTTTAAGAAACTGCCAAATCATTTTCCAAAATACATGTATTACTAGGATAAGTTAGAGTGAATTATCTCCATACCCTCTTGAAATAGGTTGACCATGTCAATCTATTTTTATGTAGTCATTATACTGAGTGTGCAGTGGTATGGCCATGTCAATCTATTTTTATGTAGTCATTATACTGAGTGTGCAGTGGTATGGCCATGTCAATCTATTTTTATGTAGTCATTATACTGAGTGTGCAGTGGTACCTAATTTTGGTTTCAGCGACTAAGGGGTTGAGCATCTTTTCCATATATATAAAATATAATGTTTCTGTATATTATATATTTTCTTACTGTTGTGGTTTTTAAAAAAATTTTCTTGAAAATGTTTTCCAAAGAGCAGATGAAAGCTTCTAATATGAAAGATAGGGATCAAAACATATAAATGTTAAAGTGACTTGAGAGAACAGAAATCAATGTAGGCAGATGAAAATTTAAAAAAAAGGTCATTAATATTCTCACAGCAATGAGAAGATAGTGTATTCATGTAAAAAAGAATATGATGCCAGAGAAAATAAATATTCAGAGAACAAACAATAACTCATAATTTATAAACATAATAGGTGAAAACAGTTATTAAAAATAGAAGTATTAGAAAATAAATTTGAGAAAATATCCCAGAATCAATAGAGAAATGGGAAATAGGAGTGAAAAAATTAAGAAAATTAGTGTATCAATACAGGTGGTTCAAGATCTATACGATAGGAATTCCAGAAAGAGGGGACAGAAAGAACAAGAGGATACAAAATAAAGAACAAAATAATTCAAGAATATTTCCCAGAACTGAGTGACTTAAAAGACACACTGAGGACATACCAATCTCAATGGATGAAAACAGGTGCACACCAAGGCCTATCATTGTGAAATTTCTACACACTAGGAACAGAGGAAATGTTACAAGCTTTCAGAGGGAGAAAGAGAGAGACATCAAAATTCTGAAGTAAAAATATTTCCAATTCTATATCCAGGCAGAGAAAGCAATAAAGAATAGAATAAAGACGTTTGCAGGAATCCAACCTCCCCACCCTGCAATAAAGTGCCATCTCTGCAAATGATAAAAGAAACCTATAAAAAGGATGTTAGGTGATAAATATAACTGGAGATTCAATACAGGAGCGCTTAATGAGACATCTTAGAATGACAATGGTGCACATCAGGGCAGAGCAACTGCAGAAACACCAACACATACTGAGGGCTGTCATCACTCATAATGTTTTGTAAACCTGATGATAAAATATCAAGGTGATCCTCGCCCAGATACCTTATCAATACTCAGCTTGTCTTCACCATGTGTGCATGGAGTTCCTGCTCTCTACTCTAGGCTTTTCTGCTTGGACCAATTGTGAAGACTCCTTCTAAAGGAGATTTCATCTTTATTTTCCTATCAGTTTTTGAAGATAGGCCATAGAAAGATTAGAAGTGGAAAACACCAAGCAGCAACGTCTTCTCAATTTTCTTCCCAGGGTCTATTACTTGGCTTGCACCCTTGACCTGACCACAGTGAGCCCCATGTTTCCAGGCCTCCCTCGGACCTTACCTCTTCTAGGAGATTTTACAAATTACCAGGGAATTGTAGCCAGATTCTGACCTGGGCTCTCTTCTCAGGGCCTTCATCTAACAATAGTAATCCTGCCCTTTGATTGTACAGCCATATTAGTGACTCCTACATAACACTAATTATCTGAAATATTCGTTTATTTCTAAATGGTTGTTAAAAAATATTAAATTTAGTAAAATAAATATAAATATGCCAAAATAATAAATTTATTTCTTACAAATAAAATTTTATCCATTTCAGGTTGAAGATACGTATTTTTTAACTTTTAAAAAGTTTTTATATAAATTTTTATCAAAATATCAAGAACGAGAAAATATATATGCATATACTTTATGAGCTATAAAGTGGTTTTTAAATGTAAAGTGTATATTACTATGCATACATCTTCCAGACACCAATGAGTCTAAGCTTCTAATATTGACTAGTTATAGCCTGTTCGTTCCAATTTTCATATAATATTTCTATAGATCTGGCTAGTTGTGGTAATAGGTGGTTACCTATTTTGATGTAATCTTTAAGTATAAACATATATTTCAAATGAAAAATACTTCCAATCAAAAATTCACTATCCACTGAAATGTTAGTTCTACCTTTCAATCAACCCCCCCCCTTTGATTATGGTTCCCCATGCTTAATAGTCACTGCTAAAATTGAGGATATTTCTTAGGAAAAGCAATACTTGCATTGGGGCAAGACAGGAAACGTGTGTGAAGCTGTGGGCAGAAGTATTAGAGGATAGTGGGAAATGTAGTGAACTTGACAGTGTGTTCTCTGCCTATCAAATTTATTTATTTCTAACAGTCCAGAGTCAAGCCAGACAACTTCCAGTGTTTGGCCCGTGAGTCACCATTTTGGAATATTGTTTTAGCTGAACCTATAAACCATCTTTAAATAGTACCTTGTGATAAAGTGAGATAGGAAAAGTAAACTCTGATGAAGAACTGACTGGAAAGAAAAACAGATTTACTCTCTAGAGCAAGGAGCCCAATATTCCTTGGTTTCCACCAATGCCATCAAAGTACTTTGCTTCCAGAGGCAGCATGAGTCCTCTGAGGCTTCTCTGATGGGCAGAACTGAGTTCATTACCTTGCATAGAAAGGAGTATAGACCTGTCCCATAGCTACCTCTGTATCTCTTTCACAGATTGTTTTAAAAGTAGTAGGTGTTGCACTTTTTTACTGTCTTCTTAAGCATCTCACACACGATTATGCGTAAGACAATACTGAGGAATTGTTTCTTGAAATGGATTGAATTTGCCATTTTTATCTCAGGTAAGACCAAATTTTAACTTCTGGCCTTTAACATTGACATTGTTCATAGCAAGTAGAGAAGATAAAGAAGCTCAGAAACCTGCTGAATATTAGCAGCATTCTTTCTGGAATCCTGTTAAGAACAATGCCAAGTTATTGTGAAATTTGAAGGTTTTGTAACTATTATTATCACTTTGTTTAGCATTTGAATCAAAGTTTTTAGATCGGCAAAAATGTATTATTTTCTTATATAATTTCATCAATTAAATTTGGGATGTCAACAAATATTTGCCAATCTGTGTAGGCTACTGCCTATATGGAAAATATTGAACTATATGCCATTTTTTTAATTCTAAAGAGCTCTTGTCTACATTTTTGAATACCTAAATAGTTATTAAAAGCAGCCCTTTGAGAAAAGTGTCTTCACATTAGTGTTGAAGGACCTAACCTTTAGGGTATCTTATTTCCAACACAACTAAAAATTGACAGAGCCAGCACTTGAACCGAAATGTTCTGACTCCAAATCCAATGCTCTTTCTGCTATACTCTGCTTTCATTTCTTGCAGCAATACATCTGCCAGTGAAGAAAGTTCCTGTCTACCACTGAGCTGGTGAATATCACTTAATTAATTTATTTACTTATTCACTAAAAAATATTTGTTTAGCCCCTGTTGTAGTTCAGGTGTTAAATAGGACCAATTTGGTGCCTGCATGACATTTGCTCTCTGACAGAGGCAAAATACATGAAATTAAAAAGTTATATCAAGAATTAGTTAACCACAATTTGAATAAATTGTTCAAAACCAGAAATGTAGAATTCAGCAGTATATGAAAAAAGGAAGTTAATTTGTTTTAGGATAATAAGATTACTCAAGGAACATTTAAGACCTTAATGACAAGTAGGTAGTTTCCAAGAAGTGGTGATGGAGAGCAACAATCTTCTCAGGAAGAAAGAAGACCTTACACAAGAGCTCTAGACACTACAGGGGAAGTACATTAGAGAAGAAAATGAAGTCAAGTGCTGTTAGACTATAATGAAAGAAGGGCGAGGTCATGCTTTTGGATGAAGAAAAGCTCTGCTCCACTTTCAGCTTCCGAAAAGCCACTCTTATCTCCATGATGTAGACCTGCTTCCTGGTACACCGGAGCGGTGATTACCTGGAGCAGCTCTTTCCCCTCAATGTTGAGAGGCATTTTAAGTTTCATATATAGGAGGGGTGCGGTGGCTCAAGCCTGTAATCCCAGCAGGTTGGGAGGCCGAGGCGGGTGGATCACGAGGTCAGGAGTTCCAGACCAGCCTGGCCAACATGATGAAACACCATCTCTCCTAAAAATACCAAAAAAACCCCCAAAAAAGTAGCTGGGCGTGGTGGCAGGTACCTATAATCCCAGCTACTCGGGAGGCTGAGGCAGAAGAATCCCTTCAACCCAGGAGGCGGAGGTTGCAGTGAGCTGAGATCACACCACTGCATTCTAGCCTGGTCAATAAGAGCGAAACTCCATCTCAAAAAAAAAAAAAAAATTCATATGTAATTCACATCTTGCCATTGCAAACATTGCTGTATAGATGCCTATTGTGGTGCCCAGAGATAGAGAATGGGAACAGATAAGTAAACTAACTGTAGAACTTGGGAGCACTGTGTGAAGACTTAATTTCTTCTAGATTTCCATAGAGAGAAGGTTCAAAAATGGAAGAAAAATGTAGCTACTGTGAAAAATAAGTAAAAAAAAAAGATACACATGTTTTAAATTAGAATGTCTTTAAACAATTCACTTTATAATCTAGCCAAGTGCTAAAGTCCCAGCAATTCCAATGATCAGGGACTTGCAAAGATGCCAGCTGTTGAGGGGAAAAAAAGTACTTTTTGTCCTGTTTTCTCTTACAGTAAAACATTGGGCCTTAGCTGTTATGCATAGTTCTCCATGAGTTTCCTCTATATTTGGGGGCCAGAAGACTTTGACCTTATTTAAGTTACTTTTTATTGACATTGTCTATTCTCTGAAGTCTAAAGTCTGTGACTTTCTATATTTAGCATTTATTCTCTTCATTATTAGAAATTCTAGAAAGACATGACAATTTTCTTCCAAGAATCACATTTCTCTAACCAGCTGTCTTTTTTCCTTCTTGTTCAGGACTAATTTCAGTGAAATAATTGTATGCATATATTCATATACCTTTACACTGCAGTCATTGTCATAATTCCACAAAAGAACTATTTATAGACTAACTATGTAAAATTATTGGTGATGAAAGTGTTAGCTTGGCAAAGGCTACTACCTGACAAATGATTACATATTCACCTATTAATTGGATAAGAAAGTGGCATATGCTAGTACCTATTAATAGCAACATCTGCATTTCTACCACTACAATGTTAAGCACTTATTCTGGAATAGAAAAACAAATTCTTTGAAATAATTTGTGAGTGAATATTGCATATAACATATCCATCTGGCCCATTAGAAACTGACACAAAACTAGAGAAAGCTAATACTACCAGACTTCAGCATAAACCATTCACATCTACTACATAGTATCAAAGGCCAAAAAGATAAGTGATTGATTAGTTCATATTTACATGAGTAGAATAATCCCCCTACACTGTCAGCATTTTTATGCTAACTTTTGCACTTCAGGATGTATTTTCTGACTTGCTATCTATGACATTAACTCTGATATGGATTTTCTATTATTAGGGTTAGTTTTGAACTTATTCATTTATAACCACTTCCCAGCCTCTGTCATGATAACCCAACATTTATGGAACCCTTGCTATGTGCTGTACAAGTATTTTCCAAAGTGTAGCACTTTTATCTCAAGTAGTATGCTATTTGGTTTTAGGTAACAAACCTAAAAAAATGATTTAAAGTATATTAGAAAATATACTGGCATTATGAGTTCAGAACTTAATGCTATGATAAATAGAAATTTTAGAAGATAAGTGAAATGAAAAGACAATATTATAAATGATATGTATTTGACAATGGTTGTATTGTGCTCTTCCATCAAGAAGAATAAAATGAATACTCTCTTTTAATGATGTTAGAACCTGTGAATCCTTAACAACTAGATCCATTAATTCAGGAAAGTTTTGTTAATATATAGGTTTTGGTGTTTATTCTGATCCTTCAGGTTTTTTCTTTGAAGACAGATGGTGAATCTTCATCATCTATCTTCAATATTTGTCATTTTCTTTTTGTCTTTTTTTTCCTTTTTTATTTTTTTCTCCTGATTTTTGTAAGGCATTATGATAGGCAGCCTCTAAGATGATTCCCAGTGATCCTCCCCTTTGGGTATTCAGATGTCTCTGTAATCCCATTGCGTTGAGTATAGGCTGGACCTAGTGACTCACTTCCAGTAAACAGAATGCACCAAAAACAATGGATGCCACTCCTGAGATTAAGTAACAAAAAGACTGCTTTCCACTTTCATCGCCTTCTCTTGCTCTCTCATTTGTTCACAAGGAGAGGCCCACCTACCAAGGAATCCATGTATCTGGCCAACAGCCAAAGAGAACCTGAGGCCTCCGATAGAATAAATAAGCTTAGAGTGAAAGACTGAATTAATGAATATTCATTGGATTCATTGAATAAGCTTAGAAGCTTACCCTCCCCACAATGAGCCTTGAGATGACTTCAGCTAGGTTATTATCATCTTGATTTAAGTCTTGTGAGACATCCTGTGCACCATTTAAACTATGCACAGTTTTTGACTTGCAAGCATGTTAATGTTTTTTGTTTCATTCGAATACATTTTGGGGTGATTTGTTACATTCATCAAAAGACGATTAATGAGCATTATTACTGTGTTCATTTAATCTTAGGTTTCTTATACATTCAGTATTAATTTATGAAATTATTTTTTACATTTCTAGTTCTTTCCACATGTCTGACCAAATCATATCCAAGTTTTTACAATTATGATTGATATTGTTCTTTTATGTTATATAATTTCCTCAGTGTCTTTTTAGAGCAGGTTACAGTTTTTATCTGTTTCATAGTCATGACTTTCTTCATGCTTCCTGTAAAGATATTTTGTTCCTTATTCTCTCTTTTTATGTTAAACTTACTATTTAGCTTATAGACATTTTCATGTGAAATTAGTTTTCCTGAACTTTTTAAAAGCAAATTTAAGGTAGCTTTTCTGTTTTTTTTTTTGTTGTTGTTGTTGTTGTTTTTATACGGAGCCTCGCTCTGTCGCCCAGGCTGGAGTGTAGTGGCACAATCTTGGCTCAGTGCAAGCTCCGCTTCCCGGGTTCACGCCATTCTCCTGCCTCAGCCTCCCTAGTAGCTGGGACTACAGGCGCCCGCAACCACGCTCGGCTAATTTTTTGTATTTTTAGTAGAGATGGGGTTTCACCGTGTTAGCCAGGATGGTTTCTATCTCCTGACCTCGTGATCCGCCCGTCTTGGCCTCCCAAAGTGCTGGGATTACAGGCGTAAGCCACCGTGCCCGGCTTAAGGTAGCTTTTCTATGTTCATAAAGATTAATCTTCTTTTGTTTTCATGTAGTTAAAAAATACAGCAGCTTGTTTTCTAAGCTTCTTGCCTCTGTTCTCTCTCCATCTGTACCTTCTCTTTTCTGTATCTCTATTGTCCCTCCTGCTTAGTATTTATTCTACATCCAGCAGCTTATCTGAGTACCATGTCTTAGCAGGGAGTCCCATGTGGTCAAGTTTTGAGAGTTCCCAAACCGTAGACTGACTGAGCCCTGCCAGTACTTGCTGAAGGCCCCATGTACTTACTGGCTGTGGGACTAAGTAAAACCTCTTCATTTTCAGTGGCCATTTGCAAACTAGCCCACCAAATATTCTAGTAAATCCCTATTGGCTATTTTAGGGGTTCTCTTGTTTTTAGGTCCATAGTATTCCCCATTGAACTCTTCTACTTTCTGATACCAAACGTTTTGTAACTATTGGTGGCTTGTCCTTATGACTTGTATCTTAAGGTTTATGGGAATAACTTGTAGCTAGATTTGCCATAAGTGTCAATGGCTTTTTGACTTTGCCATCTAGCTCCTTTTTTTCTGTATTTATGCAGGAGTTCAAGAAATTCAAAAATGATGCCCTATCACTGCTGCCATCTTCCCACAATCTGCACAGATGGTGTTTTCAAACCCCATCTGCTATATCTCCTTGTGACCAAGCATATACTGAAAGAGGTAAGTGAGGGGTAGGGCAAAATGGAAGGAAGGTAAGTTTGTTACAGTGAGAAAATATATCTTTTTCTTATTTCTGTAAAATGTAGTATATATAACTAATAACAATTAGCTATAAAATGCCTCTTCTCTTAGCCCCTCTGCTTATATTCTCCATGGCCTTCTTACTGCTCTGTAAACAGGCTCTATCTTTCAAATGAGTCTATTGAGAATAAAATGTTAATTTGTTTGTTTAGGGACACAGATTTCAAGAATGTCATGGATATATATATATGTCCTTTTATTGCAGATGAGGGACCACCTAAGTCCTGATAGAAAAATCCAGGTTCCTACATGCTAATTCCATTAATATAGATGAAATAGGTCTAAAACTCAGAAATTACCATCTAAAAATAGAAAGCAGAGCTGAACTGGTTTTTCTCTTCTTATTCACTGATATGAGATTATTTTAATGAGTTAGTAATGGTATTCAATAGTTAGATGCTGTGCTACATTTTCTTAGGCACCATTCTTTATGATAAAGTGGCTGAGAAATGGATACAATACTCAATTACCAAAGTCAAGATGCATAATTAAGAGCCCTCTAGGGAGCTGACCATAGCCCTGGAAAAGACTGACTTCCTTGTCTTCCTGTACTTATGAGCTGCTGTTTGAATATAAAATCTGCTTTGTGAATTCCTTAAGAGCTAGTAGGAATGAAAAGAAGAAAATTTGTTCCAATGAAAATGAAATGGACATGCTTTAAGACCAGTTCTACTTTGGTGAATGTACATATAAGAAAAATAAGGCTATGAGCAACACAATGCTTAGAGTTCAAATAATAATCTAGATTGATAAGCATTTTCATCTAAAATGCTCCTTGACAATCACATGTATGTTACAAATAGCTTTTATTTTTTAAAACAACATGGGCTTAGAAGTCAGGAAAATTTAAATACATGTTTATTTTCTTTGTATTATACAAGTATGTGTATGTGTGGGCACATACACACAAACACACATATAGGCATATATATCTTTATCCTTGAAGCAGGCCATGGAGAAGAAATAAAACAATGAACCCCTTAGAAGATTTTGATATTCAGCTATTTAGAAATTTACTTTGTTATCTTTAAAGGAAATGAAAGCTATGACATATACTTTTCATTTAGTGAGTATCATTCTATAGATCATGAGGAAGTGCTCATGTTATTTTGAAAGATTTTATTTTTCTTTTTAACTGAACTTAGGTGGAGGACAAGAGAAGGGAAGTACTATATAATAGAGCAACTTCTGCTGGTAACATCAGAGATATTTAAATGTCCTTATATGTTTATTATAAAATTAAGCAAAACAAAAGTATTATGTACTGTCAATATTAATAATCTTATTTTAATATCACAACCAGCAAAATATTAAATATTAAATTTAATATTTATAAATTAATATTGCTATTAATTTATAAAATTAATAGCAATAGCTATAAAAATAGGAAGTGCTTGCTCATTAAATATACTGAGAAATAGAAATGCAGAGATAAAATTCAGAGACATTGCTATACACTGACAACAATTTTGAAAATTCATGTTTGGTTTTCAAAGATTTAACATTATCTAAAATTTCCATTTTAATAGATATTTTGATATATAAAGACCTTCATGTCAAACATGCATACACACACACACACACACACACACACACACACACACACACACACTATTTGATCTTTATATATCAAATAGTAAGTGTTCAACAAGTATTTGCAAAATTATTCAATTGATAACACATACATATGTAAAGGAATTCTTATTGTCCAAGAAAATGTTTTCAACTCCTTACAGTGAAAAAATTGTGCATGGAAACAAATGTTATACATAAAAACAATAAGTAATGACTGATCAGTTATAAAACTAGTCTCTTTTTACACGTTGCTCCAAAGGGAACAATAGATACTATCTTCCATACATGGTCTCATTTCTACAGGTCAGTCTCTCCTATATTTAGCTATATAATGCAAATATGAGTCAAATGAATTTCAGAGTGAAATGTTAAATCTTGCAAAGATGTGGAATTTTATAAAATCTCTGAATAGAATGTTGGATATGATTGCTGAGTTTAATTATGAATTTGATAAAAATTCAAATCTAGTAGAACTCTATCACTTAACAATTGAAGAAAAAAATTGAGATGAATGATGACATAGTAGGTACTTCAAAAGAGAAATAACTAATATCAAATAAAATTTTGTAAAACTCTTACTCTGACAAAATTAATGACTTTATAATAAAGCTATAAAAGTTAAAAATAAGAACACTTCTTTTTTTCATTTTAAACATTAGCTCATAACCTCATTTAGAATCCAAATTTCAACTTACTTTTGTGATATTTATTCTCACATGTTAAAGATAAAAGCTTGATAATTTTTTGTCAAATCTAAAATATGTTCAGTTTTGCTGTAATGGAATCCTGGTAGGAAAATTTTTCTTATTAACTGCACTCAGATATTGAGGATTTCCAGGATTTTCCACAATGTCCATTGGGAAGCCACTCAATTTATCCAGTTTTCCATTTTATTATTATATGGACTATGATATAAAGAAAGTGATTGGCCCAGATAATATCCATTTGCTCTTTTAAATCTAGATATTTAATTATATAATCCTGTCAATTATTTCATTATGTTTCCCCTCACCTACAACTTTTCTGTACATTCCTACAACCACCCCTTCAGTCATGCTTAGACTACTCTGCTCCATATCTCATATTTAATATGCATTTGCAAAATATTTCAAGCCAATACACAAACACTGCAGAGAAATAGGCATACACTAATACAATTACAAGTAATCCTCCTACTTTAATTATTAATCATCAAAAAAATTTTGAACACCATTGTACAGAACCGTAAGATTTTCTTTAAGCTACAGAAAGGTTCAGGGAAGCAGTTTATTCTAATAGTTGAAAGCATGGGTGTTGGCGTTAGAAAAACCCTAAAGCCCATTTTGATGCTAATTAAATGGTTTTGTTTTGGTTACTAAAACAAAACAAGTTACTAAATCTATTTAATAGATGGAAAAACAAGTTCTATTTTTCTTATCTGAAAACCTGGGATATAATAGAGCACCATAAATATGCTGAGTGAAGAATTAAATAAGAAACACAGTAACTGCTTACTGCATAGAAATTGTTCTATAACTAGTTACAGTGGGCTTCATGTCAAAGCCATGACTATGGCTTCTTTTCCTTTCTTTTAATTTTCTTTTCCTTTTTTTTTTTTTAATCATACTTTAAGTTCTGGGATACATGTGCAGAATGTGCAGGTTTGTTACATAGGTATACACATGCCATGGTGGTTTGCTGCAACCATCAACCCGTCATCTATATTAAGTATTTCTCCTAATGCTCTCCCTTCCCTAGTCCCTCACCCACTGTCAGGGCCAGGTGTGTGATGTTCCCCTCCCTGTGTCCATGTGTTCTCATTGTTCAACTCCCACTTATAAGTAAGAACATGTGGTGTTTGGTTTCCTGTTCTTGTATTAGTTTGCTGAGAATGATGGTTTCCAGCATCATCCATGTCCCTGCAAAGGACATGAACTCATCCTTTTTGATGGCTCCATAATATTCCATGGGGTATATGTGCCACATTTTCACATATAGAATGAAGTTGACCCTTGAAAAACTGGGTCCTTACATGGGATTAGTGGCACCAAAGTTTATGTATAACTTTTGACTCTGCAAAATGTTAATTACTAATAGCCTACTCATAACCAGATGCCTTACTCATGACATAGTCAATTCACACATATTTGTATATTACATGTATTATATACTATATTCTTCCAATAAAGTGAGGTATAAAATGTTGTTGAGAAAAATGTAGGGAAAGGAAAATATATTCACTATTCATTAAGTGGAAGTGGATCGATATTAAGATCTTCATTCTCATTAGCTTCACATTGAACAGGCAGAGGAGGAAGAAGTGGAGGAGGGCTTGGTCTTTCTATCTCGGGGTGGCAGAGGCAAGAGAAAATCCACATATAAGTGGATCTTTCAGTTACAACCACTGTTGTTCAAGGATCAACTGTATTTGTAAATGGACTGTTTCTTGCAGGGGGGTGTTGAACCAAGTTGAGTCCAGTAGATTTGAATATGATAAATCTTCAAAATTAATTTGAAATACACTCCACAAACGCTATGAATTAAAAGAAAATCATTACATTAAAATTTCAATAATATGGATTTTAAGGAGTTTCTGGTTTCAAAATGGCAGTATAGAAGCAAGCTGACTTCACTCTTGCTTCACAGAAAACAAAAAATAAATATACAGCACCAAGATCATCACAAGCAATATCTTAGAACTTGAATATGAGAAGGAGACAGCTCTCATAGCCACATAGAAGTGAAAAAATTCTGAGCAGATAATAAGAGAATTGAACTTCCATATCCATGATGCCCCTCCCCACAACCTTCTGATATTCTGGGCGTCAAGCACTCTGAAAATGTCTTCCTGACTCATGGTTTCTACACTGGAACACATGATCTGAAGGTAGACAACCAACTTCTCCAACATCTTAGGTTTCCTGGAAGGAGACTTGTCTCTGCCTCAACCCACAGGAAGCATCACAAGCACCCAAAGGGAAAAATATCCCTGAGGACAGCCAGAAACAAAGGGGAAAGATAAGACTGGTATCCCCAGCTCTGGAAACTGCTCTCAACTTGGCCAAAAGAGATCAAATCAGAGCAGCTGTTCAGCAGCACTATGCTGTGGGAGGTACATTTCACAAGTCCCCTGGGCATGAACGCCCAGCTGGCCTGCCCACACTGTCAGGATATTCCCTATGGGACCTCCCCCATTCTGTACAGGTAGCTCAAGTGAATCATTCTGGATTCCTACAGGAAGTAGAACAGTCACAATCGTGTTCTACAACTGAGGCAAACCTGGGCTTAAGGCACATGAGTAATATGTATCAATTTAACCATGGTTATATTCAAAATATTTCTCAACAGATTCCACGCCAATCAGAATGGAAGGCAGTTATGATCAACCATATGGATGTATGAATGCATATCAACTGAATATCAGCTTTGAATGTTACAAGTATATAATTTCTCACCTCTCATTATTACTGACCACTTATATTACTCATTGCTTTTATGTCCAGTTTTCTTAAATGTTGGAAGTCATGTGTAGTTAATAGTCTCTTTTACCTTGAACATAAAGTTAAGATATCCCATTCATTCAAGCGAATAGTATGTTAACAGAAGTGAATCATGCTGGGTTTCTGCAAGAGGTAGCAGTCACATTTGCAAGAAAATTACAAGGAATGAGAGCCATGAGGCTATTAACTGCAAAGCTGCTAACTCCCCAAGGCCTAAAGAAACAACGGACAGGAGGTACCTAGCATCTGATTGGAGAGAGTCCTGTAGAGAAGACTATCCTGGTAGGAGCAGTGACATTTGCTGGAAAAACTCAGCTAGCCTGATGCAAACTTCCAGGTAGAAAGCCAGGGGACATATCCTACCTTCTGCTTCTCTCCCTCTGATGACTTTCCAGGGCTTCTTATTAGCCAAACTCTGTCAGAAGCCAGAAAGTAAGGTGACATTCCTCCATGTAGTCCATAAAGCTCAGACCTCTGAAGCAGAATATTAAAGAGAGATGGCTGGAGAATGAATCTGAAAGGGCAAAAAGTATATACTGGCCCAATTAGACCGTCTCTTTTTACCTCGTCCTCGTATCAAGTATTTAACTCTGATACTGTATTAGTCTGTTTTCACATTGCTATAAAGAAATACCAGAGACTGCGTAATATATAAAGAAAATGTTTCATTGGCTTATGTTTCCACAGGCTGTACAGAAAACACGATGTTGTCTTCTTCTTGGCTTTTGAGGAGGCCTCAGGAAAATTACAATCATGGTGAAAGGCAAAGAGGAATATTCCACAAGTCCCCTGGGCTTGAACCCCCACCCAATCCCACACTGACAGGATTCTCCCTGTGGGACGTCCCCGATTCTGGACAGGCAGCTCTCTTATTGTTTACTAGAATCAAGGCAAACCTGGGCCAGCATTTCACATGGCTGGAGCAGGAGGAAGGGAGAGAGAGGGGGCAGGTGCTACAAACTTTTAAAAACCATGTCTCTTATGAGAATTCTGTCATGAGAACAGCATAAAAAGAATGGTGCTAAACCATTCATGAAATATGCACCCCCATGATCCAATCACTCCCCAAGAAGGCCCCACCTCCAACATTGATGATTTCAATTGAACATGAGATTTGGATAGGAACACAGATCCAAACCATATAATTCCACCCCTGGCCCCTCCCAAATCTCATGCCCCAAATCTCATGCCCTTCTCACAGTGCAAAATACAATCATGGTTTTCCAACAGTCGCCCAAAGTCTTATCTCACTCATTCTAGCATTAACTCAAATGCCCAAAGTTCAAAGTCTCATCGGAGACAAGGCTAGTCCATTCCGCCTATAAACCTGTAAAATCAAAAACAAGTTGGATACTCCAAAGATACAATGGAGGTATAGGCCTTGAGTAAATATTCTCACTCCAAAAGGGAGAAATTGGCCAAAAGAAAGGGTCTGCAGGCTTCATGCAAGTCTGAAAACCAGCAGGGAAGTCATTAAATCTCAAAGCTCCAAAATAATCTCCTTTGACTCAATGTCCCATATCCAGGGCATACTGATGCAAGGGGTGGACTCCCAAGGCTTTGGGCAACTTTGTGCCTGTGGCTTTGCAGAATTCAGCCCCCACAGCTGCTCTCGAGTGCTTGCATTGAGTGCTTGTGGCTTTTCTAGGCACAGGGTGAAAGCAGCCAGCGAATCTACCATTCCAGGGTCTAGAGAATAGTGGTCCTCTTCTCACAGCTCCACTAGACAGTGCCTCAGTGAGTACTCTGTGTGGGGGCCCAACCCCACATTTCCTCTCTGCTGTAGTAGAGGTTCTCCATGAGGGCTCTGCCCCTGCAGCAGGCTTCTGCCTGGACTTTTTCATACATCCTCTGAAATCTAGGCAGAGGATCCCAAGCCTCAACTCTTGCAATCTGTGCATCTTCCAGACTTAACACTACTTGGAAGCCACCAAGGCTTACATCTTGCACCCTCTGAAGCAGCAGTCCAAACTGCACCTGGGCCCCTTTGAACCATAGCAGGAGCTGGAGTAGCCAGGTTGTAGGGAGTGGTGTCCTAGTGTCCTGAGGCTGTGCAGGGTAGTGGGGCCCAGGGCCTGGCCCATGAAACCATTCTTCTGTCCTAGGCCTCTGTGCCTGTGATGAGAGGGGCTGCCTTAAAGTTCTCTGAAATGCCTTCCAGGCCTTTGTCCCATTGTCTGGGCTATTAGCACTTGGCTCCTTTTTACTTATGCAAATTTCTGCACCCTGTTTGAATTCCTCCCCTGAAAATGGAATTTTCTTTTACACCACATGGCCAGGCTGCAAATTTTCCAAACTTTCGCACTCTGGTTTCCTTATAAGTTCTAGTTTTATGTCATTTCTTCATTCACATATATGAGCATGGGTTTTTAGAAGCAGCCAGGCTACATCTTGAACACTTTGTTGCTTAGAAATTTCTTCTGCAAGATATCCTAAATTATGACTCTCAAGTTCAAAGTTTCACAGATCCCTAAGACAGGGGCACAATGCACCCAGGTTCTTTGCTAAAGTATAACAAAAGTGACCTTTGCTCCAGTTCCCAGTAAGTTCCTCATCTCCATCTGAGACCTCATCAGCATGGTCATCTTTGTCCATATCACTATAACCATTTGGGTCACAACCATTCAACAAGTATCAGGGAAGTTCCCAATTTTCCCTTATCTTCCTATCTTCTTCTGAGCCCTTCACACTCTTCCAACCTCTACAAATTACCCAGTTCCAAAGTTGCTTCCACATTGCCAGGTGTCTTTATAGCAATGCCCACTCCTCAGGACCAATTTTCTGTATTAGTCTGTTCTCACATTGTTATAAACAAATACCAGAAACTGGGTAATTTAGAAGGAAAAGAGGTTTGAGTGGCTCCCAGTTCCTTAGGCTGTACAGGAAGTATGGTGCTGACATCTGCTTGGCTTCTAAGGAGCCCTCAGGAACTTATAATCATAGCAAAAGACAAAGAGGGAGCCAGAACTTCACATGGCTGGAGCAGGGGGAAGAAGCGGGTAGTGCTACACACTTTTAAACAATCAGATCTCATAAGAACTCTATCACGAGAACTGCAGCAAAGGAAAGGTATTAAACCATTCATGTAGGATGCACTGGCAATGATCCAATCACCTCCCACCAGGCCTAACCTCTGACACTGGGGATTACAATTGAACCTGATATTTGGGTGGGAACATAGATCCAAACCATATCAGATACCATAGAAATCAAAAGGTGGTTTTGACCTACGCTATGCTCTGATCTAAACCCTTACAAAAAGGCAAATATTTTGAGATTTGAACAAATATGTTACACCATCTATTATCAGACTCCATTATCTGAATTTTCCCTTGGAAAAGTTAAATTTCTACTGTGTTTAATATTGAAACATTGTATACACATTCTTCAGAGTGACACAGGAAGAGTTAAAACTTGTAACCTCAAGCTTACTACAAAAAAAAATGTATTTTTCTTAAGTCAGAAAGAAAGTTACTGACACACTGAATTGGGAAGTCACACTCAATGCTCACATGAGTAATTGGCTCTGATGCTAACGACCAAGTGCTCTTAGAAAGTTTATAAGATATCATCAATTTTAAATGAGAGCAACAAATTTGCTAAGGTTTATTATTTAATGTCAGCAGCTAACTCTACACTGTGCCCTGTAGGGAAATAGCTACATACTGAAGAAATATCCTACTAGGAAATAAAGTTCCAAGATCCAAATAAAGGAGTTAATGTAGCAGGAGAAATTTCTAATACGTGCTGAACACAGTAACCATCTCCCCAGAACAGTGATAGCCAAATATTTTCTTGGAATCTAGGCATAGCTGGTCTTGGGCAGAGCTGTTTGTCTGGAACGGAGACAAATGAAACACACCTGGAATCTCCAGAACAAAAAAATATTTCTTCTGTAAGGTCCATGGGGCACAGGAGCAATTTTATTAAAGACAATGTCAGATGAATAAGAAAATTCAGAAATTAGAAAAGGCAGTGGGGTGCCACAGGACCATTCTACTTGTGATTAGTAAAAGTGTGTTTTGCCATGCCTGGCAGCTCATGCCTGTAATCCCAGCACTTTGGGAGGCTGAGGCTGGTAGATTGCTTGAGTCCAGAAGTTCAAGACCAGCATGGACAACATGGTGAAACCTAGTCTCTACAAAACATACAAAAATTAGCTGGGTGGGGTGGTGCATGCTTGTAGTCCCAGCTACTTGGGAGGTTGAGGCAGGAGGATTGCTTGAACTCAGGAGGCAGAGGCTGCAGTGAGCCGAAATTACACCATTGCACTCCAGCCTGGGTGACAGAGTGAAACTCTGTCTCAAAAAAAATAAATAAAGTGTGTTTGTAATGATAATCAGATAAGTCTCCTTAGGGTCTGGAAATCTCACAGTAAAATCAAATGAAAGAAGTGTCTCTAGACCTCATGAATACCCCCAAATAAATGATATAAGAAAGGTTAAATGGTCAGGCTAAACATCAAGGAACCAATATTTATGATACGTTGTCAAAAGATGGTTTAACACTTACTACCCCAATAATTCCATATTGTAGGCTTTTTTGGAGCAGTCATACTTTTATTTCCTTATGGAATAAACTGCCTATTTATAGAAAATCCAAGTCAGAATGTTTGAGAATCAAGATATTATTGAAAGTTCCATTTGAGGATATTACATATGTGATGGAATTTTCACTACCAAAATTAAATAAGCTGCAGTATCTGTCATGAATGCTGACCTCTTCTTATAGAACCTCAGAGACTCGTTGCTGACCCAGTGATATCACTTAGAATTAAAATGCTACCAGAAGGAATGGTTTCATTAAAAGTCCACTTCGACAGCAGGTTGTCAAATATTTTAGTATAACTCTAGGAAGGCAGAAATCCCATTGGATCCTTCCAAGTGTTCAAAGCCTTCATTTTCTTTCTGTCTTATTTAATTTTGAAAGAAGGTCAACAGAATGGAATTTACTAGGGTAAGCCCTTGACTAATCCTGTCTTCTTGAGCTCCTGCCAACTATAGTAAAGTAAAATAGACTCTATAAGAAAGACAAAACTATCTGCTTCCAACAACCCGAACTTTCTAAGAACTTACATTGGGGGGGACTTAGTGCTATAATTTTAAGTCTTAGAAGAAAATATTTTCAAGGTGTTTACACGACCAGTTTCTGATATAGAAATCTTAGGCAAAAAAGTATATATGTAAAGATACTTTGTTTCCAAATCCTGAAGTGACAGTAGCCACAGGATGAAACAAGAGAGACAAGGTGGAAGACAACCAAAAGGGTTTAGATACCAACCCCAAGGAAAGCCCAAATAGAACTCTAAATATTCAGTACCAAATGCAGAAATCAAAAAGGACATTCAGAAATACCCATGTTGCATAGAGCATGATATTCAAAGCAAACTAGTCTTTACTTTTTTAAGAGAAATTTTTAAAGCCTATGCAACAAGACAGGAAATAGTAAAAGGTTGCTAAACCATAATTTAACATTTTTAACAAAGTCAGTGGTAGACTAATCTATGCTTAATAGATTTAATTGCGACTAAGATTTTCCTGGAGAAGATAGAGACGTAGCCTATTTCCAGAGCTATGCAGAATTCCTGTGCATAAAGACAACTTAGTGGATATCTAATTTGATGGTTCTCAGTCTCCACTGTGCATCAGAATCAGCTTAAAATATTTTTAAAAATATATCCCAACTCCAATCCTGGATATTCTGGTTCAATTGCTCTAGGATGCGGCTGGTCACTGGTATTATTTTTTCCCCAGGTATTTTGGTTACACATGAGAGCTGATAACCACTGGTCTGATTGAACCTGAATCACTTATTTTACTGGTGAGAAAAGGGTAAGAGATGTTATGTGATCTATACAAAATCACCCTGTTCGTCTGTAGAAATAGCACAGAATTTGTGACCAGAAGATATAGGTCTGTTGTGGCTCTCTTATTGAGTAATTGTGTAAAATTGTGCAAATTATTTAACGCTCATTCTCTGGAAATTTATTTGGAATATGAAAATATAATATCTACTTAACTCACAGGGTTGTTGAGAGAATCAAGTGACATCAACTATGTAAAAGTACTTTGTAAAGTGCAAAATACTATATACATGTTAGGAGTTGTTTTTGTTGTTATTTGTAGTAAAGGCAAGACTAGAACAGAAGTCTCCTCTGTCCCCTACTTCACTACTGTTAAAATCATTTTCTATTTCATTGAGACTATATTATTACACAACCAATTATCAGGCATTGTGTAAACCAGCACATAGTATTAACTAGCTTATTCCCCTACAGTAGCAATTAATTTACATATCCATGACCCAAGCGCTCTACAACTTTGCTATTCAAAGTATGCTTGGTCCAAGAATAAACAGCATTGGCATCACAGGTTACTAGAAATGCAAATCTCATGCCTCACTTCAGATCCACTGAATCTGAATCTTCAGTTCAACAAGATCCCCAAGCAATTCGGGTACACTTTAAAGTTTGAAAAGTACTGTTCTGTGAGATTCCAAAATGTCTTTGGCATGATGGAATTAGGTCCAGTGCCATTTGAGTTCTTTTTCCATTTTAATTTTTCAAAATCTAGAAATTCATATGATTAAATAGCTATGTACAGAAGTGAGATTCTATCTAAATCTATCAGATTAGAGAAATGTTCCCTTCCTCTGTTTGGGCTGAATAACAGCATTCATTGCATTAATTTTCTCAGACTGTCTTTATATTTCTCCTCATAATAATCAATTATTCACAGCAATTTTGATTCATTTGAACTAATCATTATTAGGTCCTGTGGAAGCTTGGCAATTTAACATTCTCATTTTCGATGAGATTTTTTTTAACAAGAGTGATTAGACTGTATATGATCAAAGTTCCCCAATTGCCTATAACATTACTTTTTTTTCCCCATTCTTCAAAGCCACAGGTCATTTTACTCAGTGAGGGTTGAAAAGACTTATTATTCTTAGCATGGGCCAACGGATGCAACTTATTATTTGGATCACATTTTCTTAGTTACAAAAGACACATCCTTGGTTATTTTAATGTAATCAGAATACTGCAACTTGAAGAGAGGTAAAGTAATAAGATCTAGTCTCATTATCCAGACATTTTTGAAAAAGAGGAAAAGAAGTAAACAATTTTGTCCTTATTTTTTTTCTTTCAAAGATGCTAGGCTTCAATTAATTGCCCTGTCTTAAGTCATTCCCTAGGCTCTGCACAAATTAAGAGTGTCTGAGTGGAAATTAAATACGTAAAATCTTAACAAATGGCAGCTACATTAGTTACTCAGCCACCACATAGACTCTGCATACTGAGCAAGGGGAAATTTTCCTGCAACCCAAGATTTACCTTCACATCTAATTAGGTATAAATTGCTGCCTATTTACATTCGATCTATGAATAGTTGTCAGTCCCAAAGTGTCATGGACTTGAGGTATATTGCAAGAGGCTTATTATGAATCTGTTTCCATGAGAGGTAATGATTTTTTTAAAGTGTGGCCACAGAACTTGAGCAGGGCAACGTGATGTGGCAGGAATGATGCTTCCTAGAACATTTTGTAAACTTTTTGTGAAATGAGACAGCAGTAAGGAAATGCAAAGTGATCCACAGGGCTTTGGTTGAGGAGAATGGAGGCTCCCACTTTGTGCAACTGTCAATTTCACTTCACAAAGTGAAGTGAAAGAATGGAGGGTATGAGAATCAAGAGAGAGATGAGAGAGAAAGAGAGAGAGAGAGAGAGAGAAGGCCCCAGACATAAACTAACAGCTTGATGGGGAGGATGTATTTTCTTGAATAGATTGCATCTCCTCTACCCCAAAGAAAACCATTGATTGTCAGCTATTACACATAGGTAACTACTCAACATTTTTGCATAATTCTCTGGAATGCAACTTGTAGTGATTGGATTAAATAGCGCAAAATGTACAACCTTAGAATTAGAGATAATATAATCAGTTATGTATAGGGCCAAGCCTGTTTTACATTAATTCAAATAAATCTATATCATATCAAGTGTTCTTTTCAATTTAATGTTCCATGGGGATTGTTTTTTTCCACTTTCTGCAGGAATATTATATGCTAAGACAACAATAAATGCTCAGCAGTACACTCATCAATGTTGTTACTTTGGTTAGATTCTCAGTGTCTCTTCCAATGGAAGTATTTCTCCCTGTGGTTCTTCATGTTCACTCAAGTCATAAGGATTCATATCAGTCAAGGATTTATAGGCAGCCTGTGCAAGTTCATTCTTTACGACTATAAGCATGTTCCTTCTCAGTTTATAGGCAAAGAGATGATCTATTAAGTGTTGCTATTGGGAATGATAAATGAATATTTACAATTTACAATAAATAAACCCAAAATACCAACAAGTTTCCCCAAAGATAGAGAAGTTTCTAAAAGTTTCCACTTTTCAGCGACTACTGCACATTGTGAAGAAGTAGAGACATTCTAGGTCGAGTTCACTTTAACTAGCTAGGTTTCATGGGCCACTAAAACCCCTAAATATTCTAGGTTTTGGTGGAACGTAAGAGAAAGAGAATCAGACAAGCAAATTATAAAACCTGGTTTTGACACTTATTTACAGAGAAGCCTCAACTCCTTGGATATCCTCATCTGTAAAATGTCTACCTTAGTGTGTTCTTGCAATGATAAAAATCAGAGAATATAACACACCTAGAACACTGCCCACCACAGTAATAATGTTTTAAATAAATGTTACCTCCCTTATTTTCTTATTTTAATAACAGTTCACAATAGTTTAAAGAGGATCAAAGCAGATAAAATGTGGGCACATAAGCAGTTTAACATAAATATTTGCTATTACAATATAGTAAAGGGTGGAATATGAATACTCATATGCTTTTTGTGATTGATAACTCTAAGACATCATGGTGGTTGATTTGAGTTTCCAAGTGCTATTGAGAAATGAAGTGTTGCGCAAACTTGACCTATGAATCTAGATTTTTTCTAGAACTTCTTTTCTGTCAATTCTACCTAGTACCTTATACATTTTGGGACTGTAAGCTTCTGCTGTTGGAGAATAAAATACAACTTTGATCTGGAATATTTTTAATCAAATCGCTTACCTATTTCACCTACAGCCAATATCTTTTGAGACACAAGGATATAATAATACTCAAGCCCCTCTGCAGTACTTTTTACTCATAAATACAGCATGTCAGCACAACATAACATGTATATCAATATTCTTCCTTATGTATTAATAGAGCTGTACCAGTAACTAAATAAATACTGAAATACTGCTACACAATTGGTAAAGAGCTACTCACTACCCGGAGCACTTCAAGGGTCCTCCTATTCCCACTACTCCTTCCCTGAGACCCACTGCATGTCCCCACAATCCATCAACCAAACACATTTGAGCTTACAAATTCTACCCTGGCGCTAGTCCTGGGGTCTGTTTTTCTTGATCAGTGTGTGTCGTACCTACAATTAAATTGCATCTCTCATTCATCCATGCCAACGTCTTTGTCCTTCTTGCTCCCCAGCACAGCATAGAAAGACACTCCAATATAGTATAGAAAAAAACCACCAGCTTATCTCCACAACTGCTTTGATTTCTGCTGGCTCCACTTCCTCTCTCATTCCACTGACCCTTGACAATCATGCTTCTGATAGAACCCAAAGGTAATCTCCTCTTTTCAGGCCTAAGCTTATCTCTTCTGAGTCACTCTGGATCCTCCTCTCCTCATACAGGAGAGATGTTAGACCATTATCATACTTTAGTGCCATGACATTGGCCTGCCCTTTGACATCTTCTAGGCTTCCTTTGAGTCTGACTGCTCTGACTGCAGCCCACTGTAAGCATTCCCAGGCCCACTTCTACAAAGAAGACCGGGTTGATAAGAGGTTTTATCTCAGTGCCACAGCAGGCATCCTGCCTGGCGGGGTAACACTTAAGAAGTGCTAGATACTTTTTCAATGGGACAGCAGAGAGATTCAAAAAAATGACCTTTGGTGACTTTGCTATTATAGACTATCTTCTAGAATGAGATAATGCAGGATGGATCATGGTCAATGGTATGAGTCAGTTCTAGACTACAGCTGTTCAAAGTTTATCATGGTTTTATATTTCTTATTCTTTGGGGGTGTAGATGATGAAGCTCTGTAGAATGGTAAGAATACTTGAGAATAGTGTAAGACCCAAGGCTGAATGTCTCCGTTCCAATTCTCCATCTTCCCCTCCAACTGACCCAATAACTAAAGAAGTTCCACTTGACCAAGTTTTACCCCAGCTCTCTCACCTGCCTTCTGCCTTATTCCTTGTCAACTTTCTTGATTTTCTCATTCACATGGCTTCTGATCTTTTTATTTTGTCTCTATTTTACCCGCTCCTTCAAATTTGGTAATTGATATAGTTTCTCCCACATAAATCATTTCCCCCAGGTTTTCAGAACAGAGATCCAAATTTTCTCTATGATTTTATCCAATTTCTGTGACTCTTGGAAACTATGAAGCCCTCTTTTGCTTTCCATTTATTCCACTGGTTTCTGTATGACTATAACACAACAAAATATGGAATTGCTTGTATTTATTATAGAATTAATCAGCATCAAAAAAATGAATATAGGGCTGGCACAGTGGCTCACACCTATAATGCCAGAACTTTGGGAGGCTAAGGCAAGAGGATCGCTTGAGGCCAGGAGTTCAGAAACAGCCAGGGCAAGATAGTGAGACCTCATCTCTACAGAAATCTTATAAAATTATCTCAGCATGCCTATATGTGCCTGCAGTCCTAGCTGCTAAGAAGGCTGAGGTGAGATGATTGCTTGAGCCTAGGAGTTCGAGGCTGCAGTAAACTATGACTGTGCTACTGCACTCCAGCCTGGGTAGCAGACAGAGGTCTCATTTCTATAAATAAGCACAAATAAATAACAATTATTTAATTTATGTAAATTAATCTTTTCCATTTTAATAAATAAACAATTTATAAATATTCTTTCAGGGTATGGGGAAAAGCCACAGAACCTTGACTTCTAGGTATGTCCTTTAGTTGGTCCATTAAGCATTGTGTATGAAGGATGATATTTCTCTTTTTCAAGTGACTAGACTTCCATGGCAAATCAATTCTAGTATCGAGCCTCTTGCTAAGGCAGCATCTAGAGCCTTCGGCCAGAAACTTCAAACTTAAGAAGAGTGGAGGGATCTTTCGTGCTCTGCAACAGAAGTTCAGTGCCATTGAACTATGGAAACACGGGGTTTTTAGGTCCTCTTATGAGGAAATGCCTTCCTATCACTGGTTCTGTTTTTGCCCTTGCTGTGATTTTATATGCAAAGTAGCTATTCAGCAGACACAGTCAAATACCTTAAATGTCTATCAGTCACTTTATCAGAAACACGGACCAAGAAAATATAATAGAAAATATGGAAACAGGCCAAAGTACATGTGGTAATTTAATATTATAAAGAATATAATCTCAAATTAAGGATGAGGAAAGAGAACATTTTAAGAAATTGTATTAGAACAAAGAGATAGTCATTTGAGAAAAAAAGATACATTTGAATTTTATACCACACACATTGTACCATATGCTGGGTAAATGCAAATTGATCAGAAATCTAAATGTAAAAACAAAACCATACAAAAAGTGAAAAAAATCAGTGTATTAGTTTTACAATATTGAAGTGATGAAACCTAAATTTGATCTAGAAATAATTATAAGAAACATGAATATATTATACTATCTATTTTTTTAACTTTTCTTGGTAAACCTAAAACTCTAAAAATCTTGAAAGACAACCCAGGTAATATCATTCAGGACATAGGCACAGGCAAAGATTTAATGATGAAAACGCCAAAAGCAATTGCAACAAAAGCAAAAAATGACAAATGAGATCTAATTAAACTAAACAGCTTCTGCACAGCACAAGAAACTATCAACAGAGGAAACAAACAGTCTACAGGATGGGAGAAAATTTCTGCAAACCATGCATCTGACAAAAGTCCACTCTTCAGCAGCTATTAGGAACTTAAACAAATTTACAAGAAAAAAGATAACCTTATTAAAAAGTGGGGAAAGGACATGAACAGACACTTTTCAAAAGAAGTCATACATGCGGCCAACAATGATATGAAAAAACAGCTTAACATCACTGATCATTAGAGAAATGCAAATCAAAACTACAATGAGACACCATTTCATACCAGTCAGAATGGCTATCATTAAAGGGTCAAAAAATAGCAGGTGCTGGTGAGGTTGTGGAGAAAACGGAATGCCTAAACACTGTTGGTGGTAGCATAAATTAGTTCAACCGTTGTGGAAGACAGTGTGGCAATTCCTTAAAGATCTAGAAGCAGAAATACCATTCAACCCAGCTATACCATTGCTGGGTATACACCTAAAGGAATATAAATCATGCTATTATAAAGACGAATGCATGCATATGTTCATTGCAGCACTATTCACCATAGCAAAGACATGGAATCAACCTAAATGCCCATCAATGGTAGACTGGATAAAGAAAATGTGGTACATATACACCATGGAATAGTATGCAGCCATAAAAAAGAACAAGGTTATGTCCTTTGCAGGAACATGGATGGAGCTGAAGGCTATTATGCTTAGCAAAATAATACAAGAACAGAAAACCAAATACCACATGTTCTCACTTATAAGTGGGAGCTAAATGATGAGAACATATGGACATATAGAGGAAAATAACACACACTGGGGCCTTTTGGAGGGTGGAGGCTGGGAGGAGGGAGAGTATCAGATAAAATAACAAATGGGTACTAGGCTCAATACCTGGGTGATGAAATAATCTGTACAACAAACCCCCATGACACAAGTTTACCTATGTAACAAACCTGCACAGGTACTGAACTTAAAAGTTAAAAAAAATAGGCAAAGGACATGAATAGACATTTCTCAAAAAAAGTCATACCAGTTGCCAACAAACATATGACAAAATGCTCATCATTACTAATCATCAGAGAAATGGACATCAAAACCACAATGAGATGCCATTTCACACCAGATGGAATAGCAATTATTAGAAAATAAAAAATAAAAATAAAAGATGCTAGAGAGGCTGCGGAGGAAAGGGAATCTTTTTACACTGTTGGTGGGAATGTAAATTAGTTCAACCACTGTGGAAAGCAGTTTGGAGATTTCACAAATAATTTAAAGCTACCATTTGACCCAGAAATCCCATTACTTTGTATATATACCCAAAGGAGACTAAGTCATTCTACCAAAAAGACACATGTACTTGTACGTTCATCACCATGCTATTCATAATAGCAAAGATATGGAATCAACCTAGGTGCTCATCACTGGTAGATTGGCTAAAGAAGATGTGGTACATATCCATCATGGAGTACAATGCAGCCATATGAAGGACAAAATTCTATCCCTTGTCACAATATGGACACAGTTGTGGATACAAGAACCGAAAACCAAATACTTCATGCTCTCATTTGTAAGAGGGAGCTAAACATTGAGCACCCATGGACATAAACATGGAAAGAAAAGACACTGCAGACTACTAGAAGGGGGAAGGGGAGGATGGGATGAAAAACTACCTATTGGGTAGTATGCTGCCTCTCCAGTTGACAAGATTATTCATATGCCAAACTTCAGCATCATGCAATGTACTCATATAACCAACTTGCACATGTATTCCCTGTATCTAAAATAAAAGTTTGAAGAAAAAAAAAACAAAACAAAAGAAACAGATGGCCTCATCACATTGACCAGCCTCCCCCTAACATCCTTCAGCACTTTTCACTAGCTCACTTAGTCCTCAAACTTCTGCTACTTTTTGTTTGAGGGTAGTTGAATTGAATATCCATATTGCAATAGCCATGAATAAAGTTTTCCTTTCCTGTTTAATCCTGTCCTATGTAATTTTTCTTTGACAATAAATACCATCTTGCTAAGAACAGATCATTCATGATTGAGACTTAAATTCCAAGGTTCCAAGAAGGAAACATTAAGAGCACACTGTCTTATTTCAACACTACCTGTGACATTTTTATAGCCAGACTGGGCAGTTA
Source organism: Homo sapiens (assembly GCF_000001405.40). Lineage (NCBI taxonomy): Eukaryota > Metazoa > Chordata > Mammalia > Primates > Hominidae > Homo > Homo sapiens. Next base: position 29,583,224 of record NC_000011.10, read on the forward strand.
TTTAATGATGAGGACCTACTTCAACAATTGACCTTAATAATAGAAATGTGTTTAGGAAGACATCATGGCTTGCTAATAGATCTTCCTTATCTATGTTTTTATCAGTCAGCATTTTCAGTTTTTCAGTTGTGTCATGTGGGGAAAATAAATTGCCAGTCTTCTGCATATGATCATATACCCTCATGCCCCACCTCCATAGGAGTCCAGTAAAATCAATTTTCTATGTTTTCCATTTTTCTCTGAAGCATGTCTGGCTGGTTACTTCAGCAGATGAACAGGCACACCTGAGGGACAACTGGTTGTGTGGCTCTTGCTCAACCTATCACTTTGATACTAACACTGAGGAAAAAGATCCCAGATGCCAGAAACATTTATAGACAGATGGTTGTCCCTAGTTTTCATTTGCATCTCTTTGTTCTCATCATCAAAGACACCAGGATAACTGTAGCCATAAAGGAGGTACTTCTACTTGCTCATTATGTGCTTCTTCCCAGGGTAGCATCATAGCTACATCTTGCTAAATTGCAAAAACTCTGATTTAAAGCACTGCCCTGGGCAAATCCCTTATCCAGCCTCAGGTGAAACTGAGCCTCCCATTTCTTAGAGGTTTCTTCATGTGCTTTGTATGAAGAAGCCTTGAAACAGAAGTAAGCTCTGTGCACTCACTAGCAACACAGGGGAGATGGAATAATGATCTCTCCTTAATCAAGACTGATGGGAACTTTGATTAGACCCACTTTCCCACAAGAAAAAGCCACATTAGACATGTTTGTCTGAAGTGAAGACTGAAAAAAAAAGCTGTTTATTAAATCATAGATGACTGATAATCTCTTTTCTAGCATTATATTATTAATGTGAATTGGTAGAATTTGAAATCTACAGCAATTTCAGAGTGCAGAATGAAGGCTGGGAGTGTTGGCCTCAATTTGAGCAAGAGAATTTTAATAGTTAAAATGCACAGAACAAGGTGCTTTGGGAGAGGATGAGGTTATTACAAAGTGAATTCATGCGTGAAAGAACCAGTGCCATCCGTACCATTTCTGAAACTATTTGATTCTTTTAAAATTCCAACAAAAGTAAATTGAAGCCATGAATGAAGTGCACCCAGAATCTCCACAGATTCTACTGAATTTTTTGAAGGCTTTCCCTTTAGTAAATTTGAAAAGGGCTTGTATAGATTGCCATTATTTTTCTGTATACAGGTTGTACCAAATTACACTTCCCTTAGTGAATTATGAGAAGGCCTGTTTCCCTACAGTGTGGCAATCCACAGTATACAATCAAGCTTTTTGACCTCTGCCAATCTGAGAGGTAACTATGAAAACTCTGTGCCATTTTAGTTTACATTCCTTTTATGAAGTGTGAGGTTGAAAAGATTTTGTGTGTTTAAGCAAGAGTCATATTTCCTCTACTGTGAACTGTTGGTTCATATCTTTTGCTTATTTGCTTCCTGAACTCTTGGCTTATTTCTTACAGGGTTTAGAACCATTGTCTGTGATATGATTAGCAAATGCTCCCCAGAGTTCTGAGACTGTCTTATGGATTTATTGTGTTTTTCCAATATAAATTTCAGAAAACTTTTTAGTGGAATTTATCTATGTTTTTTCTTACTTTTCTTCACCTCTGGACATCGTGTTATACTATGGAAAATATTTTAAAAGTTGACCAATCTTTTTAGTGTTTATATTTCATGTTTAAGTCTGGAGTCACTTAGATGTGAACTATGGATTAAACTTCATTCTTTTCCAGGTGCCTACATATTCCAACAACATTTATTGAATAATCTATCAGTTCCTCACCAATATGAAATGTCATATTTACCTTATACTTAAAATCTCATGTATAGTTGATTATGTTTCTTAAATGTATGTGGTATTTTACTGCTTGGTCTATACACATGACAACACTATACTGTTTTAATTATTTTAGCTTTATAGCATTTTAACATCTAGTAGTAATAAACTTCCCCATGAATCAAATAATCTCTTGTATATTAATTTTTTCATATAAAATTTATCCAGTAAGAAAACAATGGATGAAATTTGTATTGATACTATATTCAATTTATAGAATGAATAGGTGAATATGAATTGTTAGCATTATTAATATGAGAGCTTCCATGAATACAGTATTTCTTTTTGTTTGTATTTTGGGTCTTCTGGTAGTTTTCTTCATTTTCTCAAGTAGAATGAACTCTTTTCCATGTATGTGTTCACATCACTTCATTCAGACTCTTTCTCTACTATAACCTGTCCACTTTCTGTTACAGCTTATATTGTTGTTGATGATTTATTGTTTTACTTTCTCATCCAACACCTTTGTATCCTGAATGTCCAACCCATAGTTGACACTCAAATGCCTGTTATCTGCTTAACTGGCCTCTTTTGCAGCCTATGCCTGCTTTCCTGTTTCACCAAAAATCAATACTAGATCCTATAAAAGTCCCTTATGTATATTTCCATTGTGCACTTGAGCCAGGAGGGCAACATGTGAGGATGGGGTCCTGTACTCTTGGTTTTGTTTCTGGCTCACTCTAGAATTAAACAAAGCAAAATATCTTATCTGTAGACTCTGGTGTTTATGCCACAGACCACTGGTTGTTCAAATATTAGAAAAACCAATATTTGATTTTGCTTCATTCTCTTCTGTATTGGCTCAATATTCTTCTGAGGCATTATTACCACCTTGCCAAATGTTAAATTCAGAGACCAAGAAATGAAGACAGCATCCTTTAAATAAGTTACTTTCTACAAGACACACATGGAGGCAATGGAAGGGGAAGACTTTTGAAAACTGAAAAACTAGAACTTACTTCTTTCTTGTCTCTGAATAGAGATGGTATTTTTCCGTGCTCACAGATAGATGAGAAATGCATGGATTTTAATGTCTTATTTATACTTTAAAAATTTCTACCAGAATTATGATTTTCTCTTTAACTAAACTTTTTAACATAGTCTCAAAATCAGATCCCCATATATTCCAGATGTGCTTATAGATATTTGCAATTAGATTTTGTCATTTAATATTCATAATTTTGTTAATTAAGAACTATTCTCAACACTTAAAGATGAATAAGCAAAGAGTCAGAGAGACTAAAATAATTATCCTTCCTATGTTATACATCGCTACATTTTAGAATCCTGAGTGAAACCTAGAGTTAATTCTCTTTCTTAAAAAATATTTTAATATTTCTAAAATGGTCCTTGCTATACACTGAATATTCATGCTCCCTCCAATTTATATGTTGAAATTTTAACCTCTAATATGATGGTATTAGAAAGTGAGGCAATTGGGAGGTAATTAGGTCATAAGAACTGAACCCTTATTCATGGAACTAATGGCTCTATAAAAAGACATAAGAAAGCCTGCTTTCTCTCTCAGCTTTCTACCATGTGAGGATACAATGAGAAAACAGCTGTCTGCAACCCGAAAGAAGGCCCTTACCAGGACATGATCATGCCAGCACCCTGATGTCTGACTTCCAGCCTCTAGAACTGTGAGAAATAAATATCTGTTTCTTTGTAAGCCATCCATCCAGTCTATGATATTCTGTTATAGCAGCCTGAAGTAAGATAGTCCTCAGTGACCCCTGCCTCTTGGTATTCCAGTCTTTGTGTAATCCCCTCCTCTTGAGTGAAAACTACATCTTGTGACATTCTTCTAATTAATAAAATGCAGAAAATGCAATGGAATGTCATTTCCTTGATTAGGTTCCAAAACATTTTGACTTCTGTATTACTGGTAATTTTTCTATCTTGTTGTCACTCTCACTTGCTTGCTTTCTTGCTTGCTTGTTCTGACTTGAATGTTATATGGAAAGGCAGGTGGGGCAGGAGTGGAAGGAGTCCACTAGCCAACAACAAGTGAGAAGTTAACTCCTTAATTCAACACTCTTTAAGAAGGTGAATTTTGCCAACAACCATTTAAGTAAGCTAAAAAGGAGATTCTTCCCAGTTGACCCTTGAGACGACTATTATCCTAGCCAACACCTTGATGCAGCCTAATGAGAGACCTTGAAGTAGAAGCCCCAGATAAGCCATGACCAGATTCTAAACACACAGAAACCGAGGTAACAAAATGATGTAGTTTTAAGTTACTGATTTTGGGGTCATTTGTTATATAGCAATAGATAACTAATATGCACCTAGTCTCTGTTCTAATTATCTACAGTTGTATAGCAAATTATTCCAAAATCTTAGTGGCTTAATAAACAACCATCACTTATTTTGCTCCAGAATTTTCAGTGTGGGTGGGTCTCATGGAGGTGGACTTTTGTCTGCTCCACAATGTCTGGGGCATCAACTCTAATGATTAGGTTTTCTGACGGTGGGAGTAGCTGGCCGCTTGCTGAGCATCTCTCTCTTTATGTAGTGTCATGATCTCTTCATGTGGCTTCTCCATCTAGTGTCTCCAGAGTAGTGGCCTCAAAGTAATCACATTCTTAATTTGGGAGCCAAGGGTACCCAGAGAAAGTTTTGTAAGAAATCATACCAAAAACTACAAAGCTTCTTATAATCTCTTATGAGTCCCAGAAGTCACAGTGTCACTTCTGCCATATGCTATGGGTCACACAGAGCTAACCACAACCTCTGTGAGAGAAACCTACACAAAGTGTGAATACTGGGAGATGAAAATATCTGGGGACTATCTTGGAGTTTGCTACCAAACTGCTCTATATTTGTGTCTCTTCCTCATCTCATCAAATGTTACGAAATGCTTTAAAAGAAAAGAGGCTTGCCAGTTGGAGAGCTGTGCTGCTTACTCTCTGTTTTTTAGCTTTTACCTAAAACACTTAACCTGTATGTACTCTAGTTTCCTGATGCATACAATTAGAGTAAATATCTATGCTCTAATTACGTTGTGATACAATTGAGTAGGGTAAAAAAAAAAAATGTGAACTCTCAAGTAGAGTGCTAGCACATACTAGGTGCTCCAGGCATAGTGGATAACATTCCTACTTTTCTAATTCTTATATCATCCCTAGCCCCATTTTTCCTAATCCTCTTTGCTAGGGCTTTCCACATCCTGCCCTCTGTTATAGTTGTTTATATACATTTATTATCTTGCTTAATGAATTGTAAAAATACTTTAGAGTCAGGCTTTACAATTCCATTAACTTAGCACCTGGTAGGTGCTTAATAAAAAAGCATTGATTAAATGTTCACTACTTACCCTTTGCACTATTCATCTAGCATTATTTATTCATTGTCTTGTCCTCCCGTGAAGGATAAGCATTTAGTGGAAGTGATCATGCCTTGTAAGTAACTCTTAAAGTCTCCATCAACAGCCCCTAGGCCTTGTTCAAAGTGTTCGTTAATGGAAGTCTATAAAACAAATTTTAATATCTACTGTCTATTAACACATTCACTTATTCCTTTGACAGGAACTTTCCTCGTTCTGGCAGGAAGCAGCAGGGAAAAGTGGGAAAAGACAGTAGAATAGAGGTTAGGCACTCATACATGGTGGCCGGACCACCTGGTTTTGAACAAGATTCAGGCAGTTACTACATATAGACCTTAGAAATAACTTATTATCTGTAAGCCTTCTTGTGTCATTTGTAAAATGGAGAAAATAGTTTTTCCTTATAGGGCAGTTTTGGGAATAAAATGGGATAATGTGTATGTAACATGCAGCACAATGCTTATACAAAGTAAGTGCTTAGTAAACCTTCACTTTCATTAAATGTCACCACTTCCATGAAGTCTAGATTGCCTATGCTGAAACTCTGCTCAGAACACCTACATGATTTTGTTTGATTTTTTCTTATGGAAAAATGTCTTACTCATGTTTTCAATAGTGAACTATGTGGTTTGTTTTATTGTCCATGCTAGACTTCAAATTCTTAGACTATAACATCTGGACGTGATTTGACATGAAGTCCTGAACATAGCCCAGGTAAGGAATATTTCTGTATCTTTCCCCCACATTTATACTTCTGCCTGTCTTTTTGTAACAGTTATGCAGATAGAAATAAGTTGCTAAATTGTTGGTTGACATCTCATATTGAGCCATTTTTTTTAACTAGGCAGCATTTTTTATTAAGCCCGCCACTCTGATTACCATTATTTTAGTAACTATACCTAGCGCAACCAGCATCTTTCTCTTTCAGTTTTTCTCACCACAGACTTAAGAATATGTCCCCCTACAATCTTTATATTTCTTTCTTTTTCCTATTCTCAGAGATGAAAAGGTGAGTAAATACCTAAACTTCATTTAACAACCCAATTTTCACCACAGTGCCCTACTTTGGACATTATTGAGCACTTCCTCAATATTATTCACTCTTCCTTTGTTCTGTGTGTATATTTCTCTCAACCCAGAATTCCACAGGGAGACAACGTAAATGGAAGGCAGGATCTGGCTGTATCTTTGGTCTTGGAAGTAATAATATCAAAATCCCATCTCTTGAATATCTAGTTTACAGTGACAGCAATACTAGTAACAGTAATGGATGACATGCACTGAGCTCCTCATGAGCCCTTCTAAACTTTGTGTATTTGCTAGTGCACATGAACCACAGAACAATGAAGAGAATTAAGTTATGAAGCAGAAGTTAACCACTTTGCCTAGTGACAGCTGATAAGTAGCAAAGCTAGGATACAAACCTAGAAAATTTGGCTTTAGCAAGAGACAGCTCGTATCCTGTGTCATATACTGCATCTCACTGGGGGCTTATAAGTAAGGAGGGGACACAGAAATTGTACTTCTCCAGCCTACCTCACTATCATTACAAGGCCTGGGACTTGTACATAGAGAGTTACAAAGTCTCTTATAGCAGCTGATGCACAGTAAGTGCTCAATTAATGATTGTTGAACAAACGAATGAACATTAGATGAAAACATACTTAAACAAGCACATAAACCAATTCAAGTGAGATGAAATTGAAAACTACAGACAATCAATTTACATACAGAAAGGACTCTTCCATATTTTGTGAGTAAATGATGTGTGTGCATTACAGACACATATTCCAAACAAACATGCACACATGTACTAATACACTTAGTTTCTCCACTTGCAACTCAACTGTGATTTTCCTATCAGAGAGTAGTATTTTCCTAGACTCCAGAAATAACACTAAGGCAACATATTAAATGGTGTGTTATACAAATGCTAAGTACCCCACAAATTCAGTGTTACCTAGCCATTTCATAAACAAAATTTAAAAGTCAATTGGTTTAATTGAACTGTCAAAGTAGGTCAAACTGAAAGGGCAGAGATTATATATAAATAGTCCAATGTCTGTCAGTCTCAGGGAGCTAGTCATTAGATGCCAATCTGATCATAATTAATATGTTATTAAAATCCTCACAAAATAAATTGACTTGATTTAAATCAAAGAGTTGAAGTCATGCAAGGGCAATGAAGAGAAAAAATGTTAGGGCAAAGTTCTGTACTTTCCTAAAATTTCAAATTTGGGCAAACCAACATGGGCTATCTTATTTTTCCGCTTGGAGAAAATAAGAGATCTTCTCATTTAATCATCTACTCATATTTTAAAGTCTTGGAAACTTAGAACACCCTAAATTTGTCTATATTAGATCAGAGTCATGATTTTCTCAGCCCAATATTGTGTCTGCAATAAAAGAAACAAGTGAAGCATTTTGCCTACCTGCATATCAGCCTCAAGGTTTAGGTATGTTCACAAAATATCTGTGTGCCTAGCACAGTGCTTAGAACAAAACAGAAAAACAAACACTTAAAAAATATTTGTTAGAATGAAATAAAATTCTTATTTCCAAGAATAGTATATGCATGTATTTTCCCAAAATTGTTCTAAATTTCATTCTGTTTTCTGTCTGAATCTACTATGAAATTATGCTGTCTCATGTATGAAGCACAATTTTTGTAATAATTTTTTTAAATTTTATTGAATATTTGCCACGTGCCAGGCATAGTATCTTATTTTTAACCTCACAACAACCTTAGAAGGCCCATTTTACAGATGAGGAAATTGACACTGTGAGAAATGAAGTTGCCCAAGTTTATGCAGCTAAAACAAGAGAGAATTAGAATTTAAACAAACTCCTTGTGTTTCCAAAATATCAATGCTCCTTAACTCCAACTTTACAATTAAATGCACTGAGAGAAACAGCCTAGCCCCTCTTCCCTCAGCATAGTGCTTCTCTGTATTCTGGTATTTCCTGCTTCATAATCTTGGCAGGGCTAGAACAGGGGTTGAGCAGAAGTCTTGTTAAAAATGCAAATTCATCTACATCACCCAGGACCACCGAAGCAAAATATCCAGACCTACTGAAGAAAGGTGGTGCCCTGGAATCATCATTATCATCATCATCATTATCATCATCATCATCATCATCTGTCACACTGGAAGGAAGACGAAATAAATTAAATGACATTTTGATTAAATATTAATAAATATTACCGATATTTTCAGAACTTGTTAATGTGAAAGGCAAATATATTGTGTATTCATAACTGATAAGATTAATTTCAAAGGAGAAGCTCAATGACTTCAAATGCCACAATTACTCATAAATACAAAGGTTAACAGGTTAATAGAGAGAAAGGCCAGTACTGTTGAATGGATGGTAAAAATTCATAAGATAGGAGTAGGTAACCAATTTTCAGACTTCAAGGTGACCTTGAATACATTATTTAAACCTCTCTAAGCCTCAGTTACTCATGTTATAAAATGAGGAAAATAACATGTATAATGGAAAAACAAAAATACTGTAAATAAATATGTGTAGCCGAGTGCCTGGCATATAATAGGTACATAATTAAAAATATCTTTTTCTTAAAATAGCTAGCTTCTTCTGTGTGGATATCCCTAAAATCTCTGTGTATTTGTATAGCCATCTTTTTAATTTTGATTACATACTTAACTAGAAGGTGGATTCTACAGTCCAATAACTATCCTGTAAAGCCACCTCCCAGGATCAAAAATGGAGAAACGTGGAGTTGTCTTGTATGTCCCTTGGAATAGCAATGCATTCATTTTCTTACAAACCAAATGTTCTTTACAAATACTGACCAATGCAACAGTCCTTTTGCCCCATGTATTCTAAAAATGGCATAAAGACATTTTTAAGTTAACTAGCTAGCTTCTTTATTGGGTCAGCCACATGACTTTAAAAATAAAACATCAAGAGTTATCTCAGAAAAATTCAGCAAGCACTTTAGAGTTAGTTCTGCTGGGTAGAGCTTGCTAATAAGAACAGGGTCAGAGGTTCAACCCCTTTGTGGGACCATTATATTCACTTTCTTACAAGACCTCCTTGGCAGTATAATTTGGGCCAGCCTTCTCACGCTGGCATAGCAATGGCCACAGGAAAGATGCAGCAGAGAGCAAGGCTTCAGCAGAAACCACCTCAGTTCTTTAAAAATATCTGCACAGTAAATGGGGTGGGCATTCTGTCATACTCTTTCAAGACAGACACCAACCTTGCTTTGACTCAAAGCGTATTCTGAATGTCTTCATCGCAAGAGAAACTTTAGTGGAAGTGCCCTCTGGAATCAATGATTGGGGTGGTGGATGGGGGAAGGATATGTGTATATAATTTGAAGGGCAAGGACACAGGGGTATTAAAGTATTTGTATTTTCACGAGGTACATTTATATAATGGAATACTGTTCAGACAAAAAAATAAAATAAAATCATGTCTTTTGCATCTACATGGATGGAACTGGAGGCCACTGTCTTAAGTGAAACAACACAGAAAGTCAAACATAGCGTGTTCTCACTTATAAGTGGAAGCTAAAACATGTCTACACATAGACGTAGAGAGTGGAAAAAGTGAACATTAAAGATTTGGAAAGATGGGAGAGTGGGAGGAGGGTGAGAGGTAAGAAGTAAGTTAATGGATACAATGAACGTTATTCCAGTGATAGTTAACAGTAAAAGCCCAGATGTCATCACTATCCAATATAGCCATGGAATGAAACTGCACTTGTACCCCTTAAGTTTATACAAATAAAAAGAGATTTGTTCCTGGTGTTAGAAAAAAAGTAAAGGGGGAAGGTGCTAGGAGAGGAACTCATATTTATTAAGCACTGTGAGAGCTACTTGATATAAACCTTTCATCTACCTACTTATTAACTATTTCTAGATGTTAGACTCTGTGCTAAATAAGCACTGGGAAACAGGAACAAGGTAGACAATATTCCTTGTTTTTATAGAATGTACTGTCTGATGAAGGAAACAAATGTTGAACATTAATTACAAGTATGATCCATTTTATAAAGATAAGAGCAAAGGGCACTATGGAGACATATGGCAAATGACAGTTTCTGAGTGTAAAACACAGAAATCATTTCTGATTAAACTTAAGCTAAACTGTTTTATTAAGGGACTTTGATAATATTAAAACTTTAGGTCACTTAGATGACAGGGTACACAGAGTGTAACCTCAGACTCTCACAAACAAGACATTGTGGATCTATTTGGGGATCCTACCATCACATGACTGTGCCCCAATCACTGTGCTCCAACCAATCTGATTGTTTATTTTTGAACTTATGCCCAATTGTGGTCAAGGTGTACAGAATCTGTTACCAAACAGAGTATAGGGTGGAAACAAAACAGCTATGTTCTACAGACAAAAATATCCAAGAATCTCACTAAGGTGGTAGAATCAGGAAGTGAAATTTTAGGTGAAATTTTAACTATAAGATACATATTATCATCTCCATTTTATACATGATGAAATTAAGATCCAGAAAGCTTCCATGACTTCTTTAAGAACACAAAGCCATTAACTTAAGAAGGTTGGATGGGAACTCATGACTTTCAGTTTATAAAACTTATGGCTTTTCCATTATATCACATTTTCCCAATTTGTATGTCATTAATACAATTAAAACAGGGGATCTTAAAGATATTATGGGCTAGTTTTTGAATAATAAATTTTGATGTCATGGGCATGTCTAATTAAAACAAACACCTTTCACCTCTACATATGGATGTATTTTGCACAAAGTCTGTTAAAGCTGTAACAAAGTCAACCTTAGAAGATAGTAGTGGCATGATATACTTACTTAATAAAACCACAAGAAAATCAAACTTAGAGGGAAAATTCAAGATACCCTTGAATTCTGCTAATTACTGTCAAGATGGCCAAAATCAAGGATGGCAGTTGAAGACACCGTTAACATATTGGTGTGGGGGATGGGATATTTTTAAAGCTACTCTGCTTTTCAACATCAAAATGTCTGCAAAGTAATCCTTTTCCCAATTTAGTACAGCAAAAGCAAGTAAATTAACAAAATCTAGAATGGCAGACATGATAGTTGGTGAAATACCCTATAGAAAAGCATAATAAATAAGACACAATGTCAGTTTTGAACTATTCCAAGCACTGTCTGTAACTTTACGACTTTTCCTCGTACTCAAGAACACCAGTGATAATGAGAGTGATGTTGAAATGAGGATAACTTGGAAGTGACTCTAATATATGTAAAATTTAAGCAATCTCATTTTTCTAATTTATTATGAGACACACTCATAACTGATAATGATACAAAGTACATTTTGATAAGATTGTTGAGAAAATGAATTACTGCTTTAGAGTCCAGATCCCAATTCACCTACTCATGTATTATTTCTGACTATTGTGATCTACCATTTTACTATAAAATACCTATTCCACTCTGAATCACATAACGCACAGCATTTATTCAGAATATGCACTGTTTCACAGTTTTCTAATTATTTCATGTATTTTCTTCCCAGCTGGATAAGAAATGCATCGAAGATATTAATCAGCTCATAGCACAGAGGTAGGTACAATAGATTTCTCTTCTGTGATTTTGATCCTTGAAGTCACAAAAATAACTTTATAAATAATATGTAGAACCTCGAAAAATTTTATTAACTTGCTGAAGCTAACAGGTACCACAGGAGCAAACTATAGGTTACCATATACCCATTCCCAAGTGATATGGTTTGGCTGGGTCCCCACCCAAATACCATCTTGAACTGTAGTTCCCATAATCCCCACGTGTTGTGGGAGGGACCCAGTGGGAGGTAATTGATTAATAGGGGCATTTAACCCCATGCTGCTGTTCTCATGATGGTGAGTGAGTTCTGACAAGATCTGATGGTTGTATAAGGGGCTTTCCCCCTTCTGCTTGGCACTTCTCCTTGCTGCCACCACATGAAGATGGACATGTTTGCTTCCCCTTCCACCATAATTGTAAGTTTCCTGAGGCCTCCCCAGCCCTGCAGAACTGTGAGTCAATTAAACCTCTTGGCTTTATAAATTACCCAACTGTGGGTATATCTTTATTAGCAGCATGAGAATGGACTAATACACCAAGGAATATATTTTTGACTAAGACTTAAAGCTAAAGACTTGAGATAAACCCCACAGGGTTATGATATATTAGCCCTTTTATATATTACTAGATTTTATTTGTGAATGTTTTTTATATACTACTAAATTTGATTTATTAATGATTTTTGTGTTTATGTTCAAGAGGACCATTCATTTGTAATTTTCTTATAATGTCTTTGTATGGTTTAGAATCAGGATAACTCTGGCCTCATAAAACTAAATAGGAAGTGCTCCTTCTTTCTCTGTTTTCTGTAAGAGTGAAAGATTAGTATTAATGATCCCTTAAATGTTTGATAGAATTAACCAGGGAAGCTATCTGGCCCAGAGTTTCCTTTGTAATAAAGTTTTGATTATGGATTTCTATTTATTCTTAATCTAGTTTTAATAACTTGTCTTTCAAAGAATATGTTCACTTAATCTAAGTTGTTAGCATTAGCATTTGGGTGTTTATATTATACCTTAATATCATTTTAATGTCTGAGGATCTGTAATGCTGTCCCAGATCCTATTGGTAATGTATGTTTCCTGTGGTTTTAATCACTGTAACTAGAAGTTTATCAATTTAACCCTGAATATTAGTCATGGATGCTCACTCTTACATTGAACTGGAATTATTTTGTAATTAATTGTTAATTTTTTTCAACATTGAACTGAAATTACAATATAATTAGGCTAGAAGATGAAATAAAAGGTATAGAGATAGGAAAGAAGCAGCAATATTGCTTTTGCAGATGATTTGATCATTCATGCACAGTCAGCTGTCTATGTAATATGGGTTCTATATTAACAAAATTTTCATCCATGGGTTCCACGCCCATGGATTCAACCAATTGCAGATCAAAAATATTTTTTAAAAAAGATAGTTACATCTGTAAAGAACATGTACAGATTTTTTGTTATTATTCCCAAAACAATACATGAGGTCAGGAGTTCAAGACCAGCCTGACCAACATGGTGAAACCCTGTCTCTACTAAAAATACAAAAAATTAGCCGGGCATGGTGGTGCACTCCTGTAATCTCAACTACTCAGGAAACTGAGGCAGGAGAATCACTTGAACCTGGGAGGCAAAGCTTGCAGTGAGCCAAGATTGTGCTACTGCACTCCAGCCTGGGCAAAAGAGCAAGACTCCCTCAAAAAAAAAAAAATTACATGGTATTTATATTACATATTATAAGTAATCAAGATGATTTAAAGTATTTGGGAGGATATGCATAGTTTACATTCAAATATTACACCATTTTATACAAGAAACTTAAGCACTCATGGATTTTGGTTTCTAGGTTGTGGATTTTCAAACCAATCCCCTGTGGATAACAACTGTCGCAGGTGAGTGGTGACTATCTGGGGCTGGTGGCACAGGGGTAAGAAGAATCTACCAGGACAGTTGTAGATAAAGAAAGGCAGATTTATTAGAGAAAGTATGAAAACATATTGCAAGGGAGCAATGGGCAGGTCAGCAAGAGAGGAGCTAACTGAAAAAGAGGCTTGTTGGGGATTTTATAGAATGGTGCGTGAGCTGTATGCTAAAAAAGAACTTTGTGTAGTACTGATAATGCCAAGGTTGCAGTGAGCTAACTTGTAATTTTTAAACCAGCCAAGGGTCTGGTGACAGCTGCATGCAGGAAGATTGTGCATTATTTGCACGGGAGGGCTATGTGTTGTAGACCATGAAGAAAGGCAGACCTATAGCTTATTTGCTTTCTCTTTTTGCTCTCCCTTGGTCCTGCCAGCCTGACTCCACCCCACCCCCAAAATTAGGACTCCACACCAGTCACCCATGACATACACTCAGGACTATATATAAGAATCCTAACAGTCTACAAAAAAAAAAAAAGTGACTAAAAATAGTAAGTGGTAACAACATTTTACCAGTGTTGCAGGGTACAAGGTCAATAGGCAAAAACGAGTAGTATTTTGTATACTAAAATAAACATTTGCAATTTAAAAAACAATATAATTTACAATGGCATAAAACCTTGAAATAGTTAGAAATAAATTTAACGTAACTAGTACAATGAAAACTACAAAACATCACTGACAGGAATTAAAGAATAAAAAATAAATGAAAGCCATCCTTATAGATACAAAGATAAATATTCCCACATAACAATCTGTAGAGTCAGTATACTACCATTCAAAATTCTAGTAGGAATTTGTATAAATTTACAAACTGATTCTAAATTGTATATGGAAATGTAAAGGATATGAATGAACCAAAACAACTTTGAAAAAGAACTAAGTTGGAGGATTTACACTACTTAATCTCAAAATTTACTATAAACTTATAGTAACTAAGAAAGTGTAGTATTGGCCGGGTGTGGTGGCTGACGCCTGTAATCCCAGCACTTTGGGAGGCCAAGGTGGGTGTATCACCTGAGGTCAGGAGTTTGAGACCAGCCTGACCAACATGGTGAAACCCCGTCTCTACTAAAATACAAAAATTAGCTAGGCATGGTGTTGGGAGCCTGTAATCTGAGCTACTCGGGAGGCTGAGGCAAGAGAATCGCTTAAACCCAGGAAGGTGGAGGTTGCAGTGAGCCGAGAGCACGCCATTGCACTCCAGTCTGGGCAACAAGAGTACAACTCCATCTAAAAAAAAAAAAAAAAAAAAAAGAAAAAAAAAAAAAAGTGTGGCATTGACAAAAGAAGGGTCATATAGATAAATGATAGATCATATAAATTTCACACATTGGGCCAGTTAGTTTCCACAAAGGCGCCAAAATAATTGAATGAAAAAGGAAGATCAGCCAGGTGCGGTGGCTCACGCCTGTAATCCCAGCACTTTGGGAGGCCGAGGCGGACGGATCACAAGGTCGAGAGTTCGAGACCAGCCTGGCCAATATGGTGAAACCCCATCTCTACTAAAAATACAAAAAAAAATTAGCCAAATGTGGTGGTGCATGCCTGTAATCCCAGCTACATGGGATTCCGAGGCAGGAGAATTGCTTGAACCCAGGAGGCAGAGGTTGCAGTGAGCTGAGATCGTGTCGCTGCACTCCAGCCTGGGCGACAGACCGAGACTCCATCTCAAAAAAAAAAAAAAAAAAGGAAAAAGAAAAAGGAAGATCATTTCAAGAAATGGTGCTGGAACAAGCAGATATTCATGTGGAGAAAAAGTAAATCTCAAACTTTGCCTTATAAAACACACAAAATAATTCACTTAAAAGGACCATTAACCTAAATATAAAACATAAAACTATAAAATTTTTAAAATAAAATAGAGGAGAAAATCTTCATGACCTTACTGTCAAAAAAGATTTCATAGGATATATAAGGCAGAAAGCATACAAAGAAAAAAATCTTTAAAATTGGATTTCACCAAAATTCAAAGTCAGTCTTCTCATTGAGAGACAATGTTGAAGTTATTAACAGGAAGCTGCCAACTGAATGAGAATACTCACTATATGTATATCTGACAAGCACTTATATCCAAAGTATATAAAGAACTCTTCCAACTCAATCAGATGACAAAAAAAAAAAAAAATCAATAAAAAATGAATAAACAGCCGGGCCCAGTTCCTCACGCCTGTAATCCCAGCACTTTGGGAGGCCGAGGCAGGCAGATCACTTGAGATCAGAAGTTCGAGAGTAGCCTGGCCAACATGGTGAAACCTCGTCTCTACTAAAAATACAAAAATTAGCCAGTGTAATGGTGCGTGCCTGTAGTCCCAGCTACTCGGGAGGCTGAGGTAGGAGAGTCACTTGAAACCAAGAGGCAGAGGTTGCAGTGAGCTGAGATGGCGCCACTGTGCTCCAGTCTGGGTGATAGAGCAAGACTCTGTATCAAAAAAAAAAAAAAAAAAAAAAGCAAGCAATATACACAATTGTCTAATAAGCTCATGAAAAGACATTTAAGATCTTTATTAGAGAAATGTAAATTAAAACAATAACGAGATACTACTGTGTCCGGAATTGGTGGGTTTCTGGTCTCACTGACTTCAAGAATGAAGCCACGGACCCTCGCCATGAGTGTTACAGCTCTTAAGGTGGCACATCTGGAGTTTGTTCCTTCTGATGTTCAGATGTGTTCGGAGTTTCTTCCTTCTGGTGGGTTCGTGGTCTCGCTGGCTCAGGAGTGAAGCTGCAGACTTTCGTGGTGAGTGTTACAGCTCATAAACGCACTGTAGACTCAAAGAGTGAGCAACAGCAAGATTTATTGCAAAGAGCGAAAGAACAAAGCTACAACAGTGTAGAAGGGGACCGGAGCGGGTTGGCACTGCTGCCTCGGGCAGTCTGCTTTTATTCTCTTATCTGGCCCCACCCACATCCTGCTGATTGGTAGAGCCGAGTGGCCTGTTTTGACAGGGCGCTGATTGGTGCCTTTACAATCCCTGAGCTAGATACAAAGGTTCTCCACGTCCCCATCAGATTAGTTAGATATAGAGTTTGGACACCCAGGTTCTCCAAGGCCCCACCAGAGCAGCTAGATACAGAGTGTCGATTGGTGCACTCACAAACCTTGAGCTAAACACAGGGTGCTGATTGGTGTGTTTACAATCCCTGAGCTAGACATAAAGACTCTCCACGTCCCCACCAGACTCAGGAGCCTAGCTGGCTTCACCTAGTGGATCCTACACCGGGGCTGCAGGTGGAGCTGCCTGCCAGTCTCGCGCCGTGCGCTCGCACTCCTCAGCCCTTGGGTGGTCGATGGGACTGGGAGCCGTGGAGCAGGGGGTGGTGCTCGTCGGGGAGGCTCGGGCCGCACAGGAGCCCATGGAGTGGGTGGAGGCTTAGGCATGGCAGGCTGCAGGTCCCGAGCCTGCCCCGCGGGAAGGCAGCTAAGGCTCCGTGAGAAATCGAGAGCAGCGCTGGTGGGCTGGCACTGCTGGGGGACCCAGTACACCCTCCGCAGCCACTGGCCCGGGTGCTAAGTCCCTCATTGCCCGGGGCCGGCAGGGCTGGCCGGCTGCTCCAAGTGCGGGGCCAGCCAAGCCCACGCCCACCCGGAACGCCAGCTGGCCTGCAAGCGCCGCAGGCAGCCCCGGTTCCCGCTCGCGCCTCTCCCTCCACACCTACCTGCAAGCTGAGGGAGTGGGCTCCAGCCTTGGCCAGCCTAGAAAGAGGCTCCCACAGTGCAGTGTCAGGCCGAAGGGCTCCTCAAGTGCCGCCAAAGTGGGAGCCCAGGCAGAGGAGGCGCTGAGAGCGAGTGAGGGCTGTGAGGACTGCCAGCACGCTGTCACCTCTCACTACTACATACACATTAGAATGAATATTATTAAAAGAATTGACAATGCCAAGTGTTGTCAAGAATGTGAAGTCACTGGGATTATCATAATTCTGCTGGTAGAAATGTAAAATATTGCAATCACGTTTGTAAACAGTTTGCAATTGCTTATAAAGTTAAAGGTACAAAGGTACAATTACTATATACTCCAGAAATTTCTCTCTCAGGAATTTATGACAGAGACATTAAAACATACATTCATACAAAGACTTGTATATGAATAATTACAGAAGTTTAATTCATAATAGTCAAAAACTGGAAACGACCCAAATACTCAACAATTGGTGAATATATAAACAAATGTAGTATAGCCATACAATGGAATATTATTTAGTAATACATAAAAATGAACTACTAGTGCACAAAGCAATATGGATAAATATCAGAAATGTGCTAAGCAAAAGAAGCAGATACAAATGAGTATATAATACTTGTTTTCACTTACATATAAAACTATAAAAGGCAAATCTTATATATAATGGTAGAAAGCAGGCCAGTGGTTATCTCGGGCACAGGTTAAATTTGGGGGGCAATGTTTTATATTTTGATTGTGGTAGAAGTTACATGTCAATATAAATTTGTCAACACTCATAGCAATATACAAGTATAATGCATACATTTTGCTATACTTAAACTGTATTTCAATAAAATTGATTTTAAAATTATATACAACTCTCATTGTGACAATTCTCATCTTCTCCCAATTTTCAGTCCTCTCCAAAAGCCATCACACATGGTAGAACATGACAGGAGTGGAGGAAACACATTATTAAGGGGGATAAGTGTTGTCAGCCTGTTGCAGGACCTTTACCACCTTAGCAGTGGCCTTTCCTCTTCTATTTATTCTCTGTTAGAACTATGTGACTTTCAGAAGCTGCCCATAAACACTTAAGCATCTCAACCTTAGTGAGCATTTAGCACTAAAAACTTTACCTGAATTGATACCCTAAGTCCACATCAATACATAAGAGAAACACGTAAATTTTATAGATATGCCTTACCAACTAGGGAAGAGAGGAAGATGATTATAGGGAAACAAAGGCATGCTGCTTATTTCCTCTGTTCCACTAATTGACGTAGATACAGAAAGGCAGAGGAATGACAGTGAGCTGTACAAAAGAGCAAGGAGAGAAACCAGAGCACCCAGACCCCACAATTAGCATCTAATTGGAGACAAAGCCTAGAGTGTGGGGGTTGCCTTCACGAAAAAGGCACAGAAAACTTGAGAACCACTGCAGTGTCCAAGAGACCAAAACAGAATTGATAGAGATGACATTAAAAGTTTTGCTTAAACATGAATTAATATGCCATTTCCTGTGTTTTGTGAGAATCCAATATCTGAATTGAACTTTTAATTATTCTTGGTTATTCACTGGTATAATTGGAATGATATAAGTCCTACAGATATACTTTCAAAGAGCTTCTTGGCTTATATAGATTATAAAAAAAAATTACCTCCTCAGAAGGCAAGAAGAGAAAACAGGGTAGAAAAATGGCAGCATTTGGGTGCCATCTTTGAAGATGAGATCTTTTCACTGGAAAAGCACAAGATTCTTCTTAAACCAATTTTGGATTTCTATCATCTGAACTTCCTTCCACAATGAGACTCTGAGGATTACAGGATGCTTAGATCCCTTCTTACAAACCCAGTAATAGTTAAATTCAAGTTACAAACCCTTCCAGTTGTCTTTATTTTGATATCTTTTCAGTGTTTTTAGTTTACGGAAGTAGCACAACGGCTTTTTTACTATTTCACACATTTTGAGACCCAGAGGAGAGCACAAAAATAAACTTATCCCATCTACCATAATGATGGGAGAGAAAAAAGCATATAATATGTGTGTGTGTGTGTGTGTGTGTGTGTGTGTGTGTTTTACTTGAGCACAGATAAGCCATCAGGCTCACACATAAAATAGCTTAAGTAAATATGGTTTTAGGATATGTGTACAGGCGTACAGTGAATCCACAAGAAGCAGTGGCTCAACAAATCAGATAGTCTTTGCAGAGGCTGTGTCTCATTTCCTACGGGACAACTGAGGAGTCCACGTTTTAAGTATTTTCATATTTGTGAAGCTATGTGAGAAACAGCCTGGGATCTCTAACTGAAGAAGATGTTACAGAGCTTGGTCACATGGCACGAGTAATAACAAAAGCCAACTAACCTTGAGTAATTAGTATTAACATAATTCCACTTTTTAACCTGGGATTGGGCTTGGTTGGTCTGAAAACAATTCAAGATATATATTCTACGATTCTAAGTTACCTCCAACATTTTGGCAAGTAGACACAATATGTTAAAAAGAATAACACATCCTTCTAAAATTTAAATGTTTCCTCTGTTACACCCCCTTAATCCAGATGGCCTCTTTTGAAAATTTCATAAATTCTTGTATATATCCAGAAATTCTGGGTAACTCAAAACTGACTTTTGCTTCTCTTAAAGAGTATTTCCAAACTTATTTCTCATCCTTTCTATAAAATCGTAAGCTGAAATTGTCTTCAAAAATAACGAAAGGATTTATCTTCTATTAGATTATAAATGATACCTTCTTCTCACTTACTCATATAAATGGGAATATCCAAAATATGAAAAAAAATGAAAGCACTGATGAAGCCATCAAGAGTCATTAACAGAACAACAGGGCCTTGCACTAACTCCATTTAGAGACAAGTCATAAATCACATGAGGGCCTCTGCTATGGTCTGAATTTTGTGACTGCCAAAGTTTATATATTCAAATCCTAACCTCCAAAATGATAGCATTAGGAAGTGAGGGCTTTGGGAGGTGATCAGGTCATTGGGGCAAAGCCCTCATGAATGCAATTAGTGCCCTTATTTAAAAAAAAAAAAAAAGGCCTGAGGGAGACTGAGATTCCTTGCCCCTTCCACCATGTGAGGACACAGAGATAAGGCAGTGTCTATGAGACAGAAAGCAGGCCCTTTACGAGACACTGAATCTGCAGGTCCCTTGATCTTAGACTGCCCACCCTCCAGGACTGTAAGAAATAAATATTTGTTGTTTATCAGCTACCCAGTTTATGATATTTTGTTATAGCAGTTTAAAAGACTAAGAAAGCTTCCTTTCTCCCAATTTGCACACAATATTAAATAATGAAATATAATTTGAGTATTCATTGTCAAAGAAGGCTATCATGGTCACCTACAGAATTCAATGCCATATCTATCTTTCTAGACAAGCATCACCTTCTGAAAATATTACCCAATATTTTGAACCAGAATTTATGGTAAAACAGAATTCAACCCCATATCTATCTTTCTAGACATGCATCACCTTCTGAAAATATTACCTAATATTTCGAACCAGAATTTATGGTAAAACTTTAACTGTAGCACAAAGGCCTTGAATCAACCATAAGCAAATCACATTTCCTTGAAATACTCAGTATTTAAGATGTGGAAGGAGAAATGCCCAACTACCTTTATTTACTTTCACCCACATCAACACTCCTGAACTTTCATGCTATCAAATAATTCTTTTTTAAGTTTCATTTATTTTGTATATTTGCTTATTCTTTTGAAGAATATTTTATGGGAACCTATTTTGCACCAGGTATTGATTTTGGTATTGAGGGTATAGTAGTAAATGAAACCAAGGAAAGCCTACCCTCACATGGTTTACATTTTAATTGTTGAGGATTTCCCTTCAAGAAATATTATTGGGAGTTTTATGTGAGTCCATTTGTGTTGTGGATACAGAGATAAGTTCAGCAAGGCAAATGACAAATCAAGATATTCTCTTTAGAAGAAATCTAGAGAGATCCTGGTGGACACATCTTGCATTTTAAAGCAAATGCATGATCTCTTCATGTTAAAAATCACTTTTAATATCCTACTATGCTTTGGTAGAGAATGAATTCCGGGTCTTGGGATACCAGGTGACCTTGACCCTGAAGCAGCTGGTTTAAAGGAAATATGGGCTTGGTGGTAGAGGCAGGAAGTATAAATACCAGCCATGACTCTGCCCTGTGACTAAAGGGGAAATAAGGACCACTATGCCTGCCCACGGTTTATTTCTTGCTATTTATTTACCTGAAATAAATTTCATTTGTTTTCTTCTTCCTTTATTCTACTATTTTATATCAGATATGTTATTGATAGTTATCATTACAATTTACTCTAGAAGGTAGAGAATATCAAAGGGCTCATCATGGAACTAGAGTCAGAATCGATATAGTAACAGATTATCAAATACATATATGTTAGAGCTTATTTTATCCCATGCCTTTTTCCAGGCACTTTACATCTATTAGCCCATTTAGTATTTCTAGGAATTGTAGCACATAGATACTTACAAAAAAAAATGGGGAGGAAAAATCAGTTAGTAAGTTGTCTGAGGTCAGAAAGCAAGAATATGATGGAGCTCGAGTTGTTGTCAGGCAGTTTGGGTTTCAGAGTCTGCGATCTTAAGCACAGTGCTTTAGGGACTCTAAACAGATATTGGGTTGGATTCCATAAGGCAACTTGATTTTCCAAAGATATTTCACATACCACTGGATACACCAAGTCACAGGGGCCATGTAAGAGAGATGCTTGCACTATGGAGTGGATCGGCTATGACATGGAATGAAATACCCACTAATGAGATACCTGCTATAAACATGACCCTCCCTGCTTTTTAGGGTAAAGGAAAGCACATTTTATTTTGTGTACAAAATAACTGCACTGTGTTAGGCAGAAACATCTGGTACTGTTGTAGTTTGAAATTTAAATATCGTCTGCGTAATCTGATACTGCACAACAAAGGGGGTGAATTGTAGTAGTTTTTTTTTTTTTTTGCGGGGGGGCATATGAAGTCTTTGAAAAGTCTTTCTACATTTATGGAATTCAGTACCTTATGAGATCCCTAATCCCTTTATAGAAGCCACATGTAGAAGCTTTTACCAAAAAGAAATACTTTTTGTAGTCAGATTGACCTGCTTCAGAAAATATCATAAACTGGGAGGCTTATCAACAACGCACATTTATTTCACACAGTTCTGGAAGCTGGGAGGTCCAAGATCAAGGTGCCAAAAGATTTGGTGACTGGCGAGAGCCCACACTCTTGTTCATAAATGCCCCCTTCTAGCTTTTCCTCACATGTTGAAAGAACAAAAAAGTTTTCTGGGATCTCTTTCAGAAAAGCATGAATCATATCCACGAGAACTCTGTCCCTTTTACCTAATCACTCTGCAAAGGCCCTTTCTCATGTTGGGTTTACTATTTCAACATATGAATTTTGGGTGGAAAGAAATATTAAAATCATAGTAATATATCTATGTTAAAATATTTTAAATCAAAAGCTAGTGTTAGACAACAATGTGAATATATTTAATGCCACAGGACCATCTAACTAAGAATGGTTCAAAATGGTAAGTTTTATGTTATGTATATTTGATCATTTATCTTTATTATCCCATTTAACTGTCACAAAAATAAAAGGAGATGTAAACTATGATTTTACTCTTTACAAATGAAGAAAATTATGACAAGTGGGGTTAAGTAACTTGTCTGAAGTCATGTTGCAAACAGTAGAACCAAGACTGGAACCCAGGTTTGCTTGATGTCAGTTCCTATGCTCTTAACTACTGTCCTATAAAAGTTACTGATTGATAGTCCTGCACTAATATATTCCAGTGGTACTGTACTTTAAAGACTTAAGAGAAGTAATATAAAGATTTTAACTAATAACAACTAAACCCAAAGTCTGAAGAGCTGAGTTACAGACCTGGCTCTTGTGTATCACATGAATCTGAGCCAGTGACCCACTTTCCTGGGCCTGCGATTTCTCTTCTGTAAAATGAGGGATTGCATCAACTGAGTCAAAATCCTCTACAGCTCTGCCATTCCACACTTCCAGCCTCTAATTAGATGTCTCTCCTCTTATCCACCTTGTTAACAAGAAGAAATACAAAAAGCTATTAATTCTCCATAGAGCTTTGAAGTTGTCCTTACATCCTCATCTCCCTCCTCCTTGTGCCTGGGTAGAATCATGATGTGATAAAAAGTCTAAGGAACTTTTTTATGTGCAACCCAGATAATCCAAGGTCAGGCTGTAGAAGCCGTTGTGCAACTGTTGGTTGAAAATCAATAGTACATGTCCTGTATTCAGGGACATACACACACAAATAAACACAAATCACTTACGATGACATCTGGTCCTTTGATTTCATAATGCAAATGCCAAAGGGTTATTTTGTTTTTTCCAATGTCATCTCATAAAGGCAATATATTCCCTGAGGCAGGCTTTGGACCCGAGTATGAACAGGGTCATTATTGTTGAATTTTAGGATTCTCCCTGGGAATTTAGGTGTCACTAAAGCAGCGATGTTGTCTTCGGCCTTAAGCAACCAATTGATACCCATACACCAGTTCTTTTTGTCATTATGACCAGTATATCGGCTCTAATATTATTGATATTTTCATCACCCAAATTAGTTTTCAGGATTTACTGCCAGACTGGAAATACTGGGTTAGAGACTGGGAGTTCCATTGTAGTATTTTAACATAGTCGACTATTAATAATAATAAAAATAATAATACCTGTACTATTTATTTAGTCTGTGCAGGCATTGGGATAAGAGCTTTATAAGCATCATCTAATGTTATGGCAACCTTATATGTTAAGTACTATTATTTTTTCTTTAATTTATATATGGAGAAACTTAGGTTTAGAGAGGAGAAATGATTTCCCCAAAGTCACATAGCTAGTATTGAAGGCCTGTGTGACTTCAGGCCTTATTCCCTTAACCCCTTCATTATTGAGATAATGACTCCCATTGAGAATCAGCCTGCCTAAAATATACATGAAATAGAATCTTATTTAGAAATTCTAACAGTGTAGCAGAGCTCATCCTGTTTCATTAGTGAAGAAAGTTTCTTTTCAATCTGAGAAAGCCATTCATTTAGACTGAGTTTCAGGAAGGAGAGACACATAGGGATATACCAAAATTAGCTGGCTAGTGTCAATGAGGCATGACCAAAGAGTCCATGGGGACAGAAGCAGTGATTTAACTTCAGGTTCAGTCCCAGAGGCAAAGACCGAATTGAGGACCAAAGCCAAGGTCACTTACTAGGTATGTGAATGGAGCATGCCACGTGAAGGAAGAAGTCATTAAATCATCAGTTAGCAATGACAAAAAAACAAAGTAGCTAGAAATTGGTCTTTTAAAAAACTAGGTAGTAACCAGTCAGAATGGCTATTATTAAAAAAATAAAAAAATAATAATTTATGCTGGCAAGGTTGCAGAGAAAAGGGAACACTTAGGCACTGTTGGTGGGAATGTAAATTAATCCAACCATCGTAGAAAGCTGTGTGGCAATTCCTCAAAGAGCTAAAAGCAGAACTAGCATTTGACCCGGCAATCCCATTACTGGGTATATACCCAGAGGAATATAAATCATTCTACAATAAAGACAGATGCATGCAAATCTTCATTGCAGCGCTATTCGTAATAGCAAAGACAAGGAATCAACCTAAATGCTCATCGATGACAGACTGGATAAAGAAAATGTGGTACATATAAACCATGGAATACTAGGCACTCATAAAAAAGAATGAGATCGTGTCTTTTGTGGGAACATGGATGGAGCTAGAGGCCATTTAATTAGCAAACTAATGCAGGAACAGAAAACCAAATACCCTACGCTCTCACTTATAAGTGGGAGCTAAATGATGAGAACTTACGGTCACAAAGAAAGAAACAACAGACACTGGGGTCTACTTGAGGGTGGAGGTTGGGAGGAGGGAGACGAGCAGAAAAAATAACTGTTGGATACTAGGCTTAGTACTTAGGTGATGAAATAATTTGTGCAACAAGTCCCTGTGACATGAATATAACTATATAACAAACCTGCACATGTGCCCCCAAACCTAAAAAAAAAAAGTTAAAATGAATAAAAATGAAAAGATTAAAAATTGGGTAGTAAAAGTAGAGGAATTTCAGTGGTCCTACTTAAAATCGGAAGATGCTCTTACTTCGAGGAGCTTGAGTCATGCCTAGTCACTAAGATATAATTCTGTACCTGAACTGATGAGCCTAAAGCTAGTATGGAAGAAATGACTAGACTTCACAGTCCAGTGAAAAAGCATTTAAAAAATAGGTGCAACACAGAGACAGAGAAAAAAGCAGACTGATTCTAAATTAGATGATCGCAGATTTTGAAACAAATACCTGCAATAGGGAAGGGTAAATCATCAGGCTTATAAAACTGTATAGATATATTTAAATTGCACTCAGTATGCAATTGCTTCATAATTAAACCCTGCTGGGTAAGCTCACTCACCAAAAAGCAGGTTGAGAGTAAACCTGTTGAAAGGGTACAGAGAGTCTTACTTGCAGACACCAAGTTCTGATTGACAAAGATTTCTCCCATTACAAAAATTGTATTTATTTATTCCTATTTATTCAGTAGAAAATATTTTTCATGTACATTTTGAGTTCTAGACATAGAGTGGTAGGCATAGTGGACAAGATCCCTGCCCTCACTGAACTTACATTCAATTAGAAAAAGTAAGTCAACAGTCAATAACAGCACAGTGGGATAATGCAGGGTGCAAGGGAACCTAACCAGAGATATGGGGACGACAATGACTTTCCAGAAGAAATTATACTTAATTTGGACTAAGGGATTAGTGAGAGTGATTCTGGAAAAAAGAAGCAGGGGGCAGGGTATTCTAAGATCAATGAATAGCATCTGGAAAGACTCATAGTCTACTGGAAGTATGATCAATTTTACCAAGTGTCAAACGTTCACTATGCTCAGAGTACCATTTGCAAAGGCTAAGTGGAAAGACATGAGGGTGGCCAGGTTCACAGGAGATAGCACAGGAGAATTTTGTAGGTTAAGATATTAGTACCTTTCCTGAGACAAATGGGAAGACATTGATGCGTGCCATTGATGAGTGCCAAGGAAGAAAATGAAATGATCATATTTACATTTTAGGAAAAGTGTTTTGATTTAGCTCCAGGCTATGTTAGTTTGAATGACATGTGTTATTTCCCTGAAAACAACTGATAAATATCTTTGGTCATCCCAGAATGAGCTAATGAAATTCACTTTCTCAACCTATAAAGCTGAAGCAATCCCCTGAAGGTGACACCACAGATAGAAGCAACTATGTAGTTTGTCTTTTATTACCAAAATATAGTATACAGTGACAGTGACTTAGGAGTCTCAAGTGTTCCATTTAAAAATCCACATCCTCTCCATTTAGTTAATTCTGATTGTAAATTGATCACTAGCTCACATAACTGTTGTTTGTAGACAAAAATGGTGGCTCAAAATAACAAAGATAATGGACATTAGCCTTTTTGGACCAAAATTTTTGGTGGCCTTAACCTTTTAAAAGAGAACTTCACATAATAATGTCAACTGCTCATTGAATAGGTTTCGGGAAATATTGTAAAGACTTCATGTGCATTATCTTATAACTTTATGATAATTCTTTGAGGTTAGCACGGGCATTATCCTTACCTCTCAGATAAGAACACTGAGGCTTAGAGAGGTTTCAGTAGCTTGCTGAGGGATGTAGTTACCAACTGCAAAGCTTGCCTTCAAACCCATATCTGTCCTATTGCAAAACACATGCTTTTAACCATGATCCAGTTCTGCTTCTTTTTCATAGAGTGATGTGAGAAATGTCACAGTGCAAACTATCCTATCTGGTAATGAAGAAAATCACTGAAGAAAACTGTCCATTTTAACGTCAATTATGTTGGAGCTCAAATGTGAATGCACTCTAAAACTTGGTAGAACAACCCTGTTGAAAATGACAAACATATGTAATCATTTATAATACCTTTATTTTCATCCTGCACAAGCAAGGATCTGGAAAATCAGACTCAGATAGGGATTTTAGAATTTAGAATTAAGTGACTATATGTATGGGAAGTTAGCCCATAACTTCAGAACAAGAGGTTAGAAAATACAGTAAAAATAGTCAGAAAAAGCACTTAACCAAAAGAGAGACTAGACAAAATTTTAGTCAAAATTAAAGACGAAACACTTGGTGTCAGCAAGACTAAGCAAGTTCTTATGGTTGAGAAAGAAATGAGAGGCAGAGAAAGAGATTCTGCAGGCAGTTCTTAAGACATAGACGCATATGCCTTGTGTAGAAAACAGTAAGCTGGTTTGGACTCAGCCTCCCATCATATGTAGGAGTTTTATCCGTGATAGATTGATAGAAAGAGTTATCATTCACCTCCACTTCAGGAAAGACACTTCAAATAGATTAGATCCTTGAGTAGACCAAGGCATTCTCTAAAGCCCAGAAAGGCCTGTACTGTAAGAGGCACTATAGGAGAATGGTTTGAGAACAACTTTCTAGAGGTAGGCTTCTTAAGTTTGACACACAGTTTCAGCACTAACTGTTTGTCCTTCAGAAACTGCCTTATTCTCTTTATGCTTCAGTTCTCTCATCTATAAATTAAGATAATAATATCAATATCTACATCATAGAGTTGATATAGGAATAAATGAGGAAATCCACTGGAAAACCTAGCACAGTGACTTGCACAAAATCATAACCTAAAAATATCATCATCATTGTTATTATTACCATCAACATTTTCATAGTTACATACTTGGATTCTGTAGTTATTAAGATACTGCTTCAGAATACAGAGATTTTGGTAAATGGAATAGAATTTCAAACAACAACAACAATAAATAAAGCCTTTGAAAAGTTCAAGGATCTTGAATAAGGCCAGTGTAAACTAAAGTACCAAGCAAATGAGAAAGTGCTGATGAGGTGGTAGATGTAGCAGAAGGCTAATCAGGCATGCCTTGCAATTCTAATGAAAAATTCAGTTTTATTCCAATGGCAGCATAATCATCAATAAACTAGGTTCCTTCCCCAAAGGGGCAGGTGGGCAAATAAGTGGATATGTCAGTGCACTATGATAGCTGTGCTAAAAATTAAAACAGGAGTTTTAGTGCAAAGAGAAAGGAAACTTCACTCAGCCTTCAAGGAGCCTTCCGCACCTTGAAAGAGAGAGGGAAAATATGTCTATAGCCACAATTCCATAAAAGGAAAGAAAATGAGGTCTTGGCTTGCTTCACATCTTATCAGAAGATGTTTCCATCCTCTTTCTATGCAAAATGCCTACCATCTGGGTCACCATTACAAAACAACGGTAATTTTATGGAATAAAATTATGAAAAGTAAGAGTAAATTTGTATTATGTCCATGCCACTGTAGAATGTCAGAGTACATGTTGGTTTTTTCAATTTTCCCACCAACAAATCTCTTGCCAGGAAGTCCCTGCTTTTGAAAGTTTCAGGGTTGATGACCTTTCATATCATGATAGATTGGAAGAAAACTCAAGTCTATTAATGGTCAGCTGGGCAAAGTAGCAGGCAAGCAGATGTACATTTTCACAATACCCTCAAAGGAGAAATTTGAAATGATTACTTATTTCCATTGATGGAGAGAATGGTTTGTAATAGGCAGAGATTTTATGAGTGTTCCTGAAATTCTGAAGCTCAGAAGGTGCCATCTTCAGACTTCTTACATCTTGTCATTTTGAAAGTGTAGTTTGGCCAAGTATGTTGGTAGCTTAGCTGGGAAGTAGATCTCAGGCTCAGATGCCAGCTAGTATGGTCCCAGGGTCCAGAAGACTGGCAAGGTCATCATAATGGATGACATCTGGCTCTGGCATTAATGAAGAACATTTGAGTTTTGGCCTCTTAGCCAAAGCCACTCAATGAAGACATCAAGCAGTTTAAATATTTCCTGATATCAGGAGGTAAATATCTGAGGCTCCCAGAAGTATCAAGATCCCAAATCATGTAGAGATGTCTTACACAAGAATTCAGCAAACATTTTATTCTTATTGCTCACCACCTGCAATGAGCCTTCCACTCCAGATGTTTTAGCTTGAGTAGCCTTCCATATATGACAGACCCAGTTTTACTCTCCCACCGGGACTCCTGCTGGTCAACCCTCCTCTCTAGTTCTCAAAATCCTGACAATCCTTTTAGATCTGGCTCCAGAGCTATCTCCTCTATGGAAAAAGGACTTAATTTCTCCGTCCCACAGTAGGGCAATTGCCTTCCTCAGAACTCCCTCATCATGTAGTTTCTAGGACTAGAAGAAAACCTCAACCATAACTACAATGAGGTAGTTAATACATATCAAAGAGCAACCATAAATGTGTATTCACAAAATAAGCTGTCAGACAAAATTAGCAATTTTCTAGCTTTTTCCATTAAATATATAGTTACCGGATAATTTGTTATGTCTTCAATGAGCACTTTTATTAGCACATAAGAGGTATAGGTATTAATGGTTTAGTTAAAAAATGTGTTGAACAAAAGCTTAAGTTAATAAATAAATCATTGTCACTTTTAGTATTTTCTGGGAACTGGAGAAATGCCAACTTTGAGATTTTTAAATATGAGGTATCTCAGTATATCCCATAGAATACCAGTGTTTGCTCTTAACATATTGGGACCCAGTGACCCAGATTCTTTAAGCCTGTGTCCAGATCTGTCCAGTCATATTTGTTATGCTTCATCCAGATACAGACTGAGCTTCTTGCCCCTGAACTACCTGAATTTTTGCCTGACTGATCAGCTGGCAGGCAGACAGGCTGTTGGACTTTTTGATGGGCCAACTGGCGAGTTCCACTGGAAATATATAAACTCAATAGAAATAGGTAAAAATATAGCATTTTAGTAAGTCCTGGAAATAAGACCTCTCCAGAGACAAAAGTAGAATGTTTCTAGCATTTTTTGGGGGGACCCAAAATTGACATTCATTTACTCATCATACATGGTGGGAGATACAATGTTGATGTTACAACTATCTACCATGATTGAACTGATCCATTCCAGGATTTAAACTAACACATAAATGTGTTTTCCTCATTAGTTATTGGCATGGATACATGACAAAAGGCTGCCTGTCACGTGGTTAGGTAGAATGTTGTCTTCGCAAATGGCTGCTCAAAACAGATGCTCTCCCCACCTCTCCCACTCCACCCAAATCCCAGGAAAAATGGGTCTGGTAGGGAGGATATGATCAAAGATAAAGGATTTAAATACACATAGGTACACACACATACACACGCATCCACACACCACACACACACTCACATATAACCTGAGGTTTTGTCTTAAGAGAAGTCAGTTCTTTTTAAAAAGTACCATCTTTACACTGAACAAAACAAATAAGACTAGGGATTTGTGTATTTGCTTTTAACAGATCTTCTCAAAATATACATTCTCTAAATGTGGAAGAGGCAACTAGTAGCATCTGTGCCCACAACATGAATCTGGTAACATAAAGTGTGTTCATGGACAAACAGGAGGAGCTTTTATTGAAATCCATAGAGTGCCCTACCTTGGGACTGAAGGAAGTAGCTAGGACCTGTTGGGGACCTGTGGCTCTTTGTCTTCTCAGAAGGCCAATTAAAGTTGGAATTCAGAGTATCTGTGGTCTCTAGCAGCAACTCAAGGCTGACTCTTGGCTTAGGACTCTGTGAACTATAGGAAACCAAGGGTTAGACAGAAATCAGTTGGCAACTTGGCTGAGACATTGCTCCTCATCAATCAACTCCCAGCAGCATGGAAGGACATTTCTTCTCTACTTCTCATATTTGGTTTGAATCAATTAATTTGTAATACTCTAGGACTAGGAAAACAGGCTAAACATTTTATTTTTTTCAGCCACAGCTTTTTCTCCTAACCGTCCACCTCTCTGTCTTGAAAACATAATATCTACCACATTTTCATCACATTACTGTACCCAGATGATAACTCAGTGGTATAAGTGCCATTCCAAGTATCATTTAAAACAGATGAGTATATGCATTTGATAAAGGATGATTATACAGTCATATATAGTATGGAATCTAGGGGCATGACCCTTGGCTAGATTAAATTGTATCCTCTAGTATTTTTGAGAAAGTCATTTAAAATGCATTGGCCTCTATTTGTCTGTAATAATAGGAAAATACTTTCAGATCTACTGTTAGGGTAATAATTAAATGAAGTCATAGTTAAGAATTATTTTTTAATTTAAGCACCAAGGTAATAAGGGATTATCATGAAAATTATAAAACAAAGATTATTGAGAATGGTTATGATATTCAGTTCTAGAGGTTCTCATCAACAGCACTGAATTCAAGTCCTAGGACTGTCTGCTTCTCATTAGCTGTGTGAACTTTGTAAAGTCTCCAAACTTCAACACTGGCTGCCTCATTTGTAAAAAAGGAATGATAATAATTCTACCTCACAAGAGTTATTTTATCAGGTTTAAATTACATGATGAAATTAAGCTCTTAACACAGTGCCTGGCAAGGAGTAAGTGCTTAATAAATTATCAGCTAGTATACTATTGGGAAACATATGGCTCATACAGTTTAGAATAATTTGAGGAAGATTCAATAAAGGGACAATATGCAAAAAGTGCAGAGCTGTTTGTTAACTACAAGAGATAGTGCAGAGATATTACCATCACTATATGGGAAAAAATGAAGGTGTATGGAGGTACCTGACCCAGAGGAAGAGATTAAGAGAGAATTGCCTTAAGAAGAGCTAAGAACTTTGATGGAGGGACATTTTAGCTCAAGGAGACCTTGCATAGACCTCAGTTTTTCCTCTTCTTCTAATCTCTAGCTCTGTTCTCCATTGACCAATGAAACTGGAACTTTGAAGGCAAAGGACGCCTACCGCAGTCCAGAGTTCAGTAATTTATTTTCTGTAAAGAGTCAGATAGTAAATACTTTTGACATGCAAGTCATGGTCTCTTGAAAACAGCCAATGACATTATGTAAATGATGGGTGTTACTGTGTCAATAAAACCTTAGTTACCTAATGAGGCAACAGTTTACAGATACCTGATGTAGTCCATACAAATCGGATTCCTGATGCAGAGGAGAAAACTGGAAAATTGATCAGAGGGGCAGATGAAGGATATCCACTTCAAGATAATGATAGCTATCTTAACTGTTATGCAGGCTCTATTATGAATATCATTTTAACTGTACATGAGTTGAAGACATTAGCATCTTGTTTCAGCTATATAATGGCTTTTGTTTAACCATGCCAATTTTATATGGGTGTACTACAGAAAACTACAAATAAAGCTATATAAGCTCCATGAAGGTAAAGACTACATTTTATTCACAACTGTAAATCCTAGGCCTAGCTCAGTGTTTTGGTGTACTGCAGATGCTCAATAAATATTGGACAAATTAATGAATCCCAAATTGTACTAGATGTCCTGAAAAGGATGAAGTCATCATCATTTTATATAGAGGTATAACATACACACAAAACTACACACATTTTAAATATACGGGCTCGATAAGTCTTGACAAAATTAATACATCCATTTAATTATCATTCAGATCAGAAAAGAGAGTATTACCAGCATCTCATAAAACTTCTTGACCTTCCTCCAAGTCACTATCCCTTTTCCCCAAAAGTAACTACTGTTTTTATCTCCATCATCGTAGATTAGTTTTGTCTTTTTGGTTTGTATCAGGTTTCTTTCATTCAACATTGTGTTTGTAGATTCATAGGTGGTGGTGTAATGAGAAGCAATTTGTTCATTTTCATTGTTGTATGTTATTTCATTATATGACATAGCACTATTTATTTTTCTAGTCTATTATATGGGCATATGAGTTGTTTCCAGGCTTTAGCTACTACAAAGACGGCTTCAATAAAAATGTTCGTGCATGTATTTTGTTGCCCATATGACTACATTTCTATTGGAGATATGCTTAGTGGGGGAGATAAGTTGGAAAACATGGCAGGAGCTTGTTTGGCTTTAGTATATACTACTGTAAAGCCCAAATAACAAAGTGGCTGTCTAAAAGAAAATGATATTTATTTGGGATTGAGCATTGCAGTGGGAATATAATGGGTACATTCAGGGAGGTAAAGGAAGACAAGAGTTTTTAAAGGAAAAATGAGGAGAGTTACATGAGTTGTTTTGAAACAATTATCCTTGGCTGTAAGGATTAATAACAAGTTTGAGGTCAGTCCAAGTTTGAACAGGCAGTTGCTGGGCAGATGTCCTCATAGAAGCATTTTTTTGTGTGTGTAAGGGTTGCTGTGGCATTTGTGCAATGTTGTGGTTTATGTAGTCTTCTGTGAAAGTTCCTATTACCAGGCATACTTGCATGAGAATCCTCCCTTCATGGCCTTGCCTGTTCCCATTTTTCAGGGTTTTGATACAAGTGGCTCCATTTGATTCTGACAATTTTCATACTACCAAATGGTTTTCTACAGCAATCCTAATAATTTGTGCCCTACTAACAAGTGCATAATATGCTTCACATCTCAGCCAATAATTAGTATTATTCAACTGTTTAATTTTAGCCATTATTTCAGGGATGTAAGAGTAACTTGCTGTGTTATCTTTCCCTTTTGGGTAATGAGGATAAAATCCTTTCATTATGCTTACCAGCCATGTGGATAACTTTGTGAAATGCCTCTTCAACTCTTTTTACTTACCTTTCTATTGAGTTTTCTGTCCTTATCTTAGTATTTAGAGGCATTTAAAAAAATAATTTGGATATGTGTTTTTATTCATATGTACGTATTAAAATATCTTTTCTACCCTGTTTCTTGCCTTTTTACTTTCTCAATGGTATATTCTGAAGTCCAAAAATTTTTATTCCTATGTGGCCTGAGTTAACAATTTTTCCTTTATGGTTTCTTTTTATGTGCTCTGAGTATTTGTATACCCTAATAATGTTAAAATATTTTTCTATATTAACTTCTAGAAACTTTATTGTTTCTACATCCCCCCCAAGATATATTTGTATGTATGTGTACGTGTGTGTGTGCATATATATATATACGTATATATATGTGTGTATATATATGTGTATATACACACATATATATGTGTGTATATATATGTGTATATGTGTATATGTATGTGTATATATGTGTATATATATGTGTATATATACACATATATGTATACACATATATGTAGACATATATGTGTATATATACACATACATGTGTATACATATATGTGTATATATACACATATATACACTCATTCTAAAGAAATATACTTTTGTGTATGGCGTGAAATAAGGATCAAGAGTCAGTCTTTTCTTATGCATATCTAGTTGACTTCTAATCATTTATTGAAAAGACCATTTTTTACTCATTGTGCAGAAATCCCACCTTTATCATAGATCAAGTGACTATATACATGTGGACTATATCTACATTTTTTATTTTGATCAATTGGTCTACTTGCCTAAGTTACACATCTTAATTATTAAGCCTTCATAAGTATTGATATCTCAAACTCTCTTAATTTTCTTAGCAATTCCTGGCCCTTGGCATTCCCAAATATATTTTAGGATCAGCTTTTAAATTTCTATCAAAATATGACAAATTGTTTTATTATGATTACACTGAATCTTTAGATGTTTGATAAGAAGTCTTATTTTTGTGGTAATAATAATGAGACTCCTAATACTTGAACATGGTATATACCCCTTTATGACTTCTTTAATATTTTGTAGTTTTTTGTTTACACATTTATAATTCCTATATTATACATATTTCTAGGTATTTCGTATTTCAGGTACTATTACCAATGGTATCATTTTAAAATATTCATGAGTTTCTGCTTTTGGTCTATCAGTATGAAAGTGATTTTTGTATATTGGTGTAATGTCATGCAATTTTACCGAATTCAATTACTACTTCTGTAGAGCCTTTTAGATTTTCCATGCTGATTAGTCTGTTTGAGCTGCCATAACAAAATACCACAGACTAGGTGGTTTAAACAACAAAAATTTATTTTTTCATGCACTGGAAACTGAAAGTCTCCAAGATTAAGGGGCAGCCCTGGTTTCTTTCTAGTGAGCCTCCTGGCTTGGAGACAACTGCCTGCTTTCTATGTCCTCATGCGGCCTGTCCTCTCCATGCATGTAGAGAGAGACAGAGTGAACAAATGGCTCTGGTGTCTCTTCTTCAGGGCCCCACCATTATGACCTCATTGAATCTTAATTACCTTCTCAAAGCCCCTATCTCCAAATATAGTCATGTTGGGTGTTAGGGCTTCAGTATCTGAATTTGGGGAGAACATAAGTCCATGACACATGTGTACAAAACTTTCATTGGTAAATAATGACAATTTTTGCTCTTTTCAATCTTTATGCCTTAGTTTACTTTTTTATCTTATTGCACTGGCTAAGGCCTCCAGGATAAAGTTGAATAAGAACAATGGGAGCAAATATTTTTGCTACCTACCTAATCTCTGTGGTAAATCTTTTACTATTTTCATTCAAATGATGTTTGCTATAGATATTTTGTAGATACTCTTTATCAGAAAGTTTGCTTTCACACCCAATTTGTTCAGCACTAATGAGTATTGAATATTATAACTTTTTTATACCTAGTGAGATGACCATAGGAATTTTCTACTTTATTTCTAAAAGTTATGAATTTTATTGTTTGAATGTTAAGTAATTGCATTTCTGTAATATAGTTTGGAATATAATGAAGTCAGACATTATTCATTATCCTTTTACTACCTATACAGATTCAATTTCTTAATATTCTGTTGCAGTTTTTTTGCATTTTTTATCATGAAAAATTGTCATGTAAGTATCTTTTTGCAATAATACTAAGAGTATGCTGGCCTCACAAAACAAGAGCTGTTTCCTACTTTTTCTAATCTCTGTGTGTATTTGAGTAAGATTAGAACTATTTCTTTCATTAAATACTTGGAGGGGAAATGGCCCTTGAAGCCACAAGCACTTGGAGATTTCTTTTTGTTAGAGATTTTAATTACAAAATTAAATGTCCCCAAAGATATAGGACTAAACGTATTTCAATTTCTTTTTACATCATTTATACCAGTTTGGGTAAGTAATGTTTTCCAAAGAATTTTTTTCCATTTCATCAAACTTTTCAAATATCAGCATATAGTAGTTAATAATATCCTCTTCTTATCTTTGTAATATTTTAAGGATCTGCAATGATGTTTTTTTACATTCCTGATGTTGGTAATTTGTACCTTATTATTTTTGGTTGTTTTTCATCAGCCTTGCTAGAACTTTATAATCTTTGTAGTGGTTGAAAGATGACTCCCCAAAATACTTTCATATCTTAAACTCTTTAAAAGTGACTTTGTTTGGACAGAAGTAATTAATTAAGGATCTCAAAATGATATCATCTTAGGTTATCCAGGTGAGCTCCTAAATCCAATGACAAGTATCCTTAAGTAACAGAAGAAAAGACAGAAAGAAGACCATGTGAAGGAGGAAGCAGACTGAACTTATGCAGCCATAAGCCAGGAAAAAAACTGCAATGCTCTAGTTAGATTTTTAAAGCCATTTCTAGATCAGTTTCACAATAGCCAGATAATACACTTTTAAATCATTTCAATCCACTAAAATCTGTTGAAACTTCATTAATGGCCAGCACATAATCAGTTCTGATGAGTATTCAATTAAAAACAATGTATACTGCATTCTGCAGTTACAGGTTTTGTTGTTTCTATTTATACATGGTAAAGTTTGCTAATCATGCTTTTCAGATCTTCTAAATCATTGTTGATATTTTGGATTATTTGTACTGTCAGATACTGAGAGACCTGTTAGCTCTCCAACTCTGATTTTTTTTTTTTTTCTATTAGAGATGGGGTCTCACTCTTTCACCCAGGCTGGTGTGCAGTGGTGCCATCTCAGCTCACTGCAACCTCTGCTTCTTGGGCTCAAGCTTTCTCCCACCTCAGCCTCCCAATTAGCTGGGACCAATGGCATGCACCATCATGCCTGGCTAATTTTTTTTTTTTTTTTTTTTTTTTTTTTTTTTTTTTTTGGGTAGAGACCGTGTTTCCTCATGCTGCCCAGGCTAGTCTTGAACTCCTGAACTCAAGTGATCTGCCCACCTTGGCTTCCCAAAGTGCTGGGATTATAGATGTGAACCACCATGCCCCACTTCCAAATCTGATTTTAGATTTTTCTATTTCCCAGTTAGTTCTGACAATGTCTCATTTGTATATCTGTAGGTTTTATAATGTGCATAAAAATTTATAGTTGTTATGTTCTACGGACAAACTGACCTTTTATCAATATGAAAACAATCTTTTTATCTTTAATAAATGCATCATGCCTTAATGACTACTGCATCTGATATAAACATATTCACACAGTTTTCTTTGGTTAATATTTGTGTAAAACTTTTTTATATCTATTTTCAACATTTTTTACCTTATCTCTGTAAATTTCATTTCATAATTTATTCAATATTATAATTTTTGCATTTTAATTAGAATAGTCTTTCTAAATAAAATGTAGTTCCTAGGGATTTAAATTTACCTTGTCACAATTTGATTTGTCCTTGACTCATTCATATTATGTTCTTTCTCTCCTTTCTTGCTCACTTTGGAGTAGTCAGGCCTATTATTATTATTATTACTATTATTCTTTTTAGTGTATTTTCTGTTCTACTAGCTATACACTACATATTATTTTACCACTACTTCAATAGTTTACCTTACAGAAGTAGTTTTCAAAGTGTCTTCTTAAAAAAAATTGCATCTGCAACTTTTAGCAGGAATGCAAACTTTTGACCCCACCCCACCACTCAAAAAGTTAAATGAGAAACTTTGAGGGTGGTATATAGCACACTTTGAAGAAGCCCTTCATATAATTCTAAACAACTCTAAAATTTGAAAATCACTGCCCTACAGATTAAATATGTATCTTTGACTTATTAGAGTTTAATATAATACATAAGGTCGTTAAACAACTTAAGGTCTGTTTATCCCTTCTCTATCCTCTTGTGTATTATTGTCATATATTTTAATTACACAAACATTTTAAACAGACTCATTTAATAGAGTCTGCAGTCATTTGGAGTGATACACACATTACTTAGTTTTTTCTCTCTGTATTAGTCTAT
Source organism: Homo sapiens (assembly GCF_000001405.40). NCBI lineage: Eukaryota > Metazoa > Chordata > Mammalia > Primates > Hominidae > Homo > Homo sapiens. The sequence continues at coordinate 29,621,651 of NC_000011.10, forward strand.
TCCCACATTGCTATAAAAAATACCTGAGACTGTGTAACTTATATTAAAAGAAGATATTTAAATGGCTCATGGTTCTGCAGGCTATACAGGAAGCATGATGCTAACATCTGCTCCGTTTCTGGGGAGGCCTCAGAAAACTCACTGTCATGGTGGAAGGCCAAGGGGGAGCAGGTATGTTACATGGCCAGAGCAGGAGCAAGCAAGAGAGGGAGAAGGTGCTATGGACTTTTAAATGACCAGAACTCACACACACAGGTACACACAGAAAAATTTCATTAAGTATTGTGAAGATAGTACCAAGGGGGATGGTAATAAACCATTCATGAGAAATCTACCACTATAATCCAATCACCTCCCACTAGGCCCCACCTTCAACACTGGGAATTAGATTTCAATATGAGATTTGGGTGGGGACACACATCCAAACTACATCACCCTCCATACCCACAATTACCTGAGTGTTTTCTTACCTGCCAAACCTCTAAGGCTGGGCATGCACAGCATTAGAAATCATCACATAAGAATTGTATGTAAAATGTATGGAAGCTCAGGTAGAAATGTGTGGAGCTCAGGTAGACACAGAAAACGCAAGTAATGTTAATGACTAAGAGACTCATGCTACTAGAAATCTATCCCTGTTGCACTGTCTTAGCTCCACTAATTTATTCTCATAGTATCATGAAGAGTTGCTTACCGCCAGTTAAAGAGAAAAACCTCAGGTATACTCTACAGATAATTTTGCATTATATGCCAGTGCCAACTGAAATTCAATTCATCTAGTAGAGTCCTACAACCCAAGCATAAGTGTCTCTAAAAATACAGTAGTGAAAGGATATTTTTCCTTTGGACAGAATACTGATCAATGTATTTTACTGCTTATTTTATCTAGACATATAGTAGCAGAAGCATGGATATACTGATTTCTGGACATTATAGGGATCTTAAAATGCCTTAATTTCCTTAATTGTATTTTCCCTTTTGCAGTGATATTAGTGTCATAATAATAATATATAACAACATACAACAGAGCAACCAACAAGCTTAACACCTGAGAAAAGATAGGTGCCTCCCAGAAGTAACAAACATGAGTACTTGATTACCTAGGGCACACATAGCACAGACCAAGATATAATCGCCTTGAAAGTGGATGAAAAGAATGCAGCTGAAACATTTATCAAATTATTGGAGGCCAAATGTGAACACTAGTGAAGATCAACTGTGGTTGGAGAAATGAAGAACAGCAAAACTCTAACCCCGGGACAAGTACAAGATTACTGAGAAAGCTTCACCCCACAAACTCAGGGGCACTAAGACTGAGGCTGAGCCGTAACGACAGAATTTTCCCACTGTTAAAGCAAATAAATATGGCCTGAGAAGGATTTCTATATTTGAGTCCTTGTGGACTAACTGCAACCTAGCTTAACAGGTAAACAAGATTGAAAACCCAATTTAGGAGTATGTGCCTGTAATTATAGCTGAGTCTTGGCCAATTGCAGTATAACAGAAACAAGCAAACTGAATATGGCCTGAGAAGGACTTCTATATTTGAGTCCTTGTGGACTAACTGCAACCTAGCTTAACAGGAAAACAAGACTGAAAACCCAACTTAAGAGTATGCGCCTGTAATTATAGCTAAGTCTTGGCCAATCGCAGTGTAACAGAAACTTTGAGAATTACCTTCTACCAACCCATCCCCCACGGAGAGGATGCCTGGAGGAATTTGAGGAATGTGGTGCACTGAGAGCAACCACAGTAACAACCAAACTGAAACCCACCTTAGTAGTAGGGGGATTCAACCTCCCACTATGCTACTTCTGATTCCTTTCTGCATTTCTGTTTTTCCCTTTGGAATTACCTCCTCCTCCTCGAAGACCATGTCAGTATTAAAGTGTAGATCTGTTTTCAATTATTTCTGTAAGATTTATTTATTTTTATCTGGAAACAGCTTTATTTATTCTTAATTTTCAAAATACTATCCTGCATGGCATCAAATTCTGCTCTTATAGTTAGTTTATTTTAGGATTTTAGAAATGCCTTTTTATTTTCTTCCAGCATTCGTCATTTCTGTTGACTAATAAGCTATAATTCTTATGGTTACTCCTTTGGTAGCAAGATAACTTTTCCTCTGGCTGCTTTAAGATTTTATCACTGTCTTTGTTTTCCATAGCTTTACCCCGACTGAGGTTTATAGAACTTCTTTAGTTTTTGAGTTAAAGGTTCTTTTTTATTATTTTTGGGAAATTATCTTTCTTCATTTTGCAAATATTATTTTCACTTCATTTTCTCCTTTCCTCTGGTACTTTAATGTCATGTAGATTAGGCCTTTTCACTATATGCTAAATGCCACTAATGCTCTTTTGTGTATTTTGTTTTTTCTCTGTGTTTCCGATCAATTTTTTTCTCTGTTTCAGATCAATTTTTTTTCTCTGTTCTATTAATCTGTATTACAGGTAACTAATCTTCTCTTTGGTTTGTCAAATCTGGTATTTCAAGAATCTTTACCTTCTTAATTTTAGTTATGTCATATTTTGGTCTCAAATGTTTATTTAGTATTTAAAATATTTATTGATCAGGCATGGTGGCTCACTCCTGTAATCACTCTTCGGGAGGTCAAGGCAGGCAGATCACCTGAGCCCAGGAGTTCAACACCAGCCTGTGCAATATGGCGAAACCTCATTTCTATAAAATATGTAAAAATTAGCCAGGTGTGGTGGTGCATGCCTGTAATCCCAGCTACTCAGGAGGCTGAGTTGGGAGAATCCCTTGAGCCATGGAGGTGGAGGCTGCAGTGACCCAAGATCACGCCACTGCACTCCAGCCTGGCTGACAGAATGAGACCCTGTCTCAAAACGGAAAATAAAAAAAAGATTTCTATTCACTTGTGACATCCTCCATCTTGCCATCTGCTTTCTTAGACATATTAATCATAACTATTTTTAAGGACACTATTTCTCTTACTTTTTTTTTCTATTAGTATTATCTTTTTGTGTCTTTTGGTTAGCTTTGTAATTTTTAATGCACTTATTTTAAATAAGGTAGTTCTAGAAGTTCTAGATGAGTCTTCATGTCTAAAAGTCAAAGAATAAGTCACCTTAATCCAAGAGTATAAAATATTTCAAAGTTGAATGTCTTTTTTTTTTTTTTTTTTTGTAAGTTCTAATCTATCTCTGGTTTACTTTTACTCCTATGATGTAATCTTTCAGGGACCCCAGCTGAAAGCTTGGGTTATCGGGGTCCCTCTTCTTAGTCAATAAAACTCCAACATTTAGGTTTATAGCCTGTAAGACTGCCAAAAATTCCAATTATCTGCTTAACTACTTAATTACCCCCCTTTAACTTGACTTCTTCATATGTAAGTCCATGTTGCTTATGGTTGGCAAATGTGATGAAGATGAGAGAAGTCTGGGATGTCGACTTCACTTTTCTGTGCTTGCTTTTTGTCCTGTATCTTGATTCATCAGGTATGAGCTGCTTAGGCAGCCCTGAGCTTCATTTTTAAAAAAATATTCACAAACGCATGAGACTGTCAAAAAGCTGTTTTGAACTTCTTAGCTTCTTAGTAGCAACTTACTACTCAGCATCTCAACTTCTTGAGTCATGACTCTTAGGCATCAGTGAATCTCTCAGAAAGACAGGGTAATATGTTCCATTCACTTAGCACAATGTTTTTCCTTTCTCTGAGATGTAACCCTTCTATGCAGATGCCTTAATATTTCTCTGATGCCTTAAAACAATGTATTTTAATTACTCTATCCATCTTTTTCTGTTGTTTTTGATGGGTGGATTCATCTCCTAGCTAGAAGTAGAAATTCAGACAAACTTTGGGAAGTTCTTGAGAGAAGAGAGAGAGAATTGGAGCTTAATAAGAATTACGTAGCATAAAGATAGTGAAAAATATTGCAAAGAGGTGAATCGGTATTGAAAAAGTTTCAGAGGCAAAACTAAGTCTATAGTGGTAAAGGGTATGTGTTAGAGACAAGATGTGGCAGGCAGTCAGTTATTGATTGAACACCAGCTACTGGGCTACATGCCAATAGAATATAAGGACATAGTGCCTTGCTTCTGGGACTTGTATCATTGGAGAGGAGATAATAGATGTTACCAAACAACTATAAAGCAAGGTTTCATAGATATATGTCTTGTAATTTTTAATATATATTTTTTATTTTAAAGGAATTCTGATAAGGGAGAAAACAAGGATGGCATTTGAGATGGGACAAGAAAAAAAAATGCTGTTTTTACCAGGAAACAAGGAAGGAACATAGAGCACATAGGATAAAATAAGGAGAGGGGACAAAAAGTGTGGTATAGTGTTTGAGTGGTTCTCAAACTTCAGCATGCATTATACTCACATGCAGGGCTTAAAATAAAGACTTCTGGGCTCCATCTCCAGAGTTTCTGAAGGAATAGGTCTGGACTAGGGCCAGATAATTTGCATTCCCAACAAGTTCCTAGGTATGCTGATGCAGTTGATACAGCTGATGCTGCTGATCTCGAGCCACATTTTGAGAATCACAAGTATAGACAGAATGACTACTAAAAGAATAGTAAAAGAAAGTGTAAATAATAGCTGACAGAAAGGCAAAAATGATTTTTTTAAAAAGTACTTGCTTCAAAGAATTTATAATGTGCTTAATTTGGTGGAAGCACGGGGCAGGGGAATAGAGTTCTGCATGTAGGATCATAAGTAATTTGCGATGAGAAAAAAGAAAAAAAAACGTAATTTGCTAAGAAATGTGATGGCCATGCAACTAGTAAAAATAATTACTTTAGAAATCATATTTCCTGAGCCAGCATCTCGTTATCTTGATAACTTTGTAAATAGTGCAGTTTTCCTATCCAGTATTTCTACTGAAATCCAGGCTGATTATTTTAAGAGCTGTTAGTAGCACTCCATGGTAATTGAACATATTAATAATTATGAGGAACAGAATAGCTATACAGCATTTTTGCCTTAATTATATACCATGTGACTGTGACTATCCACATTACTGAGACAGAGTTTAGTTGAACTATCCCTTCTGATGTAATGAATCTAGGTGAAACAAACTTCCTTTAATATTTCAGAAACATCAAATTATACTTAGATATAGCAAAGTACTTATATTTGAAGTCAACTTCAGAAACATCAAGTTATACGTAAAAATAGCAAAGTACTTATATTTATATGTTTACAGAAAATGAAAAGGAAATATTGTTTTGGTGTTAAAATTAACAATAAAGGAAAAACAAATAATCAGCACACTTCTCTGTACAATTAAAAGGTGAAGTTTATTTTAAACATTGAATACAAATTTGATTGTAGAAAAAATGGCCAACTTCCTATTCTTCCATCTTTGCTTGGAAAAGTCTAAGTGTCTTCAATAATTATAAAACTATTTTCTTTAAGTAAAATGCATGTGATTGTTTTAGGACAGCATGGCATCTTTAAAGAAGGCACAAATACTCTAGCAAGTCTCCCAGCTTGTCCTTCCAGGCTAGCCTAACAGCTGGTGATAGATTAACCTTCACCATTTCTGAAAATTCTTGTATAGATAAAAATCACAGTGGAAATCGCCAGAACTCAGTACATTAGTACATTAACAATTTGAAAAAGGTAATGAATCTGGGGATAGAATAGATGAAAACCTGGGGAAATGTCAATTGTGATAACATCAATAATGAAATTCATTCTATTCAGATATAGATGAGATTCAGTGAACCAAGTCTCAGCTCTTCAAAATGATTCTAAAATGTCCAATAGTTTCCATCCCCCTCAACCTGAGTCTGATCTGCTAGCAGTGAAGGAAAGGCAAATTAGATTTTTAAGCTTTAAGCGCCAGGTCAGCAAGTCCCTTATTGGTTCTTGGCTGTTTTAAATAATTTAATGTGTGATTTTATCAAGCAGACATTAAAGACACAGGAGGTAAAATACTCCCTGGAATGAAGAACCATTCTTATTCAATCAAAATAGAATGCCCTGCTTTTTGTAGTAAAACATCAAATTGTTTGTGGTTACATAGAAATAATTCAGAGAGTCCTAGAATTTACCACTTCCTTCAACACTATATTAAAGCACATTGTGTCCTCTCAGAATATTCCAGTCTTTGATGACCAAGCAAACACAGTCAGGCCTCCTGGGGTTGATGGGGAACTATTCCCTCTGGATCACAGCTCATGAAGCTGTCTGGTAACATTCCTGTTATCACTTTCCCACAGGAAAAACAATCAATCTATAAAATAAAGTTTTCTCTCGCTTTCTATAGCTTAACCAGATGTGTTAGGGAGTTGAACTGTATGTTTATTAATTTCAACGTGTTGAATTGTCTTATGTTTTACCTTCTTTATATATAAAGCACATTAAAATATGAAATTTTTTTTCTCTGCCACAAACATTGTTTAACTAGTGTAGAGTCCTTGAAGAATGTCTTCTATGCATGAGAATTATTTAATATGCAAAGATTCTATACTCTGTCAATTCTGGATATGGCTAACTAGTTCTTTAAAGGGCTAGACAGTAAATATTTTGAATATGTAGCTATAGCATCTCTGTCATAACTATTTAACTCTGCCATCATAGCAGCATTGAAATCAGAATCAGATAGACCTGAATTTGGCATCCAGTTCTCCCATGACATGATTTAGGCTAAGTTATTTACTGTCTATGAGCCATAATTCCTCTGTAAAATGGAAGCAAGATCTTTTTCATAGGCTTGTTAAGGAGCTTGCTATTGAGTCCCTAGTACATGCCAGGGACAGCACCACACAATTTCACCAAGTACCTCATTCTCACAATAGTGGTGTTTGAGGTAGGATTAGCTCCTTGGAGAGTTATGGCAATAGGTTCAGTGAGATTAGCTCTGGGTCATACCACTAATACAGACCTGGGGTTCTGAACCAACATTTCTGAGACTCCAAAGTCCTTTGTTCCTTTTAATCTGTATTACCTGGCTGTCACTATACTGCCTATTAGGAATGAGAGGGCATATTTAAAAAAAAAAAGTGACTAGCACATTTTGTGGCCTGTGTTAGATGCTAAATAAACATTGGTTTTCTTTCCCTCTCTAGGGAGGCTAAAAAACTAGTTAATGGCAGCACTAGAAAGACAGCCTGATAAATCTTCCTGAGGAGAGGAGAGAGGGGGGAAGATACCTATCAGATACTACTGACAGCAACTGAGTAGAAAATTCAGTACTTGTCTAGCTCTCACGCAAGAGCAGTTTCTGATGGGCAGCAAAATAGGGCTTGAAACCTGAAGACTGGCTGCAGCCACGAAGTCTCCACAGAGAATATGTGTCGGTTAGATTTTAAATCCCAGATCCCATATCAAGCATATAGCATTCTCATTACTTTCAGCAGCCTTGGCTCAGCATGCCCAGGAATTAAGGATATGCTGTTTCTCTCCTAAGCTTGCCTTTTGCTGCAGCAGCTCTGAGATGAACCAGAGTATATGGCAAGGACAGTGGGAGAAAAGGAGGCTTCTAGATTCAGGCCCCTGAGTACTCAGTAGTTCTACTATCCCTGAAGAACATCCCCTTGTTCTTTGCTTTTAAAGAGAAGACTTTTGATGGGTTTGACATTCCTTCTTAGGAAGCATGCTGTCGGGCTCCAGAGAACATAATTACAATTACACAAGACAAATGGACATTTTTAAAGGACTATTACAAAGATGCCATACTAGTCATGGTGACTAGGCTTGGTTGTGCCAACAAAATAGGCCTGAAATCTCAGTGATATGATAAAACAAATACTTGCTTCTTGTGCTTGTAAAGTCTGCTTCCAGCAAGTTGAGTGACTCTGGGGAAGCTGGCTGCGGCAGTGACTCAGGATCCAGGCAGTTTCCATACAGACTCTTACATGCTTTGGTCCAGAGGTGATATGCATTACTCAGATTTACAGCCCTTGCCCAGAGTCACTTGACCTCTCCTCATTACAAAGAAAGTCAAAAAACAATGCGGAGTAAGGGAACTGAGACTAACGTGTGGAAATTCAGTCAGCCATAAATGTCTCTGCTAGAGATGAGCCTGCTGTCAGTGCAATGGAAGTAAACCTTTTTCTGAATACAAAACCATTCAGTGTTCTTCATATCAACTTTAAATTCCAATAGGGGACTACAGTGTATAACGAAATGCTATTGAGTAACTCATTATGGCAAACAAGAATCGCCTTAGGCATGGCTGAATTTTCCCTAACTCTTCTTTTTTGCCCAATGCCTTAATACCTGAGAGGTGGCATGTTTGTGTTGTTCCATGAGGCAGAAGCAAGACCAATGATATTACTGGGGATAGGCTTTGCCTTTATGTCCGTGAAGAAAGTCTACTTTGAGCCTAATTCATGTTTTGATTGACCAGTGGAGAAAGAGCAAAGGGAACTCTGGAGTTAAAGCTCAGGTTCTGAGCCCATTTTTTTTTGGTTGGGGGAGGAGGGTTGTTTTTGTTTTTTCCTAGGAGAAAGGCAGGAGGGTCTGACTGGATCACCAGAATCCTCAAAGACAGGGCTAAAGGAAGAGAGTTTGTCTTCTACTTTTCTCTGGTATAAAGTTAGGTAGGTCATTCTCAGGATTTTATCTGAAAGACAGTGTTAAAGAAAAACACCCAAAGTATCTTCTAGGCAAGAGAACCAGGAGAGGGTTGAGGAGTTGGGAGGAGCTCAATGTTAGAATGGGGAAATCCGAACAATTACTCTGGTGGGCTAACTTTCTCAGCTTTTTCTTTCTTCTCTTCTGTTTGTATAGAGTAAGACCATTTAAAGGGACCAAAAATGGATGAACATACTTGGCACTATGAACTAAAAGATCTTTGGCTAAAGAAGAGATGAAGACTCATTCAACTCCTACAAGTGAATTAAGGAGCTCTGAGAAGGCAAAGCCAGCCCAGGAGGGTGGACACACTAAGAACAATGTGCCTTGTCCTGATACACAGTTGTGGTATAGGTAACAAAATCTGAGTATCCAACCTAAGATGTTACCCCTCACCTCACCAGAATACCTCCAATCCCTTCCCTGGAAACACAGAATAAATTCCTATAGAAAGTTATAAAGCAGAAAAACAAGGTATCTTTTGTGGAGTAAAGAATGATTATGGAGGAAAAACACCATTAACTGTCACAGAAATAATTGTGTCATTCAGCAGAATGGTAGCTCTAAGGAAGACAGCAGCAATACTCAAGGTACAGCCATTCTTCTGGAACAAGTCCCACCAATCTGAAGCTGGAGTCAATGGTGGTGACAGTGGTGACATTGCAGAAAAGTAAGAAAGTTGAGGGAGGGATTCAGGAGAAACATGGCTGTTGGAATTAGACACTCAAGATCTAAACTAAATGGGATTAGTAATGATAAAAGGATAAATGGTTGATTTCTCCCATCACCACTTTGCCTGGAAATATTGAAAAGCAGGAACCCAGTGGTATGGTTGACTTCTCTAGAGCTACTGACAATAAAATGGGCTGCAACAACCACCACACACACACACACAAAAAAATCCCAGTGGGATTCTTGTTAATAGGGACATTTAGGAAAGGGTGGGATGCTCACTCACCCAGGTTATTGCAGAAAACATCCTGCTTTGACTGAGAAATTGTGGAGGATGCCTAAGGTCACTTCTGACATCTATGGAACTGTAAAGTCTGTTTCCCGTGGGGTATAGTTTTGTCATATTGTGACTATGTATTTGTGTATGTATTGTGTATGTATATTTGTCTTCCTATTAGCCAATGCTCTGTCAACCCACGGTTGTTTTGAGAATCAAAGAGATAACATGCAGGAGGATGAAATGGGAACAGATTAACACAAGATGCTCACACTGCCTAGTAATCATAGCTTTCTCCCTATTTCTGTCCCTGTCATCGGGCACAGCTATTCTATTAAATAGCTGCTCTCAATACACAATGGAAGTGCTTATTTTAATGTCTGTCTGAACCTGGATATTGATTGGGAGCAAGGTTGGAGATTAGTTGATGAAGCTACATTTTGTTTTTTTCACTAGAAACCGCAACAGGCAGAGACAAAGTTTGCGAATCCCAGTGCATCTCTTGACAGGCAAGCCTCTAAGCTCTCTCTGAAGCCTTCCCCACTTCAGCTCTTGAGATAACACGATTCCTTTCCCCACCCCAGCCAGGTGTCCCATCCACTACCAACCTGGAACAGAAGGAAGCTGGATGTTGTAACTTCCCTTCAGGCTGGGGCTGACCACAGAGTGGTTCTCCCTCTTCTCAGTTCTAGAGCTCGAGCCTCCCCTGCAGCTTCCATTGGAATAACTTAAGTTTTCCTTTCAGGCCTTCCATAGTGAGGCCCTGCTCATTTGGATGCAGTGCAGCCCACCTCCTGCCAACATGATCTTTCTTCCATTCTTGATCAATAAGTCACAAGCCTATTTGGCCTTTTCCCAGCAATGAGAGATGCACGGCTTGAGGTCAAAAGGAAAGAAGGCCAAAATAGACTCTGCCTCTGCCTAGCATTTAACTCCCATATACCCTTCACCTCCTCCACCATGCCCAGGTGTTTTCTTACTCCAAGGCTAGAATTTACATCAAATTTACTACAGGAGAGAAAAAAGAAGAAAGGATGGGAAGGAGGAATTAAAAGACAGAAGCATGAGGGAGGAGGAAGAGAATGGGAACAAAAAGGGAAGCAATATGTTGAATTGCTTGAATAAATACAGAAAGGGAGACAAAAGAATTATCTTTCTATTCTGGAAACAGGGTCATATACTCTTATTCTTCCCACTGGCTTGAAGCAGAAGCCACAGCCTAAGCCCTGTCTTAATCCCCTCCACAAGCCCTCCAGCTGCCTCTGCTTGGACCCAGCATCCCCAGTGAAGCCCTAACTGTAGGTTCTTCCTTAGATTCACAGGTTCCCAAACATGGAGACAGTAGTTGACTGACTGCTTGCTTGATTGACAAAGAGCTGGCCGGGAGTGGTGGTTCATGCCTGTAATCCCAGCACTTTGGGAGGCCAAGGCAGGTGGATCACGAAGTCAAGAGATCAAGACAATCCTGGGCAACATGGTGAAACCCCGTCTCTACTAAAAATACAAAAATTAGCTGGGCTTGGTGGCACGTGCCTGTAGTCCCAGCTATTCAGGAGGCTGAGGCAGGAGAATCACTTGAACCCAGGAGGCGGAGGTAATAGTGAGCAGAGATCACACCACAGGACTCCAGCCTGGTAACAGAGTGAGACTCCGTCTCAAAACAGAAAGAGCTATTAGCTGTTGTCTATTGTCTGCTCCCTATGATCTGGGCTCTATTCCAAGTGTTGTTGCCTCTAGTTGTCCTCATCTCATGTAAAGCTTACTATTAGCTTCATTTTCTGATGAAGAAACTGAGGTTAAATAACTTGCCTCAGGTCATACATCAAGAAAGATGTCATGATTCAGTCCAGAATGGTCTGCAGCTGGGACTCATGCTCCTCACCACCTTGTCTCCTGCCTCCCCATCCACCCAGCACTGCCTCCCATGAAGGAAAAGAGAGGCAGGTCAAATGCTTATCCCAGACTCCTAATTCTCCTAAGCTACTGCATCCTCCAATGAGAAAAAGTGTGCCTTTCTCAAAATCAGTGGGGATTTGGGAGATGCAGCTACCTCATGGAGGTACTTTGGGGCAAAGTAGAGCAGGAGCTTGGATAAATCATAGTACTGGAAAAAAAATGTATCCAGGCTGTTTATTTTACAAATGAAAACCCTAAGGCTCTCAAACCTGAATGAAATCATGAGATAACTTTGCTGAGTGTAGCTAAAACCAGAGCTGTTGAATTAAAGAACCTTAGAAATAGAAGACATCTGATATTCTATCAAGTCCAAGCTACTTCTTTGTATCTGCCTCTATTTTAAAGATGTGTGCACTAAGAAACTTCAGTAACTGGTCTATCTTTGAATTATAGTATCTACTTTTCTGCAAAATGTGGAAGGAGTTAGTGGCAGATGTCCTGGCCAATTTTAGAGAGGTATTAGGGTCTACTACAGAATAGATGGTGACCAGAATAATGATCAGGCCAAGTGAGGAGGGCTGCATATATGGTGTCTATATATAGTAATCAATCAATAAAGAGATGTTAAATGCATGAATGAATGAAATTTTGAAAGTAGAAGGAGAAACAACTGAAGACTTTTTATGACGTTCCAAATATGCCATCTTAAAGTCTTCCCTGATGACCAGAAACTTCTATAAGACAAGTTCTGGAAGCTTCCGTGTTAAGGAACTCTTTTGGTAAATAGAGTGAAAAGAACACTTTTGATGTTGGGACAAAAGTATGAGTGGGCTCTAAGGTTTTTATTTGATTTGCAGTTTAATCAGCCTTCACTGGTATGGCAAATCGAAATCGGAGACAGACTTTAATTATCCTAGTGACCTTTAGACAAGGCCCCAGAGTCTGGTGCCGTAGGTTGTCATCTGAACGGAGCCTCATCAGAGATACCCTCAGGGTTTATGAATTGCTCTGCCTGTTTTATATTTATCCCAAATCACCTGGTACTGTTAGCTATCATTTTATTTAAGTCTCCACAAATGAATACTTTTAAGAAATGCTACCTCACAGTATAATATAATGGTCAGATAGAATCTTGGGCTCTAGGGAAAGACAGCTCTTATTAAAATTGTGTCTCTATCACTTAATAACTATAAATAATATCACATTATTTAATCTCTCTGACCTCTGTTCAGAGTTCATCTATAAAATAGATAGGGGTAATAATGTTCACTAACTCAACAGGTTCTTAGAGCAGAGAATGAAATATGCAAGTTTTTTGCAGAGATCTCATGTCTAACCTTCAAGAAGTTGCCCATGCCATCCAGAACTGACCCAAGCAACTCCTCTCCTGACCACTAGTGGACAATAATATAATGACTCCATCTCCATTCCTCATTTTACTTTTACAAAATAAACTTCTCTGGTTGACCATTAAGTTATTTAATCCCCAGGCACTATCAAGTTGAAGTCTGAATTAAGACTGTTACCCAGCTTTAAAAGACAATTGCAGGCTAGAGTGAAGACAAATTACTTGAGAAAAGTGGTTTGATTCAGTTTATGCATATATTGACTGTCCCTGTGGTCAATGAACAGGGTCTCATTTAAAATTCAATTTGGAGAATTATGGTGCTTCTGAATGAGAGGAGAAACATAAATGAAATGGGCCACAAAGTGGCATTAAACTATTTCATACGGGTTAGACACAGCTTGGCAAATAAGAGAAGAGTCTCTCTGAGAGGTCTCTGCGGGAATAATCTTGGAGGAAGAGTGAAAGCAGGAAAAGAAGAAAGACAGTTTCTCTACATATTCTGACCAGTACTAGGGAGCCCTCTCTGGCAGCTTCCAGAAAGGAGAGGAAGAAGGTATGACTGGAGGGAGGGAGAAGTCAGAGAAGCTCTGTGTTCCCTTTTTCTTAGCTAGACAGGAACCAAAATGATGCAGTTATTTTCAGAGATGCTGCATTACACCGCTCACCAAAAGTTGCCTTGGGTCACAGAGAATTCTCCTTTCTCTGTATTCATAAGAATTTAATATCTAACTTCAGCCCCTTGTATTTGAAGCTGCTCCTATTTGAAGCTGGCATTTGATCTGTCTCAGGAGGGTCAATTAAGAAAGACTACTAACGTTATTTTTTCCCTTTCATGGTACAAAAGGCAACTCACCTGCACCGTGGAATAATAATTAAAGAACCAACTCACTTCTTGCAGAAGCTATGAAGGAAGAAAACATGTTCAGAAAATAGAATTCAGACAGGAAAAAGGGAGCAACTTTTAAGCATCCACTCTGCACCTGGTTTTCTATATATCATTTCACATAGCACTCATCACAGCCCCCTGACATGAACTTATTATATTCATTTTAAAGACTGGAGAACTGAGTTTCAAACAGGTTAAATAGCTTGGGTCACATAGCTGCTAAGTGGTAAAGTCAGGTTAGGAATTCTAACCTGGCAAACAGTCCTAATTCAAACTCCAATGCCATAGGGTAGTACCTGGGGATAAAATACTTTAATAACAGCCAACTAACACCCTAGAGGAAGAGCTTGTTTTGCCAAAATGCAACTTGGAAAAGAAAGTAAAATTATTAGATCATTATTCATGTATGGTCCTTGTTCTTGACAAATCATTCTCTTTGCTAAGCAGAAACAACTGTCAGATTGACCGAGAATTTCTTCTTCTTCACAAGGTTTTTAGGTTGGTGCTAAATGATTATGGCTAGTGGAAAAGTTCTCCTTTCTTCATATACACAGATACACACAGAAAATATATACATACACATAAAAGAGTTTAGGAAGGGTAATCAAAAGAAATTTTATATACTCATCTTCATCACCATCATCTTCATTATCATTATCACAGAATAAAGCTTAACTAAATAGGTAAGGAATTTCCTTAACTACCAATTTTAACAAGTTCTTCCTTTTCCCTCAGTGGTTTTATAGCATTTGAAATAGAACTCTTAGTCCATTCTGAAAACCACAAAAAAAAATCCACTCTTCCAAATGCTTGTCTTTATAGTAGAACCAGACAATAAACTATAAGTTCACTAATGCATATTTTTAGAGAAGACTGTTGAGGCCTTTAATGAATGCATTTATTTATTATCTCCCTCTATTCCTTTCTCCCTTCCTTCTTTCTCCATTCCCTTCCTCCTTGCTTGTTTCTTTCCCTTCCTCCTTTCTCCAGCAAATGTTTACTGAGTGCCTATGATATGATTAGCACTGAACAAAGCCCTGGGATAAAACTTTCATGCAGGCCTAATGTAACCATTGAATGGAGCTGTGTGATTAGTGGAGGAGATAGAAATTAATCAAGTGACCACACAAACCATTGAGCAATGGCAATTGCTACAGATGTACTAAAGAAGAGGTGCACAGGGCTCTTTGAGAGACTGGCTGGTCAGGGAGGGCAAGGAAAGCTTCGTTGAAGAAGGGATGCTTGAGTTGAGATAAAAAGCCAACTTTTCACAGAGGGTAGAGAACACGTTTCAGGCAGATGGAGCAGCATGTGCAATGGTCCTGTGGCAAGGGGAATGTGGCATATTGGAAGGAATGAACAGATGCCAGTGTAGATGAAGGACAAATGCTGAGGCTAAGTCTGTAGCAAGATGAGGTTGTAGAGATGAGTAAGAGCATAAAGGGACATGTATATCATTGTAAGGAGTTTTTCATGAAACCCTCACAAGGGCTATAAGTAAGAGATGACTTGATCAGGTTTGTGTTTTTAAATTTTATTGCCTAAATGTGAAGAATTGATTATGCAGGGCATGTGTTTGGTAGGGGACACAAGTTCACCAGCCCACCTTGAACTCTGAAGTTTTGTTCTCACTAGATTTCTATCACCCCATTTACCTGCATGCATCCTGTGGCTACGTTTTTGTTTTTTCATCTCTTGGTCCCCACACTAGACATTGTCCCGTTTTCTTTAGTCCTCTAAACACCGTCAATGTAAGGCAGCATGTAGCATGTTTTCTATTGATGCTTAGTGATTACAGAAAAGAGTTTCAGCAGAGTGCAGAAGAGGTAAAAATATATATACTGAACCTTGGATTTTACTCTCTATAAGCTCTCTGCATAATTTCTTCCAGGATTATCTCCCCGAATTTCTTGCCTTCAGCTCCAACTCACTGCTGTCTTCCTACACCTTTTTTCCTACTGTAATCTTGTTCCTCCATCTTCTCCAAATCTCAGGATTCCCCAGATCCCTGTCTACCTCTTACCAGGCTCAAAGGTGCTGCTTCCATCTAAGTTTCTGCCATATATATCAAGGCAGTGGGGAACAGGACAAGAGATAGGAGACTTTGGTTTTCATATCAAACAAGCCCAGAGAAGGGTTTGTCATAAGCAAAGGAGAAAATATCTTTCTAAAAAGAATTCTTTTTCCACGTACCCCAGCAGTTTAAAGTACAGTTGGCTTTTAAAATAGCAATTATTTTCTTTTCTTTACATGTGTCAGAGTCCTTTGCTTCCGTTTTACTTACCTGAATCTATCCAATTATGCCCTATCAACACCAGAATGCAAGATGTATGAGGGATGTTTTATAAAAAATGACTGTGGCAGACCAAAGCCAGAAGAGAAGAAATCAGATGGTCATTACCAAATTGGGAGAGAGGAGATAGCAAACATGTCCTTGGAAGCAAGTAGACAAAATAGATCTGTGCATGAATTTGGGAATGGAAAAAAACAAACTAGCTGTAGGAAACAACAGTTCCCAAAAGACACTGAGAAGTGATAGCATAAACAATAATAGAGACAGAAAGGAAGACATAAAATAGGGAATGAGAAAATATGAAGGCTCTCAAGATGAACAGAACAATTTGCCAACACGTATGTCATTTCTCTCATAAATTAACTTCCTTGATGGGCTTAATTGTTTGAACAAATGAGATGGAGCTATTTTCAGAATGATTATTTATTCTAATCACCAATTCCCTTACACTAAAAGGAATGGCAGAGAAACCAGGCTTTTCCAAGCTTCATCATTTTAGTTAAATATTTACACATTCCAACTGACACTAAAAGTAGTTGCTGCTTCTTGGGTCTCTGAAAGATATGGGCTTAGGGTAATAGAGAGTTTAGGTATCTGCAGGTGGGTGTCTCAGAGAAGAAAGCCATCTCTCTGTGCATTGCCTGCTGGTAAAGAGCTGGGTCCTTCTCCTTAAACTTGTTTTACCAAGCCCAGAGTCCAGTCAAACCTGTTCTCAGGAGCCCCTGATCAGTTTATCTTTGAATTGTATTGAAATTTTACTTTACTTCTTTTCTAAAATTCTTAATTTAGTACACCTTACTGTAATAGAATGAGAAGGATAAAGAAAATATATATTTTATATCTATTTATTCTTTCTTTAAGTCCATCTGAGCATAAATCAATTTATTTAGGATTAAGAACTAGGCTTCAGCAAGAGAAGGGTTAGTTTCAACTCCTGACTGTATCACTGCCAAGCTGAATGACTTTATTTAACCTACTTACTCTCTCCAAACCTCAGCTATTTTTCCTGTAAAATGGGGACAGTACTAGTTTCTATCTCATAAGGCTGTTATGATAATTAAATAAGGTAAAACTTTAAAACACTTCAAATTGTGGCTGTCACATAATAAACCTCAAAGGTATCAGTTATTGTTATAGTATTACTTCTTATTATTAAGAGTTGTAGATGAAGTGATGTACTTTAAGCATAGTAATTCTTCCAGATGTTTTTCTTCTTGTCAGTTCCTTCAAAAGTAGACTTAGACAAGGATTTGAGTGCAAGAAATTTGTGCAGGAAGTGCAGAGATAACCTTCAAGGACACCAGAAAGTGATATGAGGAGGGAAGGCAGTAAATACAAGCTGAGTTAAATCAGCAACCATGCTGGGTGGCTGAAGCTATTCTGTAGGGAATTTCCAGGAAATGATGGTGTATCACTTAAAGATGAAAGGAGTTAACATATTTATGTGCTCACTGGCTTCAGTAATTGGTTGAGGGCACTAATTACCCAGCATTTCTAGCCTACTGTCCATGGCAGAGTCATTTTCTAGAAAAAGCCCTTAGGCAAAGAGAAACATGTACTAGAAGTTGGAAAATGTCCAAAGCACAAAACAGACATCTGAAATTAATGATAACTCATGGCATCAAAGACAGCAGCTTTCAGGATACAGCTCTGGACTAAGGCAGGCGACTTCCTTAAGTAACCCTAAAATTTAAGTGGTCTTGGAAATGATCATACCACCAGGTGGTTTCCAGCCAAGCTGTCACTTTGCAGAGTTGATCCAAAAGAGAATTATGTCAATTTTTTCAAAAGCATTAAGAGAAGCAATATGGAATATAAGTGTCATTATAATACAGAAGAAATTTAAAAAATGGGGGGTACAGAATTTCTGCATTTAAATCTTGACAGTCACATAACTAATTTATGATTTCTTTTTAAGATGGAGTTCCGCTGTTGTTGCTCAGGCTGGAGTGCAATGGCGCAGTCTTGGCTCACTGCAACCTGCACCTCCTGCGTACAAGTGATTCCCCTGCCTCAGATTCCCAAGTAGCTGAGATTACAGGTGCCCACCACCCCTGGCTATTTTTTTTTTATTATTTTATTTTTAGTAGAGATGGGATTTCATCATGTTGGTCAAGCTGGTCTTGAACTCCTGACCTCAGGTGATCCACCTGCCTCGGCCTCCCAAAGTGCTGGGATTACACGCGTGAGCCACCGTGCCTGGCCTAATTTATCACTTTTTAACCAAATTATACAATCTCTTTGAGCCTCTCTTCTTACTTTATTAGACTGGAAATAATATTTACCATTCATGGTTTTTATATTAAAGTCATTTGAACACATCAAAATGCTTTACAGTAAGGTATTCTTACAATTGTCAGGTCTAGATAACTGAAGTTGACCCCCTTAAAAAACTAACAACTTTTGTGGGCCATTTTTGATGGAAATATTTCTATCAGGTGAAAATACAAATCTCCAATAAACTGTATTTGATAAATATTGTTGAATTACTTCTCAGAGCTGTAACACTGCAACAGCAATGCTCTCCAGGCTAATGTGATAAGTCACACTATTTGCTTTTATTCTTTCTTTTCCCTCATGGCCCCTTCTTATTGCCATTAGTTTCTATGGAAACTAAGTAACTAAGCTCATTAAAACAGTAACCCAAGTTAACACCTAATACTAACCAAATAAGTGCCAGCTAGCTTGAGGATGTGCACCAACTTAAAAAAAGTTGTGATTGCTATTTTTCTTGCTGCTCAGAGGAATTTTTCACTTAATTTCAGATTTTTTGCTGTATTTAAATAGTTGAGATTGCCAACAATCTGATCATTTTATAAAAAGTAGTGTTCTCCTATACACTGACTGTGGTATTAAGGAAGATGGGGCAGAATGGGAGTGCTTAGACATTCCTCTAGAGGTACCTTATTCATTCATTCATTCACTCAATATTTCATTCATTTATTCTTTCAAAAAATAATGCCCACCCCCAATGTAAACTGTAAATATAATAAATACAATAAGGAATAAAACATTTACCTCATTATACAGTTAGCATAGAAATGGAAATAATCTTGTACAACTGATTAGAATTTTATCATACTCTACATGAATCATTGTGTTTTATCAAAATTTGTAAGTGTTATAAGACTATTACAGGTAAAGTCCTTTGGAGTTTAGCATTCAAAGAGAGGAGAAAAATTATTTTAGTTTAGGAGACCAAGAATGATTCAAGAAAAGAGTTGAAATAGTAACGGAGTCTTTGAGCTTGGGTAGAATTTGGATTCAGAGAAGGTAGAGAGAAAGGTCATCACAGGCTTAAAATGAACAAAGACATAGGAGCCTTTCCTAAGCGAATATAGAACACAGAATAATAAGTGATCTGTTTGATTTGAGACAGATGCAAAGGAAGTTGTGGGAAATAATTTTTCTAATGTAAAAGTGGCCTGAAAGTAGAAGGCATTGAAAGCCTGACTAATAGGTTTGGACAATGGGAGACACTGAATGACTGTGAACAGGTATTGGATAAGGTCATGGCTATGTTTGGAGTGTTCTTGTATTAGGTAGAGCAGGGAACAGGCTGGAGTAGCACAGACCAGTAAATAAGTGTTAGGAACAAGAGAAAAAAGAAATGAAAAAAGAGTTATGGCCCACTGAGGAGAAGAAACCTAAATGGTGTCTCCTAAGAAAAAGACAGAGGAAGAAAGAGGAACAGTCTTGGGACCTTGACAAAAGCAGAGGGCCAATCTGTATCACTCAGCTCCAAAAATCATTTCTTTCTCTTAGAAATGAGGTCATCCATCATGAACTCATTCTGCTTTCCACTTGTCTGTCATCAAAACATTTATCTCAAAGTAATTGCTCCTTAGTCATCTCTCTCCCTAAAGAACAAGTGCATGAATCATAATTTCTATTTTACAGCAAGAAATAAGGAGGCATGAGAAGTTCTGAAACTCACTTATCATTCAAAGTTCAGGTACAGGCTAAGATAATAAACCAGGATATTAATGAAGAAAAACAGGCCTAAGCAGAAGACAGAAAGTAGCTTATTCAAGTCCTAATAATGTATATGATAAATAATAGGCACCCAATAAATATATTATAAATTAGTGAATGAATTAATGAGGGAGTGAATAAATTAATCAAAGAAGGCCACAAATCCTTGAATCACTTGTCAAGTTATTGAAACGAGTTCTAGATGTGACAGCAAGGTTGCCTCAATCTTTTATGTTCATATTTTTCAGCAATTTTATATGCATAACAATCCTCAATCTGTTCAAGTTGAGTCAAACTTTATTCAAGTAAGTCAAAATTACCCGTGTGTTATGACGAGATTTAACATACATTTGAACAACAGCAATGAGCCAACCAATGTACTAGGCTCCACGGATATAAAAACATATAGAGGGATCTTGACTTCAAGAAGCTTATAATCTGGAGATAAACGTTATTAAATAATAATTATAAACTGCGATAGGAGTTAAAGTAGACTTTTTAAAGTTTGCACCATGAGCTCTGTAAAGTATAAAAATTGAATTCTATTTTGCTCATTCTTTAATTTCTAACTTTTTTAAATATCAGAAGATTGGCAATAATAATGTTTGACTATTTCACAGGGTTATTGTAAGGGATTTTCTGAGTTAAAAATTTTACATACCTTAATATGAGATGGGATTATTATTATTATTTACACATGTATGACATTATTGCCTCAACATTGCAAATAAGCTACTAGCAAAGTTTTTCAGATCTAGAAACTGATGAAAGCAGTATCCATTGACCAAAATCTCAAAAAGATCTCTCCAATTACAGAGTTTGAATGACTAGCTAAGGAGAAAATTCTGTCACCAGAATTTAAACTCACTCCTAAACTTTTCAGGCAGAAAATTTTCCCTGAGAAATGATAGATAACCAGTCCGTTTAAATATGTCAGGCCACATAAGAAATTAAAAAATTCAACCACTTAAAACCAAGTTATTTAAAATGGTATATAATACTGCGATAATCAGTAGCTCCTTTTTGCCTTGACTCAGATCACAACACTTGAATTCTAATTATACTCAAGGCAAAGAGATGTATTTTTCATACCAACCTTGAATTGCATTCCTACTGTGGCCTGACATGGAAAAATTGTTAGGGTTTATATACAAAAGCTCATCACAAAGAAATGAGATGCTTTTTAAATAAGTTTGCTTCTGGACAGAAAATGAAATTCATATCTTACCTGTGATGAAGGCTGAGCGCAGCTTGAGTCTGGGACACCTGCAAGAGACAAGAGCGGGAGGTGGATTTGGTTCATGGAATGTTTTCAGTGAAACTTCACTTTGTATGCAAGTCTCAAACTGGATTCTTCACAAGGTAAGCCAGTAAACTGGATTGCAT
Source organism: Homo sapiens (assembly GCF_000001405.40). Lineage (NCBI taxonomy): Eukaryota > Metazoa > Chordata > Mammalia > Primates > Hominidae > Homo > Homo sapiens. The sequence goes on from NC_000011.10 coordinate 29,642,941, forward strand.
ATTGCATGGATTTTTAATTCATGGTATTAAAATAGAACAGTGAAGTACAAATTAAACAGAAAAAGCAACTTCTTGTCCTCTTATTGCAGAACTACACCCACCACAAACACCATAAATATTGCATCTGTTCCCAATTATTATCCTGGAATTAACATGAAATTTGGAACCAGGAGAAATCTTGAAAATCATCCTCTCCATGATGCCAGTCCTGAAACTTGTCATTTTTATTTTTTAGATGAAGAAATTGGCAATAAGAAAAGTGAAGTTTCTGTCCTGAGAAATGGAAAAGAAAATACAGTGTATTGAACTTCTGCCATGTGCCAGACACATTATCTATGGGTGCTATGTGTCACAGATTAACCTTATAAGGCCAGTTCCCCAAGGTCAAGTGGCTATTTCAATGTTTGCTCATCTTTTACATCACTGTGTAGTATAGGGCCTCACACTTAGTAGTTGCTCAATAAATATGTATGGCATGAATTAATAACTGTTTTATTAAAGACAAAGCCACAGAATAAGCCAATGGCAGAGTATGACTTCAGATTCAATTTTCCTGACACCTAAAAAGGCCTGTCCTTTTTATTGTGTCATAAACTCATCTACAAGTTTTCTAACTGAGTGTTTGCTACCAAAGACCAGTCTTTGAGAACAACGAGCCCCTGTTATATTTACTCCTTGGTAAATACACACAAAAAAGGTGCCTGTCTTATTTCAAGTTAAAACTTATTTTCCAGCGTTTTTGGTAATATCTGGTAATTGTTTGCTGCTCTATGTGTCTTTTAAAATAAATGCCATTAATAGCCATTACGAAAATGTCAAGAAACAATAGATGTTGGTGTGGATGTAGGGAAAAGGGAACGCTTATACACTGCTGATGGAAATGTGAATTAGTATAACCTCTATGGAAAACAGCATGGAGATTCCGTAAAGAGCTAAATTAGATCTACCATTCTATCCAGCAATTCCACTACTGGGCATCTTCCCGAAGGAAAAGAAGACATTATATTAAAAAGACACTTGCACATACGTATTTATAGCAGCACAATTCACAATTGCAAAGATGTGAAACCAGGCTGGGTGCAGTGGCTCACGCCTGTAATCCCAGCATTTTGGGAGGCTGAGGCAGGTGGATTACCTGAGGTCAGGAGTTCAAGACCAGCCTTACCAACATGGAGAAACCCCATCTCTACTAAAAATACAAAAATTATCCGGGCATGGTGGCACATGCCTGTAATCCCAGCTACTCGGGAGGCTGAGTCAGAAGAATCGCTTGAACCCGGGACGCAGAGGTTGTGGTGAGCCGAGATCGCACCATTGCCCTCCAGCCTGGGCAACAAGAGTGAAACTTAGTTTCAAAAAAAAAAAAAAAAAAAGATGTGAAACCAAACTAAGCACCACTGACTAATGAGTGGATAAAGAAAGTGTGGTGTGTATATATATATATATATATATATATATATATATATATATATACATATATATATATATATATATGTATGTATATATATACATATATATATATATATACATATATATATATATATATATACACCATGAAATACTGCTCAGCTATAAAAAGGAACAAAATATGTATTTTGCAGCAACTTGGATAGAGCTGGAGGCCATTATTCTAAGTGAAGTAAACAGGAGTCCAGAACCAAAAACCGTATGTTTTCAATTATGAGTGGAGGCTAAGCTATGAGTTATACAAAGGTATACAGAGTGATATAATGGACTTTAGAGATTCAGATGAAAGACGGTGGAAGTGGGGCTGGAGATAAAAAACTACACATTAAGTACAACGTACACTAGTCAGGAGACAGGTGCACTAAAATCTCAGAATTCACCACTATATAATTCATCCGTGTAACAAAAAACCACTTGTACCCCAAAAGCTATTGAAATAAATTTTTAAAAAATCAGTGAAGAGTAGAAATACAATTTTTCCACATACACCATCAGATGACTTGCTATTTGACCACAAGATTATTTAAAAGGAATTTGGGGCTATAAGTTCATTATGCCTTGTGCTCTTCTAATTAAACAACTTCAAACTTAAAAAATAAACAAATAAAATAAATGTCATTAGGAGCTATGCTTTCTAAACAATTTGACCAAGGTAAAGTCTAGAATTATAAACAATCCAGTCCAAGCAGCATGCCCATAGTGGTTTAGAAAATTAAACGATAGTCTTAAGAATAAGAAGAAGATTAAATAACCTCTAACATCCCATTTAGCTTTAATATTATAAAGCATTGTTTAAATTAAAATTTCGGAAAAAGGCTGGGCTTGGTGGCTTATGCCTGTAATCCCAGCATTTTGGGAGGCCAAGGCAGATGAATCACTTTATTTCATGAGTTTGAGACCAGCCTGGGCAACATGGTAAAACGCCATCTCTATTTAAAAAAAAAATAGCTAGGCATGGTGGCAGGCACCTGTAGTCTCAGCTACTAAGAAGGCTGAAGTGGGAGGACTGGTTGAGCTCAGGAAGCGGAGATTGTGGTGAGCTGAGATCACACCACTGCACTCCAACCTGGGTGACAGAATGAGGCCCTGTCTCCAAAAAAAAAATTTTAATTGAATTTTATTATTTAATTATTTAAATTAGAAATAATAATTAATTTAAATACTTGTATTAGTTATTTATTTAAATAATAAATAATAAAAGCTGGAATTAAATAGCATATAAAATTTACAAAAAAATTTCCATAAATACAATTATTGTGATGACTAAATAATACAAATAGAATAATGCCTGGCACATAGAGACTATCAAAAAAAAGTTTGCTTTCCTCATTATTATTATTGATCATAGCAATAGTTGCATTTGGAATTTGAAGTTAGTGAACCATAGGTAAAGGCATCGTGTGAACTGGATTTGAGTTAGGTTTCTCCTTCTACTAGACGTGTGTAATCTGGAGAAACCTATATAACAATTCTGAGTTGCAGTCTGCTCACCTGGAAAATGAGGACAATAGCCTGCTCATGATTGCTGCAAAAATTTAAAACATGCTGTCTGAAAAAACTAACAGTATTAGTGCCTCATAATAGCAGGGACAAAACAAATGTTGCTCTTTCTATAGTTTTATTATTGTTATTGTTATTTAGTCACAATATTCACATGAGGGTTTTTGCTGTATTCATTTTATTGAAGAGGAAACTAAAGTTTGTAGAGGGAAAAATATCTTGAACATGTTCACCCAACCTCTTAAGGGGCAGAACTCAGATGACAGACTAGATCTACTGATTCATTTTTTTGTTTGTTTGTTTGTTTTTTGAGACGGAGTCTTGCTCTTTCTCCTAGGCTGGAGTGCAGTGGCTCGATCTCGGCTCACTGCAAGCTCCACCTCCCAGGTTCACACCATTCTCCTGCCTCAGCCTCCCGAGTAGCTGAGACTACAGGTGCCCGCCACCATGCCCAGCTAATTTTTTGTATTTTTAGTAGAGACGGGGTTTCACTGTGTTAGCCAGGATGGTCTCGATCTCCTGACCTCGTGATCCGCCTGCCTCAGCCTCCCAAAGTGCTGGGATTACAGGCGTGAGCCACCGTGCCTGGCCCATAGATCTCCTGATTCTTAAGCAGTCCAGTATCCACTTAGGCAAAATTTCTTTGCAGAAAATAGTTATTTCCTGCCATGGCTTGTTAGTGAAAGCTTATGGGTCTATGTACAATAGGTTAATGGGTAAATATTTTTATTGGTTTCCAGAGGCTAATAGGTTAACATTTTTGTTGGTTTCCAGAGGCACAATGCCTTAAGCACTTTTCATAAGTGCATCTTTTGAAACAAAACTCTTGTTTTGAAAGAGCAACATTTGTTTTGTCCCTGCTACTATGAGGCACTAATACTGTTAGTTTTTTCATATACTTAGAAATAAAATGGAGAAGGATGGTGTCTATGTCTAAATTTGAGAAGTGCTCTATATCTTAATCACCTGATTTAAATTCACATGTATATTAGTATATCAAAGGAGTCCCACATAGGATACTTAAAAAAAGGAATCTAACTCTATTTAGCTCCAGATTTCCTGAAGTATTTGAACACAGAAGACCTCTTAGGAGCCCACAGAACCCATTTTGGGAAATACCACCTTCCATGATGCTGGGAATTACAGATACATTGGCAAATTGTTGGGAGAGATAATGAAGAACAAGATAGAGTTTTACTTTCCTTTCAAATTCCACAATGTATATGGATACCTGATGTATCCGTACATGATTATATTTGAGATTATTAAATACTTTGCTATAACTATTGAAATACAAAAATGAGAATCAGAGTTAACAGGAAATACTGGACTAATGTCAAAAACTGTAGGTTATTGTCCTAATTTTATAACTAACAGTATCTTTACAGCTGGATTGCCTTGCATTAAAATCCTACCTCTGCATTTAACAGCTATGTGACTTTGGGCAAGTCTATGATATCTACAAGCCTCCACTTACTCATCTGCAAAATAAAGATAGTAATAAATACCTCTCATGGTTGCTACCAAGTTGATTGTAAAATGAGGCTGATATCACCTACTTGAGATGGCCACTGTAAGGATGATGATAATGCATGTAAAATACCCACCAGAGATGAAGCACGGTAGACATCCAAACATTTTTCACTGTAAGTATGACCACTTTAACACTTCTCATCTGTGCTTTTCTTTTTCTGTAAACTGGTTGATTCAACATCTGCCCATCACTCAGTGTTGCTGCCCCAACCCCATTTTTTCATTCATTAATTCATTCATTAATTCTTTTTTCTTTGTATGTGTTAAGCAGTTGATAACTAAGTGTACACATTGGAAGAAGCACACGGCATAGATGAAAATGGTATACTCCTGGCATTCAAAGAGTACACAATTCAACGAAGATAACAAATGCTACTCCAGATAGACATTGTTTAGGGCCAAAAGAGAGATGTGTAAGAGGTAGTATGAGAACACAGCAGAAGGGGGAAAATTATTCCTTCCAGGAAGAGACAAAAGGACATTGGGAACGTTTCGCAGAAAAATAATCTTTGAAATAGACCTTAGAGGTTGAAGAGGTGCTCACAAGGCAAGAAGTTATATCACTAAAAATTGCTACCATGTATTAGTCCTTAAAATAAGCCAGGCCCACAGCCAATATCATACTGAATGGGCAAAAACTAGAAGCATTCCCTTTGAAAACGGGCACAAGACAGGGATGCCCTCTCTCACCACTCCTATTCAACATAGTGTTGGAAGTTCTGGCCAGGGCAAGTAGGCAGGAGAAGGAAATAAAGGGTATTCAATTAGGAAAAGAGGAAGTCAAATTGTCCCTGTTTGCAGACGACATGATTGTATATCTAGAAAACCCCATTGTCTCAGCCCAAAATCTCCTTATGCTGATAAGCAACTTCAGCAAAGTCTCAGGATACAAAATCAATGTACAAAAATCACAAGCATTCTTATACACCAACAACAGACAAACAGAGAGCCAAATCATGAGTGAACTCCCATTCACAATTGCTTCAAAGAGAATAAAATACCTAGGAATCCAACTTACAAGGGATGTGAAGGACCTCTTCAAGGAGAACTACAAACCACTGCTCAAGGAAATAAAAGAGGATACAAACAAATGGAAGAACATTCCATGCCCATGGATAGGAAGAATCAATATCGTGAAAATGGCCATACTGCCCAAGGTAATTTACAGATTCAATGCCATCCCCATCAAGCTACCAATGACTTTCTTCACAGAATTGGAAAAAACTACTTTAAAGTTCATATGGAACCAAAAAAGAGCCTGCATCGCCAAGTCAATCCTAAGCCAAAAGAACAAAGCTGGAGGCATCACACTACCTGACTTCAAACTATACTACAAGGCTACAGTAACCAAAACAGCATGGTACTGGTACCAAAACAGAGATATAGATCAATGGAACAGAACAGAGCCCTCAGAAATAATGCCGCTTATCTACAACTATCTGATCTTTGACGAACCTGAGAAAAACAAGCAATGGGGAAAGGATTCCCTATTTAATAAATGGTGCTGGGAAAACTGGCTAGCCATATGTAGAAAGCTGAAACTGGATCCCTTCCTTACACCTTATACAAAAATGAATTCAAGATGGATTAAAGACTTAAATGTTAGACCTAAAACCAGAAAAATCCTAGAAGAAAACCTAGGCATTACCATTCAGGACATAGGCATGGGCAAGGACTTCATGTCTAAAACACCAAAAGCAATGGCAACAAAAGCCAAAATTGACAAATGGGATCTAACTAAACTAAAGAGCTTCTGCACAGCAAAAGAAACTACCATCAGAGTGAACAGGCAACCTACAAAATGGGAGAAAATTTTCGTAGCCTACTCATCTGACAAAGGGCTAATATCCAGAATCTACAATGAACTCAAACAAATTTACAAGAAAAAAACAAACAACCCCATCAAAAAGTGGGCGAAGGACATGAACAGACACTTCTCAAAAGAAGACATTTATGCAGCCAAAAAACACATGAAAAAATGCTCACCATCACTGGCCATCAGAGAAATGCAAATGAAAACCACAATGAGATACCATCTCACACCAGTTAGAATGGTGATCATTAAAAAGTCAGGAAACAACAGGTGCTGGAGAGGATGTGGAGAAATAGGAACACTTTTACACTGTTGGTGGGACTGTAAACTAGTTCAACCATTGTGGAAGTCAGTGTGGCGATTCCTCAGGGATCTAGAACTAGAAATACCATTTGACCCAGCCATCCCATTACTGGTTATATACCCAAAGGACTACAAATCATGCTGCTATAAAGACACATGCATACGTATGTTTATTGCGGCATTATTCACAATAGCAAAGACTTGGAACCAACCCAAATGTCCAACAGTGATAGACTGGATTAAGAAAATGTGGCACATATACACCATGGAATACTATGCAGCCATAAAAAGGATGAGTTCATGTCCTTTGTAGGGACACGGATGAAATTGGAAATCATCATACTTAGTAAACTATCGCAAGAACAAAAAACCAAACACCGCATATTCTTACTCATAGGTGGGAATTGAACAAGGAGAACACATGGATACAGGAAGGGGAACATCACACTCTGGGGCCTGTTGTGGGGTAGGGGGAGGGGGGAGGGATAGCATTGGGAGATATACCTAATGCTAGATGAGGAGTCAGTGGGTGCAGCGCACCAGCATGGCACATGTATACATATGTATCTAACCTGCACATTGTGCACATGTACCCTAAAACTTAAAGTATAATAATAAAAAATAAAAAAAAAAATAAGCCAGGAATGTGGAAAGTTGTAAATCCACATTAGTGGCAATCAGGACTGATAGTGATGTCAACATGTTAACCATCTTGTTAAACATATTCTGAGAGATGGCTAGCTGCCTCATCCCTAAATGTCCCCCCACAGAGGACTGACATCACAATGTGATTGAGCTCTATAAATTATTCATGTTACTTTTATCTTGTTTTAATTCTTTCCCAATTTACACTTTGATTAAATTTTAAAAAGAAACTACATGGCATCTGAGAAAGAAAATAATCATCAATGAAAAAAGGATAATTTCTTACTTCTCTATTTCCTAATGCTGTGTCTTCATTAACACACTGCTGTGGTCTGAATGTTTGTGTTTCCCCAAAATTCATATGTTAAAATCCTAACCCCCAAAGTGATACAGGAAGTGGGACTTTTGGGAGGTAATTGGGTCATGATGGTGGAACTCTCTTGAATGGGATCAGTATCCTTATAAAGGAGGATCCAGAGAACCTTGCCCTTTCAACTGCATGAAAACACAGCAAGAAGGCACAATGTTATAAGCCAGAAAGCAGGCCCTTACTAGACACCAAATCTGCTGGTGCTTTGACCTTAGATTTCCAGGCTCCAGAACTGTGAGAAATAAATTTCTATCCTTTGTAAGGTACCCAGTTATAATATTTTGTTATAGCAACCTGAACGGCCTAAGACATACACCTTCTCAAATTACAGTTGTCTTTAATATTTGCATATGTGCCATTTTAGTTCTTTATTCTAAATTTTAGCATTTTTTAATTTTTAATTAAAAAATGCATTTCCCCTTTAAATCATGGAAAATACCCAATTCATATGTTGTCTTTTGTTTTTGAAAAAAGGATGTTTTTCTATGCCAGGTGTGTGTAACATTTATTTTAGCTCATGTCCTCCACTTCATTAAGATTGAAATTAGACTGGCTGGCTTGTAGTATTCCTCAAAGGGAATTAAAATTTCCAGGGTGCTTACATTCCAAAATTCCATTTTGGAGCTGATTTCTTAAGTTAGCTATTAAGTTGGCTTCCTGGTCTGGGTCTTACTTTGGAATCACTCAGCTGCTCTGTACTTCCTCTCTTTTCCAAGAAGACTTGGGGGTCATGTGAAGGGTTCACATAGCAGCAGGTAACTCAGCCATCTATCAAGGCACTCAGCCAAACAAAGGGAACTTTATGATATTATAGCTTACTCCACTTAAAATGTGGCTGTGTTTATAATTAGCACTTTTCCCTTTCTAGTCACCTCTTTTTAATAATCCGAGCGTGGGGCAGCTGAAGATGACTTTTTTTCCTACCTTATGTGTGCATTCTTTTAACAAATATTTATTGAGGACCTACTGTGTGCCAGGTGCATTTCTCAACATTGGTGATATTCTAAGAACAAAGCAAATTACCTACTCTTAGTTTTTTTGTTTGTTTGTTTTTTCATTTGTAAAGAAGTAGGGATAGAAATAGCTACCTTGAATTCTTGTTAGAAGAATTAAATGAGACTCGTGCAGAAATCACATAATAAAGTGCCTTACACACCACTAGTAACAATACCATCCCCATCAACATGAAAAATAATATTGAAAGGAGGCTTAGGCTTCCTCTGGACGATACCAGAGCAAAAATATCCCTTACCTTCTACCAGTGAAGGCAAGAATATTAGCAACTAGGAGACAGATAATAACCAAAAAATATTATGACAGAGTATGAAAGTGCTAAGAAAACAAAGCATGGAAAAGTTGGTAGCGAGTAGGATAGCTACGGGAGAACTAATTGTATATTGAATTATTGAAGACATGCCCACAACCTACTTCATACTGCATATAATGACAGCAGTAAAAATCAACAGGAAAGAATGCCCATAGGAACAATCTTTCACACTTCATAGAGTCATATCAAAATCTATTTAAAGGATGAATTAATCCTTGCTTTTTTTTCTGTTGGAATAATTTCTTTTGTGCTTTCTATAAAAAAACAGAATTCACTCTAAAAAGTTATAATTATTATAAGTATAAACTTACAGGCTCTGAGCAATAAACCAAATTAAAGGTAAGAAAGCTGCCATGGAATCTCAATCTTGCAACCCAGGCTGTTAGAAACAGACATGATGGTGATCCCCAAATGGAAACCTGCCAAATGATAACTCCAAAGAAAGGCATAGTCATTCTAGCTCAACAGAAAACAACAACAACAATCCCTCTGTTTCTTCATAGAAGAAATCTTCTTCTGGTAGATTTATATTTGCTATAGAATTTGTACATCTGGAGGGGATTAATAGACTCATTCTCTGGGCCCAGGTATGCTTTTGGAATGAAATCTCTGCCCTCAGGTGGAAATTAAAAGCAAAAAAGAGAAGTTGGCAGGTTGTTTAGGTAGAGGAAAGATTCTTGTTGATATTCCCTAACCAGGATACCTGTTTTCTACCATTTAATAAATGGAAGTCAGGAAGGAAATTAGAAGGATCTGCTGTTGTACTTGATAATTGAGGTAGCTATAAAAATATAACAGCATGCCTGTGGAAAGTGTCCTAACATGGAAACAAGATGGACCAACAAAAAGCTCTCTTTAGTGTTGATACTTTTACTGACTCCCCCAGCTAGTCTTCCATACTTGACTTCTCCCTCTTGATTTTTCCCTTCTATCCCTCACCCTCCACAAGCTCCCTTAGGAGCTAGTTATCATATGCATTACATCCTTAGCCAAGGGAATGCATGGAGCCCAATTCAGTAACCTGGGTGACCTATGAGTAAGCCATTTTTACTTTCCCTTTCATTGTCACCCAGTATCCCCTGCCCTAGGAAACAAACTTTTTTCCCATTTTTAACTCAAGTTTCCATCTTAGACAACCTTTTGAGAATTTATTTCTCCATCTTTCTTCTTAAGCCTGAAGCCTCTCTTATTATTGTTGCTGTTGTGATGATGATGATTATGAGTGACAGTGGTAATATTTTTGTGCCAGACATTATGTTCTTTATGTATATATTCTTCATTAATCTTCACATGGAAAATTCAAGGTAGTGATTTTTACTTTGTGTCTATTGTGCAAAGAATTATGGATATGGCTTTTAGGCAGAGTTAACCTCAATCAGATTCATGAAAAGCCCATAAAATTTTTATGGGAGATGTACCAGCTTGGACCAAAAAAATAGAATTCAAAATGAAGAGGCCACTAGTTCTCCAGATTTCAACAAGAAAAAAGCATGATGACAAAGCTACCTAGCTACACACATGGAAAACTAATTATATCTTAGTGGGCACAGACATAAGCCCACAGCTCAGAGCCAAGAGCAGAAGAAAACAGGATAAAAGAATTACTTTCAGGAAGCAGAAGTTGGTCCTAATATAAGAACATGTTTTTCTAGAGTTGAAGAACCTGACAATATGGGCCCTTCAAGCTTGATGCTGGTCCTATGATGGATTTGAGTATATTTTGTACGTAAGAGAAATGTGAATAATTTGGGGCCCAAAGAGCTAGAAATTTACAAAGTTTACAAGTCAATTGTGGTAAATTGCAAAACACAGCCATATTCTTCCATTTCTATTATACAAGCCTCTTTGCACTATGACTTTGGCATTTGTCTCATCAATATGAGTAATCTACTTTTTCGCTTCTTGCACTTGAGATGAACTGTGATTAGCTTTAACTAGTAGCATGTGGAGGAAGTAACATTGTATGACTTCCAAGCCAAGGCCGCTAGAGCCAGTGCAACTTCTTCGCTTTTGCAAAAGCTGAGACCTCCTTGCTGTGAAAAGGACCAGGATTAAAACCTAGAGGAAGGGAGAAGTTAGTCATCTAAGCTGCTCCACCCAACACTTGTCATCCATCAGGTAACTGGCTGCCTGAGGAAGCCCAGGTGAAATCTGAAGAAAAACCACTCCATCAATCTACAGAATCATAAGAAAAAATAAACTGTTTTTAAGCCACCATTTTACGGCTTAGCTTCAGGTTTGTTATTCACCCATAGATAATGAAAACACCATGTGACACACGTGAAATTACGTAGCTTTCATCTGTCTCTAACATCTGCAATACAGACATGATAATATCAGTTTTCCCTTCTTTCCACAGATATTAACATAATTAAAGGAGGTCCTGAGTATTTGAGTAAAGCTGAATAATAATGCTTTAATTTATACTGCCTCCAATATTTTTAAAAATACTATTACATTCAAGTAATATTATTCAATATAAATCTTGGCTACAAATTTCTCAGAAGAAACATCTGCATCAATAGTAAGAAAGTGATAAGTGACTCAATAGCTGGGTCGGCATGGAAGAAAGGAAGGGAGGAGAAAGAATTAACTCTGAATTATCAACCAAAACAAATAAATTGACTATAATAAACATAAATATTATTTTTTTACTTAAGTATAAAGCTTAAGGTAAGTTAAACCTTGATGTTATGGAAGCACAGATATCAGTGTTGGAAACATTTCACAAGACATGGGATTCAACCTCCTATACAGAATTCAGGCCAGTGAGTATCTAGGCTTGGTTGCACACATTTAGCAATAAATAATGTGCTTTCTCACTAAGTAATATAGTTTATTTCAATGCAGCTAAAAATGTTAGATTGTCCCTCTTTTGCACTGAAATCTGGCAAGTTCACAAAGAAAAAAATCTCACTAAAGACTTTCATTTATCTATATCAGAGTTCCCCAGATGTTAGCCTCAAATAAGATTGATCAGACCCTCCTGTAGTGCTTGCAAACATGTATATTCCAAGTTCATTTACCCTGACATGCTAAATCTGGATCCCAGAATTTTTCAGTTGTGTGCTAGGTCATTCTTATGTGCACAGAGGCCTGAGAACCTCTGCCTTATGCTCTAAGTTCCTCAAGGATAGAAACAACATCCTATTTGTCCTTGTATTTCCAGCCATTGGCATACTCCCTAGCATATATGGGAATTCAACCACTTTTCTCAAAGAGAAGTGAAGGGAAGAGTAAATGATGAATGAATGCCCTGTGTGGCTCTCAGATTTGAACAGTCATGTCTCATCAGTCTGTGCTTCAGATTAGATATTCATTTTAAATGGAGCCAAACAACATACATGATTGTAGGCAGTTAAATTTTAGAGATATGACCTAATACCAAAGTCCTAGTTCCTACCACTGGGTAGGTGGTTAACACACAGTTGTTGAAAGATTTTGTTTTGAGACTTTTGCTAGTCTATTTTCCATTATGTGTTATAATATACTCAGAATAATTGGATTTCTGTTCTGATAACTGAGATTTTAGTTAATCCTTTGGTTTGACAAACTGTTGATGACTCTAGTCCTTTTGTATAGGGAGGATTTGTCATTCTCTTTCCAAAATTGTCACCTGGCCCCAAGAGTACCTAGCCCAGTGGTTGAGTTTCTTTGAACTGCTGCCTGACTCCCTTGCTGCCTGACTGCAACCTACTCTTGCACATCTTATTCCTGTGATATACTCCTCAGCCTTTCCTGAAGGTAACTGCTGACCTGAAACCATTGTCTATTCCTATTTCTTCATAATATCATGTCCTAACTCCCTCTCCTTTCATTTATAGCCCACCTTCAGATTCCAGATCCTGTTACCTGAATCTTTCCACTGTTGTGGAATATCATCATATTTGACTGCTTTATTCATTTCCAGTTTGTGGACCAGAGTACAATGTGCCTTGCAAATAATGAAATGGTAGGAAATCATTTCTCTAATTTAATTTGGAAGCTGAGATTTTAAACTAATTATGTCCCATTCTTCTTTTCCAGTTGTGCTTGGAATTTGGAGTCAGCCAGAAATGAAGTTGAAACTTGGCTGTACTATTAACACCTAAAAATTACTTAACTCCTCTAAATACCACTTTCATCTGCAAAATGGGAACATTAGTATTTCTTCACTAGATTGGTACCAGATGGTGTGCTTTGCACACTGCCAGGTACATAGTAAATTCTTGATAAGTGGTAGTGTATTAGACTATTCTAGCATTGCTATAAAGTACCTGTGACTGGGTAATTCATAAAGAAAAGAGGTTTAATTGGCTCATGGTTCCACAGGATGTATAGGAAGCATGATGCTGGCATCTTCTCAGCTTCTGGAGAGACCTCAGGAAACTTACAGTCATGGTGGAAGGTGAAGGGGGAACAGGCCTCTCACAATGGCAGAACAGGAGCAAGAGAGAGAAAGCGAGGTGCCACACAGTTTTAAACAGCCAGATCTCACAAAAGTCATTCTCTATTGTGAGGACAGCACCAAGGGGATGCTGCTAAACCACTGAGGGAAAACATACTCCCATGATGCAATCACCTCCCACCTGGCCCCACCTCCAATACTGAGGATTACAATTCAACGTGAGATTTGGGTGGGGACAAAGATTCAAACTATGTCAGGTACTATTGTTAGGACTCTGTATGGATCCTCTCCAGGAGTCCATCATCTAACATATGGCAGTAAAGTGTTAGGAAACAGTGCGGGCATTTTTCAGTTTCTTCTAAGATAAGAATGCAACTGTATCATCCCTAGCACATAACTCCTCTTGCCTAAAAATAGAACACCTTCTGCTTTGTGTCAGGAACTATCATTATTCCATTAGCAGCTTTGCTGAAAGCCACCGAGCGCTCAGCAGAACCACTGTGTCTGCAGCTTGCTCTTTGACCCCCTAAAGGACCACAGGGGCTGAGTTTCATTCCACTCTCTGGTACATCAGGCCACACATCCCTCACAGCTCTCCTTGTCACTTACAGCTCATACCTTATTAATATATGTATCTCTCTTTGCTAGATAGCAGGAAATCATAGAAACCACCAAGGTCATGCTTATGATAACTGATCAGTCCATTCATTCATTTCAAGGAAGTGACTAATTACAAGAAGCTTACAAACATACTGAAAAATAATTTATGCTGGTTAGGAAATCTGCATTCTGGTTTCTCCCTGTGAAAAGAGAAACAGATGACAGTTCAGGACAGCCATGGGCTAGTAGTTTGTGAACAGTTGAATAAATATTAATATTTGGCCCTGATACAAAGTCTAATTCAAAAGGGAGCTGCTTCCATTTTTTTCCCTATAACTTTAGGAATTATGGATTTGACTAAGTGAAAAAAATAATGTAAAGCTTAACAATGGTGAGGTAAAAATGATGATAAAATAACTACAGATTTACATTTGCTGAGTATTCACTATATATCATCCATTATATTAAGGGAATAAGGTATACTAAGTCATTTAATTTGCAGAAAAGTTAAGAAGTAAATATTTGTATTCCACTATATAGAAGGGGGAAACTAATTCTGAGAGGTTGGGCATTATGTCTAATGCCCCCAGTGAATGGGTGGCAGAGCCAGGATCCTAGCACTGATTGTCTGGCTCCAGAGCCAAGCATGGGCTCAAGACCAGCAAATGTTTTCTATAAAAGGCCACCTAGTTGATATTTTAGTCTTTGTGGGCCATATTTGTCACAACCACTAATTCTACTGGGATAATGCAAAAACAGACACAGACAATATGTAAATGAGTGAGGGTGGCCATATTCCAATAAAACTTCAAAGAAACAGGTGTGTAGCATACTCCTGCTCAACACAATGAGTGCGCTGAACTTTATCAAAGTAGCCAGCAATCTCTTACAACTTTGAAACTAGATGGTCTTTGAATGAAGATTCTGCCTCCGCATCACCTTATCAACCTTCTCCTTTGGCCCCAGGCAGTGGGATGAGCCTTGAAAGAAGAAGCTGTAATGTTTACTCTTGCTCCAAATGAAGCCAATGGAAACTTGGCCCTTGACCAGCAGCCTTTCAGCCTGGACAAAGCTGGGTCAGAGTGAATGTATTTTTTCATCACCTCTCACCTTTGGGTTAACTCTTTTACATTTCCTAGCAACAAAAGAAGGGAAAATAAATGAATACAGTTCTTTCAAACTCAAATTCTTCTATGGCCACCCCAATAGGAAAGTGACAATTCTGACAAACTCTTTCACCTTGCTATTAGATACTTTACCAGAACTGAGTAATTAATTGATCACTATTTGTTACAGTGTCCTGCTTCCTCATGAAGTAATCAGTCATTACTAAGTAGAGAGGCTGTGTCATGCAGTGAATGGACTCATGAGCCAGACCACCCAGGTTCAAATCCTGGCTCTGACATTTGATGGCTATATGACCTTGGAAAACTTAACTCATTTCTCTGTCTCCACCACATATCTGTAAAAGGAAGACAATTATTAAATTCACAGGGTTTGGTAAGAATTAAATGAATTGATATATGCATGCTAAGTGTTTGGAAAAGTGCCTGGTGCAGGAGAAACACACAATAAACACTAGCTATTTTTATTAAAGAATATGGGGGAAAGAATTCTTAATTTTGCCATTTTTTTAAGTAAGGAAATATTGATTGAGCTTATACTCTCAACAGCAGTTCTTCTGAATAAGACACAGCCCTGGCCCTTAAGGAGCTTAAAATCTAGTAGCCATTATAGCTTTGAGAAATTTCAGGGTGATTTTAGAAAAATGATGTGCCAGTTGCATTAAAACATTGTAAGTATAATTGCCTTAATTCAGTTTATGTTCCTTGGTATATATCAGAAGCATCTATCAAAAGTCTCATGTGTGCATTTCTGGAATACAGTGAGGAAAACATAAGATGGTGTATCTCAGGTGGAGAAAGAACTAGAATATGATTCTGAAGTGAAATACGAAATCAAAAGCTATCAGAGAAAATACCAAGGAACTGCAATACATGATAATCTTTTACTTAGACTGTAGTTAAGGTCATGAAATTGTGGTAGCTTCATACCCTTCAATGGATTAAATTCCTTTATGATAATTTATAAGTGATATTCATCCCTAGGCGGAACTGGAATCTAGTAGTATCCAAAGCTTTTTCGTGTGACAGTGGATAAGAATTATGCTATTTACAATACATGTAACCTTGAGTAAGTATCATAATCTGTAAGTTGATTTTCTCATTTGTAAAATAAGTATTGAAATAATAATGGCTGTCTCATTGCATTATTGTGCAATGTAAATGAGATAGCATATGTGAACTACCTAGCATGGAGCTAGTTATAGCATAAACTTTTTTTTTTTTTTTTTTGAGACAGTCTCACTCTGTCACCCAGGCTGGAGTACAGTGGCGTGATCTTGGCTCACTGCAACCTCTGCCTCCCAGATTAAAGTGATTCTCTTATCTCAGCCTCCCAAATAGCTAGGTCTACAGGCACAAGCCACCAGGCCCCAGCTAATTTTTTGTGTTTTTAGTAGAGACGGGGTTTCGCCATGTTGGCCAGGCTGGTCTCGAACTCCTGACCTCAGGAGATCCACCTGCGTCGGCCTCCCAAAATGCTGAGATTGCAGGCACGAGCCACCGCGCCTGGCCTAGAATGAACCTTAAAAAAAAAGTGTTTATTATCTTTCCCCACAGAGCTCAGAAATGTCTACTATCTAGAGTCTTTATCACAATGGAGTATATCCTGAATTTTTCAAGCCCCTTTAGTTCCTAAAGGGGGCATATTGAGACCCATTGGATACTGTGGCAGCCTTGAAAACATGCTGCTCAGAGCTCTTGCTATGGGGAATATAATTGATAGCCCCCAGAAGCTTCCCTTTTGAATTTTTTCCCCACATTCATGCCAAGGCTCCACCTTCTATGGGCCACTCTCAGCCAATGACTAAGCAAGATGAAAATACTAATGTAGGCCTACTCTGTGAGACACAGCATTCTTTTAACCAAAGTGCCTCTGGCTTGATGACGTCCATCAGCCTAGTCAACACTTTCTTTGAGCTATTATAGAGTCTCTAGACTGAGACTCTTCCTGTACTGTGCTCCTTCCTCACTCTCTCTTGCACAGGTGTTAAGCCTGCATGGTGGGATGAAGTCTCCTCTTCCTCCTCTGGCTCACCACCTGATCCTTCACAGATAGTTGCCCCAATGAATGCAGCTTAATTTCACCATATCATCTACTTCTTTTAGGATCCAAAATGATGCAGACACTCAGAATTTATTTATATAGGGTTTAACTGCCTTACCCTTATTCCTGGCTGTATTTTTCAAAATTTTTTTTTTATCAATTATTCAATATAAACCTACTCTACTGAACACATTATATAGAGTTTTCAAGACTATGATTTCTGCTCTAATTCCAAGTTAGATTCTCTTGTCTAACTAGTCAACTCTGCCAGAAGTCAGTGTTTCTACTGCTTTGATCAGCAATATCATTATTTCCCCTTACCCACACCCAACACAGTGTACTGTGAAAACTGGTACTTCTTTTGTAACTTCCCATCGGCTGCCCCAGCTCTCTAATGAAGTTTTTCTGGGCCTCATGGTACCATTCAAAATGGTCTGTATAAATCATGTAATTGTCAGGAGATACTTGATTTCTTAATGGTGCTTATTAAATGTGAGAACTATACAGACAAATCCTTTATTACTGGATTTAAGAAGGAACTTAAACATTAACTTTTCCAGTCATGACTTTTCACAGATTATGAGTCCAAGGACAAAGATACTAAGAGACTTTCTTGAGGTCAAGCACAGAATGGAAATGAGACCAAAAAAACCAAAAAAACAAAAAAACAAAAAAACTGTGCTCCCAAAGAAACAAGAAGCCTAAATAGCAGATGCAGCAACTTTCTGAAGAGCTCCAGCACGCACAACTGAAGACAATAAAAAGGAATTTCAAGATGTCATGTGGGGACAAGGGTTCCAAAAGAGAAAAGACTGGATGCTTTTTAGGAGATTTGTATAGAAAAGGAAAAAAAAACTGCTAATAAAATTATGAGTAAGAATAGTAACCTGGACAATCAAGTGCTAAATAAATTGATGTTAGACATTAAGGGTTCTTGCTTGAATATTTGACTACAGGCTCAAATATAACAATGAGTGTCCCGATAATCAACACATACAAATATAGCCATGTAGGCCTTCCAGGTAAGGAGAATGTAATTTATATGAAAGGACATTGTTTTTTTCCTAACAATACAATCGGATAATTTATGTGTGAAACTGTTATCTTTTTCTATAAACTTAATAAATATCTTTTTTCTCCTAGAGGGAGAGTTATCTTTTTGTGTTATGTACAGCTCTCTACTTCAACATTAACCATACATTAGCACCAGAAAATTTTCTTCCATGAGTGGAAAATTTGATTAATTTCTTGACTTTATATTGGTTATTTTCATTTCTTAGACCAATGATCTACAAACCCTAATGAGCATATCACACAGAGCTATCAGTAAAAATTTTGAGTATGCATTTCCCAAGAAATATTGATTTATTTATAAGGTATACGCAAGTAGTATACTAGTTGAACATATTGTGAATACTACAATACATAAAGAAAAATTTATTTAGAGGAAGGATGAAATAAATATTAATGAAAGCTCCAATATTTTGTTTTCTCCCTCATGGATCATTTTGAATAACCCACTTTTTAGACCACTGGTCTATTTTGTGAATGAAGAAATAAATATCTTCTATATTTAATCAAACCAAAATTCCATTTCATTTTCTTTGTATTCGCAATTCTATCAGGATGCATTCAAACCACTTTTTCTACTATCCTAGCTTTCACATTTCTTAGGTTATCCATATAGTCAATACTTCACAAAATCTCCTAGATCAAGGCTTACAAACAAGTTGACAATGGTAAAATTAAACCAATAAACATATTATGTATGGACTAAACTCTGTTTCTTAACTATCTGAACTCTAAACTCTATAGGAGGCAAAAGTTCTCTCATTTACGTATTCCCTACCACTCTTTGTTATCTCATGCCTGTCCAACTTCACTCATTTACATTGTGGCAGATTTAAAATAACAACAAATTATATGACACTCTTCCAAGCCAGAGGTAAGTTTATTGCTTCTCCCTTTGAATCTGAGTTAGCCCTGTGATTTGCTCTGACCAATATAATGCAGTGGGAAATGATGCTGTATAAACATATGATATATGTAACTTCTATTTTCACATATTTCCCCTTGAATTCCAGATGCCATTCTGTAGGAAGTCTAGGCCATATGGAGAGGCCATGTGGAGGATAAATGATGCACTACAATTAGTACCCCTGCTGAGCTCCTAGCTGATAGTCATTACCA
This sequence comes from Homo sapiens, assembly GCF_000001405.40. NCBI lineage: Eukaryota > Metazoa > Chordata > Mammalia > Primates > Hominidae > Homo > Homo sapiens. The sequence goes on from NC_000011.10 coordinate 29,662,244, forward strand.
TTCCCAAAGCATTTGAGTAAGTAATCTTAGACATTCCAAGCGATTCAAGCCTCTGGATTATTACTGAAGTGGTTGACAACACATGGCAGCAAAGGATCCACCTGCTGAGCCCAGTTCACCTACATAATTTTGAGTGAGAATAAATGGCTGTGATTGTTCTAAGCCAACAAGTTTTGGGGTGGTTTGTCACATGGCAATAGAGAACCAAAACATCTATTATCTTGAAATGGCCTGTGGATTGGAATATCTTCCCTATACAGATCGTTAATCCAGTTGGGTTTGTCTAGAATTGGGTTTCTCATCTGACTTTACATTTCTATTCTCCATATCTTTGCTTTCAATAGTTTTTCAAATGTTTTGTGCACCTATATAAATTCTAACCATCTTTCCAGGCAGAGGTAGTTAAAATTCCAGCTCCTGTATCCTAATTAAGTAATCATGTATGCAAATAGTAATAGCCACTAACTTGGGATTGTAAGGAAGATTGAAAGACATATTGTCTATATAGGGATTCACAGAGTGTCTGGCCCACAGACATGAAGATTATCTACTACTGAAACTTACTTCAAGCATTTAAATAGCCTTTATCTTTATTCAACCTAATATTATTTAGTTGAGTGACTACCAATGTCCAGAATTCTGTTCTCAAAGATGTTAGTACATTCTTTTCTACCCCTTGGAAACCTGGCTCTAAATAGATCAATGAAGAGAGTTTCTATCAAAGAGCCAAAGCCCTTCCTTCAAAAGAGAAATATTTTGGTCAGAATAAGCCCAGTAAGTAATAGAAAGTCAAGGCATATTTCTCGAATTAATGAATAAATGAGCAAACCAGATGGAACAGCTGTACTCACCTGAAAATGGGGAAAAATTATTTCAGATACCCTATGCTTTACAATGTGTTAGTGACACCTTATATTTTATTCAAAAATTAGATGATCATAAAATATCAGTTATTTGGGATATAATTCATGTTATATCATCTTATAAAACATAATCCATAAATATGTTCAAATCAAAATAAAGCTGGAGGCATCATGCTACTTGACTTCAAACTATACTACAAGGCTACAGTAACCAACACAGCATGGTACTGGTATCAAAACAGATATACAGACCAATGGAACAGTACAGAGGCCTCAGAAATGACATCGTACATCTGCAACCATCTGATCTTTGACAAATGTGACAAAAAAAAAAAAAAGAAATGGGGAAAGAATTCCCTTTTTAAAAAATTGTGCTGGGAAAACAGGCTAGCCATATGTAGAAAGCTGAAACTGGATTCCTTCCTTACACCTTATACAAAAATTAACTCAAGATGGATTAAAGACTTAAATGTTAGACCTACAACCATAAAACCCTAGAAGAAAACCTAGGCAATACCATTCAGGACATAGGCATGGCCAAGGACTGCATGACTAAAACACCAAAAGCAATGGCAGCAAAAGCCAAAATTGACAAATGGGATCTAACTAAACTAAAGAGCTTCTGCACAGCAAAAGAAACTACCATCAGAGTGAAAAGGCAACCTACGGAATGTGAGAAAATTTTTGCAATCTACTCATCTGACAAAGGGCTAATATCCAGAATCTACAAAGAACTTAAATTTATAAGAAAAAAACAACTCCATCAAAAAGTAGGCAAAGAATATAAACAGACACTTCTCAAAAGAGGACATTTATGCAGCCAACAGACATATGAAAAAATGCTCTTTATCACTGGTCATCAGAGAAATGCAAATCAAAACTACAATGAGATACCATCTCACACCAGTTAGAATGGCGATCATTAAAAAGTCAGGAAACAACAGGTACTGGTGAGGATGTGGAGAAATAGGAATGCTTTTACACTGTTGGTGGGAGTGTATACTAGTTCAACCATTGTGGAAGACAGTGTGGCAATTCCTCAAGGATCTAGAAATAGAAATACCATTTGACCCAGCATTCCTAATACTGGGTATATACCCAAAGAATTATAAATCATGCTACCATAAAGACACATGCACACGTATGTTTATTGCAGCACTATTCACAATAGCAAAGACTTGGAACCAACCCAAAAGTCCATCAACGATAGACTGGATAAAGAAAACGTGGCACATATACACCATGGAATACTATGCACCTATAAAAGATGAATTCATGTCCTTTGCAGGGAGATAGATGAAGCTGGAAACCATCATTCTCAGCAAAATATCACAAAGACAGAAAACCAAACACTGCATGTTCTCACTCATAAGTGGAAGTTGAAAAATGAGAACACATGGACACAGAGAGGGGAACATCACACACTGGGGCCTGTTGGGGGGTTGGGGGCTAGGGGAGGGATAGCATTAGGAGAAATACCTAATGTAAATGACGAGTTGATGGGTGCAGCAAACCAACATGGCACATGTATACCTATGTAACAAACCTACACGTTGTGAACATGTTCCCTACAACTTAAAGTATAAACATACCAAATTGTAAAGACCATCAATGCTAGGAAGAAACTGCATCAAATAACAGGCAAAATAACCAGCTAACATCATAATGACAGGAACAAATTCACACATAACAATATTAACCTTAAATGTAACTGGGCTAAATGCCCCAATTAAAAGACACAGACTGGCGAATTGGATAAAGAGTCATGACCCATTGGTGTGCTGTATTCAGGAGACCCATCTCACATGCAGAGACACACACAGGCTCAAAATAAAGGGATGGAGGAAGATCTATCAAGCAAATAGAAAGCCAAAAAAAAAAAAAAGCAGGGGTTGCGATCCTAGCCTCTGATAAAACAGACTTTAAACCAACAAAGATCAAAAGAGACAAAGAAGGCCATTACATAATGGTACAGGGATCAATTCAACAAGAAGAGCTAACTATCCTAAATACATATGCACCCAATACAGGAGCACCCAGATTCATAAAGCAAGGCCTCAGAGACCTACAAAGAGACTTAGAATCCCACACAATAATGGGAGATTTTAACACCCCACTGACAATATTAGACAGATCAACGAGACAGAAAGTTGACAAGGATATTCAGGAGTTGAGCTCAGCTATGCACCAAGTGGACCTAATAGACATCTACAGAACTCTCCACCCCAAATCAACAGAATATACATTCTTCTCAGCAACACATCATACTTATTCCAAAATTGACCACGTAGTTGGAAGTAAAGCTCTCCTCAGCAAATGTAAAAGATCAAAAATCACCACAGTCTCTCAGACCACAGTGCAATCAAATTAGAACTCAGGATTAAGAATCTCACTCAAAATCGCACAACTACCTGGAAACTGAATGACCTGCTCCTGAATGACTACTGGGTAAATAACGGAATGAAGGCAGAAATAAAGATGTTCTTTGACACCAATGAGAACAAAGACATAATGTACCAGAATCTCTGGGACACATTTAAAGCGGTGTGTAGAGGGAAATTTGTAATACTAAATGCCCACAAAAGTAAGCAGGAAAGATCTAAAATTCATACCCTAACATCACAATTAAAAGAACTAGAGAAGCAAGAGCAAACACATTCAAAAGCTAGCAGAAGGCAAGAAATAACTAAGATCAGAGCAGAACTGAAGGAGATAGAGACACACACACAAAAACACCCTTCAAAAAATCAATGAATACAAGGGCTGGTCTTTTGAAAAGATCAACAAAATAGACCACTAGCAAGACTAATAAGAAAAGAAAGAAGAATCAAATAGATGCAATAAAAAATGATAAAGTGGCTATCACCACTGATCCCACAGAAATACAAACTACCATCAGAGAATACTATAAACACCTCTGTGCAAATAAACTAGAAAATCTAGAAGAAATGGATAAATTCCTGGACACATACACCCTCCAAACACTAAACCAGGAAGAAGTTGAATCAGTGAATAGACCAATAACAGCTCTGAAATTGAGGCAATAATAGACTACCAACCAAAAAAAGTCCAGGACCAGATGGATTCACAGCCGAATTCTACCAGAGGTACAAGGAGGAGCTGGTACTATTCCTTCTGAAACTATTCCAATCAATAGAAAAAGAGGGAATCCTCCGTAAGTCATTTTATGAGGCCAGCATCATCTTGGTACCAAAGCCTGGCAGAGACACAACAAAAAAAGAAAATATTAGACCAATATCCCTGATGAACATTGATGCAAAAGTCCTCAATAAAATACTAGCAAATCGAATCCAGCAGCATATCAAAGAGCTTATCCACCAAGATCAAGTTGGCTTCATCCCTGGGATGCAAGGCTGGTTCAACATAGGCAAATCAATAAACGTAATCCATCACATAAACAGAACCGATGACAAAAACCACGTGATTATCTCAATAGATGCAGAAAAGGGCTTTGACAAAATTCAACAGCCTTTCATGCTAAAAACTCTCCATAAATTAGGTATTGATGGAAAGTATCTCAAAATAGTAAGAGCTACTTATGAGAAACCCACAGCCAGTATCATACTGAATGGGCAAAAACTGGAACCATTCCCTCTGAAAACTGGAACAAGGCAGGGATGCCCTCTCTCACCACCCCTATTCAACATAGTGTTGGAAGTTCTGGCCAGGGCAATTAGGCAAGAGAAAGAAATAAATCGTATTCAATTAGGAAAAGAGGAAGTCAAATTGTCCCTGTTTGCAGATGACATTATTATATATGTAGAAAACCCCATTGTCTCAGCCCAAAATCTCCTTAACCTGATAAGCAACTTCAGCAAAGCCTCAGGATACAAAATCAATGTAAAAAAATCACAAGCATTCTTATACACCAATAACAGACAAACAGAGAGCCAAATCATGAGTGAACTCCCATTCACAACTGCTACAAAGAGAATAAAATACCTAGGAATCCAACTTACATGGCATGAGAAGGATCTCTTCAAGGAGAACTACAACCACTGCTCAATGAAATAAAAGAGGACACAAATGGGAGAACATTCCATGCTCATGGGTAGGAAGAATCAATATCATGAAAATGGCCATACAGCCCAAGGTAATTTATAGATTCAATGCCACACCCATCAAGCTACCAATGACTTTCTTCACAGAATTGGAAAAAATTACTTTAAAGTTCATATGGAACCAAAAAAGAACCTTCATTGCCAAGACAATCCTAAACAAAAAGAACAAAGCTGGAGATATCATGCTACCTGACTTCAAACTACACTACAAGGCTACAGTAACCAAAACAGCATGACATTGCTACCAAAACAGAGATATAGACCAATGGAACAGTACAGAGGCCTCAGAAACAACACCACACATCTACAACCATCTGATCTTTGACAAGCCTGACAAAAACAAGAAATGGTGAAAGGAGTCCCTATTTATAAATGGTGCTGGGAAAACTGGCTAGCCATATGTAGAAAGCTGAAACTGGATTCCTTCCTTACACCTTATACAAAAATTAACTCAAGATGGATTAAAGACTTAAATGTTAGACCTAAAACCAGAAAAACCCTAGAAGAAAACCTAGGCAGTACCATTCAGGACATAGGCATGGCCAAGGACTTCATGACTAAAACACTAAAAGCAATGGCAGCAAAAGCCAAAATAGACAAATGGGATCTAACTAAACTAAAGAGCTTCTGCACAGCAAAAGAAACTACCATCAGAGTGAACAGGCAACCTACAGAATGCGAGAAAATTTTTGCAATCTATTCATCTGATAAAGGGCTAATATCCAGAATCAACAAAGAACTTAAACAAATTTACAAGAAAAAAAATCAAACAACTCCATCAAAAAGTAGGCAAAGGATATAAACAGACACTTCTCAAAAGGAGACATTTATGCAGCCAAAAGACACTGAAAAAATGCTCATCATCACTGGTCATCAGAGAAATGCAAATCAAAACCACAATGAGATACCATCTCACACCAGTTAGAATGGCGATCATTAAAAAGTCAGGAAACAATAGGTACTGGTGAAGATGTGGAGAAATAGGAACACTTTTACACTGTTGGTGGGACTGTAAACTAGTTCAACCACTGTGGAAGACAGTGTGGCAATTCCTCAAGGATCTGGAACAAGAAATACCATTTGACTCAGCAATTCCATTAGTGGGTATATACCTAAAGGATTATAAATCATGCTGCTATAAAGACACATGCACACGTATGTTCATTGTGGCACTATTCACAACAACAAAGACTTGGAACCAACACAAATGTCCATCAATGATAGACTGGATTAAGAAAATGTGGCACATATACACCATGAAATACTAGGCAGCCATAAAAAAGAATGAGTTCATGTCCTTTGCAGGGACATGGGTGAAGCTGGAAACCATCATTCTGAGCAAACTATCGCAAGGACAGAAAACCAAACACTGCATGTTCTCACTCATAGTTAGGAATTGAACAATGAGAACACTTGTACACAGGACGGGGAACATCACACACTGGGGCCTGTCGTGGGGTGGGGTGATGGGGGAGGGATAGCATTAGGAGATATACCTAATGCTAAATGACGAGTTAATGGGTGCAGCACACCAACATGGCACATGTATACATATGTATCAAACCTGCACGTTGTGCACATGTACCCTAAAACTTAAAGTATAATAAAAAAAAAAGAAAAGAGAAAATAAATTGATGATAGAAAATAGTTGGAAGGAAATAACACTAACCAAACTGTGTAACATCACAGATGTCTTTTGGAATCTTTTTCTTTGTCTTACATTGTGGAATCACTCCAGCCTGTTGCTAGCCACAGAAATGCAGACTCCAGGGCAAACTCTGTAGCTGTCACACAGCACAGTGTCCTTTCACAGATAATCCTAAATGCATACTTTCTGTTCCGACTAGTCATAGGATATAGATCTCAAGCGAGTCCATCCTCAAGAGCAGCACAAACTCATCCTCAGTTAAATCTCTTGGTGTCTTATCAATAAAAGTAATGGTTCCAGTTCCAGGCAGTGCACCAGAGTACATGCCATCTGAAGGAAGATTGTCCTGTCTCCTCTGACCTGTGGTTGCGTCCAACACACAGCTGATCCACTCAACCAAAGCCTTCATCAGATCTTTTTGTGGATTCTCACAACTTGCTCACATTTCTTCCTTTGTTTGCTGATCTTCATACTTAATAACTTGACGCAGAAATGTATTTTGTTCTAGAATAGACAAATAATCAATAAAAAGAAATATCTAAGAGCCTAAGATGTGACAAATCACTTTCTTTGAACTATTGAAGCCCCACAGAGCTATCTGAGAGCATTAAGTACTCGTTCATCAAGGTTGACATAAATTACCAAGCCTGTCTGAAATAGCTCATTAGCCCTTTCTGCCTGCTTCCAAGGGAGACCTGCCTCCATCAGTCTGACAGTATTCTGTGTGAGTGACACGAGACACATCGATTCATGTTTTCTTTTTAACTGATTCCCATTGTCATTGACCTGATTGCCCTTTCATTATGCAGGGCAAAGCAAGAGCGGGCACACTGGCCACTGATAACTGATCCTTGGCACTTTGAAAATAACTAGATGGTGGGAGTGCCACCCTCCTCTGCTCCCATCAAGTATTTTTGCCAAAAAACAAAAACAAAAACAAACAAAAAACAAAAAAAAAGCTTCAGTCAGATCATGCTTCCCGATTTAGTTGTAGTAGTTTATGGGAAATCCAGGGCACATAGCAACGTGTTAAACACACCATGAGGAGACAACCAGCAAAATCCAAAATGCAGGAAACCCTGAAGGACAAATGATTTGGTAGTTTGGAATAAATTACAAGAAAAAGAGATGAAGAATGTTTAGATTGAAAGAGATTTCAGAGGCTATCCATCAAATGCAATGAGTGGATGTTATTTGAATCCCGATTCAAGCAAAGTGCGAACAAAACGTATGAGACAAATGGGGAAATTTGTACACTGAATAATTGATGATATTACAGGATTGTCAACAACAAAAAACTCAAAGTATAATAATAAAAAAATAAATTTAAAAAGATAAAAAATTCAAAATAAAGAAGTTTAAATACATCAAGTCTATCGTCTAAGACATATATATTCTCAGAATCTATGAGAGCCTCTGGGTCATTTAATGGCATTGTTTTATAGCCTAAAATCAGGCCTAAAAGATGTTATTATTTCACGTCATTTCAAACTTTGGCCTTCACTGTTATATGGTACTTCTCACTGTGTAAGATTTCTAGACACTCCACTGTCCTAGAAAATAAAGAACAGCAGAAGAGGTGACCCTTGAGGAGACAGGTTAACACAGATCCAAGTAGAGTACCAGGACAGTAGCTTAGAAATGCAGAGATGTCCTGCTTGTGGATGGTAATATGCCCTTGAAATCAGATGTTCTCTAAAAAGAAAGCCAAACAAAACAAAGCAATGTCATGAAGCCCATTTCCCATTATTTTTCCTATATTTTATATAGGAAAAATTCCCAACATATTTCTAAAATATAATTGAAATACAGAAAAAATACTTAGCCTATAACCCCATGATTATCAAAACAATATAGTTGTTAAAAAAGAAGCAATTACATTTTATGCAGTAGCACTTTTATTTCCATTGCAATTACTTCCTCATTTGCTTTGCTTACTTCCCCACAATTTTCATGAGTAATTTCTTGTGTTTGGGGGCTCACATTGTATTATTCTTGGCAAAAACCTTGCAACAATATGAAAGCTATTCAGAACAAGTGCCCAGTGGCAGAGGGTGGCTCACCTTGAGTGTGACACTGTGATGCCTTCTTAGAATCAGACATATCCAAATTACATATCTTGTTTGTTGACACTCACCAGACTTTATAGTTTTCGAACATTTATCATGATTTTGACATTCTACTAATTGTGTTTTGGAATACAACTCAAGACTTTTCCTAAACATCATTTTGTTTGAAATGTTATATTGTGTCTAGGGACAAAAATATACAGTTTTTGATGCAAATATAGGCTGAAAAATGTTGCATTGATATTTTTGTAGGATCCATGAGTTTTGGATATTAAAAAGTAAAAGGTAGTATTCCGTCGGGAAATATCCACTCAGAAAACCCTCTATAGGGCATTCTTGTACAATATTGCCTAGAATTATAAGGAGTTAGTCTCTGTACTAATATATGAATTAATATGAACTTTTTTGCCCCTCAGCATTAATATTCCATGACTCTATTTCATTTTGGAGAACTGCTCCTCACTCCTTGTTAGTTTGTATTATTTGGGTGGGACTCATCATACCTCTTGACCCACGGTCAGGCCAATCCTAACACGTTAAATATATGGTCACAATTTATATTCATGGATAGAGAAGTAAATACATGATCCAGGCAAATAAAATGATATTCAATTTCAGATTTGTTTGTTTACTTGATTTGCTCAGAGTCAGAAAACTACTGTTTAAAAAGCACCCTACCCCACATTTTTTAACCAGACTGCTGAGTAAAGAGCCTGAGATACTTCAGAGACAGAGAGAGACTGTCTAGGAATGAAGGCAATACAGAGGGATTAAAAACAAAAGTAAGTAATCACTTAAGTCTAGCTATTTCCAAAGTCAGTTACCCCTGTAGTTTTAGGCTATGTGCTTTTTAGCAAAAGCCATGCCAACTTACAATACCAGGCAAGATGTACAAGCAAGATTATGTTAACAAGTAAACAGTACAAACCTAGTGGCTTAACAGAACAGATTTATTTCTGGATCACACAATATCTGATTTAGATTAGACAATTCTCTAGGAAAGCTCTCTTCCATGCAGTGATTCAAGGATCCAGGCTGATTCAACCTGTGGCCTGCAAGGTTACCACTAAAGGGGAAGAGACAGCATGAGGTAACATCTTGTTCTTAAAGGCTTTGGGCTAGATGCTACACAGATTGCTTCTGTTTGGGATCCATTGTCTAAAACTTGTCGTGTGGTTTTCATGTTCAAGAAATGCAGAATCAAATACTGAGCAATATTAGTTTCGACCAAAAAATTTTGGGGGATATCTTTCACCAAAAATATCCTGATTAATACAGACATATTTAAAAAAATAAATTATAAATATTTTTTCCCATAATTCTCTACTGGTAAGAAAATTGATGAAGAAAGGAATGAGGATGAAATGTGATGAGGAAGGTGAAACTGAATGCTTTGGAGAGAATGTGCCCTGAAAGAAATATTGTATAAATAAGTACCTAATATGATTCATCATGTGGATGTATGCTAGCACTATCTTGTTGCTTTCCAGAAATGATATTATTTGCTCAAACATATAAGCAGTATGTCCTTGCACCTCAATATACCACCTCCCAACAACATCTGATAACCACCCTCTTTTATTTCTCCATCGTAGCATCAATCATATTTTGTAGTTGAGAAATGACAATGGCAGCTTGGGCTCAGCTGTGAGGTACAAGACTCAGTGCTTTCATTCCTCTTTATCAGCTCCACTATCAACTTTGCTGCCATTCAGCAGCATCACCTGCTTCTCTGCCACCAGGCCATGGTATTATGCAGTTTAACTATTTCAGCTCCATTTAAGCAATAAATATTAGCAAAATTTTCTCTCATTCTGACTAATAAGACTCAAACTCAGCCTTCATCACCTAACTCCTCGTTCAGTTCAATATCCTTCATTTGGGTTCTTTTCATATTAGGTTCATTTCTGTCAGACCTATCTATACACCCTTACCAGACCAATTTTACACAAACACCCACAATGTATTTCTTCATATTATTAGTTGATTTCATAGTGGATATCTATTTTCTACCAAACCCAATGTAAACTTCAGTTCCTCGTTTTATTAGTATGGTCCCATCATTTCTACCCAAACTAATGATGCACTCTTTCCAACATTTATCTGTCATTCTAGACAAGGCTGTCTCCAAACAATCTTGTGTGGAATACAGATGGCTCCCAACTTCTGATGGTTTGACTTACAATTTATTGACATTACAATGGTGGGTTAGCTACATACATTCAGTAGTGACTGTACTTTGAGTACCCATACAATCATTCTGCTTTCCACTATTAGTACAGGATTTGATAAATTACAGGAGATATCCAACACTTCATTATAAAATAGTTTTTGTGTTAGATGACTTTGCCCATCTGTAGGCTAATGTAGCTGTCCTGAGCACATTTAAGGTAGACCAGGCTAAGCTACAATGTTCAAAAGTTAGGTGTATTAAATCCATTTTCAAGTTAATAATATTTTCAATTTATGATGGGTTTATTGGGACATAACCTCATCATAATTCAAGGAGCATTTGTATTCTAAGTGGGTTTGTCTGCGAGGCCTACTAGTTCTATAGAAGAAACCTGGTTGGGAAGAAACAAGCCTGTGATCCTGTCCCAAAGAATTACAAGCAGTAGACTTAGATTGCAAGGTGGGTAATTAGCAGTCTAATTAAGAATGTTCAGAGATATGGTAAACTCATTCACCAAATTTAAAGGAGTCTAATATTATAGACTAGGTACTACAGTAGGAGTCTCCAGGATAGTGAATTATTTAAAAAGAATTTTGAACGCTTATAACACAAAGAAATGATAAATGTTCAAGGTGATATATGTACTAATTACCTTGATTTGATTGTTATGCTTCGTATATATGTATTAAAATGTCACTCTGAGCCAGCTGCAGTGGCTCTTGCTTGTGATCCCACTGCCTTGGGAGGCCAGAGTGGGAAGATAACTTGAGCTCAGGAGTTTGAGACTAGCCTGGGCAACATAGTGAGACTCCATCTCTACAAAAAAAAAATTTGTTTTAATTAGCTAGCCATGATGACACACACACACACAAGTAGTCCCCGCTACTTGAGAGACTGAGGCAGGAGGATCATTTGAGCCCCAGAATTCTAGATTGCAGTGAGCTATAATTGCACCACTGCACTCCACCCCTGGTGACAGAGTGACACACACACACACATACACACACACAGAGAGAGAGAAATCACTCTGCATCTCAACAATATGTACAATTACTACGTGTCAACTAAAAATAAAAAGATAAAAAAGAAAACAAAAACAAAAAACATCAAGATCACAACTTGAATATAATTAGATCACTGAATTATACGTTTAAAAGAGGGAACTTTATGTTAAGTAAATTATATCTCAATAAAGCTATTATTAACGTAATTACATCTCAATTTGAGTACAAACTTCAATGGTAGATGTACAAGCTATAGTAATATTTCTCACAATTTAGTATAGTGTTTTCTCAAACTTTTTCAAATTATGAAAGTTTCTTAACTTCCAAAATCTAGGGTACTCTATATGGGTATTATAATTTCAGAAGTCTAAAATTGGATTCTGAAACATGTACTTTTATTAAGCAATCTAGGTGACTCTATAGGTGTCTCATGGCCCATACTTAAAAAATTAATAGAAATCACTGGTCTACCTAGCAACCAGCCCTAAGAAGAGAAGCTGATTATGGCTGGAGAGATTGTCAAAGTCCCAGTCAAATGTATTCTTCAGGGAAAATTCAAGATTTTACAAACTGGAGCAAAATCAAAAACAAGAAAGACTCATTTCATTCAGACTATGAAAAGAGGGCAGATGCAGTGGTTGGGGGAAATTTGCATCTCAGTAACTACAAAATCACTCTAAAGCTGACCTGAACAATTCAGCTTATCAGACTTTATATAAGGTTTATATAGCAAGGCTAATTTGGGGTGCACTTATTCATAAGTGTTATAAGCTAATAACATACTCTCCACTTTGACTGAGCAACTGTAATTGGTAGCTGCCAGCTGAAGACATCAGGGCTTGCATTTGGAAAAGGCTGGAAATACAAGGAAGGAATAAGAGTGCAAACACCCGCACGATTTCTGCTCCTTACATCAGGAGCTATTGCATGCTCAGATAACATCTCCTGATGGGGGAGTGTCCAGAGTCACATAGGAATTAAATAAAGATAAAAAGTGTATGCCTGCAAGGTCGATTGTGGATATGTCCAAGCTGCTGACCAGCAAAATCTGTCATGTCAGAGGCACATCTTAGAGAAGATTGATTCTAAGGGGACCTAAAGTGATGCTTAGAACTTCCCAAAAAACAAAAATAAATTGTTTCCTGGAAGAAGTCAGAGAATGATGCCTGAGGACTAGTATCAGAAATTAGGAAACAGAAACCTGGTTTCAGTCAAAAGGAAAAAGCAACCTTTTTATGCCAAGGCTGTATCTTGGACAGCACAATATAAGTCATGACTTTAATCAAAGTCATTTTAAAAGTCACTTTTCAATATATGGCATACATTCCCAGCTTTCTAGCAATTTCTTATTCCTTCTTATCAGGACTTTATAGCAAGAAATCATCTATTCTATGTCGGTTAGCCCCAAATTGTTCTCTTTATTAGTCTATCATGTATTCATTTAGTAAACATTTATTGAGCAGGTTATTGTGCTAAAATGACAAGGAAAAATTTCCTGTTCTCAAGGGGCTTAAAGTCCAACATAATTTGTTCCTTTACCCCAAATAAATAAAAAATATTTTAGTCAATGACTGAACCATATCTCCTAGCTGTGTCCACTTTAACATCCATCACAACCAGACTTACTGTTGTCTTTGAATACTTTTTTGTTAATGGAATATCAAACCCATTTATTAAACACGGGATATTTTTTAAAATATTCCAAGCACTGTGAGTTAGGTTATGCCTCAGTATGGTCAAGGCTTCTAATCTACAATACTGGAGATGCCAATGCTGACAATCAGTTTGAAGGTTTTTACTGAAATAAAAATACCATTTCTATTAAAAAAATTATCTACTGAGTATTTAATATTGAACAAATTGGTGTGTTTCATAAATAGAAGTTTCTCTAGTAGATACTAGATAGGATTTCATAGGCAGATTTAATCAGAAGGAGCACCTGGGTGTCACCATGTATACATGAAAATGAGATTCAATTAAGTGGGGAAGAGGTTAAAATAGGAGGAAAACTAGCAGTGAATTAGTTGTTCAACATGAACAGTCTAAACAAGACAGCCAGGAGATGGAATCTAACTTTTCAATCAATATCAGAAAAACAAGGTACTGAATTGTCTGCCCCTACTCATTATAAGCATGAGCAGAAAGTTAGGAGTTGAATTCACAATTACATAAATTATTTATTCACTATCTTTGTATTCATTACCATCACCAAAATTTTATTAGGTTTTTTGGTCATCCAGACAATTTCAGATATGGAGAAAATAGTGGAGCCTCGACACAGTGACAGGCACTATTTTAATAAAATCAGTGTTGATCTCTCTCAATCTTATAGTTACTGTCATGTTGGAAGCTGGGCTTTCCCAGCAAAGGAAAAGAAGGTCTAACTTCTTATACTTCCTATCAGCACTATGCTTATGGACAAAAACACGTTTGAAGTGTTTTTGGTAGGACAGCTAGGGGCAGCAATGTACATTTTATTTTCTAAGATCATTAAACCTATCAGATTAATAAGACCCAGTATTTCAAATAAGTGAGTTAGTCAAATGTCTACTTAACAATTATTATAATACTGGATTGTTACATCAAAACAATGCATGGAATAAAACAAGTTTAAAACAAGTTTTTTTGTTTTGTTTTGTTTTGTTTTTAATAGGGCTCCCTGGGTCTTTTAAAACCATTGTTCAGACTAGGTGGGTTTTCTTCATTAATACAAAATGAAGATTTAAAGTATCACATAGCTATATTCTGTTTATGAGACTAAGAATTCCTCTTGTAGAGGTAATTCACAATTCATCTCAAAATGCAAAGGAATTACAAACACCAAATATTATATGCTCTCTATAGTAGTAACTAAGCATGTTATAGATAAATGTTGTAACTTAGCTAAAACAAGACTAACTAAAGGATTGGTTTGGGACAGTGTCAAATGAGTCTTTGGGTGGTTTCTGGTGGCTGAAAGTTGCCTAGAAGAAAGAGATGGATAATAAAGTTTTGTAAAGGCCTGTGAATGAAAATGGGTCAGCTGAAAGAGAGACTATGGTTATTAAAGGAAAGTGGGAAAAAAAAAACCCTGGAATTTGAGAAATGTGCCATATCATTTGGAGGAGTGACTCAAATTCAAAAGTGAGGATCAACAGATGAACCAAAACAGATTGGTACTGAGTCAAGTGCATATGTTGCCAGCAGTTGGAGGAGGAGCAGATTCTGTCTGGACATTTCTCTGGTTTTAATGTACTAGGAACCAGAAACACTTTTGAGCAGCCAGTGGAGCAAAATAGTTACAGAGGCCAGAACTACCAATAGCACTGTATCATGGTCACCTTTCAACCACATTGCCTCTTTTTTTTTGCTACTACAGCTTCTGAAGTAAATGCATGCCATCTCAATAAGAAGGCCTACAAGAATGGAAAAAAAAAATGAAGCTTCATCCTTGGGTGAATTCACTTCCTTCGGAAAGCAAATGCCAAAATGGAATTATACATGAAAGAGATTTAGTAGGGAAAAGCCAGTGAAAAATAAAGAAGAGAGGGAACGAGAGTAGACAGGGATTGCCTTCAGATAGATGCAGTTTTGATACCTGTAAAGGGACAGGGAAAAGAAGGAGAATGCTGTAGAAAGTCTCATACTGCATTGTAGTTCCGAGAAAGTCTCTATCAGCTCAATGAGGAGCCCAGATAAGAAATTGCATATTAAAGGAATCCTGCATTTAGCAAAAATGGCCAAAGTCTAGTACCCTTGCTGAGCTAGTCATGGCATGGGGGATCATGGCTGTGGTGTGAACAATGCAGTGGATTCCAATTAGAATGCAGCTGGAGGCTACTGTACTCCTCACAGGATCTTCTATCCTAAAGTGACAACTGAGCAGCAAAATTCTGTTGCTGCCATAGTGCCTCCCTTGCTCTGCACAGATCTACTTCTCCATACAGTTTTTAAAGTAGTTCCTCCATTTTCCCCTTAACGCTCTCTTCATAAAAGGAAACTTTAAAGAGAGGTCAGTAGGATGAACAACATACCCCATTACTACACTTTGCTTTGGGGCTGCAACGGGTAACCATCTCTCCCTTCTCCTAACCATTCCAAATTTCCATCTCTGTCCTTTGTTATCCATTCTAAATTCCTTTACCCCTGTAGGTCTTAGTAGCTTACCAGCTGTCACCTAACCCCTCATTTTTAAGGGATCTAAGTGGCTAGTAATCATACACATCTCAGGCTAGTAGAATTTCACATAATTTACAGTCGAAATTGTACAAGGGAATACTAAAAAACAACCAAGTTGATCACGTGTTCCATACATAGTCTTCTCTGCCTCAAGGTATAAAACAAAGAATATCTCTGGTGTTGATCAAGATCAACTGTCTTGGTCAATATGGTAACTCTTCTCACCTGAGGGTGGTCCCTACTCACAAAGAGTCCAAAGTTCTCAGGCAGCATCCACAACTTATAGTTCGATAAAATCTCCCCTGTCCACTGGCAAGAGTGTTCCTTTAGGGGAACCAAGATCTCTGAACCTCCATATCCCAGACTTTCAGAGATGAGAAGTATAAGGTCTCCTGGTGGATCAAGAACATAATGACAAAAAAAAAAAGTAAAAAATGGAACAGAGAAGAGATCTAAGAATACATGAAACCACTGACATTTTACCAGATCACATTCCTTTCTTGTGCAAGTCTATTTCTACTGTACCATAGAGAGCTCTGAGGTGTACCTGAAACAGAAATTTTGTAAGTTAAACCAGTAAGTTGTCAAATAAACATCATCAAGTAGTCTTATTTTCTCAGACCATTTCAAATACATACTAAGAAATAAACAGTATAAGATATTTTTCAAAGCATCTATTCTCAAGGGCTTCCAGGAACACTCATGACCATCCCTCCACCATCAATGTTCCGAAAGGATGATACTAATGGAAACAAGATACGCTGTTTGTTCTTTTATTGTCTATCTGCCCACATTCTCATTTTCCCAGAGAAAATATGGCATTTTCCCAATTTACTGCTCAGCATCTTCTGCTTGGAGGTTGGTGAAGTATTGCCATTCCCAGGGCATCTGTACCCTCTTCCTCCCACAAATGCCAACTCTCTCCTTAGGCTCTGCAGTCATACCTGCTTCTGAGGGTCTCCTCTGGTGCTGATGTATTAAGTATATATTTCTCTGATCTGAGCCTGACTTAGTAAAATATTTATTTAACACCTCCACTGTAAAGTATTTTCTCTTTCATAAATCCATGCATGCAAAATAGCTTTAGTGTCTCCTGACTAACAATAAGAATAGCAGTGAAAAGATTAGAAAGAGCTATGAACTTGAAGTGAGATTATCTGGTGGGTTGAGTTCTGCTTCAACTAGTCAAATTGTCATGAGAGTGAAGCAGTTACTTGGTCTTTCTGAGACTTTTTTATTTGCAAAATGGAGGTAGTAGAAATCTACCAGAGGAATATTTTCTGAAGACAAAATGAGATAAAAGATTTGAAAGTCCATTGTAAACTCCAAAATGGATTATACATGGAACAGAATGAAATACTAACAATATTACTATTATACACAATCCAAAGAAGCACATCATTAATCAAATTGTTATGGTCAAAACAAAATGGGAAGATGCTTGAAGTGAGACATACTTTTTGGAATCCTTTGAATCACATAAATGATTCCCTACTCAGCATATTCTAAGATCAACCAGCTTCATCCTTGGCTCTTACTGTGTGTCACTTATTTAGACTTTAGTCATTTTTTTTTTAATCATCAGGATTAATAACTCCTGGTTTAATCATTCCTCAGGGTAATTGTAAAACCATATACAATAAACCCTAAGTAAAACTAAAACATTTTGTACACTGTAATGTGATGTGCAAATTATAGATTGTGTCTTTATTTATCTATCTTCTTATAGGTTTGACGGTGCTTTCAGAAATCTATCTTAGCTTAGAGCCCTCTACTTGAAAAGGCTTAAAAGCAGTATCCAATATCATATATACTTTAAATTTGGTATCAGGAAGACTTAAATGAAATATATTAAGTATCAGTCACTTTCTTTCTGTCCCTATGTGCTATGTCAACCATACGGTTCCAGGTCAGAGTTGGCCAAAAGGGAAACCTGCATGTGGTTTGGAAAGCAGAAGTGAAGTTGAGACATTACTTGACTGAAAGTCGTTGCAGTCAGACATGATAAAGGTGAACACAATAAGGACAGATGAAGAGGTACCCAGCAAATCCAAGCTTATCTAGGTTCTCTTCTGCTCCACATTCAGCTAGTGCCTGACTATAGTCTCTGCTGGCCAACAGCAATCCCTAGCCCTACATCAGAGACTTCGCTGTAGATCCACAAAAGGGTAGCTTTACCTCTGTAGAGACAACAGCTTCTTCCAGGGCAGCAATCTCCACAGATCCTTCAGAAGTCACCCCTTTGCTGTCCACCTTGGCTCTGTTCTGTCCACTCACACTAGCGTATGAGACTGACTGATTAGCCACTATTACTGTAACCCCCCAACTTTCACTTTTCAGACTTCTACTTCCGCATTTTCTCCTACATTTGTGTAAATCTAATTTCTAATAAAATTTTTATTTCTAATAGAAACCCCTGATTTCCATAAAACTTACAGTGGTTCTCATTTCTGACTGATCCAAAGATTTCATAATGCCCATGCCTGCTGCAAAGCTCTGGACAAAGTTGTTTACTATCCAAAGCTAAAAATGTAGTACGAAAGCATTAAAAAATGCAATGTCATTCACTTAAAACCAATAGGGATATGTCATGTTTTTATTCTAATATATGGGTTTTATTATTTAAAACATGTAGTAGCCAAAGTAAATATTTAATTCCCTTGGGTCCTGTGAAAAACTTGGAGACTTTTGAGTAACAAAAGACCTTAGAAACTACCCACTATTCCCATAGCAGGTAGATGAGGAAACTGATGTCCAGAGATGTCAAGTGATTTGCATGAAGTCCCTCAGAGTCAATGACTTGCAGTTCTGTTATAAGACCTCCTAAACTGTTCCCTTAACTGACCATAGAAGAATGCAAACAATCTTATTCAGTTAATCCACTTAATTCAGAATGGCTATCTGCTTTAAATAGCTTCCTTTTCCCATACATGATCCCATTCCTTAATCTTCACTCCCCTTTCTCTTTGTCTCCCAAGCTACCAGCTTCTATTCCCTGCAATATGAATTGCTTTTATTTTCCTTGACCTAACTAAATACATACTAAGATTTCCTCTCTCCTCATTTTGGACTGAAATACAAAATAAACAAGCTCCTAGTTACATCACACATTCAGTGCATTTCTTATAACGTGCTGTATTAGGAATATCCACCCTGTGTTATCTTTGCTTACAGCTTGTTATTTCAAAGATAATGAAATAGAAGTAAGTTGATGCAGACTGGAGTTTTACAAATAAAACTATCAAATGAATGGAGCATGGAAATCTATTCAAGCAGAGGAAATACACTCCATTATAACAAGATGCCAGTGCCTGTTGATGAGCAACCATCTGAATATAATTGTTAGCACTGAAAGTTTCCAATGCCTGAAATACCTGCAGGCAGGGTTTTCTTAGGTCAGCATTGAAAAGTTATAGAAATGATGCACTGCTGTCTCAAAACTCATTGGTAATACCACAGTCTTCACCAAAGTTAAACCTTGCTTTGCCTGAGAAAGGTTTTCTTAGAACACTTTGCCTGTCTTTCACTTTTTCTTTTGCCCATGTTATTCTTAGGATAGCTTCAATTTATTATAACTAAATAATGGTAAATTTTATAATTTATTTTAACAGTGGTTGTTAACTACAAATTTAATTTTGCACTATTCTGATAATATCTACTACCTTCTTTATGCCATACTTGATGGAAGGTGTTGGGATATGGAGTGAAAGTCCATTCCACTCTAAATTTTGTGAGAGCAGGAACCTTGTCCTTCTTGTTCACCAGTAATATACTCTGTGCCTAGCACTCACCTGATACAGAATAAGTACTCAACAAATAAATGATTTTTATTAATTGAATGAATAAATAAAAATTCATTGCAAAATGTTCACAGTCTGGTGAAGCTAATTATATTGTTTTTAATAAGTGTGATAATAGTGATATAAATGCCTGCTTTCTGGGGCTGAGATGAGGAAAAGTCTAACTGATATGCTTAGTTCAAGAATTCCACTATGGAAAGTAAATTGGAGCCTTTTTGGCCAGCTTGAGTAAGAAACTCTCCTACAATGAAATGGTGAAGAAGAAAGTCACATCCCATCTCAATCTGGCAGAACAAGTGAAGATAAGAATGGGAAAATGTAAAAGGACCCCAGATATGTTGCAGAAAATGCTGCTTCTGGTATTTTTCATTATTCGTAGAGACTCCAAAGAGCCAAAAAGAGCTGAGATTCCTGAGAATTAATGGCGCTAAAAACTTAGAGGGACTTTACAGAATAGAAGGAGGCCTTGTAATCTGACTCACCGGCCTCGTTGGAGTATATTTAAGCCTCTTCCAAATAGATAAAGAAAAAAAAAAAAAACCTGGCAAAAATCCAGCTAACCAAACAAAATAACACCCACTTCATTTAATTACCTATATCTTTACTGGCTTTGTCAATGAATAAGTGGTTGGATATAGGAGGAACTGGTAAGACACATAAAGATCTATGTCTTGGGTAAAGAGGCAGAGAGCAAATCAGTATGTTCATGCTAATGGGCTGCTATAGCATTTTGTATATTTACAACAAGGTCTAAAACTACATACTCTGCCGGTAAATCATAAACATTTTAAATTCAGTAAGAAAATCAAGAATATCTGGAGTAGTAAGAAAAATATGAAGCTTAAATCTAAAATTAAACCCACGAGTATAAACAATTCAACCAAGAGCCAGGTGTTGGATGCAAAATCAACTAAAATTTTAGCGACTTCAGTGGTATTTTAGCTAGCTGAAATCATTTCAGGAGGCTGGAAGGCACAGCTTGCCATATCCAAGAGATTGAGCTTACATCCCAAACTTAGAATAGAGCCTTTCCTGGTTATGCTGTTGATATTTTAAGAAACATGACAGCCCCATCTGCCATCCATATGAGAAGTCACTCTTTCCAAGATGTCACTGAATTTATGCCTATAACCCTAAACTAACAGGAAAAGGAAATATCATTCTCCCTCATCTCCTTCCAAGAAAGGTTTAATGTGCAAAAGTCTAGCACTCTTTCCAAGAAGATAACCAAAGATTTTTTTCTACCAATATATACCAAAGTATGTCAATATCCAAAGAAGATAAGAGGTAGAAAAGAGTCTCAATACCCATGTTGATTATTTTTAACCTAAAATTTCCCTGCCAAACCTTCACTAACCACTCCATATGCATTATTTTATTTAAGCCTTACAATGACTCTAGGAATTTAGTTAAAGGTATAATCATTAAGTAGGTGAAAAAAAAAAAGTCCCTACAGAAGTTAAGGTACTGGTTCCATCCACAACAAAGTTACAGAAATGAGATTCAATTCCACATTTTTCTAATGCCAAATTCTATACTCTTAACTATTCTGATATGGTGTCTCTATAATCGCATCACATCCTTGATTACCATTTCTTCACAGTCTCTCTCATGTGTAGCAAGGTTCCTCATTCTTCTATAGGCTAGTTATGGATAGAATTTTGGTTGTCTATGAATGTGGTTGGGAAAAAATTATGTATCTTTATATTTTCACCAACTTCTAAGGCACGTTAACATAGCCTTACATTATTAATTTAGGCAAAACACTGTAGTAACATCACCAGTACCTCTAACTTTGTCACTAATAGAAACCACAGATATTTTCATATCACTTTACATTGCAAATATCTCAAAATACGTTTGTCATCACCATTTATTGCAATTATGTAATTAGGTTGTTAGTACCTGCCACTAAATCTTCTTATTTATTGCACTAATAAAGAAGCACATATACTATGATTATCACTATTTTAAAAATATATTTTGGTTCAACACAAATGCCTTTGAAATCATAATAGTCTTGTTTAACGTTACTCAAAAATTTTCTGAGAAGCGGCTTTACTATATTACCAAAAAAGTGCACGGCACATACAAAACTGAAGAAATTCTGTTCCATAGGACAGTGGTCCCCAACCTTTTTGGCACCAGGGACTAGTTCCGTGGAAGACAATTTTTCTACAGAGGGGGTGAAGGAGGGTATGATTTTGGGATGAAACTGTTCCACCTCAGATTTTCAGGTATTAGATTCTCATAAGGAATGCCCAACCTAGATTCCTCACATGCACAGTTTACAATAGGGTTTGCACTCTATGAGAATCCAATGCCACCACTGATCTGATAGGAGGTGGAGCTCAGGCAGTAATGCTTGCTCGCCAGCCACTCACCTCCTGCTGTGTGGCCCAGTTCCTAACAGGCCATGGACCAGTACTAGTCCACAGACTGTGGGTTGGGAACACCTGCCATAGAATATAATCCAAACTCTATTATAGGAAATCCAAAACTTTTCATAGAGTCTATAGGACAAGGAGCATTTCTTGACACAAGTTGAGCCCATTAGAGTCTTTCTTAATAATTTTTTTTAAACTAGATTTGGAGATTTACTCAGCTTTTCTTTGGGGACATAATACATGAAGGTGTTAGACGCTCAATCTTCAGCGGCTGTGTTTTCCCCACTGTGGTCAAAAGAGCGTGTGTGTGTGTGTGTGTGTGTGTGTGTGTGTGTGTGTGTGTGTAAAACAAAGTTAACCAACAAAAAAGAAGATTCATGGACCAAGAGACCCAGCAGCATTTCAGCCTGGCTTTAGTTAGACATGAAGGTTGACAGAATTCCTACCTTTCCTATAGTTTAGTTCCTAAGCCCTTCAACTGAGGTACTCCCATATATACTTAATAAATCCAGTCCTTTGCCCAAGATGGTTCAGGTTGGATTTCTGTTACTGGCACTGAAATGAGCACCTAGTAATAATCTGCATTTTCAATTGTATATACATGTTTGCCTTTCATTGTAAAGACATGTAAAGAAAGGCCCAGATGACTTGAGACTATTTTTGTCAAGAAGCATATCAGATTGAACGAGAGTGTCATTCATTTGTTCCTTCATTTTCAAACATTTATTGAAATCTATTCTATGCCAAAAATGATACTAAAATCTCAGAACTGAGAAGCTATGTACCACCTCTGGCCTTAACAGCATCAATAACAAAGATTATGTATACATAATAAAGGTTCTGATAAACATATCCACAGCAGGTAATAGAAACACAGACAATAGTTACTTAGCCCACCTTGGAGACATCAGGGAAAGGATAGGTAATAAGGCAGGGTTTTCTGGAGCAGATGAACCTGGGAAATATAGATGACAAATTAGAAATTTCATGTCTTTCTGAGGTGGTGCAATTGTGCAACTTGTTTGGTTTTTAATTTCTTTTTAAATTATTTTCAATAGCCATCTTTCAGTGGTTCCATTATTTCATGTGCAAGAATTGACAGGATAAAAATATCTTGATACTGCTGAGTCACTCAAAGTAGGATTCTCCTTGGCAATTGGTATGTGTCTATCTAGGGAATATGTGACTCCTGAAACTGATCATATTCTCTTTGGCTTTAGCCACTAAACATTTTTGAGCCACGCTTTTGACTCACTTTTTGGAATCATTTGAGAACTATGCCAGAGACTTATTGTATTAATTTGCCCTTTGGTTTCATTTTACCTCTTTTCTACTTCCTCCAAGCTGACTTTCATCTTTTTCATCCCTTCATCTTTTGTGTTTTAATCTGTGAACATTATGAACATTTTCCTGTCTTATCATGTTGCCTGTTTTATTATAAGCAATTACAAAATCTTATTTGGATCTAGAGATATAATAAATAAATGCACTCATAAACAAAAGTAAACTAGTACTATTTAATCACTTCCATTGCCTGTCTCTCCTCAGGGTCCATTTAAAATTCTTCTAAGTGATTATCCTTCAGCTTTTTCTCTCCTTCCAAGTGTATTCTGTATGTCATTAGTCTACACATTCAGGATAAGTCATTCCTAAACAATGAGTATGTTTATATCAAATTGCTTTGCTTCTCAAAAAGTTTCCATGACTCCCCATGGTCTATAAAGCAAAATTCAACCTCCTTAAATGGATTCAATTCAAGGATTTTCATGCAATGGACCCACCTTGCCTTTTCAACGTAGTCTCTCATTTTCTCCCTTTCCATTATCCCATATTATAGTCCAAATTGATCAATTACTATTTCCTGTCCATGACCCTGTATTTTCATCCCTCTGTTTTTAATTAAACTAGACCCTGTCACCCCTTTAATCTTCACATATCTAAATCATATTTATTTGTCAAGGCCCAGTCCAAATGCAACCATCTTCATTCAGTCCTAATTCTTAATTATTCCCAGTAGAAATGAAATATAATTTCTGAGCTTTATTGAGAATTCAGCTATTCCTTCCATTGGCCATTTAACTTATCTTACCTAGTTATATTATTTAATATATACCTTTCTCCCACAATATTAATAGTAGTAGTAGCAATGGCAGTAGAACATTTATCTTATGCCAAACACTTCTAAACATTTCACTTGGATAGCTTATTTATTTCTCACAGCAACCATGTAAGTTAAAAACCATTATTATACCATTTTACAGATGAAGAAACTAAAATAATAACAATTAAGTTGTGTCTCACAAAGGTTACATTTCTAGAAGATGAAATTACTAGCCCTCAAACTTGAGTAGTCTGACTCTAGAACTCATTCTCACCCCTGTTCCACTATTCTCCCTACTGTGATAGACTAAGATCACTGAAAACAGTTCTGAGTTTGGTACAACTTTGTAGCCTACATAATGTCCAACATCATATTTTGGGTCTAATTAGTGCTCAGGGAAGATGTGAGTAAAAAAAATGAGTTAATAAGTTATGTTTAGACATTACCAGGGATAACAACATTTGAGACAAAATGAAACAAAACACAACAGCCCTTTCTACTAAAAACATATTTTGTTCCTTTTTAGTGTCATTATCAGCTATGAATTCAGTCTTTTTTAAAAAGTTTTTACTGAAGTATGTAACCTAGTAGCTACATTTAATAATCGTTAGTAATAGTTATGGCTTTCTTTGCTATTATTATTATTGCTGTCAGTACCACAGTGAATTAGAAAGAAATATGTAGATTCCCAATGCACAACAGAGAATGCTAAGTCTTCATTCAGCTGGCTGAATGATATGGTGAAGATTATTTTCATAGCCAGTACTAAAATCAGTGGCTTTGCATTTCCAGGCTGGTGATCAGAACAACAGAGCCCACAGCTACAACCTAATCTCAAGAATCATACCTGCTTCTTTAACAGAAAACAGAAATGAAATCCATTCATTACTGGTCTGTGACATATTTGGTAGCATTCAGAAACTCAATTTCTATGATCATCTTTATTCATTTATCTAAAACAGAAGTTGTGATGAAAAAAAATTGAAGACGATTTATGTGCTTAACTGGCACCAGAAAATTCAAGATGTTATGCAACTTCAATTTTTAAATAGCATTTTCTTCCACCTCAGAATCACAAGCACAGGAAAAATAACCAACCTTTGTTTTGAACTCCCTTGCTTTTGTCATTTCATGGCAAATTCTAAAATGCTTACAGATAACAACTTTGATTCATTCTGACTAGGTAGATGAAGCCAGTCTAATAGCAAATGCTGGTATTCCAACTTCAAAAGATATGTAGAGCTAAGTCATTTCCTATTTATGATCTATCATCCTTTCTGAAGTATAAAAAATGTTGCATAGACTATACGGACAGAAGAGGAAAAATTAAATTTAACAACTTTCTGCAACAGGCATGCCTTTCTCTAGAGACAACCCCAATTATCTTAACTGTAATAAGAAGTTAATTGTTAGTAGCCTTCCCTCTGCCAACTTTCTTCAACTTCAGTCCCCAAACATGCAGACTGCCTTCAAAGTAAATAAAGATTCATTGCAGGAACAGGGATGCAAGTGGCTCAAGCTGGAAGCAATGACCCAAGGGGCTTATATTAAATTTGATCTCTGACTTTAATTGTGACTCTAAACAGATGATAAATTACCCTTTATTTGAACTCAACAGCTGTGTACTCTCCCCATCTTAGTCCCACTCCCCTCTCCTCTAACCCTTCCTAATATAATTCTCTTTCAATATCTCCTACCTCTGTTAATATGACCGTTATCTATTAGTCACTGTGTCCCTTCCGGACCCCTACAAAGTCTCTATTCAACTGTGCTGGTTCCTCTCCTAATGCCTTCCCAGATGCTAAGGAGTTAGGTCTTTTCCATGCTATTTGTTCTACCACTTCCCTTTCTACTAACAATCCCAATCATTGTACCATGCAAACTGGAGGGGACCTATTCCTTTAACTAAAAAGGAACATGTTGCAAGCAATGGGAACATCATATTCATCAGTGGCAATATGGCCTCAGCTTGTGAAGGGCTTAGCAAACTACCAGACCTCAATAGCACTCCCTCTTTAAAGATTGCTAAACCTTTATCTTTGATCAGCACATTTCTGGTCTCTCAAGCATAGCTGAGAAAAGGAACTCAGAACTAGAGTTCTGATAGCACCAGGTCACAGAGGTTCATTGTCATGTCACAAACAACTGCCACCACTTTTATTATTTGAGTCAGTTTTATTGTTCTCCTAGTATAGGAAGAATACTGTTTAAAATAAACCCTGGCTGCTATTGATTGTTCCTTTTGACCAATCATATAATTACTCTTCAGAGAGACAGAGAGGGAAAGGGAAAGGGGAAGGGAGAGAGAGACGGAGCGAGAGAGGGAGAGAGTGAGAGAGAATATGATGTAAATCTAGCTTTTGGCTAGA
Organism: Homo sapiens; assembly: GCF_000001405.40. Taxonomy (NCBI): domain Eukaryota; kingdom Metazoa; phylum Chordata; class Mammalia; order Primates; family Hominidae; genus Homo; species Homo sapiens. Next base: position 29,688,898 of record NC_000011.10, read on the forward strand.
TTTTACATAGCAGAGAAATTCTGGAATGACTGTTGAGGGTGACACAAAGAATAGAACATATCTTTTAGATTGATTTATTACCCTTTAAAGTGAAGGCAAAATAATCCATTAGATATGGAATATTAGAACTTTTGTCTCATTTCAAAATTTTATTTTGCATGTGTATTGTTTGTATATGCATAGAATATTGATAAAATGGTAAATGTGGATAATTTATAAATAAATCAATCTACAGATACTAGTGGAGGCTCAAAAATGTTTTACCTACATTGGTAAGCTATTTACAAAGTTTGGAAACTGCTAGATTAATACATTACCCAAAGAACAGAAAGATGCCTAGAGGTACAGTAACATTCCAGTTATTCACTTTTGTTGAGCCATTTCACTCACTCCATGGACCCAGAGCCAAAGCCATTTTTTTTGTTTTATATATAATTCAGATTACAAGGGTAAAAGGTGGGGTGGTTGGCATTTCTGTCCATAAAAACACTTGCCAAACAATTGAAGCATAATCCTCAGATTTTTACATTCCTCTAAACCAGAAATCTCATAGTTTCCCTAGAATCCTCCCTCTCTGTCACCATCCAAATATTAACTGCTCACCAAGGACTGCTGATTTTTTGTGCAAATACTGCCTGCTGTCCCTCCACTCCATTTTCTCTGCAACTTTGCCACAATGTATATGTACACTGTGGCTCTTGTGAATGGTGTGTTCCCTGGAATTGCGCATTACATGGTCTTGACTTTTGTATTCAGTGACTGTGCCTGTTACTTCTCTAACTTGAGCAGTTACCACTTCTTTTCTTTTTTTTTTTTTTTAACTTTGAGTACTTATCACTTCTTACCTCAACAATTGCAGTTGTCCTTGCCTTTTATTGCCTTCTAATTCATCTTTCCTAGAAGTATATCTAAAAGGCCAAGTTTGATAATGACCCAGAGCCACACTTCTAAAATTTTCCTATGGCTTACCATGGCCTTCAAGATAAAGTTTGAGCTGCTTTGCAGATAGCCTGTATATTCTACCACCTGAATCTGGGTTTATCTCCCATCATTACCAATATAATTATACCCTTAAAATACTGAATTTGCTGTGGTGTCCGACACATCACTATGTTTCTTGGGTCTTTACATATTGTGCACTAACTTTCAATTGTCTAGGATGCCCTTCATTCCCCAACCCCAAACATTTATTTGCCTAGGTAACTCCTGTTCTTTCCTCAAGACTCAGCTTGGTTCTCATAGAAGACTTTACCTTAACCTTCACACTAGCGTCAGTTCATCAGACCGCTATCACTTCACTTAATAGATTTATTCTCACATAAAGTATCCATATGATCAGTTTCTTTGTCAGTCTCTTCCCTGGATTGAAAATTTATTGAAGTCAAGTACCTTATAATTTTTGCATTCCCAGTGCCTAACATATAATGTGAGCATAAAATTATTTATTAAACTGAACTGAATGTGTACTTTTATTTCTTCAGAATGTCATATGCAACAGGGGATTCAGGTTTTTACCTAGGGCATCCTTAACCATATTCTCAGACAGCACATCTCTTAGTATTTAGCTAGTCCAGAGCTTACCACCCACAAAATAGATATAAAATAGGGGAGAAAATTATCCTTTCATTTAAAAAAAAAAAGCTCTTTTATAATATCAAGTATTTTCTAAGGAACATGACTTCTGACAATTCAAAGTTTCTTTGTTCTGCTGCACTTTGACGAGTTTGGGATTGCAAGTTGTCCTCAGGAGCTAGTAGCTAAATTTCTATGCAAAATTGAGGGAAAAACTTAGAGCTGAAGAGGACAATGTGTGAAGGAGGAGCAGAGGAGGAGAAGGAATGAGAGACATAAGCAAGCCGGCAAATTGGGAATTACATGAGAAAGTGCCTCCCGTCACCCATCCCTTAGCCCTGTCATCTTAAGATTATTAGTTCATAGAATTTGTGGCATGAGTATATTTCTGGTGGAAACTGAAGAAAAGGATAAAAAATAAGCTTATGCGTACATAGGAGTGAGAAGTAGGGAAGAACATGAGAGTCAAAGTCCACTGAGATGAGTAGCAATCCTCAGAAATTTGGATTTCTTAGGCATGGAATGAACTGGCATTGAAACCAATCACCTCTAAATCTCTGAGAAGCAGAGAAACCTTGATTAACATTTGGAACCACAACAGAGAAAAAGAAAAGGTGCAATGCAGTATTATAACTCCATGCATTTAAAAAGACATAGCAGAGATACATTGATAAAGGTTTCAAATTAAAAAAATATTATTCTTGCAAAAAGTGAAAAATTCCTAGAACACCATCAGGTTTCAAAGAATACAGAGATAATTCTGGACCACATTAACTAGGAAAGACTATGTATGGTAAAAGCAAGATCGATACTAGGCTCTGACTTACCTGAAGACATGAGTTAATGGACACACTTTAGAAAAGGAATAAGCAGAAGTGCAGAAGCAGCAGTTAAAAAAATAGGTCAAAAAACAATAGATCAAATAGAAGGTGTATTTGAGACAAATAACATACTTTTCATCCAGAAATGTAGCATCTCACCTCTTTGAACTGTATCAAATAGCTTAGCATTCTGACCAAATGCTTTCATTCAGCTATCAGTGATCTCATTACCAATTTGTATGCTCTAAAAACAAGCCATCCTACTAAGAACTTTTTAGGAATAAAAGTACCCTGAGCATCTAATACTAATAACTTCAAATTTTCCCTATGAACTTTTATTAGCCACAGTATTTGAATCACTTTGAAGAGAGAACAATTCTTGCTTTTACTATATTTTACAAAAAGACCCTAGTGCTTTACACAACATTAAAATCTTTCTAAGTCCTCAGTGTCACCAAGGCTCAATTTCTCATATTGGTCCTTGGAAGATGAGGTAACTAGATCATGTTTTATAAAGTTCCATTAAAATTATGAGGACATGTCATAGAATATATACCTGTCACTTCATTAGTACCATAGATGCTCACTGCTTTTTTCAGATAGGCTGAGTTGAATCTTCTTGTTTGTTTCTCATGTAAGACAATAGTTCAGAGGCCCTAGAAAAGGATTGGCTGGGCTCATATCCATGTTCAGTTCCTACTAAGATATGTGACCTTATGCAAGTTATTTCAGTTTTCTCTGCAACTCTTTCCTCATCTGTAAAATTAGGATGCTAATAATAGTGCCTATCTTGTTTGTAAGAATTAAATGAGCTAATCCTACTGTATGTGTACTGATGAGTTTGGTTCAGCTGTGAGAAAGAAAGGCCCAGAGAAAGAAGTCCACAGGTCAGCAAGCTGGTAGGGTGGCTCCATGGTATCAGGAAGCTAGGCTGTTTCTCTTGTTGATCTACAGCACGGGTCCCCAACCCCCAGGCCATGGACCATTACCAATCTGGTCCATGCCTATTAGGGACTGGGCCTCGCAACAGGAGGTGAGCTGCATTTGAGCAAGAATTACTGGCTGAGCTCCACCTCCTGTCAGATCAGCAGTGACATTAGATTCCCATAGGAGTGTGAACCCTACTGTGAGATGCACATACAAGGGATCCAGGTTGTGTTCCCCTTATGAGAATGTAACTAATGCCTGATGATCTGAGATGGAACCAGTTTCATACTGAAACCTTCTGCTAACACCCCTCAATCTCTGCAAAAATTGTCTTCCACAAAACCAGTCCCTGGTGCCAAAAAGTTTGGGGACCACTGCTCTACAGTACTTAGATTCTATTTTCATGGTTATTTCATTATCCTAAGGAGCTGTTGAAACTAGAGGCATCATCTTTGCATTTCAGACAGTAAGAGGAAGGGTCAAAAGAGAGAGTATTAGTTATCTGCAAATTACACTTCTTGGACACCCCACACAAGACCCTTACTGTCCTCTCACCAAGCAAAACTTATCACATGATCTACCTATGAAAGAAATTAGGAGAGGAGAGGAGAGGTAGAGGTTATAATCTTTTAGCTAAATTGTAGTATGCCTAGATTTTTATAAAAATCAGATTTATTTTACTAAAGAAAAAGGGAAAATAAGTAGCAGTCTGTCCTATACTATGTGAACATTCAATATACTTTGTAGAATATAGGCAGTGTTCAATAAACTCAAGACATTGTATTTTTAATAATCTAATTATTAAGATACATTAAGTTTTCTCATTGCTTAACATAATACAAATTCTAGGTTCTAGGTCCAAAATTCACTTGTTTATTAAACTACAGATAATCTCTTTAATGTTCTCTGCAACTCTAGATTTTGGTTTGTTTGTTTTTTAAGACAGGGTCTGGCTCTGTCACTCAGGGTGGAGTGTAGTGGCATAATCACAGCTAACTGAAGCCTTGACCTCTCTGGCTCAAGTGATTCTATCACCACAGCCTCTGGAGTAGCTGTGACTACAGGTGCATGCCACCACACCCGGCTAATATTTGTACTTTTTTAGAGACAAAGTTTCAGTGTGTTGTGCAGGCTGGTCTCAAACTCCTGGGCTCAATCAGTCCTCCCACCTCAGCCTCCCAAAGTGCTAGAATTACAGGCATGAGCCACCATGCTCACCCTAGATCTTTTTTATTTTGGTAAAATTAATACAATGTTTTTCTTTTTTTTCCACTGCTAATTACCTTCTAGAACCTGTATCATTTTGGTCAAATTATAATTTAGTCTCCATAATTTGAACATAATTCTTATACAATGGGTTTATGCATACTTTGATTTTTTTTGTTTAACTAGGAGGTGTTAAAAAAATTCAACTGAGAGATCACTAGAATGTGATAGCTCCAGTGCCCTGGGTTCGTACATAAGCAAACCAAGACCCAACTCAGTGTAAACAGTAAAACAAAACTTAAGCTTAACCAATCAAAAACTACCAGCTAACATCTAACTAGAGACTTGCCAATCATAAACCACTAATTTAACTAGAGACTTTCCATTTTAACCAATCAAATATTTTCTTATTACTTCAATAGGTTTTTGGGGAAACAGGTGGCATTTGGTTACATGTGTAAGTTCTTCAGTGGTGATTTCTGAAATTTTGGTACACCCATCACACGAGCAGTGTACACTGTACCCAATGTGTAGCCTTTATCGCTCAACCCCCTTCCATCCTTTCCCCCAAGTCCCCAAAGTCCATTGTGTCATTCGTATGCCTTTGTATCCTCATAACTTAGCTCCCACTTATGAGTGAAAACATGCGATGCTTGGTTTTCCATTCCTGAGTTATTTCACTTAGAATAACGGTCTCCAATTCCATCTAGTTGCTGTAAATGCCATTATTCCATTCCTTTTCATGACTGACTAGTATTTCCTGGTGTGTGTGTGTGTGTGTATGTGTGTGTGTGTGTGTATCACAATTTCTTTATCCACTCGTTGATTGATGGACATTTGGGCTGGTTCTGTATTTTTCCAATTGCTAATTGTGCTGCTATAAATATGTGTGTGCAAGTATCATTTTAGTTCTTTAAGAAGTCTCCACACTGTTTTCCATGGTAGTTGTACTAGTTTACATTCCCACCAGCAGTGTAAAAGTGTTCCCTTTACATCACATCCATGTCAATATCTATTAATTTTAATTTTTTCATTATGGCCATTTTTGCAGGAGTAGGGTGGTATTGTATTGTGGTTTTGATTAGCATTTCCCTGATCATTAGTGACACTGAGCATTTTTAAATATATTCCTTGGCCATTGTATATCTTCTTTTGAGAAATGTTTATTGATTTCCTTAGCCCACTTTTTGATGGGATTGTTTTTCTTCTTGCTCCTTTGAGTTCTTTGTAGATTCTGGGTATTAGTCCTCTGTCAAATGTACAGATTGCAAAAATTTTCTCTCACTCTGTGGGCTATTTCCTTTGCTGATTGTTTCTTTTGCCATGCAGAAGCTTTTTAGTTTAATTAAGTCCCATCTATTTATCTTTGTTTTTGTTGCATTTGCTTTTGGGTTCTTGGTCATGAAGTCTTTGCCTAAGCCAAAGTCGAGAAGGGTTTTTCTGATGTTATCTTGTAGAATTTTTATGGTTTCAGGTCTTAGATTTAAGTCCGTGATCCATCTTGAGTTGATTTTTCAATAGGGTGAGACATGAGGATCCAGTTTTATTCTTTTACACATGGCTTGCCAATTATCCCAGCACCATTTGTTGACTAGGATGTCCTTTCCCTACTTTATGTTTTTGTTTGCTTTGTTGAAGATCAGTTGGCTGTAAGTATTTGGCTTTATTTCTGGGTTCTCTATTCTGTTCCATTGGTCTATGTGCCTATTTTTATACCAGTACCATGCTGTTTTGTTGACTATGGTCTTACAGTATAGTTTGAAGTCAGGTAATGTGGTGCCTCCAGATTTGTTCTTTTTGCTTAATCTAGCTTTGGCTACGTGAGCTCTTTTTTGGTTCCATATGAATTTTAGGGTTGTTTTGTCTAGTCCTGTGAAGAATCATGATTGTTTTGTCTAGTTCTGTGAAGAATGACAGTGGTATTTTGATGGGAATTGCATTGAATTTGTAGATTGCTTTTGGTGGTATGGTCATTTTCACAATATTGATTCTACCCATTCACGAGCATGGGAAGTGTTCCCATTTTTTGTGTCATCTGTGATTTCTTTCAGCAGTGTTTTGTAGTTTTCCTTGCAGAGGTCTTTCACCTCTCCTTGGTTAGGTATATTCCTAAGTATTTTATTTTATTTTATTTTATTTTATTGCAGCTATTGTAAAGGGGGTTGAGTTCTTGATTTGATTCTCAGCTTGGTTGCTGTTGGTGTATAGCAGAGCTACTGATTTGTGCATATTAATTCTGTGTCTTGAAACTACAGTTCTAGTAGCTTTTGGGAGGATTCTTTAGGGTTTTCTAGGTATACAATCATATCATCAGCAAACAATGATAGTTTGACTTTCTCTTTACTGATTCAGATGCCCTTTCTTTCTTTCTCTTGTCTGATAGCTCTGGCTAGGAATTCCAGCACTATGTTGAAATGAATTGGTGAGAGTGGACATCCTTGTCTTGTTCCAGTTCTCAGAGAGAATGCTTTCAACTTTTCCCCATTCAGTATTATGTTGGCTGTGGGTTTGTAATAGATGGCATTTATTACTTTAAGGTATGTCCCTTCTGTGCTGATTTTGCTGAGAGTTTTAATCATAAAGTGATGCTAGATTTTGTCAAATGCTTTTTCTGCTTCTACTGAGATGATCATCTGATTTTTGTTTTAAATTCTGTTTATGTAATGTATCACCATTATTGATTTGCATATATTAAATCATCCCTGCATCCCTGTTAGGAAACCCACTTAATCATGGTGGATTATCTTTTTGATATGTTGTTGGATTCGCTTAGCTAGTATTTTGTTAAGGATTTTTGCATATGTGCAATATTTGTGCGTAGTTTTTTTGTTGTTGTTACCTTCTTTCCTAGTTTTGGTATTAGGGTGAACTGGCTTCATAGAATGATTTAGGGAGGATTCCCGCTTTCTCTATGTCATAGAATAGTGTCAGTAGGATTAGTACCAATTCTCCTTTGAATGTCAGATAGAATTCAGCTGTGAATATGTCTGGTCCTGGACTTTTTTTTGTTGGCAACTTTTTTTTTATTACCATTTCAATCTCACTGCTTGTTATTGGCTGTTCAGAATTTCTGTTTCTGAGTTTATCTAGGAGGGTTTTATATTTCCAGCAATTTATCCATCTCCTCTAAGTTTTCTATTTTATGTGCATAAAGGTATTGTTCATAGTAGCCTTGATGATCTTTTGTATTTCTGTAGCATCAGTTCTAACATCTCCCATTTTGTTTTTAATTGAGCTTATTTGGATCTTCTGTCTTATTTTCTTGGTTGATCTTGCTAATAGTCTATCAATTTTATTTATCTTTTCAAAGAACTAGCTTTTTGTTTCATTTATCTTTTGCATTTTTGGTTTTAATTTCATTTAGTTCTGCTCTAACCTTTGGTATTTTTCTTCTGCTGCTGGGTTTAGGCTTGGTTTGTTCTTGTTTCTATAGTTCCTTGAGGTATGACCTCAGATTGTCTATTTGTGCTCTTTCAGACTTTTTGATATAGGCATTTCAGCCTATAAACTTTCCTCTTAGCACAGCCTTTGCCATATTCCAGATGTTTTGATAGTTTATGTCACTATTATTTTTCAAAGAATTTTTTAATTTCCATATTGATTTCATTGTTGACCCAGTGATCATTCAGGAGCAGGTTATTTAATTTCCATGTGTTTGCATGGTTTTGAGGGTTCCTTTTGGAGTTGATTTCCAATTTTATTACATTGTAGTTAGAATACTTGATAGAATTTCAATTTTCTTAAATTTATTGAGACTTGTTTTGTGGCCTATCATATAGTGTATCTTGGAGAATGTTTCATGTGTTTATGAATAGAATGTATATTCTCCAGTTGTTGGGTAGAATGTCCTGTAAATATACTTTAAGTCCACTTGTTCTAGAGTATAGTTTAAATCTATTGTTTCTTTGTTGACTGTCTTGATGACCTGTCTCGTGCTGTCAGTGGAGTATTGAAGTCCCCCTCTATTATTGTGTTGCTCTGTATCTCATATCTTAGGTCTAGTAGTAATTGTTTTATAAATTTAGGAGCTTCAATGTTAGGTGCATATATATTTAGGATTGTGATATTTTTCTGTTGGATAAGATTTTTCTTCATTATATAATGCCCATCTTTGTCTTTTTAATGGCTGTTGCTTTAAAGTTTGTTTTGCCTGATATAAGAATAGCTACGTCTGCTTGCTTTTGGTGTCCATTTGCATGGACTACCTTTTTCCACCCCTTTACCTTAAGTCTATGTGAGTCCTTATGCATTAGGTGAGTCTCTTGGACAGCAGGTACTTGGTTGGTAAATTCTTATCTATTCTGCCATTCTGTTACTTTTAAGTGCCATTCTGTTACTTTTACTTTAGGCCATTTACATTCAATGTTAGTATTGACATGTGAGGTACTATTCTATTCATCATGTTATTTGTTGCCTGAATACCTTGTTTTTTTTTTTTTTTCATTGTGTTGTTATATAGGTCCTGTGAGATTTATGCTTTAAGGAGGTTCTATTTTGGTATATTTTGAAGATTTATTTCAAGAGTTAGAGCCCCTTTTAACAGTTCTTCTAGTGCTGGCTTGGTAGTGGGAAATTCTCTCAACTTTTTTTTTTCTTTGTCTGAAAAACACTGTATCTTTCCTTCATTTACAAAGCTTAGTTTCAATGGATACAATATGCTTGGCTGACAATTGTTTTGTTTAAGGAGGCCGAAGATGGGCCCCAATCTCTTCTAGCTTGTAGGGTTTCTGCTGAGAAATCTGCTGTTGATCTGTTAGGTTTTCCTTTATAGGTTACCTGGTGCTTTTGCCTCACAACTCTTTAAGATTCTTTCCTTCATCTTGACTTTAGATAACCTGATGACTATGTGTCTAGGTGATGATCTTTTTGTGGTAAATTTCCCAGGTGTCCTTTGAGCTTCTTCTATTTGGATGTCTATTGGGTAGTGCAAAAGTTATTGCATTTTCTGTCATTCAAAGTAATGGCAAAAACCTAAATTACATTTGCACCAACCTAATAGATCTCTAGCAAGACTGGTGAAGTTTTCCTTGACTATTCCCTTAAATATGGTTCCTAAACTATTAGATTTCTCTTCTTCTTTAGGAACACCAATTATTCTTAGACTTGGTTGTTTAACATATTCCCAAATTTCTTAGAGGCTTTGTTCATTTTTAAAATTATTTTTTGTCTTTGTTGTTGTATTGAGTCAATTCAAAAACTTTATCTTCAAGATCTGAAGTTCTTTCTTCTACTATTCAATTCATTGCTGACACTTTCCACCATATTTTGCATTTCCCTAAGTGTGCCCTTCACTTTCAGAAGTTGTGATATTTTAATTTATGCTATCTATTTCACTGAATATTTTTCCCTTCATATCTTGTATCTTTTTTACATTTAAGTTGGAATTCACTTTTTTTCTGGTGCCTCATTGATTAGCCTAATAATTGATCTTCTGAATTATTTTTTCTGGCAATTCAGGGATTTCTTCTTGGTTTGGATCCATTGCCAGTGAGCTAATGTGATCTTTTGGGGGTACTAAAGAACCTTGTTTTGTCATATTATCAGAATTATTTTTGTGTTTTTCTCAATTGTTCTTTTGTGTAGAATATGTCAGAGGTAATATCTGGGGCTCAAGGGCTTCTGTTCAGATTATTTTGTTCCATGCTCCCTTGATATAGTGCTCCCCCATTCCCCTAGGGATATGGCTTCCTGGGAGCTGAACTGTAGTGATTGTTATTTCTCTTCTGGATCTAGCCACTCAGTGGAGTTACCAGGTTCCGGGCTGGACTGGGGGGGTGTCTGTACAGAGTCCTGTGATATGAACCATCTTCACATCTCTTAGCTGTGTATAGCAGCACCTGCTCCAGTGGAGGTGGCAGGGGAGTGATATAAACTCTGTGATGGTTCTTGTAGTTTTGTTTATTGCACTAGTTTTCTGTTGGTTGGCCTCCTTCCAGGAGGTGGTGCTTTCAAGAGAGCATCAGCTGTGGTAGTATAGTGGGAGTCAGGCTGTGGGTGGCGTCCTAGAGCTCTCAAGAGATTGTGTCCTTTTGTCTTTGGAGTTTTTCAACTATTTACCAGGGCCTGCAGGAGAAATCCACTTCCTTCCCAAATATTTCATTTGTCTTGCTTTTACAAACCACCTTATAGAAGTTTTCCCCTCCCCTTTTCTCAATGAAGCCTAAACTGCTGTGGTTTGGTGCTGCCCAATTCATGACTTGCTGTCTGCTCAAATAAATTCTTTAAAATTTTAATGAGCCTAAGTTTGTATTTTAACAGAGGTAACTAAAAAATACCTTTTCACTTTTATTGTATTTTCGCATCTCAGTTGTTAAAACAATGTCTAAGCCCATGTTGCTACCTTAAAAATAATATCCTTAAAACAATTCCATCTTTGATATTAAATCCATACAGTGATAGGATCTTTATTCTAATCAGTAATCTCCATTGTGTCTCTCCTGTATGTGTGAAAATACTTTGAAAGCATACAGTATCCTGACTGACCATAGGGCAGTTTATAAAAGATTTTTGTTAATTTTTTTTTTCAAAAATCCTTCAATCATTTTTTTCTACAACCTCATTGTTATGTTAAAAATTACATACAAACTGTACTAAGAGTTCCAAATAGTCACATGAGAATCAAATAAATATTTCATAGGTGTTAGAGAAATATTGTAAACAAATTGAACTTAACAAAGTTTAATTCAGCAAAGAATGATTCGTGAATCATACTGCTCCCAAACCAGAATAGGTTCAAAGAGACTCCAGTGCTGCCATGAGATCAAAGAAAATTTATGGACAGAAAAATGAAAGTGACAGACAGAAAATGTAAGTGCAATGCATGAACAGCCAGATTGGTTACAGCTCAGCATTTGCCTTATTTGAACGCAGTTTGAATAGTTGGCCACTTCTGGTTGTCCAAAACTCGATGACTGAAACAAGAGTAGACCACAGTCATTTTACACATCCAGTTAGGTTATAGTTCACTAGGTACAGAGCAACTTTTAGGCCATACTTAAAATATGTAAGAAGACAGCCACTATGTACAGAGAAACCTTTAGGCCATACTTAAAATATGTAAGGAGACTGCTTTAGGCTAAACTTAACATAGGTCATTGAAATCACTAAAATCATAAATCCGTGTTCTGGATCCAATGAATAGCTATCTCATTTTCATTATGCAGAATCCTAATACTTTTTAGTATTAATATCAACCTAAAAATAGATTTTGTCTCAAAAGGATCCACTATAACCATTGCTTTGAAAAAATAAGAAAATAGTCATTTGGAAAAAATTATATGTATTTGTTATCCAGTTTATCCAATTTCCATACAAAGTACTTATTCATAAATTTAAAGTACAATATCCTGGTTTGAGTATGATAAATAACCAAAAGAAAATAGTCATGCTTATGAATGATTAGCCTACAAGTGTGGTAACATTCTTTCTGAACAAACACAAAAGTCCATGCTTCAAATTTGGTTTTCTGCCCAATAAACTTCTTATTTAGGATGTGATTAATGTACCATTACTTCAACATCACTAATGCATATACTCAGTCATATGAATCACACATTTAGATTAAAAACTTGCCAGGAATGAATTGTTGAAAAAGTTGAGGTCTCAAAGCAGCAAAATCACTTGAAATTCAATCAATAATATCTTCAGTAATTGAAGCACTTGTTCCAGTTGAGAATAAAGATGCTCTAAAAATTACATGGTTACCTTTGCTATTTCTTGCTCTGGGAATGAAATGACTTTGCAGCACAAAGTCATTTAGGCAAGAATTGGGGTTCATGTTTATAATGGCCAGAAGTATCAAAAAATAGACTTTTATAAGCCCATGATCCAAAGATTAGTTATGTTATCAGAAAACTAACTACAATGAGGGTTGCTGATGTTTAAATAACTTATTATAAATATGTTAGAGCTTATAGACATATTCCTTAAAAATTGGGGGGAAGAATAATAAATAGAATCAAGGAGGAAAATGGACTACGAATATTTTTGTAAGGCAGGTTTAGAAAAGATAAACGAAGGCAAAGCAAACTGTTCTCAACTCAGGACTTGAAATCCTGAGTTGGTCACTGAGAATAAACTAACGTATATATAAAGGGCAGAAAAGAGTATAAAACAAGCTTTTATGGTGTTTTCTGCTGTGTTTTTATGTATTCTGTCATAAAGTACCTAATTCTGTAAATTAGAAAAATATTTTGTAAAACATACTTTAGTGGACATGGTTATTTCTATTTTGGCTGAAAAGATTTTTTTCAAAACAGAATTGCCTATTATTTTCCCATTTTAAGAAAATAATCTAAAATCATGGGACCTATAAGAAAAGTCAGTTAACTTTTTATGAAAGAATATAAGCAATGGATCACAAGATCAAATCATCCTTCTACTGAGTATAGGTTCTGTGTTTTCGACATCTATCAAAAAATGGCAGGTATGAAAGATGAATTCTCTTGCCTGTGGTCAGATCCAGCAGTGTACTGGAGCTGCCACTAGCTAAGTGTTAAATTTTTAGAAATTTGTCCAACTAATTTTTAAACACAGCTGCTTTTTTTAATCATATAAAATTACAGTTAAAAATTTTAAAAACCAAAGGTAATAAATACTCAAAATTCATCACTTCCTAAATGTATTTTACTACCAAATACCAACTATGCTGTTGAAGTTATTTACATTGGCATTATCTGTATGATAAATACTATATAATCGTAAATTCTGTGCATTTTTCCTAATTCCATGTTCAGTGATAGTAAATTCATAGCTTGAAACTGGCCATGCTGTATTTACATCATGAAAATCAGCAAATGCTATGAATCAAAGCTTGATTTACTGTGTTGTTGTCTGTATTCGATGTGGTAGAAAATGTTAATATGAAGATTAAATATAAAAGTGGGTTATGTCTCTAGCTGTTACATTATAAATTGCACAAAAAATAAGAAAATATTACTCCTGTTTTCAAAAATGATTATTTAATTCAGCAGAGAAATCATTTGTATGCTTGAAGAACAAATAGTCATACAAACGTTCTCCTTCCTTCACTTTTACATGACTAAGTCAATGAAAATATCAATCAACATTCATGTTGAGGCTACACTCATTTATCAATGTCAAGAGTGATTCCTTTTGTCAAATCTCATAGTAAACAAGTGTTTATTTGTAGTCTGATTCCTTTTGTCAAATCTCATAGTAAACAAGTGTTTATTTGTAGTCTGATTTTGTCAGTTCATTGTTTAATTGCAACCATAGTTTGGCTACAGGTAAAAGAGTTTAACAAAACGAACAAAAGTATTATTTCAGAAACAGTTGATTATATGTAATGTACAATAGGAAATATTGTATATTTTATTATTTGTAAATTTCATGCTATACAGCCTTTATATCATTAAAGTATATTATAGATTTGAGTATACATATATGTTATTTTATCACATTTACTATTGTTAGACATCTCCAATACACCATTATCAATATCCAAGTTATAGATCATTTTTTTAAAATATCCTAACCCAATAACTCAGTATGGCTTGGTACTCCAAGAATTTAGCCAATTTATTTGTAAGTCTATATTTTTAGCCTACATTTCCTCTTGCACTTAGTGAGATCTGCTATTATTATACAGATTATTGCTTCCTTTGGATTGATTGAAAAACTTTAGCATAGTATTTTTAAATATGATGAATTTATTTCATCCTACGCACCTTTTGTCCACTCATGGCTCTATTCAACTCAGTCACATCCCCTTTCTGCTTCCATTATTACAAAATGAAGATTCTTCACTCAACTGAATAAATCACTTTCTTTGCTTTTGTCTGTTATTTATAAATACCTTATAAATCAAAGACCACGAAACACATCTGCTTAAGTAAAGTGTTTTCCCAGATTATCCACTGATACTTTCAAGATCTGGAATCTATAAATCCAAGAGAAACTTATGCCAATTTCAGAGGCATCAATAATAAGAGGTAAGTTTTACTCTCAATACTGCACCACAGATTGCAAATGGCAGATGAATAAAATGATCAAGGTCCAATCATAAACAAGAACACAGTAGGAATGGAAAAGGAAAATAATGAGAGTACTGGGAAATGATCAAGAAAACATTCCAGTATCTGTAGATTAGAATTAACGTTTTTCCAAATTGAGGGGAATCCATAAGTAACTGGCTGTAAGTATGAGGTTCCTTCATTCTTCAAATATGTAGCAACCACCTACAATATGTCATGTACTGTGCTAGGTGCTGGAGATAAAACAGTGAGCAGTATATAATCTTAGTGCCTGCTTTCAGGGCACCTATACTTTAAAAGTGAGAGGGATGACTTTGTCATCTTACCTCTTAGGGAAGCATGTTTATTTTCTATTTCTATTGCAGCATTTGTGTTTTCATTGGCCTTCCTCAAGCTGCAGTATCAAAGAACATTTACAGAAATGTCTTGACTTCAAATATTTCTATAAATACCCATCACCTCCTTAGTTATTATTTTAACCACACTTATCTTCTAGTGCTGTGCCTCAGACATGCCAGGCATACTCCAATAGTAGGGACTTTGCACTAGATATTTCCTGTGCCTGAAAGTTCTTACTCTAGATGTTCACATGAGTGACTTCTTCATATTTTTAAAATCTTAGTTCAGTGTCAACTTCTTAATAAGTCTTACCCATGTTAATAAGGCCTTCCTTTATAAGATCTGCTACCTGTGATGATTATTACATGTGTCAAATTGGCTGGGCTATGGTGGTCAGCAGTGTGGTAAAACACTAGTCTAGATGTTGCTGTGAAGGCATTTTGTAGATGTGATTGACATTTGTAATCAGTTGACTTTAAGTAAAGGAGATTACATTTGATAATATGAGTGGAACACATCCAATCGAGGCCTTAAGAGCAGAAGCTGACATTTTCTGGAGAAGAAGGAGTTCTACCTTAAAACTCTAACATAGCTCTGCTTGAGTGTTGCGGCAAGTCAGGGACCCTGAACAGAGGGACCAGCTGAAGCCATGGCAGAAGAACATAAATTGTGAATATTTCATAGACATTTATTAGTTCCCCAAATT
Organism: Homo sapiens; assembly: GCF_000001405.40. Lineage (NCBI taxonomy): Eukaryota > Metazoa > Chordata > Mammalia > Primates > Hominidae > Homo > Homo sapiens. Next base: position 29,704,464 of record NC_000011.10, read on the forward strand.
AATACTTTTATAATTTCTTATGCCTGTCTTTACTGCAATCTCTAACATAAATTGTGAAGATTTCATAGACACTTATCACTTCCCCAATCAATACCCTTGTGATTTCCTATGCCTGTATTTACTTTAATCTCTTAATCCTATCATCTTCATAAGCTGAGGAGGATGTATGTCACCTCAGGACACTGTGATGATTGCGTTAACTGCATAAATTGTTTGTAGAGCATGTGTGTTTGAACAATATGAAACTGGGCACCTTGAAAAAAGAACAGGATAACAGCAATGTTCAGGGAACAAGGGAGATAACCTTAAACTCTGACTGCCGGTGAGCCAGGTGGAACAGAGCCATATTTCTCTTCTGTCACTAAGTTCTTTTTCTCAGCAAGGAACATCCCTGAGAAAGAGAATGCGTCCCTGAGGGGAGGCCTCTAAAATGGTTGCCTTGGGGGCGGCTGTCTTTTACAGTTGTAGCTGTGGGATGAAATAAGCCCCGGTCTCCCATAGTGCTCCCAGGCTTATTAGGAAGAGGAAATTCCCGCCTAACAAATTTTGGTCAGACCAGTTGTCTGCTCATAAACCCTGTCTCCTGATAAGATGTTATTAATGACAATGCATGTCCGAAACTTCATTAGCAATTTTAATTTCGCCCTGGTCCTGTGGTCCTGTGATCTCGCCCCGCCTCCATTTACCTTGTGATATCTTATTACCTTGTGAAGCATGTGATCTCTGTGACCCACACTCTATTCGTACACTCCCTCCCCTTTTGAAAATCATTAAGAAAAACTTGCTGGTTTTACAGCTCAGGGGGCATCACGGAACTTGCCGACATGTGATGTCTCCCCCAGACACCCAGCTTTAAAATTTCTCCCTTTTTTACTCTGTCCCTTTATTTCTCAGACTGGCTGACACTTAGGGAAAATTGAAAAGAACCTACATGAAATATCGGGGGTGAATTTTGCCTGATATTGAGTTTCTGGCCTGCTGGCCTATCCTATGTATTTTAAACTTTCCAGTTCTGACAATCATGTGGGTCAATTTCTTAAAATATAGCTCTGTAAATATATATGTATGTAATATTAATATATATACTGTATACACATATATGCATATATAACAAATTTTATATCCAATTATACCCAATAGTATATAAAACTAATTATATACATAAAACCAGTAGAATATGTACCATGTAAATAGAATATATACTAATTACATACATAAAACCAATAGAATATATACCATGTCTAAACATACAGTTAGATAAAAGGCCTAAGTTCTTTTTTTTTTTTTTTTTTTTTGTGAGCAACAAGGCTGTTTATTTCACGTGGGTGCAGGCGGGCTGAGTCCAAAAAGAGTCAGTGAAGGGAGGTAGGGGTGGGGCCGTTTTATAAGATTTGGGTAGGTAAAGGAAAATTACAGTCAAAGGAGGGTTGCTCTCTGGCCGGCAGAGGTGGGGGTCACAAGGTGCTCAGCGGGGGAGCTTTTGAGCCAGGATGAGCCAGGAGAAGGAATTTCACAAGGTAATGTCATCAGTTAAGGCAGGAACAGGCAATTTTTACTTCTTTTGTCATTCTTCAGAGGCCATCTGGATGTATACGTGCAGGTCACAGGGGATAAGATGGCTTAGCTTGGGCTCAGAGGCCTGACATTCCTGTCTTCTTATATTAATAAGACAAATAAAATGAAATAGTGGTAAAGTGTTGGGGTGGCAAAAATTTTGGGAGGTGGTATGGAGAGATAATGGGTGATGTTTCTCAGGGTTGCTTCGAGTGGGATTAGGGGCGGCGTGGGAACCTAGAGTGGGAGAGATTAAGCTGAAGGAAGATTTTGTGGTAAGGGGTGATATCGTGGGGTTGTTAGAAGAAACATTTGTCATGTAGAATTATTGATTATGTCCTGGATACGGTTTTGTATGAATTGAAAAACTAAATGGAATAAGAAGGAGAAAAACAGGTATTAAAGGACTGAAAATTGGGAGGACCCAGGACATCCAATTAGAGAGTGTCCAAGGGGGATTCAGTGTAGTTACTTGCTTGGTTGGTGAGTTTTTCGGCTCTATTCTTGACAGAGTCCCTTTTTTAAGTTGGAGGCTGAGCTTGGTGTGGTGTGTTTTTAAAAGACCATTAGTCCATTCTAACTTTCATTAAGATTGAGGACGGTAAGTGATATGAAGGTTCCACTGAATACCAAGAGCCTGAGAAACTGCTTGGGTGATTTGACTAGTAAAGGCCGGTCCGTTATTGGACTGTATAGAGGTGGGAAGGCCAAACCGAGGAATTATGTCTGACAGAAGGGAAGAAATGACTGTGGTGGCCTTCTCAGACCCTGTGGGAAAGGCCTCTACCCATCCAGTGAAAGTGTCTTCCCAGACCAAGAGGTATTTTAGTTTCCTGACTTGAGGCATGTGGGTAAAGTCAATTTGCCATTCCTGGGAGGGGGCAAATCCCTAAGCTTGATGTATGTGTAGGGAAGGTGGGGGGGCCTGAACAATCCCTGAGGAGTAGTAGAATAGCAGATGGAACACTGAGAAGTGATTTCCTTAAGGATAGACTTCCACGATGGAAAGGAAATGAGAGGTTCTAAGAGGCGGGCTAGCGGCTTGTAACCTACATGGAAGAGGTTAGGAAATGACAACAGAATAGAATGGGCCTGTGAGGCTGGAAGGAGATATTTTCCTTGGTCTAAGAACCATTTGCCTTGTGTGGGAAGAGATTGATAGGTGGAAGTTTTAGTGGGGGAGTAGGTGGGAATGGCCAAATGAGAAGGAGAAAAACTGCCATGAGAGATAGAAGTTGGAATGCTAGCAGCTTTTTTTTTTTTTTAAGCTATCTTATCAGCATAAGCATTGTCCTGAGCAATGGGATCTGATGAAAAGGCATAAGTTCTAGCATTCAATACTACAGTAGGAAAATTGTAGTTAAAATAATTAATGTATATTTCAAAATAGAAGAATTGTAATGTCCCCAACACAAAGAAAAGATAAATGTTTGAGTGGATAGATACCCCATTACTCTGATTTAATCATTAAACATTCTATACATATATCACAATATCACACATATACCAAGAACATGTACAACTATTATTTAATCAATAAAAATTACAAAAAAAGACATTTTGATTACCAATAATAAAAGCTTATGCTGGTTTAGGCAGAACAATTTCCATTTCTGTTGGTTTCTCACACTAAAGTCAGATCTCTCACTCTTTAATAGGACATTGGCCACCACTATCTCCATGTATGGCAACTTTATTTGGGATGGGAAGCAAAAATGTTTTAATATTTTATTCTGAAAAGTTTTCAATTTGAGCTGTATATATTTGAATCCCATTGAACTGGCTAGTTTTGCATCCCTATCCCTAAACCTATCACTGAAGCCAGGGTAATAAGATATTCTTATTTGCCAAGCCTACACAATATGACCATTCTCAGTACAGGATTGAGGATAGCCCAGCTCCATCCAGAAACATAAGCTGAGAGATAAGGATGGGTGTATTTCTCACTTTTTACTAAAACAGTCCACTCTTCACTCTACCTCCTTCAGGAAATCCAGGCTCTTAAACACAACAGAAAACCATTATCTACAAAAATAGAAAATGCTGCTAATTTTAGTTTGTAATTTTTTTTTTCCTGAGAGGCAGCCAAGCACAGTGTGAAAGCCCATGACCTGGAAATCACGAATGTCAGGTACTAGTTCTGGCTCAGCCGACATCTCAATACATGAATTTCTGTAAGTCCTGCTTCAGGTTCTAGAAATAACACACTGGAGACCAAATCTCAGCTACAACACTTTTTAGGTAGTTTATATTGGGTGATGTTATGAATTGAATTATGCCCCCAAAAAAGATATGTCCAAGTCCTAATTCTTAGCACTTATAAATGTGACTTTATATGGAAATATAGTCTTTGCAGACATAATCAAGTTAATATTAGGTCATTAGGGTGGGCTATAAGCTAAGATCACTGATGTCCTTAGAAGTGACAACAGAGATATAGACACGAGGAGAATGACATGTGACAACCAAAAAAAAAAAAAAAAAAAGATTGGAGGTATGCATATATTGGAGGAATGTCAAAGATTGACTACCACCACCAGAAGCTATTAGAAAATGTAAGGAAGGATTCTCCCCTACAAGTTCCAGAGGGGGCATGGCACTGCCAACTCCTTGACCTCAGACTTCTAGCTTCAAGAACTATAAGAATAATTTTCTGTTATTTCAAGCCATTCAGTTTGTGGTATTCTGTTATAGCAGCCCTTGGAAACTAGGAATATTCCTAAATTGTTGAAGCTCCAGTTTCCTCAAATACAAAATAGGAGAATATTATTACCAACTTCATTAGATCACTGAATTAATGTACATTAAGAGTTTAACATTGGGTCTAGCACAAAATAGATACATAAGTGGAAATTGTTTAACTCAATGTTGTTAAGATTAATTTTAAGAACTCGCTCCTTGCAACTTCACATGTTTCAGGTGGTCTCAACCTGTAAACAACCTCGTAAATTAGACAGAATGGAAATTCTTACATCTGTTTTACATATGCGGTATTGGAAACCAAAATACACACACACAATATATCCAGGTTCACACAGCCACTTCCTGATGGAGACAGGGTTCAATCTTAAGCATTTTGAATGTAATTGGATATTTCTTTACATGTAGAAAAATATATCTCAGAGTAACATGAGTCTTTTTATCCTCCAGCATTGAGGGTCTATATTTCTGAATATCTTCTATACTTATTACTCTTCTAAGTGAATTATAATTATTAATATATGGGTTCCTGTAACAATCACTGTGGCAACTACATGCCCATTTCTCAGGAAAGGAAACCAAAGTTCAGAGAGAGGAGTTATCTACTCAAAGTCACACAACTTGTAATGGTAGACACAGGATTCCAGATTTCTTACATTTCTAACCGGTGTACATTTCATTTCCTCCCACTGTCCTCATACACAAAAAAATAACCTAAGATTGTTTTTATTCTTTTGGCTGTGCATAAGTTAGTGTCATTTATCATGTGCCCTTTGGACAATACAATTCCAAGTTCTTCCAATACTCATTTGAATATATCAAGGTAATTTTTAATCCTTTTTAAAGACCCAACTCCTTGCTTGCCGAGTGTCATTAAAAGGGAGACTACTTATCACAACATTTAGCAGCACAAAATGACACTAACATAAATGGTGCTGCCTTCTTTAAGGGACAGCTTCCAAATGGTTCACTAGCAGCTCTGATCTTTAAGCTCTGGATCTTTGGGTGACACACAGTTCCACTCAGCAGCTTTGCTCAGGAAAACAAAAAAGGTATGATCACAGAGTCATGTAAAGTATCCAGATTAAAATGGGATTTAAAATCAGTAAAAATGGTGTGCAAGAAACAGAAGACAGAACAAAAGAGCTCTGACTCACAGAGCCAGACATTCAGATTAAAAAATAGATATGAGTTCACTTCTGAAGGTGCTAAGGGAAATGTCACCACACTCTAATGCCCTGATGATGGTTTCCTTTTGGCTTCAATAAATAACTGAAATTACAAAGATCCTGTGACAATGTGATAAGCACGTAGTGCAAGTAGCACGTGCTCTTAAATGCTATTTATTGGCAACACATTTTACCAGAAAATGTCATTTCCTATCAAACTTTACCAGTAAACGGAGTCAGGATGACAGAAACAAAGAAGGAAAGGAACACATGTTGTGAGTCCACAACAGGCATTAGCTGAGCATCTACTTTTGCAAGTTATTATTCTAAGCTCTTCAGATGCAGCATGGAATAGAGCCAAGTTCTTGCCCTTGCAGAGCTTTTATCCCAGGGTAGTGTCTACTATGTGCCAAGGGTTTTATGAATGTTATATCATTTAATCTTCATTAACTCTATCATGGTAGGTATAGTGCAGATGGTTTTTGCTTTTGTTTTTTGACTGTTGACATTTATTTCTCCTTCTTGTGGCAAACATCCTTTTTGAGAAATTACCTCTCATCCATATATGTAATCTTTATATGTCTGTAAATAAAAGTATTCTATGCTCTTGTAGCCAAGCTGTTATGTTAGGGCAACTGGATTTTTTTTCAAGAACCTTAAAACTTAATGTGAGAATTTTAAGGGTAGAGGGAAAAGCAGCGGGCAGCATTTTTTACAGCAATGTTGTCAAAGGAGATATGAAGTATTTCTGCCTCTTGATTCCCCATGACAGCCATGAATCCTGCCTATTTGCAGTCCAGGTTTTACTGCCTTCCCATGTATTCCATGAATTTCCCCAATATTCTTCCAACGAATTTCCTTTCTGTTAAGTTTGCCAACAAGTATCCATCACTGGCAACAAATGAACCCTAATTATTAAAATACTTATCATCAACATAATGTTGTACCATGAGGAACCTAAAGGACAAAGAGATTAGAAACTGTTAATCAAGCTTAGCCTAAAGCTGCCTCCTTACATATTTAAGTTTGGCCTAAAGGTTTTTGTGTACATTGTAAACTATAACAAGTGTAGGTGTGAAGCAACCGTAGCTCACACCTGTGCCAATCACTGAGTTTTGGCCAAATGTAGCCAACTGTTTGAACCGTGTTCAAAAAGGCAAATACCAAGCTGTAACCAATCCAGTTGTTCCTGTACCTCACTTCTGATTTCTGTACATTTCCCTTTTTTTTTTTTTTTTTGGCTATAAATCTTCTGCCACGTGGCTGTACTGAAGTCTCTCTGAATCTGCTGTGATTCTGGGGGCTGCTTGATTTGTGAATTGTCCATTGCTCAATTCAACTCTTTTAAATTTAATTTGGCTGAAGTTTTTCTTTCAACAAAACATGTCCAAATCAAGTCAACATAGCTACTATAAACGTATCTGATCCGAAAAGTCAAGCTCTTTCCACCATAACATGCAGCATGCTTCTTGATGAGGGCAGTTTAACGGAGAGCATCCTTTTCATAGCTGGTGATGCATCTGTTGCTTTCTTTCAACAGGATTTCTTAAATAGTGGAAATAACATTAAAGTACACAGAACAGACTGTCTCCTTTTTACAATCACAATACCCAAAAATAAGGCAAACTACCTGAAGGCTCCAAGTTCTGCTTGTTGTCGGAAATAAACAATATAAGAAGAAATGCTACAGAGTCTCTTTAAAGGGATTTATTTAAATGCTTTCCTCTAATCCTTTTCTTTGCAGTTCATTTAATGTCTAGCATGATTACATTCCCTGAGTCTTCTGCCAATTAAAAACAAGCATGCCATTGTTCACAATGTCAAGTAAATTTTTGAGTCAAATACCTTAGAGAAATAAATGTACACTATTAGTGATGATGTATGTATTTTATGGACATTGCATCCTCCACGTTCAATCTCTTCCCATGGTGGTTCTTTTACTGTTTTGTATGGATAACAATGATTTTGGCCCATGGTGAAGGATGTTATAAAAAACATCCTTTGGAAATGCATTGTCTTATTTACTCTAAAGCTAATGTTTGCTCTAATGTAGTTTCTATTCAGTGAGAACTCATTCCTGTAGCCATAGAACCAGATCTACCTGTGCTCCTCCTGAACTGGTGGTTTCTCTATAATTGATATAGTTAATTATATTTCTGCCTTTCACTTGATTGTTTGAAACTTGAATGCAAGAGTTTGTAAGGAATTGACTCACAGTTGGCTTAAAATTGTCTGCTTATGTTTTTCAACTATTCACCTATTTTTTCCTACTACTCACTCATATTCCCTCATTTACTTGTATATGGTTTACTATGCTATTTTTAACTTTATGGAAATAAAAATGATACAGGATGATACCACCAGGCAAAGATAGACATCCAAATGCAATATGTGACATATAGGTTGGTTTAATTCACTTGCAATTTGTTGAATGCCTACTTTGTGCTCAATCTTAACCTATGCCAGTCTGTGCATATACTATGCAATGTGAATGTCTTAAAAATTACTAAATTTACAATAAAATATACAAATCTGTAGAATATCCTGATGTAATCCTTTGGGAAATCACTGATGTTGAGAGGTAACAGCGTGCTGGCAGCCCTTGCAGCCCTCGCTCGCTCTTGGCACCTCCTCAGCCTCGGTGCCCACTCTGGCCACAGTTGAAGAGCCCTTCAGCCTGCCCCTGCACTGTAGGAGCCTCTTCCTGGAATGACCAAGGCTGGAGCCAGCTCCCTCAGCCTGCCGGGAGGTGTGGAGGGAAAGGCATGGGCGGGAACTGGGGCTGCGCGTGGTGTTCTTGCAGGCCAGCTAGAGTTCTGGGTGGGTGTGGGCTTGGCGGGCCCAGTGCTGGGAGCCACCAGCCAGCCCCACCAGCCCGGGCAGTGAGGGGCTTAGCACCCAGGGCCAGCAGCTGTGGAGGGTGCTCCAGGCTCCCCAGCAGTGCTGGCCCACTGGCGCTGCACTGCATTTCTCGCTGGGCCTTAGCTGCCTCCTGCAGGGCAGGGCAGGGCTGGGGACCTGCAGCCCACCATGCCTGAGCCCCCCCCCAACCCCCACAGTGGGCTCCTGAGCCGCCCGAGCCTCCCCAAGGAGCGCAGCTCCCTGCTCCATGGCCCCGGTCCCATCTACCGCCCAAAGGCTGAGGAGTGCCAGTGCACAGCGCAGGACTGGCAGGCAGCTCCATCTGTGGCCCCAGTGCAGGATCCACTGGGTGAAGCCAGCTGGGCTCCTGAGTCTAGTGGGGACTTGGAGAACCTTTATGTCTAGCTAAGGGATTGTAAATACACCAATCAGCACTCTGTATCTAGCTCAAGGTTTGTAAACACACCAATCAGCACCCTGTGTCAAGCTCAGGGTTTGTGGATGCACCAATCGGCACTCTGTATCTAGCTAATCTGGTGGGGACTTGGAGAATCTCTATGTCTAGCTAAGGGATTGTGAATACACCAATCAGTACTCTGTATCTAGCTCAAGGTTTGTAAATGCACCAATGAGCTCTCTGTGTCTAGCCCAAGGTTTGTAAATGCACCAATCAGCACTCTGTGTCTAGCTCAGGGTTTGTAAATACACCAATCAGCACTCTGTATGTAGCTAATCTAGTGGGGACCTGGAGAACTTTTGTGTCTAGCTCAGGGATTGTAAATGCACCAATCAGCACCCTGTCAAAATGGACCAATCAGCTCTCTGTAAAACAGACCAATTGGCTCTCTGTAAAATGGACCAATCAGCAGGATGTGGGTGGGCCAGATAAGAGAATAAAAGCAGCCTGCCGGAACCAGCAGTGGCAACCACTCGGGTCCCCTTCCACATTGTGGAAGCTTTGTTCTTTCACTTTTTGCAATAAATCTTGCTACTGCTCACTCTTTGGGTCCACACTGCCTTTATGAGCTGTAACACTCGCTGCGAAGGTTTGCAGCTTCACTCCTGAAGCCACCGAGACCAGGAACCCACCTGGAGGAATGAACAACTCCACGCGCCCCACCTTAAGAGCTGTAACACTCACCACGAAGGTCTGCAGGTTCACTCCTGAGCCAGCGAGACCACGAACCCACCAGAAGGAAGAAACTCTGAACACATGCGAACATCAGAAGGAACAAACTCCGGACACGCTGCTTTTAAGAACTGTAACACTCACGGCAGGGGTCCGCGGCTTTATTCTTGAAGTCAGTGAAACCAAGAAACCACCGATTCCGGACACAATGTGAGAACTTCACTGAAGCAGAATTACCAAAGAAACCAGCTTCTTCATTACAGGTGAAGTCTGCAGTATATGTGAGAAACCATTTTGCCTACTGGTTTTCTTCTCTTCTTTTCTGACAGTGTTATTGAAATTAACCATAAAGGTCGGGCTCATTATTTTTACTATTAAATTTAGGTATGGGCATTTCCTCCTCCTGCTTCTAAAGAAGCCCTACTCTGTAACAAAGTGGTTTCCAATAAATGTGCTTATTTTATTGTGAAAAAATAGTAAACAAATACACAAATAAATTTATGTACAATTACTTTTTGAACCACAAGAGCCTTGGTAAGGATTTTTCTCTGGACAATGCTTATCTTTTTAAAAACATGTAGTTAGCACCTTTCTTATAAAATGGGTATGAGAACTATACGTGGTGGGGCTGAATGCCTTTGGAATTAACAGAATTGATCACTAATCAAACAACCATTAATTCTAAGATATGAGGTTTTTTTAATCACATCCTAAAATATGAGCACTTGAAAGCTCCAGATATATCACACCTCACTTAATCAATGTAATATCATTATTAATTTTATAATATATAAATTGACTTTTTCCAACTGAATATATTTATAGGATACAAAGTGATATTGTGATTTACAAATACTATATGAAATAGAGCCAATTAACAGATTCATAACCTCAAATGTTTATTTTTTGTGGTAAGAACATTTGAAATTTACTCTATTAGCAATTTGAAATTGCTATGTCCACCATACTGTGCAATAGATTTCAAAAACTCACTTATTTCTCCTGTCTGAGACTATGTATCCTTTGACCATCATCTCCCCATTTTCCCCATGTCCCAGCCTCTGTAACCACCACTGTACTCTCTGCATTTATGAGTTCAATTGTTTTAGATCCTATATACAAGTGAGAACACAGCATGTATCTTTCCATGCCTGGTTTTTTTGACTTAGCATAATATTTTTTCAATTCCATCCGTGTTGTTACAAACGGCAGAATTTTCTCCTTTTTAAAGACTTAATAGTATTCCTTTGTGTGTATATATATCACATTTTCTTTATTCATTCATCTGTTGATGGACACAAGGTTGATTCTATATCTTAGCAATTGTAAATAGAGCCACACTGAACACAGGAATGCAGACTTTTTTTTTTTGACAAACTGATTTCAAACCTTTCAGGTAAATACTGAAGTGGGGTTGCTAGATGATATGGTAATTTTATTTTTAGTTAAGAAACCTCCATACAGTTTTTCATGACAGCTATACTAATTATATTTCCACCAACAGTATATAAGAGTTCACGTTACTCCACATCCTCACCAAAATTTATCTTTTTGATAATGGTCATTATGATAGGTGTGAGGTGATATCTCATTGTAGTTTTAATTTGCATTTTCCTAATGATTAAAGATGTTGAACATTTTTTAATATTTCTGCTGGCCATTTATATTTTTTTGAAAAAGGTCTATTAAGGTCTCTTGCTCATTTATTAATCAGTTTGTTTTCTTGTTATTCAGTTGTTTGAATTACATATTTATGTATTTTAGATATTAGCCCTTTATTGGACATATGGTTTGCAAATATTTTCTCCCAATCTGTAGGTTGTCTTGTCATATTGTTAACTGCTTCCTTTATTGTACAGAAGCTTTTTAGTTTGATTTGATCCTGTTTGTGTATTTTTGCTTTTATTTTCTGCACTTTTGAGGTTAAATTAAAAAAAACACCCAGGCCAATATCAAGGATGTGACATGATATGTTTTCTTCAAAGTTTTACAGTTTTGGGTTTTACATTTAAGTCTTTAATCTATTTTGAGTTAATTTTTATACAGTGTGAGATAAGGGCATAATTTCATTTTTTCTCTCGTGGATATCCAGTTTTCCCAATACCATTTATTGAATGCAATGTCTTTTTCTCATTTTGTATTCATGGCACATCAGTGCCATGAATAATGTCTCTGAAAAGGATAATGTCTTTGAAAAATCAATTGACCATATATGTGTAGGCTCATTTCCGGCCTCTTTATTCTGTTGCATTGGTTGATGTGTCTATTTTATGCTAATACCATGCTATTTTACTTACTACAGTTGTATTGGTCCATTTTCATGCTGCTGATAAAGACATACCCAAGACTGGGCAATTTGCAAAAGAAAGAGGTTTAATTGACTTCCAGTTCCAGGCCTAACAATCATGGTGGAAGGTGAAAGGCACCTCTCACATTGACAACAGACAAGAGAAGAGGGCTTGTGCAGAGAAACTCCCCTTTTTGAAAATCATTAGATCTCTTGACACTTATTCACTATCATGAGAACAGCATGGGAAAGACCTGCCCCTGATTCCATTACCTCCCACTGGGTCCCTCCCACAACATGTGGGAATTCAAGATGAGATTTGAGTGGGAATGCAGCCAAATGCTATCACTCTGCCCCTGGCCCCTCCCAAATCTTATGTCTTCACATTTCAAAACCAATCATGCCTTCACAACAGCCCCCCAAAGTCTAACTCATTTCAGCATTAATTCAGAAGTCCACAGGCTAAAGTCTTATCTGGGAAAAAGCAAGTCCCTTCCTCCTGTGAGCCTGTAAAATCAAAAGCAATTTAGTTACTTCCTAGATATTACAGGCATTGGGTAAATACAGCCATCCCAAATGGGAGTAATTGGACAAAACAAAGGGGCTACAGGCCCCATGAAAGTCTGAAATCCAGCAGGGAAGTCAAATCTTAAAGCTCCAAAATGATCTCCTTTGACTCCACATCTCACATCCAGGTCATGCTGTTGCAAAAGGTGGGTTCCCATGGTCTTGGGCAGCTCTGCTCCTGTGGCTCTGCAGGGTATAGCCTCCCTCCAAGCTGCTTTTACGGGCTAATGTTGAGTATCTGTGGCTTTTCCAGGCACACAGTGCAAGCTGTCAGTGGATCTACTATTCTGGGTTTCTCAAACAGTGGCCCTCTTCTCACAGCTCCACTAGGCAGTGCCTCAGTAGGAACTTCATGTTGGGGCTCCAACCCCACATTTCCCTTCTGCACTGCCCTAGCAGAGGTTCTCCACAGGAGTCCTGACCCTGCAGCAAACTTCTGCCTGGACACCCAGGCATTTCCATACATCCTTTAAAATCTAGGCAGAGGTTCCCAATCCCCAATTCTTGACTTCTGTGCAACTGCAAGATCAACACCATGTGGAAGCTGCCAAGGCTTGAGGTTTGCACCCTCTGAAGCCATGACCTGAGCTCTATGTTGGCCCCTTTCAGCCATGGCTGGAGCAGCTTGGATGCAGGGCACCAAGTCCTTAGGTTGCACACAGCACGGGGACTGTGGGTCCAGTTCACGAAACTTTTTCATCCCAGGCCTTTGGGCCTGTGATAGGAGGGGCTGCTGTGAAGACCTCTGACAAACCCTGGAGACATTTTCCCCATTGTCTTGGGGATTACCATTCAGCTCCTGGTTACTTATGCAAATTTCTGCAGCTGGCTTGAATTTCACCTCAGAAAATGGGATTTCCTTTTCTATCACATTGTCAGGCTGCAAATTTTCTGAACTTTTATGCTCTGCTTCACTTATAAAACTGAATGCCTTTAACAGCACCGAAATCGTCTCTTGAATGTTTTGCTGATTAAAAATTTCTTCCATTAGATACCCTAAATCATCTCTCTCAAGTTCAAAGTTCCACAGATCTCTAGGGCAGGGGCAAAATGCCACCAGTCTCTTTGCTAAAACATAACAAGAGTCACCTTTGCTCCAGTTCCCAACAAGTTCCTCATCCACATCTGAGACCACCTCAGCCTGGATTTCATTGCCCATATTATTATCAGCATTTTGGTCAAAGCCATTTAACAAGTTTCTAGGGAGTTCCAAACTTTCTCACATTTTCCTATCTTCTTCTCAGCCCTCCAACCTGTTCCAACCTCTGCCTGTTACTCAGGTAAAGTCACTTCCACATTTTTGGGTATGTTTTCAGCAGCGCCCCACTCTACTAGTACCAATTTACTATATTAGTCCATTTTCATGCTGCTGATAAAGACATACCTGAGACTGGGCAATTTACAAAAGAAACAGGTTTAACTGACTTATAGTTCCACATGACAGGGGAGGCCTCACAATCATGGCGGAAGGTGAAGGGCACATGTCACGTGGTGGCAGACAAGAGAAGAGGGCTTGCACAGAGAAACTCCCCTTTTTAAAAGCCATCATATCTCATGAGACTTATTCACCATCACAAGAACAGAATGGGAAAGACCTGCCCCCATGATTCAATTACCTCCTACCTGGGAATTCAAAATGAGATTGGGTGGGGACACAGCCAAACCATACAGCCAAACCATTTCAATAGTGTTGTAGTATAGTTTGAAATCTGGTAGTGTAATACCTCCAGGTGTATTTTCTTGCTTGTGATTGCGTTGCATGTTTATAATTTTTTTGGTTCCATGTTAATTTTAGGATTGTTTCTCTTTTTATGAAAATCACATTGGAATTTTGATAGGGATTGCATTGAAACTGTATCTTGCTTTACGTAGTATGGACATTTTAGCAATAATTTGTCCAATACACACAATACAGGATATCTTTTCGTTCATTTATGTCTTCAATTTATTTCATCAACATTTTATAGTGTTTTAGTGTATAGGTCTTTCACCTCCTTGGTTAAATTTATTCTTAATTGTTTTCCATAGAAATTGTCAATGGGATTGTTCATTTCTTTTTGGATACTTCATTGTTGTTATACAAAAATGCTACTGATTTTTGTGTGTTTATTTTGCATTCTGAAACTTTAACATATTTATTAGTTCTAACTGTTTTTTATGGAATCTTTAGACTTTTCTATACATAAGATCATGTGTCAGCAAACAGTGACAATTTATCTTCTTCCTTTCCTATTTGGAAGATTTTATTGCTTCCTATTACCTAATTACTCTAGCAAAGAATTCCAGTACTAAGTTGAATAGAAGCAACAAGAATGGGCCTTGTCTTGTTCCATTTCTTAGAGGAAAGGATTTCAGTTTTTCACTTTTGAGTATAATGTGAGCTTTGGGCTTGTATATGCCTTGTATTGTGTTGAGGCACATTCTTATTATAGCTAATTTGGTAAGAAATGTTTATCGTGAAAGGATGTTAAAATTTGCAAAGTATTTTTTTCTGCATCTAATGAGATACTCATATAGTTTTTGTGTTTTATTCTGTTAATGTATCGTATTTATTGATTCATGTATTTTAAGTCATCCTTGCATTGTAGGGATAAATTCTACTAGTTCATGTTGAGTAATTCTTTTAATGTATTATTGAATTCAGTTTGCCAGTATTTTGTCAAAGATCTTTGCATCTATGTTCATTAAAGACACTGGCCTGGAATTTTATTTTAACTTGTTATGGTATTCTTGTTTACCTTTGGTATTAGAACCTTCAAATGTTTGGTAGAACTCAGCAATGAAGCCATCAGGTCTTGGTCTTGGGCTTCTCTTTGATGGGAAACTTTTCATCACTGACTCGGTCTCCTAAATTGTTACTGGTCTGTTCAAGTTTTCTATTTATGATTCAGTCTTCATAGGTTGTATATGTCTAGGAATTTATCAATTTTTTACATATTATACTAGAAAGATGGCATATAGTTGTTCCTAATAGTTTCTTATGATCCTTTGTATTTCTGTAGTATCAGTTGTAATGTCACTACTTTCATTTCTGATTTTATGTATTTGAATCTTCTTTTTCTTTTAGTCTAGCTTAAGATTTGTTGATTGTATTTATAATTTCAAAAAAAAAACTCTTAGTTTTGTTGATGTTTTGTATTGATTTTCTAGTCTATTTTATTTATTTCTTCTCGGATCTTTTTTCTTCTGCTAACTGGGTTTAGTTTGGGTTTTTTCTAGCTTTTCAGGAATGACATTGTAATTTATTTTAAATCTTTGTTATTTTTTGATGTAACCATTTATTGCTATAAACTTTCTTCTTAGAAGTACCTTTGCTGTATCCCGTAAGTTTTGGCATATTGTGTTTCTGTTTTCATTTGTCTCAAGATTGTCTCTTTAGAGACAGGGTCTCACTCTGTTGCCCAGGCTGGAGTGCAGTGGCATTATCATAGTTCACTGTGGCCTGGAACTCCTGGGGTCAACTGATCCTCCTGATTCAGCCTACCAAGTAGTTGGGACTACAGTCATGTAATGCACAATCATGCTCAGCTGTTTTTATATTCTTTTTATTTTGTAGAGACAAGGTCTCACTATGTTGCTCAAGTTGGTCTTGAACTCCTGGCCTCAAGCGATCCACCTGCTTTAGCTTCCCAAAGTGCTGGGATTACTGGTGTGAGCCACCACACCCAGCCTCAAGATATTTTTTAATTTGCATTTTATTTCTTTGTTGATCCATTGGTTGTTCAGAAGCAATTGTTTAAAATATCTCATTTTATTGATTTCTAGTTGTACCATTATGGTTTGAAAAGATACTTGTTATAATTACAATCTTCTTAAATTTGCTAATACTTGTTTTGTGGACTAACATATGATCTATGCTGGAGAATGTCCCATGTGTTCTTGAGAAGGATGTGCCTTCTGTTGCACATGTTGGAGAGAATGGTTTGTACATGTCTATTAAGGCTATTTGGTCTAAAAGTGTTGTTCAAGTTTAATATTATCTTGTTAATTTTGTTTAGATGACCTGTCCATTTTTCAATGTAGGGTATTGAAGTTCCCTACAATTGTCATATTGGAATCTGCAATACCCATCAGATCCTTTAATATTTCCTTTTTATATTTGGTTGCTCCAATGTTAGGTGCATATATATTTAAAACTTTTATGTTTTCTTGATGAACTGACTTCTTTATCATTATATAATGTCTTTCTTTGTCTCTTTTTATAGTTTTTGACTTAAAGTTTATTTTATATAAGTATAGCTACCCCAGTTCTCTTTTGGTTTCTATTTGTGTAGAATACCTTTTCTTCATCCCTGAATTTTCAGTCTGTGTGTATACTTAAAACTGAGATGAATCTTTTGCAGGCAGCATATAGTTGGGTCTTTTTTTATATTCATTTAGTCTATGTATTTTTATTAGGGAATGCAATTCATTTACATTTAAGATAATTATTGATAGCTAAGGTCTCACTACTGTCATTTTATTAAATGATTTGTGACGTTTTTGTTTGTGTGTTTCTTGCTGTCTTTGTAGTTTCATAGTTTTCTGTAGTGGTATGCTTTGAATTCTCTATACTTTTGTTTTGTAATTCTTCTACAGATTTTTTTCTTCATTGTTACCATTACATTTACACATAACATCTTATAGCTATAACAGTCTATTTCAAGTTGATAATAAATTAACTTTGCATGCAACTTTATACTTTCACTCCCTCTTCCAATATTTTACATTTTGATGTGAGAATTTATGTTATTTTCAGCACAGGAGTTTTGACCTGCTCCAATTCTGGCCCAGGCTGGTACACCCCTCTTTAGGCAACCTGGTAGTCCCCACTATGGTGGGTCACCATGTTGATGCTGAATTTAGCAGGGACACCCAATCGGCATACTGCACTACAGCCCAGTACTCCTGGGCTCATGTGATCATCCCACCTCAGCCTCCCAAGTAACTTGGACTACAGACACGTGCCACAGCATATGGAAGAATTTATATTATTTTCAAATGTTTATCCCTTGAAAATTTATTTTAGATAGGTTCTTGTTAAAATTTTATTTTAGCTAGGTTTTGTCTTTTAACCCTCATACTAGAATAAAATTTCTTTGCACAACTGTCATTACAGTCCTAAAGTATTCTAAATATAGCTCTGTATTGTGTATACTATTGGGTTCTGTACTTTTTGTGTTTTATGTTTTTAGTTAGCAGCCTTTTGTTTCAACTTACAAAACTTTCAGTAATCTTTGAGGCCTAATGGTGATGAATTCCCTTAGCTTTTGTTTGTCTGAAAAGTTTTTATTTTTCTTTCATTTCTTAAAGTTTTTCTGAGTAAAGCATTCTTGGTTGGTGGTTTCATCAGTTTTTTCTTTTTTCCTTTAGCATTTTTAATATCTCTTCCCCTTGTTTCCTGGTCTGCTGGGTTTCTGCTGAGAAATCTGTTGATAGTCTTATTTTGATTCCTTTCCATGTAATATGTTTCTCATCTCTTGCTGCCCCCAAAGTTTTTTTGAGTTTTGATATTTTGATTGTGTCTTAGTGAACTCTTCTTTCGGTTGATTTTGACTGAAACCTCTGTGTTTGCTGTACATGAACACTGGAATCTATCCTCAGATTATGAAAATTTTTAGACATTATTTCTTTAAATATGCTTTCTGGATTTGTTTTCTCTTTCATCCCCTTCTAAGCCTCCTATTATACAAAGGTTTCACTTTTGATGGTTTCCCATAGCTCCTGTAGACTTTCTTATTTTTTATTCTTTCGATTTTTTGCTTCTCTGCCTGATTAATTTCAAATGTCCTGCCTTCAAGCTCAGACTTTCTTCTGCTTGATTGAGTTTTCTGATGAAGCCTTCTATTGATTTTTTTTTTCAGTTCAGTTATTGTGTCTGTAATTTCCAGGATTTCTATTTTTTACTATTGTTTCTATTTATTTGTCAAAGTTCTCACTTTCCATGTTATTTTCCAAATTTTATTTAATTTTCTAGCTGTATACTTTTCAAGTTCACTGAACTTATTTAAGATTATTATAATTTTTTGTCATTTCATAGATATCCATTTTTTAGCATCCATTATTGGAGATTTATTAATTTCTATAAAAGATGTAATTATTCCCAGATTTTTGGAAAATCTTGTGTCTTTGCATTGTTGTGTGCACATATAAAGAGACAACCACCTCTTCTTGTTTTTACAAGGGTTCTTTGGCAGGGATGCACCTTCACTACTCAGTTTACTCTGTGATTCTGGAAGGCCTGTTATGGGTTCTTTATTTGGGTTGGTTTGCTGCCTTTGCTCTTATGTCATGTGGAGCTTCTGGCTGGGCTCTGCTATTACACAGAGCAACTGGATGATTACTGTGAGGCTCTCTAGTCACACCTATCAGAGGATACATTCCCTGACTGAGACATTTTAGATCTGCAGTTGGACAGGGCTGCAGGCTCAGCTCTGAGGTTAGACAGAGTTGCTGCTTGGGACAGGCAGGGCCCAGAGACTATGCTCCTTAGAAATGCACAATTGAGAGTTGCCTCCTTCTTTGGGTGGAACCATGGGGTGGGCTTTTGGCTGAGTTCAGCCACTGTTTGATCTCTTGGTTCAAGCATGTCTGGCCCCTATGCTTCTCCAAAATAGGAAGAGGCAGGGATATCCCTGCCTGGATGAGGTCACTTGTCAGGCTTTTTGGCTGAGCTGAGTCATTCTTTGGACTTCCAGGTCAAGCAGGTCTAGCCTCTCTGCTTCTACTAAATGGAGAGAGAGGAAGGCGTTTCCCTGCTTGGGTGAGGTTGTTGGGGTGGAATCTGGAGCTTGGTATAGAGACTAGCCATCTATAACTCAAGCCAGGTTGAACTTCCTACTGTGGTTCTGAAAACAACCAAATCAGCTTTGCAGGTGGGGTATGAAGTTGGCTGGTATCTATGACTGGGTGCCATAGCTGGCAGGAACACAAAGGTACCAACAAGATCACACACTGGTCAATGTAATCTCTATCTTATTTCTCTGTTTTTATTTGACTTCAGATGTTATTCCCAGTGTTCCCTCATGAGGTGAGACAAAAGCGGGCTTCCAGGAAGTGCTTCAGAATGCTAAGGAAGCTGGATGACTGACTCCAGTTCTTTTTTGCCCCCTGTAAAAACCATGGCCAGCAGAAATTGTACCCATCTGGCATTGTGCTGACTTGGGAGAAGAGGGGTTGAAGTGAGGCAGTTCTTATCCTTCTAATGCCGTTCTCAGTCAGCCTGTAGACCACGTTAGTGTGTCAGACTTAGTTACAAGTATTTGGATTTTCAAAAATATGTTTTGGTTTGTAGATAGTTGCTAGCTGCATTTTTAGTTGGGCAGAGAGTAGAGCCTGAGACTTCCTCTCTGACCATCTTGCTGATTTCACTCTTCTGTAATACCATTGTTACAGATGATGACCATAGAAACAGAATTAAATTGTTCTCCACTCACGAACTAGATAGTCTTGGAATATGGCCTTATGGTTTAATCTCTCTAAATCTCAGTTGTTTTCTCTTTTTTAAAATGTGAATACTAACTTGTCAGTGTTTCTCAGAAAATTAAATAAGAAAATCAGTGTAAAGTTTTATGACAATGAATAGTAGGTACATACTAAAAGACAGATAATAATGGCAAATATATATATTTATATGTTGGTGTGTGTGCGTGTTTACTGAGTGTATTGGTCTGTTCTCACATTGCTATAATGATAATACCTGAGACTGGGTAATTTATAAACACAGAGGTTTAACTGACTCACAGTTCCACATGATTGGGGAGGCCTCAGGAAACTTACAGTCATGGCAGAAGGTGAAGGGGAAGCAAATACCTCCTTCGCAAGGCAGCAGGAAGGGGAGAGAGGGAGAGACGGGGGGGGAGAGAGAGGGAGAGACAACGAGAGAGAGAGCAAGAGAGCAAGAGAGAGAGCGCGTGAGAGAGAGAGAGAGGGAGAGGGAGAGGGAGAGAGAGGGAGAGGGAGAGAGACGGAGAGGGAGAGGGAGAGAGAGGGATAGAGAGAGAGGGAGAGAGAGAGAGAGGGAGAGAGAGAGAGCAAGAGAGAGAGGGAGAGATAGAGGTGGAGGGAGAGAGAGATGGAGAGAGAGAGAGAGAGACAGAGAAAGAAAGAGAGACAGAGAGAGACGGAGAGAGAGAGAGAGATGGAGAGAGACAGAGAGAGAGAGAGAGAGAGAGAGATGGAGAGAGAGAGAGATCGATCCCCTTATAAAACCATTAGCTTTCATGAGAACTCCCTCACTATCATGAGAACAGCACAGGGGAAACCGCCACCGTGATCCAATCAACTCCCACCAGGTCCCTCCCTCAACACATGGGGATTACAATTCAAGATGACACTTGAGTGGGGACACAAAGTCAAACCATATCATTGAATATCTACTATGTGCCAAGTAGTCCACTAAGTATTTTAGGAAATACAAAATCTATATTAGACACATTCAAGCCCAAAGAAAATTGCCATATTTGGCAGGTGGGGGATAAGAAAAAAAAATGTAAAGCCATGTAGTAAAGACCTAAACTGAAAAGTTGTTCTGAAAACAAAGCCAACATTTAGAAAAAAAATATCATTTCAAAAATGAAAGTTAGAGGTCTGCATTAAAACCCCAGTGCTAATTGTCAGTCTAAATGGATATTAAACCCAAATCAGAAGTACTGACATTTAAAGTTCACTAAATTTATTCTACATAATTTGCCATTTTTGACACACTTTCTGCTATGGTTTAAATGTTTTGTTCCCTCCAAAATTCATGTTGAAACCTAATCCCCTCTAAAATTCAAGTGCTGCCAATGTGATAATATTAAGAGGTGGGCCTTTAAGAGATGACTAGGCCATGAGGGATGCTTTTTGTTAATGGGATTAATGTCCTTTGAAAGAGGCTTTGGGCAGCATTCTGCAAACCTGTGCTCACATGAACATCTACTTCCTGCCACATGAGGATGCAGCGGAAAGGTGCCTACTAGACCACATGCTGGTGCCTTGATTTTGGACTTCCTAGCCTTCAGAATTGTGAGAATATAAATTCTTGTTCTTGCTGTTTCCTCCCACTGCCTAAGATGCTGAAAGGAAAGAAGACCAAGGGGAAGAAGGTGGCTCTGGTCCCTGCTGCTGTGAAGAAGCAGGAGGCCAAGAAAGTGGTGAATCTCTTGTTTGAGAAAAGGCCTAAGAATGTTGGCATTGGACAGACATCCAGCCCAAAAGAGACCTCACCTGCTTTGTGAAATGGCCCCGCTATATCAGGTTGCAGCAGCAGACAGCCATCCTCGATAAGTGACTGAATATGCCTCCTGTGATTAACCAGTTTATCCAGGCCCTGGACCAGCAAACAGCTACTCAGCTGCTTAAGCTGGCCCACAAGTACAGACCAGAGACAAAGCAAAAGAATAAGCAGAGGCTATTGGCCCAGGGCTGAGAAGAAAGCTGCCAGCAAAGGGGACATCCCCAATAAGAGACCACCTGTCCTTCAAGCAGGAGTTAAGACTGTCACCAACTTGGTGGAGAACAAGAAAGCTCAGCTGGTGGTGATTGCACATGACGTGGATCCCGTTGAGCTGGTTGTCTTCCTGCCTGTCCTACATTGTAAAATGGGGGTCCCTTACTGCATTATCAAGGGGAAGGCAAGACTGGGACATCTAGTCCACAGGAAGACCTGAACCACTGTCGCCTTCACATAGGTTAACTCGGAAGGCAAAGGAGCTTTGCCTAAGCTGGTGGAAGCTATCAGGACAAATTGCAATGACAGATACAATGAGATCCACCGTCACTGGGGAAGCAATGTCCTGGGTTCCCAGATCTGTGGCTCACATTCTCAAGCTCAAAAAGGCAAAGACTAAAGAACTTGCCACTAAAGTGGGTTAAATGTATGCTGTTGAGTTTTCTCTACATAAAAAAAATTAAACTACAAATTTTCCTTCAAGAAAATAAAACATAAATTATTGTTTTTATAAATTACCCAGTTTAAGGTATTCTGCTATAGTGGGACAAACAAACTAAAACAAAATATGCCTACTATTAGAAAATACTCTTTTTTAGGCCGGGCGCGGTGGCTCACGCCTGTAATCCCAGCACTTTGGGAGGCCGAGGCGGGTGGATCATGAGGTCAGGAGATCGAGACCATCCCGGCTAAAACGGTGAAACCCCGTCTCTACTAAAAATACAAAAAATTAGCCGGGCGCGGTGGCGGGCGCCTGTAGTCCCAGCTACTCGGGAGGCTGAGGCAGGAGAATGGCGTGAACCCGGGAAGCGGAGCTTGCAGTGAGCCGAGATTGCGCCACTGCAGTCCGCAGTCCGGCCTGGGCGACAGAGCGAGACTCCGTCTCAAAAAAAAAAAAAAAAAAAAAAAAAAAAAAAGAAAATACTCTTTTTTGTTGCATATACATGTAGTCCAGTTGAAATATGTTACAAAGAGAATAAGTGTTTCCTAAATTTTCACATACCATACATGTTAGTTTGCCATACACATAAGATCCATCTATAGATCTCCTTAATTTCCTTAATAAATTCAGAAGAACTTTACTGAAGTACATATTTGGTGCCACTATGGATATCAAATAATATAATGCTGCATGATGATGCTGCATAACTCCTACTTATTGAACATTTATAATGTACCAGGTAGTATGCTAAGTATTTTGCACATAATTTAACTCTTGCACCAACACTGGAAAGTAGGTAGTTCACCCCATTTTTGCAAGAAAACTGAATCTTAGTAAACCTTAGTAAAGAAAGTGATACAGAATAGAATTTTAAACAAGCTCTTTGTATACATACTTTTGTCCAGTGTTCCCTATCTCTTAGTACATCAGTTTACTCCAAATAATTAAGAGAATTCCTATTTGGCTTCTCTTTCAATTATGTGAAGATGTTGAAAAAAATGTGTTCTACCTAAACACACATCCTCACAGTAGCCTCTCTGGAACTAATTTCTAAGACTGGCTAAATTTTCATACTATTTCTTTATTATAACAGGCATAATTCCTTGTTACCTTTAGTGATGGGCAGAAGGATGCTCAATAAAACACTATCATCTTTTAAAGTTTTTATTAAAGTTCTTTTCCCTCAACCCTTGATTGATTTTAGTACATTTCTTAGGATTATTTTAAGAGATAAATATCAGAAGTTAGTTCTGTAAATGAATCACATTTATTAATTTCTATGTATTGAATCAGCCTTGCATCCAATGAATAAAACCTATTTGATCATGGTAGATTAGCTTTTTGATGTGCTGCTGGATTCAATTTGTTAGTATTTTGCTGAAGATTTTTGAATTTATGTTCATCAGGGATATTTGCCTGAAGTTTCTTTTTTCACTGTGTCCCTTCCGGGTTTTTGGTATCAGAATGATGCTGGCCTCATATAATGAGTTAGGGAGGAGTCCCTCCTTGATTTTTTGAAATAATTTTAGCAGGATTGGTACTGGCTCTTCTTTATACATCTGGTAGGATTTGGTTATAGTTCATCTGATCCAGGGCTTTTTCTGTCTAGTAAATATTTTGTTGGGAACTCATTAGTGCTCTGTTCAGGATTTCAATTTCTTCCTGGTTCTGGTTATTGTATATTTCCTAGAATTTATCCATTTCTTCTAGATTTTCTAGTTTGTGCACATAGAGCTGTTCATAATAGTCTCTGAGGACTCCTTGTATTTCTGCAATGTTGGTGGGAGTGTCACCTTAGTCATTTCTGATTGTGTTTATTTGGATCTTCTTTTTTCTTTATTAATCTAGCTAGCTGTCCATCAATACTATTTATTCTTTCAAAAAACAAACTTTAGGTTTCGTTGATCTTTTCAGTGGATTTTGCATCTCAATTTCATTCAGTTCAGCTCTGATTATGGTTATTTCTTTTCTTCTGCTAGCTTTGGGGTTGGCTTGCTCTAGTTTTTCTAGTTCCTCTAGGTGTGACATTAGGTTGTTAATTTGAGATCTACTTCTTAATTTAGGCATTTAGCACTATAAACACTCCTCTTAACACTGCTTTAGCTGTGTCCCAGAGATTCTGATATGTTATATCTTTATTTCATTAGTTTCAAAGAAGTTTTGGATTTATACCTTTATTTTATTATTTACTCATAAGTTTAGGAGCAGATTGGTTAATTTCCATGTAATTACATGATTTTGAAAGTTCTTCTTGGTACTGAATCATATTTTATTGTGTTATGGTCTAAGAGTGTGGTTGGTATGATTTAGGTTTTTTAAAATTTGCTAAGGATTGCTGAGCTTGTAGCCAATCTTAGAGTATGTGCCATGTGCATATGAGAAGAATGTATATTTTATTGTTGCATAGAGTATTCTGTTGATGCCTCTTAGGTCTACTTGGTCAAGTGTCGAATTCATGTCATGAATATCTTTATTTTTTGCCTCAGTGATGTGTCTAACACTGTCAGTGGGAATATTGAAGTCTCACATTACTATTGGATGGTTATCTAAGTCTCTTCATAGGTCTCTAAGAACTTGTTTTATGAATCCGGGTGCTCCAGTGCTGGGTGCATATATATTTATGATAGTTAAGTTTTCTTGTTGTATAATTTATCATTAAAAACAAAATACACATGATCCTCTTAATAAAGGCAGAAAAGGTTTTTGATAAAATCCAGGATTTCTTCAGGCTAAAAACCCTGACAAACTTTAATGCACCAAAGGAACATACCTCAAAATAATAAGAGCCATCTATGACAAATTCACAGCCAACATCATATTAAATGGGCAAAAGCTGGAAACATTCCCCTTGAGAACTGGAACAAAAGAAAGATGCCCACTCTCACCAGTTCTTTCAATATAAACTGGAAGTCCTAGCCAGAGCAATAAAGCAAAGTAAAGAAATAAAAGATATCCAAATAAGAAAAGAAGAAGTCAAGCTATCTCTCTTAATTAATGATATGACTCTATGCCCAGAAAATGATAAAGACTCCACCAAAAGCCTCCTAGAAATAATAAATAACTTCAGCAAAGTTTCAGGATACAAAATCAACATCCATAGCATTTCTACACACCAGTAATGTCTGAGATGGGAGCCAAATCAAGAACACGCTCTCAATCACAATAGCCACAAATAGAATAAAATATCTAGAAATACAGCCAACTGAAGAGGTAAATGATCTCTACAGTGAGAATTACAAAACACTTCTGAAGAAATCAGAGACATCACAAACCAATGGAAACACATTTCATGCTCATGGGTAGGAAGAATCAATATTATTAAAATGGCCATCCTCCCCAAAGCAATTTACAGATTCAATGCTATTCCTATCAAACTACTGATGACATTGTTTTTCACAGAACTAGAAAAAACTATTTTAAAATGTATGTGAAGCCAAAATGGAGCCCAAATAGCCAAAGTAATCCTAAGCAAAAAGAACAAGGCCAGAAACATCACACTACTTGATGTAAAACTATACCATAAGCTACAATAAACAAAATATCATGGTACTTGTACAAAAACAGACACAATGGAACAGGTTAGAGAACTCACAAATAAAGTTGCACACCTACAACCATCTGATCTTTGATAAAGTCAACAAAAACAAGCAATGGGGAAAGGAATTTCTCTTCAATAAATGGTGCTGTGATAAGTGACTGGCCATATGCAGAAGATTGAAACTGAACCCCTTCCTTTCTTTACTTCTTTTTTTTTTTCTTGAGATGGAGTTTCATGCTTGTTGCCCAGGCTAGAGTGCAATGGTGCAATCTCGGCTCACCACAACCTCTGACTCCTAGGTTCGAGCAATTCTCCTGCCTCAGCCTCCTACGTAGCTGGGATTACAGGTGCCCTCCACCAAACTCAGGTAATTTTATATATATATATATATATATTTTTTTTTATAGTAGAGACAGGGTTTCACCATATTGGCCAGGCTGGTCTCGAACTCCTGAACTCATGTGATCCACCCACCTCAGCCTCCCAAAATGCTGGGATTACAGGTGTGAGCCACCACACCTGGCCCTTCCTTTAACATATACAAAAATTAACTCAAGATGGACTAAAGACTTAACTCTAAAACCTAAAGCTATAAAAACCTTAGAGGAAAGCCTAAGATATACCATTCTGGAGATAGACCTTGGCAAAAATTTTACGATGAAGTCTCCAAAAACAACTGCAACAAAAGAAATAGAAAAAGTAGTACCTAATTAAACTAAAGAGCTTCTGCACAGCAGAGAAACTATCAACAGAGTAATGCACAACCTACAGAATGGGAGAAAATATTTGCAAACTATGCATCTGACAAAGGTCTAATATCAAGGATCTCTAAGGAACTCTAACAAATCAACAGGCAAAAACAACCTCATTTAAAAATGAAGAAAGATCATGAACAGACACTTCTCAAAAAGAGACAAACACATGACCAAAAAGTATGTGAGAAGACGCCCAACATCACTAATGATTAGAGAAATGCAAATCAAATCCACAATGAGATACCATTTCAAACCAGTCAGAATGGCTTTTATAAAACATTCAAAAAATAACAAATGTTGGTGAGGTTGCAGAGAAAAGGCAATACTTATACACTGCTGGTGGGAATGTAAATTAGTTCAGCCACTGTGGAAAGGATTTTGGAGATTTCCCAAAGAAGTCAACAGAACTACCATTTGATCAGCAATCCCACTATTGGGTATATATCCAAAGGAATATAAATTGTTCTGCCAAAAAGACACAAGTATTCACAAGTTCATCACAGCACTATTCACGATAGCAAAGACATGGAATCACCTAGATGCCCATCAACAGTAGACTGTATAAAGAAAATGTGGTAAATATATACCATGGAATACAACACAGCCATAAACAAAGAACAAAATAATATCCTTGGAAGAAACATGGATGCAGCTGGAGGCCATTATCCTAAGTAAATTAACACAGGAACAGAGAACCAAGTACTGCATATTGTCACTTATAAGTAGAAGCTAAACATTTAGTACACATGGACACAAAAAGGGGAACAATAGACACAGGACCTACTTGAGGTTGAAGAATATTAGGAGTGCAAGGATCAAAAACTTACCTATCAGGTACTATGCTCACTACCTGGGTGATGAAATCATTTGTGCATCAAACCTCAGAGACACACAATTTACCCATGTAACAAACCTGAACATGTACCCCTAAATCTAAAAGTTGAAAAAAAAAAAGATATCTGAACTTCAAACATACTCTATGAACAAAAAGTAAAGGAAACAGGAAAATGAGCCTTTCCTTTAATACATGCAATTTAATAAACCCATGTATTAGTCTGTTTTCATGCTGTTATGAAGAAATACATGAAACTGGGAAATTTATACAGAAAAAAGGATTGACTCACAGTTCTGCATAATTTGGGAGGCAGAAGGCCCCTCTTCACAGGGTGGCAGGAGAGAGAATGAGTGCCCAGTAAAGGTGGAAGCCCTTTATAAAACCATCAGATCTTGTGAGACAGGACTCATAATAATGAGAATAGGATGGGGAAAACCTCCCCCATTATTCAATTATCTCCACCTGGTCCACCTTGTCCCTCCCATGATAAATGGGGATTATGGGAACTACAATTCAAGGTGAGATTTGGGTGGGGACACAGCCAAACCATATAATCCGTATCTTACTTTCCTGCCCAGCACACAATAAAGTCAAAACAATGGTATATATTTCCTAGGAAAGGTAGCCATTCAGATTGTTTCTAGCTGATTCCCCCATTGCCAGTTGTAAAACTTGTCTCATCTTACAATGAAAATATGGCTTGTAAAGTGTTTGTGAAATAGTAGGTTGTAAAGCAAGCTAGAAGGAGCTGTTTTGTGCATTTGACTGTGCCCCTTCATATGTATAACATGTTGGGTCTTCCTTAATGGAAAAGTAGGTGGATAGAGAGGAACAGGCATGTTAACACACCAGCAGCAGAGTAGCTTCCAATGGGCAGAACTCAAATCTGTCACTTGCAAGCAACCCACAAAAATCTTTAGTTGAAGCTTAGTTTTATACTTCTATTAAAA
This sequence comes from Homo sapiens, assembly GCF_000001405.40. Taxonomy (NCBI): domain Eukaryota; kingdom Metazoa; phylum Chordata; class Mammalia; order Primates; family Hominidae; genus Homo; species Homo sapiens. The sequence goes on from NC_000011.10 coordinate 29,732,661, forward strand.
ATATAAAAGTTAAATTTATTCTATAAGTTTATTCTTTCCTATTTTAAGTTATTATTACTATATTATAAAAAATTAGTTAGACTAGCCTCATATAATGCTTTTGCCTCCCATGCATAATGAAAACATTTTTCTTGGGCAGAATTACTCCTCTTTAGACAAATGTGAAGAAGTTTTGCCAATTAACAGATGCTACACAAATGTGCACAATTATTATTGTTACTGCTGTCATTATTGTTTTGAATAATCTTAAATACCAACATCTTTCTTTTTAAAAATAAAGATAGTGACACCTCTTCCCATAAATAAATGTTCTCTATAGACACACAGGATTCGCAGCCTCAAATGTCTATGAATAGAGAGGCAAAGAGAAGATTGACTCAACAGCTAATACATCTCATGATTTTACCTTTATACCAAGACATAACTTATTGTCTTTTTTCTAAAATAGGTTGATGCTTTTATTCACCATCTTTATTTTTCATTAGTAAAATATTTATCTATTGAAGACAGTATGAAAATTCAGAAAAAAATTACAGGTAGAAAATTAAACCACTCTTAAGGATGAATAACATTAATGCTTCAGTATACTTGACTAAGCTTTTTCATATGAGTACATAAAAATGATTCTCCCTTCTCCAAGTTTAAATTAGATGTGCTGTTTCTCTATAGCCCACTTTACTTTAGTTATTAGAATATTCATGTTATTAAATATTATACTATAACATGAATTGTGATATCATGTTATAGTACATGACTGTAGTACGTGACTAATAGTAGACTATTCTTGAATAAATGTATTAACTACACTGTTAGAAAATTGCTAAGTATTTGTTTCCAATTGTTTATGACTATAAATAACCCTATAGTGTAAATCCTTATGTATGAAACATCCTTCATCTCTGTATCACTAGTAGGACATACAGCCCATAACAGTCATAGTTTTCCTGGGTTTCCTGGGATAACATAAGATAGCAAGGACCAGTCTGGCTTACTAAAACTCATTAGGAGCATCTTCATTATCTCTGCCCTTATCCCTGGTACATCCAGTATGTATGATATTTCAGGGCCAACTCAAGGAAATTTATTTCCCAAGTTGTTCATGCCCAATGACAGTATTTTTCTAATCCCTCTCTTAATTCAGTCCCCTTCCTTCACAACCCTCGTAATAATAAAAATTCAAGTCATAATCCAGAGAGGCAGCAATGGGATAATTTTTGGTGTGTTTTTCAGAGGTTCCATCTGGGGCTCATTCTTTACCTTGAAGTCCTTTAATATTTACCAATTAACCTGATAAAAAATCTCCTTACATCAAGTAGTCTACCACCTATCAGAATAAGAGGAGTATTATATAGCAAATAGGGTAAGGATGAGAGATCTTATTGTTCTCTTTTTGAGATGGGGTTTTGCTATGTTGTCCAAGTTGGTCTCTTGGGCTCAAGTAATCCTCCTGCCTCAGCCTCCTGAATATCCGGGACTACAGGTGTGCACCGCTGCCCCCAGCTTAAGAGATCTTGCTTTTAAGTGTTTAAAATAGTATATAAATCAAGCCAAGCTATAATAGGAGTCAAAGGTGACAATAGAAGGCTATTATAACCATGGTCACAGTCTTAGAAAAGGAAACGTAGATGTTAATAAAGTTATTTTTCCTTTTCCAAGAAAAGGGGACTCATTTAATAAAGTATGGGCAAAACCACCTAGCATCCTGCCCTTAGACCTGGGTCATCAAGCCCCTACTCTGAGGTCCCCTACTTTACAGAGACTCAGTATAGGTTTTATCTTCCCTGCCTTTGTAATACTGTAGTCTTACAAAATCTGAGTCTTTCCTCACCTTCTGAGTCATATTCTTGGCATGGGGGATTCCAAATTCCATGCCTGAATACCATAAACTCACCTCTGAGGCTTGTGCCGGTTTCTTTCCAGCAGACATTTCTTCAGGTGAACATAATCTTAATTCTGAGGCAGAGTGAAGGGGCATCTGTTTGGGGGAACAGATAGTGCTTGGACTTGAGTTCTGGAATGTCCACCAGATATGGATGAGGCACATAATAGAGCAAAAAAAAAAAAAAAGAAGAGAGAAGGGTACACTTGGGAACCTCAATGTACTCTTGTCTAAGGCTCTGTAAATGTTAGAAAGAGCCTGCTCCTCTGAACTCTTACACTTAGTGACAAGTATATTTTATGTCATTTTTTATTTCAGCATCATTCTTCTTGAGCCTGGAGATTCTTCTTTTATGAAAAGAGTCAATATAAATGTGTAAACGTGATATATACTTTTAAAATCAACTTTGAGGACAGAAATTGTGAGACTGCAGTACCCTAACCCTTTATAAACCATAACTCAAAGGTCTGCAGGTGAGAGTCAGTGTTTTCTAAGGCACTACAAAAATACTCTTGTAATAAACATGGGAAAGGATGTCTGCATTTTATAAAGTTTCAGCAAGGTATTTTAGCAGCCACTTAAAGGAATGACACTTTGTCTATGCCCCCAGATCAGCTTACTGTTTATCGCTTTTGACTCCTAAACAGAGCCATTCTGTTTGCATCCCTCCGTCTCCATGTGACTACAAGTCTGTTTACCAAGACAGGAGGGGTAGTGGGTTGCATTATTTCCCCAAAAAAGATATGTTGAAATGCTAACTCTCAGTACCCGTAAATGTGACCATCTTTGAAAATAGGGTCATTGCAGAAGTACTCAAGTTAAAATGAAGTCATTTTGGAGTACAGTAAGCCCTAAATCCAATAATGGTTGTTCTTATAAGAAGAAGAAAGGACCCACAGATATCCAGGGAAGTCTTATGGAGGCAGAGATTGCAGTGGTGCAACCACAAGTCAAGGATGGCCAAGGACTGCTGAGGCCATCGGAAGGTAAAAAGAGGTAACTAAGAATTCTTCAGTAGAGCCCTCAGTGAGAGCATGGTCTTGTTAACACCTTGATTTCAGACTTCTAAACTCTAGAACTATGATAGAATAAATTTGTGTTGTTTTAGGCCACCAATTTTGAGATAATTTGTTACAGAGGCCCCAGGAAACTAATACAGGGGATACTGGCCATTCTCTTCTCAACCTCTCTGCAGAATATCACTGGGCCTTATCTCCTACTTCCATCTTCCCATTCTTCTGAGGAATACTCACAAGTCTTTTGTTAAATGGTTCACTTCTAGTCACTTCAAAGAAGTGGGCTGGTGATGTGGGTGGGTGGGGGACAGATGGGGGTAACAAAATCAGTAAACCTGGAAGAATGAGAAATAATTTTCTAAAAATCACTCACTGGCTAAGTGTATTTCTCTACTTAATTGACTAAATCTTCACAATGGTGCTAGGAGGTAGATATTTTTAAATCCCTCTATTAAGAGGAGAACTCTATGGCTCAGAAAGTTTAAGCACTCTGTCATCCAGCTAAAAAAAGAAGAGCCAGGAGTCGAACTGAAACTTGATCCAAAAAAAATAGGGTCTCCAAAACCTTCTGGTTGTATCAACGCACAAGTAATATTGGTAGTTTCTCCCTTTTGAAAATGAGTTTGTAGCCAGGCGTGGTGGCTCATGCCTATAATCCCAGCACTTTGGGAGGCCGAAGCAGGCGGATCATGAGGTCAGGAGATCGAGACCAGCCTGGCCAACATGGTGAAACCCCGTCTCTATTAAAAATACAAAAATTAGCTGGGCATGATGGCGGGCGCCTGTAATCCCAGCTACTTGGGAGGCTGAGACAGGAGAATTACTTAAACCTGGGAGGCGGAGGTTGCAGTGAGCCGAGATTGCGCCGCTGCACTCTAGCCTGGGTGACAGAGCAAGACTCTGTCTCGGAAAGAAAAAAAAAAAAAGAGAAAAGAAAAGAAGTTTGTTATATCTCAATATCTCATGATCAGATGTATTATCTCTATATATACTTATTTTATGACTGATTAGTTTCATATTAAAATTCTATTTATTTTTAGTAAACAAAGCATGTTTGGAATAAACATACAAACACACACATACATACATAGGGAGGTAAATTTCTCTTCCCCTCTCTGACCTAGCCACACAGTTTTCCTGTGCGGAATAAGCTTCTCTGATCAGTTTCCTAAGTATTCTTATCAGGATACTCCATGATTTTACTCATGTATACATACATATTATTACTTTCTTCTCAAATCATAGAGTATAAACCTGGTTCTATACCTCTCTGTGAGCTTTTTTTTTTTTTTTTGACTCTCATCTTACACAGTTGTATTAGTCCCTTTTCATGCTTTCATTAAAGACATACCCAAGAGTGGGTAATTTATAAAGAAAAAGAGGTTTAATGGACTCACAGTTCCACATGGCTGGGGAAGCCTCACAATCATGGTGGAAGGCGAAAGGCACTTCTTACAGGGTGACAGTAAGAAAGAATGAGAACCAAGCGCAAGGGGTTTTCCCTTATAAAACCATCAGGTCTCGTGAGACTTATTCACTACCTCTGCCTCCGTGATTCAATTATCATCCACCAGGTCCCTCCCACCACACATGGGAATTAAGGGAGCTACAATTCAAGATGAGATTTGGGTGGGGACACAGCCAAACCATATCACCAGTCATAGAAATCCTCCTGCCTTTATAATGTTCCTGTCTTTCCTGAAATATTGCTAAAAAATTCACATTATCCTTTTTTTCTAACTCTTCCTTCTCTCATTGTCCACATTTCTAATGCTGGCAAGTTCGATGTTGTTTTGTTCCTTCACACTATTATTGAAGCAAACACTCAAGTTAATCAGAATATTCAAAAAACCAAAACACCTGTTTATTCCACAAACCCTAACAATATCTTATCATAATGTAGGTCATTAAATTTTTACTGCTTTAGAAGAAAATGGTTTACAAATTGGTGTGGAGTTCAGGGATTTTATATGTTTGGTTTGTTTTTGTAAAAGATTTGTCCTTGAGGATACATCAGGAAGACTGCCCCCAGCAGGAGCTAGATCCCACCACGATAAAATTCATTTGTCATTTTCCTTCCTAAAATAAGCTAATCCACCAATAGAGCAAAAGAGATCAACTTTGTTTACAGGCTCAGGAGAGCAAATTGTACTCCATTTGATTTTTGTTTAAACATTTATAGCAACTCATCTGACTCATATTTGCATTGTCGATACCATATAGAAAGTTTATTTGTTTACCTTTGTCAAGACCCTTCAGCCAAAGACCACTGGAAATGCACCCAACATTTAACAAATTGCATATATATATATATATATATATATATATATATATATATATATATATAATTTGTTGCAGTAAGGGAGAACACACAACATGGAGAACCATGAGGTACCTCAGTGAAAGGGTGTTAGAGAACACTTACAAATTAGGCTTGCGTGAGGTAACTTTAGGGAAAGTTTAAAGAAGCAGGTTTGCTTTGTTTTTTATGCATCAAGAAGCAGGGGCAATATTTTTTTTTTTTTTTTTTTTGAGATGGAGTTTCACTCTTGTTGCCCAGGCTGGAGTGCAATGGCGCCATCTCAGCTCACTGGAACCTCCGCCTCCTAGGTTCAAGAGATTCTCCTGCCTCAGCCTCCCGAGTAGCTAGGATTACAGTCAGCCACCACCATGCCTGGCTAATTTTTGTATCTTTAGTAGAGACAGGGATTCACCACGTTGGCCAGGCTGGTCTCAAACTCCTAACCTCAGGTGATCTGCCTGCCTCGGCCTCCAAGAATCAGGGGTAATTTTATGGTTGGATATCCTAACATATATTCTCTAGGAGAATGGAAGACTAGACTAATACTTAAGCTAAAAAAAGTGTTGAATACAGAGGCAGCAATCATTCATATTAGCCAGGATAAGAAAATGTTTGGTCATTTTTGTTGCTTAAACAATGTTCATGGTTTCTGCTTTGTCTTTGTTCAAACATGATTACAGATTAGTCTTTTTTGTTGTTGCTGTTGTTGTTGTTAGAGAGATAGTGTCTCACTCTGTTCCCTGGAACTCCTGAGCTCAAGTAGTCCTCCCATCTCTGAGTAGCTGAGACTACAGGCACATACCACCACGCCTGGCTAGAAGCGCCCTTTTTAAATTTTATTTTGGAGGGAGAGGGTCTTAAAATTACAATGATTCACACAATGGTCATGAATGATGCTGAAGTTCTGGGATATTGTTTATGTTCAACAGAACACCAAAGCCTGACTAGCAGAATATCAGACCAGCTTGTAGCAACTTTAGTTCTGGCTGATAGTATCAGGTCAGCTTCTGGATGTCAGGAGCTGCTTAACTCTTTCCTCTTCTGATTAATGGCAGATGAGGTTAAGTTGCAGGACATTAATCCATGATACCCACATTTTCACCGTTGCTGAGATTTTGCTGAGCAAGAGATTGTTCATAGAATGTAGTCTGTAGTTGGGCTAGGGCTAGTTGCCCCTGCTCCCTTTGCTATAGAATGAGTAATTGAATCCTCTCATGTGTCCATAGTTACATGGGAAATATCAGCCTACTGCAACACAAGCTAGTTATCAGAAGCAAGTCTTGAACCCAGGGGTCTGGATCATAAACTCCAGACAGTGAATCCAGCAGGGCCTGTGTTAGAGTACCAGGTGACTATTTTTTTCTCGACTTAGTCATGGGCTCCTTTATTTGTCATATGTAAGTGCAGGAATATGTGGTTGTTATGATTTAAATATTCCCTTGGCTAGGTAAGAGGGAATCAAGAAATATGTGATTGTGCATTAACAACTCAGTAATGAATTTATTGGTTTGTTAGGTTTTCAGAGTAGCAGTCATATGCAAATAAAATATTGAGTGAAAGCAAAAGTGATCATGGTAATATTAATAGTAACCAATTAATGAATAGTACTTTAATACTTAATTCTCAAAAAAAATCTGAAGTATATGTTGTGTAACTCTATTGTACAATTCAAGAAAGTAAAGCATAGAAAAGGCAACTTCCCCAAGGTCATACCACTAATAAGTAGAAGAAAGAGAATTCAACCTCAGGCTTGTCTGAACTTACAGACTGCATTCTTTTTTTTTTTTTTTTTTTTTTTTTTTTTTTTTTTTTTTTTTTTTTTTTTTTGAGACAGAGTCTCACTCTGTCACCCAGGCTGGAGTGCAGTGGCGCGATCACAGTTCACCGCAAGCTCTGCCTCCTGTGTTCTTGCTATTCTCCTGCCTTAGCCTCCCGAGTAGCTAGGACTACAGGCGCCGGCTACCACGCTCAGCTAATTTTTTTTTTTAATGTATATTTTTAGTAGAGACGGGGTTTCACCATGTTAGCCAGGATGGTCTCGATCTCCTGACCTTGTGATCCTCCCACCTCAGCCTCCCAAAGGGCTGGAATGACAGGCATGAGCCACCGCACCTGGCCATAGACTGCATTCTTATTACTCTATCATTAGGAAAAGCTTCTGGAATCAAATCCAGTGATCAATTCCCTGAGTAATATGCCTGGAAAACTTCCCTTTGTAAACCAGTCTTCTTCCACTGTTGTTCTCTATACCTTCCTGCCTGGAGTGCCACTGCTTTGTGGTTTCATGGGGAAAAAGATATCACAAGAACCACAAAGCTGGGCAGTTTAGTGAAAAAAAAAGAATAAGGAATTAAAGAATGCCTCATTCCATACCTGTCATCTTGCCTTTACATGAACTGATATAGTAAATACCCATTTTGAAGTGGTTGCATGTATTAGAAGTCAAAATTACAAACAAAAATTCAAAGGCAGAGATTTGTCCTGTATTTTTCTTCAATAAGTATGGCTATGGAGCATTTGAATGATTATTCATTTCACCCACTTTTTTAAAATGCTATTTTTAAAGATTTGTTTTGCTAAAATGTTTCCACTGAAATGTAATAGAGTAAGCTGTCAAACTTTCCAACACTGCACCATATCATTTAACTTAGCAAAGTGTGCTGATGGATGCCCCCAGCTAATTAGAAAGATGACTCGAAGACCATATCCTAATGACTCAGAAAATCCACATCAACTATTTTTCTTCTAAGCTAATTATTGGTTTGAGAAATACGCATCCTATTTTGAGGGCTAAATTTTTCTTTCCTGGAATAAAAACCACAGAAATCTATAATGGTGTTAAATTTTTGTATCCATGGTTCTGACTAAACTTTTCCATTTATATGTATTGCATCCTTGGCCATATAAATCATATTTATAACATAGAATGCCATATCTGCTTCTTACCGTGAAGCTTAAAACAAATAATTATTATTAAAACAATTTAAATTAGAAAGCTGCTCTATCCACTGTGTTCTTCACTTTATATGTGATCGTCAGGATACTAAAAACTTGAATGATAAAAAAGATCTAAGAAATTGAATCATATTGTGAATATTTCATTGCATATAAATTGTTCTATTACAGCATTGCTTTAAAGCCAAATGTTGTTTTGTAACTTTCTAGTTTGTATGTACCCAAAGTTCATATGTTCCTATCTCAGTTTTTCCCAAAGTAGGCAGGCCTATGTTGTTGAACACATTGCAATTCTGGTGAGTAAAAAAAAAAAAAAAAAAAAAAAAAAAAAATGTGTATTCTTACAATACTGCTTACATAAATATCAAGCATGGTGCTACGTAATACAGAGAAAATGGTATGCAGTGTAGTCATGCAAATGCACCAAAACTCAAGAAGTATTTTTAGTCTCTGGAACTTTCAAAGAAATGGATGACATTAAGTATAATTTAACAGAAACCAGTTGGCCTATAGCTGAACATAAAGTTCTAACCAAATCCAGCATGAATCTAATTTTTGTCCAAAATATTGTGGGCTTCATGAAGTTATATGTTTATTCTAATTTTATTTTAAAAGTGATGCTCATTTCTAGGGAAATCGAGTTCACAAATCAGACCCTGATCCATTCCAAGTTACATATGGCAAAAAGATTATTTTATTTTTATATAATGTCATGCTTTGAGGCATTTAGAAGAGGAGAGATGGAGGAGGAAAAGGAGGAAGTAGAAGGAGAAAGAAAATAGACATGTGGTGAAAGAAGGCCAGGAAAAACAAGGAATGTTCACGTTAATCTAATAAAAAGTAGAATGAAAGACCAAAGAGGAATCAAAATTTGTTCTACATTCAGCAGTTCATGTGATTTCTAAATCTGGCAAACCTGGAATCATGTCTTCTCTCTATAGTGAAATCTCTTCACACTCTGAAGATCCTAACAGAAAACCTTCTGGAAGGTAGAACTACTCATATTTTGCTCTCAGATGTTCCTGCAAGACATTCTCCAAATTTAATTACATCTTCCTACTCATGGAAGATAGGTATGAAGGACTTTTGAAATGCCAGTTAACAGAAGATGCTTCAGAGATCACTAGAGTAATTTGTCTGATGTCATAGTTTAGGACAGTGCCCATTTTATAAAGCACACATCAAATCCGATTCTCCCCTCTAAGCATCCCCTATTACCTTGGTCTAAAATAACTCATATTTCTCTACTCCTATAAGCAACCTGCTCTTATGTTTTTTTTTTCTATAAGAGAAGTCCCTACTTATTCTTATAAAGTAAAATTTATATTTATTACTGGGTTACTTAGCGTTTAGGTCCTACAACTTTAATGTTGGTGTTGAAAATGTGGCCCTACTACCCACTAGTCATGTGGTCTTGAGCAAAACCCTTTACCTATCAGCTACCAAAGATATCGTCAGTTATTTCAACGGCAAAATGAGGTGAAAACACTTATTCTGCATAGTTACTGTAGGATGAAAGACGTTAAAACATATAATGCTCTTAGAAGAGTGTCTAGCACATGGTAAAAACAAAATGAGTGTTAGCCACCATTCTATTAATACTACTGTCACATTGTGATTATAATTATCATCATCAACTCTTTGATGGAACATACTATGTAATATCTTTAAAATATTTTGACTCATTTTTTTTTTTTCAGGTAAACCAAAAGTTTAATAAAAATGAAAAAAAAATACAGTATGGTGGGCTAGCTGCTTCAAAAGGTCTGTTATATGTTGGTCAGCCTGATATCCTGACTCTGTGTGTTCTGGAGGTCACAGGACTGGCCCCTCACACACAGTCAGGACTACAAGCCCCACAAATTATAAGGGTCATATCCTATTCATTTTTGTATCCCAACTTCCCTCCATCATTTACTTGAGATTTAGAAGTTCTCAGAAAATATGTGTGTGATAAATAAAATATAGACTTGTTTATTGCTGACAACACTAATATAGATTAAGTTTCTCTGCCATTAATCTATACAGGCTCTTGGAAGTCAGGAAATTTATCTGTTTTTGCTCACTTAGTACAGTTTCTAGCATATTATAGATAATATATATTGTTCAATGTGTAAAATGAACTAGTAAACACTAGAACATATGCATCATACATGAAAGTTCTTCTTTCTGTCTACTGCCATATCCTTATTACTCCACACACACTTGAGATAAAGTAGGCAGGCACTCAATAAACTTAGATGAAGGAATGCATTTCCTAATACTCATTGACTTTAAAGATGTCTTTCAGTAAGCTCTGCAAATAGGCAAAATCTCTGAAAACCTTAAAATAGGTCCAAGATGGATATCACCCAATATCAAGTGAAATTGAATACATGAAGTATAAAACCATATTTGGACAAAAATCACTGACAGGACCATGCAAGAGAGTTGTTCATGGCCTCAGGTAATATTTAATGCCACTTCTTCAGGGGCAACCTACTCTGTTTTCAGGAAACTGCTTTGAAAGTGCCCGAAACAAATCCCTTTCTCTAGTCCTTTGTTTTTGTGAAGCCCAAATGGTAATCTCTCTCTCTAGAATGATAGTGTATACATCTAAGTTCTTGGGAGAAGTACTACATTAAGGAAAAGATTAATATCCTCATTCTGCTATTCTCTGCTCCAAAATGAACAGTGGGTTCACAGCTAACAAATATCAGCCTCTGACTTCTGAGCTTTCCAAATTCACAGGCTCATGGTTCTCTCAAGCAGAAAATAACTTATTTTCTCTGTGCTGTATCTTTCTATTTTATTTTCCTTTGCAATTTTTTTTCTTTTATTATTATACTTTAAGTTTTAGGGTACATATGCACAACGTGCAGGTTTGTTACATATGTATACATGTGCCACGCTGGTGCGCTGCACCCACTAACTCGTCATCTAGCATTAGGTATATCTCCCGATGCTATCCCTCCCCCCTCCCCCCACCCCACAACAGTCCCCAGAGTGTGATGTTCCCCTTCCTGTGTCCATGTGATCTCATTGTTCAATTCCCACCTATGAGTGAGAATATGCGGTGTTTGGTTTTTTGTTCTTGCGATAGTTTACTGAGAATGATGATTTCCAATTTCATCCATGTCCCTACAAAGGACATGAACTCATCATTTTTTATGGCTGCATAGTATTCCATGGTGTATATGTGCCACATTTTCTTAATCCAGTCTATCATTGTTGGACATTTGGGTTGGTTCCAAGTCTTTGCTATTGTGAATAGTGCCGCAATAAACATACGTGTGCATGTGTCTTTATAGCAGCATGATTTATAGTCCTTTGGGTATATACCCAGTAATGGGATGGCTGGGTCAAATGGTATTTCTAGTTCTAGATCCCTGAGGAATTTCTTGAGCATTACACTGTATAATTGACCACAAAAGAGGAGGAGAACAGAAACCGTGTGCAGCCAGAAGCCTGGGGGCTGAATTGGACTAGTGTTTGCAAGGGGATAGTTTCTGGGCAACAGGGTGAATTGCTCATGGCCTTTGTATAAGGAGTGAAGTTACTTGCCAAGTGATTTTCAGTTGTTATGGGGAAAGAAAATTAAGTTTAAGATGAACACATTTTGGGGAGAAATCATAAGGACTAAGATGTTTCAGATTTATCTTACTTACTCCTCTACTTATATAATAGCAGCAAACCAAGTAATCAGTTAACTTTCTGCATAACTCAAGTGTGCTGAGCATTAGTAATATATACATATCAAAGTTACAAGGAGAAACATACAAGTAATCCTTACCAGTACCATAAGATATGATGGAAACACACACATACATGCATGCACACACACACACACACACACACACACACAGTTGATTTCTGGATGAAAATCAGAAGTAAATAATTAGATGTTGGCTGGGTCTGGTGTCTCATGCTTGTTATCCCAGCACTTTGAGAGGCCGAGGTTGGCAGATCACCTGAGGTCAGGAGTTTGAGACCAGCCTGGCCATTATGGTGAAACCCCATCTCTACGAAAAATACAAAAATTAGCCAGGCGTAGTGGCGGTTGCCTGTAATTCCAGCTACTTGGGAGGCTGAGGCTGGAGAATAGCTTGAACCCGGGAGGCAGAGGTTGCAGTGAGCCTAGATCACACCACTGCACTCCAGCCTGGACAACAGAGTAAGGCTCCATCTCAAAATAATAATAATTAAATGTTATATTCACACTTTCATAAATTGTATGATTATTTATTATGCTCATTTATTTATTCTCTCTCTCCTCATGATAAGATTACGTATCCTCAGCTGGCTTTGCCATGTGACTTGCTTTGGTGATTAAAATTGGAACAAGAAGCAGTGGATATCACTGTTACAAGTTTCACCATCGATCTTTTCCCAGTGCCATGCACTCAGGTAGGATGGCTCCTTTGGCATGTGTCCTGGTCGGAAGGGGCATGAAGCAGAGCCACAATCTACATGTAATATTAATGAAAAAAAAATCTTTCTTTGGAAAGCAGTTAGATTTGGGAATACATTTTACCGCAGCAAAACCTAGCATAAACTTATTATATGCATATATTGATAGGTCAAAATATTTTATACTTTTTTCCTTTTTCCCTGGCTCATTCCTTACTTCAAATATTTCTAAGGTTCTTCTTTATTTAATATATAAAGTCAAAACTCTTAATGTGGAATTTAAGACCCTGTATGAGGTAGACCCTGACTCTCTTTAATCTCATCTCTTGCCTTCTTTTTCACCCAATACAGCCATACTGTTCTATCTACAATTAATCCATTCCCCAAGATGTTTAACCTCTGTACATGGCTTATAATTTTTCCCTCTGTTTGGAATATTATTCATTCCCTTTCTCTACTCTCACTTTACCCACAGGGTCAATTTCAACCCTTTTGCAAGAACAAACCCGCTCTTCTCCCTTTTACTTAAATATTCTCTGACCAACTAATTATTCTCTTCCTACTTCTTGTCATCAATGTACCATCTCAGACGTCATTGCAATTACTTTTTTTTTTTGACATCTCTGACATTGGACGTTTCTTGAAAGGAAACTACAATGGTTTAGATATATGTAGATCCCCAGTACCTAGCAGATAGTCTGAAATATAACAGATATCTGACAAATTTTGTGGAACTCATGGGTAAATAAATACTTCAATGAATTAATGTTTCTCCTGTTCGTCCTTTCACACTGGCATGTGATTTTTTAAAAATTATTTGGTAAATGATTCTTAGCATGGAAAGTAATTGATAGGAGTACATTGACTTTGCTTTGAAATAAAAATGCTATTACCTGTGGAAGTTATGTCAATCTTAAAGGCTTCTGCAACATTTAATTTTGTACATTTTTCAGGGTGGTGTCATTCTAACCACATTAGTATGTTCTTCACTTCATCTAGAAGGTTAACACCAAAGAGCCACAGCATCACCTGAGAAGTTTCTATTTGATACTTCATTCCATTTTAATGCAAGAAATAAATAAATTATCCCATACTTCTCCTCAATTAGACATCAGCCTCATTTTCTTTCTAGTCAAGACATATTTTTTTTTGTCTTTCCTTTGGTATTAGAAATACTAGAAATACTTGAAGGGGGCTTAGAACCAGAAGACCTGAATTTAACATCCAGCTCAACACTAAACTGGTTTTATGACCTGTGTTGTGTCACTTATCCTTCTGTAGTTTCATTTTTCTCATCTCTCAAATGAGAGTACAAGAGACAAAGAGTATTGAAATCTCTTTTAGCTGTGATTAAAAACAAATTAGACTAAGTTAATTCACTTACAAACTGAGAACCAAAAGAGAGGCCTAATATTCAGATTTGAAATGAACGAAAAAAATCTACCAAGTCAAGACTACTTTTGAGTCTTTCCCACTATTCCAAACTGAAATCTACAGAACAGGCTGCAAAATCAGATAGACTTGGTTAGAATTTCAACTCTACCTTTTATTGACTATGTGATCTTGATCACGTTGCCTGATCCATCTGACTTCAATTACCTACTGTAAAACAATAATAAATGCCCTTATCCTATAGAATCTTTATAAAAATCAAGTGTCTTCATATCTCAGTTTATGACAATTTCTTTCTCCTGATTGCTCAAACCAAAGATTTTAGAGTCATTATTGATTCTTTTTTCTTTTTCTCTTACTCCACATCGTATAACTATAAATCTAGCATATATTTTGAATGCAATCATTTCCCACAATCTTTACTATACCACTTAATTCTTACAACAATCCCACAAATTAATTAAAGTGATGAGGAGGAGGCATGGGAGAAGAAGAAAGTTAACACATAGTACTTATTATTTACTGAACAACGTTTTAAGCAATCGGGCTATGTCTTAGTTGTTTCTGGCTGGTTTAACAAATTACCATAGACCAGGTGGCTTAAATGACAAATATTTATTTTTCATAGTTCTGGAAACTGGCTGTCTGAAATCAGGATGCCAGTATGGTCAGAATGCTAGAATCTTCCATTGAACGGAATAGAATCCTCATTTGGTTGCAGGGTAGAATCCCCATGTGGCAGAAAGAGGTCCAGAGTTGTCTGGGGTACCTTTAATATGGGCACAAATCCCATTTAGTAAGCCTCCATCTTCCTAACCTAATTACCTCCCGAAGGCCCCCACCTCTTAGTACCATAATACTAATGATGAGGATTTTAACAGATAAATTTTGGGGGACAAAAACAGTTAATGCATTGCAGACCATCTCATTTATCCTTGTAACAATATTTTGAAGTAGATACTATTTTTATTCATATTTTACAAATGACAAAACTGAAGGTCCAAAAGTTGCTTTGCCCAAGGACATTGAACCAGTAAAGGAAGATCTAGTCACTGAAGCCAGGAAGTTTGGCTCCAGTACTCTTAACCTGGATGTTGTAGTACCTTCCCAATAAAAACAAGTACTTGGAATCCTGGAGTGAAGAACAGTGAAATTCAAATCAGGGCTGCTCTTTTTAAAAGGACAGCCTTTGAAATAAAAAAATATGGGCTTGAGTTCCAGCTTCATTACTTTGTATGTTACCCTGTGTGCTTTCTAAACTGCTCTGAGCTTCAGTTTCCTCATCTTCAGGCTTGGAACTTGGGGTTTTCTCTTGGATATTTGTTAGGTGCCACTCCAGTATCCATTTCTCCTTATCCATCCTTAGCAGTGCTTTTAATTTCTCAACTATGTATACTAGGAAGTAATGGGAAGCAAAAGAGCTTAGAGCTCTTGGAATTCTTAGATCCAGGCATGGGCTTATATCTACAGGAGAGGCCCATCCACTGGGAAATGTGGCCTTCAGTAGAGAATCACAACAACTATCAACTCTTAGCCTAGCAGGTAGCAAGATGGGGGAATAATCGCCCAACTTCACTTGTTTCTTGCCTAACAATTTTCTGCTGAATCCAAGTGGAAACCAGTGGTCAACAGGCAAGAGAGACTATGGCTGCATTCTATGAAAATGAGCCTCCTGGCACAAATCAGGATAGAAAAGAATGAAGAATGTGTCTGTAGAGACAAATAGAAAAAAAGATCTATCACATTTTAATTGTCAATGTGAAGTCTAAATGTCTGAAATGGCAAATCTCCATCACAAAACGGAGCATCAAGAACAAAAATCAAGGGCGTCCCTCAAAGATGAAAGATTGGACCTCAGAACATTATAAATAAATATATTTCTTTTCAACTTAACTAAGATAAAAAGAAGTAAAAAATGATTTGTGTTATAATGACAAAAAGTTCTGAGTTATCAAATTTTTATTTCTCAGTGTTGGCATTTATCTTTAACAATTTTCCCAACTTTTCATTTTGCCAGTTCACCTCAGACAGTCTGTACCATTGTTTGTTGAAACTCTTTTCCATCTTGACTAAATCATGTCTGGCCTGGCAGTTGCTGTTCACATAAAATTGGGGACCGAGCGAAAAAAAACTGAAGTGATAATAACTCCTTCTTGAAGAAAGTACCTGGAGTTTTCCATAATTGGTTTTCTTGCAAAAAAAAAAAAATAAATCTCTTCAATTTTCCCCCTCACTTCTACTGTACACCGCAGCCTGTATTTTCAATCAAGCAACCATATACGACTTGCTTTCATACATACCCTTTCAAGAGTTTTCTGTCCAGTACCATGATCATTCATACTGTAGTTTATCTTATCAATAATTAAAGCATTTCCAGCTGTTTCCCAGCCAACTCTGAGAATTACTTTTTTTTTTATGGCAAGACAGGGAGAGTTTTGGTCTTGCTCTTGCTCAGATTTCATTGCAAGAGAAAAGGCATTTCTTTCTCTATATAAATTTCTTGCCACTAGACCAGAAACAATAATAGTTCCAAATTATTCTGGGAGATCTCTTTTCTTTCCAGTCTGTACACCCCACAGATTGAGACAATCTACACTGGAAAGGAAGGGTCCTTCGGAAGAAATCTCTGCACAATAATTTCTTTCAAGTACCTCTGGTGACAAATTGTCTTACGATCCCAGAAGCTGAAATTTCAAGATATGTCTGTGACTTCTCTAAAAAGTATATAAAATAGCAATTACTATGTGGGCAACAATTCAGCGCCTCCTAAAGAAATGAAAAAGATGGAAATAAGGTTGGCATTTGAATGTTAAACTATGTCACCAGTACACACACAAAAATGCATCCAAGAAGAGTTGGGCAGTTCTCTCAGAGAGGCAGAACTGGCTATCAGCAGTGTAAGTACAATGGCAACAATAATATTAGCAGCAAATTAGCAAAATTGAAATGAATATTTACTACGTGTCAGATACTATATACGACACTGGCCATGGTTATTTTATTTAATTCTAACAAGACCTTGTGAGGAAAATATTATTATGGTTCTATTTTACTAATTAGAAAACTGAGGCTTAGAGCCATTAAATAACATTTGTCCAAGGTTTACACGAGTGGTAAATAACAGAGCTACAACTTGAAAATTTGGGACTATTACAGTCTGTGTATCCAATCAATGTTGAAGTACAGACAATGGAAACTTGGGCAGTTGCATGCTTGTTGACCCCCACATAGCAGTCACAAGGTAGCACAGCTCAGAAAAAGTGTCCATTCTCCCTGGAAGGTACTACCCTGCTGTGGAAATAGAAATGACAGCCTGCTTTGGGCTGAACTTATTAGAGGTGACTCTCTGTCTTCTAATTCCCAGCTTACCAGTAACCCTGGATAATTTGGCTTCTCTTGTGGCTTTCTTACAGAGAAACGATGTGTTGATGCCTGGTGGCATTTTAATTATTTGCTTTGGACTTTTATGAGTTAATAGTGTGAGTTGATATCCTTACCTGATCTCAGAAATGGGACTAACAAGTTTGAACTAAGGGTCTATTAAATGAACATCTATTGTTTTTATCTTCCTGGATCAGCCACCAACTTCTACCACCCCTTTAGTGAGGAAATGTTTCTTCCCACTCTAAGCATGTTTTTTCAATGCAAGTTTTTAAAATTTTTGCAGATTCAATCTTTCTGGCTATAGTTAGCAGCTGATCTATGACGAATCTATCGTAGTACCCCATTTACCCAGACAAATTCTCAGCCCAGGGAAATGTACATGTTGCAAATAGAGCCAATCGTAACTTTTCCCTAGGACTGTTTAACTCAGGATTAGAGAAATAGCATGCATTTAATGTTCTTTTCTAAAATGGCGCTATGTGACTTTAGAGCTATGAGCAGCCACAGTTTCCATCCTGTGAAAGAAGCCAGTCTGTAGGAATAAATGAAACTGCACATAGGAAAGAGCAGACATGAAAGAACGCGATTAAGCTGTCACAGATGGCAGCAGTTTCTTCTCCCAGCTGCTTCTCCCCCCTCCCCCCAGGTAAGTAAGCTTTCTCATCACTCTTCTTTTAGGCCAAAGCTAGTTCACAGTTGGTTTTAACCAAAACAGTACTGAATAACATATCTTTTAATCTAAAGACCAAAAAATGAAATGATAAAGCCAGAACTACCACAGACAGTTGTATACTTTGTGCACTGCACAAGAGCCAAAGTGAGCAGAAGATGATAAAAATCCAGCCATGCAACTTGGTGAGAGTTAGCACCCACCTGCAAGTGGTGATGTTTTCAAATTTTCACAAATCACTTTAATCATAGGGCTAATGTTGGCCCTAAATGAAGTCAACAAAGAAAATAGCAACTTGTAAGCCTTCTTGGGGACTGAGTACACTGAGAATACCCAGACCTTACCTGATTTTTTTCTAACTTAATAAATGCCTCTCCCAAAGAGTATGTGATTGAGAGATGTCAATATCTGAGAATGATATATCAAGACTCCCCACCCGCACCAATCCTCAGTAAATCCTAGATTCTGTTTTTTCATTTATATGAGGGAAAAACTAGCTAATTTTCTTTTACCATGGTCATTGAAAAAGAGTCTATTTTTAAATGATGAAACTTCTTACCACTATGGAATGTTTGTCACACATTATAGATTCAGCTGACAATTCCTGGGTTAGATATGATTTTCCTATAAATTTTAGGAGACAATATGTGCATGTGAACATCCATGCCAAAATTTCCATTGCAAGCCACTCCATCCATGCAAATGCTCGGTCATTTGGATGTGGTATAAAATGTTTCCAAGTCCACAAGTTATACTTATCCTCTTTCCTGGGCATCTTAAAAGAGTGCCATTGTTGTCATTGTGGTGAGTAAGTCACCCATGTCATAACAGCCTATAACCACTAGCCTTAAGTTCCTCAAGCCATCTTTCACATTCTTCTTGACTGTTATTGGGATATAGAAGAAGATGAAAACTGAGCAGCTGGGTTTTCCATTTACCCAGTGAATCACTTTATCTCCAAGACATATAGGGAATTGTAGGAAGAATAATTATTTAAATCTTGACTGCATGAATAAGCAACCAAATGGAGAAATAGGTCACAATTCTTATTATGCAGATTTCTGAATGTCAGTCAAGTCTCTAGCCATACACCATCACTGCAGCTCCTGAAAACATAGCTCATGATATCTACTCACATTTCCAACCATTTGGATTAGTCACTGATGACTTACTCCTTTAGTTGAGAGAGAGTATAACATAGTGACTAAGAGTACAGGCTTTCTAGTTGGTACATGACCTTGGTAAAGTTAATGAAACTCTCTGGGCTTCAGTCTCACTATGTAAAGTGATAATAGGAGCACTCACGTCATATAATTATGATAAATATAATAATACATATATAGTGCTGAGAACCATTCCTAATATGTGATAAGGACTAAGGAAGTATCAGCTCTTATTAGTTTGTACATATTTCATATTCATTAAGCTTTATCATATGCTGAGTAATAAGAAATGAAGAAGAAAAACAAAAATGAGTAAGACAATCCCTGCCATCAAAATGTCATGTTAGGTAGTTGGATGAGGAAACATATAAACAACTCTGGCAGAAAACAGAATAATAATTGTTCAATAGAATTAAAAACCAGATAGTAACATGCTATATATGTTCCAGATAAGTAAATCTAACTGGGGCTTCGATAAAGACCCCTCACTAGGGCTTCTTGGCTTAGATACACAATAGTAGCTGATTTATTAAATAAGTTCAAACATGGAATAGGAAATGTAATGAACATTTTCAGAGATATCTTTGATTAATTTCCCTCTTACAGAGCCTGGCCCATAGTAGGTACTCAATTAATCTTTGTTGAAGGGATAAAAATAAATACTGTATCCTTCAATCCCTTTCTACGGGTGAGTTCCCAACACCAATCCCTCCACATGCAGATGTTCAATACCCTAAGCCCTTATGTTGAACTCACCTGCAAGAAAATCAGAGAAAAATAAACCTAACCCTTGTGATTTTAGTAGCAGCCCTAAGGCTTCTTGTTCTTATGTAGTAGTTATGTTCCCACATCAGAAAAGAAAGAAAAGACACCTGGGTAATAAGACATCCAAAGAGTAAGAAAAGGGAATAACTATGAAAATTCATACTACAAACTCATGTGCCCTTACACTCTGGTTTCCTTGCAGTTAGTTGCCTCCATGACTGTCCCTCTCAAACCATCCTTTAATTGTATAGATGAAGAAACAGAGGCATAAAATTACTCACCCAAGGCCAAACAGCTCACAGCTCAAGAACAAGAGAGCCATCACTGAAAACCGGCTCTCCTGCCTCAGAGACTAGGCCCTTTGACCTCACAGTGCTGCATCTCTCTGAAAGGTCAGTTCCTTCACTCCTTATTACATCTTGGGTGTTCTTCTGTCTCCCAAAGTGTGGATTTTAACTGACTCAGGGATACCTTGAGAGCTTCTTTAATGAATTTTTCTTAAACAACAGCCCTTCCCATTTGGAAGCAGGTGTGAAGAGCTGGATCCGGGAAGCCAGCTGGGATGCTGCAGGCATCGTCCCTGGCATAGGTGCAGCAGATGGAAGTACTCCATGCCTCCTGCATGTGGCTAAGTGGACAGCAGAGTAGAAGCACTGGACACATGAAGAGCCTTATTTATAAAATGTTACTCTGAGCAGCAGGAAATAAAAATTGGAATTAAGATAGTAAATGTTGCCTATCTGCCTGTGTACAAATAGACTATTTCTAGGGCAAAATGGCCCTCAGCTAAGTACATAAACATAAAGTAAAAGCTATCCAAAAACTTAGAATGGTGTTTACTTATTAGATGGTTACATCTCCTGCGTCCTGATTCTACTTGCAATTAACCAAGTTTGATCACGTCAATTTATTATCCCTTATATTTCTATGTAAATGCTGTGAATTACAAGGTTAATCAAGTTATTTTGTTCTCTAGCTCCCTATCCCCTCATCACCAACACTACCAAACTCTGACCTATTCTAGAAACTTACAACCTGAGGGACGATGACAAATTATCAGGTCTAGCCCACAGTCCTCTAGGAAGTGAATATCTAAGACAGCTAGGATTGGGAATTATATTTTTCCTTCATGCAGATGACCATGATTAGAGGCTTAGAGACCCTTCAGTCAAGTGTGTTGGTTTGTTATCACTCTGATAGTCAGAATGAGCCTCTGTAAGTTTTTAAAAATTTATTGCACTTTATTCTAGTTTCCATTCATAAGAGAAACAACTAACAGTCAGATATCTGGCTGGTCTCTAGGATTCTCTCCAACTCTCAGACTTTATGTCTCTATTAAACTGCATTTTCCATATAAATTTGAACTACACTCAGCCGAAGTTAAACCATCACTTATATTTACATTTATCACTTATTCACAGACTTAGGTTGTGTTATATGCCAGGCATTGTGAGTGGCTTTAGGAACACAGAGTTGAAAGAATGTCTCTAAACTCTAGTTGCATGAGATCTGAGATAGAGATGAGCATGAGGTGCCATGGAAAGAACAGAGGCAAAGAATAGAACTCACTGTGGAGTTTCATTGCCAGGTAGACAATGGGTGATCAAAATGTCCAAAGGTGATAGCCAAAAGGTGTGAGAGCAGAATGAATTCAGGTGTGAGGAATAGGTTAGAAAAAGTGGTTCGCACCTACCTCACCTAAAAGGGGTAAATGCAACATGATGAAAGAAACACATAGGGATGGACAAACAGACTCAAAGAGAATGAGCAAGAAGTTGAAGGCAAGAACCTTCCTGACAACAGATGCAAAGAGCAAAACCAGGTGCATGGAGAGGTTAAGGCCTTGATATGAGCCATCAAAGGACAAAGAGATAAATCATGGTATGAACTTGAAATAAGTAAGGCTTGAGAGAAAAGTGGCTCTGTTTGTCAACATACAGTCAATAAAACCAAAATCATGCATGCTAATTTGGTAGAGGGATTTTAATACTATGAACTAGTTAGGAAGGTCTAAGATAAACTGAAAACCAACTAGGTAATCTGAGGCAACTGCAAGATAAACAACATTAGAGAGCCACAGTGACACCTAGGAATGGAAATACAAAAAAAAAGTATTCAGGAGGGGATACTACTAGATCTTAGAATCTGGGGCTAGAAGAAGAGGCTTTACGGCAGGATGTAGAGACACAGTAGCTGGCAGAAATGTCACAGGGAGCAAAGGAGTGAGGGAAGGAACATTCTGTTTTCTTCTTTCCTCTGACCCTCTAATCTCTTGCCAGGGCTTCCACTGGCTGAACCTAACAGGAAGCCAGCTGGCAAGTAAGTCTGAGAAAGAGCAAAAGTTTCTTTGAGATTCAGAGCAGACTAGGGGGACAGGAGCGGAAGGGACATGAGAGCAAATGGCAAATGACTGACAGAGTAGATGAGAAATCAGAGGAGACACGGATCTGAATATTGAAACAATAAAACTCATTTAGAAATTTTAAGTGACACAGGTGGCTAAATATTCCATCTTAATCCAAGAGATGACAATGGAAGTAGGGTGTTTGCCTTAAAGAGGCATAATTGCAAAGGAAGCAGCTCAGAAATTTCCACAGAGAACTTCATGCAAGCATTATTTTGTGTGCTCCAGTAAAGATAGTAATAACAGCTACATTAGTTGAGTGTCTAGTGTACAATATATGTTTTACAGGGCACTTTGGATGAACTAGTCTAAATCATACTTCAGGATAGCATTGTAACCACACTTAACAGCTGCCAACCAAAACTAAAGTGCAGAAAACTTGAGTGAACTGCCCAAGGTAAGACAACCAATAAAAAGGAAAAATAGTATCTAAAGTCCAATCTTACACCAAATCCTCCGTTCATGGCATTAAACCACCATGTCTCAGTGAACTATAATTGTCACAGGATCCAAAGTGACACAGGGTGTCACTGTGCCGGCTGGAAACCTCTGTGGTCAGTGGCACCTCTGCTTGGGTTTTGCTTGTACCCACTGGGTTCATTCCACCCACTTGGTCCAGCAGGCTGCACTTGGCTCGCACTACTGGACCAGATCCCATGCCTGCCAAGGGCAAACCAGGTGTGGAGTGGCGAGCGGTGTGTAAGCATGGGTTCCAGCCACTGTGCACAATCAGGCATGCTGGCTGCAGCAGGGTGGGCAGCTCCAGACACTGGCACAGGCACTGGCTTTGTGTGAGGCTGTGACTGGACCAGATATACCATCAGCAGTTTCCACTGGCACCAGGGAATGTGGTGGTGACCAGAAGCTTGGAGATGCTAGGAACCACAAAGCCCCAAAGAGGGTGTTACAGCCCTGGTTCAGGGAACCCCTCAGTCTGGACTACCCCAAGGGCCACAGTTCTTCTTTCCTCATCACCTGAAATGTGGCCAGTGGGGGCAGGTGGGTATTTCAGCCCTGTTTTTCTTACAGCTCTTTCAGCCCTGCCATTTGGCAGGTCCCAAATTCTTCTTCCACATCCAGGAAGAATGAGGTATGTGGACAATCAGAGGATGGGCAAGGTGGAGAGGAATATCACTGAGTGTCTTAACAGTTCTCTGGAGACCCAGGGTAGCTCCTTTCCGCAGGCAGGTCATCCTGATGAGTGTCCAGCTCTCAGCAGTGAGGAGACCTGTGGTGGGTAGCCCCTCTCCGCAGGCAGGTCATCCTGAAAAGTCAAGGAGACCAAAGTGGGTAGCTCCTTCCTGCAGCTGATAGTCCTGACATCTGTGTGAGTTTGGCTGAGTCTGGGGTTTTTACGGGCTCAGAAGGGAGGAAGTATATGCTGACGGGTCCATGGGCTGCCATGGGTGGGCCTGGAAAAAGCGCCGTAAGTTCTCACTCCAGGCCACATACTCTACCTGGAACTGGCAGCCTGGCCTCCAGGCGTCAGGCCATCTCTGGCTTGAAGGTGAAGTTTGACTGGGGACCTGCCCCTTTCCTCCCAGGAATATGTCTGCTTTCCACTATCAACATACCATCCATGGTGCCCAGGCTGTTCAGTGCCTGCTGGCACATGCTGAGCTGCCCTCAGCAACCCCCAGCCTCCCTTCTGTGCTCATCAGCACACAAAATCCATAAAGGGCCAGGGTGTCAAGAAGCTGGCATGTCAGTGTGACCCAAGCATGTGTACACCTAGCTGAGTCGCAGCAGCAGAACCCAGTCTCTACCTCAACTTCGCTGTGAAATCGGAGCAGGCAAGAACAGCAGGGAGAGACCAGGTAGTAGGGGCAGGCACTGTCAAGCCTGCAGGTGGGTGGGCTTCCCAGGCCCTGCAGGCTGAATCTTGGAAGGTGGGGCTCCTGCCCTGCCAACTCAGAAAGGGGCAGGGCTTCCACCTGTTTCCATCTCCTACTGGCTCTGTGGAACATGCAGCCCAGGCTGTACCTGCCCTGCTGCAGCTGGCATCTTTGCAGCAGCCTCTCCAGACAAGCTGCCATTGCCATCATAATGACTTATCTCAAATTCATACATTGAGAGAAAATAGATTTAGTGTCTAAACACACAGATGGTGAAGCCAGATGGATTCAAATCGCAGCTTTGCCATTTACAACCTATTACTATGGGAAATGTATTAGTTTTCTACTGCTGCTGTAACAAATTACCACAAACATAGTGTCTCAAAACAATTGGATTCATTGTCTTATAGTTTTGGAAGCCAGAAGTCATAAATGAGTCTTATGAGGTTAAAATAGAGGCAATAGCCTGGCTTGTCCTTTCTGGAGGCTACAGGAAAGAATTTGTTCCTTGCTCCACTCCAGCTATTAGTGGCTGCCGGCAGTCCTTGGATCATGGCCACATCATTCCAGTCCCTGGTTTCATCATCACATCACCTTCTCCTCTAATGTCAAATCTCCCTCTGCTTCTCTTTTATAAGGACAACTATGATTACACCAGGCCCACCCAGATAATTCAGGATATCTACTCATATCAATATCCTAAACCTAATTACAACTACAAAGTCCCTTTTCTACATAAGATAATAGTTACAGGCTGGGTGCAGTGGCTGAGGCCTGTAATCCCAGCACTTTGGGAGGCTGAGGTGGGCGGATCACAAGGTCAGTAGATCGAGACCATCCTGGCTAACACGGTAAAACCCCGTCTCTACCAAAAATACAAAAAAAATTAGCCGGGTGTGGTGGCAGGCACCTGTAGTCCCAGCTACTTGGGAGGCTGAGGCAGGAAAATGGTGCAACAGAGCGAGATTCCATCTAAAAATAATAATAATAGTTACACATTCTAGGTATTACAATCTGAATATCTTTAGGAGACATTCAATCTAACATAAGAGGGCTCACTAACCTTCATGTTTTCATTCCTAAAGTAGGGATAGCAATATTTATCACCCAGGGCTGTTATAAAGGTTAAATAAATTAATGCATGCAAATCCCTTAAAAACAATGAGAATAATCATTAATTAAATGATGGGTATTATTTTAGATTATGTTTTCACATTTGCAAACACATGAGTATGATATTCTGTAGCAACAGGGTTCATAAGAGCAGGGACTGCTGATTTTCTTCCCTGCCACAAATCCAATGCCTAACATAATTATTAGCCCATGATGGATATTAGTATTAGTTCCTCAGGGCTGCTGTAACAGAGTTTTACAAACTGTGTAGCTTAAAGCAACAGAAATGTATTATCTTACAGTGGTGGAGATTAGACATCCAAAATCAGGTGCTGGCAGGGCCATGCTCCCTCTGAACAGTCAGGAGTAGAATCTTTCCTCTCCTGGCTTCTGGTGGCTGCTGGCAATCCTTGGCTTTCCTTGGCTGAAAGCTGCATTACTCCATTGCTACATGGCCTTCTTCCTGTGTGTCTGTGTCTTTGTGTCCAAATTTTCCTCTTCTTATAAGGACACTAGTCATTTATGATTTAGCTCCTTCCTAATTCAGTAGGATCTCATTTTAACTAATCAGATGCAAAGATGTAATTTCCAAATAAGGTCATATTCTGAGTTGCTGGATGAACATGAACTTAGAGGGGGACACTGTTCAACCCAATACAGTACTTGGTAAATATTTAATTGTATGAATGAACAAATTAGTTCTGATCTGGAGCTGACAAAGTAGGCCTATCACCAAGAGTCATACACAAAAAAGCAAAGCAAGAAGCCACAGTGATTGAGATTCAAGCGTGTGATGCTTCATGGGAGAAATCTCTCCACAGTGAAGTTGGTTAGTGCCAATCAACAATGAACTCAAATTCTACTGGACTGAAATAAAGAGTCATATCCCCGTTGTCTTTCCACACATAAACACAAATACAACTTTGACAGGTTTAGCTGGGATTAAAAAGAAATTGTCAGTTCACATGTAGGCTTTAAACTAGAATTTCAGGTCATGAAAATAGCATTAATTGTGGACATATATCTTAATTTGAGCAAAGAAGCATGTACTAACTCTAGTAACCCAAAGCTGTTATATGAGGATATTGGAAAACCTGCAAAACAGCCATTTGGTTCACTTTGGTGGAAACAACATTATTCTATTGACCTGAATCCTCTGTCTGCAATTATAAACCTGAAGTGCTCCTTACAATATATATTTCACAATACAGATTCTATAAATACAACCTACATGCACATGCCTAGGATGACTAGTAATTTACAATTGCTTTATTCATCTCATAAACCAAAATGGGATAGATACTATATATTAATAAAACATTAATTAGTGTAGAATGACTGAAAATGGGCTTAACAGAAGGCTGGAAGTGGATTAAGGTGCTGCCATATTTACTAGCTACCTATTACTTGTATCTTTATAAGTATGTGGTCCCCATGGAAGATATAATTAAGATTCCATAACGTAATGAAAACAATTTCAATCTAGATAATTCATCATGTGGAAAACAGCAACATATTTTGCTTATTCTCTACTTAAAATTTTAACTCAAGAGGATTTTAAAAATCCTAGTCAAAAGAAATGTTAATGGGCATTAATATTTACTTTTTATCAATATCCTGGTAGGTGTCTCCCTTCCTATTCTTGTTTTGTCTTGTACTTTTTGTATGCAAAATTCATTTATATATGCAAATCAGGAACCAATATAATCCATCATCCCCGTTGCTGTAACATCTGGTGTATTCCAGTAGCCAAAAATGTCTGCTTCAGAGGAGGGAGTTAAATATCCTGAGGTGTGTAATTGCTTGATACCATCCTCAGTTATCAGAAGTAAAGAAGAATTTCTTTCTGATAAGAATATATAATTAGTTTATACTATACCTTAACCTCACAAATTAGCATCAGCCCATAGTTCAGGGTACAGAAAAGAATTAGTTTTGACCTAAAATAAAATTTAACTGGAGGAAAAAGAACAGGAATTCTATCTTCTCTTCTGTGCTGCTTCTGCCACTGAGGCTCAATTGCTGAAGGCAGATAGTTCTTTCAGCAGCAGCAAGCATATTGCTCTGAGGTTTGGGAACTGGTTTCAAAAACATACTCCTCTGATTGAATATTACTATAAGAGAGCATCCTCTACGGCCATGTCAGCAGACACTGCACATTTGACCATTTCAGCTCAGTGATCCCTGATCTATTGCCAGAAAGGATGGGTCAGTGGTGGCAAAGGATAAAAAACCCACAGATCTGAACTGAGAGAAGAGAGATGAGGGCTAGATTGTCTCAAGGAAATGGTGTCGATTTAAAAGTATTAATGCATCCCCTTGGCAAAATAACAACTGGATATAAAGGATTTTTCATGTTTTAAGAAGTAAAGCACACACATAACAAAAATTCTACAAAAAATCAGAATAGTATTTTATCATTTCTTCTTTAGTTTTGCAATCCTAACAACTATCACATCCTCAGAGTAATGCAGATTACTAACGTCAGGGCAAAAGGGCTCACAAAACATTCTCAAAAGAACTATCAAATAATTTACATCTGCACTAAATGTGTAAGCGAAATTCTCTTTGTGCTTTCAGTGTTGTAAAAAGGGATTTGTTTTCAGATCGATTCCTTTTGAAAGACCTTTAGCTACTTAATAAATTGTGCCAATCCTTATTAATTTTTCTCTTATTCTGTCTCTGCTAAAACCTTATGACCTGACTCTTACATCCTACTGTACAAGTGTATCCACTCTTCATCTTATTTTGTTATTCCTAAGGAGCCTTCCGTGCTTTGAAAACAGAATGATCAAATAGCTTTTGCTACCACAGTATGGAACTATGAACTGGGAACTTTCGTTTTACCTACCCGACTGATTTCTTGCAATTGAATCATTATCTAATTTATGCCTAAAAATATGTGTGTCAATATGGGCAACATTAAAGGAGTAAAAACTTTTATACTATTTTTCCAAAGTTGTATGTCAATAAGATGTTTGTTTGGGCATTCATAATGTAAAGAAAATAATGGCAAAGCAAGAAAAACTGAGATTTATGTAAAGCTAAGATTTATTGTCAAACTGTCCCCCAGACTTAAAATTTCGTGGCTCCTTAAATCCTCCAGGATCCTCTATCTTAAAGATCCACTGTATAATTCACTTTTCTGAACCTTACCAAAAGAGGGCCAATGAATGTTATCAATTTCTTTGCCTAACCATTCAATGGGTGACGGTGGGACAATTTTTTTAACTTCTCAGCAACATCTTTATTAATTTCTGATGCTTTAATTTAGTGAAAAGACTAATAAAGGTGAAGCAAAGAGCTGGTTGGTTATCCTCAATCACATAACTTTCAAGTTATCAGTACTGGTTTTTGGTAATAGAATCCAAGAAGACTGAATTTACTTTGTTTACGTCTGTATGACTTGGACAATAGCTACAGCCATTCAGAAAGAAAGAGAGGACTTTGTAAATGACAACTGTTCCAATTTTAAGAGAGCTGGTGTATTTGTACATTTTCATGCTGCCAATACATACCTGATACTGTGCAATTTATAAAGGAAAGAGATTTAATGGACTCACAGTTCAACATGTCTGGAAAGGTCTCATATTCATGGCAGAAGGTGAAGGAAGAACAAAGGCACATCTTACGTGGTGGCAGGCAAGACAGCATGTGTAGGGGAACTCCCGTTTATAAAACCACCAAATTTCATGAGATTTATTCACTATCATGAGAACAGCATGGGAATAACCCATCCCCCATGATTCAATTACCCACTGGGTCCCTCCCATGACATGTGGGGATCTTGGGAGCTACACTTAAAGATGAGATTTGGGTGGGGATAAAGCCAAACCATATCACCTGGTGTTTTCGAAATAGTCTCATTTTCAGTTGTATATTTTAAAAAAAGAAAGGAAAACATCAAGCCAATTGCCTAAGAACTGTGTTGAATAGTGTTCCTCCAAAATTCATATCCACCTGAAACTTCAGAATGTGGCTATATGAAAATAGGGTCTTTGTAGATTAAGTTTAAGTTTAAATGAAGACATACTAAAGTGGGCCTTCATCCAATGACGGGTATCCTTACCAGAAGAGAAAACAGAGACAATCATAGAAAAGGTGGCTATGTGATGATGGAAGAAGAGATTGAAGTAATGCATCTAAAGCCAAGAAATGCCAAGAATTGCCTGCAACCACCGGAAGTTAGGAAGAAGTTAGGAAAAATCATTTGTTAGAGTTTTTAGCAAGAACATGGCTTTTCCAACACCTTGATTTTGGACTTCTAGCCTCCAGAACTGTAACATAATAAATTTATGTTGTTTTAAGCCCCTTAGTGTGTGATACTTTTTTACAGCAGCCATCAGAAATTAATATAGGCCATGATTGCATCTCTACTCAGTGTGACCCTCTCTACTCATGTCATACCAGGAATCCAAAGACGGATTTCATAGTTTCTCTAGTTAGGAAATCTGTCCCCAGAAATTCTACCACCTCCCTCACTGCCATATTTTTACCTCTTACTGAAGAATGCATCAAAAGAATGGCCAACTCTAGTCCCCTGAGATATCAAGTCTAAAGAATTCTTAAATAGAATCATGACAATTACTACTATTATGTTTATTATAACATGATCTAACAAAATAAAATTCTCCTAATTCACCCCGTTCCAATAAAATAGAAGTATCTGTTGACGTCGGTGATGGTATTCATCACTGAATATTGTCAGGTTTTTCAGTAGCTCAAAGTACCAAAAGTAGGTAGTTGTTCTCCTTGTTGTCAGGTCCCAAAGATCCTGGGAGTAGGTCGGGGCGGGGGGTCCTAATTATCATGGTTTTCAGAAACCTCTCCTCAAAATGTTGGTCCCAGTGTGTAGTAGCCTCTGGTGATGTAACTTCTGCTGTTAGCAATGGTGGCAATTACCCGGGACAGTAGCTCCTAATGTGGATTTCATTTTGTATTTTTTTTAGGTTCCCACTGTCCCTTTGGTGTATCTCACATCCTCAAACAGTGTCTAAGTTCTTTAATAACTGACATCACAGTGTAACTCTCATTACATCACTTCAGAGATTGCTCACTGCAGGATTTCTAGAGACTTCAAGGGTAATAGTTATCACTGAATCCATATCAGAATCATTTGGAAAGCTTCTTTAAAACAGAGATTTGTAGGCTCAGCCCACAAAAGTCTGTAAAGCCCTGAGGGTTGAATAATTCTAACATGGTAGGACCATGGCCCTGTGTTTGAGAACTTCGACTCTAATGCTAGCCTAGAGTGTTCTTTCATGCAACAAACTTAATTTTAGGAAGTGTCACTAACAGCTCACAGTTCTATTTTTCTAACTAGTCCCTTAGCCAACAGTCTCTGTTTCTTGAGTATCTCAAATTCCTTTCCCATCAGGGTCTTTGCACTTTATGTTTTTTTTTTTTTTTTTGGAAACATCTCTGCCTTTCATCATCATGTCTCTGCTTTCTTCTCATCACTAAAGCCTTAATTCCATGTTTCCCTTCTCAAAGAGATGTCTTCTCTGACTAGCCATTAAAAGTAGTGACTCTTCCTCATTCAGTCTCCTCTTATTCTGTATTTTTTTCACATCAAGTACCAGTAGCTGAAATTATATTACTTATATATGTCTTTCATGGATTAGTTTTATTTTCCCAGCACTGCACTGTGTTCACAATGGAGCACCAGCCCTTATCCATTGGTCCCAGAAGTACAGCCAATATTCAAAAGTGTCTGACACAAAATAGAAATGCAATAAATTGAATGCATATAAAAAGGAAATAATGTATGTTTCACATTACTTGATATCTAATTAGCAACATAACTTGGGACAACAAACAATTATTCTGGAATATCTCTTAACTCCCTTGGCTTAAACCATTGAGGGATGCCAAATACGTACATGAACACAATCATCACCACCAAGAAGTTTCCTAGAGTTTCCATCTTGTTAGAGTATACAGATTACTTGAACTGAAGTATACAGATTACTTGATAAACATCCCTAATTCCTCTTTCAACACTCCCTACCCACCTTGTCTATATTTATACATATATTAAAACTGCATCCTAGAATCAAGACTGGGTATTGAACAATTGTTTAAAACAGATGTAACAACTAAATCTTATTAGTAACCCTTAATAATGTTAGCATTAAAATGTCCTAAAATATGAACAAATCAAGACACTTATCCAAAGGATGCTCCAAGTGTTTGACACTTCTTTTTTCCTTTATAGGTTGTGACTAGAGTTCGCAAATGTTCATTTCTGGTGAGTAATTAATAATGAAATCACTTTCTGAACTATTGTCTAAGAAACTCAGTCAGACTTCTTCAGCCCTTCTACATTTTAAATTAAATCCAGAATGACTTTGGTGCGGCTGGTAAGGTGATTTACTTTCCTTCTATATGTAGCACAATAAACTTGTTTCTGGAGAATTAGTGTTTTACTTCACATCCAGGCCAATCCAGACCCCAAAAATCCATCAAGTAAGTCTCACTAAACAAATATTAAAATCCTTGAAAAGAACAAACTTTAGTTATAGGTATGATATAAACAGTCTACAAAGGCCATGTAGAAAGAAATATATTGTATTGCTTAGTGGAATTTTCATTATAGAAGTGTACACAATGTACGCTTCTTTCATGTTCTTTTCATAAAAATTGGCTACTATAAATGAAAATGGGCTTATTGCAAGTAAAATTGAAGCCTATATTTGCCATGAGAAGAAAATCTACTCATTGTTATCAGAAAATGTACTCATTATTAGGAAAAAAAAGAATATTGACTGTATAGGTACTACATATTAGTCATTTCATAAGAAGCTTTATATATGTTATTTTTACATAGTGTGCTATGGTTTGAATGTGGTATGTCACCACCAAACCTCATGTTCAAATTTGATCTCCACTCTAGCAATGCAGAATGGTGGGGTCCAGACGGAGGTGTCACGGGGTGGATCTTTCACGCATAGATTAGTGCTCTTATGCTGGTCTGACTGAGTTCTTGCCCTCTTGGGAAAAGATTAGTTCCTGAGACAGTGAATTGTTAAAAAGAGTATGCCTTCCTTTTTTTCTCTTGCTTCTTCTCTTGCCATGTGTTCTCTGCACACACCTGATCCTCTTCTTAATTCTGCTTTCCGCCTTGAGTGGAAGCAGCATGAGGCCCTTACCAAATTAAGCTGCCCAATTTTGGACTTTTCAGACACAGGAATCATGAGCCAAATAAACCTCTTTTCTTCATCTGTTACCCAGCATTGGGTCTTTGATTATACAACACAAAACAGACTAACACATAGTGCAAACAACCCTGGCTATATATACCAAAACTCCATTTTTAAATGAGTAAATTTAGTCTCAGAAAAGTCATCAAAGCTAGTTAGAGAAAGAACTTGGAAAGTAACTATGACCTCAAAGTCCATACTGTTTTCCTTATCTCATGTTGATTCTCTTTGTGCTAATGACAGCCTATGTTAGTATAACCTCAATTTTTAAATCAGCTACAAAGACTTCATGAAAACTTTGTCTCATAGGAATATTGCAGCACTATTTAGCAAGTTCTAAGACTGTTTCATTTTTCTTTTTTTCTTTTTAAGACAGTTTCTTGACATGATCTACCATGGAGAAAAATTGTGCTTAAAACACGGCACTTTCTAACAACTTAATCATTGAACATATTTGGTCATTCATAATATACCATATTATTCTTTTAGTATTGTTCAAATCTTTTATACTTTTAATGGTCTAGCCACTTCTTTTTCTTTTTTTTTATTATTATTATACTTTAAGTTTTAGGGTACATGTGCACAATGTGCAGGTTCATTACATATGTATACATGTGCCATGTTGGTGGGCTGCACCCATTAACTCATCATTTAGCATTAGGTATATCTCATAATGCTATCCCTCCCCCCTCCCCCCACCCCACAACAGTCCCCAGTGTGTGATGTTCCCCTTCCTGTGTCCATGTGTTCTCATTGTTCAATTCCCACCTATGAGTGAGAACATGCAGTGTTTGGTTTTTTATCCTTGTGATAGTTTGCTGAGAATGATGGTTTCCAGCTTCATCCATGTCCCTACAAAGGACATGAACTCATCCTTTTTTATGGCTGCATAGTATTCCATGATGTATATGTGCCACATTTTCTTAATCCAGTCTATCATTGTTGGACATTTGAGTTGGTTCCAAGT
Organism: Homo sapiens; assembly: GCF_000001405.40. Lineage (NCBI taxonomy): Eukaryota > Metazoa > Chordata > Mammalia > Primates > Hominidae > Homo > Homo sapiens. Next base: position 29,766,097 of record NC_000011.10, read on the forward strand.
CTTTGTTTTTGTGAATAGTGCCACTATAAACATACGTGTGCATGTGTTTTTATAGTAGCATGATTTATAATCCTTTGGGTATATGCCCAGCAATGGGATGCCTGGGTCAAATGGTATTTCTAGTTCTAGATCCCTGAGGAATCACCACGCTGACTTCCACAATGGTTGAACTAGTTTACAGTCCCACCAACAGTGTAAAAGTGTTCCTATTTCTCCACATCCTCTCCAGCACCTGTTGTTTCCTGACTTTTTAATGATTGCCATTCTAACTAGTGTGAGATGATATCTCATTGTGGTTTTGATTTGCATTTCTCTGATGGCCAGTGATGATGAGCATTTTTTCATGTGTCTTTTGGCTGCATAAATGTCTTCTTTTGAGAAGTGTCTGTTCATCTCCTTCACCCACTTTTTGATGGGGTTGTTTGTTTTTTTCTTGTAAATTTGTTTGAGTTCATTGTAGATTCTGGATATTAGCCCTTTGTCAGATGAGTAGATTGCAAAAATTTTCTCCCATACTGTAGGTTGCCTGTTCACTCTGATGGTAGTTTCTTTTGCTGTGCAGAAGCTCTTTAGTTTAATTAGATCCCATTTGTCAATTTTGGCTTTTGTTGCCATTGCTTTTGGTGTTTTAGACATGAAGTCCTTGCCCATGCCTATGTCCTGAATGGTATTGCCTAGGTTTTCTTCTAGGGTTTTTATGGTTTTAGGTCTAACATTTAAGTCTTTAATCCATCTTGAATTAATTTTTGTATAAGGTGTAAGGAAGGCATCCAGTTTCAGCTTTCTACATATGGCTAGTCAGTTTTCCCAGCACCATTTATTAAATAGGGAATCCTTTCCCCATTTCTTGTTTTTGTCAGGTTTGTCAAAGATCTGATGGTTGTAGATATGCGGCATTATTTCTGAGAGCTCTGTTCTGTTCCATTGATCTATATCTCTGTTTTGGTACCAGTACCATGCTGTTTTGGTTACTGTAGCCTTGTAGTATAGTTTGAAGTCAGGTAGTGTGATGCCTCCAGCTTTGTTCTTTTGGCTTAGGATTGACTTGGCAATGCGAGCTCTTTTTTGGATCCATGTGTACTTTAAAGTAGTTTTTTCTAATTCTGTGAAGAAAGTCATTGGTAGCTTCATGGGGATGGCACTGAATCTATAAATTACGTTGGGCAGTATGGCCATTTTCACGATATTGATTCTTCCTACCCATGAGCATGGAATGTTCTTCCATTTCTTTGTATCCTCTTTTATTTCATTGAGCAGTGGTTTGTAGTTCTCCTTGAAGAGGTCCTTCACATCCCTTGTAAGATGGATTCCTAGGTATTTTATTCTCTTTGAAGCAATTGTGAATGGGAGTTCACTCATGATTTGGCTCTCTGTTTGTCTGTTATTGGTGTATAAGAATGCTTGTGATTTTTGCACATTGATTTTGTATCCTGAGACTTTGATGAAGCTGCTAATCAGCTTGAGATTTCAGGCTGAGACAATGGGGTTTTCTAGATATACAATCATGTCATCTGCAAACAGGGACAATTTGACTTCCTCTTTTTCTAATTGAATGCCCTTTATTTCGTTCTCCTGCATGATTGCCCTGGCCAGAACTTCCAACACTATGTTGAATAGGAGTGGTGAGAGAGGGCATCCCTGTCTTGTGCCAGTTTTCAAAGGGAATGCTTCCAGTTTTTGCCCATTCAGTATGATATTGGCTGTGGGTTTGTCATAGATAGCTCTCATTATTTTGAGATACGTTCCATCAATACCTAATTTATTGAGAGTTTTTAGCATGAAGGGTTGTTGAATTTTGTCAAAGGCCTTTTCTTCATCTATTGAGATAATCGTGTGGTTTTTGTCTTTGGTTCTGTTTATATGCTGGATTACATTTATTGATTTGTGTATGTTGAACCAGCCTTGCATCCCAGGGATGAAGCCCACTTGATCATGGTGGATAAACTTTTTGATGTGTTGCTGGATTCAGTGTGTCAGTATTTTATTGAGGATTTTTGCATCAATGTTCATCAAGGATATTGGTCTAAAATTCTCTTTTTTTTTGGTGTGTCTCTGCCAGGCTTTGGTATCAGGATGATGCTGGCCTCATGAAATGAGTTAGGGAGAATTCCCCCTTTTTCAATTGATTGGAATAGTTTCAGACGGAATGGTACCAGCTCCTCTTTGTACCTCTGGTAGAATTCGGCTGTGAATCCATCTCGTGCTGGACTTTTTTTGGTTGGTAAGCTATTAATTATTGCCTCAATTTCAGAGCCTGTTATTGGTCTATTCAGAGATTCAACTTCTTCCTGGTTTAGTCTTGGAAGAGTATTTGTGTCAAGGAATTTATCTTCTAGATTTTCTAGTTTATTTGCGTAGAGGTGTTTATAGTATTCTCTGATGGTAGTTTGTATTTCTGTGGGATCAGTGGTGATACCCCCTTTGTCGCTTTATATTGCATCTATTTGATTCTTCTCTCTTTTCTTCTTTATTAGACTTGCCAGTGGTCTATCAATTTTGTTGATCTTTTCAAAACACCAGCTCCTGCATTCATTGATTTTTTGAAGGGTTTTTTGTGTCTCTATTTCCTTCAGCTCTCCTCTGATCTTATTTATTTCCTGCCTTCTGCTAGCTTTTGAATGTGTTTCCTCTTGCTTCTCTAGTTCTTTTAATTGTGATGTTACGGTGTCAATTTTAGATCATTCCTGCTTTCTCTTCTAGGCATTTAGTGCTATAAATTTCCCTCTGCACACTGCTTTGAATGTGTCCCAGAAATTCTGTTACGTTGTGTCTTTGTTCTCATTGGTTTCAAAGAACATCTTTATTTCTGCCTTCATTTAGTTATGTACCCAGTAGTCATTCAGGAACAGGTTGTTCAGTTTCCATGTAGCAGAGCAGTTTTGAGTGAGTTTCCTAATCCTGAGTTCTAGTTTGATTGCGCTGTGGTCTGAGAGACAGTTTGTTATAATTTCTATTCTTTTACATTTGCTGAGGAGTGCTTTACTTCCAACTATGTGGTCAATTTTGGAATAGGTGTGGTGTGGTGCTGAAAAGAATGTATATTCTGTTTATTTGAGGTGAAGAATTCTGTAGATGTCTATTAGTTCTGCTTGGTGCAGAGCTGAGTTCAATTCCTGGGTATCCTTGTTAACTTTCTGTCTCATTGATCTGTCTAATGTTGACAGTGGGGTATTAAAGTCTCCCATTATTATTGTGTGGGAGTCTAAGTCACTTTGTAGGTCACTAAGGACTTGCTTTATGAATCTGAGTTCTCCTGTATTGGGTGCATATATATTTAGGATAGTTAGTTCTTGTTGAATTGATCCCTTTACCATTATGTAATGGCCTTCTTTGTCTCTTTTGATCTTTGTTGGTTTAAAGTCTGTTTTATCAGAGACTAGGATTGCAACCCCTGCCTTCTTTTTGTTTTCCATTTGCTTGGTAGATCTTCCTCCATCCCTTTATTTTGAGCCTAAGTGTGTCTCTGCATGTGAGATGGGTTTCCTGAATACAGCACACTGATGGGTCTTGACTCTTTATCCAATTTGCCAGTCTGTGTCTTTTAATTAGAGCATTTAGCTGCCCATTTACATTTAAGGTTAGTATTGTTATGTGTGAATTTGGTCCTGTCATTATGATGTTAGCTGGTTATTTTGCTCGTTACTTGATGCAGTTTCTTCCTAGCCTTGATGGTCTTTACAATTTGGCATGTTTTTGCAGTGGCTGGTACCAGTTGTTCCTTTCCATGTTTAGTGCTTCCTTCAGGAGCTCTTTTAGGGCAGGTCTGGTGGTGCCAAAATCTCTCAGCATTTGCTTGTCTGTAAAGTATTTTATTTCTCCTTCACTTATGAAGCTTAGTTTGGCTGGATATGAGATTCTGGGTTGAAAATTCTTTTCTTTAAGAATGTTGAATATTGGCCCCCACTCTCTTCTGGCTTGTAGAGTTTCTGCTGAGAGATCAGCTGTTAGTCTGATGGGCTTCCCTTTGTGGGTAACCTGACCTTTCTCTCTGGCTGCCCTTAACATTTTTTCCTTCATTTCAACTTTGGTGAATCTGTCAATTATGTGTCTTGGAGTTGCTCTTCTCGAGGAGTATCTTTGTGGTGTTCTCTGTATTTCCTGAATTTGAATGTTGGCCTGCCTTGCTAGACTGGGAAAGTTCTCCTGGATAATATCCTGCAGAGTGTTTTCCAACTTGGTTCCATTCTCCCCGTCACTTTCAGGCACACCAATGAGACGTAGATTTGGTCTTTTCACATAGTCCCATATTTCTTGGAGGCTTTGTTTGTTTCTTTTTATTCTTTTTTCTCTAAACTTCTCTTCACACTTCATTTCATTCATTTCGTCTTCTATCACTGATACCCTTTCTTCCAGTTGATCCCGTCAGTTACTGAGGCTTGTGCATTCGTCACGTAGTTTTCACACTGTGGTTTTCAGCTCCATCAGGTCCTTTAAGGACTGCTGTGCATTGGTTATTCTAGTTATCCATTCATCTAATTTTTTTTTCAAGGTTTTTAACTTCTTTGCCATTGGTTCGAACTTACTCCTGTAGCTCATAGCTCAGAGTAGTTTGATCTTCTGAAGCCTTCCTCTCTCAACTCGTCAAAGTCATTCTCCATCCAGCTTTGTTCCATTGCTAGTGAGGAGCTGTGTTCCTTTGGAGGAGTAGAGGCGCTCTGATTTTTAGAGTTTCCAGTTTTTCTGCTCGTTTTTTCCCCATCTTTGTGGTTTTATCTACTTTTGGTCTTTGATGATGGTAATGTACAGATGGGTTTTTGGTGTGAATGTCCTTTCTGTTTGTTAGTTTTCCTTCTAACAGTCAGGACCCTCAGCTGCAGGTCTACTGGAGTTTACTGGAAGTCCACTCCAGACCCTGTTTGCCTGGGTATCAGCAGCAGTGGCTACAGAACAGCAGATATTGGTGAACTGCAAATGCTGCTGCCTGATCGTTCCTCTGGAAGTTTTGTCTCAGAGGAGTACCCGGCCGTGTGACGTGTCAGTCTGCCCTTACTGGGGGGTGTCTCCCAGTTAGGCTACTCGGGGGTCAGGGACCCACTTGAGGAGGCAGTCTGCCCATTCTCAGATCTCAAGCTGCATGCTGGGAGAACCACTGCTCTATTCAAAGCTGTCAGACAGGGACATTTAAGTCTGCAGTGGTTATTACTGTCTTTTGTTTGTCTGTGCCCTGCCCCCAGAGGTGGAGCCTACAGAGGCAGGCAGGCCTCCTTGAGCTGTGGTGGGCTCCACCCAGTTCGAACTTCCTGGCCGCTTTGTTTACCTACTCAAGCCTGAGCTATGGTGGGCACCCCTCCCCCGCCTCGCTGCCACCTTGCACTTTGATCTCAGACTGCTGTGCTAGCAATGAGCAAGGCTCTGTGGGCATAGGACCCTCTGAGCCATGTGAGGGATATAATCTCCTGGTGTGCCGTTTGATAAGCCCATTGGAAAACCACAGTATTAGGGTGGGAGTGACCTGATTTTTCAGGCCATCTGTCACCCCTTTCTTTGAGTAGGAAAGGGAATTCCCTGACCCCTTGTGCTTCCTGGGTGAGGTGATGCCTCACCCTGCTTCAGCTCATGCACAGTGCACTGCACCTACTGTCCTGCACCCACTATCCAGCACTCCCCAGTGAGAGGAACCCAGTACCTCAGTTGGAAATGCAGAAATCACCCATCTTATGTGTCGCTCATGCTGGGAGCTGTAGACTGGAGCTGTTCCTATTCAGCCATCTTGGCTCCCCTCTGTTATTTTTCTAAAATGCTTCAAAAATAACACATATCCTCCCCCAGTTCCTCTTAATACCACCTTACCTCTCCTTTCAAACTAAAGTTGTTTTGGTTTGCTCTTTCTTATTTGAAGATTGTTTTTCTGAATCCATATGCCAAAACCATTCCTTCACCCATTGAGTAACTTGTATTTTTCCCCCAAATATTATGTTTTAGGGCCTTTGATTTGTTCTCTTTGATTCTGACCTGACTGAAGCAATGGTCTTTGATCTTGACTGGATCAGGTCTTCCAAATCTCCTAATGAGATATTAGGCTTTGGGTGGAAATAGAAATAATAAAAAGACAATGATTTGAAGAAAACATAAAAAATCAGGAAAAGGTTGCATAGTCTCTACTATAACCATCAATTCATATTTATTCAATACCTACTGGATACATGATATGAACTAGAAAAAATAAAAATTCAATTATCAGCTAGCTGACTAATTAAAAATTGGCTAAATAGTACCTTCAGAGTCACAGGCAACTAGAAATAGAAGGACTTTAGAGATCATCCACTCAAACCATGCCATTTTTTAAATGATCAGAAAGTTAAATGTTAAATGTTAAATGCTCCAGACTAGGGCCTGGATCAGACACTTAGGTGATGCCAAAAATTCCACGTAAGCTCAAACATTTTCCAATAGATTTACAGTCTGGGAGAATTTCAGGAGGATTTAACAAAAATACAAAATGATCAGAACAAGTTTGTAGGATAAAAAGATAAAATCAAAGATTTGTGAAGTAGTTAGAAAGGCCATGGAAGAAACACTGTCATTCCGACTTTATATTTTACTGGTTAAAGCATGGATTTAGATCTCTATTTTACTTCCTAGGCGTATCATATGTTACCTTGGGCAGGTTGATTAATCTGTCTCCATATATTTAATATAAAATGGATTTGATAATGTCAAAAATGTGATCAGAATAATAAATAAAATAATGCATATTTATTTCTTAGGGATTGAATTTGGCTGCATGTATATAAAATCCATTTACAAAGTTTCACCCAATGGGTGAAATGTATTTCACAAACTCAGCCTATACGTAGGCATTTCAGGGTTGGCACAGATGTGCTAGGCTCCTTCTATCCTCCTGCTCCATTGTCCTTTATATGAGGTTGCATCCCCATGGTGGCCTGACAGGAACTAAAAGGCTGCTCAACTCAATGTTCACATATGCACTTCAGGTAGAAAACAGAAGAAACTAGGGAGAGGCAGGACTTTCCCAGAAATCTTTAGCAGACTTCTCAATCTAAATCTTTAGCCAGAACTTTGTCACATGGCTCTTCAAGACAAACTAAGAAAAGTAGCTCTTAAGCCAGGCACAAAATTTAGGAGTCTGTTAATACAGAAGCATGAATACAGGAAAGACAATTGACCATATCTACTCCAACAATTAAGGTAGTTATCACTGTGCCTGGCATATAATAAGTACTCAAGAATATGACATATTATTATTAATACAAACAAGGCTCCAGGAAAAAATGGGATTGCCTACCATATTTCAGTATTGTGACAGAGAGTTGTATGTATGTTGTTTTATTCAATTACCACCATGACCCTATAAAGTAATTCAGTTTGGTATGCCAATAATGTTTTGGAGTAAAAAACATTAATGCTTAAAGAGAAGTGAAAAATCTTGTCTATGTTCCCCCACTAGGCAATGACTGAGCTGCTATTCAAATTCAAGTCCATTTGACTCCAGAAGTCCATTTTTCTGCTCATACTTCCACTCTGTGTCACTTTTTTTTTTTTTTTTTTTTTTGCCAAGGAGAATGACACCATGGATACTATACTGTTTCCTGAAGTGATCTTTCTTGGACTTGATTCAAGTCCTTGGACTTGAATTTCTTGGACTTGATTGGTCTTCTAGAGACAGGCCATTCTAAGCTGTGAGGTGTGAGTACGAGCTGTCAGTAAGGTACTTAGGAGTAATGTGAGATTGAAAACACAGGCAGCAGATCCAAAGGAACATTCCTAACAGACATATGACTCATTTGGAGCCTGCTCCACAGCACATGCAGCCCCCGCACACTCAGTACCTTAGAACTGAACAATGCACTCCCACACCTCATTCCTGAGATACGCAATCTTCTTACTGCCAATGGATCAATAGGAGCAAATATACTGCACAAATGAGTCACATGGTGTACTTGTCAGCATGTCTGTGCAACAGAACTCTGAGTGCTTCTGGGTTTTTGGAAGACCATTACGAGGTAGGATTTCTCACTTCCTTCCTAGATTGGAGGCATAGTTGGCTGTGCCTCTCTAATCTCCCTGAGACTCTCTCAGAAGGTTTTCAACAATAAACAGGAAAGAACTATGCTCAAATAATAAGTGATAATTTACCCCTGACTATTACATAAAAGAGGTTTCAGATTAAGTTAAATGAGTACCCCACCACCACCATTTCCAAAGTATCTGAAAAATATTAAAGATGACACATGATTTGTAGGACACAATAACTTGAAGAAATGTGTGAACACTCCCCAGTCTACATGTGTGGATAAAAATAAAAATTAGTGATTTGAGTGGACTGAGAATAAACAGACTGAACAGACATACCAAACCAGATGTGGATAGATGTGAGCATGATCTTCTCTTACATGATTCTTTTTTAGAGCTGATGGAAAAACTGAAGTGCATGGTAGTCTTAGGAGACTCTTCACTAACATGGGCAATAATAACCCCTGCAGCCATTGTTCCTAAGTGTTGATATTCATATGGTTGGAATAACAGGAGCCTCCTTAAAATGGCTGAAGTAACAGGAAATATTTATTATACCTATTATTTATTCAAAGTCTACTTCTTCAGACCTCCAGTGTAGTTCCACTCTTTTACAGTGTTGAAAAAACAGTAGTGAAACAAATACAGAAGCTATCTGTTGTGGTATATTCTATTAAGAGAATCTGATCAAAAAAGAAAAAAAAACTCAAACAGCAATACCCATGTTGTGCTAAATGCTGTGAGGAAAACAAGCAGAGTGACCTAAGGTAAAGAGCATGACAAGAGCTATTAAGGGAATGTTTCTGCTAGGAAGTGACATTCAAGATGAAATGAGAATGGCCTAAGGAGTTAGCCATGTTGAGGCCCTGACAAGAGTACCCATTAATTCAAGAGTAGAAGTGTGGAGCCCAAAACTGAAAACTGAAAAGTTATCAGGGACTACAAAGTCATCAGGAACCAAAACAGCCATTCTCTCAAGGGCTAAACCATGCCCATCTCTGCGTTTTTTCTGTGCTTATCCTTAATTCTGTCTTTAACCCAACTGTATCAGTACTGCCTGACAAAAGTTCATCTAGATAACTGATCAGAGTTACTATCTTACAAATTTAAATTTCAAGAAGAATCTGTTTGGCTCAACTTGAGCCAGCTGACCAGTTTTGACTCAATGATCTGTGACCTGTTGGACACATTTCCAACCTCTGCTCTTCATGAAGTGGGGTGAGAAGAGAGAAATGTTGGCTCTCTAAAAAGGGCTTATGGAGTTCAGTAAAGTGGATTTTTTGAGAACATTCTGTTCTTTAATTCTTCAGTGGTTCATCTCACTATTCTCTCATCTATCCATTAACCAAGTTAATACATGATTAAAGAGTTCACTATATTCCTGTTAGTCTTTATCTAGGTGCAGGGGTTTGGGTGAGGAGACGAGTAGTACAGAACTGGGATGCAAATACAGGAGGGTACATTCTACTAGAAAAGTCAAATACAGAAATATCTATAATTTAGAGATGAAAATTCCATAAGAGGCACACAAATATATTAAGGCGTTTTAGCACAGACAGAAAGACGCATACCTTTGTTCATTAATCATATATGGGTTCTCATTTCTCAGAGAAATAGTCGACATAAAGTTCCAAGCCATGGGCAGGATTTTCAATGTGCCATTGCCTTCTCATGACATCCTGTAAAGTTAACTTCCATCAGAAAAGTAAACATAGCAGGGGAGGTAATGGGTTTCTGTCAGGGAAAGTGTGGAGAAGCCAGAAGGCTAAGTGCTATATCAATAATAAATGTGTATGAATACACTATGGCTTGTAATTAAACCAGGCTTTCCCAAGAGTCAATAGGGTTCTTCAGAAACATGATTATCTTTGCCAGGATACTGCTGTGCTGGTGTAAGAATGCAGCTGAGATTTTTTGATGGATTATACTAGTACATCACTTTATATTTCCTCAACTAAATTCACACTTATGATCAAATTCACATCTAAAATTAACTATTGCATTGGGAGTTTTGGAATCAAACCTTTATTATCTCCATTATCAAAAGTAACATTTTACCCCCCTTTGTAGGAGAAAAATTATCTGAGCTAACGTTTAAGAGATTAAGATGTGAGGAATTATTAGTCACCTTATATAGATATAATAGGATGTTAAACATTATTTTTTTTCTGTTCTTTGCAAGTCCTGTAGAAGCTTCAACAGTTGAAGACAATACAATAGGCAGTGGTCCTCATAATTAGGATACATTGAAGCTGTTGATAATGGACCTTCAATCTTTAGTTCATCAACCACTTAGAGGTTGCAGGTTTAAGATGTGGGTGGAAAAGAATACTTGGAAGAGGTTTTCTCAATCACTAAACCATCACCATGAATGTTGAGAGAAGGGTGTCTCTTTTTCATCTAAAACTAAATGAGAAGTTTTAGGAGAAACACTGAAAAGCTTGGCTGTGGTTTGAGTTGATGGTAGTGGCACAGAAAGGGAAGATACAGACTGAGGAGAGAGTTGTAAGTGGACAAATAGAGAAGATTTCACTTTCAGTGGCTCTATCTGTATTAGGGGAGGTTCCTATGAGAAGAACCACTGAAGACCCCAAAAAGGGCTGTTCGTAATAGAAACCCTCAGCTTTGGCACTACCAAACACAGGCATTAACAAAATCCGAATGTGGCTTCTAGATCTTCTTGTCCAAATCCATCAAGGCCTGACTCTAGAGGGACCCCCAATAGTAGCAAATGAATGAGAATAAAAAATGGAGAGAGGAAGAATCAACCAAAATCTTCCTTCCCTTTAGTGAATAAGCCTCAACTGGGCAAAGTCAGAAGGCTAAAATTGAGTAGGAGTTTTTATTAGACTGGGCTGGTTAGTTTTACTATCTGAGAATGACCAGAAGAGTTATAAGCTGTGCCTGAGATTTTATTCAGGGAAGCAGTACATTGTAGTTTTAAGGTGTGTCTACAAATTCTTTGATACTCCTTCCTTCAAATGGTAGAGTTTAACCCACTTCATCTTGAGTGTGGGCTAGACTTAATGACTTTCTTCTAAAGAAAAGACTATAAAGGAAGTAAGTTGGGCACAGTGGTGTATGCTTGTAATCCCAGCTACTTGGGAGGCTAAAGCAGGAGGATTACTTGAGCACATGGATTTGAATCCAGCCTGAGCAACATAATGAGACCTCGTCTCTGGAAAAAAAATAAAAATCAAATATGGAAAAAGTGATGGAGTATGACTAGGGACTATGTTGTAAAAGACATCACATTAGCTTCTTCCTTGCCTTCTTGCATAGATTAGTCACTTTAGAGTAAGCCAGTTGTCATGCCATGAGGACACTCAAGCAAGTCTATGGGGTCTCTGTGTTGAGAGCTGAGAGCTTCTACCCAGAGACATATTAGTGACCCAGCTTGAAAGTGAGTTTTCCAGACTTAGTCAAGTCTTCAGATAACTATAAACCCCATTGACATTATGACTATAGCCACAATAGAGTGTGAGAGCCAGAACCACCTGACTAAGCTGTTTCTAGATTTCTGACTTTCAGAAACTGTGTAAGATATTGCGTGTTTGTTATTATAAGCTGCCAAATTTGGGGGTAATTTGTTATGCAGCAATAGATAAATAATACATAGTATTAAATCCACAGAAAAGATTAAAAGGGGCAGATGGGAAACAGAATCTAATTGCCTCCTGATTGCACTATACCAAGCCCAGCTTATTTAATTATCAGTCACAAAGAAAGCAGGTTTAATACCTCACAATAATGACTTCTCTTCACTCAATCTCTGTCTCAATAGTTGGAATAATTTTTATAAGTATGAAATACTGGGCCGGGTGTGATGGCTCACGCCTGTAATCCCAGCACTTTGGGAGGCCAAGGCGGGTGGATCACCTGAGGTTGGATGTTTGAGATCAGCCTGACCAACATGGAGAAACCCCGTCTCTACTGAAAATACAAAATTAGCCAGGCGTGGTAGCACATACCTGTAATCCCAGCTACTTGGGAGGCTGAGGCAGAAGAATCGCTTGAACCCGGGAGGTGGAGATTGTGGTGAGCTGAGATTGCACCACTGTACTCTAGCCTGGGCAACAAGAGCAAAACTCCATCTCAAGAAAAAAAAAAAAAAAAAAAAAAAAGAAAGAAAGACTGAGTTGCTCACCAGGTGATTTGGAAAGGTCAATTCTAAATAAAGTCCAACACTCCTGATTATGGGATAGAACGTGGTTTAGCAGAGTAGTTACAAGTAGTCTTTGGTGCCAGATTAAACTGAATCTAACCTTTATCACCTATTAGAAACGTGACTTAGAGAAGTAACAACAGTTCTCTGCTTCAGTTTTCTTATCTGTAAAAGAGAGTAATAAGGAAAAACAATCCTTGTGGTGGTGAGATTATCAATTTTAGATACTCTACAGAAAAAATTGCAATAGGTCAAAGTATAAGACGACTACCATTTCTTCCCATCTCTCCAATCATGGGAACAGAAGTACGGGTATCCACCTCTCCTTCTGTGTTCTAAAAATAACAATGGTAAAAACGAACCATTGACAATGAAAGCTCAGCAGGGAAATCTGTGAAATATCTACAAATCAGGAGGAGATAAAATGATAGGAGTGGCTCCATTGTTCCTTGAAGTTGCACTGACACATAGTACTTTGAAGAAAACTGAAAAAAATATCTTTTTCCCGTGTCAAAAATGCAGGGCATGGTTAATTGAGATGATGGGAGGCTAAAGTCATCACACACACACACACACACACACACACATGCAAACATGCACACACATACATTCCTTTGGACCTGGCACTAACACCAAAAGGTATGAAATTTGCACAGCACCAAATGGCAGTGAGGAGTCTGAGACCAGGTCATTTCTTAAAGGAGAAGTGGCAGATCACAGGTACAGAGAAGAGACAGGAACACTACATGAAAAAGAGATCTCACCTCATGGCACCTCAGCCCTTCTCCCCTAAATCACATACCACCAAATCTCACCTGGTCTGAGAACATCACTCCAACCATTTCTAGTATATACATGCTTTTACCAGAATTCAAAGTGTATTTGCCTCAGAGAAAGGTGCATGAGATGGATAACAGTTAGAGAACCTACTCATCAAGACAGAAAATTCAACAAAACCTCTGTGTAGACTTTGGAACTTTGAGGAACATGTACTTTTAGATCCCCGAATGCAGATGGAGATAAAGTGAGGACATTTCCTCAACTTCTCCCCTGTGGTTGAAGAAAAGCCTACCATTAGACATTCCTGTAAAGTGTTTAGCATTACCCCTGGCACAGAGCTTAAGTGTATTAAATGAATGATGGGTAGTAAATCAGGATCTACAGAATTTCTTACTCCAAAACTTTGAAGTGAGATCATAGACCCAGATATAGAAAGTCCAGGGACCTTGTCTGTCCTCTACCTATTTGCAGTTTTTCCTATGGAAGCCAAAGCCCTTGAGAACTAAGGTCAGCTGACTTTGCAAGCAGCATCACCTCTGAGGCATCACAAGCCTCAGGGTCCCTCATAAGCCTCTAATTCAAGGTTTCATCCATGGCAAGAGAAACTGTTACCTGGAAGGGAGAAGTGAGAAAGACAGCCTTGCTACGGATCAGCAGATTTTACAGCTTCATGTGTGGCAAGTTTGTTGACATCAACACTATTGACATGTTGGACCAGAAATTATTGTGAGGGCTGTCCTGTGCATCCTAGAACATCTAGCCACCTCCCTGGCCTCTACCCACTACATGCCAGTGGTACCTCTTCTCCGTTGTGACAAACAAAAACATTTCCAGACATTGCCAAATGTCCCCTGTTGGCAGAATCTCTCCCAGTTGAAAAGCAGTTTTCCTGTCACAGGAAACTCATCTCAAACTGAGTGCAGCACAAAAGGAGCTAATTGATTTCTATGATGAAAAAGTTTAGGCATGGAACCTGCCTCAAGAACAGCTGGATCCAGAGGCTTAGATGATATGACTTAGGCTCTGTTCCTTTCCCTCTTCCTAAATCCTTTAGTGTTAGCTCCATTTTCATGCAGACTATCTAGATAAGATTATTGCCAAAAATTCTAAAATTACATCTTTCATTTTAGAAATAAAAAAAAAAAATCCTTCAAGCTGGGCAGTCATCCCAGCCACTTGGGAGGCTGAGGTGGGAAGATCGCTTGAGGCTGGGGGGCTGAGGTGAGCCTCCAAGTGAGCTATGATCATGCCACTGCACTCTAGCCTGGGCAAGAGAATGAAACCCTGTCTCTGGAAAAAAAAAAATCTCAGTTCTTCAGTATTAACATTTCAGTCTGATTTGAGTCTCCGGCCCATGCTTGAACTGGCCAATGTAGTAGTTACATGACATATGCTAATATGGCTTGGGTCTGGGTTATGAGCCTTCCCTAAAGGGGTGTGGGGATAGTCTTTACCAAACCCGTGAATCAAGAATAAGAGTGGGATGTGTTTCTAAAGCAAACTTGGATCTAGTACTACCAAAAGGTGGGGATGGGGAGTGGAGGTTGGATACAAAAACTAAGGTTGGCCTCTGCAGGTGACCTTTCCCCAGGGTGCATCTGGCTTGCATTCCTTTCATGCTAAAAAGGAGGCAAGGCTGGCTTCTCAAGCTTCATCCAGACCCCAGGCCCCCTCATTAAGAAATATTAGTCACAAAGCCTTGGAGAATCAATAACACTGAGGAATTGAGACAGCACATAATTCATCCCCTTGGAAACTTTTCAAAAATATTATCTTGCTGATGCAGAGGAGGATTTCTTTACCTACTATAAATTAGGGGGAAAAAAAGAAAAAAAAAAGACAGAAGAAAAAATCTGAGCTGCCTGACAATTATCCTCAGTGTGCATCACTCACATTGCAATCACACCCACACGCTGTGCCAGCACTCCAGCTACCACAGGCACGCACGCGCCCAGCACCCTCAGCCACCCTCTCACACACCTACCCCCTCAGAGTCAGCCCACCAGGCTGACAATCACACTGGCAACTTAGCGCCACCAAAGCCTTCTTCTCCCACACACCGCCATTTCCTAGGTTACCAGCTCCCCAGTGCCGAAGGGGCTACAGAAACAGGAAGGAAATGCCCCACAGACATGCAACAAACCCAGCTGCACAGCAAACATGGTTTTGGCAGGTGGAGAAAACCTTCTAACAAACCTTCCCAGAGAGTTAGCTGCAGGTGAAGATCCTGCCCCTGGTAATTCCTACCAGTCTCCTTTCCAAAGTATGAGATGCCAGAAGCACTGGCTAGATTTCAGTAACCAGTTTGGGCCCCCTAAGCATGGGCCATGCTTGCCTGTGCCTGAGCTAAAAGACAAACTGAATGCAGGCATTACTGGGAGAGATGAGCAGCGTATGAGGAGGAGGAGAATGGAGACAGTGCCAGGAATTCCAAAGAGCAGTCCTCCCCCAGGGAGCTGGGTGCCAGGCTCTGTGGGATGGGCAAGAGACATAAATAGCATTCTCCTGGATCCCTGTGGGGCCAGTAGTGGGTGGGCAGCTGGAACCCTCTGTGACCCAGTTAGAAGAAAGCTTTCTGGGGCTGGGACCTGGCCATCTGTACAATGAATAGAATAACTGTGAAGGTATTATTTCCCCAACTGTAAAATGATGATAGCAGTATTTAATTTCTCCCTCAGAGTAGTGTTTTGAGGATTCACTGAAGTAATATATACAGAGTGCATTTGGCAGTGCCTGGCTTAGAGTAAAAGCTCAATAAATATTAGCTAATAAGTTGCATGGTAGACAGAAAATAATACATACCTCCATTCAAAACCTAATTCTAGCACTTACTTGCCTAACCCAACCTCTAGCATCTTCTCTGAGCTTCAATTTCCTCAACTGTCAAATACTTATTCCATGTGGTTTCTATAAAAATGTACCATGCAATCTATGTGAAATTTCCTTAGCTCTATGCCTCGTAACTAATATTTCATAGGTAGCTAGTAATGTTGTCATTATCATCAATACTGCCATCAACCTTTGTACTTTTTCTCTAACAAAACATTATTACATTCAGCATCTTTACTTTCCTTGATACAATCCTATGTAGTATGTAGACATATAGGACAGGTTTTACCTCCATTTTCCATATTAGAAAATTGAGTCCCAGAGAGATTCAATAACTTGTCCATATCAAACCAATTAGGAAGGGGAAGTTGGGATACATGTGGTTTTTGGAATCCTAAGATGATGTTCAGTATATTTTGCCACTATACCTCCAAAGTAGAATTGAGGCCACCAAATCCATGACAGTAATGGCAGCTGCTGTTTGTTAAATGTCTACCAGGCTACAGGTCCTGTTCCAGATACTCTCTAGGCTAGAAAAGAATAAGCACAGATGGATCCTGGGAAATCCTGTTTCAGCCAACCCTGGTAGGTCCCCTACAATCTGTTTTAGGTGTGCATCTCTCTAAATTTCACTTTTATACAAACTGCATGCTTTCTGGCAACATCAAATATCCCTCTAATTCACATATGCACCTTCTTATGTGCTATTCAGAAAAGTTAATTTCTGCATAGCCTTCCAGAGCTTTTCTCTTGCCTCCTCCGCTCTCCTCCCAGTCTTAAAAAAGACTCTCTCAACCTCACAGCCAGCTGGGTGAGTCATGGGGGAGGAGCCCAGCTTCTTCATCTCTCCCCCAAAACAAGGACCCATTTTATTTTGACTTTGCTATGCCATGCACCAGTACATTAGCAGAAAAGGGAGGTTATCCTGGGAAGACCACAGCAGCAGGAACACTGGTCCCTATTCATGCATCCTGCAGGTTCCAAACCTCTCCAAGTTCTAAAGTCTCCATCTCTCTCTCTCAGTAACATTTCACTTAATGTGTAATTCTAGATTATTTTGCCATTCAAAAGTTCTTCATTCTTCTTGGTAAGAACACTGCTCATTAAGTGGTCTCTTTGGATATTAATGTGGATGTCAAAATGTGGGTTTATTTGATGAGTGTCCTAACACATAAGTGATTTCTAAAGCATTTCAAAAGAAAATAAAAAATGGTTGGGAATCAGCTTGTTTTATTAGCTTAACTGTACTGGCCTGGGAAGAAAAATCTATCCTTAAAGTGTCATACTTGACAAGAAAAGGTAAATTCAGAGAGAGATTTCAAAGGTGCAGAAATGATACTAAGGGCTGATATTGCTCATCTGACATAGATATAAAATGAGTTATATTTATCAAGGCTTTTATAGAAGGAATGAAAGATGAGTATAGATCCCTACACTAGAATCAAGCAGTGAAAGGTTGTTATTTGCTTAAATGCCATGTTTCACACATTGGAAGATTAGTACTCATTTTGAAGGGCATTATCCATTAGTCTCCTACAGACAGACTAGTCTCCTCTGGTCTCTGACCAGAGTTTAAGAATGAACCTTTCCAGTGGTCAGAAAAGTGTATGTTTTTAAAAAATGGTTTTGGAACCAACTCTTTACAATTTCTTTTTTCTATTTGACTCATACCTTGACCTGGAAATCTCAAACTCCCAAGTTAATGATGCCTGTTGGCTTTCCTCATTTGGAATTAATAATAACCAGAGGATACTTCTAGCCTCGTAGAGTTACAAGAAGTGAAGATATATGTATGACACATGGTTAGGTGCTTGTGGTTCAAGTGCTACCAGAAACTGGTCAGGTGACCATGAGCAAACCACTTTCACTCTCTGGGATACAAGGGTCTCATTCATAAGAAAAGGTTATTGACTATAGTAGATTCTGTCAGCTGAAATATCTAGAGAAATATACAAAGGTAATAAACAGAAGGCTCTTAGGGCAAAATGAGAATCAAGGCTCTGAGAATTAGAAGACAGTCAGTAACTCACTTCAACTGAGCAGCAACTTTAGTGATTAACTTCATCAATAGATGGAAGTTCCAACTTCACTCATTCCTTTATTTGGTAAATGCTTAGTGGGAATTTGCTGTGTCCCAGGCACTGCTCTAAGCATAGGGCAGAATAAGACAAAAGACTCCACCCTTTTAGAGTTTATACTCTTATGCAGGAGACAAACAGGTAAACTTTAAAAATATAATTTTAGCTAGGAATAAGTGCTATAAGAACAATAAAGATCTCTATTGACTGCCATATAAAGAAAAAAACTATGAAAAAAGTCACACAATTCAGGCAAGTTCAGGGTCTTCCTTCTAAATTCTATCGTCTCCATCTATGAAACAGGAATAGATCCCAGATAGAGAAAAATAAGCATGCATGATATAGTTGCTTCATGAGGATCTAAGAGAATAACATTAAAAAAATAGCAAACAGAAACTTGAACTGTGATAAATAAGCCAAAGAAAAAGCTGGACTTCCTCTAGAGTAGATGCTGATACGGTATTCAGCCCTGCATTGAACCAGGTCCCTCAAGGGGAAGACGGTGTTTATCCAATGAGTAGTGCCGGCTGGCTTTCTGCAAGAAGCACATACAAATATCTCCTAAGGAAGAGCACCCTCAATTTATATTCTCAGGCTTTCACCTATTAAGTTCAACCAAATGTGATCTGTTTGCCTTTGGTTATTCAGTTATAATTTAGTAAACACTAAAAAGACAGAATAAGGAAGCAACAAGATACTATCAAAAGTGATCAGGCAGATGTTAAAAAAACTGGTCAGATGGATCTCAATCTCCAATTATTCAGATGATGAGCTACGTTATTCAGACCAATCCTCTGCTGAAATAATAGATAAAAATTAGGTTGAAATTCTCTTTAAACCATTTTTAAAAATTGAAAATATAAAAATATTTATAGGACCAAAATCTAAGCCAGTACTTTTCAAATTGTGGTCCATCTATGACTGGAGGACCCTGACACCCACTTGGGAGTATATGAGGTCAAAACTATTTTCATAAGAATACTGGAATGTCATTTGCCTTTTTCACTGGGCTGACATTTGCACTGGTGGTGCAGAAGAAATTAAGGGGGAGGAGGGCTTAAAAACTTCAGGTACCCTGGCCCAAGTTAAGATGGTAGCCCAAACTGTATTAGTGGTCAGGGTATTCTACCACAGACTCACAGAGAAAAAGTGGAGGAAGGGAGTTTCACTTAAGAATATCTCTGAGTAGTAAAAATAATTTTAAAGACATTGGCCACTGAGTACATATCTTTTTAATACCTTGTGGGATGAAATGGGCAGAAACAAAGCATTTTCAGTGTAACCAAAAATAGTGTTTTGTCTTGAGGAAAAGCCCATGTGCCTTTTGACCTGTGAGCTCTACTAGCCACGTTTTGTGTGGATCTCCATTTTTAACTGAAAGAGCTGACAGAAAAACTTTAGTTATTCATATTTGGGTATTTTCCAATTTTTTTCTTAAAAATGAATAAAGAAAGCCAGACTGTCCCTTCAAGGAAAACAAGTGACAGTATTTTTTGCCAATGATAAAATTTGAGCTTGGAGCAAAAAATAAGATAAAATTTTGGAAAACTTCTATCTGCCTCCATGAGCTTGACAGCCGTCCTATACATAGTTTTCTGAGAAAATCAGTAGTGATATTAACAAATGTAATTTTTAAAAATCAATAGGCTCTCTAATTTTGTTTAGCAGTTTAGGGTTTACAGAGAAATTGAACAGATAGTATAGAGTGTTACCATACATTCCCTCCTCCACTCCCCAGCTTTCTGTATTATTAACATGTTGCACTAGTGCATTGCATTTGTTCAATATGAATCAATATTGATACATTGTTATTAAGTAAATTCCACAGTGTTTATTAGGGTTCATTGTTTGGGTGTGCCATTCTATGTGTTTGGACAAATAGAAAATGTTATGTGTCTGTGCTACATTATCCCACAGAAGAGTTTCAGGGACATAAAAATTCCTGTTTCACCTAATCTCTCTCTGCCTCTCTCCAAATTCATGATCATTTTATTGTCTGTAGTTTTGCCTTTTCCAGAACATCATATAGAATCATACAGTATGTTGCCTTTTCAGACCGGCATCTTTCACTTAGCAATACGCTCTTAAGTTTCCTCTGTGTCTTTGCATGGATTGGTGGCTCATTTCTTCTTATCACTGAATAATATTCCATTACCTAGATGTACCACAGTTTATCCATTCATCTATGGAATAACATCTTGGGTTGCTTCCAATTTTTTAGCAAATATGAGTAAAGCTGCTATAAAGCAGCTACATTTGTGCACAGGTTTTGGTGTTGACATGCTTTCATCTCACTTGGTTAAGTATCTTGAAGCACAACTACTAGCGTGTATGCTAAGACTAAATTTAGCACTTCAAGAAACTGCCAAACTCTCCTCCAAAGCAGTTGCACCATTGTGCCTTCCCACTAATACATGAATGTGCATTCCTGTTACTCCACATCCTATCCAGCATGCAGTGATGTAAGATTTTTGGATTTAAGTCATTCTAATAGGCATTAGTAGTATCTCTTTGTTGTTATCATTTGCAATCCCCTAATTGTATGTGATGCTGAGCATCTTTTGATATTTTTATTTGGTGAGGTATCTTCTCAGATCTTTTGCCCATTTTGTAATTGAGGTATTTTATGTGTATTATTATACTATTTAGTTTTAAGAGATCTTTGTATATTTTTAAAAATCCTCTATCAGTTATATGTTTTGCAAATATTTTCTCCCAGTCTGTAGTTTGTCTTTTCATTCTCTTAACAGTGTCTTTTGCATCACAGAAGTTTTAAATTTTAATGAAGTCCAATTTATTAATTTTCTTTCAGGGACCATGTTTTTGGTGTTCTATCTAAAAATTCATTGCCAAACCCAAGGTCACTAAGAGTTTCTTGTTGATTATCTTCTAGAAATTTTATAGTTTTGCATTTATAGATGTATAATCTATTTTGAGTTAATTTTTGTAAAAGATAGAAATATAGATCTGAATTCTATATTTTGGATGTGGATGCCCAGTTGTTCCAGTGCCATTTGTGTACACAGATTTCTGAACTTTCTATTCTGTTCCACTGATTTATCCCTGTATTTTTTTCTCTGTCACCACTTCACTAGAACACTGTGACTTTATAATAAGACTTGAAGTCAGTGTCAGTTTTCCAACTTTATTCATTTTCTTTTTATCATTATTATTATACTTTAAGTTTTAGGGTACATGTGCACAATGTGCAGGTTAGTTACATATGTATACATGTGCCATGCTGGTGTGCTGCACCCACTAATTCATCATTTAGCATTAGGTATATCTGCTAATGCTATCCCCTCCCCCACTCCCCCCACCCCACAACAGTCCCCAGAGTGTGATCTTCCCCTTCCTGTGTCCATGTGTTCCCATTGTTCAATTCCCACCTATGAGTGAGAACATGTGGTGTTTGGTTTTTTGTCCTTGCGATAGTTTACTGAGAATGATGATTTCCAATTTCATCCATGTCCCCACAAAGGACATGAACTCATCATTTTTTATGGCTGCATAGTATTCCATGGTGTATATGTGCCACATTTTCTTAATCCAGTCTATCATTGTTGGACATTTGGATTGGTTCCAAGTCTTTGCTATTGTGAATAGTGCCACAATAAACATAGGTGTGCATGTGTCTTTATAGCAGCATGATTTATAATCCTTTGGGTATATACCCAGTAATGGGATGGCTGGGTCAAATGGTATTTCTAGTTCTAGATCCCTGAGGAATCGCCACACTGACTTCCACAATGGTTGAACTAGTTTACAGTCCCACCAACAGTGTAAAAGTGTTCCTATTTCTCCAAATCCTCTCCAGCACCTGTTGCTTCCTGACTTTTTAATGATTGCCATTCTAACTGGTGTGAGATGGTATCTCATTGTGGTTTTGATTTGCATTTCTCTGATGCCCAGTGATGATGAGCATTTGTTCATGTGACTTTTGGCTGCATAAATGTCTTCTGAGAAGTGTCTGTTGGTATCCTTCGCCCACTTATTGATGGGGTTGTTTGTTTTTTTTCTTGTAAATTTGTTTGAGTTCATTGTAGATTCTGGATATTAGCCCTATATCCTTGATGAACATTGATGCAAAAATCCTCAATAAAATACTGGCAAACCAAATCCAGCAGCACATCAAAAAGCTTATCCACCATGATCAAGTGGGCTTCATCCCTGGGATGCAAGGCTGGTTCAACATACACAAATCAATAAATGTAATCCAGCATATAAACAGAACCAAAGACAAAAACCACACGATTATCTCAATAGATGAAGAAAAGGCCTTTGACAAAATTCAACAACCCTTCATGCTAAAAACTCTCAATAAATTAGGTATTGATGGAACGTATCTCAAAATAATAAGAGCTATCTATGACAAACCCACAGCTAATATCATACTGAAGGGACAAAAACTGGAAGCATTCCCTTTGAAAACTGGCACAAGACAGGGATGCCCTCTCTCACCACTCCTATTCAACATAGTGTTGGAAGTTCTGGCCAGGGAAATTAGGCAGAAGAAGGATATAAAGGGTATTCAATTAGAAAAAGTGGAAGTCAAATTGTCCCTGTTTGCAGATGACATGATTGTATATCTAGAAAGTCTCAGCCCAAAATCTCCTTAAGCTGATAAGCAACTTAAGCAAAGTCTCAGGATACAAAATCAATGTACAAAAATCACAAGCATTCTTATACACCAATAACAGACAAACAGAGAGCCAAATCATGAGTGAACTCCCATTCACAATTGCTTCAAAGAGAATAAAATACCTAGGAATCCAACTTACAAGGGATGTGAAGGACCTCTTCAAGGAGAACTACAAACCACTGCTCAATGAAATAAAAGAGGATACAAAGAAATGGAAGAACATTCCGTGCTCATGGGTAGAAAGAATCAATATCGTGAAAATGGCCATACTGCCCAAGGTAATTTATAGATTCAATGCCATCCCCATCAAGCTACCAATGACTTTCTTCACAGAATTAGAAAAAACTACTTTAAAGTTCATATGGAACCAAAAAAGAGCCTACATCGCCAAGTCAATCCTAAGCCAAAAGAACAAAGCTGGAGGCATCACACTACCTGACTTCAAACTATACTACAAGGCTACAGTAACCAAAACAGCATGGTACTGGTACCAAAACAGAGATATAGATCAATGGAACAGAACAGAGCCCTCAGAAATAACACCGCATATCTACAACTATCTGATCTTTGACAAACCTGACAAAAACAAGCAATGGGGAAAGGATTCCCTATTTAATAAATGGTGCTGGGAAAACTGGCTAGCCATATGTAGAAAGCTGAAACTGGATCCCTTCCTTACACCTTATACAAAAATCAATTCAAGATGGATTAAAGACTTAAACGTTAGACCTAAAACCATAACAACCCTAGAAGAAAACCTAGGCATTACTATTCAGGACATAGGCATGGGCAAGGACTTCATGTCTAAAACACCAAAAACAATGGCAACAAAAGCCAAAATTGACAAATGGGATCTAATTAAACTAAAGAGCTTCTGCACAGCAAAAGAAACTACCATCAGAGCGAACAGGCAACCTACAAAATGGGAGAAAATTTTTGCAACCTACTCATCTGACAAAGGGCTAATATCTATTTTCTTTAAAATTATGTTGGTTATTTGAGTCCTTGCATTTTCATATAAATTATTCCTTTACAATCAGTTTGTCAATATTCACAAAATAACTTTCTAAAATTTTGATTGCAATTGCACTGAATCTCCAGATCAAGTTAGTAAGAATTTACATCTTAAAGAATTTTGAGCCTTCCTTCCTGCAAATATGAACTATAACTCAATTTATTTATATATTCCTTGATTTAATCAGTTTTCTGGTTTTCCTCACGTAGATCCTACATATATTTTGTTAGATTTCTGCTTAAATATCACTCTCTTTCTCTCTCACTCACTCATATAAATTTCATGACATTGTGTTTTAATTTTAAATTCTAGTTTTTAATTTTAGATATATAGAAAACCAATTGACTTTTGTATATTAAGTTTGTATCCTGCAAAACTGCTATAATTGCTTACTAATTCCAGGAGTTTTCTTATCAATTTGTTGGGGTTTTCTACATAGACAATCATGTGATCTCAAATATATATGTATGTGTGTGTGTGTGTGTATATATATATATATTTCATATATATACATATATATTCATATATATTTCAAATATACATATATATTTCATATATGTGAAATAAAACTATTTACAAATATGTGTGTGTATCTATATCTATATGTGTGTATATCTACAGATATATATACATATACACACACTTTTTCTTTCTTGAGGTAACAGTTTTATTTCTTATTTTCCATTTTGTGTACCTTTTCTTGTCTTATGGCCTTAGCTAAGACTTCTAGTATGATGTTGAATGTGAGTGATGGCAGTAACTTGTTTCTGGTTTTAGTGACAAAGCATCTAGTTTCTCATCATTAAGTATTTAGCGAGTTGAGAAAATTTTACTTCTATTCCTACTTGGCTGAGAGTTTTATCATGCGTATGTACTGGATTTTGTCAAATACTTTTACGGTATCTGTTGATATGATCATATGATTTTTCTCCTTTAGCCTATTAACGTGACATTAATTGAGTTTTGAATGTTGAACCAGTTTTGCATACCTGGAATAAAGCCCACTGGTCATGGTATATAATTCTCTTTATACATTGTTGGATTCAATTTCCTAATATGTTGCTGAAGATTTTTATATTTATGTTCATGATAGGTATTTGTTTATAGTTTTCCTTTTCTGTAATGTCTTTACCTGATTTTTTTATTAGGGTAATGCTGGCCTCATAGAATCTGTGAAAAAAGTGCTCCCCCTGCTTCTATATCCTGGAGGAGATTGTAGCAAATTGGTATATTTATTTCCAAAATGGTTGGTAGAATTCAGTAAAACCATCTGTGTCTGGCACTTTTTTTAAAAGAAGGTTATTGAATTTTTTTCCTAATATATATAGGGCTACTGATGTTATAGATGTCTCCTTGCATGAGTTTTGATAGAGTCTATCTTTCAAGGAATTGGCCTATATCATAGAAGTTATCAAATTTGTGGGCATAGATTTGGTTATAATATTCCATTTTTAAATAATTTTAATGGCCTTGGGATTGCTAGTAATGGATTCTCCATCATTTCTGATATAAGTAATTTGTGCCTTCTTTTTCTCTTTGTTAACATGGCTAGGGGTTATTAAATCCACTGAACTTTTCAAAGAACCAGGTTTGGTTTTGCTTTCAATTTTTTACTTTTTTAAAATTTCATTTATTTCTACTCTAATTGTTATTATTTATTTTCTTCTGCTTGCTTTCAGTTTATGTTGCTCTTAACATATTTAAAAAATATTTTTGTTATGGGATGACTATTTGTGTGCCCTCAAAATTCATATGTTCATGGTAGTTGGAGAGGAAGCCTTTGAGAGGCAATTAGGTTATGAAGGTAGGGATTCCATGATGGGATTAGTACTCTTATAAGAAAAGACATGGAGAGTTTGCTTCCTTGCTCTCTGCATTATGTGAAGATACAACAAGAAGATTACAACCTGCAAAGAAAAAAGGCCTCACCAGACACCAGATTTGCCAGCACCCTAATCTTAGACTTCCTAGCATTGGGAACTGCAAGAAATATATTTATATTGTTTAAGCCACCCAGTCTATGGTATTCTGTTATAGCAGCTTGAAATGAATAAGACAATTGTATAAACATTTGGAATACCTTCAAAACCCAATGAATCAATATTTTCCAAATTACTGACACATTAAGTTATAAAATGCATATGTACAAAATGCATTGGTAAAATATGCATTCCAAAAGCAAGACAGATTTAATGTAATTGAATGTAAAAATTCACTGATACACTTTAAAATTTCACATTACCATTAACCTTTAAAAAGCTACCACTCTACAAGTTTTGGTGTAATATTAAAAGAGAATATCCACTATCATCCAAAAAGGCTATTAAAATATTCCTTTTTCTCTCAGCTATATATTCATGTAATACCAAATTTTCTTCATATACTTCAATCAAAACAATAAATCACAGCAAATTGAATGCAAACAAATAAGATAATTTAACCAGCTTCCATTAAACTAGACTTTCAAGAGAACTACAAAAACATAATATTAATATCATACTTTTTAAATTTTGGATATTTGTTTTTCATAAAATATGTTATTTTATGAAATGTAAAATGTAGTGTCAGTACTACAAATTAGTGTTGACATGTGATTAATCTATTTTTGATAAATTAATATATTTTTAATTTGTCAGTTTTAAGTTGTAATATGAAAAGTGAAAATAGATATAATTTTTAAGAAAAAGGTCTTTGAGGATCCCAATAATTTTAAAGAATATAAAGGAATCCTAGAATAAAAAATTTGAGAACTGATTATTTAAGTCAGATGTTGGCAAATATTTCCCATAAAGAGCTAGATAGTAAATATTTAGGTTTTGTTAGCCAGTGTATGTCAGAATTACTCAACACCATCATTGTAAAAGCAGTTATAATCAATATGTAAATAAAGGTACATGCCTGTGCCCTAACAAAACTTCATTTAAATACCTAGTAGTTTGTCCACCATTGATCAAAGCAAAAGCAGAAATACCAGAGTTTAGCCAAGAATGGAAAAAGCTTTTTCCCCAAAGGGATTTGCAAAATGGGTGAAACTGATTTCTTTTGACTGCCTAGTGAGCCCTGAACTTCAGAAGTCAATGCCCAGGGTCCTTGGTAAGGAAGAATTTTAAATGGAGATCCTCTCCCCAAGTAAAACAGGGAAATCAGATTAAAATATATTAAAGATAAGACTAAACCAGAACTAACTCTTCCCCCTCCTTAATCCTTGAGATACTTTTATGAAAATGTCTTTGGTGTTGAAGAAAATGGTAGGGTGTAGAGGAATGGATGGAACAGTCCCTGAAAGAAGTCATAACCACAAGTTGGTTCCCATGAGGATTTGCAGCCCAAACTTACACCTTAGTGATAAAAAACAGCAAAAATAACAACAACAAAAAACCGACAACAACAACAAAAAAACGAAGACACATAATTGAGGGTAAAGCCCTGATGGGCTAGTAATATCTTTAAACTCCTTTCAAAGGAAAGAAAATCCAGTAAGGAGGTTGGGGGGAATAACAAATTGATGAATATGTTATGAATAACAAATTGATGAATATGGCATGAGGTTGTTATTTGTTTCACTCACTCTCTTACCTCTGCTTGCTTAGGAGATAGCTGCTGGCCAACACCTTGAAGAAACATTGTGACTAATGAAAACTGTACCCCCAGTAGTTGTGTGCCAGGCCACCACTGCCAAGTGAGAGCTGATTCTTTACATCTCTTCCCAACTCAGCATTCAGAGAGCTAATACTGGTTTCGTGAAATTGGTTATGGTGGGAGTATTTATACTACAGAAAGTGGCAAACACTACAAATTAGAGTTCCCTCCCCAAAGCGTACTATGTCTTTCATCCTAGGGTACAAAATAGTAGCTCTCTCTTTTAATATGAAAGCCAGATACCATAGGGCACAAATGGATCTGAATGCTCTGTGAATGGACTAACAAAGACATCTTATGTTCTGCCTTAGATTCATTCAGTTCTCTCCACCTCACTTCATTTCACTTAGGTGTGGGCACTTGTTTCTCCTGTCACCATTACCATGACCACTCCTCTCCTTGCCGAATGGCTTGAGTTTGTCACCTAAGCCCTCATTATCCTACTAATTACCAATAAATTTTAGCTTAAGCACTGTTTTCTCTAAAAGACAGATGAAGAAAAGATCCATATATATATACACACATATATATATATACACACACACATATATATATATACACACACACACATATATATATACACACACACACACACACATATAAATACATATGGTTAAGGTAAAGTATATTGCTAATTAGTATACATATAATTAGTATATATAATTCATATATATTACATACAATTAGTATATATATATGCACACACACACATACATGTTGAAGATAGAGGCAATAGGATTTAATGTTGGATTAAAATTGGGCTATCATAAAAAAGCATGCAAGCATGTCTTTTGTGGGAACATGGATAGAGTTGGAGGATATTATCCTAGCAAACTTATGCAGTAACAGAAAACCAAATACCACACATGTTCTCACCTGTAAGTAGGAACTAAATGATGAGAACTCATACACACAAAAAAGGGAATAACAGACACAAACGTCTACTTGAGGGTGGAGGACGGGAGGAGGGAGAGAAGCAGAAAAAAATAATCAATAGGTTCTAAGCTTAATATCTGGGTTATGAAATAAACTGTACAACAAGACACAAATTTACCCATCACACAAGTTTACCTATATAACAAACCTGCATATGTACCACAGAACCTAAAATAAAAATTACCAAAAAAAAGGTGGGCAATACGGGAAAAGTAAAAAGCAACTCAAATCTGATTTTGTCCTGAGCAATAGCGGTGCAATTCACTGAGAAAGAAAAGACAAAGTTTAAAAAAGAATAAAGGAGGCGGGGGGAGCCAAGACGGCAGAATAGGAATAGCTCCGGTCTACAGCACCCAGCATGAGCGATGCAGAAGATGGGTGATTTCTGCATTTCCAACTGAGGTACTGGGTTCATCTTACTAGGGAGTGCCAGACAGTGGGTGTGGGACAGTGGGTGCAGCGCACCATGCGCGAGCCAAAGCAGGGCAAGGCATTGCCTCATGCGGGAAGCGCAAGGGGTCAGGGAGTTCCCTTTCCTATTCAAAGAAAGGGGTGACAGACAGCACCTGGAAAATCGGGTCACTCCCACCCTAATACTGCACTTTTCCAACGGGCTTAAAAAATGGCACACTAGGAGATTATATCCCGCACCTGGCTCAGAAGGTCCTAAGCCCATGGAGCCTCGCTCATTGCTAGCACAGCAGTCTGAGATCAAACTGAAAGGCAGCAGCAAGGCTGGGGGAGAGGCACCTGCCATTGCCCAGGCTTGATTAGGTAAACAAAGCAGCTGGGAAGCTCGAACTGGGTGGAGCCCACCACAGCTCAAGGAGGCCTGCCTGCCTCTGTAGGCTCCACCTCTGGGGGCAGGGCACAGACAAACAAAAAGACAGCAGTAACCTCTGCAGACTTAAATGTCCCTGTCTGACAGCTTTGAAGAGAGCAGTGGTTCTCCAAGCATGCAGCTGGAGATCTAAGAATGGGCAGACTGCCTCCTCAAATGGGTCCCTGAGCCCCAAGTAGTCTAACTGGGAGGCACCCCCCAGTAGGGGCAGACTGACACCTCACACGGCCGGGTACTCCTCTGAGACACAACTTCAAAAGGAACGATCAGGCAGCAGCATTTGCGGTTCACCAATATCCGCTGTTCTACAGCCACTGCTGTTCTGCAGCCACTGCTGCTGATACCCAGGAAAACAGGGTCAGCAGTGCACATCTAGCAAACTCCAAATGACCTGCAGCTGAGGGTCCTGTCTGTTAGAAGGAAAACTAAAAAACAGAAAGGTCATCCACACCAAAAACCCATCGTATGTCACCATCATCAAAGACCAAAAGTAGGTAAAACCACAAAGATGGGGAAAAAACAGAATAGAAAAACTGGAAACTCTAAAAAGCAGAGCACCTCTCCTCCTCCAAAGGAACGCAGCTCCTCACCAGCAACAGAACAAAGCTGGATGGAGAATGCCTTTGACGAGTTGAGAGAAGAAGGCTTCAGACAATCAAACTACTATGAGCTACAGGAGGAAATTCAAACCAATGGCAAAGAAGTTAAAAACTTTGAAAAAAAATTAGATGAATGGATACCTAGAATAACCAATACAGAGAAGTCCTTAAAGGACCTGACAGAGCTGAAAGCCAAGGCTCAAGAACTACGTGAAGAACCCAGAAGCCTCAGGAGCCAATGTGATCAACTGGAAGAAAGGGTATCAGCGATGGAAGATGAAATGAATGAAATGAAGCGAGAAGGGAAGTTTAGAGAAAAAAGAATAAAGAGAAATGAACAAAGCCTCCAAGAAATATGGGACTATGTGAAAAGACCAAATCTACGTCTCATTGGTGTACCTGAAAGTGACAGGGAGAATGGAACCAAGTTGGAAAACACTCTGCAGGATATTATCCAGGAGAACTTCCCCAATTTAGCAAGGCAGGCCGACATTCAGATTCAGGAAATACAGAGACCACCACAAAGATACTCCTCGAGAAGAGCAACTCCAAGACACATAATTGACAGATTCACCAAAGTTGAAATGAAGGAAAAAATGTTAAGGGCAGCCAGAGAGAAAGGTCAGGTTACCCACAAAGGAAAGCCCATCAGACTAACAGCGGATCTCTCAGCAGAAACTCTACAAGCCAGAAGAGAGTGGGGGCTAATATTCAACATTCTTAAAGAAAAGAATTTTCAACCCAGAATTTCATATCCAGCCAATCTAAGCTTCATAAGTGAAGGAGATATAAAATACTTTACAGACAAGCGAATGCTGAGAGATTTTTTCACCACCAGACCTGCCCTAAAAGAGCTCCTGAAGGAAGCACTAAACATGGAAAGGAACAACTGGTACCAGCCACTGCAAAAACATGCCAAATTGTAAAGACCATCAAGGCTAGGAAGAAACTGCATCAAGTAACGAGCAAAATAACCAGCTAATATCATAATGACAGGACCAAATTCACACATAACAATATTAACTTTAAATGTAAATGGGCTAAATGCTCCAATTAAAAGACACAGACTGGCAAATTGGATAAAGAGTCAAGACCCATCAGTGTGCTGTATTCAGGAAACCCATCTCACATGCAGAGACACACATAGGCTCAAAATAAAGGGATGGAGGAAGATCTACCAAGCAAATGGAAAACAAAAAAAGGCAGGGGTTGCAATCCTAGTCTCTGATAAAACAGACTTTAAACCAACAAAGATCAAAAGAGACAAAGAAGGCCATTACATAATGGTAAAGGGATCAATTCAACAAGAAGAGCTAACTATCCTAAATATATATGCACCAATACAGGAGAACCCAGATTCATAAAGCAAGTCCTTAGTGACCTACAAAGTAACTTAGACTCCCACACAATAATAATGGGAGACTTTAACACCCCACTGTCAACATTAGACAGATCAACGAGACAGAAAGTTAACAAGGATATCCAGCAATTGAACTCAGCTCTGCACCAAGCGAACCTAATAGACATCTACAGAATTCTCCACCTCAAATAAACAGAATATACATTTTTTTCGGCACCACACCACACCTATTCCAAAACTGACCACATAGTTGGAAGTAAAACACTCCTTATCAAATGTAAAAGAACAGAAATTATAACAAACTGTCTCTCAGACCACAGTGCAATCAAACTAGAACTCAGGATTAAGAAAATCACTCAAAACCACTCAACTACATGGAAACTGAACCACCTCCTTCTGAATGACTACTGGGTACATAACGAAATGAAGGCAGAAATAAAGATGTTCTTTGAAACCAATGAGAACAAAGACACAACATTCCAGAATCTCTGGGACACATTCAAAGCAGTGTGTAGAGGGAAATTTATAGCACTAAATGCCCACAAGAGAAAGCAGGAAAGATCCAAAATTGACACCCTAACATCACAATTAAAAGAACTAGAAAAGCAAGAGCAAACACATTCAAAAGGTAGCAGAAGGCAAGAAATAACTAAAATCAGAGCAGAACTGAAGGAAATAGAGACACAAAAAACCCTTCAAAAAATTAATGAATCCAGCAGTTGGTTTTTTGAAAAGATCAACAAAATTGATAGACCACTAGCAAGACTAATAAAGAAGAAAAGAGAGAAGAATCAAATAGATGCAATAAAAAATGATGAAGGGGATATAACCACTGATCCCACAGAAATACAAACTACCATCAGAGAATACTACAAACACCTCTATGCAAATAAACTAGAAAATCTAGAAGAAATGGATAAATTCCTTGACACATACGCCCTCCCAAGACTAAACTAGGAAGCAGTTGAATCTCTGAATAGACAAATAACAGGCTCTGAAATTGTGGCAATAATCAATAGCTTATCAACCAAAAAAAGCCCAGGACCAGATGGATTCACAGCTGAATTCTACCAGAGGTACAAGGAGGAACTGGTACCATTCCTTCTGAAACTATTCCAATCAACTGCAAAAGAGGGAATCCTCCCTAACTCATTTTATGAGGCCAGCATTATCCTGATACCAAAGCCGGGCAGAGACACAACGAAAAAAGAGAATTTTAGACCAATATCCTTGATGAACATTGATGCAAAAATCCTCAATAAAATACTGGCAAACCGAATCAGCAGTACATCAAAAAGCTTATCCACCATGATCAAGTGGGCTTCATCCCTGGGATGCAAGGCTGGTTCAACATACGAAAATCAATAAATGTAATCCAGCATATAAACAGAACCAAAGACAAAAACCACATGATTATCTCAATAGATGCAGAAAAGGCCTTTGACAAAATTCAACAACCCTTCATGCTAAAAACTCTCAATAAATTAGGTATTGATGGGACGTATCTCAAAATAATAAGAGCTATCTATGACAAACCCACAGCTAATATCATACTGAATGGGCAAAAACTGGAAGCATAACCTTTGGAAACTGGCACAAGACAGGGATGCCCTCTCTCACCACTCCTATTCAACATAGTGTTGGAAGTTCTGGCCAGGGCAATCATGCAGGAGAAGGAAATAAAGGGCATTCGATTAGGAAAGGAGGAAGTCAAATTGTTCCTGTTTGCAGATGACATGATTGTATATCTAGAAAACCCCATTGTCTCAGCCCAAAATCTCCTTAAGCTGATAAGCAACTTAAGCAAAGTCTCAGAATACAAAATCAATGTACAAAAATCACAAGCATTCTTATACACCAATAACAGACAGAGAGCCAAATCATGAGTGAACTCCAATTCACAATTGCTTCAAAGAGAATAAAATACCTAGAAATCCAACTTACAAGGGATGTGAAGGAGAACTCAAACAAATTTACAAGAAAAAAACAAACAACCCCATCAATAAGTGGGCGAAGGATATCAACAGACACTTCTCAAAAGAAGACATTTATGCAGCCAAAAAACACATGAAAAACTGTTCATCATCACTGGCCATCAGAGAAATGCAAATCAAAACCACAATGAGATACCATCTCACACCAGTTAGAATGGCAATCATTAAAAAGTCAGGAAACAACAGGTGCTGGAGAGGATGTGGAGAAATAGGAACACTTTTACACTGTTGGTGGGACTGTAAACTAGTTCAACCATTGTGGAAGTCAGTGTGGCGATTCCTCAGGGATCTAGAACTAGAAATACCATTTGACCCAGCCATCCCATTACTGGGTATATACCCAAAGGATTATAAATCATGCTGCTATAAAGACACATGCACATGTATGTTTATTGTGGCACTATTCACAATAGCAAAGACTTGGAACCAACCCAAATGTCCAACAATGATAGACTGGATTAAGAAAATGTGGCACATATACACCATGGAATACTATGCAGCCATAAAAAATGATGAGTTCATGTCCTTTGTGGGGACATGGATGAAATTGGAAATCATCACTCTCAGTAAACTATCGCAAGAACAAAAAACCAAACACCGCATGTTCTCATTCATAGGTGGGAATTGAACGATGAGAACACATGGACACAGGAAGGAGAACATCACACTCTGGAGACTGTTGTGGGGTGGGGGGATGGATAGCATTAGGAGATATACCTAATGCTAAATGACGAGTTAATGGGTGCAGCACACCAACATGGTACATGTATACATATGTAACAAACCTGCATATTGTGCACATGTACCCTAAAACTTAAAGTATAATAATAATTAAAAAAAAAGAATAAAGGAAAAATTTTGAGTTCAGCATTGATCGTAAGTTGGAGATGCCTGCTAAGAAGGCCAAGTGCCTCCATCAAGTCAGTTGTTTGATTACAGTCTGGCGGGAGGTATTTAGAAATAAGAATTTGGAAATAACCAACAATTTTTTTGTATTAACTAGGCCATTTAAAACATTACTCCATTCCTACTGACCACCAGATTCCAACTTTTAAAGTAGGTTTCTTTATATTTTCTACTAGTTTAGTAACTCTGAATCTGGGCAAGTTTCCTGGAGAAGTTGATCCTTGAGCTTCAGTTAAAAGAGGAGACGTGTATTTGGCAGATAGTTTTTATCCATGTGATCAGAATGATTTCAATAAGGTCTAAAAAGGAAAGTGAATCTCACACACTAAACCCTGCCTGCCATTTCTCTCTTTGTACCTTGGGATGGTGATACTTGCATAAAAAGAAAAAAAAGAAAAGAAAAAAAGACTAAAAATTATTCCCAGAAGAGGAAACTAGAGAAAAAAATTGTTATTAGGATAAATAAAAAATTATCTGGACAAGTCTTCGGGTATTTTTACAGAGTAGGTGCTAGCAATGATAAATAATTGGCTAAAATATATTTTATTCCCCAATCAGGGAGAGATTTACTCTCAATAATGTAATATTTTGTGATATATATTTATTAATTTTTATACAGCCAGCTGGGAAATTTTGTAGTATATATGCAGCTACAATGGAAGTTATTCTTAGGGAGAAGAAATTATCTGTATTCCATTTACAAACCTGAACCTGTCTTGTACTTAACAGACATACATGGTTTCCTATATGACCACACCCTCTAATGAAAAAGTGCTGCCACCTTAACATTTAACTTAATGTATTGTGCTGGATTAAACCCAGAGAGATGCTTTATCCTAGGAACTAATACGTATTTTTGGCAGCAGTTTTATTTGTATGAGAAGAAACAGCAACTGAAAAGTATTATCATCAACTGGGTGACTGTAACTGTATCATGAGATCTCATTTGACAACACCAGAGTTATAACAGCAGGAGGCTAATTCTGCAATCACAATTTAGGCAAAGCTCTAACAATGCAAGCTGCTCCATTCCACACAAATGGGAAAAGGAAGCTCTGTGAGGGATTTGGGGAAGAGAGAAAGGGTGGGCTGATTATTCCAACATACTATAGAATAAAAAGTATTTCCTGAAAATCAGAAGCAGTCATTAAAGTTTTAATTCCAGAAAAAAAGAATGTTTCCCCCTGAGAAATCACTCCTCTGTGTATTCAATAACAAAAATTTAGTGCTCATGTGTGTTCCCTATTTCTGTTATTACCTTCCAGGTTAACTTAATTAAGAGGATGGGCACTGAAATTTGAGAAATGTAGATTTGAAGGCCACTTAGCTGCATGATCCTGGGCAACTTAGCCTTTCTAGTCCTCTGTTCTTCATTTGTAAAAGTAGGAAAATATTTGTATCTATTTCAGGTTGTTGAAAGGACTAAACAAGCTAAGGCCTGTAACAAAAATACTACTACAAATGTGGTCATGGCACATAGTACATGGCACATGGCACATATGATGTATATAATATTATTATTGATAATGATAATAATTGTGTAGCTTATACAAGTCCCACTGAGTCTATTTTAAAAATGTCACATCCTCTCTTTTTGTTTCTATTTTATCACCAAGACACCCATCACTTGACTGACCCTAGTAGCCTCTAATCTCTAAGCTTTCCCCTCTCTGCTTTATTTTGCACACAAATACCAAATTAATCTATTCAAAAACCTTTATTGGGGCCACAGTGTTCACAGAAAAGAGTCTAAACTCTTTACTTTGGCACTCAAGGCCTCCTGACCATGACCTTCCACTGTAAATGTTCTATCCTTGCCATGCATTGAAATTCCAGCCAGACTGAATGACACAGCCAAGCTGAAGCTTGATTGAGTTTCAGTTTACCAGAATGGTCAGGAGGGAACAAAGCCAGATGAAGAGTGTAAGCCTCACCTAGAGGAGAATGCCAAGTTTTAAAACTAGAGAAAAGCAGCCAATTCTGTGGTCAGGACCGAGGACTAATTTGAGGATCACAGATGAGAGATAAAGCCAAGAAGGTCCAGGAGGTATTAAAAGCAATCATAGTGGAATCAAACAACAAAGGCAGGGAGGCAGGAGGGTTTCAAACTTTTTATGTGAATAGGGCTAGAATTGATAAAAAGTGTTTTTATTTGGTTCTACATTCTATATAAAGCTTAAATGTTAAATAGGGCTGGGAAAACATCACATTGCATAAAACATCACCATCTGTAAAAATTAGCAAAAAAAAAATTTAGCAATAAGTGTTCATCACAGTTCATTTTTGTAAAATGAAACTTGAAGACCTTTACGTAAGTAAAATTTACTAGGAGGAAAATACTGAACAATTAATATTGGTGCTTCCCTTTTATATTAATTTGTATAGGTATACGTATTTATATGTTATATGTAATATGTGTTATACCTCTTTATGTATTACATAAATTGGCTTACATTTATACATATTTATTATCTTATATATGCTTCTATATGTATTATATGCATATTTATGTTATATATGTTTGTTTGTATACATGCATATGCATATGAATACATGCATCTCTATGTATATATAAAAATTCCCAGAACAGTATATCCTGAAATATTCACTGTAATCAAGAGTTGTATGGGATTACAGGCAATTCATTTTCTTCTTCCTTGTTCATAAGTATAAATTTTCTGAAGTGTGTTGAAACAATAACTGGGGTAAATCAGCTGCTTAAGCCACTTAATTGGTCAGCAAAAATTTAGTGGTTGATCACTATGAAGTTTCCAAATACACAGTTTATATAACAGAATTAAAAAAAAAAAAACACACACACACACACAGACTAAGGGCCTGGGTTTCTGCCCTAGACTTTGGTCACTGGGTATTTGCATTTCTCCTGTAAGACTTTCACTCTCTGCTGAGAGCATTCAATTGACTAATCTTAGGTCATGTATCTTTGATTTGGCTCTCCAGAGGCCAACAAATATATGAAAAACAGCTCAATATCATTGATCATTACAGAAATACAAATCAAAACCAAATGAGATACCATCTCCCACCAGTCAGAATGGCTATTAAAAAGTCAAAAAAAAAGATCCTGGCGAGGTTGCAAAGAAAAGGCAATGCTTATGCACTGTTGGTGGCAGTGTAAATTAGTTTAACCATTGTGGAAAGTATACTGATTCTTAAGCCAAATAGTTATAAATAAATGTGAGAAAATAAAAGACATTATGCTACCTACAAATTCAGATATACATCCTGTATGAGTATTAGCTTTCTTGAATATTTGTGCTCAGTATATTTTAGAGCACTTTTGTAGACATTGCTGCATTAGATTCTCAAGACATACCTTTACATATGGATGTGGAAGCCTGGATACAGAGATATTAAGGAATTTTGTCAATATCACAACGTGAAATTTCACAGCAGTGTAACTAGACAGAATGCAGATCTTCTTCCAAATAATATAGGGTCAAAGACAGTATATAGTACATTTAATTGCATGGGGATTTTTGTGTTTTTTAAGTTAAATGACAATTTACATTATATATTGAGAACATTTTAATCTGTTTATGAAGAATAATTAAACATTTTTAATGACACTAACTTATCTGCTATCATTGAGCAATATCTCCGTTTTCTAACAAATAAAAGAAACCAAATCAAACAAATGAACAGGAGGAAAACAGGAAGGGAAGGAGGGAAGAGGACAAAGAAGGAAAGAAGGGAGTTGAAGAAGGGGGGAAACCTAGATCCTTTAAGCAGTAGAGATTTATTTTTAGACAAAAGAAGGTATTTTTCTTTCTTGTTTGCACATTTTCTTACAAAATACTACAATCCCCCAAATCCACTGCTAATATGACATTGGGGACTAATTAAAGTTATAAACCAAGAACTCTATAGAATGGATTGATAGGGCTTGGACTCAGGTGAATTGACAAACAAAAGAAAAACAATCAAAAACCATGTCTCCCCTGTTCCATTTAAAATGATTTATTCATTAAAGGATTCTAGATATGGATTAACCTTCTCTGATTTTTTTTTGTCCCTGCCTTGAATCCAAAAGTGCTTTGATAAATGGATCAACAGCTATGCTGTTTCTAGCTGGTTTCACTTCTGTCTCTGTGTATTGGGCTATCATTCTGTTTTCTTAGTTCTGCTGTTTTATTACTCCTTTCAGTAATAATCCTTATTGAATTACAGCAATACCTATAGTACCTTCTAGAGTACAGAGAGCTCAATGTTTTTCCCCATTTTCTCTCAAGAGTAGAAAATGCCAGGGAGGAAAACCTGAGCTAGAGTCTGAAGCCAATTCTTTCAGTAACATTAAGACCAGCCTGAGGCTATCTATGCTGTGAATATGCTATGTGGGCTCCCTGAAGTGGATGTTGGGTCCATAAATAAAAACAATAAGCAAAACTTTCTGGTTTTCTGCTTGATGACTTTCCATCTTACGATTGTGTACATTCCACTCATCCTCTTGAGACCATTTCATTTGTTACCTCCTGACCCCCAACCTATGCCCACATCAACTTCTCCTGCCTTTGAAGTCACGTATTATCTGTTCTATTCATTTGGCACTATCCTCACATTGCCTTGCATTGATATTTATATTTTTCTATGAACATTTTTTTGTCCTTTTATCCAGGCTATCAGTGTAATTCACAGCCCACAAGAAAGAAACACACCTTCTTAAGCTGACTTCTGTATAAGGCTCGTGCTTCAGTGGTCCTCGGGATGACAATCATGACTTTGTCAGGTAAGGCTCACCTGTGTCTGTCTAAAACAATGTTCAGATAGATGCTTCAAGTCATGAGTTTACGAAGACATAAACTGCACATAGAACAGCTGGTTATTCAGTAATTCAACCAGAGTTTATTGAATGCTTGCTCTGTACTAGGCATTGTTGACACAATTGTAGAAGATACAGCCCCTGCCCTCAAGGAACTCGGACTACTGAAAGTCAAATAAACAAAGGTTATGGTAGAGGATATGATCAAAGAGCATTCTGAAATCAGTCCCTAGAAGGAATTTACTATTCTGTGACTTATTAATAGTATGTAGTAAGGTCCTAATCTAGAATCCAGCATTCTTCTTAGCAAAGGGCTATTGAAAAGCAAACCCTTAACCCAGAAACATTTTCATCTTGTTGAGGCATCCTCCTAGTTATGTTTAATTTTTTGTCTTGCCCTCATGTGAAGCCCATGCTGGGCTTCACAGGGATGTCATTTTCTTACATCAAGGCCCTTACTGAAATTACAGCAATATCTTTCAACTCCATTAAAATGTCCAAAGTTGAGATTTATAAAAGCTTTAAAAATCTTATTTTAAAATAAGATTTTTAAAGCTTTTGCTCATTAAATCACACAGTTGGTAAAATGACTGACTTGCAAGGACCAGATTTTCTCTTTGTGTAGTGCTAGGCCTCCATGTCTCTCCCACAGCACTCTGAACTGGTTAGGAAGGAGTTTATCACCCCTAGTCTCAGAAAAAAAAAAAAAATCTATCTTTCTTCTGAAAATATGTATTGTTTTTTGTTTTTGAGGCAGGATCTCATTCTGCTGCCCAAGCTGGAGTGCATTGGTGCAATCTTGGCTCACTGCAGACTTGACTTCCTAGGCCCAAGTGATCTTCCCACCTCAGCCTGAGTAGCCAGGGCAACAGATGCATGCCACAGTGCCCAGCTAATGTTGTTTATTTCTTGTAGAGAGGAGGTCTCACCATGTAGTCCAGGCTTATTGTTGTTTCTTAATTTAAATAAAAAGGAAGGAAGGAAGGAGGAGGAAAGAGGAAGAATGGAAGGCGTGCAAGGAATAAAAATAATCGAAGAGCCTCTCGTTTGGGTGTGTTTTCTATTCTGACATTTTCTAGTATCTTCTTCCCTCATTATCTCTACCAATGACAGATTAGTGTTTCTTAACCAGAATACTCTGGCAGTAACAAGTGAGTTTTAAAATAGGTTATGGTAATTTTTGGCCTTTTTTCTGGAAAGAAGTTAGCTTGTGAAGAAATGTTTTAAAGAAAATTAAAAATCCAGCTATCATCCTAATCAGATCTTTAAATTGTTCTTTCATATAGGCTCTCAGCTCTGTAAATGGGTTGTATAGACATAGGCAATGGCCTTCCCATAATCCAGATCAAGCCCAGTATCCTGCATGCTTCCCAGGGTTACTCTCTAGAACTATACTGGAGTTGCAATTCCCTGAAACCGCCTTGTCTATCAAGGGAAAATGCATCCTGGTGGATGTGTGGAGCCATACCTCAACACTCATAGTTGGTCCCCATCTCTGCAATGAGGAGAAAATGGACTGCTGGCCTGTCCTATTTTTCCATCCCTAATATCTCTGTGCTAGAAAAGACAGGGAAGTCTAAATAGATCTTGAAATTTGTGCTGAGCCCACAGTATTGGCCAGTATAGAATGAAACAGACTTATCTGGCAGATGAGTGCAAATAAGACTGTGTGTTAAAGGCCCCTGAGCCAAGCTAGCAGTATAAAATAGTATTAGTTTAATAATTTACAACAATCATCATAGTATTTCACATTTGTGTATTACTTCGAATTTTACAGTATCTTTAGCACATTATTACTTTTAATTGTGCATGAGCCAGAATGAAGTTGTGGAAAGAACTGTGAAACTAGTCAAACCCAGGTCTAAGTTCCAGTATTGCCAATTATTAGCTGTGTGACTTTGTGGCAATTACTTAACCTCTCTGAGCCTTGGTTTATCATGGGGAAAATATCTAAGGCTCCTGTGAGGATTAAATGGTTAATATACATAAAGTCTGTAGGCACATTACTGGGCAATGTGTTATATATGCTCACTCTAGCGTCCCTCAGGATTTAGCTTGAGGCAGGAAGAGGAGAATGGAGAATGAGGAAAGGTGGGAAAGAGGAGTGGGAGAAGAAGAAAATAAGCTAACCCAGCTAATAAAATATAATACTTTCATTAGCAGAATGCTCACCATCGGTGGTGAATGCTATGACTTTTTGCGTATTGTCTAATTTACTCTTGTAGCAATCCTGTAAAATATTCTCAATTTGCATGTATGAACAGGGAATGAAATTTAAGTAACTTGCATAAAGTCACACAGATAAGCAGATAAGCCAGTGCTTAAATCCATATCCATCTGAACCAAAAACCCATGGTGATAACAGTGTTTCCACCCAGAATTTACCACATTCCTCTAAAATTCTATGGGCCATGGAAACACAGAGCTCTTCTAGTAGAATGTTAAAATAAAACAAAATATTTTACTTTATACAGAAATATAAAGTAAGCAATTGTGTTTTGCGTACATGGGCTTATTCTAACTATTACAAAAAGCAGGGCTCATTTTCTCATGCTATAGATAAAATACGGAAGGTGACTGTAAATTAGCTCAACCTCACATATGTAAGTGGTAAAGGTAGGATTCGAACCCTGAGACTCTGACTCCAGACCAAGGCTTTTCTCACAAACACATTACCTATCTAGCAAGGTGAGGTAGACCTGCTTCTGATGAAATAGGTTTGCCTATCATGAGAGGAATTTCGACTAGTTGATTGATTTATCAGAAATCCCATCAGCATGACTTTATTCCTGTTTCCACTTACACACAATTGAACTATTGATTTCGACTGCATGAAAAGATCTCAGATAACTAAATGTCCTCTGGCCAGCAAGGATCCTTGAAGAAGAGAAATACTGAATGTCTATAGCACCTATCACCATATGTTTAACTAAAATAGTATCAAAACCAATCATTTTTCCAATATTACAGAAGTGTGTGTAATGTGTGTATATGTTCACATGCATTCCAGGACTGAGAAGTAATGATATGGAAAGTGGAGAGTATTATTTCTCAGAGAAAAAAATAACTTTTAGAGAGATACGTTTTATTCAAAGGTGCCAGTTTCAGGTGCCCTAGACACAGCCATCCCTGGACCAAGTTAAGACGTTGGTCCCATCTCTCACCTTACATGTCCCCATACTCTTGTCAGCTTCCTTCCTTCCTTCCTTCCAGTGCCCATGTTCTGCTGTCCCACTGAAGCATATTTATTCACCTTTCACCTACATAGGTATCTTTATGGCTCACAGGAAGAATGCCTTTCCAAGGAATCCAGTATCTTTCCTTCTTTTCTAATTTTTGCCATTTCTGTTCTGCTCTCCAGTCCCTATATTCTGCTAATGGACAGTACACACTGTCTTTCATTTGCCCTCCAGATCCCTGGGTCTCTTTGCCCTTGACCTCCTTACCCTCTAACCTAGGTGGCTAATCTGTGTGGCCTATTTCAACATGTAACTTTTCCCTTGGGTTTCTAATTGGTTTGGCCAGTGGAGAGCTCCATCAGAATACTAAAAGGAATGGAGAGAAATCTGGATTCCTGCTTCCTCCCCAGAAGGCATCTTTGTGCTGGCTCCATCTTTTAGTTGAAGGCTAAGGGGACTGATTGTTCCTATCAAGGGGTCCTGTCTCTATGATGCTCTCCTTTAGGTTCTGGAAACCACTCCCCTATGTTCTTTTAGAGTTATGGTGATATAAGCTTCTCTGCTTTTACCTGTCTTGGGTACTATCTCTCATGGTTTCACTTTATTCTGCACAAATTTTTGCTAATAGGTCTTCAATTACATCCTCTTTAACCCATTTTGAGTATTTATTTTCTGCAGATACCCTAATATATGTACTAACTAGCTTTTATATACTATCTTAAAAGTCTCAATCTGTCACTATTGTTATACCAATGGCCCAAACTGAGACCCTCTAGGCTATTGCAACACTCAGCTAGTTTCTTGAGTCAACCCTTACAGTTTATCATCTACCCAGCAGCCAGAGCACCTTTTCCAAATTACAAATCTGACATTTTTTAGACTTTAGTGATGTCCCATCTCCTCTCAGTTAAAATCCATGTATCTTAGCATACAAGGCCACACATCTACTTTATATCTTCCTCTGCTTTCCGCTTCTCCTGCCCTTAGTCTGAACTCCCCCACTCACTTACAAAGCAGACCCTGAAACAATGACTTGGGTGAATGTAATTTATTTGGGAGATGATACTAGGAGATGGGAGAAAGAAGGCTAGGAAAGTAAGAAAAGACAATAAAATGTACATTAAAAAGCCAGACAGCTGGAGTTCAGTTTTGCTGGTTCATTTTTGTACAACTGTGGAGACTGTGCTTTAGAATTTCCCCACCAATGAACCAAGGAGCAAAAACATTAACCACTGATTCTCATCTCCCACTGGTTGAGAGTTGCTCCTGGGGTTAACTCTCCCATTTTTCCTAGCAGCACCTTTCTGCACTTGAGCAAACTGTCCTGGTGCCAGAGAAAGTCTCCCAGCAGAGCAGCAGACTCAGGTGCTTCAGTTGAGAAATTGTGTACAACAGCTTCAGGTGAACTCAGAGATGAACTCAGGATATGGACTGGTATATTAATAGCATCTGCTATACCCAATCTGCCTGCTATTCATGTCACAACATATCCTGTATGCTAGGTATGCCTAATTATTTCCTGCTTCGTGCACTTTCACCTCTCGAAGAACATTTGCATTCCATTCCTTCAATCAGGAAGCTCTCTACTCCCACTTCTTTCGCATGCAACTCCCAAAGCCCAGCTGAAACATTACCTAGAGCAATACTCCAGAGAGAACAATTTGTTTTATTCTGAATTCCTAGATCATTGGTTTACATTTTATAATTTATACACATAAATTATTAAACATATTTATTCCCTACCATATTTAATAAGAGCCTCAATTCTATATCTGAAAAATTAAAATGACACATATTTCATAGTGTTAAAACTTAAATGAAATTGTGTGTATAGAGTGTCCAAAACAATATTTGGCCCATAGTAGATGCTCCAGAACTTTTAATTCCCATTATTCTATCTAACCCTTTTCCATATTTTCATCTTTGATTCTCAAATAACTAACACAATTCCCAGCATATAATAAGCTCTCACACAATATGAATGTCTCAATAACATTAAATTACCATCACCATAATCCACATAACACCTCTGTTATAATAAGCAAGTCAAGGAACAATGGATCTTTAAAAACAACTTTAAAATTTAAAACTATAGGAAAACAAAAGTTTTGTATGACCAAAAAGAAAACATTGTGTCATTAGCATTATTGCTCCCACCAATACATTGCAGTATTGGTTAGAAACTCCTCCATTAAAAATTTCAAATAGCTGTAATAATGATAGGAAATTGGATCCCAGGAGTTCTGAAATGACCCAACCTTAGGTGAATTGTTTAAAATGAATTTTTTTATAAAGCTCATAGTTCCAAATACCTACTTCCCCCTTCTTCTGAGAATCAATTTCAAGTGCAGTATGGCTTAACTAAAATAGCATAAACTGTATAGCTCTTATTGAGTTTCCTTTGCCCTAGGAGTAAGACGAATTGACATGGCCTTTGAAAAAAAAACTAGCATTTCAAGGAAAAGGTTTCATTAGAAATAAGATGTGACTCAAGGGCCTTAAAACTTCTTAGAAGAGGAAAACCAAAAAAGCTTGGGGAAGGCTGCAAGAGTCACTTTATTTAAAATGTCACACCAGTAGTTTAAAAGTCATGGCAACCCGACTGCACTCTCAGTGTGGACTGTGAGGCCTCTGCTGCACTCACCTGCTGGGATATAAACAGATTCCCTGTAGCTCCCTGGGAAACAATTTGTTTCAGTGGTGAATATAAACTGGTTTTAGGGGGCCTAGGTCCTTGTTAAATGAAAGAATTAGTGACTGAAATTATGGCAGTAAGAAAATCATTCTTGGCCTCAGTTTCTTTGCATATTTAAGGAGAAGGTTAGAGGATGATGCATATTCTCAATTCTAAAATTTAAATTTTTAAGAAAATTTTGGTGGATACCTAGTAGGTGTATATATTTATGGGATACGTTAGATGTTTTGATAAAGACATGCAATGTGAAATAAGCACATCATGAGGAATGGGGTATCCAACCCGTCAAACATAGGTCCATTGAGTTGCAAACAATCTAATTACACTCTAAGCTATTTTAAAATGTAGTTAGTTATTATTGACTATAGTCACCCTACTATGCTATCAAATAGTAGGT
This sequence comes from Homo sapiens, assembly GCF_000001405.40. NCBI lineage: Eukaryota > Metazoa > Chordata > Mammalia > Primates > Hominidae > Homo > Homo sapiens. Next base: position 29,810,906 of record NC_000011.10, read on the forward strand.
CTTACTCAGTCTAACTACATTTTTACACCCATTAGCCAACCCCACCACTCCTTTATTTCCCCACTACTCTTCCTAGTCTCTTAGTAACCATCCTTCTATTCTCCATGTCCATGAGTTCACCTGTTTCAATGTTTAGATCCCACAAATTAAGTGAGAATACGCAATGTTTGTGTTTCTGTGCCTGGCTTATTTCACCCAATACAATGATATTTAGTTCCATCCATGTTATTGCAAATGACTGAATCTCTTTTTTTATGGCTGAATAGTACTCCACTATGTATATGTACCAAGTTTTCTTTATTCATTCATCTGTTGATGGACACTTAGTTGGCTATTTCAAATCTTGGCTATTGGGAACAGTGCTATAACAAACATAGGAGTGCAGGTAGATCTTCAATATACTGATTTCCTTTTCTGGGGTATATACCCACATGTAAGGTTGCTGAATCATATGGTAGCTCAATTTTTAGTTTAGTTTTTTTTTTTTTTTGAGGAATCTCCAAACTGTTCTCAATAGTGGTTGTACTAATTTACATTCCCACAAACAACGTACAAGAATTCCTTTTTCTCTACATCCTCGCCAACATTTGTCATTACCTGCCTTTGGAAATAAGCCGTTTTAACTGGGATGAGATGGTAGCTCATTGCAGTTTTGACTTGCATTTCTCTGATGATCAGTGATGCTGAGCACCTTTTCATGTGCCTGTTTGCCATTTGTATGTCTTCTTTTGAGAAATATCTATTCAAATCATTTGCCCATCTTTTGATTGGATTATCAAATGTTCTCCTATATAGGGTTGTTTGAACTTCTTATATATTCTGGTTATTAATCTTTAGTCAGATGGGTAATTTACAAAAATTTTTTTCCCAATCTGTGGGTTGTCTCTTCACTTTGTTGATTGTATCCTATGCTGTGTAGAAGCTTTTTAACTTGATGTGATCCCATTTCTCCATTTTTGCTTTGGTTGCCTATGCTTGTGGGTTATTACTCAAGACATTTTTGGTGTATTCAGATCAACACCAAATGTCAATGTCCTGGAGATTGTCCCCCACATTTTCTTGAAGTAGTTTCAGGTCTTAGGTTTGAAATATTAGGTTTAAGTCTTTAATTCATTTTGATTTGAGTTTTGTATATAGTGAGAGATAGGGGTCTAGTTTCATTCTTCGGCACCATTTATTGAAGAGACTTTCTTTTCCCTAGTGTACGTTTTTGGCACTGTTGTCAAAAATGAATTCACTGTAGGTGTGTGAATTTGTTTCTGGGTTCTCTATTCTGTTCCTTTGGTCTGTGTGTCTGTTTTAATGCCAGTATCATGCTGTTTCGGTACTATAATTTTTAGTATAATTTTAAGTCAGGTAATGTGATTTCTCCGATTTTGTTCTTTTAGCTTAGTATAGCTCTGGCTATTCTGAGTCTTTTGTGGTTCCATGTAAATTTTAGGATTGTTTTTTCTATTTTTGTGGTGAATGTCATTGATATTTTGATAGGAATTGCATTGAATCTGTAGATTGCTTTGGGTAGTATGGATATTTTAATAATATTGATTCTTTCAATCTGTGGACATGAAATATCTTCATTTTTTTTGGTGTCTGCCAATTTCTTTCTTCAGTGTTTTATAGATTTTTTTTTTTAAATAGAGATCTTTCGCTTCTTTGGTTAATTCCTAGGTATTTAATTTTATTTGAGGCTATTACAAGTGGAATTACTTTTTTATTTTTTAGATTGCTCACTATTGGCATATAGAAACTCTACTGATTTTTGCATACCAATTTTGTATACCATGACTTTACTGAATTTATCAGTTCTAATAGTTTCCTTGTGGAGTGTTAAGTTTTTCCAAATGTAAGATCATCTCATCTCATCTGCCAACAGGATAACTGGACTTCTTCCCTTCTAAATTGGATGTCCTTTATATCTTTCTTTTGTCTGATTGTTCTAGCTAGGACTTTCAGTTCTATATTGAATAACAGTGGTAACAGTGAGCATCCTTGTCATGTTCCAGATCTTAGAAGAAAAGCTTTCATTTTTTTCCCCATTCAGTATACTAGCTGGGGTCTGTTATATATAGTTTTTATTATGTTGAGGTATGTTTCTTCTATCACCAGTTTTTAAAGATTTTTATCATGAAGGGATATTGAATTTTTCAAATGCTTTTCCCGCATCAATTGAAATAATCATATGGCTTTTATTCTTCATTCTGTTGACATGATATATCACATTGATTGATTTGCATATGTTGAACCATCTTTGCATCCAAGGGATAAATACAACTTGGTCATGATAAATGATCTAATATATTGTTGACTTCAGTTTGCTAGTATTTTGTTGAGGATTTTTGCATCAATAGTCAGAGATATTGGCCTATAGTTTTCTTTTTTTAATGTATTTTTTCTGGTTTTGGTGTCAGGGTAACACTGGCCTCATAGAATGATTTTGGAAGTATTCCCTCCTCCTCTATTTTCATAATAGTTTGAGTAGGATTTGTATTATTTCTTCTTTAAATGTTTGGTAGAATTCAGCATGGAAGTCATCGGGTCCTGTGCTTTTCTTTTCCAACAGACTTTTTATTATGACTTCAGTCTCATTGCTTGTTATTGGTCTGTTCAGGTTTTGGATTTCTTCCTGGTTCAATCTTGGTAGGTTGTATGTTGCTAGGAATTTGTCAATTTCTCTCCAATTTTCCAATTTATTGGCATATAGTTGCTCATAGCTGCCTCTAATGATCTGTTGAATTTCTGCAGTATTATTTGCAATGTCTCCTTTTTCATTTCTGATTTTATTTGAATCTTTTTTTGTAAGTAGTCTAGCTAATGGTTTGTCAATTTTGTTTAACCATTCAAAAAAAAACCCACCTTCTTGTTTCATTGGATCTTTTTTTTATTTCAGTTTCATTTATTTCTGCTCTGATCTTTATTATTTCTTTTACTAATTTTGGGTTTGATTTGCTCTTGCTTTTCTAGTTAAGATGCGTCATTAGATTATTTTATGTTTTTCCTGTTTTTTGATGTAGGCATTTATAAGCTTCTCTCTTACTACTGCTTTTGCTGTATTCCATAGGTTTTTGTATGTTGTGTTTCCATTATCATTTGTTTCAACAAATTTTTTGATTTCTTCATTGACCCATGGGTCATTCAGGAGCATATTGTTTAATTTCCATGTTCTTGTATAGTTTCCAAAATTCCTCATGTTACTAATTTCTAGTTGTATTCCAATGTAGTCAGAGAGGATACTTGATATTATTTCAATTTTTCTTAATGTTTTAAGATTTATTTTGTAACCTATGATGTATCCTTGAGCATGAACCATTTGCTCAGGAAAAAAAGTGTGTATTCTGCAGCTCTTCGATGAAATGTTCTGTTATCTATTATATCCATTTGGTCTATAGTGCATATTAAGTCTGATGTTTCTTTGCTGATTTTCTGTCTGGAAGATCTGTCCAATGCTGAAAGTGGGGTGAAATTTCCAGCTATTACTGTATTGGGGCTTATCTCTCCCTTTAGCTCTAATAATATTTCCTTTATATATCTGTGTGCTCCAGTGTTGGGTGCATATATATTTAAAATGGTTATACCCTCTTGCTGAATTGACCCCTTTATCATTACATAGTGACCTCCTTTGCCTCTTATAGTTTTCATCTTGAAATCTATTTTGTCTGATATAAGTATAGTGACCCCTGCTCTTTTTTAGTTTCCATTAGCATGAAATATCTTTGTCCTTTTTTTAGTCTATGTGTGTCTTTATAGGTAAAGTGTGTTTCTTGTAAGCAACAGATCAATGGGTCTTATTTTTTCATCCATTTTGACAGTCTAGGTCTTTTGATTGGAGTCCATTTACATTCAATGTTATTACTGATAAATAAGGACTTACTCCTGCCATTTTATTATTTGTTTTCCAGTTGTTTTGTAGTCTTCTATTTCTATATTCTTTCATTCCTGTCTTCCTCTGGTGAAGATGATTTTCTCAGGTGACATGATTTAGTTTCTTGCTTTTTATTTCTGTGTATCCATAGTATGGTTTTGGTTTGAGATTATTATGAGGTTTGCAAATACTATCTTATAACCCATTATTTTAACCTGATAACAACTTAATACTATTCACATATGCAAACAAACAAAAAGAAAACTAATAAGAACTCACCTGAACTTTGTCCTCCTGGTTTTTAATTTTTTCATCTTTTTATTTATATCTTACTATACTAGGTCTTGAAAAGTTTTCATAGTTATTATTTTTGATTGGTTCATCATTTAGTCTTTCTGCTTTGGATAAGAGTAGTTTACTCACCACAGTTACAGTGTTATAATATTCTGTATTTTTTGGTGTACTTACTATCACACCAGTAAGTTTTGTACCTTCAGATGATAATTAATGTCTTTTTCTTTCTGATTCAAGTACTTCCTTTAGCATTTCTTGTAGGACAAACCTGGTGTTGATGAAACCCCTCAGCTTTTGTTTGTCTAGGAAAATCTTTATTTCTCCTTCATGTTTGAAGGATATTTTTACCTAAAATACTATTCTGGGGTAAAAGTTTTTTCCTTCAGTATTTTAAATATGTTATGTCACTCACTCCTGGCCTGTAAGGTTTCCACTGAAAAGTCTGCTGTCAGACACATTCAAGCTCCAATGTATGTTATTTCTTTTCTCTTGCTGCTTTTAGAATTCTTTCTTTATTGTTGACCTTTGGGAGTTTGATCGTTAAATGCCTTTAGGTAGTCTCCTCTGGGTTAAACATGTTTAGTGTTCTATAAGCTTCTTGTACTTGAATATTAATATCTTTCTCTACGTTTTGGAAGTTCTTTGTTATTATTCCGTTGAATAATCTTTCCATCCCTATCTGTTTCTCTACCTCTTCTTTAAGGCCAATAACTCTTAGATTTGCCCTTTTGAAGCTATTTTCTAGATCCTGTAGGTGTGCTTTGTTGTTGTTTTATTTTGTCTGTTCTGACTGTGTATTTTCAAATAGCCTATCTTTGAGCTATTTCTTCTGCTTGATCCATTCTGCTATCAAAGAACTCTAAGGATTCTTCAGTATGCCAATTGCATTTTTTCAGCTCCAGAATGTCCGCTTGATTCTTTTAAATTATTTCAATCTCTTTGTTAAATTTATCTGATAGAATTCTGAATCCCTTCTCCATGTTATCTTGAATTTCCTCAACACAGCTATTTTGAGTTATCTGCCTGTAAGGTCATGTGTCTGTTTATCCAGGATTGGTCCCTGGTGCCTTACTTATTTGTTGAGTCCATGTTTTCCTGTATGGTGTTGATGCTAGTAGATATTCTTTGGTGTCCGGGCATCGAAGAGTTAGGTATTTATTATAGTCTTCATTATCTGGGCTTATTTGTAGCTGCCCTTCTTGGGAAGGTGTTCAAGATATTTGAAAAAACTTAGGTATTGTGATCTAAACTGTTTCTGCACCCCAAGCTCAGTAACATCGTTGTTCTTGCAGACTCATAGAGATACTGTCTTGATGGTCTTGGACAAGATACCAGAAAATTCTCTAGCTTACCAGGCAGAAACTCTTGTTATCTTCCCTTACTTTCTCCCAAACATGCAGTCTCTCTCCTCTGTTCTGAGCCACCTAAAGCTGTGTGTGGAGTGACACAATCACCCCTGTGTCCACTATGACTCTGATTGCACTAGGTCAGACCTAAAGCCAGAACAATGCTGGGTCTCACCCAAAGACTGATGTAACCATTCTCTGGCTACTGCCTATGTTTGTTCAAGGCCCTCGGGCTCTAAAATTAGCAGGTGGCAAAGCCACCCAGGTCTGTGTTCTTTCCTTCAGGGCAGCGATGTCCCCCAGCCCTTGGGTGGGTCTAGAGGTGCCATCCAGGAATCAGAGACTAGAGTAAAACACCTTAGAAGTTTACCTGGTATTGTATTGCAGCTGAGCTGGCAGTCAAACCACAAGACAGTCTTTCTCACTCTTTCTTCCCCTTTCCAATGGCAGAGGAAACTCACCCCATAGCCACCGCCATACCCGGCCACAAGGAGTACTGCCAGACTACCATGTTCACTTAAGGCCTAAGGTCTCTTAAGTCAGTTTGTGGTGAATGCTTGCCTAGCCTGGAACTCACCCTTCAGGACTGTGGACTCCCCTCTGGCTCAGGGCAGGTCTAGAAATGATATCCAGGAGTTGAGTCCTGGAATTGGGGACCAAAAGAACTTGCTTGGTGCTCTATCCTGCTGTGGCAGTATTGGAACCTAAGACAAAGTCCCGTTTACTTTTCCCTCTGCTTTTCTTAAGCAGGAGGAGTTTTGCCCCATAGCCACCACAGCTGGTAATGTGGCTGAATCTAACCTGAAGCCAACAAGTCTTCGGGGCTCACCAAAGCCCTCGATGTAGTACCTGGGTATTGCTGCTGGTAATTCAGGGCTCAAGGGCTCTTCAGTTAGCAGATGATGAATGCTGGCAGGACCCGTAGGAGAAGAAAGCAGGTTCCCTTCTGGTCCATGGTGTGTCGAGAAATGTGGTTTGGGAGCTAGGACCTGGAACGGGGCCTAATGACTGACTGGTGCCACATCCTGCTATGGCTGAGCTGGTATTCAAGATGTAAGACAAAAAGTCCTCCTCATTCTTCCTTCTCCTCTCCTCAAGTGGAAGGAAGTGTTCTCTTTTGGAGCAACAAGCTGTGCAGCCTTGGTTTAGTGGAAGGATGATGCTAGTACTTGCTTGGCTGCCCCAGCCAGTGTCTCAGTATGTCATATGCCTCCCCAGTCCACTGTACTCGGACCTAGTTCTGCCCAGGATCTTGCCTAAGAGTTGCAGTCCTTATGGCCTAGACTGCCTTTCAAGTTTGCCTAGAAACCAAGAGCCCTTTGGCCCTTGGTAGCGAGGTTGCAGGTACTCAGGCATTCAAGTTCAGACTGCTGGCATTGATGGTTTCCTGCTGGCATCAGTGATTTTCCTCTGGCTAGGACTGGTTTAAATGCTCCCTCTGTGGGTAGGCATCAACTGAATTTGGTCTACTTTTCCTTTCTGCTCTAACAGAGCAGCAGAGTTCAATGCCTCACAATTGCTGAGTTCTCCCAGGTGGGGGTGGGGGCGGTTGGAGGGTGGCTGGAGATTCGGGACTGTTTCTCTTCAGTGCCTCTTTCGGTGATATGAAGTTAAAACCAGGTACTATGAGTGTCCACCTGATTTTTAATTCTTATGAAAGTTTTTTCTTTTTCCTATATAGATAGTTGTTAACTTGGGGTCCTTGCCTAGTGGCGGAGCAGAGGATGATCAGTGGAGCCGTCTCTTCTGCCATCTTGCTCTGCCTCCTAAATTCTACAATTTAAATCCATGTCCATGTCAAGTAGAAAGAGTCTTTCTCTTACTGAAGGTACTTCCTTCTGGAATTGGGAGAGAGGAGAAGGCAGGGATGGATTCCACTTTAAAAAAGGGTAAGATTTATTATGGATATTTAGGAACAGGTAATTTTCCATTGAACTGAAATCAGAATAAAAACAACCTAACTGATAATGGAAGTCTGTGTTCAGGACAAAAAAAATAAACCGACTTCAGTAAGAAATTTGGTGTTTGTGGCAAAAATAATTCACTAATCACTCATCTAAATGAATTTTGGAAAGGCAGGAGTGCAAAGCTGAAGTGTTTACAACTACAGGTTTCAAACTAGATTCCCTTGGGTAAATTCTGGCTCTGTTTTCCTGTCAGCTAAGACTGCCTTTGGCAAGCTTGCATCTAGGAATAATTTTATATCTAGTTTCCTCTACTGTAAAATGAAATAAAAATATCATGTTCTCTAATAGTGTTCTTGCGAATATTTGACAAATACATGTAAAATGTTTAGAATGGTGCCTGTCATGTACTAAGTGCTTAATAATTACTGGCTATTATCATTAGTCCTCCAATTCAATTTCCATAAAATACTAGTAAAATAAATCACATTAAATTTTCAAAATATATCAGAATACATCGATGAGATTCAGACCCAGCTGGAAGAACAGGCTTGGGGGAGAATCAACTGTCAACTTCTTTTAAATTTCTATATTTAATCCTGATGATAATTATCATTCATTGAGTCCCTACCTTGTCTTACTGGAATTGCTCAAGGAATTTTGTATTTTCATTGTTACATCCTATCAACAAATTTATAAGGAAAAAATATTATTATATAAGTTGAAAATCTAAGGCTCAGGTATGTTAGTAAAATGCCTTGTAGTTATAAAATTAGAACTCCAAAGAACCATAGCTTGAAATTGTGCCTCGTGGCTGGAGAGCTCATTCTATTTCCGTTTCAACACACAGAACACCATGCCCATAAGACTAAAGTTTAACTGGAGGGGCTTCAAGAAACAATAACACAGAGATAAAAAATGTAGGAAAATTGCCAGATGTGTTATAGGCTAAATATTCAACCTGGTTGAGGACAACAAGAATATAAATATATCTCAGCCTCCCCATTTTAAGACTCAACTGGAATAGTTTATTCAGTTACTACCCTGACTCAACCACATTTTCTAACTCTGAATGGTCAATAGAGCTGAAAGAAACCTGAGAAATACCACAGGATTAAGGGCAGATAATAAAAGTAGAATGAAAATAGACAGATAGGAAAGATGGGATCCCTCAGGAAACTAAGGTAAGAGAGTGGTGAAAGGACCTAGCTGGAAGCCAGAAGTCTCTGCAACAAATCATTTGGTTTCTGAAGTAATTCAAGTGTGGGGAAAAGTTAACGACAAATGGCAGAGGGTAAGGTTCAGATTGTTGCAAAAAAGATGCTGAGAATTTTTATATTTGGAATATATCTTGTCCAAATAAATATGCCATAGTTGTATCAGTTATCTATTGCTATGTAACAAAGTCCCAAAACTCAGAGGTTTAAAGTATAACCTAAAGTATTTGCTTGAGATTCTGCAATTTGGGCTAGGTTAGGCTGTCAGGTTGTTTGTTTGTTTTTTGGCTAGTTTCTCCTAAAGTCCCTCATGAAGCTATAATCTGGCAGCCTAACTGGATCTGAGTTGGGGCTGGGGCTGTCAGCCAAAGAACCTTGGTAAACCATTACATGTTCTCTTCAGCAGAAAAGCCTAGGCTTCAAACATGGTGGTCACAACATTCCAAAGGGTAAGCCTTCATGTTCAAAAACTTAACTGGTTGCTGTTTGTTTCATGTTTGTTGGTGTCCTATTGACCAAAGCCAGTCATAGAACCAAGCCCAGAGTCCATTTAGAAGGGAAATATACAAGGTTATAAATATTGATAGGTGCCATTAATTATCACTGATGTATAATCTACTACAATGGCCAAATCAGTGCACATATATAAAGTTTCTCTCAGTTCCTTCCAAAGTTCAGATCATACTTTTAATCTTTTGATGAAAATGATACAAAATTTATTTTCAAGATACAACAAAGATATCAACCACAGGATTTCACACTCATTTTGTTCATTATCAAGTACAAGGTTAAGTGAGAATGATTACCTGCACTGCTCTCAGCATGGAAAAGAGAATTGAATTATTCAATGGTTTCTTCAGTGCTAGATCTGGTGTTAACTCACTTGGCAATGGGAGAGTGTTTTTGAGGGCTCTAACATACAACCTGTAGCCACTTCCTCTAGTAATTGCCGGTGATGTGTTCCAACAAAATAATGACTTTCCTTTATCTTATTTGAACCACAAGAGACATATTTCTCCCTAATTAGTGTGTAGTGACATAGCAAATGGGAAAGCAAGAAATTTTTCTAAAAAAACTTTAAGCAAAGACTAACAAACGTTATAATCACAATTACATAGTGTCGATTGGGAGAGAGAAAGTAATCGCTGAATACCTTGCTTAGTACTGGTTAGAACTTTAGTACCGTCTGTTTATGTGATAAAAAAAAAAAAAATTGCTGGGCAATGTGAAAGTCTCAAGCCTAAGGAGATAATGACTACAAAAGAGAAATTCATCCCAAGTAGACCGAAGATTGTGGACAAGAATATTTTTTTGCTTCTCTGTAAAACTCTGAGTTTAAAGTTCTCCTGCACCACTTCAATTTCCTGGATCAAGGCTAGTCAAATAATGGGAGATTCTGTTTCCAGGGTGATCTGGATGCAGTAACTGAATGCAGCATTGGATTTTTCTCCCATGGGAAGGGATGGTGTGTTCTGTTATGGAAGGAAAGATGCACGTGAATAACCACTGGCAGTGGAGACAGCTTGTAGTAGATATGATTAGCTGTCCATCAAAAACTTGTGCTCCCTTACACTGTATATAGTCATTGCCATGAAAGCGCTACAAGACAAAGTGCTATATTTCCTAACTTGTTTTGCATTCATTTGGGGCAATATGACTACTAGCTAATTTAATGCTAGTGGAAGTGAAGTACACTACTTCTAGACCTAGCTGATAAAAAAATGTGTATATATATATATATACATATATATATATATATATATATACATATATATATATATATACATATATATATATATATATATATACACAGAGAGAGAGAGAAAGAGAGAGGGAGTGTGTGTGTGTGTTTTTTTAATACCTTGTGATCTTCTATTTTTGCTGCTCATGGACCCTCAGGGCAACATTAGAAGTTCTGTATTAAGGATGGCATGTCGCCATCAACCTAGGACTCCGAATGGCTACGTAGAACAAAACACCAACCTATTTTCCTCACACTCTACTCACTGGGCTTTATGTGAGCAAAAAATAAACTTTTATTATGTTAAACCATTGAAATTTTGGATTCAATTTGTTATAGCAGATGGCTCTCTCTCTCTCTCTGTATATATATATATATATATATATATATATATATATATATATATATATATATACTAATATATGGGAATTTCAAGGATTTTAGCCTCACTGGAATTCTGATATCAAGTGAATTGGCATAAATGATTTGGTAAACGGAGCAGCTGAGAAGAACAAACATGCAGTGACAGGGTTCAAAACCAAAAGCAAGATCTTTGGAGCCAGATAAATTTGGGGTTGAATTCAAGATTCAGAACTTATTGAGTGGAGTGACTGTCATACAGTAACATCCTTTACAGAACACCTACTATTTTTCTGACATTCTTATAAGCAGCAAGGATATTACAGCAAATGGAATAGAAAATTCCCTATCATTTTGGTGTTTGTATTCTAGTCAGGGAGGTAGACAATACACAAAGAAAGAAATATATAGTAGCATGTCATGTAATATGATATATGGAAAAATAGTAGAGAAGGACAAGTAGATGGAAAGACAGAATGTCCTACGTTAGATAGAATAGTATCCAGAAAAGACTTTTCTCAACAGGTGGCATTTGATTAAAAATATGCATGAAGTGAGGGAGTGAAACCCAATGGCTATCAAGAGAATAGGGTTCATGTTGGGAGAAAAATAATGGCCCTGAGAATGGCAGGTGCTTAGCATGTGAAGAAACAGCAAGCAGACCAGTGCGGCTGGAATCAAAATTTTAAGAGGAAAAGTAGTAGGAAATGAGTTTAGCAACGTATGCAGTGGCCAGATCGTACAGGTCTTTGCATTAGGTCAAGTATCCTAGAGGCAAAACCTAAAATGATAATTTATGTAAAATTGATTTATTGAGGGAGTCCTCAAGAAAGATAAGAAGGAAGTATCATGGAATACTACTATCAAGGGAAAACAAAGCATGAATGTGAGCTCAGTGGAAGGCAGCTTCAGTCCTAATGCCACAGGCAATCTAGGGGATGAAGAAAGCTTCAGAGCTGGTGTCACTTTTAAGCAAGAGGAATGGTCTTTTTTTTCCTTTGTGCCATTAGTCATTGCCAATAGGCTGCTCCTGGGACAAAGGGAGCTAACCTTCCATGTGAGGCAGATGAGATAGCTTCTGTCCAGGCAAGGACAATCTCAGAAGAAGTGGGCAATCGTGAGCCATTAACAGCAACCATTGGGTTGGCCTGGCAAATGAAATCTGGGGGCAGCACCAAGAGCTACTACCAAATTCCATTCCTTGTACCACTCACTTGCTTCTTACATGAACTTCACCCTATCCAGACAGTATTTGTCCAGGATTCTGGTTAGTTGTAAATTTGGAAAAAGTTTACCAGAGGAGAATTTTACCTGGTACAATTGATCCCATGGCTGGGATAATCATGTCCCAACCCCATCACCTGTTCTAGACTCCCCCCTCTGGCTCATCTAGCACTTCTACTGGACTGGTGGTTTGCCTGGCAGGGTGATCCTCATCTGTAAGGTATCTGGGTTCTAGTTACCATGCTCTCATCAGAACATGGTTGCTGTACCTGCACATTTGAGTTAAAACTTTGTATGAGACTAATAAAAGACCCCTCAATACAACAACCAATTCCCAAAAATGTATAGCAGCAACTCTATCTCCTCATAATAGGGTCAACCACTTTTGCCCATAACCCCATTCTTTGCCTGCTGACCTACAAGCACAAGGTATCCAAAATAACCAGATGGCAGTTGCAGCTTTAAGTGCAATGGAATTCTTACTGTACCCCCTAGAAGAAGCATCATTCCTCCCTGGGACCCCCCAACACCTAGACCAGGGATCAGCAAACTTCTTCTATAAAGGGCCAGCAAATAAACATTTTAGATTTTCAAAGCCACTTAGTCCCTATCATGTATTTTTTAACAACTTTTTAAAAATAGGAAAAAAAACATTCTTAGCTCATGGAGTCATGGGGGAAAAAAGGGCTATGGGAAAGATTTGGCCATCAGCCATGGTTTGCTGACCCCTGCTCTAGACCCACAGAGCCTAAAGTAGTGGGGACAAGAAATGGAAATCGCCTAGGTAAGTTACTGGTAGTGACCACATACAGAGCCACATTCACTTCCACCTGCAGATTCTTGGATTTACTTAGTCTACCTAATCCTTATAAGATGGAGCACCTGTTGTTGGGTTTATACATTGCTTCTGACTCTGCCAACATAGTAACCACATTCATAATCCACTGCACAAGCTCTGGGGTACTGAAGTGACCAGGACAGACGCTGCTGCTGATGTGAGCTGGCCAAGTCATTTTGTCCACTTAATTATTTAGTGCCTCTTTTGCAGCAAATGTTCTCTTGTGGCATGCAAATGCAATACAAAGATTGTCAGGCTTTGAATTTTCCTCTAGAATTTTATATCAAACAGCCATATTTTCTCCCCGAGTTATCAGGCTCTTTCATTCTTGCTGTTGGACATTTTGAGAAATCTGACTTTTAGAAAATCAGTAATTTGTAGTATATATATACACACACATATATATATATACACACATATATATATATATACACACACATATATATATATACACACATATATATGTATATATGTATATATATGCCTTCATCCAACATTTGTGACACACTGACACTAAGAAAACACTTTTTTAGCTGAAGTTCAAATTTAACTGATCATTCTCTTTTTATTTGTTAAATCTGGCAAACCTACACATCTCAAGACTACTACTACTTCTGCCTGATTTTATGCCCTAACACACCTCACATTTATTCCAATTCTCTAGTACTATTTCAAATTCTTTCACTACTAGTGGTTTCCTATACTTTCATACTCCTGCAACCCTATCTGATCTCAATATTCCCTCAGCCTAGAATTCTTCTCCTCACTCATTGGTATACAGAAGAAAATCTAACTCATCCCTGAGAGCTGAGCTCAAATGTTACACCTCTAAGAAACATTTCTCAGGTCTGCCAAAATTAATTAGTTTTTCACTTTTTCTCCCATAGCAATATTTACCTATAGTATAACGTATTTTTCCTGGCCCTATGTTTTCATTAGTTATTTATATATCATTATTTCCTACTAGACTTTAAGGTATCCATCCCTCTTTTCCTCTGTTGCCTCATAAAAACTAAGCACAGTATCTTAGATATAAGAGATTTAAAAAGATTTCCAATGTCAGTTCAATTAGACTACAACATGTCAATCCAATCCAGTGGCTGGCTAATCATGAAACATGCCTCAGCAGATAACAAATAGCATTGGTGGGAAAAATGACAGTCACATTGGCTGTGTTTTGTCCTGTTTGGCAGATGGGTTTGGAGACAGCCTAAAATCCATGGCAAGAACATTAGCCAGGAGCCTATGTTACACAGGTTTTTTTTAAAGTAGTGATTAAAGCACATGGAATCGGCGGGGGGGGGGGGGGGAACAGGCTGTGGGAAGATAGTATTAACAACGCAATGTAAATATCAAATGTTTAAACATGCAGCCATTAATAAGGTAAATGGTTTAGAAAACAAAGAGTAAAGACTGATTATTTCATGGTCACATGCAAAATCCATCATACCTCATTTTAGAAACAGTGTCACTGAGGGAAAAGTCCTGGGTTTGTTCTCTGGAATGATCAAATCAATTTGTCTCTATCATATGTTCCTCAGATCATCCTTAGTTCCTAACCAGTTGGATTAGACACACTCCCCAATTCAAACGAGCCGTGCTGGAAAGTCTCCTAATCAATATCAGCCCATCAGCAGTATTATATTTGAAATTCAATAATACGTACAGTTTGTACCCATGAAAAAAGTACCCATCCTAATATGTAAAGATGAGGGGCAGAGTTAATGCTCTACCACCTTGTAACTAGGTAACGGGACAATTCCTTTGATGTCTGTGAACTTTAGTTCCTTAATGAGAAAATTCATCAATTCTTCTTGGAACTAAGCATGATGACCTTTAGTAAAAGTAGTATACAAAAAGAAAAATAAGGAAATAGTTGTATTTAGAGGTCAAATACTTTTACAGCAGAAAGTTCTATCATCAAAGTCATGAATCTCATCCTCTTGTCCCTGGTAATGCTATTTTGACAGGTTTACTCATTACCAAAGTCTTCACAACCCAGTAGTCTTGTATAAAAAACATTTTATTTAGCATCTGTCTATGTGGAAGTGAGTTGGCTATTATAATAAAAATGTTTCCTTCCACACACCTACTTTGGAGAAAGTGAGGTGAGCTACTCCATACTTCTATGAGCACCAGGTCCCCAGAGCTGGGACCTTAGTGCTAGCCTGGAAAAGAAAAATATGGTACTTCTACCTCTTGCAAACTCCTGGAGTTTCATGAATCAGGCCCTTCTCAGATGGCACTAGTTAATATTTCCTAAGGATAGAATGAATGAGTTCTGTTGATAACAAATCATGAGCCCCAGCACCAGATTTGGAAGATTAAAGAGAAAATAAAATGGTTTCTATTCATTCTGCCTAGTAATGGAGATCAGAGAAACAGAGGAACAGAGAGATTATGTCACATTTTCTCCTGTCTGGTGTCTGGGAAGAGTTTCTCTCAACTGTAATCAACAGAAAGCTTTTTTCACACAGAATTTTGTGGGACAACAATAGATGCATCCAACCACTCAAGTTCAAAATAGGTCACATCTTTGGTATAAAATTGCTTCAAGGATTGGAAAAGATAGGCTGAGAATAGATTTTTGTGGCAGGGTGTACACTGAGGACTAGGCCTACATCTGCTATTATCTTCTTTTGGAAATTCTGATCATCTACACTAAATTTATCTGCATCCCTAGAGCCTGGCATTGTGCCTTGTACAGCTTCTAGACTTAAAACATATTTTGCACAAATGGACAAAAAAGAAATAAACATCATACAAATGGCAAGAAAATCAAAGACCCACTGCTCAGGGGGAGACTTGCTCCCCAGGGAGACATCTGGTGTTTCAAATATTGGCACCTATCCTTTCTCTTTTGGGACACTTCTCTCTGTTAAAGGGCTTATAATCACTGTGTATTTAAAAATATAGAAATGTAATTCAATTATTAATTGTACTTAAAAAATAATGACTTTTAATTTTATTCACATTCCCACTCCATGGTCTATACAAATAAAAGAAAACTTCCAAAGAATGTCTTTGTGGGAAACAAGCCAAATGGCCAAATAGAAACAGCTCCAGTCTGTGGCTCCCATCAAGAAGAATGAAAATGGCAAGTGGTTCTGCATCTTCAATTGAGATACCCAGGTTCTCTCACTGGGACTGATAGGCTGTTGGTGCAACATAAAGAGAGTGAGGGAAAGCAGGGTGGAGTGAGGGACCACCTGGGAGCTGCATGGGGCAAAGAGAGCTCCCTGTCTCAGCCAAGGGAGACCATGTGGGATTGTGCTACATGGCCCTGAAAACCACACTTTTCCCATGGACCTGTGAAACCCATGGATCAGGAGGTCCCCTCATGGGGCCATGCCACCAGGGCCTTGGGTCCCAAGAAGAGAGCTGTGCTCACGGCAGCTGCTCAGGTAGGCAGCCACTCAGGCAAGCACTGAGACACAGGATTTTTGCATACTCCAACTGCGGGAACTCCAGTGAGGCAGGAGACCCATCCACTTCCATGGGCAGGAGGCTGAAGCCAGGGAGTGAAGTGGCCTTGCCCAGCAGGCCCTATTCCCATGGAATCCCACAAGCTAAAACCCAGTGGCTTGGAATCCCCACCAGCCCAGTGCAGCAGGCTGGACAATGCCTAAAAAGACTGAGTTCTAGCAGGAAACGGGCAGCTATGATCATTGCAGCTCTAGTAGGCCATTTTCTCCTCACATCAGTGCCAGTGAGACAGGGCAGTCTGAACAGGGAGCAATTTCCCACAGCACAGCCGCTGTGACAGTTCATGGCCAGACTGCTTCTTTAAGTGGGATCCTGACCCATTCCTCCTCACTGGGTGGGGCCTCCCTGCAGGATTTTTAGCATCCCCAGCCAGGGGTTTATGGACAGAACTATGATCTACCTGAGAGGAGCCCCTAGGAGGAGGGGCAGGTGTAGTATCCTGAATCAGCGGTCTTAGTCTTTTCTGCCTGCCGGCTCTGGAGAGTCAGGGCAGCCCAGAGAAGAAAGATTATACCCAGTATAGCACAATGACTCTGCCAAAGGGCAGCCAGACTGCTTATTTAAGTGGGTCCCTGATCCAGCTCCTCCGGACTGAGTGAGACCTCCCAACAGGGGTCTGCAGATGCCTCATGTAGGAGCATTCTGGCTGGCATCGGGTCAGTGACCCTCTGGGACAGAGAGTTCAGAGGAAGGAGCAGGCTGCCATCTTTGCTGTTCTGCAGCCTCCATTGGGTGATAACTCCAGGTGTGGGAGGGACCCAGGCAAATAGGGTCTGGAGTGGAACCCCAGCAAGGTGCAGCAGCACTATGGAAAAGGGGCCTGACTGCTAAAAGAAAAACAGAGAGCAACAACAACAACAACAAAAGACTCCCACAAAATCCCCATCCAAAGGTCAGCAGGCTCAAAGATCAAAGGTAGATAAACCCATGAAAATGAGAAAGAATCAACATAAAAACACTGAAAACTCAAAAGGAGTGCCTCTTCCAAATGATCACAATATGTCTCCAGCATGGGCACAGAACTAGGCTGTGGCTGAGATGGATGAATTAACAGTAGACTTCAGAAGACAAGTAATAATGAACTTCACTGAGCTAAGGAAATATGTTCTTACCCACTGAAAAGAAGCTAAGAACCATGATTAAAAATTATAGGAGCTTTTAACCAGAATAACCAGTTTAAAGAAGAACTTAAATGACCTGATGTAGCTAAGAAACCCAACACAAGACCTTTACAATACAAACGCAAGTATGAATAGCCAAATAGACCAAGCAGAAGAAAAGGATATCAGAGCTTGAAGACTATCTTGCCGAAATAAGGCAGGCAGAGAAGATTAGAGGAAAAAGAATGAAAAGGAATTAACAAACCTCCAAGAATTATGGGATTATGTAAAAAGACTGAACCTAAAACTGGTTGGGGTATCTGAAAGAGATGAAGGACAAAACCAAGTTGAAAACCACACTTCAGGATATCATCCAGGAGGACTTCCTCAACCTAGCAAGACAGGCCAACATTTGAATTCAGGAAATCCAGAGAATCCCAATAAGATACTCCATGAGAAGATCAATCCCAAGACACATAATCATCAAATTCTCCAAGGTTGAATCAAAGGAAAAAATGTTCAGGGCAGCCATAGAGAACGGCCAGTTCACCTATAAAAGGAAGCCCATCAGACAAACAGCAGAATTCTCAGTGGAAACCCTATAAGCCAGAAGACATTGGGGGACAATATTCAACATTCTTAAAGAATTCCCAACCTAAAATTACATATTTGGGCAAACTAAGATTCATAAGCAAAGGAGAAATAAAACCTTTTTCAGACAAGCAAATGCTGAGGAAATACATAACCACCAGGCCTTCCTTGCAAGAGTTCCTGAAGGAAGCACGAAATATGGAAAGTAAAAACTGGTACCAGCCACTACAAAGACACAATGAAGTACACAGATCATTGAAACTATGAAGTAACTACATGAACAAGTTTGCAAAATAATCAGGTAGTATCATGATGATAGGATCAAATTCACACATAACAATTTTACCCTTAAACATAAATGGGATAAATGCCCCAATTAAAAGCTACAGAATGACAAACTGTATAAAGAGTCACGATCTATCAATGTGCTATATTCAAGAGACCCATCTCACATGCAAAGACACACATAGGCTCAAAATACAGGGATGGAGGAAAATTTACCAAGCAAATGGAAAACAGCAAAAAGCAGGAGTGGCAATCCTAGGATCTGAGAAAACAGACTTTAAGCAAACAAAAATCAAAAAAGACAAAGAAGGGCATTACCTAATGGTAAAGAGTCATTTCAACAAGAAGAGCTAACTATCCTAAATATATATGCACCCAATACAGGAGCAAACAGATTCGTAAAACAAGTTCTCAGACACTTACAAAGAGACTTAGACTCCCACGCAGTAACAGTGGGAGATTTTAACCCCTCACTGTCAATATTAGACAGATCATCAGGACAGAAAATTAACAAAGATATTCAGGACTTGAATTCAGCTCTGTATCAGTGGGACCTGAGATAACTACAGAACTCTCCACCACCAAACAGAATATACATGCTTCTCAGCACCACATGGCACTTACTCTAAAATTGGCCACGTAATTGGAAGTAAATCACTCCTCAGCAAATGCAAAATAACTGAAATCATAATAAGTAGTCTCTCAGACCACAGTGCAATCAAAAATCAAGATTAAGAAACTCTCAAAACCATACAACTGTATGGAAATTGAACAACCTGGACCTGAATGACTGCTGGGTAAATAGTAAAATTAAGGCACAAATCAGGAATTTTTTTGAAACTAATGAGAACAACGAGACAACATACCAGAATCTCTGAGACATAGCTAAAGCAGTGTGAAGAGGGAAATTTATACCATCAAATGCCCACATCAAAAAGCTAGAAAGATCTAATATCGACATTCTAACATCACAACTAAAAGAACTAGAGAACCAAGGACAACAACAACAACAACAATAAAAACCAAAGTAGCAGAAGACGAGAAATAACCAAGCTCACAGCAGAACTGAAGGAGACAGAGATACAAAAAGTCCTTCAAAATAAAAATCAATGAATCTAGGAGGTGGCTTGTGAAAAAATAAAATAGATAGACGACTAGCTGGACTAAGAAGAAAAGAAGAATCAAAGAGACAATAAAAAATGATAAAGGAGATATTACCACTGACTCCACAGAAATATGAACAACCATCAGAGAAAACTATACACACCTCTTCTAGAAAATCTAGAAGAGATGGATAAATTCCTGGACATATACATCCTCCCAAGACTGAACCAGGAAGAAGTTGAATCCCTGAATAGACCAATAACAAGTTCTGAAATTGAGGCAGTAATAAATAGCCTATCAACTAAAAGCTCAGGACCAGGTGGATTTATATCTGAATTCTACCAGAAGTATGAGGAGCTGATACCCTTTCTTCTGAAACTATTCCAAACAATTGAAAAGGAGGGATTCCTCCCTAACTCACTTTATGAGTCCAGCATCATCCTGATACCAAAACCTGGTAAAGATAAAACAAAAAAAGGAAACTTCAGGCCAATATCCCTGATGAACATCGACACAAAAATTCTCAGTAAAATACTGGCAAACTGAATACAGCAGCGAATCAAAAAGCTTATCCACCACAATCAAGTTGGCTTCATTCCCAGGATGCAAGGCTGGTTCAACATATGCAAATCAATAAATGTGACTCATCACATAAACAGAGCTAAAGACAAAAACCCCATGATTATCTGATATGGTTTGGCTGTGTTCTCACCCAAATCTCATATTGAATTGTAGCTCCCATAATTTTCATGTGTCATGGGAGGTACCCAGGAGGAGGTAATTGAATCATGGGGGCAGGTCTTTCCCATAATATTCTGATGATAGTAAGTCAGTCTCACAGGATGTGGTGGTTTTATAAAGTAGAGTTCCCCTGCACACACACTTTCTTGCCTGCCACCACTTAAGACATGCCTTTGCTTCTTCTTTGCCTTCCACCATGATTGCGAGGCCTCCTCAGCCATGTGGAACTGTGAGTCCATTAAACCTCTTTGCTCCATATATTACTCAGTCTCAGATATGTCTTTATTAGCAGTATGAGAACAGAATAATACAGTAAATTGGTACTGGTAGTGTTGGGTACTACTGTAAAGACACCTGACAATGTGAAAACAACTTCGGAATTGGGTAATAGGCAGAGGCTGGTATAATTTGGAGGGCTCAGAAAGAGACAGGAAAATGTGGGAAAGTTTGAAACTTCCTAGAGACTTAGAGAGCTCAGAAGAGAGGATAATATGGGAAAGACTGCAACCTCCTAGAGAGTGGTTGAATAGCTTTGACCAAAATGCTGATAGTGATATGGACAATAAAGTCCAGGCTGAGGTGGTCTCAGATGGAGATGAGGAGCTTGTAATAGGAATAAAGGCCACTCTTGCTATGCAAAGAGGCTGGTGGCATTTTGCCCCTGCCCTAGAGATCTGTGGAACTTTGAACTTGAGAGAGATAATAAGGTATCTGGTGGAAGAAATTTCTAAGCAGCAAAATGTTCAAGAGGAAGCAGAGCATAAAAGTTTGAAAAATTTGCAGACTGACAATGCAGTACAAAATAAAAACCCATTTTCTGGGAAAAAATTCAATCCTGCTGCAGAAATTCACAGAAGTAATGAGCCAAATGTTAATCATGAAGACAATGGGGAAAATGTCTCCAGGGCATGTCAGAGACCTTTGAGGCAGCCCCTCCCATTATAGGCCCTGAGGCCTAAGAGGGAAAAGTGGTTTCCTGGGTCAGATTCAGGGATCCTCTGCTGTGTGCAGCCTAGGGAATTCTTGCCCTGCATCCCAGCCACTCCAGCTATGGCTAAAAGTGGCCAAGATACAACTTGGGCCATGGCTTCAGAGGGAGCAAGTGCAAAACCTTGGCAGCTTCCATGTGGTGTTGAGCCTGTGGGTACACAGAAGTTAAGAATTGAGGTTTAGGAACCTCTGCCTAAGGTTTACAGGATGTATGGAAATGTCTGGATATCCAGTCAGAAGTTTGCTGCAGGGGTGGGGCCCTTATAGAGAACCTCTGCTAGGGCAGTGCAGAAGGAAAATGTGGAGTTAGAGCCCCGGCACAGTCTCCACTGGGGCACTGCCTAGTGGAGCTGTGAGAAGAGCACCACCATCATCCAGACCCCCAAATGGTAGATCCACTGACAGCTGGCACCGTGCACCTGGAAGAACCACAGACACTCAATGTCAGCCCATGAAAGCAGCCAGAACTAGGGCTATACCCTGCAAATCCACAGGAGTGGAGCTGCCCAGAGCTATGGGAGCCTACCTCTTGTGTCAGCGTGACCTGGATGTGAGACATGGAGTCAAAGAAGATCATTTTGGAACTTTAAGGTTTAATGATTGCCCTGTTGGATTTCAGTCTTACATGGAGTCTGTAGCCCCTTTTTTTGGCCAATTACTGCCATTTGGAATAGATGTATCTACCAAATACCTGTACCCCATTGTATCTAGGAAGTAACTAACTTGCTTTTGATTTTACAGGCTCATAGGTGGAAGGGACTACTTGCCTTGGCTCAGATGAGACTTTGGACTGTGGACTACTGAGTTAATGCTGAAGTGAGTTAAGATTTGGGGGGAATGTTGGGAAGGCATGATTGGTTTTGAAATGTGAGGATATGAAATTTCAGAAGAGTCAAGGATGAAATGATATCGTTTGGCTGTGCCCCCACCCAAATCTCATCTTGAATTGTAGTTCCCATAATTCCTACATGTCATGGGAGAGAGGTAATTGAATCATGGGGGTGGGTCTTTCTCATGCTGTTCTTTTGATGGTGAATAAGTCTCATGAGATCTGATGGTTTCATAAAGGGGAATTTCTCTGCACATGCCCTCTTGCCTGCCACTATATGTAAGATGTGATTTTGCTTCTCCTTTCCCTTCTGCCATGACTGTGAGGCCTCCTCAGCCATGTGGAATTGTGAATCCATTAAACCTCTTACCTTTATAAATTACCCAGTCTCAGATATGTCTTTATTAGCAGCATGAGAACAGACTAATATATTATCTCAAGAGATGCAGAAAAGGCCTTTGATAAATTTCAACATCCCTTCATGTTAAAAACTCTCAATAAACTAGATATTGAAGAAACATACCTCAAAATAATAAGATCCATTTATGAAAAAGATATAGCCAATATCATACTGAATGGAAAAAAGCTGTAAGCCTTCCCCTTGAAACCAGCACAAGACAAGGATACCTTCTCTCACTCTTATTCAACACAGTATTGGAAGTCCTGGTCAGGGCAATCATGCAAGAGAAAGAAATAAAGGGTATTAAAATAGGAAGAGATGACATCAAGTTGTCCTTGTTTGCAGATGACAGGATCCTATATCTAGAAAACTCCACCATCTCAGCTTAGAAGCTTAACTGATGAGAAACTTCAGCAGTCTCAGGATATAAAATCAATGTGCAGAAGTCACAAGCATTCCTACAAACCAGCAACCAACAAACAGAAAACCAAATCATGAATGAACTCCCATTCACAATTGCTACAAAGAGAAGAAAATCCCTAGGAATACAGCTACCAAGGGAAGTGAAGAACCTCTTCAAGGAAAACTACAAACCACTGCTCAAGGAAATCAGAGAGGACACAAACAAATGGAAAAACATCCCATGCTCTTGGATAGGAAGAAATAATATCGTGAAAATGTTCATACTGCCCAAAGCAATTTATAGATTCAATGCTATTCCCATTAAACCACCATTGTCATTCTTCTCAGAATTAGAATACACTATTTTAAAATTCATACAGAACCGAAAAAGAGCTCTTATAGCCAAGAGAATCCTAAGCAAAAAGAACAAACCTGGAAGCATCACACTACCTAACTTCAAACTATACTACAAAGCCACACTAACCAAAACAACATGGTAGTGCTACAAAAAAAAACAAAAACAAAAACAAAAAAAACAGACACATAGACCAATGGACAGAATAGAGAACTCAGAAATAGGACTGCACACCTACAGCCATCTGATCTTTGACAAACCTGACAAAAACAAGCAATGGGGAAAGGATTTCCTATTTAGTAAATTGTGCTTAGAGAACTGGCTAGCCATATGCAGAAAATTGAAACTGGGCCCCTTCCTTACACCTTTTACAAAAATTAACTCAAGCTGCATTAAAGACTGAAATGTATAACCAAAAACTATAAAAAAAAAAAAACCTAGAAGAAAACATAGGCAATACCATTCAGGACACAGGCATGGGCAAAGATTTAATGACAAAAACAACAAAAGCAACTACAATAAAAGCAAGTTTGACTAATGGAATCTAATTAAACTAAAGAGCTTCTACACAGAAAATAAACTATCATCAGGTGAATAAGCAATCTAAAGACTAGGAGAAAAATTTTGCAATCTATTCATCTGACAAAGATCTAATATTCAGAATCTACAAAAAACTTAAATTTACTAGAAAAAAACAAAAACCCATTAAAAGTGGGCAAAGGATATGAACAGATACTTCTCAAAAGATGACATTCATGTGACCAACAAGTATATGAAAAAAAATCTCAGCATCACTGATTGTTAGAGAAATGCAAATCAGAACCACAATGAGATACCATCTCATGCTGGTCAGAATGGCAATTATTAAAAAGTCAAGAAATAATAGATGCTGGCAAGGTTGCAGAGAAATAGAAACACTTTTACGCTGTTGGTGAGAATGTAAATTAGTTCAACCACTGTGGAAGACAATGTGGCAATTTCTGAAAGAACGAAAAATACCATTTGACCCAGCAATCCCATTATTGGATATACACCCAAAGGAACATAAATCATTCTATTACAAAGACACATGCATGCATATGTTCATCGCAGCACTATTCACAATACCAAAGGCATGGAATCAATCCAACTGCCCATCAATGATAAACTAGATAAAGAAAATGTGGTACATATACACCATG
Source organism: Homo sapiens (assembly GCF_000001405.40). Lineage (NCBI taxonomy): Eukaryota > Metazoa > Chordata > Mammalia > Primates > Hominidae > Homo > Homo sapiens. Next base: position 29,835,153 of record NC_000011.10, read on the forward strand.
GAATACTGTATGCAGCTATAGAAAGGAATGAGTTCATGTGTTTTGCAAAGACATGGATGAAGCTGGAAGCCATTATCTTCAGCAAACTAACGCAGGAACAGAAAACTAAACACTGCATGTTCTCACTTATAAGTGGGAGCTGAACAATGAGAACACTTGGACATGGGGAGGGGAGCAACACACACTGGGGCCTGTCTGGGCATATGGTGGAGGGGAAGGAGAGCTTTAGGAAAAATAGCTAATCCATGTAGGGCTTAATACCTAGGTGATGGGTTGATAGGTGCAGCAAACCACCATGGCACACAGTTTACCTGTGTAACAAACCTGCACATTCTGCACATGTACCCCAGAACTTAAAATTCAAATAAAAATTTAAAAAAAGAAAACCTTCACTTTATTATAAGAACAATCAATTTCTTAGAAAGATAATTGGCTTTGAAATAGTCAAGACACCTTAAAATACATGTGATAAGTCTCTCTATGCAGCCATGAGCCTGTGTCCCTGCTTAATATTGCATACAATAGTTGAGAAGGCATAGATTTGTTACGCCCACCTGTTGTAGAAGAGAAGTTTTCCAGTGTACATCCATTCAAAATGAACAGATACTTGTCCAAATAAGTGTCTCTACCTAGCTAAATTTCCATCTACTACTATCTAACTTATTTAAGTAACAATTTTCCTTTCTTCCTATCATAAGAGTATCTCTGGCTTAAATCCTCTGAGAGATTATAGTATCCCTTATCATTTTATTTTATCAAGATTTATTATCTATTGTATGTTAGATCCTGTACTTAGCTTTAAGGCAAGAAAAAAAGGAAAAAGAACTGTAACAAATGTGTTGAGGATAAGCACAATAGTGAAAACAAAATCAAAAAGTCCTAATGGCAGATATCACCATTTCCTGGGTTTTGTATTCCAGTGCCTATCAGTGTCTGACACATGCATCAGAAATGTTAGTGGAAAAAAATGCTTCCTAATAGAAATAAAGACAAGTTCCCCAGGACACAAAAGAGACTTAGGGGCAGTTTTCAAGAAGCTGAAGCCTGAAAAAATGGGTGTTAGAAGAAAAACCCAGGATTATTTAGAAATATGTTTCCCTAAACTGGGAAGGAGCCAAGAGATCAAAGAATGACTAGGACAAGTACAGTTTGGTGAATAGATGAGTTTATTAGGACTTACATACAAGGCACTCCTGGGTGGCAGCAGGATAGCTCTAGAGATTCACCCTGCCTCTCATCTCTAAGCTTCTTTTAAACTGGTTTTCTGGCTTTTTGCCTACTGTGTGCGATGAGACTGATTTTTTAATATGTTCCTAGATACTCCCTGGGATGTTTGGATTCTCAGGGACACTTGTTCCTCAGTTGGATACCATGGCCTTGGCTTACTGCCTGGCCTTCAGGATTCAAGCAGCAGATATACACTCTTAAGTAAACTGAGGAGGGACCTGTCACACTACAATGGGTCAGTAGGTAGAGGATGAGGAGGGGCATGCCAAGGAGAAGTGGCATGTGTGAAGGCAGCAGAAAGGAGAGCCAGGTACATGATGGGTTCAGAGGATGGAAAGTAACTGGGTATGACTTGAGTTTAGCTTGTGTTGGGGATAGTAGCAGGAGATGAGCAGGAAATGCCTAGTAGAAGACATAGTCGAGGACCTTGGTGTTGTCTTATGGAGTCTGAAGCTTATTGCTGTTTAACCGGTAGCATGTGACTTTTATATAACCCAGATTAGATCACATTCTTCTTGGGGCCAATCTCTATGTAAGAACATTTTGATGTACCCTAGATCCACAACATAGTGCTATGCACAGAAGGAAACCATCACCATTACCATCATCAGTCGCCATCACCATCATCTAAGATTTTCTAAGCTCTTGTCGTATGCCATGTCCTGTGCTGATCTTTTAAATGTCACAACACCCCATTGAGATAGATACTTGTCCTCACTGTACACATGAACAAACACAAGCTTGTGGAAAATTAGGTAGCATCTTCAATTCCATATGGCTAGTAAATGCCAGAGCAGCTAAGATTCTTAGCTAAGATCAGGTTTATCCGTCATACACCCTGCCTCTCTTGATAAACATTGATCAACTCATTGAATTTATAATTTTCCTGCACCAAAAAGAAATTGTCTTTGGTGATCAATTCTACTTGATTTTACTAAGTTTTTTTTTCTTTTAAGGTTATAATGTAAGTTGGTGGGAAATGTGTACAGAAAAAGGCATTGGGTCAGCCTAGGTCCTGATTTTCTGGGCCAGATCTGAGCCCCACCCTCATCCCCATTAGTCATCATACACACTATTCTGGCATATCATAAGATACAGACATCTAAGTGCATTTCACTAGCTATGATAAGCTTTCTGTCCTCTTTATTTTCCCCAAAATTGACAGGTATCATTAAAACCTCCTCCATAAAACTTTTTAGCAGTTAACTAAGTCCTCATCTCTCTGGAAGGAAAAAATGAAGCACATTTTTTAAATGTATAAACTGAATCTTCAGAGGTACAGCGTTGGAGGTTGTCATGGCAACTTTTCTCTCTCCTTCCCACTGTTTTTGGCGAGTTTTTTATTAAACAAAACAAAAAAAATTAAATGCCCTCATTAGCCCCATCATTTCTAGTGGAATCAAATCATTTCTTTGAAATGTCTTATGGCCCAAGCCATACACTCATAATACACTAAACATGGAGAAAAATATTTAATTTCCCAATATTAGGAACTGAGGACCAAATTAATTCACATACTCATTCACTGCATATAACCTAGGATTCCCCCTTTATAAAGTTCTAATCTTGGCCTTTTGTGAATATTGAGTTGTAGAAAGGTCCTCACTTAAAGGAGTCAATCATCTGGTAGGACAGATAAAATGAGTACCTGAATATGATTTAGGCAACAAATAAAAGAAGTTCATAATACGATAAAGGTTCACAGGAAAAAAGTGTTTTTCTGATTTAAGATGATCCTTGAAAGTTTCCTAAGAAAGGGTAGGAGGTTGGGTTTAATTATAATAGGTCTTCTCTGTCTGGTTGAAGAGCTTGGTCTATACTTACTGGAAAAGATATTTTTGAGTCACAGTATGATATGTATATGATATGATATTTCCGGATAATAAATCTGAAAATGTGGTATGCCACTGAACAGAGAGACAATCTGAGGGCTTGGGAGGATGGACTGGAGAAAAACAGGGAATTTAGAAAGATAGGCTGGTGTGGAAATATGATAGTGTTTCATTTCCCATATATCAAGATTGAGTTAGAAAATATTGCCTTTTCCACAAATTAACTGACTAGATAAAAGAAAAAAATCACATATACATTTCTCGTAGGAATGCTAAAGAAAATCCTAACCAAGGTTGAAACTAAACTTTTTCTAACACACAATGGACAAATTTTAGGAGAAAAGATACAGTGGTTCTTTAATAATGATTGAACTTTTCTATTAAAAAGAAAACTAGTTATATTCCTTTTTTCACTATTTTCTTTGATCATGTCTTTTGTACCACATGTATTTAGTGATCGAAGTTAGAAAACAAAGGAGAACCTTAAATAAATGCTTAAAGCTCTCTCTCACTATGCTGTCATCTCAGTGAAGCAAAGACGGAAACGCATTTCTCTAGGACCTATTAATTCCTGAGAGTTAGCAAACACCAGCAAATATTTGTATATTAAGGTAAAAATTTTTCTTGAACAATCATCTAAGGTGGAGCTGACCCTAAAGTTACCAAAGTAATTCTAAAGGTGTCTTGTACAAAATAATACATAAAATAAATAAGTCATCCCATTAGCCCTTGGGAACACCTAAAATTTTTACCCTAAAATGTAGTCCAAGAACTATGACTTAGGTTCAATAAATGATTTCTAGTCTGAGTTTCCTACAATTGAAGTATTTTTTTAAACAGAGGAAGTAGATTTTTCAAGAGTAAATTTTTGATATTTTAAAACCTAATTGAAGTTCTCCATTTACACATATGGCAAGGTTGAAAATTTCCTTGCTTTTCACTAGATGTAATCATCTCAGGGTAGTCACATATCTTATATCTCATGCTGATCAGGAGTTCTATCTGGCAGCTGTTTAAGTCCCTAGTTAATTAAAAATGGAAAAACAAATTAATTATTCCTTAATATATGCAGTTGGCATGATAGCTGATTTTTTAGAAGAGTGAATTCACAGAGAATATAAAAATAAAATGATCCTTAGGGATAAAGTATCTAGGACCTAAAAGGATTTTATGATAGCTAAGTTAGGTACCAAAGACCTCCATTATCATATAAAGAAGAATTCATCTTTTATAGGCCCTGGGAACGGAACACAGAACAGATGAGCTTTAATATAAAAGGACTGGGAGAGAATCAACTAAAGCAGAACTTGATATAAAGAAATAGTGGGCCCAAAAAAGGCCAAGAATACCTGGGGTATTGGGTTCCTGAGCAGCAAAACAAACTTGGACTCTTTTACAACTTAATCTTAAGCTAAGTCCTAAAGCAAGTATTTGCACATCACTAAAATAGCATTGTAACTGACAAATAGCAAGCTCATCACAGGAATGGCCATGACTAACTGATTAAATGGGGAAAGATCTCAGAATTATTCTATCATGATGGTTGGTGACATGGTTTCATAGAAAGTTCCAAAGAATTCCCAAATCACTCTGTAAAGCATGATTTCCTGACTCAGAAACAGAAAGTGATAGTTTTTATGTAGCATATTTTAAATTTAATTTTATTTCTTTTTTAGATACATCTACAGGTTTGTGCCATGGATATATTTCATGATACTGAGGTTTGAGGTATGAAAGGTATGAAACCTGTCACCCACGTGTGAGCATAGTACCCAATAGGTAGTTTTTCAACCCAGGCTTCCCCACCCTTCCCCCTCTAGTAATCTGCAGTGTCTACTGTTCCCATGTTTACGTCCATGGGTGTTCAATGTTTAGCTCCCATTTATAAGTGAGAATATGCAGTATTTGGTTTTCTGTTTCTGCATTAATTTGTTTAAGATAAATGGCCTCCAGCTGCATTCATGTTGTTGCAAAGGAGATGATTTTATTTTATTCTTTATGGCTGCATGGTATTCTATGGTATGTATGTATCACATTTTCTATATCCAATCAACCATTGATGAATACCTAGAAGGATTCCATGTCTTTACCATCTTCAATAGTGTCTTAATGCTCATGCAAGTACATGTGTCTTATGGTAGAACAATTTCATTTCCTTTGGACATACACCCAATAATGGAATTACTAGGTCAAATGGCAGCTCTGTTTTAGCTCTTATGAGTAATTACCAAACTTCTTTCCACAGTGGCTGAACTAATTCACATTCCCACCAGCAGTGTACAAGCATTCTCTTTAATCCACAACCTTTTCAGCATTTTTTGACTTATAATAATAGCCATTCTGACTGGTGTGAGATGGTATATTATCGTGATTTTGATTTGTATTTCTCTGATGATTAGTGATGATGAGCATTTTTATATGTTTGTTGGCCACTTATATATCTTTTTTAATGACATGTCTGTTCATGTCATTTGACCATTTTTAATGGGGTTATTTGTTTTCTGTTTGTTGATTTTTTTTAAGTTCCTTATAGATTCTGGATACTAGACCTCTATCAGATGCATAGTTTGAAAATATTTTCTCCCATGCTATAGGTTGTCTGTTTACTCTCATGAATGTTTATTTTGCTGTGCAGAAGCACGTTAGTTTAATTAAGTCCCACATGTCAATTTTTTTATTTCATTGCAATTGCTTTTGGGGACATAATCAAAAATTATTTGCCAAGGCCAATGTTGAAAAGGGTATTTCCTAGGTTTTCTCCTAGGATTTTTAGAGCTAGAGGTTATACATTTAAATCTTTAATCCATCTTGAGTTAACTTTTTTACATGGTAAAATGTAGGGGTCCAGTTTCATTCTTCTGATTATGGCTAGCTAGTTATCCCAGCACCATTTGTTGAATAGAGAATCCTTTCCCTATTGCCTGTTTTTTGTTTGCCTTGTCAAACATCAGATGTTTGTAGGTATGTGGCTTTATTTCTGAGTTTTGTATTCATTCCATTGCTCTATATGTCTGTTTTTATACCAGTACTATGCCGTTTTTGTTACTGTAGCCTTAGTGTAGTTTGAAGTTGGGTAGTGTGATGCCTCCAGCTTTGTTCTTTTTATTTAGAATTGCTTTAGCTATCCAGGCTCTTTTTTCATCCCATGATCATGTAGGCTTCATTCCTGCAATGCAAGGTTAGTTCAACATGTGCAAATCAATAAATGTCATTCACCACATAAACAGAACTAGAAACAAAAATCATATAATCATCTCAATAGACACAGAAAAAGCTTTTGATAAAATCCAAAATAGCTTCACGATAAAAACATCAACAGACTAGGCATCAAAGAAACATACCTAAAAATCGTTAGAGCCATCTATGACAAACCCACAGCCAACATCATAACCAGTGGGCAAAAGCTGGAACCATTCGCCTTGAGAAGTGAAACAATACAAGGATGTCCACTCTCACCACTCATACAACATAGTAGTGGAAGTTCTAGCCAGGGCAATCAGGCAAGGTAAAGAAATGAAAGGCATTGAAATAGGAAAAATAAAGTCAAACTATTTCTCTTCAGTGACAATGATTCTATACCCAGAAAATCCTAAAGCCTCCATAAAAGACTCCTAGAACTGATAAATGACTTGAGTAAAGCTTTAGGATACAAAATCAATATAAAAAAATCAATTGCATTTCTATATACTAATAACATCCAGGCTGAGGTTCAAATCAAGAATACAATCTCATTTACAATAGCCACAAGAAAAATGAAATACCTAGAGTACATCTAATCAAGAAAATCAAAGACATCTACAAGGAGAACTACAAAATATTGCTGAAAGAGATCAGAGACAACACAAATAAATGAAAAAACAGTACATGCTCACGGATTGGAAGAATCAATGTCATTAAAATGGTCATACTGCCCAAAGCAATTTACTGATTCAATGCTATTCCTATTAAAGTACCAATGCCATTAATCATAGCATTGTAAGTAGTTATTCTAAAATTCATAAGGAAATAATGGTTTCTAGTGGCTGCTCACTTACTGTGCGACCTTAGGCAAGTCATTTAGCTCTATGCATTTCAGACTCTCCTTTTATAAAAGGGAAGCAGTGTGTTCTTGTCTCTGAGTCACTGGAATGCAGTGGAGAAATTTATATATTGCTATTTTGAGTTATGAGGAAGATAGATTCTTCCTAGATCCAAACGCTAATAAGTCTTTTGCCTTGGGGATTTATCTTAATTGACATTTCTTCAGCTTTACTAACACCAGGGAGACCAGCTATGTCTAGACTTCTTTAGGGCCATTTTATGTTGCTGTTACAGAATAAATTATTAAGGGAAATTTGCTGTGTAAATTTATCACCTTTCATCCACAACATTAAAAAATGACACCAGCTTCCTTCAGTTAATATTAGCATTTTTTTTTCCTAAGGGCTCTAATTCCGTTTAGCTCACTTCACCTCACAACACCCCAAAAAGAGACTGGTACTAACATCCCCAACCCTCATTACAAATGGGAAAACTGAGAATCAGTAGCAAATAACTGATCCAGAGAGATTAAGTGAATTTCCAGTAGAGGTAAGATTAGGATGTAAGTTTCTTGACTTTCTGTCTCAGTAGGAACAGCTTCCTTGGTATTAGAATACCAACAAACACAGGAAGGTGCACATCTTACAACATAGGTTCTTATCAGCTTGTTATAGTGTTTTATACCTGCCCAAACTCTACCCCTAAAACAAAATATTATTATAGCTAATAGTTATCGAGTATATATTTGTACAATTACATCTCATGATTCTCACAATAGTCCTAATGATGTGTAGCAAGGTTGAATAACTTACCAGAGGTCACACAGCTGGTGAACTAGGCATTAAATGTTCTTATTAAAAAAGGTAAATGTTTATCTAGGTAAATATATGTATAATATATATATTTACATGTATAAAGTGGTAGGGTGAGTGTATATATATTATATCTATATCTATATTATATATATCTATATCTATTATATATCTATAATATATCCATTATATCTATCATATATATCTATATCTATATCTATAATATATATATCTATAATATATATTCTCTCTCTGTATATATATACATATATATGTGTGTGTATATATATAGTGTTTACAGGAAAATGGTGAAACTTTGAAGACAAGGAGATCTGGGTTCAGAACACAACTCAACAGTTCATAAATCATGAGACATTCAATATGTTATAGTGAAAAACAAAATACAAACTGAATCACATTAATTCTCTGCTTGGGACTATGTTCTGGTTCCTGATTACCATAGGTCCCTTCATGACACACCTTCTCTGCCTCCCCAACATCATCTCTCATCACCCTTCTCTTTGCTTCCTGTATTAGATCACACACCACCACCTATTCGGTTTTGCCAACAGGCCATTATCTAATTTATACCCCCTCAAAGCCTTTTCACATTCTGTTCCCTTTTCCTGGAATGCATCCCCCCACCCCACCCCTCATCCTCCATTCTCCATTATATATTAGGGGCCTTCCCCTCAGCCTAAAACTCTACATGGTACACATTACTCTTCATGCATTTAGATAAGGACCCTGAAGTTAAAAGATGCTTAAGCCGCTGCCAGGCTCACATTGCTAGTGAGGCGCTGAGCTAAGATTCAAATCCAGTTCTACCTCCAAAGTTCAGGCTCTTTACACTTACCTAAGTGTAAAGATGTCTCTGACAGGTAACATCATATTTCAGCCTTAGTCTGGGGACTGTCTGATATATCCTGAGATAAATCAGGGACTTCTAGTCCTTCCTTGTTGCCCATCAGTACACTACTAAAATTTAGAGCATCTCAGGCCATAAGGCTTAGGCCTTTCTCACAATACCAGATTGAAGTCTGTTGCTGTCAAGAAAAGCATGAAACTCCAAGCACTTAGCTACTTAAGATACCTCTGCCAAAGGATGCACCCCAAGAGTATTCCAAAGGAAGGCCATAAGGGCTAAGTAACACTGTTCTATTCTTACTCATAGATGTAAAGACCTAAGAGGGACCTATGATAAAATCAGAAGTACTCAGGTCACTGAAATTGGATTGTTTTTACGATGACATCAGCGAATGACTTAAGCTAACTTTGAAAATTGCTCATTGTCATGCCATGTGCTCATTTATTCAATACATTCTTAATGAGAAACTATCATATAGTGTACACTGCATTCATTATTTGACATACCGCAATAAAGAGATGAGACTTGGACCTTGCCCTTTTGCCATCTAGGAGAAACCAAACAAGATACATGTAAACAAATAAACAGATGATTGCAAACTGTGACAATAAAAGAAATATGCAGAGTGATGTGATAGGGATTAACAAATGAGGAGAAGTTTGCTTTACATTGTCTCTTCTTGGAGCCTGGGACCTTGCAGGATGTGAAGTTTCTTCTACATGCAAAGAGCTGGGGAAGAAAGCTCCTGCTGGAAGGGACTGCAAATGTGAAGACCCTGATTCAGGGTCAGTGAGTTTGATATTATCAAGGTACTGAAAGGAGAGAGGAGAACGTATTATTGAAAAGAGGAGTGGAATAAGAAGATATTTATTCAGCCATTCATACACCTTTATGGAGCACCAACCATTTACTAGGTGCTATTCCAGGTGCTGAAGATAAACCAGTAACAGACAGAGAAGCTCATGTTCCACTAGTGTTGACATTCCAGCCAGAGTTTGGAGCAACAGGCAGGCTTCATGCCTTCAGGGTTTTATAAAGCAAAGAGCTTGGAATTTATTCTAATTGGAATGTAAAGCCAGGAAGTTACTTGAGCTGATAAATATTTTAAAAGCTCACCCTGGGATCCACTATGTGGTGACAGCCAGAAACATTCAGAATTATTGTCATTATTTTGATTATCAATAATAAATATCCTGAGTCTCTTTTGCTTACATTTTTGAAGGTAGAGATCTCGTCAACACAGTGAAAAAAATTTCAAGCCACTAGAGGGAATCATTTACAAAAGGACACCAACAGAGCAGTGTTGTTTGCTCTCAGAGCCTATTTCCTCCAGATAATTTCTAAACTAAAACTAATTGACGTATTAGCCAATAATGTTTATAAGGCAGAAGTCACTGGAGGTAAGTAGAAAGGGTGGAGAAGAAAGAGTGCCCATCTGTAAATACAGGAATAATTTATAATCAATCATATCATTTTCTTCCCTAAGCCTTTTCTATCCCATCCTAATTATAGGCCTCTTTAGAATATGAGAAATAATCAAATTCCATTTGTTTCTTCTAAGCAAAGGAAGTAAGCAGCTTTGAAATCCTCTTGCAAGAAAGTGGGCTATTCCAACTCCTTTGCCCTTGAGAAATATTATTCTCTCCTGGAAGAAGTATGGATTTTGGACTGTGAGATTATTCATATCTCAATTCCAGTATTAACTATAAAACTCAAGTTATCTAGCTTCTCAAAAATAAGAAGCTAAAACAGGTATTTAAAGAAAAACTTGTGTGTGTTTATAGCAGCACTATTCACAATAACCAAAAAAATGGAAAAACCAAATGTCCATCAACTGATGAATGTGTGCTGTCTGTGCAATTGAATATTATTCAGCCATAAAAAGAAATAAACTATTGAATACATGCTACAACATGGATGAAACTCAAAATAATTATGTTAAGGAAGCCAGAAACAAAAAGCCACATACTATATTATATAATTCAATGTATATGAAATGTCTAAAATAGGTAAACCCATAGAGACAGAAAACAGATTAGTGATGCCAGAGACTGGAGCAAGACACCTCACAGAGGCTGGGGGAGTAGATGGTGAATAACTGCTTAATAGGCATGGTGTATTCTTTCCAGATGCTGACAATGTCTTACCACTAGGTAAAGGTGATGCTGATATAATTTTGTAACCACACTAAATTCCACCGACCAAACTCTATGGTCGGTGATGGTAATCAAAATGATGGTAAGAATTGCTAGATTTATTCATAGAATAATATGATAAGCCAAGATTCTTAAGATAAAATAAAGTTTATGAATTTTAATGTTTAATAAATTTATGTTTAATAAATTCAATAGTACTTTAAAATAGCAGTAACCAAAAATAGGCTTTTCTATGCACAAAAATCACCTCTAAAGTTAAAACTTTGCCCTTTTCAGTCCACCTGTCTTCCCCCCTCTTCCCCATCCCCACCCCGTCCCCTCCCCCCAAAAAAGATTTAAAAATATTAATAAAAAAAGAAATTTAAAACTTCACTTTGACATTTTTCATTCAATAAAGCCATCCACACTCTCTCTAGTCTTCTCTCATCAATGCCCATGTATGTCACCTCTTTTATCCAGGCTCATGTTGCACTATTTAGAGTTTAACTCTCAAGCACAGTATAGTACAGAAATGTGACCCTTTACTCATCATACTCATGAATTTGCCACTCTTTTATCAATAATATAATTTACAGCAATCTTATTTTCCACTTGCCAATAATGCAAAAAAAAAAAGTGCTTCCCTTTCCTTAAGTTCAGCACAATCATTAATTTATTATGGCACACTTTCCTGCAGAACTGTGTATTGCTTCAGAATAGTTCTCAGAACAGCCTTTTAGGTAACTGTCACCAAATTATCAGAAATGACATACAAAATGAAATCTGTTTATCATTCCCAGTTTTACTCCTGAATTATTTTGTCAATTCCCCTTCTCCATTTCCCCACCTTTAAACAAATAGAATAAAACTAATACCCTGAACTACATCTGGTTTATGTGATTGTCTTTCCAGGGCCCACAAAATAAGTAACTGCTTAACAACACCTCTTACATATGCTTACAATCCATTGCTAGGCATAGAGTATGTTCGAATTGATTACTGAATATTGTACACCAAAAATATACATAATTTTTGTCAATTAATACAAAACAAATTGATTACTGAGAACATTCAAAGCTAGGTAGTAACAAAATGGGCCATTTCCTGTTGCAAAAGAAGAAGACAGTCTTTTTCCAGATGCCACAGATGTTAAATCCTCCAAGCTATATCTCCAAATTGTCTTTTATCTACAGGACTAAAACATTCCATGGTATCTTTGCATTTTCCAGACTATAATTAAATGAAATAATCTTCAAGATCTATCATTCCCTAGACAGTCTTTTGGAGAAATATAGTATAAAAGCACTATCCCGGTGATTTATTATGTTGTGTTAATCTATCATCAGTATGCATTATTAGTAATTCTCTCAATACATTAGTGAGTACACTGAGGTTTACTAAAGGTCAACTACATCATCAATTGAGGTTCCAACTGACAAAATCACTTATATAGAATAGTCCAGAAGCAAATTTATTAATAGATTTTTATTCTCAAGAGAGCTCTAACAAAGGTAGTTTCCCTGGAATAATTAACTAATTCTGCACCAGTAGGCCTAATTTCAGACACTATCATATAGGCTGTACCATCCCTCAGCATTCATACCTCCTTATCCCTGCCACACACACACACACACACACACACACACACACACACACACACACACACTTTTATTTCTACTTCTGGATGGTTCTTTATCTCCATGTCTATTTGTTTCGTGTCTTTTTTATCTCATGAGTTATTTCCAGCTCATACAATTATGAACTCATTATAAACACATATGATATTATATTCAACAGTGAAAAACTGAAAGCTTGTTCCTTAACATCAGGAACAAGGCAAAGATACCCACTCTACCAACTTCTATTCATCATAGTACTAGAAGTCCTAGCTAGAGTAATTGAGCAAGAAAAAGAAGCAACAGGCATCCATATAAGAAAGGAAAATATAATTATTTCAATGCCTAGACATGATCTTATATGTAGAAAACACTGAAGACTTTTTAAAAATTCAGTGAAGTTGCAAGATTAAAAAAAACACTTAAAACTCAGTTGTGTCTATACAAACAAAATCAGTTGTGTTTATACACACACGCAGTGTTCTAAAAATGAAGAAAATGGTGAATTCTATTTCCAATAGCATCAAAAAGAATAAAACACTTAGGAATAAACTTAAATAAGGGGGTAACAAACTTGTACATTGAAAACTACCTAACACTGATTAAGAAAAAATTGCAGAAGACACAAATGAGTGTTCATAGATTTGAAGACTTAATATTGTTCAAATTTCTGTACTTCCTAAAGCAATCTCAAGATTGGATGCAATCCCTATTAAAATCCGAATGCCATTTTTCAAATTGAAAAAAAAATCCTAAAGTTTATATGAAACAAAATAAAGAATGGAAAACCAAAACACTCTTGAGAAAGAAGAACAAAACCAGAAGCATCAATCTTACTGATTTCTAAATATATGACAAAGCTACAGAAATTAAAATAGTATGGTACCTGCATAAAAACATGCATATAGACCAATTGAACAGAATAGATAGCCCCAAAATAAACCCATGTATACATGGTCAACCAAACTTCAATAAAAGTGCCAAGACTACAAAAAGGACAGTCTCTTTAACAAATGGTTTTGGGCAAACTATACATCCACACACACAAGAAAAAAAATGAAACCCTGAACTTATTTCGCAGGCAGAAATAAAAATAGAATGAATTAAAGATTTAAATGTAACATCTGAAACTGCAAAACTCTTTGAAGAAAACATAGGAGGAAAGTTTAATGACATTGGGATAAGTAATTATTTTTTGGATATGAAATGAAAAGCGTAAGTAACAAAAGCAAAAATAGACAAGTGAGACTACTTCAAACTAAAAAGCTTCTGCACAGCAATGGAAAAACTTATCAGAGTGAAAAGGCAATCTATAGGAGAAAATATTTGCAAACCATATATTTGATAAGGGGCCAATACCCAAACCATAAAAGGAACTCCTATGTCTTAATGCCAAAAATCATTAAAAAATGATTTAAAATGTCCAAAGGACTTGGATAGACACTTCTTCAAAGAAGGCATACAAATTAGAAGGCATACAAATGGGAAGACAAGTTGTCCATTTGTATGCCATGTAAAGATATTTAACATCAATAATCAGAGAAATACAAACCAAAACAAAAGTGACTGTTAGGATGACTATTATCAAATATAAATAATAAAAACAAAAATAAAAGTTAACATGTGCTTGGTAGTATGTGGAAAAATTGAAACCCTTGTAGACTGTTGGTGGGGAATGAGTTAGTGCAGCCATTATGGAGGCTTTTCAAAAAATTGAAAATAGAATTGTCATATTGCCATATAATCCAGTAGTTCCACAACTAAGTATACATCCAAAGTAAATAAAATCAGTATATCCAAAGAGATATATGCACTTCCATGTTTATTGTTGCATTATTCACAATAGCCAAGATTTGAAAATGACCTAAATGTCCGTTAACAGATGAATGTATAGGCACAATGTGATATATACAAACAATGGAATACTATTTAGTGTCAAAAAAGAAAGAAATCCTGCCAAATGTGACATGGTGAACCTACAGGACTATATTCTAAGTGAAATAAATCAGTCATAGAAAAATAAATAATGCATGATTCCAATTATGAGGAATCTAAAATAGTCAAACTCACAGAAACTGAGTAAAATGGTTATTGCCAAGAGTTGGGGGTAGTGGGAAATGGGGAGCTGTTACTCAAGGGGCATAAAATTTCAATAATACAGGATAAGTTCTAGGGATCTCCTGTAGAATATTGTGCCTACAATGAACTATATTGTATAATGCACTTAAAATTTGTTAAGAGAGTAGATTTCATAAAGTTGTGTTTAAAAAACTGAATAGATCCTCAGTGACCTGTGGAAAGACATTAAATTAATATTAATAAAGTGGAGTTCCAGAAAAGATAAAGCAGAAAGAATATTTGAGATAAAAATGTCTAATATTGTTCAATATTTGTAAATAATTATAAATTCTCACTTGCAAGGCTCTCAGTGAACAAGGAAAATAAGCCACTAAAAAAAGAGAAGCTCTTAAAAGTAGCTATAAAAAAAGAAAAATTAGATATAGGATGTGACAGTTAATACGGAGTATCAACTTAATTGGAGTGAAGGATACAAAGTATTGATCCTGGGTGTGTTTGTGAGGGTGTTACCAGAAGAGATTAACGTTTGAGTCAGTAGGGTGGGGAAGGGAGAGTCACCCTTAATATGGTGGGCACAGTCTAATCAGCTGCCAACGAACACAAAGCTGGCAGAAAAACATGAAAAGGAGAGACAGGCCTAGCCTCCCAGCCTACATCTTTCTCCTGTGCTGGATGCTTCCTGCCCTCGAACATTGGACTCCAAGTTCTTATGTTTTGGGTTTCATACTGACTCTCCTTTCTCTTCAGCTTGCAGACAGCCTATTGTGGGACCTTGTGATCATGTAAGTTAATACTTAATAAACTCCTATATTTTCCTGTTAGTTCTGTCCATCTAGAGAACTCTAATACATAGGAAAATATCAGTAAGAATGATTGACATCACATTAGAAAAAATGCAAGTATTAGAAAATAGACAACATATAAGAAGCAGCAAAAATGTCATCAGCCAAAAATGTCCTTCAAAATAAAGTTGAAATGAAGACATTGATAGACAACAAACAGAAGCTAAGAGAATTCATTGCCATCAATTCTGTACTACAAGAAATAACAAAATAAAATCTTCTCACAAAAGAAAAATAATACCAGGCAGAAAGTGAAACATAAAAACTAAGTAGTGATGATCTCCAAAATGATAAATATTTGCGTAAATAAATAAAAGGATTTGTTATAGATCTGATACAATCCCATTAGGAATACCAGCAGATTTTTTGAAAAAACTTACATGCTGATTTTTAAATCTTTGTGGAAATGTAAAGAACCTAATTTTGAAAAATTAGAGATTAGGCAAACTAATTTTGAAAAATAACATTATTTTGGAACTCTGAAGTCTATTGAAGGTTTGCAACTTCCAGGGTAAGACTTGAGTGGTAAATTGTGGTTAATTATGGTCAATGTCAGCTCTTCCCACAGTTGCAGCTACCCATCTTCCAACCCCAGTCATGTGGCAGGCAGCTATGCACGTGTTCCTGGGGTAGCTTGCACACAGCTGTGAGAGACAGGGTGAGTAAAACACATCCTGTTGTTCAGATTTTGGGGATCTGTTCTCTGTTTGCTGATTTTTGCTTCTGATCAAAGAGATGAGGACACTGAGGTGATAGCTATTATTCTTGTACCTCCTCCTATTGTTACAAATTTAAAGGGCTAGATTTTTCTCCAAGCCCATTTAATTTTATTTTCCCAAACCCATTTTATGTTCCCCATTTGGAAGCCAGATACTATAGATTAGAACATTCAAAAGCAACTGGATATATGAGGGAAAGCAGAAAGTGACCATGCAAACCCACGGAAAGGCACAGGCTCATAAGAAAACTGAGAAGACCTTGAGTTTGCACCTCAGGCTGATCCTTGACACAGGGCCATGCTACAACAATCAGAAAAGCATAAACAATAAGTAACAAAAAAACAGCTAATCCCAGGGAAGGATAGAATCTTATTTCCAGAGTCAGTACATTATTAGATTCAAACTTTGTTTCCCCAAAAATTACAAGGCATACAAAGAAACAGTGAACTGTAACCCAGTCAAACTTAAAACGTGAATGAACACATCAACAAAAACTGACACTGGAAAAGACCCGACAACAAATCTACTAGTTAAAGACTTAAGAGAACTATTTTACCCAGGCACCAGGCCAGTCTCCTCAAGTACTACAGCAGCAAACCCAACCATGTATCACACTAGATAACCTACCCAGAATCTCTGTACAGACTGACAGTTGAGGGCTTTCCCTGCTAGCATCATTCAGTAAAGATTGAAATAAGTGCCTACATCTTTAATTGTCAGACACAAATGCATGGCCTCAAGGATCATGAATAAACAAGGAAACATGACACCCCCAAAGAAATAAAATAAAGCACAAGTAGCCAATTTTAAATAAATTTGATTTATTTATGCACTGCCTAAGAATTCAGAATAATCACCTTACAAAAGTTCACTAAGCTATAGAGAATATAGATAGACAACTAAATGGAATCAGAAAAACAATTCACGAGCAAAAAGAATTTTAACAGAGATGGCAATGATAAAAAACAATCAAACAAATTCTGGAGCAAAAGGACACAATGACTGTACTAAAACTTTCATAGAGAATTTCAACAGTAGACTTGATCAAGCAAAGGATCAGTGGATTCAAAGACAGGTCACTTATGAAACCTATGGATTATTGGCATTCCTAAGAGAAAATGTGAATCACCTGGAAAACATATTTGAGATAATAATTCAAGAAAATTTCCCAAATCCTGTCAGATACAAGAAATCCAGAGAACACCTGTAAGAATCTATACAAAATAAATAATCACCAATGCACATAGTCACCAGACTAGCCAAGGTCAAAGCTAAAGAAAAATTCTTAAAGGCAGCTAGAGAAAAAGGTCTGATTACATACAAAGGGAACACCATCAGCTAACAGAGGACTTCTCAGCAGAAACCTTACAACCCAGGAGATATTTATTGGAGGTCAATTTTTAGCATTCTTAAAGAGACATTCCAGCCAGGGATTTCATATGCCTTCAAACTAAGCTTCATAAGCAAAGGGTAAATAAAAGCTTTTTTAGACAAGAAAGCACTAAGGGAATCTGTTACCACTAAACCAACCTAAGGAGATCCTTAAGAGAGTTCTAAACATGGAAATGAAAGAACAGTATCTGCTGCCACAAAAACACACAAGTACATAGCTCACACACCCTATAAAGCAATCATATGATAGAAACAATAAAGCCATCAGCCAACAACTTCATGACAGGATCAAAACGTCAAATCTCAATATTAATCTTGAATGTAAAGGGTGTAAATATCCCACTTAAAAGGTACAGAGTTGCAAGTTGGATAAAATAAACAAGACCCATTTATCTGTAGTCTTCAAAGGACCCATCTCACATGTAACAACAACCATAGGTTCAAAGTAAAGAGTTTGAAAAACATCATGCAAATGGAAAATGAAAAAGAGCAAGAATCATTATTCTTACATTAGATAAAACAGATAGTAAACCAACAGTAGTCATAAAGGACAAAGAAGGGCATTACATGATGCTAAAGAGCACAATTCAACAAGACTTAGCTATCCTAAATATGTATACGTATAACACTTAAACACCCAAAATTCATAGAATGACAATTCCCATGTCTATGAAAAGACTTAGACAGCTACATAATAATAGTAGGGACTTCAATACCCAATAACAGTGTTACACAAATCATTGAAGTAGAAAACTAACAAAGATACTCTGGACTTAAATTCAACACTTAACCAACTGAACCTAATGAATATCTACAGAATACTTCACCTATCAACTACAAAATTCTTCTCATCTGCACGTGAAACATGCTCCAAGATTGACCACATACTCAGCCATAAAGCAAGTCACAGTAATTCAAAAAAAATGAAATAATAGTACCCTTGTACTACAGGGAATCAAAATAGAAATCAATACCAAGAAAATTACCAACCCCACACAATTACATGAAAATTAAGCAACCTATTCCTGATGATTTTGGGGAAAACAATAAAATTAAGACAGAAATCAAAAAAAGTTTTGAAATAAATAGAATCAGAGACACAACATACCAAAACATCTGGGATGCAGCAAAAGCAGTATTAAGAGTAAAGTTTATAGTGCTAAATGCTTACATCAAGAAGTTAGAATGATCTCAAATTAATGATATAATATCACACCTAGAAGAAGTAGAAAAACAAGAACAAAACAGTTCCAAACTAACAGAAGAAAAGAAATAACTAAAATCAAAGAAAAATGGAATGAAACTGAGACTCCCCAAAAACCCACAAAGATAATCAAGAAAACCAAAAGTCAGTTCTTTGAAAGGGTAAGCATGATTGATAGACCACTAACTAGATAAAAAAAGAGAGAAGATTCAAATAACCACAATCAGAAACTACAAAGGTGACATTATAACTGATCTCACAGAAATAAAAAATATCCTTAGAGGCTACTATAAACACCATTATGCATGCAAACTAGAAAATATAGAGGCAATGGATACTCCTGGGAACACACAACCTCCCAATATTGAATCAGGAAGAAACTGAAACCCTGAAGAGATGAATATCAAGTTCCAAAATTGAATCCATAATTTTAAAAACTACCAAACAAACAGCCAGGTTGATTCACAGCTGAATTCTACCACATGTACAAAGAAGTAGTACCAATTCTACTGAAACTATCCCAAAAAATTGAGGAGGAAGGACTCCTCTCCTAACTCATTCTGTGGAGCCAGCTTCACTCTAATACCAAAACTTGGCAAAGACACAACAATAAAAGAAAACTACAGGCCAACATCTCTGATTAACACAGATGCAAAAATCCTCAACAAACCAAAACCTTAGTAAACTAAATCCAGCAGAACGTCAAAAATTAATTTACTACAACCAAGTAGGCTTCATTTCAGGGATGCAAGATTGTTTCAACATATGCAAATCAATGTCATTTGCTGCATATACAGAATTTTTTTAAATGTAATAATCTCAATGGACATGAAAAAGGCCTCAGTGAAATTCCATATCCATTCCTGAAAATAATAAGAGTTGTCTGTGACAGACCCACCACCAACATCATACTGAATGAGCAAAAGCTGGAAAAACCCCCCTTGAGAAATGGAAAATAACCACCATGCCCATTCTCTCCAGTCCTAATCAACATAGTACTAAAAGTCCTTGCCAGGTCAATCAGGCAAGAGAAAGAAATGAAAAGCATAAAAATAGAGGGGGAAAAAAAGGCCAATTATCTCTCTTTGCTGACAAGATGATCCTATACCTAGAAAACCCTAAAGACTCTGCCAAAATGTTCCTGGAACTTACAAAAGGCTTAGTAAAGTTTCAGGATACAAAATCAATGTTAAAAAACTGGAATTTCTGTACAACAAAAACGTTCAAGCTGAGAGCCAAGTGAAGAACACAATTCAATTTACAACAGCCACAGAAAAAAATAAAATACATAGGAATACATCTAACCAAGGAGGTGAATGATCTCTACAAAAAGAGCTACAAAACGCTGCTGAAAATATGCATAGATGACACAAACAAATGGAAAACATTCCATGCTTATGGATTGGAAAAATAAATATCAGTAAAATGGTCATACTTCCAAAAGCGATCTATAGATTAAATATTATTCCTATCAAACTATCATTGTCATTTTTCACATAATTAAAAAAAAATTCTCAATTGATATGGAGCCAAAAAGGAGCCAAAATAGCTAAGGTAATCCTAAGCAAAAAGAACAAAGCTGGAAGCATCAGGTTACCCAACTTCAAACTATACAATAAGGCTAGAGTAAGCAAAACAACACACTACTTTATAAAAACAGACATATGGACAAATACAACAGAAATGAGAAGCCAGAAATAAAGCCATACACATATAGCCATCTGATCTTTAACAAAGTCAACAAAAACAAGCAATAGGGAAAGGATTTTCTACTCAATAAATAATAGAAATATTTAATAAATATTATTAAATAAATGGTGCTCAGATAGTTGGCTAGCCATATGCAGAAGAATGAAACTGGACCCCTATATTTGACCACAGACAAAAATTAACTCAAAATGAATTAAAGATTTAAATGCAAGACCTGAAATCAAAAATTCAGGAGAAAACCAAGAAAATACATGGACATTGGCCTTGGGAAAGAATTTACGACTAAGTCTTCAAAAGCAATTGCAACAAAAATGAAAATTCACAAGTGGGAGGACCTAATTAAATTAAGGAGCTTCTGCATAGCAAAAGAAAACTATCAAGAGAATAAACAGGCAACCTACAAAATGGGAGAAAATATTTGCAAACTACACATCTGACAGAGGTCTAATATCCAGAATCTATAAGGAACTTAAGTAATTCAACAAGCAGAAAATATAGAACCCCATGAAAAAACAGGCAGGACAGACACTTCTCAAAAGATGACATAAAAGCAGCCACCCAACGTATGAAAAAATGCTCAACATCACTAATTGTCAGAGAAATATAAACCCAACCACAATAAGATACCATCTCACACCAGTCAGAATGGCTATTATTAAAAAAGTCAAAAAATAACAGATGTTGTAAGGTTGCAAAGAACAGGGAAAGCTTACACACTGCTGGTGGGAATGTAAATTAGTTCAGCCATTGTGGAAAGCAGTTTGGAGATTTCTCAAAGAGCTGAAAACAAAACTACCATTTGACCCAGCTATCTCATTACTAAGTATACACCCAAAGGAATATAAATCATTCTGCTATAAAGACACATGAACATGTGTGTTCATCACCATACTATTCACAATAGCAATGACATGGAATCAAACTAGATGCCCAAGAAAACGAGAGGTTCCTGTTAACAGGCCCCCATCTCACAAATTCAATCCCAGGTTACCACCCAGGAACAGGAGAGTCCAGGCTCTACTCCCCAGCAAAGGGCGTGAACTTCCCAAGGCTCCACCCCAGTGTTCACTCCTCCCATTGTGCAGGCTGCTTGGAGGTTCCGCAGGGAGCCCTCTTTACTTGGCTGTCTCAACATGATTTGTGTAGGCCTCATGAGAGCTACAAAGAAAAATCTGTGGTAGATTTACAAAAGATAAGTAGAAGAATTAAAGCATACTCCTACCCCCAAAAAATCATCACACAGACAGACATCAAATCACAAAGGAAGACATCCAGAGAGGAAGAACAGGACAAAGGAATTACGGAACAGTCAAAAAACAATTACCAAAATGGTAGTAAGAGGTTCAAGTTAAATCAATTCAGAGAGACTCATACCAAGACACATTTAATCAAACTTTTGGAAGACAGTGACAAAACAGAATACTAAAAGCAGTATAAGTGACTTACCACATACAAAGGATTCTCAATGAGATTATCAGAAGATTTCTAAACAGAGATTTTGGAAGCCAGAAGGAAGTGGGTCTATATATTTATAGTGCTCAAAATATATGACATCAAAGGCATAGGCAAGAACAACAACAAAAAAAATAGGCATATTGAACTTTATTAAAATTTTTAAAACTGTGCTTCAAAAGATAGTATCAACAAAAGCAACTCTTACAACAGTAGAAAATATTCTCAAATCATGTATCTGATAAGGAATTAATTTCCAGAATATATAATCAATTCTTAAAACTCAACAATATAAAAACCCACAATTTAAAAAAGGGTAAAGGATTTGAATAGACACTTCTCCAAATAAGATATACCAATTGTCGATAAGCACATGAAAAGATGTTCAAAGTAACTAATTATCAAGAAAATGCAAAAAAATATTAGAACCACGACAATATCTTAGCTCTACTAGTATTATTAAAATCAGTAAGGCTTACAATATCAAGACTTGAAGAGGATTTAGAACAGCTAGACAGCTAACATGGTGAAACCCTGTCTTTACTAAAAACACAAAAAGTAGTCAGGTGGGGTGGTAAGTGCCTGTAGTCCCAGCTACTTGGGAGGCTGAGGCAGGAGAATTGCTTGAACCTGGGAGGCGGGGGCTACAGTAAGCTAAGATCACACCACTGCACTCTAGCCTGGGCAACAGAGCAAGATTCCATCTCAGAAAGAAAGAAAAAAACACATAAAACTGGGGTCATTAAAAATAGAATAATCATTTTGGAAAATAATTTGGCAATTTCTTGTAAGGTTGAGCCTATAATTACCACTGAATTCAGCCATGACATTTTTAAGTATTTACCAAAGAAAAATTTATTTAATACCTCTGACCAAGATTTTTACATTAAGTGTTAATTACAACAGTATTCATAATAGCTGAAAACAGAAAATAGCACTAATGTTCATAAACGAGTGAATGAATAAACACATTGTGAGATATTCATGCAAAAGCATATTTATCAATTTAAAAAATAAAGATACCTGCAACAACTTGGATGAATCTGGAAAGAAAACCAGCTAAGAGGAATAAATCAGCACAAAATAATGCATACTATTTTATTTCGTGTACAAGAAATTCTAGAACACGAAGATCTAATCTGCAGTGACTGAAAGGTGAACAGTGGTTTCTAAGGCCAGACGTGGTGGGAATTGACTTTAACAGGTATGGAGAACTTTTGACAGTAATAAAAATATTCTCTATCATGATTGGGGTGATGGTTATATAGATATATATATATATTTGTCAATACTCAAACTGCACACTTAAAATAGGCAAATTTTATTGAATGCAAATTATGTATGTGTGTATACATAAACAGATATATATAGACATAAAAAGTTAACTATTAAATAAAATATTGTTTAATCTGTGGAACCTCAATATATAAACAAATAAAAGCAGAGCTTCAAATTCTGATATGGGGGTAGGAGTCTTGCATGCCCAATGACATTCCCTTTTACACAGTGCTCCTTAAGAAATCAGGAAAAATCATGAGGACTTGACAGAACACAAAATAAAAACCACACTCCACAGTATCTAAGAAACAGTTATAAGAAAATTTAACTATTTTTATTATATTTATCTTCAATACTAATATAATCTAATCATAATGTATAACACTTTACTCAATTGAGTAAGTCTCACAAAGACAATGTCGTAAAGATTATTTTTTGGAAAAAAAAAATTTAGAGTGACGTCAAAAGTCAAATTACCAGCCTGCAGTGTTTTCTCAACAAGTGACATCTGAGCTGCATCGGTCTTGGCATCCAGGAAAAGGCAAGGGTTACTTACAAAGAAGAATAGACTTGTGATGGAAAGTCTTTCATTTAAGGGTGAGTGAAACCTGGAACATTTCCTTTCATAATTAAATTATACCAATGTCTGGGCTTCACATTTCATAGAAAATGTGGTTTTGTGTCTTCTCATTCACTTTGAGTTGAGCAAGAGACACGTTCAACTAAACTTGACATCGGCCCCAGCATGAAGTATGGTGCCAAGGGAATTCTTAAGAGATGCAGAAATTCGCCAATGTGGGAAGAACTTGGCTTTCACCTATCTGTTGCCAGAATTGAAAATTCCACTCAAGAGTCA
The DNA here is from genome assembly GCF_000001405.40 of Homo sapiens. NCBI lineage: Eukaryota > Metazoa > Chordata > Mammalia > Primates > Hominidae > Homo > Homo sapiens. The sequence goes on from NC_000011.10 coordinate 29,859,195, forward strand.
ACTCTTTAAACCTACTGCTGGGGTAAAATAATTGTTCCTTCTTTCCATCAAAATTTATGTATTATTTAGAAAGCATTTGGTTATAAGCAAAGATGATAGTTCAAGTAAATACCAACCATGATGGTAATACAGTAAACATACAAATAAATATGTGATTCAAAAATTTAAATATATATTCCCTTTTGAACTCTAGACTATTTTTAAAGTGACATACAACGTTCATCACATCTTCCAATAATTTTCAAGTCATTTGTTGATTTTTAGAAACTGTTGCTGTGACTGACAGAGCTAAGTGATGTCCCTGTTTCAGCCATGATTTATTAATATGAATCATATGAACTATTCCAACAACTTTCTCAACTAGTTGATAGTTATTCTGTGACTTACAGTCTCAAAGAGTAGAAAATTTCTATAAACTCACCAATACTATTAACTCACAGTAGCTCTGTAAACCTCAGACCAATGTTCTTAGCAGTCCCAGAAGTATGATCAGGGGAAAAGAGATGATTGAGAGAAAGGGCTCATTGAGAGAGAGCCCCATTCATGGCTGAGTTTGTAGCAGTGGAATAAGCACCATGTGGTCCTGCCCTGTATGGACAAGTGGGTAAACACTACCGGCCTACCAATCTTTGGGTTCTAGCCAACTTTCTGTAAGACAGCTTCAGCAATTGAAGTACACCTGTCCTTTACCCAATCAGTATCACTGGAGATTAACCCAGAGAACAGAAGCAGGGAAGGGAGATGGTGTCTTAAACTGCAATACCTCCTATTCTCCTTCCAGAGTAAACCAGGACCTGTTCAACACAGAACCCTCTTCCAATCAAGGCAGACATGACCTACAGAGAGAAAATTTTTTTATAGGCTGTGTGTGATTCTCCAAAAGTAGAGTTATTCTGGAAAATTCCAGAACACAGTTGTGCTGCTTACCTGGCCAAAGACAAGCACCAGAAAGTGCTGCAATCATTTCATGAACATCCCCATAACAAGGTGACCATTCAACAATAATCATTGCAACATCCTATGACAATTGTCTTGAACTAATTTCACTGTCATGGTCATTACTGCCAACAGATAAAGAATAATGTCAACATTTTAACAAGTGCCATAGTGATTATTTCCTTGAGCTGCTGGGTTGGGAAAGGCTAGCTTTCCTGAGATGTGGAACATCTGCCTGCTACCTACACAAAATAAGGATTCTGTTAAGAAAAAGAAAGGTGGCAGCTATTGAATGGGATCTGCCACAATTGGATTTCATTTTGTGGATATACTTACAACTATTATTAGTACCACCATTATTAGTATTACTACTACTAATAGTACCTATATCTTTTATTGAGTAAATACTTCATCAGGCAATTAACTATGCTAAATACTTTGCTTATATTCTCTACTTAGGAAATGATCATAAGAAAATTTAACTATTTAATTCACACAAAAATGTTTAGGGGCTTGAAAGGCTAATAAAATTTATATAGTTAGCATTTAATTTCACCTAAGGCCTACATGATTCTAAGGCCTAAACTACACATTCATGGAATGACCTATATTTCTATACATGGGTAAATTTTAAAAACAGTTCTCCTCACAGTTCAGTCCTGGCATTATTCCTATTATTTAATTCCATGCATAAGGATGCTCACTAAAAATGAAAGTAACTCGTTATTCTGCCTTTGCACATAATTGTTTTTAAATTGTGTCAAGAATTGCATTGCTATTAAGGCCTCTAGATAAAAGAATTTCAACGATGCTATTATAAGATGGCTGTAGCACAGTTCTCTTCCTGAGAGGATTAAATGAAATACTATTTAATGAAATACTATTTAATGAAATCCTACTATTAATAGGATTAAATGAAATAGTATGAAATGAGCTTTACTCAGCCCAAGGCTTGGCACACAGTACCAATGAGCTTTGAAGATCACAGGCAGGTAGCCAGACTGTGAAGTTGTAAATTTAGGTTGGTTTGGGGGCTGTTGACAAAAAAATCAAAATATAATATAAATTCCTCCCCTTGGTCTTCATTTTTTATACCTGTGTTAATACCTCCAGAGACTATTCAACATGCTCTGGCTTTAAATAAATTGAATGAATTTTGAAATATATGTGGCATTACCTCATTATTTTAAATAGTTAACATTTTTTCAGCGTTTACTAAATATCAGGTGCTGTGCTAAGCAAGTTAAATGTATTATCTCATTTAATTATCATGATGACCCTAGGAGACAGATATTCATGGGAGTTTTATTAAGTAACAGTAAGTAAAGTAAATGTCTTTTTCTCCCAGTAATTAACACAACAGTCTTACTATATCTGAGTTCAGAATTATAAAATAGATAAAGCAATCAGACAGGTGGAGATACAAAATATTCTTATTATGTATTAAGCTGAAGTCTTACTATATCTGAGTTCAGAATTATAAAATAGATAAAGCAATCAGACAGACAGGTGGAGATACAAAATGTTCTTATTATGTCTTAAGCTGATCAAAGAACATGTCTTTGTTTCGGAGCAAGCCAACCCCACCCAGTCTCAGACAGCACTACACAGCGGCAGTCTCCCAGAGGGTCAGGCCCTTTCAATGACAAGACAACCACCATGTCTGAACACAGGCTCCCTAAAAAATAGGAAGATCCACAAGGAGAACCTTCTGAAGGCTGAGCAGTGTATGCAGGCCTTGTTCCTTCTTTCATATTCATCGATGAGAAAAGTTGCCTATCTTAGGTCTGGTCCTGTGGAAAGTGACTTTGAGATGAAGATTTACTCATAGTTGGTTTACTGGGGAGTACTTGAGGGATCAGTATCTGTGGGGTTTGAGGGAAACAGGATTGGACAGAGGTGAAATTGAAATGTCATGCAATTTCAATAAAGGCTTCTGCAGATCCCAAAGGGAGCTCTGGAGCAGGAAGGCCCTGCACAGTTGTCTTGTGCAGAGGCAAGAGGCCTGGGCCTTTGTATACTTACGTTGACTAGTCATTGGATGCAGGCTGACTTTTGGAGGTCAAATAACTTGCTCAAGGCGGCTCCCTTCAGTTGCAGGCCCTTCTTGCGTGACAGCTGTGGCCTGTTGGCAGTCAGTAGCCTTGCAGTTAAAGAAATGAATGCCTTGGTCCTAAAGAGAGGACTTGGGAAAAGCAACACAGAATCTATCGGGTGAGAAACCAATAGTGGTTTCCAGTAGAACTTGCTGCATACGGAAATAGAAAACCAGGAAAAAGGGGATTCTCCGAGAATAGAGATCATGATTATACTCATTTACATATGAATAAAAATTAATGAGAATACCCAGCAAGTGATAAAGGTGGTAATTACAAATAGTCTGAACTCACTCTGTTATGTTGCCTTTTTCTGCAGAGCTTGGATAATAAGTAGTTTACAGAAATTATGAGAAAAGCTTAGATTTCCACTGATACATGATAAACAATATTACATGAGTTGAAATATTTGGTCTACCGTGAAAATAAAAAAAATTTAGCCAGTAGTAATATGTATATATGCCTATGTCTGAATATTACTATCAATTCCCATTTAAATTTGATATCCTACTTATGCTGACTCTGGACAGTTATAGTAATTGTTAGAAAGTTCTCCCTCTGCACAAAATCAAACTCTGCCTTATAAGTTGTGCATACCTTTTATAAATGCTATGTCAGAATGATCCATGAAGCTGTTAATAAAAATGGATGCCCAGGCCCTACCTCAGATCTATAGAAAATCAGAGCCTCCTGAATTTGATTTTATAAACTGTTGTTTTCTTCTGGTCCATTCTCCTGGTTAAGAACCAGTGCTCTAGTGTGACACATATTTAACTTATTTTGGAAAACATTAAATAGATGCTTACTGTGTGCATGCAGTACATTAATCTACTTTTACATGTGATACATAAAACTACCCCAATCTAAATTTTCTAGGTCAGATAAGAATGTTGGTTCAAGCAATACCCCAAAGTTGTGTAGATTCTTCAACATCCTGCGACCACTACCTGAATCCCCTATACTCCAATTTAGATATATATTTGCCTTTTAAAAATATATTATATACTACAAAATACTACAGATTTGGTCTAGACTGCGCAAAGTTTGTTCATGTCCACTACCATAAACCTATGGTTCCGATGTCTAAAAGAAATATAAAAATGAAAACATCTGAAGTAGCTAAATACAACCTACAACTTCACAACGTACAGCAATCAATCCTCTACTGTTTTTAAATTGGGAGTCCACAGCCACTCTATTTGATATTGGAAAAAAACTTTAAAACTATTCCATAACTAATTCACAGTCACACTCTAACACATTCTATGCACTTGTAGTGATTGCTGTGTAACATGAATGCACACTAACTAGAATGCTCCATGAAGAAGGGAATTTATTCTTTGGTCTCTGACTATGCATCTAGACTATCATCTACAACAGTGGCCAGCACATAGTTTTTGCTCCTCAAACATTGTCAATTGAAGCAGTGAACATCAGAGTTAGGTATTTGTAGAAAGCAAATTTATGGAATTGATATGATTGGCATTGATCTTATGGAGCTAAACTGAATTTCCCAAGTAGAACTTCATTCTACTATCAATTTTCCAGAATCAGATTATTTATATTAATAGCTGTAGAAGTGGCTTTTTCATCATTTTTACCTGTTCCCAGCATCTGTGAAAGATGAAACAAGCTTTTAACAGTAATACCACAGGAGATCATGGCCACAGAGTACAGGTTAAGGATAGGAGAACAAACCAGAATTTTGGGATGGGGAGTTAAAATATTTTGAGCAAAAAATGTAAAAGCCACGTAAAACAGCTACGGAAACTGGCAGTTCACGGGCAATAAGCAGCCCAGTCTGTTAAGGTGTTTTGTTTTGTTCTCCCCAGTTTTCCTGTGATACTGCACAGTGGTCTTCAAAGCGCAGTCACTAGGTAGATTCTGTGCCCCACCTTCATGCAGTTAGCTTGGCAATTCTCATCTCACACTGTTCATTTAATCCTGGTCTATAAGTTGAATGTCCCCTGCAGATATCTGAGCTTGAGTTCTCAACTCTGTGTTATTACCTGCAACCAGGTAATGAAAACTATTTAACCCATATCACACATAGACCTAGACACCAAAATCCATAAATTTTAAAGGCACAGTAATAGATATGATTATGCATACCAAGCCTTCTGTATTAAGGTTTTATTGGTGCATAACACCACACATTACTATAAATAGTGGCTTTAATGATATACATTTATTATTTCACAGATTCCCTGGGTTAACAGTGCAGGTGTGGATTAGCTGGGTCCTATGCTCAGGGTCTCAGAGGCTGCAAATAAGATGTTTACTGAGGCTTGTCTCATTAATGCTCAAGATCTTCTTCAAAACTCACACGGTTGCTGGCAGAATTCAATTTCTTGTGGTTATAGGACTTTGTCCCTCAGATTTTAGAGGCCACCAGTTCCATGCCATCTAGTCTTTTTTCTTTTTAGAGACAAAGTCTCACTCTGTAACCCAGAATGGGGTGCAGTGGTGTAATCATAGCTCACTGTAACTTTAAACTGCCACACTCAAGCGATCCTCCTGCCTCAGTCTCCTGAGTAGCTAAGACTACAGGCTTGTGCCACCATATCTGGCTACTTTTAAGAATTTTTGTAGAGATGGGTCTCACTATCTCACTATGTTGCCCAGGCTTGTCTGAAACTCCTGGTCTCAAGCAATCCTCCCACTTCAGCCTCCAAAGCACTAGGGTTACAGGTGTGAGCTACTGCACCCAGCCAAGCCTTCTTGATAGGCTTTTCACATCATAGCAGCTTTCTCCAGCAAAGCCAGGAAGGGAGAGTCCAAGCTGCTAAGACAGTCTTATATAACACATATAATCATTCATAGGAGTAACAAATCATCACCTTTGCTATAGAACGTAAACCAGTCAAGACAGTGATATCCCATTAACATAGCCCAATAAAGGGAGAGATATTCTATTACCTTTGCCATATTGTATGTTAGAAGTCACACGCTTCTGCCCACAGTGGGGGGATGAGTTTTACCAAGGCATAACTCATTTTAAGAGTCACTTAGAGTATGTCTCTAATACCTTCCTTCTTCTCATTCTATCTTTCAACTGGAGAGAGCTTTAAGTATCATTATACTTAAACTCCTTATTCTATGCCATTTGGTGTCATAGGGATAAAAACTTTTGGGTTAGATTCTCCGCAGGAAGTGTAAAAGTATAGTTATTACTATGAAGAAATGGATGAGGGAAATCCAGGCCATAGCCTCTAATATAAATAAGAATTATCTCTGGAGAGATCATGAAAGTACCCCTGGGTTCCCAAAAGATTTACATTTCCTTTTAGTGCTACTCATATAACCATATGAGGTGGTTGTTCAGGAACAAGATCTGAAAAGAGCAGATCCCAAATTTCAGCATGCATATGAATTATCCAGAGAGCTTCTTAACATACAGATCCCTGGGCCCTATCACCACAAGTTCTTCTTTAGTAGATCTGAGGTGGAGCCCAGGAATTTGCATTTCTAACTCCCAAATGATTTAAGCTCTTATAACAAAAGGCTTACAATTTCTCTAGATATGAACACAACTAGAAATGGAATTTTTAAAATTTCCCAAGTCTTGTGAACTGTTTGAACTGAACGTATTCAGATCATACTATATTGTAAGACTTATGATGTCAAGGGTAACAATTTTCTTCAAAATTGTATCCTAAATCAACCAACGTGCCTAGTAAGTGGAAGACATTATACATACATATGTATGTAATAAATACATAGTGAATGTTTTTGAAAGTTCAAGTTTCAAACATCAATTATCAATGCCACTCTGTATTACACATATTTATGTCTCACTTTACATCTTCTTGACCCACTTTTTCACTCCAGCCATTGCTATGACAACAAGCTACACCCAGGTATAACTTCAGTATAGTTTTTGTCATTCACTTTCTGCACCAAGACTTGTTGGATAGCACTATCTGGAATGGCTGTGGAAACCCACTCAGTCATTCTGAAGGATTCATCAAGTACTAGTGAGTTAAAATCCCTTAGGGAAACCTCTGATCAATGAAGATAGAGACAATAACAGGGCTTGGCATGAAAAATCATATCTTTTTTGTCTTTGTCTTCTGTCCCTTGGGCCTTTCAGAGGGTTTATTGCAGGATCAAACTCCAATTGCCTATAGCCATAAACAGGCTACTAACACACACTGGTTTTCTTCTTATTTCTCTCTAGAGACAACTCCTGTTCCTTTAGATTACTTTCCAAAATAAATTACCAACACAAAAACCTTCATCCTAGGCTCTGTTATTTGTGAGATCTCAAATGAAGACAACTGGTACCAGAAGTGGTCCTAGAAATCAGACTCACAATGGCATTCCAGGGCTGAATTTCCCACCAGGTGGACAGCACTAAGTGTCCCACTGTAATAATAATGGAAATGGTGACAACCACTAACATGGTAGCATCATAATTGCTAGGACCCTCACACCAGTGGTGAATTGGGAGAGGTTCAGGTGGATGGTGAAGCACTGTCTTAGGAGGTAGCAGTGGAAGGAACCTGGATGATATAGAAACAATGATGATAAAGATTATGGAGTTGCCTGGATTTTGTTTACAGCTGTAAAAGCCTTGAAAAAAGAAAAAAAATGGAAGGCTCAATGTAACCAACTAATAACTGAAATCCGTTAAGTTCTTAAACAGAGGGGTCATGGTGACAGGAACAAACTATAGTGTTCCTAGGATGAAAAAGATAGGGAGCTGATTAGGGTATATTTGCATAACTAGGTAAAATCAAGAGCTGGTACATAGAAGGCTGAGGTCACTGCTCTAATGAAAAACTATGGTGTCTCATATACATCCCAGATGTCTGTTCCCATCCCAGAGCCCACTGACTGCAGAGAGTCCATGTCCACTGGAGAAGAGACTCAAGTATGAACAACACACATTCCCCATTTCTTTCCAAAAGGTACTTGCAGCTATTTATTAGAGAAAATATATCCTGTGCTGAAGCACTATATAAACCATCTCAGGGCTGAAGAAGACAGATAATTGTGGAATCTGAGCTGCTACTGACACCTGGGACCAGAAATATAATTGTAAACTGTGGTTAGATAAGTGCTTATGGAAGGCAATAGATAAATCAAATCCTAACCCATCCTCACCCCACAGTGAATCCAAAAGGTCTATGGACCCATCTGTGGGTTACCTATCCAGTTTCTGAGTGCATCATTGGGTTGGATATATTTAGCAGCTAGTAGAATTCTCACACTGGTTCCCTAAACGATAAATAAGAAACACTATGGTAGCAAACACCATGAGGAAGCCTCTTAAATTGCACCTCATCCCCCTGACAAGATAATCAATAAGAAGCAATTTCACATCCTAGGCAGAATCACCTATTGTTTGAACTTATACCAAAGACTTGCCAAAGAATATGACATTTTACAGGCCCACTTATAATGGCAGATCTGTAGGCAAGGAAGGAGAAACTATATCTGGAGTATGCATTAATCCCAATACCAGTGAATTTTTGCCTCCTTTTAAGTGGAAAGGGTCTGATATAATCAACCTGCCACTAGGGTACTGGTTTGTCTCCCTGAGGAAAGGTGATATATCAACATTAATCTGATGCCAGCAGGCTGACCATCAAAGAGGAGCTAGAGAAGCTTTGATTAGAGAAAACTCACATTGATTAACTTGCTCATTGCCTCCGTCCCTGTTACATGTTCCCTGATGGTGGACCCATTAAGCAAGTACTAAGATGGTTTAGGACAAAGCTGCCTATCATCCACAGAACAGCTTATCCTGATTCTGGTCTAGAAAGTCTTTTGTAAAGATTGTAACCAGCCATAGAGAAAGGCTTTTGTAAAGATTGTAACCAGCCACAACTTTGAAGGCTGTATGATGAATTAGACTTAATGCAGGGCACAAGCTCAAGGAGTAAACTGTATCAGACACTTTTGTCCAACTCACTTCCTTTCATTCCACTTTTTCACTCCAGCCATTGTTTTTATGGTATTCATGGCACTCAGCTGTGTGTATGGGTAATCCATACACACAGTCAAAATTAAACTCTGCTGCCTAATTTCTGCTCTCTGTCCTGGAACTTTTCTGAAAGAACCACTTCCGTTACCATCAATATCTTCTTAGCAACATGCAAACCTTTGTGAGAAGGAGTTGATGCACTATGGGGCAACCTTTAATCACTGAAGAAGGAAATCTATGGATAAATGCTTCCCTCATCTTCCCTTGGGCAGACAGTTCTGAGGTGAACACTACATACGCAACTTCAGAGTTCCTAGCAAGATCAAGCCTGTTGTCCACAGCATAGAACAGGTGGCTAATACAACCTTAAATCAGCCTTCTATTCTATTTCACTATTTCACTCTTCCCATTCCCCTACTGCTGTTCTTTAGGATAGTTTCCTAAAATAAATAACCCTCAAGGAAACTTTTGTCTCTGGCTCTGCATTTTAGAGGAACTCAAACTAAGAAAGTCCTTTCCCATGTGTCTTTTGGCTGCATAAATGTCTTCTTTTGAGAAGTGTCTGTTCATATCCTTTGCCCACTTTTTGATGGGGTTGTTTGTTTTTTTTCTTGTAAATTTGTTTGAGTTCATTGTAGATTCTGGATATTAGCCCTTTGTCAGATGAGTAGGTTGCGAAAATTTTCTCCCATTTTGTAGGTTGCCTGTTCACTCTGATGGTAGTTTCTTTTGCTGTGCAGAAGCTCTTTAGTTTAGTTAGATCCCATTTGTCAATTTTGGCTTTTGTTGCCATTGCTTTTGGTGTTTTAGACATGAAGTCCTTGCCCATGCCTATGTCCTGAATGGTAATGCCTAGGTTTTCTTCTAGGGTTTTTCTGGTTTTAGGTCTAACGTTTAAGTCTTTAATCCATCTTGAATTGATTTTTGTATAAGGTGTAAGGAAGGGATCCAGTTTCAGCTTTCTACATATGGCTAGTCAGTTTTCCCAGCACCATTTATTAAATAGGGAATCCTTTCCCCATTGCTTGTTTTTCTCAGGTTTGTCAAAGATCAGATAGTTGTAGATAAGCGGCATTATTTCTGAGGGCTCTGTTCTGTTCCATTGATCTATATCTCTGTTTTGGTACCATGAAAAAATGCTCATCATCACTGGGCATCAGAGAAATGCAAATCAAAACCACAATGAGATACCATCTCACACCAGTTAGAATGGCAATCATTAAAAAGTCAGGAAACAACAGGTGCTGGAGAGGATGTGGATAAATAGGAACACTTTTACACTGTTGGTGGGACTGTAAACTAGTTCAACCATTGTGGAAGTCAGTGTGGCGATTCCTCAGGGATCTAGAACTAGAAATACCATTTGACCCAGCCATCCCATTACTGGGTATATACCCAAAGGATTATAAATCATGCTGCTATAAAGACACATGCACACCTATGTTTATTGCGGCACTATTCACAATAGCAAAGACTTGGAGCCAACCCAAATGTCCAACAATGATAGACTGGATTAAGAAAATGTGGCACATATACACCATGGAATACTATGCAGCCATAAAAAATGATGAGTTCATGTCCTTTGTAGGGACATGGATGAAGCTGGAAACCATCATTCTCAGCAAACTATCGCAAGGACAAAAAACCAAACACCGTATGTTCTCACTCATAGGTGGGAATTGAACAATGAGAACACATGGACACAGGAAGGGGAACATCACACTCTGGGGACAGTTGTGGGGTGGGGGGAGGGATAGCATTAGGAGATATACCTAATGCTAAATGACGAGTTAATGGGTGCAGCACAGCAGCATGGCACATGTATACATATGTAACTAACCTGCACATTGTGCACAGGTACCCTAAAACTTAAAGTATAATAATAATAAAGTCCTTTCCCAGTTGCAGAGAAAAGTTCAGTAAGAGGGCAGAGGCTCTGTTAAATGGGAGGAAGTCAAGATAAAAATGGAGAGAAAACTCAAAAACTTTCCAATGCCATCTTGAAATGAATCTATAAATTTTGTGTTCCTACAAAAAAAAAAGTCTTCCACGTTCAAAGACTGGGAAATTTAATAATAGTATTCTGAACATAGGTTCCCTGATATAACTTTAAAATGTGGAGTTACCCTTTAACATTTTTTCCCTCTTTCCATTACCTATACCCTCTCTGTGTTCATAAACCGTCCACAAATCCTATCTTTGTAAAAAGGGTTCATATACACTTCCTCCTTTACATTTTCAACGTCTCTCACTCTCATTCCAGGCTCTTAGCATTTTCATACCTGTTCTTTCTTACTCCAGTGCCTCTTATCACTATTCTAATATTTCTAAAATATCGTTTGGCTTATTTTGCTGATCCAAAGTTCCTGTGGCCTTTTCCAATTTAGAACAATGTAAACAATCATTCATACTAAAACATATTTATTAATCACATATGAAATGTCAGGCATTCTAGCTAGGAGCTAGAAATAAAATGCTGAGCAAAGCAGGCGTCATTCTTCTCACCTACATTTTTAACATTACCTCATATTACTCATAAAATCTTCTGCCCAATGCAGTTAAATTTCTTTTTTTGGTCCCAGGAAATAAGATCTTCAAGTCTTTAATTGTTTCAGCTACTTGACAATCACTCCCTGTCTTCCCTCTGTTTATCTGAAGCTCATTGTTTATTTCTAAGATGGACCTATTCTACGAAGATTCTAACCAGATCTATCTGCCTTCAAGTAGTGTTTGCTTCCTGTAAATTTTTACTATATACACTGTCCTTAGCACTTATCTGACCCTTATTGTATGCACAAGTACATGACAAAGATTGATAGTTTACACTGAACCAGTTGTTGTATTTTTAAGACTTGTACTTATCTACGGTACTATTTTCTCATTAATTTACCAATTAAATATACAGTAACCTTAGATATAGTTTTATTTTTTCTCATTTATTCAAACATTTACAGAGCGCCTGTAGAAAACTAGGCATTCTTGTAGGTACTTGGGGGGAGGTTCAAGAGGTAAAATATAATAAAGAACAATTATCTGCTCTCAAGTAGCATACTTTTGTTTTTGTTTTTATTTGAGACAGGGTCTCTCTGTTGCCCAGGCTGTAGTGCAGTGCTCTGATCACAGCTCACTGCAGCCTCAGTCTTCTGAGCTAATGTGATCCTCCCCACCTCAGCTTCTCTAGTAGCTGGGACTACAATCACACACCACCATGCCCTAATTGTTTTTCTCTTTGTTGAGAAGGGGTTTTGCCATATTGCCCAGGCTGGTCATGAACTCCTGGACTGAAGTGATCCCCCCACCTCAGCCTCCCGAAGTGCTGGGATTAAAGTCATGAGCCACTACACCTGGCCTCAAGTAGCATACTTTCTAACTCTCATGCCAAGAGTCTTTTGGTGGAAAACCATGAACTGAATTATTGACTAACAGTCCAGTGTTAGAACTGAAATGGATGCTAAGTTACTTATATTGTAATTTACTGAGGAAGCACTATGGCTTTGTTGTTAAAAATACACCCTTTGAAGTATGACTTTCTGTATTAAAATCTCAGCTCTGATATTTGCTAGCTTGTTTTCTTAGGTAAATTACATAACTTCCTGTGCTTCTGTTTCTCTTTTTAAGTTCAGGGGTACATGTCTAGGTTTATAGGTTACATAGGTAAACTTGTGTCATAGGGGTTTGTTGTACAGACTATTTTGTCACCCAGGTATGAAACCTAGTACTTATTAGTTATTTTTCCTGATCCTCTTCCTCCTCCCACTCTTTACCCTCTGATATGCCACAGTGTGTGTTGTTCCCTTCTATGTGTTCACGTGTTCTCATCATTTAGCTCCACTTATATGTGAGAACATGTGGTATTTGGCTTTCTGTTCCTGTGTTAGTTTGCTAAAGATAATGGCCTCCAGCTCCATGCACATTCTCACAAAGGACATGACCTCATTCCTTTTTATGGCTGCATAGTATTCCATAGTGTATATATACACTGCATTTTCTTTATCCAGTCTACCATTGATGGGCATTTAGTTGATTCCATGTCATTGCTATTGTGAATAGTGCTACAATGAACATACGTGTGTGTATGTATATGTATGTGTGTCTTTATGATAAAATGATTTCTATCCCTTTGGGTATATACCCAGAAATAGGATTTCTGGGTTGAATGGTAGTTCTGATTTAGGTCTTTGAAGAATTGCCACAGTGTCTTCCACAATGGTTGAACTAATTTACACTCCCACTAGCAGTGTAAAAGTGTTCTTTCTCCGTGACATCACCAGCATCTGTTATTTTTTGACTTTTTAATAATAGCCATTCTGACTGGTGTGAGATGATATCTCATTGTGGTTTGATTTCCATTTTCCCACTGATCTGTGATGCTGAGCTTTTTAACATATGCTTATTGGCCACATGTATGTCTTCTTTTGAAAAGTGTCTGGTCATGTCCTTTGCCCACTTTTTAATGTTTTTTTCTTCTCGTAAATTTGTTTAAGTTCCTTATAGAGCTGGTTATTAGATATTGGTCAGATGTATACTTTGCAAATATTTTCTCCCATTTTGAAGGTTGTCTGTTCACTCTGTTAATAATCTATTTCACTGTGCAGAAGCTCTTTAATTTAATTAGATCCAATTTGTCAATTTTTGCTTTTGTTGCAATTGCTTTTGGTGTCTTCATCATGAAATCGTTGCCAGTTCCTCTGTCCAGAATGATATTGCCTAGGTTGTCTTCCAGGGTTTTTATAGCTTGGAGCTGTACATTTAAGTCTTTAATGAATCTTGAGTTAATTTTTATATGTGATGTAAGGAAGGGGTGCAGTTTCATTCTTCTGCATATTGCTAGACAGTTATCCCAGTGCCATTTATTCAATAGGGAGTCCTTTCCCCATTGCTTGTTGTCAAAGATCAGATAGTTGTAAGTGTGCAGCCTTATTTCTGGGTTCTCTATTCTGTTTCTTTGGTATGTCTTTTTTTGTACTAGTATCATGCTGTTTTGGTTACTGTAACCCTGTAGTGTAGTTTGAGGTCAGGTAGCATAACACCTTCAGCTTTGTTCGTTTTGCTTACGATTCCCTTGGCTATTCAAGCTCTTATTTGGTTCCGTATGAATTTTAAAATAGTTTTTTCTCCAGCTCTGTGAAGAATGTCATTGGTAGTTTTGTAGGAACGACACTGAATCTATAAATTGCTTTGGGCAGCACAGCCATTTTAATGATATCGATTCTTCCTATCCATGAGCAGGGAATGTTTTTCCTTTTGTTTATGTCATCTCCAATTTCTTTGAGCAGTGGCTTATAGTTCTCTTTCCAGGTATCTTTCACCTCCCCAGTTAGCTGCAGTCCTAGGTATTTTCTGACAGTTGCATTTTATATTTGTCTGACAGTTGTGATTTTACCTTTCCAAAAGCATCATTTCACACAATATTATAAAACCCAGTCTAGATCAATGCTATCTCTCATATATTTAAAGCTTTTCCTCTCCTGATGCTTGCACATAGTGGACTCCATTATTCACTCATCTTGTTCCTTTACTCCTCCCTTTTAGCCACCAGGACTGCTTAGGGTGCTCCGTAAATGGAGTAGGGAAAGGGGAAGTAGTTTGGGTCAAGATCTTGCTTGGCTGATATGGTTACCACCTATATTGAGGCTGAGAGAAATACTTTTTTTCTATCTAATTAGACCCTCTTCCCAGGGATTTACAACTGCAGTTTCCATGCAGTTGCCTGTATTCCATACAGGCAATATCTTCTCTTGTTGCCTCAATCTTCAGATGGTTCACCCTTCCATGGGGGCTTCTTTGACCCTCCAGGTGGTATTGTAGGGTGGTGTGCCTTTGAGAAGCCCCTCTTCCTGTGTCCTTTTAGGGTCTACATAAGCATATATCTGTTTCACACAAAACTCTGGAAGAACAAGCCTGTCTCTTTCTCTACTACTACAGACCACTTCAGGCACGAGTCACATGTCAGATGTTGTATGATAATCTCAGAAAACACAAGCCAAGTCCTCTAAATGATTTTCTTAAAGAACCTTTCACCTGACTTCAAGGTTGGGAAGGTCTATTCATCATTGTTTCTCAATGGGATGCAGGAATCAGTCAGTACACTCACAAGTGTCACCAAAAACAGTCACACTCTGACTGCTCTCAAGAACTGTTAGCTTCATAAGGGTCTCTTATGTAGCCTGGACTCAATGTGCGTAATAGGCTAATCCTGGGAGAAATTATTTGCCCCTCACCCTGCCCACCCCATGGCATATGATATTGTACATCGATGCTCAAGAACTTCAATGTAGATTTAGATGTATTTAACAATTTAAAATCTATTCTCCTCATCTCTCAGAACTTAGCTCTAAAATTCCCAGTCAAGACCATTTTAGCATCTTTTCATGCAGGCATAAACACACTCTGTTTGTTTTTAAAATAAAAGGTTCTCTACATATGGTTCAACAACCTGCTCTTTTCTCTTTACATGTCTTGGAAGTCTTTCCATATTTCATACTTTTGGTTAAAAATTTTAGGTAGAATATAGTAATGGTTAGAACATTAACATACATATGCCTCTCTGATCCATAAACAAGGAAAGTCATTAAAAAATGTTGCAGACTTCAGGAAGACTTTCATTCTTTTCTAATGAGTATAATAAATGTCATTGATGAGATTAAAAGCTCAGCTATTAACTGAATGTCAGGATTATCATATGAATGACAGTGGAAAAGTTGTAGAAGGTTGAATCTAAGACAATGAAGTTTCTGGTCACAATGAGCCACTTCTCACAGAAAATGTGGACCAGTGAGCTATGCAATGGATTAAAATAATACCAAGACCATGTGTTCCGAATTGCAATAAAATAGAATGTAAAAATAAAAGTTAAAATGTATTCATTATTTACTACATGCAAGGCATTGTGCTAAGCATATTGGGCATATTATATATCCTTTAATGATATTAAATACACTTAGCACAGTATATTGTCCTTTCATTCCATGGCTCCAGCCACAACTGTATCTTGAGTCTTTACTTATATGCTAATTCATCTACCTGAATGCTCTTTCCAAACAGATGCATAACTCTTATCCTTACCTAAGTATTTGGTTATTGTCACCTTTTACAGGTACTGAACAAAATAGCTCTTCCAGCCTCATAGCATTCGCTATCCCTTTACTCCACTTAATTTTTTCCTGAAATTTATGATTACAACATGTGCTTGCCCCTTTTCATCCTTTTGATGTTTATCTGGTAAACTCCTGGTGGTCTGGGGAGGCCTCTGCTATGAACAGCAGTCTCCTTTTCTAGAGTATCCCAATCAACCTCAGGGCTGGGGTCTGTATCCAAAAGACCAATAGTAACCTCAGCTTTATCTTTCACATTCTTTGTTTTCCAACAATTTAGTCTTAAGGAGGAGACTCGAAATGTTGGTAAGCAGCAGCACTTCTGAGTACCCAAGCATATTACCCAGAGATTTGCAATCTCAGATGAGCTGAGAGAATGCCCTCAGGTGTCTTAGGGAAAGTGGAAACAAAATTCTCCTTCCTTTTCTCCTCCTTCATTAAGCACTGAGCCACCAGCCCAAAGATGGGATCCCTTAGACTCTAAGAGGTCAAGGGACAAACATTGACAACAGGACAGCGAGCAACAACGAAGAGATTTGCCTTTGAGTCAACATTTAAGTCTATTGAGTGTTATGGCTTCAGAGAGGAGCGAGCTCCCTGCTGCATTGCCAGTGTTCCCCTAGAACTCCCTGGGGGATACCATGTCTGAATTTTGCCCAAGGACATTCTCTAAAAGGGCAGACCCATACAATAATTCACTTATAATGAGAAAAGAGCCCAGGCCAGCCAAGTGACCCTCCCACTGATGTTGGCATGTTTGAGTCAATGAATCAGACTTGCTCCCAAAACGGTACTTCTAGAGGAAGCCCTTCCTCACTCCCTTTGAGGATTCTTTGCCTTCAATGTTAGTCAATCAACCTAATCTCCCCTTCCTGGTGCAAGGTAGGGTATCAAATAAGACCCAGTGGATCTAGTTACATATCCCAAAAATTAGTTAATTTTTCCCTAAAACTCAATTACTTTAAGTAAGGTGTACCACAGAGGCACATGCCTCAGATGTCCTCTTACAATGTATGTTGGAACACCATGGCAGCAAATGGCAGACACAGCATAATGCAGTGATGGCTAAAGCACAAGTGCCAGCCATGGCTTACCAGACAGCACTCATTGTTCAGCAAATCCAGTTAGTAAGCCAAGAAGAGCAGTCTAGAGGCATGCTCCTTTGTCAAACACTGAGTCACCCTGTGTGCTACACAAACTGTCTCAATAGCATCCACAGGATTTTAATTTATAGAGGCGACTGGGTGACAACATGAAAAGGTCAATGTCATTGAAAGAAAATGTATTACTTACACTTTTAAGAGTCTTAAGAGAAAGTGCCACAGCACAAAGGGCCACAAAGTAAAGCACCAGGTTTGTCAGTAGGCAGAAAAAGCGATGGAACATCATGGCCCAGATCCTTCATTGCCATAGCCATAGAAAGCTGTTAGGAGGAAATGCCCTCTACAAGGCAGCAAGCAAAAGATAAATGTTGGGTTTTGTGCTTGGCAGGGGGCAGAAGGGGTGGTTGTACTATGATTTGTGCAAATGGATAGCAGAGGAGACGTAAACAACTTGGGCCAGTAGTTTGGCCTTGTGATCAATGGATAACAATCAATTATAGTACAATAAAATAAAACACAATTACATGGTAGACTCCATAAAAGTTGGTTATAACACAGAATGCCCAATAAAAAATAATTTAAATACTAATATCAATGATTTCATATGTCAAGAGCTCCAAAAGTAGGGAAATTCCAGGGTTGGTGTAATGTCTCTGCAATACTATCAAGGCCCAACGTCCCGTCTTACTACTCTGCCATTTGCAACAGGCCTCAATGTGTTGTTGTCTTCCCTTTCCATAGTCACAAAATTACTGCCACACCACATCTCTAGGGCCCATATCCTTGTACATGTTGCTTCATGTATCCTTTTTCATTGAACTTTGTTGCCTGAAATATGTAAAAATCAGGTTTTCTTGACAAAGAAAAAGCTGTGAATGGTTGCTGAATAGGCAACCCACATTAGCCGCTATAACTGATTCACCTGGATTGTATCCTACCACCAAGTAGTTTTCATTTTAGAGGTTTAGAGGGTCATATCTCTGTAGACGAGGAATGAAGACTGTGAAAATGAGAATAGCTTTCATGTGGTTAAGATGATTATGACCTTAGGGATCTATTTAAAACAGAATCATAATTCTTCCCCAAAAATGGCACAGAATGTGTGAAATTAAAACTTCAGTAAAATCTAGAATTTTTTTTCCTGAATTTATATGACAACTTATTTAGTTAATTGGGTTAATTCACAGAAAGCAATAACAACTGATGTATTTGGTGTCAAAAAAAAAAAAGGGGAAAATAAAGAGGTTATTGGATTAGTGCTTTTAGTTTTGACAAATTCTTAGACTATCAAATAGAAGTTCAACCTGAATACTAAAAGCATGCTATTAATATAAGCAAGTTAGATAAATATATGGAGTTTTTAAACAAGGTTTTGTCTATAATCAACTTGGAAACCTATTGTAATTTTTATCTAAGCTTAAACATTTTTCTCCTAGCTTGGGAGATTTTGTTTGTTTAATGCTATCTTTCCACAAAGGCCCCAAACAACAATTTGTATAAAATTTAAATATTCATATCCCATCCAGAAAGATGAACTTTTCAGTTGGAATGATTCCCTTATAGTCAAAATTTAATGGGTTAAAGAAATATGCAGATTTATAGGAATATCAAGAACTCTTTCTCTCAAACTTGCATAGAAAAGAAAGTCTGATTTAATTAAATAAAGGTAATTTTAAAGCATCTTCAAAGAAATAAAACAGTCACTCAGCTCCACAGCAAGGAGAGATGTCTTCCCCCTCAAAAAGTCTACATTTAAATGTAAAATCACATAGCATTTCGACTCCTGAGAGCTGTTCAAAAATACTGTGTGTGTTGTTAGGAAAATGTGAGCCCTATACTATGTTAAAACAGTTCATATGCCAAAATTTGCAAAAGAAATAAAGTTAAAAGCTCAGTTTTATTTTTATTGTGGTAACATAGTTGCTTTGTTATGGCCCAAAATATTCCGAAAGCTGTTGCACAATTGGTATAGAATGCTATATGCCCTTTATGCAAACTGCCTATTAATGAACAGCCAATGGAGGAAAATTGAATCCTATAATTTTAAGAATGATGAAAAAAACTATGGTTGTTTTATACTGGGATGGATTTGTCATATATATTTAGAGTACACCAGGTAGAGCTTAGGTATAAAAACAAAAACCATACTAGGCATTTTTTATAAAGAATTTAATGTAGGGAATTGATTAAACAAGTGTTAAAAGAATTAAAATGTGGCTGGGCATGGTGGCTCACGCCTATAGTCCCAGCACTCTGGGAGGCTGAGGCGGGTGGATCATCTGAGGTCAGAAGTTCAAGACCAGCCTGGTCAACATGGTGAAACCCCGTCTATACTAAAAATACAAAAACCAGCTGGGTGTGGTGGTGCACGCCTGTAATCCCAGCTACTCCGGAGGTAGACGCAGGAGAATCGTTTGAACCCAGGAGGCTGATGGAGGTTACAGTGAGCCGAGACTGCACCATTGCACTCCAGTCTAGGCAACGGAGCAAGACTGTCTCAAAAAAAAAAAAAAAAAAAAAAAAAAGGAATTAAAAATGCAAAAACACAAAGATAGGAACTACAAAACAGTTGCCACTGATGGAGCCCCATAGAGCTGACACTCAGACTTAGGAGAATGGACCACCACCCATCTGTGTGGCTTCCTCAGGAGCTGAGGGAAGGAGCTTGTGGAACTAAAGATTCTCTCTTCTTCTCTTTCCCTCTAAGGCTTTCACCTTTCAGCCTCACCCTTCTTTCTTTCTCTTTCCATGTCATATTCATTAAATAACATAGATTGGAAAATTAATACCAATCTAAAAATCTTTAGAATACTATATATATTTTAAAAATCAAGCTGATTTGATTCATTAAAGCTTTTATCTTTGAGGACATCCAACATGGAATCAGTCTTAAAGAATTATCCATTATCCCTGTGAAATTAAAATAGAATCTCAGGACCCCAAACTCACCATACGTTGGGAAAGTTAAGTTTGGGAGCTGAGTCACCAATAATGTCTTCTTTTTGTTCCAAAACAGATAGCTGTAATTTCACAACCCTCATGTCATAGCCTCATCTCCTTTACTCCTTTTCACATGTAAAATGTATATTTACTGAAACTAATCAGAGCCTCACAAGAAGGTATCCATCTGCCTACCCTGCCTCCCCCTATTTTCTCCTTCCTCCTTGTTCTCTCCCCTTTAAATACTAAAGTTCACAAAATCCCCTTTGAAAAAAGCATGGATCACAGATGCCCGTTTTATCTGTGTTTTTCCCCCAGCACATCCTCAACCTTGGCTAAATAAATCCCTAATCAATTGAGACATCTGCCTCAGTCATTGTTTGGTTTACATTTCGGTAACCACGAAGTGATTCTCTGAGTGGAATTGGCCCTTAGCCTGCAGCAACTCTCCTATCCGGGTCCTGTGCCAGCTAGAGCTCTTTATCACTCTGACCAATAGGATGATCTGCTGCAGTCTAGGAGATTCTTCCTCCAGAGATCCCTGATTTTCTGTTGAGATCCGAGGTTTATTCTGCTGCAAAAAAAAAAAAAAAAAAAAAAAAAAATGAGTTTTTACACACTTCCAACAAGGAAGGCTCTTCCCTGACAGCAAAGAGCCGTCTTCAGTTTGGGCTCCATCTCCAGTTAAGGAGCTAGTTTGGGTTTTTTAGGGGGGGATTTGGCAACTGGAAGTCAAGATTTTTTTTGTCAGTTGTCTAGAACTTCTCCTTATGCTCACAGATCTCAATAATATGTTAATTGTGTGATTGGTTTTTATTTTAGCTCATTTTCTGTTAGACTGGACCAATCCCTTGCCTACTCTAATGTCTACTGAAACCCCCACAACTGCAGAAAGTCAAGTTTCACCTCTAAAACCCGGACTGGCTAAGATAAAAATCAAAATCAAAATTTGACTACCTGAGAGGTCTTATTTACATAACAATACTGTTTTCCTAACCCCTCTCTGTGTGTGTGCTATTAAGGATTTTAGAGATCGCCTATTGTAAACAATTAATGGAAAGATCAAAGTTTTAAAAACACACTAACAGTTTCATGGCTAGCCTTAAAAATTCTCCTGACTAAATTAAGAGCAAAAATCTGACCCAAAACAGTTCTGGTAGTTAAAATGTCTGCCGTGGCCTGGGCTTGCTTCCTGATTAGGGAACAACAAAGACCACTCTACTTTGTGGCCTGGTAGTTACAGTTCTAGACTTTCGCCTCCGTGGCATAGTTTTGATTCTGGTCAGGGAACTAACCTCTCTTGGTTTAATGTTTGTGTGACTTCTAGGGTACTAATTTATCATTGATTTGTTTTCCCCTTCCTTTGACAGCTTTTGATTTTCTGTATTCTTTTGTCTGTGGGGAGCACACAGGCTTTTGGACCTTTATGTGTGGACGGTCATCTAAAAAGCTAAGAGCCTAGAAAATATGGCCTCACAGAAGTGTAGGCTATACCTTTAAGGTCATTTTCCTACCCATCTTAACTGAACTTATACTTACATCGTTTTTGTCCCTTGGTTTGAGCAAATGACAGTACAATATTTAGGCCAAACGTCTTAGCTCTGTGCTTCGAGATGTAAATTTTCTACCTTGTTTCACCTAAGAATTGTCTCTTTAGAAATACAATTGTAGAGTTGCCTGGCTAACAATTATTTATAGCAGGAAACATATAATCAAGAGATTTACAGTCTAACTTGAGGGAGAGAAGCTTTGAAAAGAGGCAAATGAAGAATCTTATTGAAGCTACCTTTGGAAAATTATGACGGTGAGAGAAATATGACATGGTTGACTCCATCTTGCTTCTGACCTTCAAGCTGTCCTTGGTCATTCCTGGATGTAAGTTAACTTTTGGAGGAATTTAGTTTATAGTTTAACTTTGAAGCAAGGATAATAATGGTCCTTTCCTAAAACAAATCTCCTTCCTGTTCAGGGGATGAAACCATCTTTATAACACTAATGAAAGGCCACAAGATTAGGATGATGGGAAAGGCCTAAGCTCTGCTAAAATGTAGGCATAGTTTCTATAATTCCTTACTGCTCAGGAGTCATGTGGCCAGAGGTCACAAGATTTGTGACTTCCCCAATTGCTCCTATACATAGCATTGCTACTGTAGAACCTAAAATTGCTTTTCTTTAATGTTTTTCAGACAGACACAACCCAGACTCGTGACTTATGCCTCAACAAGACCTTGGGCTTCCACCCAGAGAAGGACTCAGTGCACAAGGATCATTTTTCTTACCCTTATCATAGCATCCACAACCAATTGGCAGTACCCATTCCCTAACCCCTGCCCACTAAACCACCCTTAAAAACCCCTAACTTCCAAGGCTTTAGAGAGAATTATTTGAGTAATAGCTTCATCTCCCATGTGGCTGGCCTCATGTCAATTAAACTCTTTTTTTACTTTAATACCACAGTCTCAGTAAGTTGATTTTGTCTGTACAGCAAGCAGGAAGGACCCATCAGGTGATTACATTATAAATCTATAAGATCTCCCACTGTCTATATATCTATGTGTTTATATGGTATCATGTGTATGTGATATCTCATAACAAAAATATATGAAAGAGTGCAAATTAATTGGCTTAAAGGAAAGAGGAAAGGAAAAAGGACTTAAATCTTTTCTCAGAAAAATGGAAACTAGCTCAAATGCCTTTTAGTTCACATGATTTTAGTAAATAAGACAGTTTTTAAATTATTGGTAAAATGACATAGAAATATCTTTTATTTCTATAAACTCCCAGTCAGGCAGTTCAGATACTGTTTTTGCTAGAGTTTTAAACATCATAAAGTGGTTCTGTAGTTTTGTTTGTTTGTTTTTTGAGACAGGGTCTCACTTTGTCAGCCAGGCTAGAACATGGTGGTACCACCTCTGCTCACTGCAGCCTCAGCCTCCCAAGTTCAAGCTATTCTTCTGCCTCAGCCTCCCAAGTAGATAGGACTACAGGCACATGCCACCATGCCTGGCTAATTTTTGTATTTTTAATAGAGACAGGGTTTGCCATGTTGCCCAGGCTGGTCTCAAACTCTTGAGCTCAAGCAATCCACTTACTTGCCTCAGCCTCCCCAAGTGCTAGAATTATAGGTGTGAGCCACTGTGCCCAGCCTTCTGTGATATTTTTAATAATTGTTTAATACCCATCTTAGAGCCTCTAGAGTTTTAATAAAAAAAATTTTTTTATTAAAAAAATTGCTATGGGAAGGCCTGGGGACATATGGAGTTCTCTCCAGGACAGATATGCCTCCTAGATATGCTAGAAAGAGTCAGGCATTGTCTGAAGCTCTATTTTTTTTGTCCTTGGTTCTGCGTCTGATACATACTTAAAATTGTTTACTTTCTAGGTTTTTCACTAAAAATAACAGTAACAAAGAATTAACATTGTAATTAATGTATATAATTAAAACTACTAGGTATAAGAGAAACAGTTCTTCATGAAAAGTGTATAAGAGTAGGATGCATTTTAGGGGAAAAGTTATAAGAAGGCATGGAAATGTGGTTTTTGTCAAAGCAAGAGTAATTTTGCCCAGTTGAGTGGGCTTTTTTACATTAAAGGAGTAAAAAGATGAATAAATTAAATGAATATACAAAATTGGAAAAGAAAGTGAATATTTGTCCTTATGTAAAATGATAGGACAAAACTGAAATAAATTGTAGAAGGTTTGTGGAAGACTGATCTTATTAAAAAAATTCTGTATAACCAAGTAGCTAAAATTTAAAAGGAATAAATTTTTTGCCTATAAAACAATTAAGATAAAAAGCACACTGATGCCAAAGTCTGGGCCACAGTGTCAGA
The DNA here is from genome assembly GCF_000001405.40 of Homo sapiens. NCBI lineage: Eukaryota > Metazoa > Chordata > Mammalia > Primates > Hominidae > Homo > Homo sapiens. The sequence continues at coordinate 29,883,130 of NC_000011.10, forward strand.
AGAAGAGGGGTTCATTGGAACACTGATATGTTCTTTAATAGAAAATTGTAAAATATTATTGAAGTTTATGAAATTCTTACCTTACGGTCAGACTGAGATTGGACAGTTTTGTGTATGAGATTTTTTTATCGGGGTTAATAACACTAATGCAAATATAAAATTTGGTTTTCCCTTATGAACAAGATTTTTATGTAATATTAAGAGATAAAAGATTTTTATTTACCTTTTGAGAAAACTGCAAAAAAAAAGGGGTTAGGGAAGAGACAGATTCAGTTAGCCTTGTGCTGTCTTTATTAAGTCATATTGTTTGTGGAACTGAGTCTCCTTTCTATCAAAGAGTAAAGGCTTTTGCTTTTTAAAACCTTTGATTTATCATTTTGACTAAATAACTTACCTTAGAGTTACCTATGTTCTTACTGTGATATCAACTGTTCTAAACCTTTGATATTTGACAAATTTTTTAAAATCAAATTTCAAGCTCTAAATTCAGTTATTTTGACTTTACCTTTTTAAAGATATTAAGCCCCTTGAAATCCAAGAGAGACATATTCAGTTTATTTGAAATGTTAAAATCATACAGGAAGCATTGTCAAATATGAGATGTGTTTAACTTAGAGTTACATTTAATATAAATATGTTATTAATATGTTAAACTGTATGAAATTCCTATAATTCTGATGTCTTAATGTTATCGGTAATTATGATTATTATGCTGTATTGTTGCATGCCACAGAAATAATCAAATTTCCTTGTCAATTGTGTCTTTAAACATGGCAGTCCTAAAATTATTGTCATCCATAGATTATTATTTTATCTTGATTCTTCTCAAAAAGTGGTTTATAATCAGCTACAGTCCAAATCTTGTTTCTCTAAGGGAGTTCACAGAAAGGTCTCTGCTGGTGCTCTTCAATGCAGGTTTCTGACAGCTTCAAGGATTGTACCACTGGACTAAGAAAAAACTTGCAGTACTCTCAGTGGAGAGCTGATGTATTCATACAGATTGAGAACCCCAATGTCAAACAAAATGACTCAGTTGTATGAAACTGAACTAACAGAGGACTGAAATAAATTTTTCTGACTTTGCTTTTGTTTGAAATGTTGCTGATTCTTTTTGTTTTTCAGAGTCAAAAAAATTTCTCTTTTGAGATATTTGTAACTTTCAGCAATTGCATGAAATACACTCTTGTGAGCAAATTTGAAGCATATTTCTTTCTACCTGATTTCTCCAGAATTTGGAAACTATTTATGAGTATTCTTAATTTATGCCAATATAGTTATTTGCATGATTTCAATAAGAATCTGTCTTTTGCAATAAGATATAATTGGATACACTGGTTATTTTACTGAAGCTTTGACTGAAATGGCATATTTTCAAATATTACCAGAATGCTTTGAGGAATTGAGGTTAAAGAGCAGATAAAAGCCCCTTGGAAAGACTGGCCTCACACCTTGTCTACGTAGTCCTTTACAGGGTTTCTGACCCAAAGAATGCCACTTTCTGATAAGCCCAGGAACCTTAAACTATTCTGGGACCTTGAAAAGAGAGAAATTCACCCAATTCTTACAGGTATCTGCAAGCACAGATAAATCCTTGGCTGGGTTCAAGAGGCCTTTAAAAACCTTATCTGAGATTCCTTATGGAAAAGTTTCAGCAAGCCAATTTTGAAAGAGACAAATGGCCAATAATTATTCTTGCTGTACTTTATGCAAATAATCTGGCCAAGTACAATAAGACTAAAATTTATTTGCAACTAAGTTGTCCTACTATGATTTAGTAAAAATGGGGTATTAAAGAGAAAAATTATGTTTCCAAAGAAACTATAATATACCTGTTATTAGGTTCTAGCTTTGTCAATTTTCATTTTTTATTATTTTTCTACAATTTGGACTGAATCCTGAATTCTTTCCTGACTACAAGTCTCCAAATTAATGTTTTCAAATTGTGTTTTCTCCCATTTTTCTGACTTGAAATCACTAGAAATTAAAACTGTACTTTTCTTAAAGCCATGCAAGCTGAAGCTAGACAACTTAAACTTTGTAATAACAGCAATATATGTGTACATTATATATATATATGTGTGTGTGTGTGTGTGTATACACACATGTATTTATATATCAGCTTTGTGCCTGCCTTCTCATAAAGTTCATTTAAACACCTGATTCAAACTACCATCCAGAAAAATCTGTCATATTGCCACTGAAATTTAAAAATGCTTCAGATACTTAAAAAAATCCAGCTAGTCTATAAACTTCTCCAGACATACAATAGTCAATGTACAACTAAAAGAATTAAAATGACAGTTACCCAAAGAATTGCTCTGATTAAAGAGGTGGTAGTATAGCCTGAATTAGTTTTCCAGGATTGCTTTTCTTTTGTTGCTATAATTTGATCTTGGTCTCTTTTCTTTTCTCCTTTTTTCTTTATTTCTTCCTCCCCCTATTTTTCTCCATGAGACATGAAAATTGACAACCTCCTAGGAATGAGCCTTCCTAGCAACATGGGATTTAACCCTCTAGGAATAAACCATCCTAGCAATGAGTGATCAGGCCAAACATATGATCAGAGATTCATGTACTTCTATAATGCTTTCCCCAAAAGATTTTTAAACAGGGAAAATATGAAAGAAAAATAGCACCTCAGGACCCTATGGCACTATGCCAAAGGGAAAGGTAAGCTTTGGAACTGAACCACCAATACTGTCTTCCTTTTGTTCCCAGATAGCTGTAATTTGACAACCCCATTTCATAGCCTTATTTCCCCTACTACTTTTCACATGCTTACTTTATCTTATGTAAAATGTAGATTCACTGAGAGGTAATGCATAATTGACATTTTCCTGTTTTTTTTTTTCACATGTAAAATGTAGATTTACTGAAGCTAATCAGAGCCTCACAAGAATGTGATCATCTGCCTCACTACCTATCCTTCTTTCTTTTCTTTTTTCCTCCCTCCTGCTTGGTCTTTTTCCTTTAAGCAATTAAGTTCACAAAACCCACTTTGGAAAAGGCATAGATCACAGACGCTCCTGTGATTTGTGTTCTTTCCCCAGATTGTCCTCAACCTTGGCTAAATAAACCTTGAATTGATTAAGACACCACCTCAGTCACTTTTTGGTTTACATTCCCTACCTCCAGCTATCCAGCTATCTCGAACTGTGCTCCTGATGTTTTCCCTTATAGTCCATTTTTCCTCTATACACAAACACACACACAAATCTACTCTACCAACTGTGTTCCTCATCTCAGTATATGTTAATTCCATTGTTCCTGTTTCTCAGGCCAAGAAACTTGGAGTTACTTTTTATTTCTTTTTTCTCATACTCAAAATCAAATTTACCTGGATATCCTATAAAATATATCCAGAATCAAAACACTTCTTACCTCCTCTGTTGCTACATTCCATTCACCATCACCTTTCTTCTATATTACAGTGGTTAAGTGGTTTTCGTACTTTTATCCTTGCCTTGTTCCAGCACAGTGATCCTTTTAAGATGTAGAACAGATCACATCTCTCCTCTATTCAAAACACATCATTGGCTCACCCTTCATTCACTGTAAAAGGTGAAGTTTTACAGTGCCTGCTGGCCTTGTACTTTTTGGCTCCTCACTACCTTGCTGATCTTCTATCTTCCTCACTCTCTCTGTTCCAGTCACATTGTTCTGTTATTTTTCAAATGCATCTGGAACACTTCCACCTTACCTTTAGGGCTTTACATTTGCTTCCTTTTGCTGGAATAATTCTCTCCTAAATATCAGCATGCCTCCCTGATTCCCTTCAGTGTTTGCTCAAATCTCATCTCCTCACTGAGACCTTGCCTGATCACACTATTAAAATTGCACATGCATGTACTTACAACCACCCTTCTTTCATCTCCTCATCCCCAGGAGTAGTTAACACTAATGAAAATGGTATCTATGCTACATTTTAATTATATTTATTTTCTGGCCCTACTCACTGAAATATAAACCCTGTGATGGCAGGAATTTTTAATGGAATTTTTTTGAGTGCTGTGAAAAATTTGAGGAATTTCTGGGGCATAATTATTGCAACATCAATAATTGTTGAATTAATTAGTGAATAAGAAGGTGGGAACAGTTACTTCTATAGTGCTATTTTCATCTCAAATACAAAGATATATTATCATTGTCCAACTTTTCAATTACATCTTGACCTTCTTGCCTAAACCCTGTAAGTTTTTGTTTTTGTTTTATAAAAATCAGTGTTAGGGCCGGGCCTGGTGGCTCACACTTGTAATCCCAGCACTTTGGGAGGCCAAGACGTGTGGATCACCTGAGGCCAGAAGTTCAAGACCAGCCTGGTCAACATGGTGAAACCCCTTCTCTACTAAATATACAAAAATTAGCCCAGTATGTTGGAAGGTATAATCCCAGCTACTCAGGAAGCTGAGGCAGGAGAATTGCTTGAACCTGGGAGGCAGAGGTTGTAGTGAGCCAAGATTGCACCATTGCACTCCAGCCTGGGCAACAAGAGCAAGACTTCCTCTCAAAAAAAAAAAAAACAAAAAAACAAAACAAAACAAAAAAAAAAACAAATCAGTGTTAGTTGAGATGTACCTCCACGTTTACTTTAAAAAAAAAATGTGTATATATGTACTTTACCCGACAGTCATTCTTTTATCTTAGCCCTTCTTCTGGGATCAGTTTGATTCTTTTTGAAGTATATTCTTTTTTTTTTTTTTTTTTTTTTTTTTTTTGAGACAGAGTCTCGCTCTGTCACCCAGGCTGGAGTGGAGTGGCGCTATCTTGGCTCACTGCAAGCTCCGGCTCCCGGCTTCACACCATTCTCCTGCCTCAGCCTCCCAAGTAGCTGGGACTACAGGCGTCCGCCACCACAGCCAGCTAATTTTTTTTTTTTTGTATTTTTAGTAGAGATGGGGTTTCACTGCGTTAGCCAGGATGGTCTTGACCTCCTGACCTCGTGATCCGCCCGCCTTGGCCTCCCAAAGTGCTGTGACTACAGGCGCAAGCCACCACGCCCGGCCTTGAAGTATATTCTTTCGACATTCCTCTAGTGATGTCTATTGGTTTAGTAAAACCTGGAAATTTCTTCTTCTACCTTTATTTTGGACTCATGGTTTAGCTGTTTATAAAATTAGGGATTACTTATATTCTCTTAGAACTTTGAATATATAATTTCACCATATTCTGGCTTTTTTCACTGCTTATTTGAGAAGTTCTACAGCAGTCTAATTGCCATCCCTTTGTAGTTAATCTGAGGGTTTTACTCTGGTCGCTTTTGAGATTTTCTCTTTGTGAATCATTGTACTTCATGAAGCTGAGGATTCATAATTTTAGAAAGTTATTAACTGTGTTCTCTTTGTATGCTTTTTCTCTATTTTCTTCTTCTAGAACTCCTAGTAAACATATGTTTTGCCTTCTCAATCTCCATTTTCTAAATTTTGAACTCTTATTTTACATTTTCCTTCTATTTATGTTACTACCCTACATTTTGGGTAATTTTTTTAGGTCTATTTAATCTATCTTCAGCTGTGTCTCATCTGCTGTTGAATCAATCCTTTGCAATTTAAATAACTATTTTTTAAGATTTACTATATAATTTTTTAAAAAATATGATTTTCTGTTTAAATATTACCTTCTTATGTTTTGCGCTCCCTATTTCTTGATGTATTTTTAAACATGAGTATATTTTAAAGATAATCAGTTTTATTATGTGGAACTGTTGGAGATACAATTAGCTGTTTCTTCATGTTATTTAAATGCAGTTATCTACTATGTAAAGTGGGTGTGAAAATTCAAGGAATTTTTCAGGTGTGTTTTATGAAATATTTACTGTGATAAAGTAGATAATAAATAATAGCTTCCCCTTCTCTGAAACCAAGTAATAGAGATAACATGTGTACTACATAAGGAAAAGGGAAAAAAATGTTTGAATAGAGTATGTTTTCTTTTTTAATATATGATAGATTATTTTCCAGTTTGCATGTAAGTGCATTTTACTTCTTAACTACATTCAAATAGGTTCTCTTTGGTCTCCTGTTTTAGTGGTTCACATGTACATGACAAATTATTTTTAATGAATTCTATATACTTTGAGCCAAACGAGTAAAAATTACAACAGTTGAAGGGAGATAGCTACACAAAACTGAAATATTTTGGGAATCTTACATTGTATAGCAGGAAAGAGCAGTTGATGAGTTTTATTTTAGAAGTCTGCTAAGCTTAAAAGATGGCATTGAAATTGCCTCATAATAGGATTTTATTTTTAATATACAACAGTTCATAAAACACTTGATTATATTAATCACTATGCTTTATGAAGAAGCTGAAAAAATAAGTGCTGTTAATAATAGAAAGTATAATTTCATAGGTATAAATTATTAGAAAATGGCTATAAGAACTTTGCATGTTATGGCACAGACAGGTTATATAGCTGTCATAATTCTGAAATTGAAGATTTTTCATTAAAATTATCCTCATTATATCTAAAGCCCCATTCAGAAATAGTCATGATGAATAGAGTAATCTAGCAGAGTTCATTGTTCTACCATGTTTCTATATGTCCTGCAAAGTAATAGATACCACATTCGCCATTTTAGTTTCATTGCCTTGAATATAACATTTTTTGATTCCCAAACAATCCTCAATGTCTTCAATTTTCAGTATCAAAAATGCAAATAGAAAGAATGAACCACTTATACTACCAATGCAAAATCATCATTCTGACTGAATTTAAATACTCTGCTCTTCAGTAGCAAGATTAGGCAGAAAATATTAGGTGTGTTTCTCTGTATTCAAATAAGAATGTGAAGGAAGAAAAGCTACAATGTTAAAACTATCTTTAAAAGTGGGTAACTGACCTAAAACAAACTAGGTCAGAGACTTTATAATCAAACAGGGTAGAAGGGAGCCCCCACCTTATCAGCTGCTCTTGCCTGGAATCTTCCATCATGCTGAGCTGGGGGGTTATGTGAGAAGAATGTCATGACTCAAGTGTCACAGACTTAATGTTCTTACAAAATTTTTCTGGAATAAGTGATTGTTCTTATTCTAAAATAATTCTCACCAGCCATGGTTGCTTCACTGGAGCAGGTCTGTGGAACTTCTCCTGCCACCATTCTAGAAGTATAATTCTCATATGCATCTTTTGCTGTTTATTCTGTATGTGTTCTGATCAATTTCATCAGTTTCCAATGACACACTGATAGTCTACCCACTTACCCACATTATTGAATCATGCTTATGCTAACTTCCCAGTTTCCCAAGTCTTACAGGTATGCCTGCTATTACAAAAACCTAGACTTCCTTAGAGCATAAATGTTGAATTGGGGCAATTGGGTGAAAATCTTCTCTGACGAGTCACTTTCTTTTTCTTTTTTAATAAAATGGAATTATATAAATGAACTACTGAAAAATATCCTGCAGAGTGACAATCTTTAACTGCAACCCACAGGTGTCTATACCTGACAGGTATAAACTATGACATCCATGTGAGTGGCAGTCTTTATCTTGCAAAGAAAGAGATTAGTTTGATGACAGCAGCCACATTCTCCAAAGAAGGCATTTCACTCTTTCTTCCAGAATTAACAATAATCATCAAGCTGGAATTTTATAAATGCTGGGTTGTGTTGATTTCTTATAGAGGCAGAGTGTGTTTCCTTGGAGTGTGTTTTCATAGTCTGTGTTTCCTTGACTGGTTGCTTCTTAAACCAGTGCCATGCATCATTTTAATGAACCAATGAAGTTAAAAATAGAGTGTCACTGCAAATATGACAGATCTTGTTATCTGTATTGGTGAAACGTAAATCCACTGAATTCTGAATTCAATCTACAGGGCTAAAAATAACTCAAAGTGCATTTCTGCTCAAATAGGCAATTAAAATTGGCACAAAACCAGACAACTATTTCATACAATGCATTAACTCTAACAATTCTGAAAGAGAATACATTCTCACATATAAAAGCTTATACTATTTATCTTCTTTCCAGGACAAGCGGATGCAATTCTCAAACTTGTCTGTACTACAAGCAGTGGGATTCTGTGTACCATTATCTCATTTAAGGCCTCCAGAAATTTAGATTTTGATGAAGGAGACAGAATGTTACCCACTATACACTGATTTTTCAGGGAAAAAAAGTAAAACTTTGATAAATTTGTTTAGCATATCCATAGACAGCACAACAGCTTTTTTTTTTTTTTAAGTTGGATTCCAGATACCTTAACAAATAACAAGACAGAATTGGTAGTTGGGGGATGTTTAAACTGATTTCAGTATGTGTTTCTCTATTTTAAACTATGATTTCGTAAACTATAAGATTTCTGAATAAAAACATTTCAACTGCAGTCAATTTGTTTAATCTATAATAATCTCCATACATGCTAATAGAAAAGTTATTTTTATAGTTAAAACAAATACATATTACACATTTAACAGGAAAAAATACATATTATACATTTAACAGGAAATTTAAGCACTCCAAATAAAGTTTGAAGAGAAAACGAGACCTTTCTTTTAAAAATAAAATATTTGAGTTTTTTGAGGTTGATGGGCAATTCTTTGGCATAGGCCAAACTTATATGACTCTTTCAGCAAGAGCTTTTAAAAAAATCTAAATTACTCTCTTTCTCTATCTTTATATCGACAGGATTGAATGTAACCAACACAACCTTTATTTAATAGTGAATGCCCTTTTGTCCATTTGGTATATGTAGGGCAATGGTTGAACTTCTTCAGTCAACAATATAAATCTTGGCTTTTATTATCAGACACAAAAGCTATACCAAAAGCCGAAACAGACGATTTTGGCCTTTGTATGTTCCTTTTACAACTAGCAGAAAAAAAGTTGCTTTATGACAATCTCTGACTTTTTAGAGAACTAAGGGGAAAAAAATTCATTCAGACTATCTTATCAAAACTTCTTTTACTGAAGTATGTGAAAGAAACTTTCTAAGCATTAACTAAAGACCTTAGAAACTGACTTAATTGAATGGAATGAATCTAAGCCTAGACTCAGAAGTGATTCATTCAGGGCCTACTTTTGGTAAAATATTAAAGTGGGTATCTTCTTTTTTTCATTTTTTTTTAAGTAGGAAAGCACTTAATTTCATTGAAAGAGCATTCATATGTGTTATGAACTAAATCATGTCCCCCAAAAAATTCATATGACATTCTTACCCCCAACACGATGGCATTTAAAGATTGGGCCTTTGGGATAGGGTGGATCCCCAATGATTGTCTAAGATAGGATGCAAGAGAGGTCTCTTTCTTTCTCTCTCCATCATGTGAAGAGATAGGAAGAAAAGAGAAAGCCAGGAAAAAAGGCCCTTACCATGAACCAAATCAGCTAGCACCGCATCTTAGGCTTTCCAGCCTCTAGAAGGGTGAGAAATAAATGTCTGGCTGTTTAAGCCACCCAACTTATGGTATTCTGTTATGCTATTACAGCAGCCTGAGGAGATGAATACAGTCTTGGACCCAGAAACATTTTAATTCAAATTCCAGCTAGGCTTCTTACTAGGTGCACAATCTTGAGCAAGTTTAATTTCTTCATTATTGAAAGGGGATACCTTATTTTTTAATGTTGAAATGGCATTACACATGCAAACCACTTAACAAAGTAGTTGTTGCACACTAGTTGACCAGCAAATACCAGTTTTCTTTCTTTGCCTTGACACTTTCACTCTCTCTCATTGCATTTCTACTCAAAAGATCTCTCTTCTACCTTCATTCATTCTATATTTCAGGAGAAATATCAGAAGAACTATAATCAATACAATTACAGGTATTAGTAGAATTATGCACCACATGTTCCAAATGATATATTTACTTTTGAATAGCAGCCTCTGAAACAATGGCTAAAACAGAAAGCAACTATGAACATTCACAAAATGGGTCAGTGTCGCATGCCTATGTTCACTGACACGTTATTGACAATATCCAAGACACAGAATCTACTTGTGTCCATCAGACACATGGATTAAGAAAATGTGATGTACATACATACTGGAATACTATTCCACCTTAAAAAGGAGAAAATGGTGTCATTTTTCACAACACAGAAGAACTTAGAGAATACTACACTAAGTGAAATAAGTCAGAAACAGTAAGACAAATAATGCATTATCTCACTTATATGTGAGGCGTAAGAACACTGAACTCATGGAAACAGGGAGTAAAATGATGGTAACCAGAGGCTGGAGGGTGAGAGAATTAGGAAGATGTTGGTTAAAGGACACAAAATTTCATCTAGGAGGAATAAGTTCAAGAGGTATATTGCACATCATGGTAACTTTAGTTAATAATAATATATTGTATACTTGAAAATCTCTAAGGGAATAGATGGTAAGTGTTGTCCCCATTAAAAAAAAAAGGATGTAAGGTAATGCATATGTTAAATATCTTCATTTGACCATTGCATAATGTACACACATATTGAAACATCATGTTTTGTGCCATACACATACACACAAATTTGTACTTGTCCATTAAAAACACTTTAAACATATGAGTCAGTGTCAAAATACTTTGGGGCAGTTGAACTTTTGAGCACCTTATAGGTATTACCATGCGGCTGATGGCTCCACTGCAAGTATATAGAGAAAACCCATTGATTTGATCATTCATGTTTATAACGTAAGCTGAGCCAGGCGCGGTGGCCCACACCTATAATTCCAGCATTTTGGAAGGCCAAGGTGGGAGGATTGCTTGAGCCCAGGAGTTCAAGACCAGCTTGGGCAACAATGTGAGACCCTGTCTCTACAAAAAGAAAAATAAATAAAATAACCTATGTTGAAAATAAAAAATTTAACAGGCAGGTGAAAAAAAATATACAAATGCACACATATTTTTTCAAAACATGGCACACAAGTTCTTCCTTTACAAAATATACCTGGACACTACACTGTGTTCCATAAGGCTTTATCTGATCTGACTATGACAGCTTCTGACTCGCGTTGCATTCTCTGTCCCTCATTTACTGCACTTGAGTTATTGGCCTCCTGGTTGTCCTTTAAGCATACTAAGCTCAATCACTTTTAGGGCCTCTGTACTCGAGTTTTTCTTTTTTTTTTTTTCCATAGCTTTTCTTTGGCAGCCACATTCTCGTCATAGAAGTTTCTTTTCCTTCCTTCACTTATTCAACAGATATTCATAAGGTACCCGTTATGTGGCAGGAAGTATCATAAACCCCCGAGTTTATGAAGCTTACTTTCTAGTGGGTAGAACAGACAATAAACAATAGTTATATAACTAAATTATATAGCACATTAGAAGATAAGTGCAAGAGGTGGGAGTATGGTAAGGCAATCAGAAGCGGGGAAGGGGGTTCAATTTTGATAATCAAGAAAGCCATTCAGATATCCAAAGGAAGAAAACTTCAGGCAGGAGAACAGCCAGTGCAAAGGCCTGAGGCCAGAGTGTAATGAGTGAAGACAATAAAATAGGAGATTAAAGATTATGGGAAGCCAGAATGAGAAGAATCTGGGAGACCTGAGGATGAATTAAAGGTCTTAGAAGAGAGGATTGATATAGTATGATTCAGTATTTTAAAAAATCAACCTGGTTGTTGTGATGAGAATAGACCATAGATCAGGGTTTTTCATCCCTGGCGCTGTTGACATTTTGGAATAGATAATGAATTATCACAGGCTGTCTCTTGCCTGGTAGAATGTTTAGCAGCATCCCTAAAATCAGCTTGCTATATGTTAGCAGTAACCCCTGCCCCCTGCCAGTTGTGACAACCAAATTGGTCTCTGAATATTACCAAATGTCTTTTGGGGGCAAAATCATTCCCAGTTGAGAACTATTGTTGTACAGGAAAAGGGTGGAGGCTTACATGTCACCTCTGCAAAAAATGTCCTCCGTGATTACTCAATCTCAAGCAGCAACCACCAGCCCCAGTCACCACGACATCACCCTTAGTTTTCTTCACAGCTGCTAATGGTCTGAATGTTTGTGTTCCCCCGAAATTTATATGGTGAAAACCTACTCACCAGTGTGATAGTATTAGCAGGTGGGGCTTTTGTGAAGTGCTTAGATCATCAGGATGAAGCCCTCATCAATGGAATTAGTGACCTTATAAAGGAGTCTTCAGAGAACTGCCTTGACCCTTCCACTGTATAAGAATGCAGCAAGAAGTCACGATCTCTGGTGCAGAGAGCAAGCCCTTACCAGACACTGCATCTGCTGGTACCTTGATCTTGAACTTACTAGACTCCAGAACTTTGAGAAACAAATTTCTGTTGTTTATAAGCTACCCAGTCTATCATATTTTGTTATAGCAGCCTAAATAAAAACATCACACGTTGAGAAATTATCCTGACCATTTATTAATATACTTATCAATTTTTTCTCACTGCCCAATGCTACTATAAGTTCACATCAGTAAAGACCTCATCTTCATTGTTCACTGTTCTGTTTCCCAATGGCTTGAAAGAATCTTTGCCAAAAATCATTGCTGAAACCATTTAAGATTTTGTATTGCTTTTTTTATTGCTTGTGCAAACCGTGTACATACGTTCTCTAACAAACTTAGGTGAATGCTGTGATTCTACAGTGACAATGAAAAGAGATCTTAGCAGCATTTAGAGGGCTCGTAAAAATGTAAAACCAACTTGGGGAAACCTTACTGCTGGAGTGGGGCAATGTTCTACATTGGATGTCTCTTTGACCAGTTTGGCCCAAATCTTTACTCTCCTCTTGATGGTTATTATTTTCATCATTTGTATTCTATGGGGAGTCTTGGGGTAGTACCTTGGTAATATTCAATTGCTGAGCAAAATTTCATTTCTGAGTGGTTGCTACTTTTGTGTTCACCATTCGTGGGTCAAGACTAAAGTCAGGGGTATCTGGAATCAGAAAAGTAGAGCTTGAGGCAGGATGCTGGTACTGTAACAATTCATATCAAATAAACATTCAAGTGCTGATTGTCCACAATGTAGTATTGTCCACACCTCAGTGTATCAGGGTGGACTGGGCAAGATCCTTGAAAACTATATGGTAGACTCTGTATACATGATTTCAAGCTTCACAAGATGACTGTGGTGACCCCAAAGAGGCTTTAATAATTACTGGTAAGAATATGAATCTTTAGTTTCACTAGCCATCTCTTTTCACAAGAATATTAAGATACTGGGAGATGAATAGATCCATTTATTAATTGATTCACTGAACAAATGTCCACTGAGAACATCTTTGTTCCAGGTATTAAGTAAACCCCTGAGCAAAACTAAAGGCCTTGTGTATTTGAAGTCTAGTCAGGGAGCTATGAATTAAACATTCTGATAAGCACTATAAATCGAAATTATAGGATGTTATAAAATTAATTATGTGGGGGCTAAGCTTAATTTCAGTGAATGAGGGAAGACTTCCCTAAGGAAATTACATTTGAAGGAAATCTACAAATTGGGCAGGAGCTAAAAGGTGAAGGATGGGGCTTCCAGGAAGACAATCACATGTACTAACAGTGCTGTGCTGGGGTCTAATGGTAATTGAGGAATCTCTGAAAGCAGCAGGGTCATACTGTGAAACTACAAGTCAAGCCCAGAAAGTCTACAACACAATGACGCTTTTCCTCAAGGGTCTCACCTCCTGTGGCCCTTATGTTTTAAGGTCCTACCCTGTGGACAGTGAGCATTGAAAATTTCTTTTACATGGGTGTTTGCACTACAAGAATCCTGCCCCCAGCCTTACTCTTCTGAACCAACATCCCTAAGTTTAGCCTTAATCTGAGAAAGATGAACATAAAGATTGAAAACAATCTCAGTATAGAATGGAATGTGAAATCCTACCTGACAATAGGATAAAAAAGAGAACCGTACTTTTGGAGGTTAACCTGGCAATGATATTAAAAACATAGAACTGAATTAGAGAAAGATAGAGGGGAACAGAAAAATATGGTTAGGTCCCATTAGAATAAATCACGGAAGTAAGGGGAACCTGAAAAAGACAAAACAGAGGGGAAGAAATCAACTTGAGAAACTGTAGAGCTAGTATCAATATGACAAAACAATTGACTGGCTATCAAATTGGAAGAAGACGGGAAAGGTCCACTTTAATCAGCTCTATTCTTTACATGGCTAAAAATAAATAAATAAGCCCGGTTTTAAAAATCTGCTCACCCCACTCCTAAGTCCTCCCTTCACAGAAGTAGGATTATTGAGGAGAAGATGTCTGGTTGTTCTCTTCTATCAAATTATTTTTCTTCATCCCCCATATGCCAATTGTTACACAGACTGTTCTAAATTTTGATCTGGTGCATTATTGATGAGCTCTTAAAAAGAGATTAGAACAACGATCTCCTACTCTCTTTCTGGGGGAAAAAAAAAGCAAGCAACAAAGAATTGCCAATTTGACTAACGTGAACCATCCAACCAGTAAGTCATATTTATGGCATATTTTGTGCCAAGGCTAATGTTAGTTTACTGGACATGTATCTCTGTGGGCCTAATGTATATAATGCACTATGCTAGACAATTAATTTGATTAGATTTATGTTAGTATACATCACCAGCACTCTTAGCTAATCTTAGTTCTGAAGATGTTGCTTACTTATTACTAACTCAAGCTGGCAGTTCTAAATCCCTTTTAGGAAATAATTTCCTAGTCCAGCACATTTATCTTTGGGACTCCATTGAGAATTATTTCTCAATTTTTTTATTTATACTAATTCCTTATCAAAGTGGGGTAGTTGTTTTTTAAAACAGAATTCTCTATGCCTGAATTCAAACATTTTAAATTAGAATTCAAGTTCTGTATTGCCAACGCCATGAACTGAATAAGTAATGGTGATTTTGAAGTATACATGCTGAAGCCCAACCTATTTTTATATGCCATATCTGATAATAGACTAATATAAACAGTCAAACTGCAAGAAAAAAATTACTATTATTCATAGAAATAATCTTGACTGAGTTCAAAGAAGTAAACAGTAATTAATTCACTTAATTTTCTAGATTCAGTGAAGCATTTTTCATCATTTTATTTTTAACCCATTGGTGACTCATTATTAAATCTATAATTTTTCTATTGCAAAAGCAACATATATTTAGAGTAGAAAATTTTGTAAAAACAGGTAAGAAGTGTGATTCATTATCACACTATCCAAAGAGAATTAGTTAGTATCTTATTTTCTGTTCTTCCAAATCTTTTCATGAATACATACTTTTTTTCAACTAAAATGTAATCATACTATACACACTGCTTTGTAATGTGTTTATCTCCCTAAATAAATATTTACCAGCCTATCAGTAAATATTCTTCTACAACATACGTTTTAATTATCACACTTTATTTGGATATTATCTATTATTGTATATACCATTATTTATGGGATCCTTAAATGTTGAGCGCTTACATTGTTTCTAATATATAACATACATTATAACAAACAGATGTATATATATACATTTCTACAAGTATATTTGCAATTTTCTTGACTGTTTCCTTAACATAGCACATTGTCACTGGGTTGTCTATTTCTTGAGGAGCATAACTTGTTTCTAACTATCACTATCTGCATCTCTGTGGCTGAATGTTTTTTCCAGAACTGTGGAAGCCAATCAGCCCAAACTCACAGCACACTGAAAGATTAGGGAATTAACACCCCCACAAGTAACTCTCAACTAATGACTCTTGAGAGTTGGTGTAGAAATACCCCAAATTCTTTTTCCCCTCAGGTGGGATAATTCTGAGGTGCATATTTGTTGTTTCCAAGAATTCCCCAAGGGATCCAGCTCCAGCAGCCCACTGTGGCTAATACATCATTTATTGACCATCTTCTCCTCCCTATGTCACTTCCCCATTTCTCTCCTGATGGTACCTCCCAAACAAATGACTTGTTTATTTCTGAGACTATTTCTGGGTGGACTCAAACTAAGACACTAGTATAGCTACCCAGAAAGAAAGTGACTAATGTGGCAATTCCTCAGGGATCTAGAACTAGAAGTACCATTTGACCCAGCCATCCCATTACTGGGTATATACCCAAAGGATTATAAATCATGCTGCTATAAAGACACATGCACACCTATGTTTATTGCAGCAGTATTCACAATAGCAAAGACTTGGAACCAACCCAAATGTCCAACAATGATAGACTGGATTAAGAAAATGTGGCACATATACATCATGAAATACTATGCAGCCATAAAAAAGGATGAGTTCATGTCCTTTGTAGGGACATGGACGAAGCTGGAAACCATCATTCTGAGCAAACTATTGCAAGGACAAAAAACCAAACAACGCATGTTCTCACTCATAGGTGGGAATTGAACAATGAGAACACATGGACACAGGAAGGGGAACATCACACACCAGGGCCTGTTGTAGGGTGGGGGGAGGCGGGAGGGATAGCATTAGGAGATATACCTAATGTTAAATGATGAGTTAATGGGTGCAGCACACCAACATGGCACATGTATATATATGTAACAAACCTGCAGGTTGTGCACATGTACCCTAAAACTTAAAGTATAAAAAAAAAAATTTTTAAGTAATATATTTTAAGATTTTTAACATACATTACCAAGTTGTTCTCTTTAAATGCTTTACATTCCATCATTTACATGATTTTCATCATGATCTTATTAAAAGGTAGATTTTTTTAAATGCCAATTTTGATAGGTACAACTTTTTAAAATTAAATGTGTTTTATTAATGAGAGTTTATTTTTTCATATGACTACACTCATTTATATTGCTTCCTTATGACTTATTTGTTTATATTCTTGGCCCATATTTTAAGTAAAAAAAAACTCATGTTTTTATAGGATTTACAATAATTCTTCCAAGTGTATTAATTCCTTCTCACTAACATTTTAATATTAGTTTGTTAGGGTTTTTGTACGAAATAACATCAAACTCCCAAACAGCTAAAAAAAAAAACTAATTCTTCTTATGTTCTATGTCTTATTGTAGAAAATAAACATGTTTTTATTAGTAAACCTCTATTAATAAACAATTTTGTGGGGAGAAAGTCATTGGACTAGTTTATTTCTGTTG
Organism: Homo sapiens; assembly: GCF_000001405.40. Classification (NCBI taxonomy): domain Eukaryota; kingdom Metazoa; phylum Chordata; class Mammalia; order Primates; family Hominidae; genus Homo; species Homo sapiens. The sequence continues at coordinate 29,900,108 of NC_000011.10, forward strand.
TTAGGGTGATAATATACCTGCTAAACATAAATTATCTGTGTTTGAAAAAAACAAATCCTGGGGTTTTTCTTGCTAGCAACATAAATGCATTCATTATATGACTCTAAATTACATAAATTCTGCATTCTTACATCTCATCTAAACAAGAACTTATTTATTTTCTTGAATAGGAGTCTAAACCAGCATTACCAAGACCCTGAGCTTCTCAGATATAGTTACTATCCAAATATAAGAAACCAGTTATTAAATCAAGTTTCAAATACCAATAGACATTCCTAGAAGTAAATTAGCCTTTTATTCTCCCTTATATTTCAGCCATTTTGACCATTTTTTGTGATCTCATCACTAACCCTGATTAAGGCAATTTAGACCTTATGGCTTTTTAAAAGCATTTCTACATACATCATTATGATCTCCAGGAACTTTAAAATGCTTCTGAAATCCAAGTGTCACTCTGAGCAAGTCTGAGTAGTGCTAATTCCATGATTTACAGAATTGGCCTGCTTTGGACTTGATAGCTCTGCCTCAGTGATGGATTGGCCAGGCCTGCTGTTTAGAACATTTATTGTATTATTTCTAATCAACCTTTCTTTTTTTACTGTCACAATAATTTCCAAATTTTGGCTGACTGCCTCACCACTCAGTGCCAGTATCCTTCATCATAAAACATGCAAAATGATAAAGTTTCAACAATTGGTAGCACTTTGAAGTCAAAGGACTTGTTGATTCATCCTTGCCATATTAGCCTTTTTAAAAAAATTATACTTTAAGTTCTGGATGTGCAGAATGTGCAGGTTTGTTACATAGGTCTACATGCACCATGGTGGTTTGCTACACCCATCAACCCGTCATCTACATTAGGTATTTCTCCTACTGCTATCCCCTCCCCTAGCTCCCCAACTCCCAACAGACCCCAGTGTGTGATGTTCCCCTCCCTGTGTCCGTGTGTTCTCATTGTTCAACTAGCACTTATGAGTGAGAACATGTGGTGTTTGGTTTTTGGTTCCTGTGCTAGTTTGCTGAGAATGATGGTTTCCAGCTTCATCCGTGTCCCTGCAAAGGACATGAACTCATCGTTTTTTATGACTCCATAGTATTCCATGGCATATATGTGTCACATTTTCGTTATCCTGTCTATTATTGATGGGCATTTGGGTTGGTTCCAAGTCTTTGCTACTGTGAACAGCATACTACAGGGATACAGTAACCAAATCAGCATAGTACTGGTACCAAAACAGATATATAGACCAATGGAATATAACAGAGGCCTCAGAAATAATATCACACATCTACAACCATCTGATCTTCAACAAACCTGAGAAAAACAAGCAATGGGGAAAGGATTCCCTATTTAATAAACTGTGTTGGGAAAACTGACTAGCCATGTACAGAAAACTGAAACTAGACCCCTTCCTTACACCTTATACAAAAATTAACTCAAGATGGATTAAAGACTTAAAAGTAAAACTTAAAACCATAAAAACCCTAGAAGAAAACCTAGGCAATACCATTCAGGACATAGGCATGGGCAAAGACTTCATGACTAAAACACCAAAAGCAATGGCAACAAAAGCCAAAATTGACAAATGGGATCTAATTAAACTAAAGAGCTTCTGCACAGCAAAAGGAACTATCATCAGAGTGAACAGGCAACCTACAGAATGGGAGAAAAAATTTGCAATCTATCCATCTGACAAAGGGCTAATATCCAGAATCTATAAGGAACTTAAATTTACAAGACCAAAAAAAAAAAAAAGTCAAAAATTAGGCAAAGGATATGAACAGACAGTTCTCAAAAGAAGACATTTATGGGGCCAACAAACATACTAGCCATTTTACCTCTTCTCTAATGGGGGCTTTTTGTGTCTCATCAGGAACTTAGTTTGCATCGGTACTGCCTTAAGGCTAAGGAGGATAGGGGCACAACTTTCAGAGATGTCTGGGAATACACACCCATCTTCCCACCCAACAGCAACTCTCAACCTCAGTGTAAGCCCAAGTAGGTCAGGAGGTAAAGTTTTTGTACAATTTTTACCCTGTGGATGATTTTTGAGTACTCATGATCTTCAGAGATTGTGCTAAATACTTTTCAAGTACATTCTGTTTAACTCTCAGAGCCATATGAGGTATATACTATTATTATCTCAATTTTGTAGGTGAGTGAACTGAGGCATAGAGTTATTCTGTAACTCACTCAAGGTTATACAGCCACAAGGATTGGGTTCCAAATTTGTACCCAGGCAGTTAAAATGTAGAGTCTGCTCTTAAGTACTATGCTAAAAATATAATTGGCAAAATTAAAATGTAAATAAAAACTGAAAAACAATATTTTAATATATATAATGTATTATCACCCTTAGAATGTAAAGAATTAGAAAGAACAGGAAGATGCATTTTATGACAGAATTTTAAAAGCTAATAAGCATGTTAAAAAGCTCAACCTAAATGAGTAAAATGTGTGTGTATGTGTGTTATGTAGCAAACTGGCAAATTTTAAAAAAATAGTAATATATACTATTGGCCAATATGTAAGGAAAACTTCCAAATTCATAAACCATAACTATACAAAATGTTCCTCATCTTTGGAAGAAACTTGTCATTAAAATTGCCTATCCTTTGCTCTGATAACTTTAAAATTAAGATTTTATCCCAAGAAAATCACTGTGGATGTGTACTGAGATTTATCTATAGGGATGATCATTACAACATTGCTTATTATAATACTGAAAAATAAACCTTAAATGTCAAATATTAGAGGTGGTTAAATAAACACCTAAATGATAGATATTATTGATCATTAATAAATGGTATGATGAAAGAACAGCAACATAGAAAGGTTTATAATTGGAAAAACTGGATAGTCATATGCAAATGAATGAGATGGGATTTTATCTTATACTATACATAAAAATCAACATAAAATAAATTCAAAAGATTTAAATGTAAAACCTGAAACTGTAAAACTCCTAGAAGAAAACACAGGGAAAAATCTTCAACACTGGCTTTGGCAAGGATTTCCTGGATGATGATGACAGAAGTATATTAAATATTAAACAAAAACAAAAATAGACAAGTGGGACTACATTAAACTTAAAAGGTTTGTATGGCAAAGAAAATAAGATAAAAAGACAACCTACAGAATGGGAGAAAATATTTGCAAGCCATATACCTGATAAGGGGTTAATACCCAGGATATATAAAGAATTCATATAATTCAATAACTGAAAAACAGGACAAAGGCACTTAATAGACATTTTTTCAAAGACTACATACAAATGGCCAACTGTTATATGAAAATGTGCTCAATATTACTGATCAGAGAAATACAAATCAAAATCACAAGAAGATATCACTCTAAGATTTCAAAAAGATATCACTGTTAGGATGGCTATTATTAAAAAAAAAGATAACAAATGTTGGGAAGAATGTGGTGAAAAGAGCACCCTTGTACACTTTTGGTGGGAATGTAAATTGCTGTAGTCACTATGAAAAACTGTATGCTGGTTCCTCAAAAAGTTTAAAATAGAGCTACCCTATAATCCAGTAATCCAACTTTTGGATACATTAATATATTTAAAAGAAATGAAGACAGGATTTCAAAGAGATAGCTGAACTCCCATGTTCGTTGCAGCATTATCCACAATAGCCAAAATATAAAAGCAACCTTAATGTCTGTCAATGGATGAATGAAAAAAATATATATATATAGATATATATGCACACACACACACATACATATACACACACACTTGAATGTGAAATATGTTTTTAACATATATACACACATACATAAGTGATTCAGCTATAAAAAAAAAAGGAAATCCTGCCATTTGTAACATGTACGGACACAGAGGACATTATGCCAATTGAAATAAACCAGACTCAGAAGGATAAATACTATGTGAACAACTCATATTATGAATTTAAAGTAGTCAAATTCATAAAATCACACAGTGGAATCATTGCCAAGAGCTGAGAAAAAAAAAGGAAATATTCATTAAAAGGTACAAAGTTTTAGTTACACAAGATGAGTAAGTTCTAGGAATCTACTGTACCAAACAGCGCCTATAGTTGACAATGTGGTATTTTATAGAGTTGACCATTGAACAACATGGATTTGAGCTTCATGGGCACATTAATACTCAAATTATTTTCAATAAATATATTGGAAAATTTTTTGAAGATTTGCAAAAATTTGAAAAACCTGGCAGAAAAACTGCATAGCCTGGAAATATTGAGAAAATTAAGAAAAAGTTAGATATGCCATGAATGCATGAAACATATATAGATAGTAGTCTATTTTATCATTTACTACCATAAAATATACACAAACATAAAAAGTTAAAATTTATCAAAACGTATGACACAAACTTATGGATGGTACATGATGCCATTCTCAGTTGAGGAAAATGTAAACAAATGTAAAGATGCAGTATTAAGTCATAACTGCATAAAATTAATACATACTGTACCACTGTAATAATTTCATAGCCACTCACATATACACCATGGAATACTATACAGCCATAAAAAGTGATGAGTTCATGTCCTTTGTAGGGACATGGATGAAGCTGGAAACCATCATTCTCAGCAAACTATTGCAAGGACACAAAACAAAACACCGCATGTTCTCACTCATAGGTGGGAATTGAACAATGAGGACACATGGACACAGGAAGGGGAACATCACACACCAGGGCCTGTTGCGGGGAGGGATAGCATTAGGAGATATACCTAATGCTAAATGACAAGTTAATGGGTGTAGCACACCAACATGGTACATGTATACATATGTAACAAACCTGCACGTTGTGCACATGTACCCTAAAACTTAAAGTATAATAAAAAAAAATTTCATAGCCACCTCCTGTTGCTTTTGGAGTGAGCTCAACTGTTGCCAGTATCTGCTTAAAATGCTGTGTGATGCTAATCATCTCCACATGAGCAGTTCTTCTCTCCAGTAAGTTGAGTATCACAGTAAAAAGATTTCTGGCAGTTCTCATGTATTTTTCATTGTGCTTATTGTAATACCATAAACTTTGAATAACACCATGGGACCCATACAAAGTACAACTAATGATGTTGAAATTGCTCCCAAGAAGCCACGGCATTACAAGAAAAAGTTAAATTACTTGATATGTACCATATAATGAGGTCTGAAGCTGCAGTTGCCTGCCATTTCAATGTAAATGAATCCAGTTTAAGAATGATTATTAAAAAAAGAAACTTTGTGATGCCTTCATTGCAGCTAATGCCAGCAGGTCCAAAAACCTGACATTTTTATGAAATATCTTCTTATCTGTTATTGAAAATGTAGCATTTATGTGGGTAAAGGATTGCTGCAAAAAAAGGCTTAACTATAGGGTATAATATGTTTTGGGGAAAAGCAAAGTCAATACATGACAACTTAAATCAAAAAGAAAATAACAGATCTAGAGCTGAAGAATTTAATGCCAGCAAAGGATGGTTTGATAATTTTAGAGAGGTTTGGCATTAAAAAAATTGTCAAGCTAACAGGAGAAGCAGCTTCTGCTTACCAAGAGGCAGTAGATGAGCTCCCAGAAGCCATTAAGAAAATCATTAAGGAGAAAGGATATCTGTCTGAACAGGTTTTAATTCAGACAAAAGTGTCCTATTCCGGGAGGAAAAAAGTCAAAAACATTTATTAGTAAGGAAGAGAATTGAGCACCACTATTTAAGGTAGGAAGGGATAAGCTAACTCTACTGCTTAGTGCAAATACAGTCAGATGTGTATTTAGGACTGCCCTTATCTCTAAAGCTGTGAACCCCAGAACCTCGAACGGAAAATACAAAAACAGCTATCAGTCTTTTGATTGTACAAGAAGACCTGCACAACAAGAACCTCTTTTCTGGACTACTTCTATTGATGCTTTGTCTGGAAATTCTGCTGGAAAAAAAAAAAGAAAAAAAAAAAACTAGACTGAACCTATGACTGTACAACTGATTGGGGTACCTGAAACAGATAGGGAGAATGGAACCAAGTTGGAAAACACACTGAATATCTCTGCATTTCCTGAATTTGAATATTGGCCTGTCTTGCCAATATTCAAGTGGAAAACACACTTGAATATTGGCAAGACAGGCCAATATTCAAATTCAGGAAATGCAGAGAACCCTAGTAAGATACTTCACAAGAAGGTCATCCTCAGGACACAAAATCAAATTCTTCTAGGTCTATATGGAAAAAAAAAAGAAGTTAAAGGCAGCTAGAGAGAAAGGTCAGATCATCCACAAAAAGAAAGTCATTAGACTAACAGCAGACCTCTCAGCAGAAACCCTACAAACCAGAAGAGATTGGGGGCCAATGTTCAACATTCTTAAAGAAAAGCATTTCCAGCCCAAAATTTCATAACTGACCAAACTAAGCTTCATAAGCGAAGGAGAAATAAGATCCTTTTCAGATAAGCAAATACTGAGGGAATTTGTCACAGCAGGTCTGCCTTAAAAGAGTTCCTGAAGGAAGCACTAAATATGGAAAGGAAACACCATTACCAGCCACTAAAAAAAAAACACACTGAAATACAAAGACCAGTGACACTATGACACAACCACATAAAGAAGTCTAGACCAGCTAGAATCATGACAGGATCAAGTGTACATGTAATAATACTAACTTTAAATGTAAATGGGATAAATGCTCCAATTAAAAGACACAGAATGGCAAGCCAGATAAAGAGCCAAGACTTATCAGTATGCTGTCTTCAAGAGACCCATCTCACATGCAAAAACACACATATGCTCAAAATATAGGGATGGAGGAAAATTTACCAAGCAAAGGGAAAACAGAAAAAAGCAGAGGTCACCATCCTACTTTCTTAAAAAACAGAATTTAAACCAACAAAGATCAAAAAGACAAAGAATGATATTACATAGTTGTAAAGGGTTAAATTCAATAAGAACTTATTATCATAAATATATGTGTACCCAATACAGTAGCACCCAGATTCATAAAGCAAGTTCTTGGAGACCTACAAAGACACTTAGACTCTCACACAATAATAGTGGAAGACTTTAACACCCCACTGACTATATTAGACAGATCATTGAAACAAAAAATTAACAAATATATTCAGAACCTGAACTCAGCTCTGAATCAAGTGGATCTGATATATACAGAACTCTTCACCCAAAAAGAGAATATACAGTCTTCTCATTGTCACATGGCACTTACTCTAAAGTTGATCAAATAATCAGAAGTAAAACACTCCTCAGCAAATGCAAAAGAGCTAAAATCATAAACAGTGTCTCAGACCACAGTGCAATCAAATTAGATCTCAAGATTAAGAAATTCACTCAAAACCATACAACTTCATGGAAACTGAACAACCTGCTCCTGATTGACTCTTGGGTAAATAGTGAAATTAAGTCAGAAATCAAGAAATTCTTTGAAACTAATGAGAACAGAGACAACGTAACAGAATCTCTGGGATACAGCTAAAGCAGGATTAACAGGGGTATTTATATCAATCAATGTCCACATCAAAGAGCTAAAATGATCTCAGGTTAACAACCTAACATCACAACTAAAAGTACTGGAGAACCAAGAGCAAACACCAAAGCTAGCAGAAGAAAAAAAAAATAACCAAGATCAGAGCTAAACTGAAGTAGACAGAGACATGAAAACCCCTTCAAAAAAACTCAGTGAATCCAGGAGGTTGCTTTTTGAAAAAATTAATAAAACAGATAGTCTTCTAGCTAGACTAATAAAGAAAAGAAAGAATCAAACAGAACCAGAAATTATAGGGGGCATATCACCACTGACCCCAAAGAAACACAAAGAATCACCAGAGAATACGATAAACACCTCACGTAAACTAGAAAATCTAGAAGAACTGTATAAATTCTTGGACAAGAACCCCTCCCAAGACTGAATCAGGAAGAAATTGAATCCCTGAATAAGCCAGTAATAATTTATGAAATTGAGGCAGCATAAAATAGCCTACCAATCAAAAAAAAAAAAGAAGCCCAGGACCAGATGGATTCACAGCTGAATTTTACCAGAGGTACAAAGAAGAGATGATACTATTTCTATTGAAACTATTCTTAAAAAACGAAAAGGAGGGATTCCTCTCTAACTCATTCTATGAGGGCAGCATCATCCTGATACCAAAACCAGTCAGAAATAAATACAAAAAAAAAAAAAAAGAAAAAAAGAAAACTTCAGGCCATTATCCTTGATGAATATCAATGATGCAAAAATCCTTAATAAAATACTGGTAAACCGAATTCAGCAGCACATTAAAAAGCTCATCCACCATGATAAAGTTGGCTTCATTCACAGGATGCAAGGTTGATTCAACATACACAAATCAATAAATGTGATTCATCACATAAACCGAACTAAAGACAAAAACCACATGATTATCTCAATAGATGCAGAAAAGGCCTTTGATAAAATTCAACGTCTTCATGTTAAAAAAAACTTTCAATAAACTAGATATTAAAGGAACATGCCTCAAAATAATAAGAACCAAATATGACAAACCCACAGTCAATATCATATTGAATGGACAAAAGCTGGAAGTATTTCCCTTGAAAACTGGCACAAGAAAAGGATGCCCTCTCTTATCATTCCTATTCAACATAGTATTGGAAGTCCTGGGCAGGGCAATCAGGCAAAAGAAATAAAGCATATTAAAATAGGAAGAAAGGAAGTCGAATTATCTTTCTTTGCAGATGACATGATCCTATATCTAGATAACCCCATCATCTCAGACCAAAAGCTTAAGCTGATAAGCAACTTCAGAAAAGTCTCAAGATACAAAATCAATGTCCAAAAATCGCTAGCATTCTTATAGACCAACAACAGGGAAGCAGAGAGCCAAATCGTGAATGAACTCTCATTCACAATTGCTATAAAGAGAATAAAATACCTAGGTATACAGCTACCAAGGGAAGTGAAGGATCTCTTCAAGGAGAACTAAAAACCACTCCTCAAAGAAATCAGAGAGGACATAAACAAATGGAAAAATATTTTATGCTCATGGATAGGAAGAATCAACATCATGAAAATGGCCATACTGCCCAAAGTAATATAGTGATTCAGTGCTATTTCCATTAAACTACTACTGACATTCTTCACAGAATTAGAAAAAACAATAATTTTAAAATTTATATGGAACCAAATGAGAGCCTGAATAGCCAAGATAATCCTAAGCAAAAAGAACAAATCTGGAAGCATCATGCTACCCAACTTCAAACTATACTACAAGGCTACAGTAACCAAAACAGCCAGGTACCGGTACAAGAACAGAAATGTAGACCAATGGAACAGAATATAGAACTCAGAAATAAGATCACACACCTACAACCATCTGATCTTTGACAAATTTGACAAAAACAAGCAATAGGGAAAGGATTCCCTATTTAATAAATGGTGCTAGGAGAACTGGCTAGCCATATGCAGAAAATTGAAACTGGACCCCTTCCTCACACCACATATAAAAATTAACTCAAGATTGATTAAAGGCTTAAATGTAAAACCCAAAACTGTAAAACACTAGAAGAAAATCTAGGCAATACCATTCAAGATATAGGCATTTTGACAAAAATGCCAAAAATAGCAACAAAAGCAAAAGTTGACAAATGGGATCTACTTAAAGACCTTCTGCACAGCAAAATTGTGTATCATCAGAGTGAACAGACTACCTACAGAATGGGAGAAAATTTTTGCAATTTGTCCATCTGACAAAAGTCTAATATCCAGAGTCTACAAGGAATTTAAATTTACTAGGAAAAAAAACAACATATATATACCATGGAATGCTATGTAGTCATAAAAAATAATGAGTTCATGTCCTTTGCAGGGACATGGATGAAGCTGGAAACCATCATTCTCAGCAAACTAACACAGGAACAGAAAACCAAACATCGCATATTCTCACTCATAAGTGGGAGTTGAACAATGAGAAAACACGAGCACATGGAGGGTGGTGGGGGTCAAGGAGAGGGAGAGCATTAGGACAAATACCTAATGCATTAGGGGCTTAAAACCTAAATAATGGGTTGACAGGTGCAGCAAACCACCATGGCACATGTATACCTATGTAACAAACCTGCACTTTCTGCACATGTATCCCAGAACTTCAAGTAAAATAATAAAACTACTTTCCTCAAAAAATAACAACAATCCCATTAAAAAGTGGGCAAAGGACATAAACAGACACTTCTCTAAAGAAGACATACGTGTAGCCAAGAAACATACAAAAAAAAAGCCTCAACCATCACTGATCAATAGAGAAATGCAAATCAAAACCATAATGACATACCGTATCATGCCAGTCAGAACGGCTATTTAAAAGTCAAAAAACAAAAGATGCTGGAGAGGTTGTGGACAAAAAGGAACACTTTTACCCAGTTGGTGGGAGTGTAAATCAGTTCTATCATTTTGGAAGACAGTATGATGGTTAATAGAGTGTCAACTTGATTGGATTGAGGAATACAAAGTATTAATCCTGGGTGTGTCTGTGTGGGTGTTGCCAAAACAGATTTGAGTCAGTGGGCTGGAGAAGGCAGATTCACTCTTAATCTGGTGGGGACAATCTAATCACCTTCCAGCAAATATAAAGCAGGCAGAAAAACATGACAAGGAGAGACCTAGGCTCCCAGCCTACACCTTTCTCCTGTGCTGATTGCTTCCTGCCCTTGAACATTGGACTCCAAGTTCTTCAGTCTGGGGACTCAGACTGGCCCTCCTTGCTCCTCAACTTACAGGCAGCCTAATGTGTGACCTTGTGATCATGTAAATTAATACTTAATAAACTCATATATAGATATGTAATATATATATAATAACTAGTAAAAGTATTTTCTTATGGTTTTCTCAATGTTTTGCTTTTTCTCTTTTACTTTATTGTAAGAATACAATACATAATACATACAACATATAAAATATGTTTTAACCAACTGTTTTTATCCGTAAGGCTTCTTGTCAATGGTAAGATTTTAGTTAAGTTTTTAGAAAGTCAAAGTTACACACAGATGTTTGACTGCATGGGGCCAGGGGGTTGGCACCCCTAACCCCCATGTTTTCCAAAGTTTAATTATTCATAAAAATTTGCTTTAAAAATATAGCTCTTATATTAAGTGTTCTTACCACAAAGTAATGATAAGAAGAAGGCAGGAGGAAGCTTTTGGGGGTGATGGATATATTCATAGCATTGATTGTGGTCATGGTTACACACTGATATGCTTATTTCCAAACTCAAATTGTATACATTAAAAATCTGCAGCATTTTGGATTTCAGTCCTACCTCAGTACTGTGGTTTAAAAATAAAAGAAAAAAAGGGAAAAGGTTATGATAACATTAAGACAAAAGGCTTGAAAAATGTTATGTACAGTGTAGACTTGTATTCCATATATATATTTATCAGAGTAAGAATGGAAGGATATGTACCAATATAACTTTAGTTATAGCTGAATGGTAGAAGTGTGGATGACTTATTTTCTCATTTCTTTTACATTAAACATTCTATAACAGCATTTATTATTTTTACACCTCAAAAATTCTATTAAAATTATTTAAAAAGTCTATTTTGCTCCAAATATAAAATGGACCAATTGCACACCTCATACAAGAGCGGTATGGTTGTTGTATAGAGAGAATGGCATGAGTTATTTATGTCCCAGTTACCTGTAGGAAGCCATCCAGCTTCCACTTTGGGGTGGGGCAGCACTCCATCTGGGGTAGCTAATTAGTGATGATAGCTATAATCTGTAACTTCACTGCTTTGCTGATTGAAAATCCTTTCTTACCTTGTAGAGTGCCAGTTTGTTTTAGAAACTACACACTTCAAGGTTATTCTTCTTTAATGAAGGATTTTTACTTTAAAGTCTCATTTATCAAGCAGATTACCAAATAAATTAGAGGAAGGATGGAAGGATGGAAAGACAGACGTGTAATTTATTTTAGTATAATGCTCAGACACAAAATGTCTGTATGAGAAAGAATTTTCAAGGATAATTCAACTTCTTCATCATACAAATAAGAAACTTAAGTTGGAGCAAAGGGAAAACCTCTGGTGTCTTGGCAAGATATGGATTCAGGTAACAAGGAAGCAACTAAAGAAGAGGCCACTTGGAGAAGCTTGTTAACCCTGGGCTTATTTTGCAGTATTTTCACTTCTGGGTGGCCTTGAAGGATTTCCATCAATATAATATGATTGTCCTAATGATCAAAGCCATCTTTAAATGCTTCATTTTTATCTGTAAAGTCGATGTACAGAAAGGCAAAGCTCATACTGAACTGCTGTCTCTTGAAATTTGCCCTCAGTTAAAATTAATACAGACATCTTAGTGAAACTCAATGGCAACTTGACAGATTTCCTGAAAGTGAAGAACTTACATTTGAAAAAAGAAAAAAAAAACAATATGGAAGACTAAATGCAACTTAAAAGAAGTAAGACTGAAGACTAGACACAAGAGAAGAAACTTACTCACGGTGTTGTCTGTACACTTCAAAACTGCTAGACAACCTATTCATTGTTGGATGGCTCCAATTTACAAGAAGGAATGAGGTGGAAAGAGCTTAGAACTTGAAGTCCGAGACATATATTGAAATTCTAACTTTTGATTGAGTTGAGTAGGTGACATTAGTGAACTCCAGCTTCCCTTATGTGTAAAAATGTGGACAACTCTTATTTTATGAGCTATCCATAAAGATTAGAGGAGATGACATATGTAAATGCATATCTTAATACATCACAGAAATTGTATAAATACTTCCTTCTTATCTCACTCTATTGGCTCTGCTTCTACCTGAGAGCCATTATGGCCCCCAGTAAATATCCTATTCTCCAGTTCAAAAATCCTGTTTTCAAATATTTTTTACTCCTCATGTTCGGAAGCCTGATCATTTCGGTGGTTCTATATACACACTACAATTTTTCAATGCCCATCCTAAACTGTGGGAGCAAAAACTGCCCTCAGTATTCAATCATGGTTGTTCTGAAAAGGAAAGATTAATTGATTCATTCTTAATACAATGCTTTTGATCAGTGGAGCCTCAAATCAAGGTGTGTGTGTGTGTGTGTGTGTGTGTGTGTGTGTGTGTGTGTGTATGTCACTGATTCATTGAGGTTAAAAACCTCTAAGACCTTTTCATGCATAATGTTTATTAATTTTATGTACCAGGTGCGTAATTTTTATGTACCAAGTACTCAGTCCTCTACATGAAGTACTAATTTAATTATCAAAGCAGTCCAAGGTGGCAGTTACATTACCTCCATTTTATGAATTTTAAGACTAACATACAGAGGTTATTTTCAACTTATTAAGTGAAAGAGATAGGATCTGAGCCTATACAACCTAACACCTTCTCAGTAATAAAAGGATAATTAAGATGTCACATAAAGATGACTCATAATCCCTTAGTAAAGGAAAAGAAGCCATTGCTCCTGATATGAACATCTGTACAGGCCACCTTATAAACACGTACGTCATAAAACCGAAACCACAAAATTCACAAAGCAGAATCAAAGGCAAGAGTCAAACAATGGGGAACATATCCTCTAATGACTAGAGCTAGGCTTAGGTAGGGAAAGGAAAAAAGCAAGCAAAGCTTAAACCAAGGTGGTTATGTCTTTTCCATCAACGGGAACAAGAGTAGAACCCATTCCCTTCAAGCCACAGGTTTCTACTGAGGTTCCTTGAAGTGGGCCAATAAGTAAAGGAGGAAGAATCTGAACAGACAGAACCTCCAAGGTTCTAAAACCCAAATTCATTCCCAGGACTCTATCCTCTCTAGTTTCATCACATATTGGGCTTTTTCATAATATTTCATTTGAAAAAGTGGTTGTCCTATTTTGAAAAGTTTGAAACCACTTGTAGAACAAGCATTTGTTTAGGGGTCAAGAGACCAGTGACCTTATATAATTACCTGTGACCTTGGTCACGACTAGCACTTTATCTGAACATCAACTTTAACCCTATCTTACGGGGTTATTATGAAAAACAAACAAGATTTAAGAGGAGTGCTTTTAACTATTAATTATAATATTTAGGACACCAAAACATTAAAATGCTGTGTGAATATGAATGATTTCTATGGCCCATCAGCAAGAGTAATCATTCTTAGCTAAATATAAGAGGCAATAATATTTAAATAGAATGAGATTTTGAGTCAGAAATAATTGGATTCAAATTCCACCTTTATTAGGCTATATGACCATGGGCAAGTTACTGCAGCTTCCTAAACCATACTCCTGTAGCCTGTAAACTAGGGCTACTGACAGCAGGGTGGTTGTAAAGACTTACTTCAATGAAGTTATGTATCCAACATGCTTTCATGCTTTGAACTGGGCACAGGACAAGCTATAAATGGAAACAGTGATGACCTATTAATACTCATATCAATTCTTATCAAGTTTGCTACCTTCTTTGTGAGGAACTCTCAAGGGGAAAATAGACTTCAGGCATACTCCTTTATACAGGAGTGAATCCTGAGCCCCCTCATCTGATCTCCCTTTGTCAGCAAGCATCAATATTCTGTGATTGCTTTGGAGAATAACAGTAACAACATGGCCAACTGCTCCAGCAATGACTCAGGCGTTGTTGTGAAATAAAGCTGGTGCATGCAATGGGAGGCAGTGAAGCTCTCAGGTCTGAGTCACCACAATGCTACAGCCTTCAGGCCCCAATGTTTCCACGTGCCTTCACATCTTCACACCCATATGTCTATACTTGGCCCAAGGACATCTGGAAGCTTCTAGCCTCATTGACCCACCACAATTCCCCCACCACCTGCTACATACTCTCCCACCTATTGATAATCTAGTCATCCCATGCCAGGGCAAGATCAAAAGCCACCTCTTCAGCAAAACCTGCCCAGGTGACCCTATTCAGCACAATGACTCTCTTCACTGAGCCTCCCCTACCCTCCTTCATCTACAAGACATTATAAGCTCATCAATGTTGCCCTTATGACATTCTGCAGCAGTGTTTATGCACACGTGACATTTTGATGTGGACATTTTGACTTGCCTAAGGATATATTTTGACTTGGTCTCAACAGGACAATTGTAGATGCTAAATTTGTTGAGAGGGCAAGATTGTTACATTATTCATTCTATATTCTCCCAAAGTGTAACATACACAGTACATGCTCAATACACAATGAAGATGAAAACATAAAATATGTCCTACTTTTCAGTGTAGGCCTAACAATGTGCTACTTTATAGGACATGCAAAAATTGAGAACGTTGATAATCACTTTATTCATCTCTTATGTATTTTAAAATTCAGTATTTGATGTGAAAGCTTGGCCTCTAGTTAAACTCAGTATCATTAAAGTTTAGTTGAATACTATAAAAAGAAAAGTGATAAGAGTATTTTGATACAACTATTTTTATCATTTTCTCCATTA
Source organism: Homo sapiens (assembly GCF_000001405.40). Classification (NCBI taxonomy): domain Eukaryota; kingdom Metazoa; phylum Chordata; class Mammalia; order Primates; family Hominidae; genus Homo; species Homo sapiens. The sequence continues at coordinate 29,915,492 of NC_000011.10, forward strand.
AAGATCAGCTGATACATCTATGTGTTTCTAAAACAGTAATTTGTAGAGATTTTGGCAGTCAGGCAGTCCTGGCTTCTTTTGAATTTGAGTAGCTTATTACTCCTCAGAGCTTGCTGTCAACACAAATTAAAGTAACTAAACTGAGCTCATGAACTTCCTCCAACACCAGTTTCTAGTCTCAATGACCCTGCCTTTGTCAATAATATCATATCTATCTAGTGGCTACAAACAAAATTTTGAGTCAAGCACTATGAAGAGAAAACGCCAGATATAAACTGGTAATTTTTACCCATAAGCATTTAACAATTGCCGTTGAAATTTTATGCAAAGTGTTTTTTTTCTCACCAATTTTTTTCTGTCCATCCTCCTAGATACAGACGTTCTCCTTGCCCCCAAACCATCTCCTTGTACTTGGATAACAGCAGAGGTCTCTTGTCAGCCTCCTTGACTTTAAGCTCACTTGATCTGATCTATTTTAAGTGCAGCTTCAAAGCATTTTCTTCCTTAAATAGCACTTTCATAATGTTGCTCCCGTACTTAAAAACCTTTTATGGTTTGTGAGTTCTTACAACTTCACAGCTAAACTCTTCTCCCTGATGCTGTGTAGGTACTTTTTCACTTGCTTCTACACTTAGATGAATTTCTAACACATTTCACCAATACACAATGAAGGTGATTCACTTAGCTCCCACCAACCGTCTGCGCCAAACACTATGTAACATGCTGCATGAATGAGACGAAGCCCCTGATTTGATGATGTCATGATAAACGAGGGAAGACAGCACAGTTAGACTGTCAAAGTACAACCGTGATGCTGGAGTGAGAATATGCCATGCGGGTATAAAATAGGAGGCCAGTAAAGTGGGTTACACAGGTTGGAAGGACCTTACGTTAACATGGCGGAATTGTCCATAACCTGTGAGAACAGAGCTGTCCATGTTGCACATTTTACCTAGTCCTTCACTCATAGTTTACTTTTGTTCAATCTACCCATCCAACAATAGTTAAGTCGTCACTACTTGGTGACTCAAGAGAAGTCTTGATTTGAGTTCCCCTAGAAACACATCTTGAGACAAGGATTCCAGTAAAAGTAGTTCATTAGCGCTGTGATCCCAAGGAAACTCCAGCAGGAGGAGGAAAGAAAGGCACTTGGTAAGTAGTTATTATCAAATAAATTACCACTGTGGATGACCACAGCTTAATCTCACAGGGACAATCCTAGAAAGATAGTATAGAACATACACCTCAGAGCTTTCCCATGTGAGGAGCAAGGAATTTAGGTATTTAAACACCAAGATCTGTCACTTGTTGGTTGAGGCTTGCTCCCGGGACGGTTAATTCTTCAGCCCTTCCAGTCTGCACTGCATTCAGGCAGAACAGCCTCCCTGGTTAGAAGTCCTCAGGTGAAGAGACGCAGATGCAGGTAGTTGGTACTCTTTCTTTGGAGCCTGATTTGGAGGAGGATATGAGCTGGCACAAATAGAAGCTAACAATGGTGCTGCCTCTGCCTCTTACTCTGTATGTGCCTTTGAGATGTAAATTTTATGAATCTCAGTTTCTTCTTTTTTTAAAGGAGAGAGATAGATATTATTGGTGAATTTTCAACTTTTTAAAAAAGATAGCACAGCCATTGATCCCCAAAGAAAATCTTGAATAGAACCCTAGGCCAGGTGTGGTAGTTCATGCCTGCAATCCCCGTGCTTTGGGAGGCCAATGTGGGAGTATTGCTTGAGGCCAGGAATCCAAGACCTCCCTGGGTAACATACCAAGACCTTGTCTCTACAAAATAAAATAAAATTTAGGCAGGAGTGGTGGCATGTGCCTGTAGTCCTAGCTATCAGGGAGACTCAAGTGGAAGGATCACTTGAGCCTAGCAGTTCAAGGCTGCAGTGAACTATGATCACACCACTGTACTCCAGCCTGGGTGATAGAGCAAGACCCTGTCTCTAAAAAAATAACCTGGATATATAAAATAAGCAAAAGTAGAGTTGTTTGAGTTGATGCAGTAGCAGGGAGTCTTAGCTGAGAAATATCTTCTTGGATATTTGTAGTTTTCAGAAAGCAACAAGTAAAATACCCTGAATTACAGGACAGTATCTAAGATCACCCCCTTGTGTCATTGCATCCCCTGCCCACCAACATGCTATGGTGCTTAGTACTTAATTTCATTCTATACCAGAGAAAGAAAGGCAACACTATGCATTCACTGAACACAAACCAGGCACACTGACCAATAATGTATGTACAATCCCTCTAGTGATGGCTCAAGCATGTCTGTATGGGGGAACAGTGACAATCAAGTCAGTATAGTTTAGGGTGCTAGGTTTCCTGAAGCTAGATAAACTAATAATTTTATTTATATTGTACAGCCTATTTACAGTGGCTCTGGGGATGGCGAGAGAGATTATGGGGTGATTAAAATTTTCCAATGTTAACTTTTTGAAACCACCATTTCTTCCATTAAATTTTTATAGATATGTAAAATAGATGTTATTACTGTGATTGCTATCATTACTATAATCATTATTGTTATACAGATAAGAAAACAAGACTCGGGGAGGGGAAGAGTCTTACCCAAAGTTCATAGCAAGTTAATGGCAGAGCTAAGATTCAAGCCCAATTCTTCCTAGCTCTGGAGCCTACCATGCCACGCTACTTAACTATTGCATGTGTATGTTTTACAATACAATTTGTTTCCACAACCAAAGTCCTAGAAATATCTGGCTCACTGATTGTTGACACAGGGGTGATTATGAGAGATTATAAGATATGATTATAAGAGATGATTGACCACATATTAGTAACTTAATATCTATTGAGTTACTGAATCTTACATTTTGAGTTTTTTGCCTGAAGAACCAAGTATGAAAAATCATGATTATTATTTATTTCAGTACAGGAAATCACATATAAATGCTGCAATTGAGAATTAGCTAAAAAGGTGAAGGATTTTCATTTCTTTCATTCTTTAATTCAACACTTTTGGTATGTGCTTTAAGTGATTGAGCCACACCTATACAGCCTATTAAAGACAAAATAGTAACTAAGATAGGGTTCTGTTTTAAATGATGTGTAAGGAGGGAATATGTGGCAAATACATATACTACTATACATCAATTAATATCACCTTACATATGTATATATAATCATTTTATAACAAAATGAGGAAATCACTTCTTGTTGAGATTCAGAAAAAGATCATGGAGAAGGCACTCTTCGTGCTTATTCTTAAGGAATGATTTGGATTTGGGAAATTTGAAACAGAGCATTCTAAAATAAGTGAATGGTGATGCAAGAACACCAAACAAAAAAATTAGTGACATGTACATGTTAGATACAAAGGAAATGAGCATGTCTGGATTGTATGCTTCTGCAGGCAATGGAAAGACATATCGAGAGGACACTGCAGGTCAAGCTTAAGCATCTTGGTTTTTATTCCATTAGCAGTGGGGGGCAATAAAGATTAATATTTAAGGAAGCTGCATGATTGGAGCTGTGTTTGAGATGTATATTGTGAGTAAAAATAACAATCCAAATAAGAATCGACAAAACCTATTATGGGCTTAATATGTGACAGGCATTGTGATGAAATTTTTACTTGCATTTGCTCATTTAGACTTCATTTCATCCTGAAAAGTTTGTGTTATCATTATCTCTCTTTTAGAGATGAGAACACCAAAGCTAAGAGAAGGTAAATAATATCCTAATGACTTAAGGGTTAGTAAGTACAACAGCTGGGATTTAAACTGAAGACATTCTGTACCATGATCACAGATTTCTTATATGAACTACAGACGGAAGAGCTGTTAGGTATGGAAAGTACTTGGAATATTATTACAAAATTGCAGCAAGAACTAGTTTTGCACTAGTAAAGAGATTTGAGTTTTATTCAACTGCATCACCTCCGACCCCAACCATTCCTTCAAACGACAGCATCTAATCTCTGATCAAACCACTTTCAGATACAGGGACTTCAAAACCTTATGCTTCTCCCATTTTACCATCTTAGCAGTCAAAATTTAGAAGTAGAGCTGCCCCCAAATAAACTGGCTGCTTCCAGAGATGGGAACACACTAATTCCCAAGTTTACATTTAGTTCTACCACTTCCCAAGGGCAAGTTCACCAGCCTAATTCTTCATTTCTCCTGTCTCTTCATCTAGGAAGGCATAGTTTCTTCCTAGAAGATAATTAATGACAATCTAAAGGAAGTATATGAAATATGGCCAAGTGCGGTGCCTCATGCCTGTAACTCCCAACACTTTGGGAGGTAAGGGCAAGAGGATCACTTGAACCCAGGAATTTGAGACCAGACTGGGTAACATGGCAAAACCCTACCTCTACAAAATATACAAAAAATTAGCCAGGTGTGCTGGCACACATCTATGGTCCCAGCCATTCGGGAGGATCACCTGAGCCCGAGGAGGTTGAGGCTGCAGTGGGCCATCATCACACCACTGCACTCCAGTCTGAATGACAGACTGAGACCCTGTCTCAAAAAAAAGAAAAAAAAAAATGTGTGTGTGTGTGTGTGTGTGTGTGTGTGTGTGTGTGTGTGTATGTGTGAGAGCGAAATGAGAAATGTTGCAAGCAATCAAAAATCTTAAGCATTTCTTTGATGCTTCTAATCACTAATTCTATTTTTCCTCACTGAGGACATCCAGATAGAAAGACATTCACATGTATAAAGTCCCTTCTAGACAAATAATGGCCCTCAAATATCTCCATGCCTTAATCTCTGGAAACTGTAAATATGTTAGATTACACAGCAAAAGGCAATTTAGATTAAAGATGGGATTAAGGTTGCTGATCAGCAGGCCTTAAAAAATAGGAAGATTAACCTAGATTATCTAGGTGGGCCCAATAAAACCTTAAAATTGTATAATTGCAGAAGAATGTCCTGTCAGGGAGATGCTACATAAAAAGGACTTCGTCCATGATTGCTCGTGTTAAAGGGGGAGCACAAGCCAAGAAATGTGGGCACCACTAGAAGCTGGAAAAAGAGAATGGATTCTCCCCTAGAGCATCTGGAAAGGAACGCAGCCATGCCAACACCTGGATTTTCACCTAGTAAGACACATGTTGCACTTTTGAACTCTATAACTTAATATATTCATATTGTTTTAAGCCACTAAGATTGTGATGATTTGATATAGCAGCTGTAGAAAACAAATACACATATCCTGGTTTCTGCCAGATAAATTGCTTTACTTTCTTCATCCATAGTTAACTTGACCCAGTTTTGAGTGGCTTCCCCAGACAAGATGTTGAAGAGCCAAGGAGAGGAGATCTGAACCTCGAAGAGACTGCCCTGATCAGAACACTGTACCTACTCTGGCATTGTTTGTATATACTCAGAACAGCACGGACCTCTCACCTCCTTTGCTGCAGGCTTTTCTATGGCAATCTATTTTCACCTCAGCATTTAAAAACAACAAAGTTACAGGGCACTATAGAGATGCACTGAAGTGTTAGTCAACTAAGGCATCTAAATTGTTTTCACATAAATTACTTTTTTTTTTTTTTGAGATGGAGTATTGCTCTGTCACCAGGCTGGAGTGCAGTGGCACCATCTCAGCTCACTGCAACCTCTGCCTCCCAGGTTCAAGCGATTCTCCTGCCTCAGCCTCCCGAGAAGCTGGGACTACAGGCGTGCACCACCACACCCAGCTAATTTTTGTATTTTTAGTAGAGACAGAGTTTCACCATGTTGTCCAGGATGTTCTTGATCTCTTGACCTCATGATCCACCCACCTCAGCCTCCCAAAGTGCTGGGATTACAGTCACGAGCCACCACGCCCAGCCCACATAAATTACTTTTAAGGCCCTTCTTCATTTTGGTAGTAACATTTTTGGAATCTCTTATATGGAGAAGATAATGTGTTTGTGACATTAATGGAATAATGAGAAATATGACAGTATCTACTCCATGACTAGGCATTTAAACTGAGCTTTGGCTACTTATTACCAACAGGCAATGTTTTGCCCAAGTTCTCTCCCACCTTGCCAGCTCAACAACCTCCCAAGCAAATGCTTGATTCCAATCCTCCCTGATAACATGTCCCAGAAACTCTTTGTCTCATAAGACATAAAAGCCTGCTTCTCTGGTTTGCTCTGCTCTACTCAGTGACCAGGTTCCAACACTGCCTTATCTTTGAATTTTATGGTTCTAGGAGAGGGTTGTTTCCTTCTCCAGTCTCGGCTCACAGGACACATACCAGCCAGTTCTGTAGCCCTCCTCTCTTCTCCACTTTCCTGTATATAGAGAAGATTCAAAAAGGTGGCATTATCCAGCCAGCACTTTTCCTTGAAGAAAAAGTCAGAGCCAGATATATAAACATCTAGGAGACAACCTCAACTAATGGTTAAGGGTGTGGACTTCACAGGTAAAAGATCAAAGATTTAAAAAAAAAAAAAAAGCAGCACTATATAATAACCGTGGTTGCATTTAACTTACTTCACCCTCTAACCTTCCTCTATAAAACAAACAATGTCATAGGTTTGTGGTAGGAACTATAAAAAGACAGCTCATCCAAAACCCTTAATACAGTGTTTGGATCAGTGTTGGTGTTCAAAATGTGTTAGCCATTTGATAATGAGGCTGCTTATGATGAAGTTGATGATTCTGGGGAGTCATATACATAGTATATTAAAGACATGAGTGCAAACAAAATCGCCAAGGAACAATTATGGAAAGAAAAGTGGAATGGGGGAAAAAAAGAAACCAGAACATTTGGGAACACTTATATTCAGGGTGTGTTAGATTACGTTTGGCATAAATGGCCATAACAACATGTTACTTCAACATGTTTTTCTAGATCCTTGCCACTTCCCCTCCTGCCCTGCACCATCACGAAGTAGAGGCTATTTCTCTTCCTCTTTAACCTGAGTGGGCTTTCTGATTACCTAAAGAAATAAAATGCATAAGTAAGGTTGAGGCTGGACATGGTGGCTCACGCCTGTAATCCCAACAGTTTGTGAGGTCAAGGCGGGCGGATCATTTGAGGTCAGGAGTTTGAGACCAGCCTGGCCAATATGGTGAAACCCCGTCTCTACTAAAAATACAATAAATTAGCCGGGCATGATAGACAGAGCCTGTAATCCCAGCTACTGGGGGAGGCTGAGGCAGGAGACTCACTTGAACCCGGGAGACGGAGGTTGCAGTGAGCCGAGATTGTGCCACTGCACTCCAGCCTGGGTGACAGAGTGAGACTCCATCTCAAAAAATAAAAATAAATAAAAAATAAAAATAAGTCTGCATGACTTCTAAGAATAGGTCTTACCTTGAAATGTGTGCACATTTGACTCCCTGAGCTGCCAAGTAGGAAGTGAGTCTAGCCTGAAAGCATATTGGAAAGTTTAGCACACCATTGTCTGCTATATGGCAACTAGGAAACAACCTAAATAATCTAAGTAAGTAGATCTGCAAACAGAGCATTGAAGTTGCTGCCTGCCTTCTTCTAGCTGCCTATATAGTAAAGTGCAAGAGAAGAGAGATAACCTAAAGAAAGAATTGTTAAATATAAAGGAGCCAGGACTTGCTAGATAAAGAAAACATTTTCATTCTGAGCCTCTCTGGAGGCAAAATAACCCTAAAATTAAGAAATGAATTTAGGACAGAGAAAAAGTCTAGCATACAATCAAGAAAACATGATCTAAAGATAAAACCAAGAATATGACTGTAAAAACTTTTGTCAAGAAAAATTTAAGGTGTTACCTCAAACTGACAAAAGATTTACTAAGAATAGTAAGGCATGTCTCATAGATCCTTTCTATTACACATTGGGCTTCTAAGAATCTGAAGCACATTGTCCCACAATAGTCACACAGGAAGTCCAAAGTAGCACAAGAACTACACTGAAGAGATCTTTGGTTGTGGCTTTTATATAATAGAGTAGATTATAAAATTGATACACTTTTTTAAAAAAACACAGTTTTTAAAGGTATGAGATCAGCTTAGATTGAAAGGGACAGACACAGTATCAAATTAAAGATGACTTTGGACTCTTGAACTTCTGCAAGCAGAAAGCAGGCAGACAAAACTATTAAGCTGCACACACAGACTACGTTTTTAGAAAAGGTAAAGCCAAGGGCTATGAAAAAGTCATTCCCAGACAGTACAACTGAGCTTTAATCAAGAAATTGGCAACATACACCCAGGTACTTTTTCAGAATTACCATGAACCAATGACTGCTGTGCCTCAATTTTCCCTTTTTAAATTGGGAATGTCTACTGTGATTATTTTACCTGTCCCACCATCATATACTGGGTGTGAGAGAGAGGCAGACAGCATGTCACTTTAGTGTAAAAGTCTTAGAACAAGAAGAGATTCCTCAAGGAGTTGTACAGAAGGAACCACACTACAGAGCCTTATCCACACTGAACCTTACTTACATGCCAAGATCCTCGTCTTTGAGCGTGAGCCCAATGTCAAAATGGAATGAGACTTTCTTTGGCAAGTGAGGAGGATGGGGTGTGTTTTAGGGGACCAGGACACAGAGTGAATTTATTTCGCATGAAGAAACCAGAGGGCAGATTGTGGTAAGTTTTATGTTCCCAAGGTGGCCACAGAAATATTTCTTGTTCCACATGCTTTTGAAGAATCTTGCCTCATCCCCAGCAAGTGTGGAGTCTATTTCTCTTCCCCTTGAACCTGAGCAGGACTTTGTGATTGTCTTGATGAATAAAATGTTTCAGAAGTGATAATTCATGACTTCTGAGGTTAGGTAATAAAAGGTTGGTTCTCTCTCCACCCTCTTGCCCTTTTGAAGTCCTGAGCCACCATGCAAAAAGCATGGCTGCCTTAAAGCTGGTGTACTAAAAAACTGTGAGAAGAGACACCATACAGTCAGAGAAAGATGCTCCAGTTTCTGCATCTCCTCCCTCTTTCCCAGGAGCCAGACATGAGTGAATAAGCCTTCAGATGATTCTAGCCCAGCATTCCTGATTGCTGCTTAAGAGAACCTAAGTAAGAACCACCAGGATGAGCCAATCAACCTCCAGAACGATGAGGGATAAAAATAAAATGATTGTCATTGTTTTAAGCCAAGAAGTTTGGAGGTGGTTTGTTATGCAGCGATGGATAACCAGAACGCAAATTTTTCAAACACTGGAGGAAGTGGTGCAGTCACATAATGAGGCAGAACTAAGATGGGAGAGCTTTGTGGCAGCCAAAGGAAGAAATTCAAGAAAAATAAAGTATTCATCATTATAAAAGGCTTCAGAGAGGAAAAAAGAGAATGAGAACTAGAGAAAGGTCACCGAAAATTAAATGCATTTTCCATTTCTTGTCTGGAATGTAAAACTGATTTGTCTTCTAAACATAAAAACAGTATCAAATATAGAAAAGCACCAGCATATGTTCCCTCTACCAGGCTCCTTCTTGTCCCACTCTTCAAATTCTTTTTCTCCAACCTCATCCAAAAACCTGAATAAAAAGGAAAGCAGCTCTCATTATTTATCAACTATGAGCAAGGCAAGCAAAATGTAGGTGATTTACATACATTATTCCCTTTAATAATAACAATCAGTCCATTAAGCAAGCATTATCTTCATGTTACTAATGATTCATATAAGGTTTGGGAAAATTGAATCATTTGAAAACAGACATACAGCTAGTAAAAGTTGGACCCATTTTTTTAACCTTGTCTTGTATGATTTCAACAGGCAGAATGAAGACAACAGTAGTCAGCTCTTTATGATCAGATCTAGTCCAATGGAGACTAAACTGGATTCTGATGTCTTAAGTCCTGGTCCTCTCTGAACTCTTCCCTCCTCCATATGGCATCCTCCAGATGGTTGGGAGCTTGAGAGAGTGATCTGTGGCAATCAGTTTTTCTCTCTTCCCAACAATGCAGGTTCATGTATTACTTCTCCATAATCCCCTGGACTCCAAGAGAACTGCCTTCTGTAGGCACAAATTAAACCTTCTCTATAACAGCATGAGGAAGCTAAGCTTAAAATTCTAAAAATGAGCTGCAGAAAAAGTATATTTAATACAGGAATAAGGTTCCAGATTGTGTCCTGTTTACAAAGGCACATATTGTGCTAATAGTAAAACCAAGTGAGTTCTACTTTTATAATGGTAGCCTAAAATGAATACCACCCACCCACACCCCCAGTCTACCCACACTCATGGTCCATCAGAGCAATTAAATCTTAAATTCACCTTGCTCTGAACTACACAGACAAATGGAATTTTGTGCACATATTTGTGTGGTTTGTTTACCATCTTCTCCAAACTGCTTTACCAATTGCAATGAAAGAACTAGCTCACCCACATATGCATTCTGGGCTTTTAAGTTTTAACTCACAAGATAAATGTACTTTCATAGTGATCTTGGAATAACCACTGAAATGAAACAGGTGTGGTTCATTGCCAGAAGCCACTGCTTCAAACTATACTTGAGTATTCTACGTTCCATAAGACGCTAATAGTTATTCAGTAATAATAGAGTTTTGTGGACAAATAATTTGATGAAACACTGAAGCTCATTTTACTTTCTTGGAAATACACTGCACATTAGCATTTTAAAGATATAGGAAATTATCCAAGGTACAAGTCTGTTTGTACTTAAACCAGGATTCCTGAAATTTGTCCATCAGCTCTTACCTTCATACAATACTTATTATGTTTCTTGTAAAATATAACTCTTCAAGCAATATATTAGAGCAAACACCACTCTGATTCCTTTCAATCAAATAGCTTTGGATCAATTGGTAGAACAATGAAGGAATGAGCTTTTATCCTTTTCAACCTGCGTAAATATCTAATGCTGATTATTGGAGAATATGAGGAAATATAGAAGCAAATCAAATGCTATTAATATGCAGAGGAGTTTGAGAAGAAAACACAAAATTGAATAGATATTCAGTTACTGAACAGAAGTTCATTGTAGTTATTTCAGGGAAACAGTTTGAAATGGTAAAAAAGATTATGGGCTTCAGAGTCAAAATGGTCTGACTAAAATTCTATTTCTACCACTTATTAGCAGAATAAGTGCTTTTTAAACTGGTTAAAAGAAGGTTATTTAATCTCCCTAAGCCTTATTGTCTTCCTTCTTGTACAAAATATGGATAAAAATAGCTACTTTGTAAATGCGGTCATGAGAAATAAGCTATAGTATATAAAATGCCTTCCACATTATAGGCATGAAATGACTAATATTCCCTTTCCTTTCTGGTTAAGTTACTTTAATTCCTCGTTTACGTAATTTTATGTTGTTACAGATAAAATGATGGTCCCATTTGAACTTAAAAAGAACATACAATTTGAAGCTACTGGCATTCAAATTCCAGTTTACACAACTACATAAACCCCTTAAGAACCATAGGGAAAAGGAAAGATAGGCCTCTCTAGGCTATTCTGGTTCATGTTTTGATCATTTCAAACAATCTTAAAGGACATGTCTTAAAGGAAGAACTATTCAACTTTCCTACCAACTCTTCTTGTGCATCTTAAACTTTTCCTTCGCAATGAAGAACCTCAAAAGTGTTCTGCCATTTAAAAAATCCTAGAAAGAGAACTATGTGTCTACATCTATGTTTTCTTACTAAGAGATATGAAAACTTACTAAAATCAAATCAAGTTCTTATCTATGTCATCTTCCTTCTTTGTGGCTCCCACAGCACCCAGCGTAGTCCTCAGCTACTACTATAACTTTAGTGAATAATTATTGTTTTGAGCCATTCGATACTGTAGAGAGGTGCTATGGACTGAATTGTGTCTTCCCAAAATTTATATGGTGAAGCCCTAACCCCAATATGATGGTTTTGGAGATGAGGCCTTTGGAAAATCATTAAGCTTCCCCCAATGATGGCATCAGTGCCTTTATAGGAATAGACACAAGGGAGCTTGTTCACTCCCTCTCCCTCTCTCCATCCCCAGCCTCCATGTGAGAAAACAGCAAGAAGGTAGCTGTCTACAACCCAGGAAGAGAGCCTTCAGCAGAAATCGACCATGCTGACACCTTGATCTTGGACTTCTAGCTTCCAGAACTGTGAGAAAATAAATTTCTGTTGTTTATGCCACCCACTCTATGATATTTGTTATATTTGTTTTGTTAGACAGACTGAACTGCCTAAGACAAGAGGAGTAAGATTTGGAATGCTGAGAACTAAAACTAGTCAGTCAATTTTCCTCTCTGGTATTTTCCCCTTGTGCATTCAAACTCATGTTTTGAAATGCCACTTTTCAGCTAGTTGTCTGAGAGCTGTAGAAATCAATCACCAGTCATTTCCCTTCTGGGTGAGCTCCTGAAAAAAGTTTTTATCAAAACATCTGTGAAACCTAAATCCTAGAAATATCAGATTTTAAACCCAAGATTTTGAAACTTGGGTGGGGTAAGGGAAGTTACAGTTCCATATACAAAGTTTACTATCTGGTGAATCTAGGGAAGGCAAGCACTTACAATTATCAACTATATTATTCTATGACTGTAAGTGGGCTGCAGCAGTGGGTACAGGTACTAATAAAGATAATGATAATATTAACAAGTATTTGCTGGAAATCTGTAACATACTTGTTATTTAATACAGTTAAAAAAAGAAAGTAGACATTTTTTAAAAGATCATTCTCCGAAATAATTCAGCTTTGGAAGACATAATTCAACAAACAAGAGTAAAGAATACAATGAAAATACCTATATCTAAATAGTATTCACATAGGAGCCTTCAGGTCAAATCATAAAATAAGTAATATGCACAAGGTAGTCCACTGGGCATCAAAGAGAAACACAGAACAAATATTGCTCACGTTTTGTTCCAGAACAACTTTTGTTAATTTAAAACATCTTGGAGAGACACTAAATAAATTAATGCATTCCACCTACCAAATGGCAACCCATCAACTATCAAAAGTGAGGTAAAGTTTTAACTATCAGATTAAGATGAATAATGCATTTCAAACAGAAAAAGGGGTATAAGAGATAGATACGAGGATAGCGATATGAATACTTGTATTATAAAACTATAATCTGGATGTCATAAGAGAGGATATAAAAGTTTCTGCTTTATTGTCTCCATCAACATAATTTTTGGTACCCAAATCTTTCAAAGACCAAGATTTCCCCCTGATAGGGTCCAGGATGACTAAAGTGGGCTTTTGAAGATAAAGTTGCCACTCCTTCTATTCGACCTTCAGAAGATGTTGACTGCCTCTGTGTTCTCCCCTATGGCACCAGCTGACCTCTTTCAGGGTGTTGGAGCTTGCTGTTCCCTCAAAGAATCACTCTTTTATGGCCCCTGCACTAACCCCAGGGCTTCTGCATTTGCTGATGCTCCATCCCCATTCCCACAGGAATCGATTCTTCTCTCCATAAGGAAGAAAAGAGTCGCCTCCAACATTGTTATGACTCATGAGATCGCAAACAGGAAAGCCTCATTCTTTCAGGTTCTTATGATGTCCTTGATGTTGTCAATTAGTTAATTGCCTTGTTCTTGTCATTTTCAACAGCTACCCTTCCTGGCATGGAAATCAGCATGTTTCCCGAGGAGCTAGGCCAAAGGCAAAACAGGCAAGATTCTACAGAGAGTGACACTCAAAATCACCTTCCTCCAACCTCAGTGCTCAAGCAGTGTCCCTGAGCTATTTCGCAGATAGACTCTGTTCTAGGAAACTATTTTTCTCTCCTATCTGGTATATTACTTAAACATGACAGGTTTTACCCTTAATGTTTTAGAAGTATCAGTCCTGAGGCTAATCATTGTTAGTTGCTGTGATGACAATTATCTAAAATATCATACTTGGCTCTCCTAGTCATGTTTAAATTCCTTTAAAGAACTCATAGAACAGACACTTTTCGGTCATCCTGACTTTCAATAAGTATATTTAATTGGGAGGCAAGTATTATAGAATTGGTATCTAATACAATGTTATATATAACTTCTATTCTGTGATAAATATTTAAAGGCAGTAATCATAAGTAAAAACCCACTTTCTATACATATAAGGAGTTTTATGAGCTAAAATCCATTTTAAAAAGAGTTACAAATACTGAGATATATAAAATATGTAAGATGCAAACCACTATTGTGAGAAAGTTGAAAGTAAACATGGGAATACATTTCACTTTTAATGTGAAGATCCTTAACACACCCCATGGAAAAAGAGATGAAATGTATTTTTTATGTAAGTGTACTTAAATATTCCAGACAATTTCATCACCAGGAGATTAGAAATATGACTAAGTAAAATAGAATCAACTGGTACTAACTCTGAACACAATATAATAAATGGACAAAAACCAGGTTTGTTGAGGACAAATTTTTATATTTGTTTCTACAGATAGAATGAGAAATGAGAGTTCTCAGAATTTTGGCCACGTACACTCAAGTAAAATGCCTTATTACTGAACAATCCATAAGGAACAAGAAGCCTTGAAATCAAGCTAGACAGAAAATGTGAAGCTATTGACAATTTGTGAAACTATTGACAATTGTCCCTGTAGCATCTCAAATTGAGCAGTAGCAACTTTTATATGCAATAGAGTTACTGTGGTTAGAGATAAATCTCCCTTAAGCCTTATCAGTTATTGACCTATAAATGTGATATGATACATTGCCAAAGATACTGAAATTTCCTATATCTCTTGGGAAACAATGGAAGAAATAAAATTAAAATTGACAACCATTGTAAAGGTTGGTCAGAATTATTTTAAAAATGAGTAATGTATATACTGGGATTTTAATTTTGCAATCAAAGCCCACATTTCTTTTATATACATATCAGTCAGATTTGTCTGAATTAAGTTCATCTAATATATATTTTAAAAATATACATTCCAATGAGGTTATTGTTCAGAAAATAAGCATATGTTTTTCTAATGATTTGTAGAGATAAAGAAGCCCTCCAGCAGCACTGCATTTCAGGATGAGCAGATGGAAAGTTTACTTTTATGGGAGGGTTTTCCAAAGTTGACTCCTCGTAATTCAGAAGGGTAGGAGTGAATGTTATTTTCTGCTCTAAGAGTTAGCACATGTACTGTACAAGTATGACACCCATCATCTCACTGTCACTGCGGGAAGTTTGTAGGAGTATTTGAAAAAAAATGCATCTCATGAGAGCATGTGCTGTTGTATGTAACAATATACTTTGGTGTCTGACTGGTCTCTTGGGCAATTATTGCTTATTTATTTGCTTCCTTTTGCTTTATTTGCCAGCAATTGTTTTGGTTTGCCTGTTTCTTCTTGCATATAAAAAAATTCAGTGATTAACACTAAACAAAGGTAAATTATAGCATTTAAGTTAATCTGATTATTTATACGTGTACATAAATGGTATTGTCAAGCAATTTCCATTGGGAAGTACTATGAATGGGTTGGTAATAAGTCTAGTCTAAATTTCTACTTATGTAAATCTCAAGACAATCAAAGCCTGAAATGTTGCTCTCCATTTTTTCTATTTCTTTCAACTTTGGTAATATGAACACATGATAAAAATGACAACAAGGTCAGTACAACTTTAGCAAAATCATTTTTTGTCATGTCAATGCATTCTGGGCCATTTGAACGTAAAAGTGTCTTAGAGAAAAGCAAAAGCTTTTCATAATAACAGTAAAAATATATCAAAACTCAGAAGTCAACATGATATTAGAAAAAAGAGCACATAGGTTTTAGAATCAGACATATCAGGCTGGGTTGTAATCCCAGCCTTGCTACTTATAATGTGGCTGATAATGGTTTAGATTTGTGTCCCTGCCCAAATCTCATGGTGAATTGTAATCCCCAATATTGGAGAAGGTGATTGGATTATGGGGGTGGATTTTCCCCTTGCTGTTCTCATGATAGTGAGTGAGTTCTCACAAGATCTGGTTGCTTCAAAGTGTGTAGCATCTCCCACTTCACTCTCTTCCTCATGGTTTGGCCATGTAAGATATGCCTGCTTCTCCTTCACCTTCTGCCATGAATGTAAGTTTCCTGAGGCTTCCCCCAGCCCTGCTTCCTGTATAGCCTGTAAAACCATGAGCCAATTAAACCTCTTTTCTTTGTAAATTACCCAGTTTCAGGTATTTCTTTATATAAATAGCATTGTGAGAACAGACTAATACAGTGGCTTTGGGGAAATTAATATTTTTCATTTTTTTAAATGAGGAGAAAAATGGAGACAAATACACTTGCCTCCAACAATTCTACTTCTGGTTATATAATCAAAAGAATTGAAAGCAGGGATTTGAACAAATACTTGTATGCTAGTGTTCATAGCAGCATTATTTACAATAGCTAAAAGGTGACAACAATCCAAATGTCCATCAACAGGTGAATAAAAAATGGTATATACATACAATGGAATATTGCTAAGCCATAAAAAGGAATGAAAGTTTGATACATGCTATAACATGAGTGAAACTTTAAAATTTTATGTCAAATAAGACAAAAAGGGACAAATACTGTACCATTCCACTTATATGAGCTAACTAGAGTAGATAAATTCAAAGAGACAGAAAATAAGATAGAGGTAACCAGGGGCTGAGGGAAGGGAGAAGTGGGAATGCAAAGTTGGTTAATGGGTGAAGAGTTTCTGTTTTGGATGATGAAAAAGTTCTGGAAATGGAGAGTGATGATTAACGCTACTGCATTGTACACATAAAATAGTTAAAATAGTAAATTTTATGTTATATGTATTTTACAACAATAAAAAGGCACTTGCCTCAAAGAGCTGTGAAGATTATATAGCCTATCTTTTAAAGTACTAGCACAAATAGGCATCTGACAAATGCAACTCAACTCACCCCCAACTCCTTTTCCTTTCCTTTTTAGAGAATAGCACACGTGATTTTGAACAATGCTGAGTTAATTTACATTGGCAAAGAGAAAGTAAGAGAAACCAGGGGAGTCCATGTATATTGTCTTGATGAGAAATGTAAACACAAGTATTTTTACCAGAGAACTCCTGGCCCACTAGTGGCCCTTTGTATTAGATTGAAATGGCTCTGCAACTTCTCAATGAGTGATCTACATTCTGTTTCTGTAAATCCCGTGGGTTTTGAAACTATTTAAAATGGTGAGTACAAGTTAAGATTATTTTCCCTTACCAGAGAATGTAGTTTTGCCTTTCTTTGAAGCAATACTTGAAATAAATATAATTCACTCATTCACATAGTCCACAAATTTTTTTTTTTTTTTTGAGACAGAGTCTCGCTCTTTCGCCCAGGCTGGAGTGCAGTGGCGTGATCTCTGCTCACTGCAAGCTCCGCCTCTCGGGTTCACGCCATTCTCCTGCCTCAGCCTCCCTGTAGCTGGGACTACAGGCGCCCACCACCACGCCCCGCTAATTTTTTGTATTTTTAGTAGAGATGGGGTTTCACCATGTTAGCCAGGATTAGACCACAAATTTTTAATGAGCATTAAATGTGTAGGGAACAGAAGGCCCCAAGACTTGTAATACTAAGTCCTTATCCTTGGAAAATGTAGTAAAGACAAGAGATAAAAATAACAGATTTCCTTCTGCCTCCTGGAAATTCCTTAGGAATGTGTTCAAGCTCTATCCACACTATAAAATGCATTTTTGTTGCTTATATTGTCATTAAACTTCACTTCTAGTTACCTCTTCTCTCTAGCTTCTCCTACAGCTCCCAATGGCTGTTTGAAATATGTGTGTCTATATGTATTTATGTATATATACATAGGTATGTGTGTGCATATACAGGTATACACAAACACCTGCAAACATATCAATATATGCACAAATACATATTTGTTTGTGTATCTATAAACACACATACACACACATAAAGAGAGGGAAGGTGAGAGAAAAAGAAGTTACTGGAAATTAACTCTAGTGCCTTCTCTATTACTCTTCTGTCTTTTTATTTGCAAAATAAGTGAATTATGCTAATTTTCTCAAACCCCTCCGATGCTCCTTAGTCTAGTGTACTGTTTCTAACCTAATTATATTTCTTTTTCAAGGTTCACCAACAACTCTCCTGTTGTAGAATCCCAGAATCCAGTGGCCTTTTTCAGGCCAATTTCCTGTGAAGTTTTTGCTGTATTTGACAATGCTACTTTACCCATCATTTTTGAAATTCCCCATACCTTGATGTCTATCCTTCACACAATCTGATTCTTCCTCTTCATCTCAATCAGCTCCTCTGTGTATCACTCCATATTTTTTGTCCTATACCTAAACGCTGCAGTTCTCCAATACTCAATGCATTGTTCTATTTCCTTGTTTCTTTACAGCCTTGTCCTAGAAATGTCAGTTTAGGGTAGCCTATGACCTTCCAAACCATACCTCCATTTTTATCCTTTGGCCTGACTTCCAAAACTTAGTTTTTTAAGATGACTAGTGAAAATTTTCACTTACATGTTTTGTCAACATCAAAAACATTTTCAAAACCCAACTCATTAGTTTTTCCTGACCCTTTCCCCAAATTCATCTCCATAACTTTTTCATTGATCCAACTATTTGCTTGGGAAATTGGACTCAAAACTATCAATTCATCACTGATTTATCTATTGTTAGTTCTTCAACATGATATTCATAAATATTTAGGGAGCCTAAATTCCCACTGACTCCACCCTCACTGAGGTCCTCATCATATTGAGAGGTAACAGCATGCTGGCAGCCCTCCCTCACTCTCAGTGCCTCCTCGACCTCTGCGCCCACTCTGGCCACCACTGGCCATGCTTGAGGAGCCCTTCAGCCCGCCGCTGCACTGTGGGAGCCCCTCTCTGGGCTGGCCAAGGCCAGAGCCAGCTCCCTCTGCTTGAAGGGAGGTGTGGAGGGAGAGGAGCAGTGGCCGTGGGCTTGGTGGGCCAGCACTCCAAATGGCCAGCCAGCACCGCCGGCCCTGGGCAGTGAGGGGCTTAGCACCCGGGCCAGCAGCTGCGGAGGGTGCGCCAGGTCCCCCAGCAGTGCCGCCCTGCTGCCACTGTGCTCGAATTCTTGCCAGGCTTTAGCTGCCTCCCCATGGGTAGGGCTCGGGAACTGCAGCCCGCCATGCCCGAGCCTACCCCCAGCCGTGGGCTACTGCACTGCCCCAGCCTCTGCGGCGCCGGGTTCCATCTACCGCCCAAGGGCTGAGAAGTGTGGATGCATGGTGCAGGACTGGCAGGCATCTCTGCCTGTGTCCCAGGCGTGGGATCCACTAGGTGAAGCCAGCTGGGCTCCTGACTTTAGTGGAAACTTGGAGAACCTTTATGTCTAGCTAAGGGATTGTAAATACACCAATCAGCACTCTGTCTAGCTCAAGGTTTGTAAACATACCAATCAGCACCCTGTTGAAATGGACCAATCAGCTCTCTGTAAAACACCAATCAGCTCTCTGTAAAATGGACCAATCATCAGGATGTGGGTGGGGCCAGATAAGGAAATAAAAGCAGGCTTCCCTAGCCAGCAGTGGCAATCTGCTTGGGTCCCATTCCACAGTGTGGAAGCTTTGTTCTTTCGCTGTTTTCAATAAATCTTGCTGCTGCTCATTATTTGGGTCTGCACTGCCTTTATGAGCTGCAACACTCACCAAGAAGGGCAGCTTCACTCCTGAGGCCAGCGAGACCATGAACCTACCTACTGGGAGGAATGAACAACTCCAGACAAGCCACATTAAGAGCTGTAACACTCACCATGAAGGTCTGCAGCTTCACTCGTGAAGCCAGCAAGACCATGAACCCACCAGAAGGAAGAAACTCTGAACAGATCTGAACATCTGAAGGAACAAAGTCTGGACACACCACCTTTAAGAACTGTAACACTCACCGCGAGGGTATACGACTTCATTCTTGAAGTTAGCGAGACCAAGAACCCACCAATTCTGGACACAAATAGCATGTGTGGATTACTTCAACAGCCCTCAGTTGTCCAGATTTCAATCTTTATTATAAGCTGCTAGAAGACCAATCTTCAATATTATGATGACTTAAAAGTTATGACTTTTTTAAAGATAGAATAATTAGAAATGATCAGAACAGACATTCTTCATGAACAACTCAGATCCATTCATTACTTCTTACTGTCTTCTACATCAAATAAAAAGTTTTGAATCTGGATTTGACATTTTTAATGAACTGAAATCACCCTCCCTACCTATGATCTGCCTATTATTTCCCAGGATATAATTTACATTTAATTATCCAGTTAACCTCATGCCTACTCACTTGTTGGCCATACTTCGTGCATTAGTTTACCCCTCACTCCCTCTGCCTGGTGAAGTTTTGCCACCCCTCTAGAATTAACCAAAAGCATTCTCTTTTATGGAACATTCAGGACTACTTTGCAACCTAATGTCACTTTCCTTTATCTAACATCTTTGCCTGTGTGATGTAATTTAGCACATAATGATATCCTTGATGATTATTTATCCTTAATTCAGTAGCCTCCATTTTGGTATAGTTCAGAATTTGTTTCTAGAGTTTAAATTTTTGCTTTGCTGTCTAGTAGATGCATGGCTTGCAGAAATTTTTACTTCTGAGTACAGTTTGGGTTTCTTCAAAGGGATAACTTTTCATAGTATTAATGGGAAATATAGTTGATATATAATAGTGATTAATTAACTATTGGTGCTATAACAATTAAGAGTGCTTAACCTCACATGTAGTAGCTCAAAATAACACAAACGTACTATCTTAGGAGGTAAGAAGTTTAAATGGGCAGGCAGGCCTGTGCTTATTCTGGAAGCTCTAGGGAAGAATCCATTACCCTTCCTTTTCCATCATCCTAAGGCTGCCCACAGTACTTGGCTCACAGTCCCACATTACTGCAAACCTTGCTTCCATAGTCATATCTCCTCTGAATTTCCTGTCTCCCTCTTTCATTGATAAGGACCCTATGATCTTATTTGAGCTCTCAATATTCCAGGATAAACTTCCCAAATGAAGACCCTTAGTTTAATCACATCTGCAAAGTCTCTTTTACCATGCAACATAACATATTTACAGGTTTTAGGAATGAGAATATAGACAACTTCAGTCTACTGCATATTACCCAATATATATCAGTTCCTTTCTCTCATCGCCTAAATTATAAACTACATAAAGACAAATATGAAACTTCATTCTCCCTTCTGTTGCCTTTCCAACATTTATCATGGTGCAAAGTTAACGGCAGATGCTAAAAGAAAGGACTGTTAATTTTTATCAAACTCTATGTCATATTTGATGGGATTGAATTATTCACTCCTGTCTCCATTACACAGCCCATTTTGTAGGACAGTTACATACAGACCCTACAGGCTAGCACAGAAAACAGCAACAACATATTTCAATCCATCCCCAGTAGGGCTAATTCAAGATTTTCATTTGTCCAGCCCTACAATAACTTTTTTGTTCTAATTTGTTTGGGTAATTTCACCTGACTTCTCAGAATTTTCTTTCATAAAAAATATATAATTTGTCATTTTGTCATTTACAATTCCATATGTCAACTAAGAATTTGAGGAACACATTTATTCCTCATATGAAAATAGAAATTCTATTACAAAGTCATAATTTTTAAATAAATTATTATTTTAGAAAACCAACCTCTAACTACAAATGGTTAAGAGAATATGTTTTCTTTTTTGCTTTTAAGCTTCACAAGGTGGTATACAGTGTCATAGTTCTTCTCTTAAGAAAAAATAAAATATCTTCATTCTCAAATAGTTAAACCATCATATAATCATCTTAGGAGACATGTGAACATAAAAGTCTATACTTCAACATAGAAAGCCTCTGAATTAGAATTTGGAGTTTTCTTCCTTTGATACAGTTTTTTAAAGACACATGTTTCCCCAGGTCATTTCAAGTTTCCTTGGTTGTGAGTTGAGTTTTTTATATTATCCTGAGAACACAAAATTCCACTAAAGCAGTCATCCTGGTCATATCTGTAGGGTCCCCTAGTTTCCCCTGCTTTCTTTCTACATCATGACTGAAAAATCACAAAGTGCCCAGCCAACTGCAGGTGTTTCCCAGCAGGCTTGAACTCAAACCAGGGCCTTGAACATTCCCAGGCACTAATAAAGGTATCGAGATTGTTGCCCAAAACACTGAAAGATATTGGCCCCAACCCTGAGCCAAATTCCTTAAGCCTTCATGTATACTCCATACCTGCTCACAGCGGGCATACCACAGTAGAACATTCCTATTCTCTCACTGTCCATCACGAGGACATACAGCAGCATTCTGTGCATAAGTTCCCCTGATAAATCAACCCGGTGGCTTCGCACTTCTTTCTTTGGAATCCCAATCAGCACCACAACAAGATGGTTGGGTTACTCCCTTGTGGGAATTCCCCTGCCTCTGCTTTTGGGGCAGTGCCAGCCTCTGGGTCAGCAGTACAAAACATCAACTTACCTATCACCACTGAAAATGAAACATCAAAAATGCCTCTGAACATGAACATCTGTAGAAAACACACACAGTCATGTGCATACACACACACACAGTTGTGAATGAAAACAAACAAAAAAAAATGAGTCTAACTCAACCACCAACATAATGTTACAGAGGTCACTTAAAAATCGGGAACTCATACCTAATCATTTGACTCTATGCCACGTTCAAGCCCAGAAAGTCTTTCACTGGTAGAAATGTCCCTTGGTGCCTAAGGAATTTTGCATTCACAAATTAGCAAAAGATAATGTGTCACGCTTTGACCTTCTTAGACCTTACTTGGTTGAGTCATATTTCTAATGTTGTTTTAATGTGATTTTCTGAATTGAATTAATTGTTAACTTGTTACAGTGTGAAGACTATTAAAAAAAAAAAAAAAAAAAAAAACTAGGATTTTATCTGTTTCCATTTCCTACTACTGGGTGTTACTGTTCCCTGAGGAAAATAGCCACCAAGGCATCAAAGCTTTCACGGGCAACAACAGAAAAACTTATTACCAAGTTTTGCCATCAGACCAAAATGCCAAGTTACACACGATTGTCTGCCTCTTTCTCTACCAGAAAGAAAACAAACAAACTCAGGGCTTGATATAATGCTAAATCTTTTCATGACATCAAAGGTTCCATTTTAGATTAATTTTCTTCCTACATTTGAAGATTATACATTATGTATAATTTATTTTATAATTTATAATAAAAAATAACATACATAAAATTCTAGAAAACTTAAAAGATGGTTACAGAAGCTCCAACCATTTCTATCTGGAGAAACTTAACTTCGCATACTACAAAAAAAAAATCTCTTTTACAAACCATCCACCCCCTCCCCCACATAAATATATAACTTCTCGTCTAATTGCCACATCATTTTAAAATTTTAATACATTTTCATTCCAAATTAAATTTTAACTGTAAGCACTGGATGTGGAAAGCCCCTGTGTAAGTTGTAGTGAGAGATTTAGATCTGAACATGGGCTTTACCTGCAAAGAGCTAAATGTAAAAATAGAGTGATAAAAAAGAATCTCTAAAACTCATATCTTAGAATTATATCCCTTTGTTGATCGAACCCCCCAATGGAGAAACTACCCATATTATATACAGAAAGTAGCTTCTGGGAAAAACAGAAAGGTTAAGTCAATTTTATCATCCTTATAAATGATAAAGTTATATATATATATATGTATATGTGTATATATATATGTATATGTGTGTGTGTGTGTGTGTGTATATATATATATATATATATATATATTGAATACCAACCAAGGGCAGACTAAATATATTCTATTACATTTTCCTGCAGAATTTCCATTAAAAGTACAAGAGAAAATGTATCTATCCACAAAGGAATCTAGCAGTAAAGGAAAAATGCAGTACCTTTGTGTAGAACACAGGGTCTTGAAATATCTGACCCCCATATTTTTGATCTCATAAAGCAGGAAAATGTTGAGGACAGGAGAATTCCTGCTGAGAACAAGAGAGCGACAGAGAGTTCTCTACTCACACAGTTTGGGTGGACTCTTCTCAGGAGCCAGGAGGTCTTCTACTGCAATGATCTAACCTCTGCTGGCCCCCTAACCACTGACTCACTTATCCACAACAATAATTGATTTCTCTACTATAAATGCAGCTAAAGGAAAAGACAGGAAAGGAGTTTTTAAGTTCATTTTAAGTAAATATTTCCAAAGAGAAAAGTGAAGTATAAAGTCTATTTCCTCCCCTACCTCTTTCTCTCTGTCCCCTCTCCCCTTCTCTTTCTCTCTATCAGTCTCAGACACAAAAGCTCAGATACTATTTCACATGTTTTTTCTCTGAAGCCAAATAATTTAAGAGCCATGTGCAGCCACACAGAGAGTCATAAAGGTGATAATGATGATATCTTCCTATAAGTCATGTAGGTTTGAAGCTTCCACAGCCCTTTAGAAGCTCACTGAAACACTGATTGAATGGAATGTGTATGTGACTAAAGAGAGAATCACAGGTTTGGTAGTTAAGTGGATTCTCAAATCAGGACAAGGGGAGACTTACATTTCGGCCATCATACTTAACAGTCATGTGCACTTGGGCTAGTTCTTTATCTTCTATAAGCTTTCATTCTCTCTCTTTTAGGTGAAGTGAGGACAATTATACTTACCTTATAGCATTATTGCAAGGTATGCTGCAGACAGTGGTATCACAGCATCTAGAGCCCCATATCTATAATGTAATAACTGCTCAATAAATGTTTTTTTTTAAAGAAACAAGCAAATGCAATATAAGGAAGATTTCTTAAATCTGCTGATATCCTTTTTCTGCTTTGGCAAGTAGATATTGGTGGCTGAGGGTCACAGTGACTTTTCAGCATCAACCTAAGTCAGAGCTGCAGGTTTAGAAGGATTCAATACCAGACTGAATATCTGCCCCAGAACCTGTTTTTTTCCCCCTTCGTTCTTTCCTTCCTTACTTCTTTTATAAAAATCTACATTGAGTAACAACTGTGGTTATATTGTGCTACAGGTTTATGATAGAGAAATAATAATACAGTTAATATTTCAGAGAAGTCCCGGTCTAGCTGGGAAAAGGGAGAAGTCAAATGGTAGTCATAAAATAGGAAATCAGTGTTAGGACAGGTATGTTCTAAGGTGTTTTAAAACATCAAAGGGAGGTCAGCTGAATTGGATCGGGAGATTGAGGGACAGTCTTTGCAACGATGATGATTAAGAAGACCCCAGCCAAAACACATGGACATTCAAAGCTTCTGCCTATACAACACATAACACACTCAGCATAAAATGAGCCTTAAGGCCACGTGTATGTGAGGAACTACTTTCTGGTTTGGCTCAGAATCTTCACTATCAGATTGTCAGGTCAGTACTCCCAGTACTTCAGGTAGCTAAGTATAAAAATGCATGAAAAAGTTATTTAATTCAGAGATTTATGAAGTCCACAAAAGGTTTTGTTGAGAATGACTGTGTTCTCGCTGTGAAATAAGAATGACCTACATTTTACTAGAGAGCTGAAAAAGAAAAACTCATAAAACAAGCTACAAAAGATTTACAGTGTGATCCTGTCAAATTTCACCTCTCTCTTCTCTAAGGAACTAATGAAAATGCTTAGCAGACCAATGTTTCAGCAAGGTTTCCATTTTTCTTCTAGTATGGTCCACATTTTTCTGTTCCACTCTGTTCCTTATTTGCCAGCCTAAGCTGGTGTTACTTTCTTGAATTGGGGTTGTTACTACTATATGATTTTTCAATCTCTATGAATGTGACAGCATTTACTTAGTTTATTATATTTGCAGAAACTAGAACTATTATGTGCTTAGGTGCACACCAAACATTTGATGTATGAACAAATGCCTCCCCCCCAAAAAATAAACACTGAACTTGATAGAAAATTTTTTTAAATCTCTGTGCAGTCTTTTACTCCATGTCTTTCTTTAATCTAGTTTCAGAGCTGTGCCAATGGCAAATATTACATTTTGTTCTTTGTGGCTAGAAGAAATAGGTCTGAATTGCAACTAGAATCCAAAATGAAAATGGAAGTGCCATTGGACAGAACTATGGCTGTTTCTATTGAATCATTTAGGACTCTTGGTGTCTAACCTTGACAACCCACCACTGAGTAGAACACACAGGAACATTAAAGGAATTAAACAGGTGGATTGGATCAGGAGCTGCATTGTATTCATCATGCTGGGGTCTGAAGGGTCATGCAGGGAGTAAAAGTCTGGGGTTGAACCCTGACAGGTCATGTGAGCCATGCCATGGGGTTAGACAAATATCAGGTGCAGTAGGGATGCAATTAGATTCAAAACTAAACTTCGCTGACATTTGTAGAAATTATAAAAAATTATACATTTTAATAGTCCATTTAGATAAAATTAAGTGAAAAAGGCACATTCAGATATTGCTAATTAAAGTGTAGTTTTGTATCAACACTTCTAAAGAATAGTTTAACAAAATATTTCAGAAATAACTTTAAAAATCCATAACCTTTGGTCAAGATTTTTTATTTTGAGGAATTTATCCTAAGAAAAAGTATAGACATATAAAAACATATGTTTGTATCTGCAAATATATTATGTACAATGTTAATTACAATGTAGCTAAAAAAATAGTGAAACATTTAAATAACCCAAATATTCAATATTAGTCTTGATTATCTAAATTACAGCTTATCTATTTAACAGAAGATCACGTAACTGTTGTAAATCATGTTATGCCATATGCATTCTCTTTGGGGACTAAATTGATGCTTCGGGGGAGTTAAAATCTTGCTCTTTCTATATAAAGTGCACAGATATAAATAAGTGCACAAACAGATATACAATGTATCTGTGGTATTAAAATTCCATGGAGGAAGCAATTAGGTAAAAAATGTTTTACACAGCTCCTTTTGTGGGACAATAATGAACCAAACATTGAGAAATACTATTGTAGAAAAATATTTATTGACAAGGAAAATATTCTTGATAATTATAACCGCAGTAATCATTGTAGTTATAACAATATCTAATCAAATGGGCCCAATGTTATGTGCTTTAAATAGACAATATGGTTTAATTCTCAGAAAGTGCTTATGAAATAGGTATTATTCCCACTTCATAAGCAAAGAAAAGCAAAGTGAGAAACACTATTATTTCCCCAGATAAGAAAACTAAGGGTCAATGTGCCCTATGTAACACTAAGAAATTCAGACTGAGGTCTAGATCTGTCTGAATCAAGTAAACATAATCTTAGCAATTATGTAAGTTTCCAAATGTTGTAATGATACACACACACACACACACACACACACACACACGAATGGAAGCATGTAAACCAAATATTAGTGAAAAGTCTATGAAAGTTTAATTTCTTTGGCTTTTATTATCAAATATTCTGTCTGGTATGCATATTATTTTTAATAAAGAATAAGCAGTAAATCTTATGTAAATAGCTAACCTTGCCCTCAAGGACCTTTCAGATAAGCAGGAGAAAGAAGACGTGAAAGCAAATAGGATGTGAGTGGGATTAAGTCCTACTTCAGTCACTCACTAACTTATTTCTTGGGCAAGTTCCCCAAACCTTCTTTGGGTCTTAGATGATAAACAGAAATGAAAATATCTGTGAGGATAAATATGAAAAGAATCAGAAATGGGAAGTAAGCCTCTAACTCCCTTCCCTGCTGCCCCACCAGCCTTGCTCCAGGGGCTCAGATGCAACTGGTACCAAGGCTACAGAGACAATGTCCAAGGTAAGGCATGCGGACATGAAAGTGACCTTGAATACCAGGCTAAGGAATTCAGACAAAACCCAGTAAACGTTCTCTTGAATTAATTCCTAATATCAGTAGGCTCAATTTTCTACTTTTTTTTCCTTTTCTTATCTTTGCTTTCAACCCTCCACTTTTAGAATAGGCTAAGGAAATTTTTAAGTTAACCCCAGGGTTCATATTAATTGAATTTTTTGTTATTTCTTGATATAAAGCTTGCTAGAGATGTCTCCTGCACTAAAGGACTTATTAACAGGGGAAATGGCTCATTCTGCAGCCTGCCAGCATAATTCAGAGCAGCCTGGCACCTGCCTTGTTCAATTAATAAGCAGGTAAGGGTTATATCTGATCACACATTTTCCCTTCTCCTCTCCTCATCCACCTTGAACAATCATTAGAGCCAAATGGGTTCTGTTCTATGCTCCTGGGAAAGGCTTCCTCCCAAAGTCATTCTTCTCTGGATCTCCACTTGTTGTGGCCTTCCTTGGGCAGATGGTGTCTGGAAGGCATGATTGATAAACATGTTTAAATATAGAAGGCAATCTTTTCTGGGTGCCAAGCAATTACTCAACATCACAGATAGGCCTGCCATGGACCAACAAAATAGCTATAGTTTATTATTTCACACATTGAGGAAATGGAAAATTATTAAGAAACCATCAAATGACAGTGTGCCTGTAAAATCTGGAAAACATTTACCAGCCACCATTTGCAAGCAAAGCCGCCAGATTATAGGAAGGCTGAAAGTCACCTTGCCTTCTTCACATGCTGTGGAGTCAGTTTGGTGAGATGCATCTCCTTCTAAGGAAAATAGCTCTACTTCAGAGCAAATTTTAAACTAGCCAAACTACACCTCATCACAACCTGATTGCTTTCTTCCCAGCAACTGACATGAATAAATGTAATAATCATGAGTGTTGCAATTACTTTGACATCACATGGATCAGGTGCCATGTCAAGCACTTTACATACATGGCCTGGCTTAATCCCCATGACAAATACTCTGGTGGGTACTCTTACCTCCCAAATAATAGCTGCAAAAATTAAGGCTCAGGAAGGTTTAATTGTTTAAGGTAAGCTTAACAGTGCTAGAGGCAGAATTCATACCCAGAGGTGTCTGATTCCAAATCCTATGTTTGTTTCACAGGACTAGGATGACCTTCACTTCACTATAATCCACTCAACACAATTCAGGCCTCTTCAAGTCCTCATCATCACAAATATCCTAGCCCTACCCTACCACCTTCTTTAAGGTGTGCCTGCATGTATTAAGGAATACATATTGGAGAGGATCCTCTCAGACAATAAAATGGCTTCAAGTTTTGAAGATTAAATTATGGACACTGCCTAGTGTTTATGAGGAGAAAATGGCTTCAAGTTTTAAAGATTAAATTATGGACACTGCCTAGTGTTTATGAGGAGAAAGAGCTGAGCTGACCCATTTAATATAGAAAAAAAATTGAAACAAAAGTAACAACAAAAAAGATCAAAAGCAGCAGGAAGAGGGTTTTTTTGTTTTGTTTTGTTTTGTTTTGATGGAGTCTTGCTCTGTCACCCAGGCTGGAGTGCAGTGGCACAATCTCGGCTCACTGCAATCTCCACCTCTGGGGTTCACGCCATTCTCCTGCCTTGGCCTCCCGAGTAGCTGGGACTACAGGCGCCTGCCACCACACCAGGCTAATTTTTTGTATTTTTAGTAGAGACGGGGTTTCACCCTGTTAGTCAGGATGGTCTCAATCTCCTGACCTTGTGATCCACCCGCCTCGGCTTCCCAAAGTGCTGGGATTATAGGCGTGAGCCACTGCACCTGGCAGGAAGAGTTTTTAATAAGGACTGAGTTAACCATAATCTAACCACCACATCCCTCCCCTACAACATCATATGTTTATGATCAAAGTATTAGATGTTTAAAAAGAAGTAAGACATACCTACAGAGATGGAAGAGTGTCAGATTTAAATTAAATTCTTATTGTATCATATTTATTTTATTTCTTTTATGTGGATCTATGTTTGTAGAACAATGCTTGGGTACATTTCTCAGATTAGGTAAGGAGATGGGGGATAATCAAAAGAGGAGAAGGTCCAGAAGGGAGCAATGGAAATTTTATGGGATGAGGCTGGGTGTAGTGGCTCATGTCTGTAATCCCAGCACTTTGGGAGTTAGAGATGTGCAGATCACTGAGGCCAAGAGTTTGAGACCAGCCTGGTTAACATAGCAATAACCCATCTCAAAGGGAAGGAAAGAAAGGAAAGGAGGGAAAGGAAGGAAAGAAAGGAAAAAATTTTACGGGATGAAAAAATCCTGCTATATCATACTTTTTAAAAAGTTACTGTGATAGTTAATATTAAGTATCAATTTGATTGGATTGAAGGAGGCAAAGTATTGTTTCTGGGTGTATCGGTGTTTCTGGGTGTTGCCAGAAGGGCTTAACATTTGAGTCAGCAGACTGGGAGAGGAAGACCCACCCACAATGTTGATAGGCACCAGCCTATATCGGCTGTCAGCGTGGCTAGAAAAAGCAGGCAGAAGGTGAAAGAAGCTGACTTGCTGAGTCTTCCAGCCTTCATCTTTCTCCTGTGCTGGATGCTTCCTGCCCTCAAACATCAGACTCCAAGTTCTTTGGCTTTTGGACTCTTGCACTTACACCAGTCATTTTCCAGGGGCTCTCAGGCCTTCGCCACAGACTGAAGGCTGCACTGTCAGCTTCCCTACTTTTGAGGTTTTAGGACTTGGACTGGCTTCCTTGCTCCTCAGCTTGTAGATGGCCTATCATGCACCTTTACCTCATGATTATGTGAGTCAATTCTCCTTAATAAATTCCCTTTCATATATACATATATCCTATAAGTTCTGTCTCTTTAGAGAACCCTAATACAGTTACCTGTTGATGACTGTGTGTTGTGTGTCTACATTTTATGGTTATAAATACAAAAAAAAAATGAAAATACAAATGAAACCCTAGATTTCCATTTGACTTTATAGTCAAAGACATGACAGTAAAAGTGACTCTACAATCACCGGCTTCTCTTTTAGGCTCCTCTGCACCATCCCTGACCAAGGAGCATGAAATTTCACAATATGATAGTCTCTCCATAGCTTAAAACCTGGAGAAAAAATTTGCAAATTATAGTTCAGTAGCCGTATTAATCACAGTTAACCTTAATTAAGCATTTAGTATATGTCAATGTGCTAAGTGTTTGACATCATTACCTAGCTTATCCTTACTACAACCTTGTGGGTAAAAACTATCATTACACTCACTTTACAGATGAAATTAAGTTCAGAGAGTCTAAGTAATTTATTCAGATTCAAGAATTAGGACTTGAGCCCAGGACTGCCCTGCTGAATTATTGATAGTTTTCTGACTTTGATACTTGTTTTTACCCATCTACTTGGCCACTGAGCACTTTTCTCTGGAGATGCCAATAAAGCACATAATGACTCAAATGTCTATTCTTTTTTAAAATATAGCTTTGCACATAATTTAAAAAATTTGTAACAGTAATTTAACAGTGTAACAAATGTCTTATTTGTAACAGCAAGCAAAAATATAAAGTGGCTCAATGTAAACTACTTTTAACATATGCAGTAACTATAAAAAAGCCATAAAATGTTCCATAAAGTTTGGGATCATAAAGGAATACAGAAAAAGAGAGGCAATCTTCCTAGATAAGAATGACTCAATTTTGAAAAGATGAGGCTTTTTCCAAATTAAGGAAGTATTTAACTCAATTCTCAACAAAAGGTCAATAAGATTAGCCAGAAAGAAACTAAAAGGAAGATCTAAAAGTTCACTTGCTAGAAATAAACTAATTAAAATGAATTCAAAACATTTTTCCAAGAAAATTGAGCAGGTAAATATGCAAAACATACTACAAAGCTACAACATTCTTCCTTACTAGCTATTTGATCTTAACATACCTACTTAAACTATCAATGCCTCTGCTTTCTACCTGTGAGCATCTATTATTATTAAGAGCTGTTTGCAGTAATAAGGTTCATTAGGTCCTCAATAAGCCAATCTTGTTTGGTGGATTGTATAAAATAATGTTCATAAAATACCAAGCAAGCATACTACAGCTCAATAAGTCCTTCTTGCCTGCTGAAGAGAAAAACCCAATACACTAAGATAGTAGGTGTTGCAGTAGAGGAAGAGCTTAATAATCATGGAGCACCAAGAGAGGAGGACAGGAGATTTTGCTCAAGTCTGCCTCCCAAGAACTCAGAAGCTAGAGTTTTTAAGGATAATTTGACAGGCAGGGGCTAGGGAATGAGTGCTGCTGATTGGTTACAGATGAAATCATAGGGATTTCTAAACTATGAAATCAAGTGTCTTCATGTGCTGAATCAGTTTCCAGGTAGGGCTCACAGGACTAATCAAGTCAATTCTGTGGTATGGGTCATGGGTCTGGGTGGCATCAGTTGCTCTGCCAGAATGTGAAAGTCTGAAAAATAGCTCAAAGACCAGTCTTAGGTTTTACAATAGTGACGTTATCTATGGGAGCAACCGGGGGTAGTTAAAAATCTTGTGACTTCTGACTATGTGACTCCTGAGCAGCAACTGTAGAAAAGGAAACTAGGGAGCAATGGCTGTTTATCATTTAAGTAAGCCTACATCATAGCAGAATTCAGGACCTTCCCATAATTCTAACCTTGAAGACTTTCATTAGCTTTGCAAAGGCAGTTTCAGTCCCCAAAGAGGGGGCTAGTTTTAGAAAGTGACTATCATCATCCTTGCTTTAAACTATAAGCGAAATTTCTCCCATAGTTAACTTGGCTTATGCCCAGGAATGAACAAGGGCAGTTAGCTTGTGAAATTAGAAACCAGATGGAGTCAGTGATGTTACATTTCTCTATTACAGTTTTTGCAAAGGCAATTTCCAGAAGACAGACTATCAAGAATAAGTACTCAGTAAAAGTTAGTAGCTATTGTCCTTATTTTTGCAGCATAATACTTGGCTAATGATACATACCAAATCTATTTATTCATTCTCCCAAGGAATATGTTTGTTGAATATGTACTATATGCCAGGTCAATTCTTGATGCTGGGGAAATTGTGGTAAAGCAGACAGACAAAGCCCATGTTTCCATGGAGCCTAAACTCCTGATGTTGAAGACAATACAATTAAATGGACAAGCAATTTTGGATACTGCTAAATCCCAGAAAGAAACTATTAATAAGGTCAAGTGACCCATATTGATAGGAAAGTGTATCTAAGATAGAGGGATCAGGAAAACCTCTTTGAAACAGACAAAGCATAAGGAATAAGCCATATGGAGATCTGGGGAGGGGCCTTTTAAGCAGGGGAAGCAAGTGTTAAAACCATAAGAGAAACCAGCTTGGAGTGTAAATGTAGAGTAAGAATTACTCTATGTGATTGGAGAGTGATGATTCAAGGGAGAGTAAGGGAGATGAATAGATACAGCTAGATAGGCCAGAACCAGATAAGGAGACAGAGGTGAAGAGAAACCAGAGGAGACCCCTATACTATGTCACGTGCCAAGATTACTTCCAAAGAGATCAAAAGATTAAACATAAAATATGAAAACATTATAATAATTGTAGGGGGTTATTTGATTCTAGAAAGGTGAAAACCTTTTAAAGCATTCAATTAACAGCACAAATCATAATGGAATAAACAGATGTATATGAACACATAACACCTTCCAGTTCCCATGCATTAAAAGTATAATAAATAGGTTGGGCATGGTGGCTCATGTCTGCAATCCCAGCAGTTTGGGGGGCTGAGGTGGGTGGATCACCTGAGGTCAGGAGTTCACGACCAACCTGGTCAACATGGCGAAACCCTGTCTCTAATGAAAATACAAAAATTAGCTGGTTGTGGTGGTGCACGCCTGTAATCCCAGCTATTTAGAAGGCTAAGGAAGGAGAATGGCTTGAATCTAGGAGGTGGAGTTTGCAGTGAGCCGAGATCACACCATTGCACTCCAACCTGGGCGACAGAGCAAGACTCCATCTCAAAAAGTGTTTTATATATACACGTATATACACACACATTAATAAGAAGGTTAGAAAACATTATAAACTCTGAGAAGTATGTGCAATTTAGTTACGTATTAACATGTTTAATAACTTATTTGAGTAAAAATAAGTAAATCTAAATTAAAATACAAACACAGGAAGAAAAAGTACAAATCTATAAATGGAAATACTATATAAACACATGAACAATTACAAAAAGTGAAATAGTGATAACCAATAAACACATGAAACATTATCACTGTACTAGTAATCAAAAACATGCAAAAGTAAAAAATGGAATATAACTTTCTGATCAAATTCATAAATTCAAAAAAAATTATAAATTCATTGTTGATAAAAGTCAATTGTGCTACCCAAATGGGATATGCATTCCCACTGAGGGCTTTAGAAAGTATAAATCTAAGGGTAAATTTGAATATAAAAGGAAACTTAAGTTAGCAGAGCCCTTCTAGAAGTTAGGGGCCTTAAAAATCTAAACATGTTTAGGAGGAGAGGGAAAGATGGCTGACTAGATGCAGCCAGGTGAAAGCTCCCACCAAGGAACTTAGATGGCTGGCATGCTCCTAAAAGATCTTCAGAGGAAAGGCACTGAGAGTGGACAGAGGAAAGACACAGAAGCTTGGCTGAAGCGGGAGAAAGCTAGGAACCATAGATGAGGCTGTAGTGTACCTACAGTGGTTCCTGGCCCCCAGTGGCTCCAGGAGAATGGGTAAGTTGAACCATCAAGGAGCAAGCTGTTCTCACCTTGAGCCTCTGGAACCCCAGCAGAAAGAAACCAAGGACACTTGAGTTGGCAGGGAGACCTGCTTAGAGAAGTGGTAGGGGCAGCAAGCCAGCTGATGTGGAGCACAGAGGGTTTGGTGTGGGAGTGCCGGTAGCGGAGCATGGCCAGAGATGGCCATCCCCGTAGGATCCACTTGCTCTCACAGGAGACTTTTGCCTTAGGGAAACTGTTGGTCCTAAACTCTGCAGTGCAGCCTTGCCCATCAGATGGGGCCAGTCCAAACTGGGCACTCCTTGGTCTGCTAGCCTCTCCCAGGGCCCAGCTTGGTCACACCTGCTTGCAGGGCAGCCTTGGGTACCCTGGAGACACTTACCACAGCTTATGCACTGAAAGACCATGACTGACCAGTGAAGAACTCCAGTGGGGTGACCCCTATGGGCAGGCACCAGCCCATACACTTCCTCCCCACACTTCAGCTCCGCATGGGCCCACTGCAGCTCCCCACGGCAGTTTGCTGGCAAATATCTGCATCAATAGATTTTGATTGTTTTGTACCAGTTGTGTGTCGGGATACAGTCCTTTCCTGCCTCCCCCAACACCACTGACCACCATTGCAGATGCAGCTTTGGTGGGCACAGAGCCAGCCAGGCCCAACCCTGTTAGTGCCCTGAACTTGTGCTAACACTGCACAGAGAAGAATAGACCCTCCTCTGCCCTGAGCAACCATTCCTGCTTGTAGGGTACAAAAAAGGCACCCAGACCTGCACTTGCCAACACCCTGCCACCTAGCCATCACCACCTCCACTATGACCACACACAGCTGTCAGCAGAGGATCCCACTCATACTCTGCCAAGCTGCATTGCCTCCACAACTGTGGTGAATGCCCACAGGGAGACAGGCACCCTGGTGCCCACTAGTACTCTGCTGTAGCTGCTGTTGCACTGCTGCTGACACATGCAAAGGAGGGTGGATCTTGCTTTCACTGCGCTATGAAATGCTTTGGCTGACACAATTCATTGGAGTGTAGTGATCAGTGATCTGGGAACATCTCAGTCCCCACAGCACAGTGGATTCCTAACCTCAAGGAGCCCGAGGAAAAAAGCTGGGCCCAATACAAGTCCCCCAGAGCTGGAACACACAGTCAAGGAGTTGGAAGCTAAGGACTGGCCCCCTAAAATCTTCCAGAAATGAGGCCAGTGAGCTGAAGCCACCTTATAGCACAATCAAATCCTGAAGGTCATCAGGCAGGATAAATGAAAGAATACCCATCCACAGATAAGCAACCTCACAGATTGAAGAGAGATAAGCCCACAAATATAAATCAGTGCAATGACTTTGAAGATTCAAAAAGCCAGAGTGCTTTCTCTCATCCAAATGACCATATCACCTCTCCAGCAAGGGTTCTGTATCAGGTTTAGATGGATAAAATGACAGAAACAGAATTAAGAATATAGATAGGAACAAAGATCATTTAGCTATAGGAGTACGTTGAAACCCGATCCAAGGAGGCTAAAAATTATGATAAAACAACACAGTAGCTGACAGCAAAATAGCCAGTATAGAAAAGAATGTTAACTAGCCTCATAGCTAAAAAACACTCTACAAGAATTTCATAATGCAATCACAAGTATAAATAAATAGCAGAATAGACCAACCAGAAGAAAGACTCTCAGAGCTTGAAGACTGGCTTTCTGAAATTAAACAGACAAGTATAGAGAAAAAAGAATGAAAAGGAACAAACAAAACATCTGAGAAATACGGGATTATATGAAGAGACCAAATATATGAATTAGTGTCCATGAAATAGATGGAGAGTATTGAACCAACTTAGAAAGCGTATTTCAGGATATCATCCATGAGAACATTGCCAAACATAGCTAGAGAGGTCAACATCCAAATTCAGGAAATGCAGAGAACCCCAGTAAGATACTTCACAAGAAGATCATCCCCAAGACACATAATCATCAGATTGTTTAAGGTCTAAATGAAAGAAAAAATGTTAAAGGCAACTAGAGAGAAAGGTCAGGTCATCTACAAAGGGAAACCCCTCAGACTAACAGCAGACCTCTCAGCAGAAGCCCTATAAATCAGACAGGATTGGGAGGCAATATTCAACAATCTTAAAGAAATTCCAACCCAGAATTTCATATATGACCAAACTAAGCTTCATAAGCAAACAAGAAATAAGATCCTTTTCAGAAAAGCAAATGCTGAGGAAATTTATTACCACCAGACCTGCCTTATAAGAGCTCCTGAAGGAAGCACTGAGTATGAAAAACAAAGATTGTTTTACCAGCCAGTACAAGAACACACTGTAGTATGTAGACCAGTAACACTATAAAGCAATCACATAAACAAGTCTGCAAAATAACCAGTTAACAACATGGCAGGATCAAACCCACACATAACAGCATTAACCTTAAATGTAAATGGGCCAAATGACCCAATCAAAACAAACAGTGTCAAGCTGGATAAAGAACAAAGACCCATTGGTATGTTATCTTCAAGAGACCCATCTCACATGCAATTACACACATAGGCTAAAAATAAAAAGATGAAGAAAAATCTGCCAAGCAAAATAAAAACAAAAAAGCAGGGGTTGCAATCCTGGTTTCAGACAACAGACTTTAAACCAACAAAGATCAAAAAAGACAAAGAAGGGCATTACCTAATGGTAAAGTATCATGCACCCCAACACAAGAGTACCCAGATGCATAAAGCAAGTTCTCATAGAGCTTCAAAGAGACTTCAACTTCCACATAATAATAGAGACTTTAACACCCCACTGACAATATTAAACAGATCATTGAAACAAAAAATCAAAAAAGATATTCAGGACCTGAAGTCAGCACTGGATCAAATAAACCTGATAGACACCTACAGAATTCTCCACCCCAAAACAACAGAGTATACATTTTTCTCACCACCACGTGGCACATACTCTAAAAATCAATCATATAATCAGAAGTAAAACACTCAACAAACTCAAAACAAGTGAAATCATAACAAAAAATCTCTTGGACCACAGCACACTGAAATTAGAAATCAAGACTAAGAAATTCACTAAAAACCATACAATTACATGGAAATTGAATAACCTGCTCCTGGATGAGTCTTGGGTAAATAATGAGAGTAAGGCAGAAATCAAGAAGTTCTTTGAAACTGAAGAGAACAAAGAGACAACATACCAGAATCTCTGGAACACAGCTAGGGCAGTGTGAAGAGAGAAATTTCTAGTACTAAATGCCTACATCAAAAAGCTGGAAAGATCTCAGTTTAACAACCTAACATCACAACTAAAAGAACTAGAGAAAGGGGCCGGACACGGTGGCTCATGCCTGTAATCCCAGCACTTTTGGAGGCCGAGGCAGGCGAATCACAAGGTCAGGAGTTCGAGACCAGCCTGGCCAACGTGGTGAAACCCCATTTCTACTAAAAATACAAAAAATTAGCTGGACATAGTGGCAGGCACCTGTAATCCCAGCTATTTGGGAGGCTGAGGTAGAAGAAGTACTTATACCCAGGAGGCAGAGGTTGCAGTGAGCCAAGATTGTGCTCCACTGCCCTCCAGTCCAGGAAAAAAAAAAAAAAAAAAAAAAACACTAGAGAATGGAGAGCAAACAAATTCCAAAGCTATCAGAAGACAAGAAATAAAATTAGAGCTAAACTGAAGGAGACTGGACATGAAAACCCATTCAAAATATCAACAAACCCAGGAGCTGTTTTTCAGAAAAAATTAATAAAATACATAGATTGCTAGTTAGACTAATAAACAGCAAAGATTCAAACAAACACAATTAGAATCGACAAGGAGAATATTACCACTGACCCCACAGAAATACAAATAACCATCAGAGAATATTATGAACACCTCTACACATGGAAACTAGAAAATCTAGAAGAAATGGATAAGTTCCTGGACACATACACCCTCCCAAGACTGAGCCAGGAAGAAATTTAATCCCTGAATGGACCAATAACAAGTTCTGAAATTAAGTCAGTAATAAATAATTTACCAACCAAAAAAAGCCCAGGACCAGACAGATTCATAGTTGAATTCTACCAGAAGTACAAAGGATATCTGGTACCATTCCTGCTGAAATTATTCCATAAAATTGACGAGGGAGTCCTCTGTAACTCATTCTATGAGGTCAACAGTCTGATACTGAAACTTGTCAGGGACACATGGACGAACACACACACACACACACACACACACGCACAAACTTCAGGCCAATACCCTTGATGAACACTGATGCAAAAATCCTCAACGAAATACTGGCAAACTGAATCCAGAAGCATATCCACCATGATAAAGTAGGCTTTATCCCTGGGATGCAAAGTTGGTTCAACATATGCAAATCAATAAATGTCATTCATCACATAAACAGAACAAGATAAAAACTACATGATTATCTCAATAGATGCAGAAATGGGTTTAGATAAAATTCAACATTGCTTCATGTTAAAAACTCTCAATAAACTAGGTACTGAAGGAACATACCTCAAAGCAGTAAGAGCCATCTATGACAAACTCACAGCCACCATCATAGTAAATAGGCAAAAGCTAGAAGCATTTTCCTTGAAAACCATCACAAAACAAGGATGCTCTCTCACCACTCCTATCCAACACAGTATTGTTAAGTCCTAGCCAGGGCAATCAGGCAAGATAAAGTAGTAAAGGGCATCCAAATAGTAACAGAGGAAATCAGACTACCCTTGTTTTCAGATGACATAATTCTGTAACTAGAAAACCCCATAGTCTCAGCCCAAAAGCTCCCTAAGCTGATAAACTTAAGCAAATCCTCAGGATAGAAAAATCAATGTGCAAAAATCACTAACATTCTTATACACCAACAACAGACAAGTCAAGAGCCAAATCAGGAATGTAATCCCA
Source organism: Homo sapiens (assembly GCF_000001405.40). Lineage (NCBI taxonomy): Eukaryota > Metazoa > Chordata > Mammalia > Primates > Hominidae > Homo > Homo sapiens. Next base: position 29,954,656 of record NC_000011.10, read on the forward strand.
TTAGCAATGGCCACAAAAAGAAGACAATACCTAGGAATATGGCTAACCAGGGAGGTAAAAGATCTCTACAAGGAGAACTACAAAACACTGCTCCAGGAAATCAGATGACACAAATGGAAAAACATTCCAAGCACATGGATAGGCAGAATTAATATGATTAAAATAACCATAAAGCCCAAAGCAATTTACAGATTCAATTCTATTCCTATTAAATGTTGACATTCTTCACTGTACTAAAAAAAAAACTATTTTGAAATTCACATAGAACCAAAAAATCATAAGAAACAATCTCCAGGACCACAGTACACTGAGTAGCCAAGGCCATCCTAAGCAAAAAGAGCAATGCTAGAGGCATCCCTTTACCCAACTTTGAACTATACTACAAGGCAACAGTAACCAAAACAGCATGGTACTGATAAAAGAACAGATACATAGACCAATGAAACAGAATAGAGAACCCAGAAATAAGCCTACACATCTACAACTACCTGATCTTTGACAAACCTAACAAAAACAAACAAAGGGGAAAGGATTCCCTGTTCCATAAATGGTGCTGGGAGAACTGGCTACCTATATGCAGAAGAATGAAACTGGACCCCTTCTTTATACCATATACAAAAATCAACTCAAGATGGATTAAAGATTTCAGTGTAAAACAAAATATAAAAACCCTGGAAGACAACCTAGGCACTACCATTCTAGACATAGTAATGGGCAAAGATTTCATGACGAAAACACCAAAAGCAATCACAACAAAAGCAAAACTTGACAAATGAGGTCTAATTAAACTAAAGAACTTCTGCACAGCAAAAAAACAAACAAAACAAAAACAAAAACAAAAAAACTATCAACAGAGTAAACAGACAACCTACAGAATGGGAGAAAACTGTTGCAAACTATGCATCCAACAAGGGTCTAATATCCAGCATATATAAGAAACTTAAATTTACTAGAAAAAAAAAACAATCCCATTTAAAAGTAGGCAAAGGACATGAACAGACACTTAACAAAAGAGAAGACATGCATGCAGCCAACAATCACATGGAAAAAAAAAGGTCAATATCACTGATCATTGGAGAAATCCAAATCAAAACCACAATAAGATACCATCTGACATCAGTCAGAATGGTATCAGAATTATTAAAAAGTCAAAAAATAGCAGATGTTGGTGAGGTTTTGACCCTAAAGATCTAGCTACATAATCAGATTAAATATGCAATTGGGCCAGGCACAGTGGTTCATTCCTGTAATCCTAGCACTTTGGGAGCCTGGGGCGGCTGGATCGCTTGAGCCCAAGAGTTCGAGATCAATGTGGCCAACATGGCAAAACCATACAAAAATACAAAAAATTAGCCAGGCCTGGTGGTGCATGCCTGTGGTCCCAGCTACTCAGGAGGCTAGGTGGGAGGATCACCTGAGCTTAGGGAGGTCAAAGCTGTAGTAAGCCATGATCCAGCCATTTCACTCCAGCTTGGGTGACAGTGACAGCCTGTCTCAAAAAAAAAAATGCAATTGAACAAGTATGTGATAAAAGCATCTTCAAAGCTACATGATAGGCTAATGTACGTCTACAGTATTATTGTTTCAGTCACTGACTTCACCGTACATGAAACTGTTTGCTCAGCTTATTTTGAGCACTCTAAGAATATCCACACAATTTGTTTTGCTTGGAGCAAAACTAAGAAAACCCACACCCTGAAACCTCTCATCTGCCTCTAACACATACTATCTCTAACCTCACTGCAGTCCACATAAGACAGTTTCATTTACTCCACAAAGCACATGAAAATGTTAATAGATACCAGGGGGCAAATGAATGTGCCAAGAGAATTTCCTGATGTCAAAGAAAATTAGGGATTCCAAGGCAGCTGAACTCTGGCCTTTCAGGGCCCACACCAAGGAAGGAGGAGATATTTTTGGTCAAAGAAGTCCAATCTGCTTGAGCCTATTAATTCCACTGTTGACCAAATGGATCAAGCACAATTCAGGATTATTTCAACAAACCCTCTTGGCAGGTAAACATTTTCTGCAGACTGAGGCTCTTTCTAGCTATGGCAAAATGAATTGTATAAACACCACTGAGGTAATATTAATATAAATCAAACAATAAAGCAATATCATGCTTGTGTACCCAGCTGCCCAGCTGTTGATAGAGACCAAGACAATTTGAGGAGACTAAATATGCTATTCAAAAAAAAATTCTTCATGATTTCCTCTAGCAGACAATGATTTTCTAGTGCTATTTTTAGCAATGAAACTTTTTTCCCTATGAGATTCACACATGAAATCCCAATTCATAAAGGATATAACCTGGAGCATTTCTGAGTGATGTGGTAGAGGCCCAGCCATTCCAAATATCTATTTCAAGTCCTTTCAGGCACTTTCGTGCAACCCTAGGATGCATACAAGATAGGCTGGAACCCCCATTTTTGAGAAACTAGGACAACCAACTCAAAAAACTGAACGGATGTCTATGTTTACCTTGATATTTTATATGAAATCATTAGGACACAAAACATTCTGTAAGCAAAATCACCAGTGTTTGTCTTTTGAGTGTTCTCCCACCTCCATTTTTTTTTATCCACCCTATCCTCCTCCTTCATCACTCTTTTATCTTCTTCCCCAAGGTATGCACCCCTGCCAGAGAGGCCCTAGCTAATCAGAGCTCCACCTCCCTCCCACTCCCCCAGACTGCCACCATTGCATCTTCTCAGCAGCCTGTTCTCCCAAAGAAACAAATAATTGTAGAGCCTTTTCAGCAAGCATCAGTATTTTTGTCACCCAGTTTCCATTCAGTTTTCCCCTGACAGCATTTCCTCTTTCCCCGTGTTAGTTTTGAGGATCTGTTAATCAAGCTGTTTTGCCCTAGATAATCCCTAATCCACGTGGAGGGCTTTTGGTCCCGGTTTCTCCTGGTGTCTCTGCTCCCCCCTCCCCCCCGCCTCCTTCTCCCTCCCTCTCTCCAGGGATTCTGAATCTTGAGAAGATCTCAAAGAGAAAAGCAAGGCTGATTCATCCTGGTGATGACATCCAGATAAGACTGCCCACTTGTTATTTAGATTCCTGGTCCAACAGCCCTGGTTACTGTGCTTTCTATACCTGGCATCCCATCTCTGTCCTTTCAGTTAGTAAATTACCCAAGGTCTTTCAGTAGGTTACCTTTTTGCTGAAGTTAAATGGCATCTGTCTGTTGTGTATATCTAAAGAACCCTAAAATGATACAAGCTTTTATAAAACACTTTAAGATTTATTACTTAACTTGGCCCCCAGAATAATCTTTTGAAGTCAGGTAGGGAGGTACTATCGATCCCAATTTCCAGGAAAGTAATAGAGGCCTCAATGAGTTAATCGTAGTGTTCAAAGTCACATATTCAGCACACAGTGTGACATGATTCAAACCCAGTTCTTCTGATCCCAACACATATTCTTCCTTCTGCCATGTTGACTCCTGGGGTAGTACCCACTTTCTGGATCTAATCCTCTCAGTGAATTGTGCTTTTTTGTGTCTTATTTTCCCAGTGCCTCCTGAAATTACCATGAGTTAATTGCGAAAGCCAATTCTCATGGATTAAATGACTGATAGAGGGTTCATATATTTTCCTTCTCAAGGGCATTTATTTTCAGCAAGTCAAACAAGCATATACTTCCTTAATCCACAAAAATGCCATTGAAATAAATGAGCTTTAAGAAGACAAACTTTAGAAATATATAATATATATATTCTACATTTTATATTTTCAAAGATATTTGGATCCACTAACCCTAATATTTCTTGTCAGCTATTCTGCAGAGAGCACCCAAACTCAGCATTACTTGATTTCTGTCTGACAGTTAAACTCATATGTAACACAAACTGTTACAAATACATTGGAAAATTCATAACATGCCACTTGGATTATAACAAAAAAAATAGATAATTAAATCCCTAAGCTTCGGAACTAAATAACCCAGACCATAAAATTATCATTTGCATTTAGAATCAATATAAGAATTATTATTGTCATACTGTTGTACTATGCTTATGAGAGCTACTTGTAAAATACAGTGAATCAAATCACAGAAATAACCTCAGGATCTCTCCCTTGCCCAATCCAACACACACACACACACACACACACACACACACACACACACACACACACACACAATTAGACTTCCAACATTATGGATGGTTTGTGGGAAAAAAAAAAAGTCTTTTTTTAAAGGCTTAATTCTAGTTTCAACAATCTGTCCAGAATTACTACCCCTTTCTGATGAAAAGAAAACTCCCCTCCCTCCTTTCACCTATATCTCTAGTCTTCAGATTGTCACACTCACCACAGAAGAGGGGAACAGATAAAATAACATAGTACTTAGAGTCAAGAGACCAAATTTTGAGCCCATATTCCACTATTACCCTCAAGGTGACTTTGGGAAACTGTCAGAATGATCTAAACCCTTGTTTATTTCCATTTAAAATGGATAAAGGTAACATTGCCCAACAAATAAAGATTTTCAGTTTATTATTGATGCAGATTAAAAAAAAGCTGTAGCGACAATCCAGATATCATCTGATAGAGGCAAGCTAGCCATTCAGACAGATTGCTAAAGCATTTTTCTTAGCCTTATAGAGGAGACTCAAAAATCTGGCCTATCAGTGTACACAGAGAGGATCTCTTTCTCTCTCAGGGGTAGCCTCACGTTAACTAAGTTCATGAGACTATGTTAACCAGAATATCCTGCTACTATTTTACTATAATAAATATAACTGACCCTCAAAATAGATTAACCTTTCTTTATGCTTGGTGGATGCATTAATATTAATATGGGCCTGCATTCAAATGAAGTCCCACATACATTAATACATAAATTTGCAAGGTCTCTGCATTCTCACCTACCCTTTGAACACTAATTCCAACTTGCTCTACAAATTTTTTCCCTCAAATATATCTAAGGATCTCCCAAGAGTATTCATGTGTCCAAGAGCCATTGTTTGTCACTGTTTTGCACCTGAAAAGGGCATAGCCCTTAAGACTGAATTTGACACTTACTGAAATTAGCATTTACATTTGCTGGCCCCCAACAGTCCTGCTTGCTAGTTTTGGTTAACATTGTCACTGAGTTGCTGTAGGTATTTTTGCATTGCTTTTGGTAGAGTTCCATGAATTCCCCAGACAAACACGATTCTGTGCTGAATGGTAAAGAAATAATGCTGTTACCTTTGAGCTACACTCACTTAATAGTCCCATAGCAAAACTGTTAAATGCCTAAGAATTTCCATGTTTTAGAGAAGTTCTTTCGATTCGACCATATGTAAATGTTTATTCCAAGGCATATCCAAGGTGTCAGGGTGGTTGCATCAAGATGGTTCCAGTGTGTCAGTCATCCTGGGCATGGGATCAGGACTACCCCTCCTTCAAAGTTTAGCCCCTAAAGAGAGACACAGCCTCCCTCATCAGAATTCCTTATGCCTCCAAGAAAGATGAGTTGTTTCAGCACCTCCTTGCTATTTCCCATAACTTGGCATTCATCAAGCCACCCTAATCCATCAGACATATTTCAGTATCTTTGAAACTTAAAAAAAGAGTCAAGCCCTATTTCTTTTCTCCCTGGAAACTCTTATTTCTCATGTAAATTAGCGGCACAAATAAATTCTAGCAAGAGTGATGTCACACAACTTTACCCTGAGGCATCCAAGCTACAGGAGTTTAGAGATGTTTCAGAAAACTGTTAAAGCAATTGTCTTCATCAACAAAGTTTGAACCCTAGACCTATCTAAAATGTCCTATTGTATGCACATGCATGCATGTAAACACACACACACATACACACAGATAGAGAGGGACAGATCACCTAAAGAGATGCTCAAAAAACTTCAGTGCTAATGAAAATGTACCAAATGGAAATCTAGACTGAAAAATTGGATGAAAAATATACAGATCAAGTGAGCAAGTAGGGTACATAATGAACTGCTTGATGGAGCCTAGAAATTTAATGAGCAACTTGAAAAATCATTTAATATCTGGTTGAGAAAGAACTAAAAGATCATTTAATCCAACCCCTTTACTTTATAGCTGAAAAAATGAAGATCTAGATTGATGAAGTGACTTCCCCAAGGTCACCCTGCTCTTCTGAAACAAATTTAGGACTAGAATTTTTCCATGACACTCTACCACTTATGATCCCTTCTTCTGTAATATTTGCTTGAAAGCTTGTCCTTTTGCTACTTAGATGAAAGATTTTCATCAAATCTGTTTAAGAGATCAGGGCACAGTTCTTTGAGTTAGAACACACAAGGCAAAAAAGATGTACAGAAGCCTCATTCCATCCTACAGCAGGAAACCCTTACTTGTAGCCTTCACAAGTAATCATAGTAATACTAATAATTATTATCATGTGTTGAATGTTCCTCATTCTTTGGGCACCATGACAAATTCTTCATGTTTTGTTTTTGGTTTTGGGGGATATCAGTCCTCAGTAAACACATAGAAATGAATTTAGAGAGCTTAGGTAACTTGTCCAAGGTATCTGGTTACTAAGTGACAGACTAGGATTCAAGTCCAGGCCAACTGACAGTACTCTGGAGGCAGAAGCAGATTAAAACCAGTTGTTTAGCATACTTAACCATGAAATAACACTTTTTCATAACCTTTATACCACTCTGACACCTGTTCTACTTTATTACCCCCATTATTGATTTCCATATCTCCTGTTCAATCCCTCCTTCCACCAATCTGTACTGCACACTGTTTCCACATTCACCTTTCTGAAGACTAATATGTGTGTCACACTCTCACTCCAAAGCCATTAAGCAGCTCTTCACAGTCTATTTAATGACTTGATATATAAAGCCTCCCTAATCTGTCCCAATCTACTTTTCTAACATTAGACCCCTTTTCTATCAAATCCTTTCTCTTGTCAATCAAAGTCACTTCCTATCCTTAATATGTATCTTGCAATTTATCCTTCACCCTTCCACATTTACTGAGTACCAACTATGTGCCAGGTCTTGTGTTAAACATTGAAAATAAAAACATAAAAGAGACTCTCCTTAAAGAAGTTTAGAGTGTTACAGACAGTCATTCAAACAAGTGATTTCAGTCAAGCAAAGAGATTATCATACCTTAAGCTGCTCAAAATTTGATGGAAACCAAGGTGAGCTCTGAGCTTTCACCTTTAAGTGTTTTTTTGTTTTGTTTTGTCTGGTATGCCTTTCGCAACCCACACCTCCATCTTCATCTAACTAGATCCCACAGAATCGGGTACAAATGCAACTTCCTTCACAAGGTTTTGCCTCATAATCATGCATATGTTTCTTCCTAAAAAATACAGTGAAAGTTCCCATTAAATGAGTTTTATTTTTTATTTTTAAATCTTGAAAGTTTATTCTTACAAAAGTCAGAAGCAGAAAATAAATGTGCCCAAAGTCTAAGGGTGATTACAAGGATTCTAGTGGTGAAAAGCAATGATTGTTTCTACTTATTTTTGCTTCAAAATATCTGACTCTCCCTTCCCTACTACACCCTATATCAGTTTTTATATTGGCTCACAACTAGACTGAAAAGGGGAGAAGAGGGTAGAAGAATTTTGTAATCTGAATAGCAGAGAGAGAAAAGAACACTAAAAGGACATGTGTGTATTGTGATGGCAAAGTTGCCTTAAATGAAATAAACTGGATTGCAGCAATGAAAGTTACCAGAAAATGGAAGCATAAGCGGGTAGACTCTTGATCTAGACAAGAGCCTTAGATCAAGCCAGAAGTATTGATCTAGCCAGAAGCATGCTGAAGAAATGCAAAACCAAGCAGTTCCAAGACCGGCCACTAGGCAATGTAGCCTACTCAGATTGACTTTCAAGACTACTTCTAAGAAACAAGCAGGTTAGGAAGCTGCCTTTACCAGCCAATCATGTTGCAGTTATCTGAATACATCCTAAACACAGGCTTTTTAAGTGCAGGGGTCCTGTCAAATTTCATGTTCCACAATGTCTAACACACTCTTGGGTACATCACAGGTACTCAGAAATTTTTGCTGAACGTATGTTAAATAAAAGAACAAACCAACACTTAGATGGTTGTAAAGGGCAACTCTAAAGTACTATACTTCACAGTTTACCAGACTTTTTTTTTTTTTTTTTTTTTTGGCATACTATATCAGTAGTGCTTCTGAGTACGTCATCATTCCAGTAAATGCTGCAATAAATCTCTGGACAGGTATAGCTTACAGCACACCCAAGAATTTGTTGATGCCTTTCCTCTACTCCTTTATATAGAAAAGGAAGTAAAAGATGTTAGCTACAAGGATAGAAACAATAAGCCAAGAGGTAGAACATTTCAAAAGTGTTGCTAGACTTGGACAAATTGCAAAGTTTAACAATTACTCTGAACTGGGTTCTCAGTGCTCACCCAGCACACTGAGAAGCAATTACTGTCCAAGGGCTCTGAGAACTGAGATGGCCACAGTGAAACCACCGAAGACAGCTTTTTGATCCCCTACTTGCAGTGTATTTATTGGCCCCTACAGCCTTCTATCTTAAGCCATGAAAAAAAAATTATAAAAGGGAATATGATCCTAGAGAATTAACTTGACTCTTCCCCATGGGCAGATAGTAAATCATGTGACTAGACGGCCTACAGCTATTTAAGCCTACCAAATTTCCAGCACTGGCCAAAGGCTATGATGCAAGGAACACTAGTTTCTGTATATAACATAACAGCCAGACAGAGTAACAGAATTTTTTGCACTAAAAGAGCCCTATAATCATCTAAGGCCAATGGTTCTCAAGCTGTTTTAGTCACAGAGTTCTTGCTTCAAGTAAAAATTTTTCAGGTGTTCAGTATAACTGAGCAAGTAAAAGTTACTGCTGGAGAAAGTATGGAAAGCAGTAGAAACAGAATATCTAGAGCTTCAGAAAATAGCATTTGAACATAATTATTCTAATCCACACCCTGATATTATATATGCAAAGGGTCTATAAGAAAATGATTTTACCTCCGCTATATAGAGGAGAATACTGAAGCACAATTTAAAATTTGTTGCCAAGATTATACAGCTAGTGCAGCAGTTGGAGTCTCTTTTGAAAACAGATGGCACACTCAAATTTGGATAATTTAAAGAGGAGTAAATAGAGAGACTATTTACAAAGGTAAGGGCAGGGTTTCCAAAACCAATAACGGATAGTGCAGCGCCATGGACTTGGTTTTTTAGGCCTGAAAAAGGGAGGAAAGAGAACAGTTACATGAATTTGTAAGGAGATAATCATGTAGAAAGGTCCTCCTTAAGAGATAATGTAATCTATAGATGAAAGACACAGCTAGCCCTAGGCAACCTTACAAGGAGGCAGCTAGAGGAAAACACACACTATCCTTGTTCTCTTCTTTCTCTGATCTCCTGCCAGGGCTTCCATTGGCTGAAACAACCAGAAATCAGACAAGAGGGCCTATTAATGTATTCCATACAGATCAGCCTCCTGCAGTACTAAATAAAATAGAAATTAGAAGAAAGTGGATATGGAAGGGCAAACCTGAAGTTATCTGCTATAGTGTGAGCTAGTGCCAGAGCAAGAATTGTCCAGATATCTAGTGGCCAAAGCTATGCTCTTTATCACAGTGGCATTCAGTATTCCAAGAATTTTTAAAACCATGTAACTCTTTGATGACAAATGTACTATTCAATATGATTTCTCTCCACTACTCCACAAATGTATGTTTTGTCTCCTATTCTATAAAGTTATTGAGAAGGATGCCTCAAAATACTCAGAAATACTTCCAATTTCTCAGTTATCACGTTTTCCTTAATATGAATATATTATAGTTGTCCTAATATACGTAACATTGAGAGTCTGTGTTTTAATACTCAACTCTAACATTTTAATTACATACCTTTAGTATGTCAATTCATCTTCACCATGTGCAATGTTTAATATACTAAATTAAGAATGTTTGGCCCACACATGGGACCTGCTTGCTCAGCCTGTGCCAGCAGTAGACATCACTATATGATAATAGTTTTCTTTCTTGCTGAGAAACCTACTTTGAATCTTTCTCAGCACAGTCAACAACTTCCAAACGATTATTTAGCACAGGGAAGAGGCCCATATTTATCTTCTGAAGGAGAAAAATATAGGAGCACAAAAAAAAACTCTGTGAGACTCTAAGAACACAAGCCTGAATGCCCCAACACATGGAATGCCATTTTTAAAGAACTCTCATCAGAAGTGAGTCACTTTTAGAACAGGCAAGAGAAAATAAATACATGTTGAAACAAAATACCTCTTTGCTCTAGGGAACAAATCTACCCTTAGTTAAATCGAGAATATATAACATGGGGTAGGTAGTTTTAAATTGTTACAAAATGGATATAATTTCACAATGAAAAACACTTATAAAAAGCCGTTCCATGGAGAGTTTAACATTCTCTTAGGGATGAACAGGGATTTATTCTGCAGGAAACCTGTGAGAAGAATTTTGAGCCAAGAAGTGATTCTCCTCCCTTTCAGAAAAGAGAAAGAGATGTAAACAGAGATGAGAGGAGGGTAGGGGAGGGAGAGTATGGACCTCACTCAGAAAACAAAGAATGATGTGAAGGGTCTATCCACTCTTCCTTATACCTGACTTTACTAGATCATGCCCCTTGTTTAGAAATCATCCTGATTTATGAAACTTGCAGAATTAAAAAAAAAAAACTTACCACAAAACTTACAGAATAAAAAACAGACTTACTATGACCTACAAGAATCCACATAACCTACCCACAGCCTAGTCCTCTTATTTAATTCCTTGTCATTCTCTCACTTGTGTACTACCCTGCTCTACTTACAGTTCCTTGCAAATCCCAAGCTTTTTTCCTACCTTAGGACCAATACACATTAGTCTCTGCCTGGAAGGCTTACCCACCCCCACACCCACCCACTTCACGGCTAGCTCCTACCATTTTCTTTAGAAATCAGCTTTAAAAAAGACCTTCTCTGAAAAACTTTATTTAAAGTAGGTTCCTTCTGTTGCTCTCTAACTCTGTTCGTTGTCTTTTTTTCTTCCAATTTTATAGTTGCATCTATTTATCTATACTCCTATTTATCTGCTCTTTGCTGGGTTCCTACACTGGGATGTGAATCCCATAAGAGCAACCACCGTCTCCATCTTGATCACTGTTTTGTCCCAGAGCCCACCACAGTGGCAAACACATAGTGAACTTTCTATATAATATTTGTGGAATAAGATAAACTCTTGAGAAAGTTTTTATTTTTTTTTTCTAGCCTATAAATCTTTCCAACTCCACCTCCAGGACCTGCAAGCCAAAAGCATGTGAAATTGTGTGGCGATTTAATTTGCAGGTAGTAATTGCCAAAGCTTACTGACCACCTACTTACTGTCTAAACAATTCTAACTGTGTGTGTGTCTGTAAGTAATTTGAAACCTCACAAAATCCCAGTGGGATACACAATTATCCCCATTTACGGATGAAAATGAAATTCTGACATATTTAGTTTTGATATGGAGAAAATTGTATCAAAAGGGTAAGTTTTGAAAATGTGAAGATATACAATTTGAGTATCTTTCTCAATGTAGCTAAGCAACCAAGATGACCTAGGTGTGCTCTCTGGGGGTTGTTTCTGAGAGGCAGCTATGGTAGTATGGAAAGAAAATGGGCAGAGTCAAGGACACTGGAATCAGACCCCCTCTTTTCCATTTATTATTTATACGACCATAGTAAATCTTTCACCTCTTACTTGGTCTTAGATTCTTTACATGTCAAACTGGAGTTGGAACTAGCTGCGTACTCTGGTGTTTTATGTAACTTAGAGATGTGCCACCAGGCCTAAGAAATAGCTTCATATAACATTTCTGGGTATGATGTTGATTGCCAGAACCTGTGCTTTGTGGTAACTGTTCCTAGATTGGCCACAACAGATCACAATATTGTGTTCTGAATGTACATAATTAAAAATTAATGCTAGCAGACAAAATCCCAGCTAGAAACTGCTAGCTGGGATTAAAGTGGTAGTTGGAGTTGAATAGAAAGATTTAGGGATATGTTTCCATCAACAGAAAACTGAGTGAAAATAATTGAATTAAAATTCAATTTAAGTGCACAAGAGAGATGTATTTGTTTTGTGTCTCAATCCACCTTAATAAGAAGCAAAAATGTTACATTATCAAAAACAGTTAACATACTGAAAAATTTAGTGCTAGCATGATTTCATATTTAACAGCAAGTTATGGATATTTGGGGAAGAATATGAAAATAAAAGATTTCTTGCCTATAAAATGAAAAGTTGAAGCAGATAACATTGTAGATCTCCTCAAGACCTCTACAATTCTGATTCTGTATTTAATAAGTGCTTATTAAACATTCCCCACAGGCTTAATCCCTTCTCAGGTAGAGCAAGTCATACAGAATAAGAAAACATTATCCCTGCCCTCAATGTGAGTATTATCTAAGATTACTATAGATCAAATTGATGAAACAAAATATATACTTCGCATGTAAGTTATAATTTCAATTTAGCCACTGTCTTACTCTATAAATCAAAGTAAAATATAAATTTAATTTTCACTTATTTATAGGGACAGGATCTTGCTCTGTTGCCCAGGCTGGAGTACAGTGGCAAAATCATGACTCATTGCAGCCTGAAGTCCTGAGCACAAGCGATCCTCCTGCCTTAGCCCGAGTAGCTGGGACTACAGGCATGTAGCTGGGAGTACATGTAGTCCCGAGTAGCTGGGACTACAGGTAATAAAAAATTACCATACCTGGCTAATTTTTTTATTTTTATTTTTTGTAGAGTGGGCCTTGCTATGTTTCTCAGTCTGGCCTCCAACTCCTAGCCTCAAGCAATCCTCTCTCCTTGGCCTCCCAAAGTGTTGGGATTACAGATGTGAGTCACTGTACCCAATTTATTTTTTATAAATAAAAATATAAAAATAAAATGTTTTAGACAATGAAAAGTTTTATAATATTTCAGACATTATAAATAGTAATATTGGGGTAAAAATTTAAAGGAATTGACTATTTTTATTATGTTGCTTAAGTTAATATAAACTTAGTGCATTTTAATAGAGATGAATTTTGAATGTAATTGGAAGGTTATGGTTTGCATGAAATGGAATTCTCTTGGAGCACAATGACAAAATAAAAAAGAAAGAACAAATAGCTTTGGTTTAGAAAAACGGGGAAAGGGATCCAAGTGTTAGTGGGATTAAAACTTCAAACATTGCCTAAACCCAAATGATCATCATTATAGTGGTGCTGACCAGTGATAAGTATCAAATAGGAAAAAATTTAAAGATAAATTTCTCTCAAATATAAAATGTATGTAACATGAACAGCAATTACAGTAATTATAGGAAACAGATTACCCTCATAAATTTCTTTTTGTGTTCATACAATATAAAAGACTGTAGAATTTTACTTTCAGAAATAAGTTTTTGCTAATAGGCTGCCAATATAACCAAGATTTTGAAAAATAGTTGATGATGTCAAAGATAAATATTGAAATTTAAATTATCAGTTTCTCCATGTAAATATGCATATTTTAAAATTAAATCAAGTTCTTGATCAAATTAATTCAGCTAATTAGGATCTAACTTTTAAAATGAGGGAGAAAAAACAGAATCTATTATTATAAGTTAGGAATTCTCGTACTGTGAGAAAAAAAAGTAATACTGCTTCTTTTGAGAAAAAAATTCCTAGGTATTTTAATTTTTTTTTTTTTTTTTTTTTTTTTTTGAGGCAGAGTCTCCCTCTGTCGCCCAGGCTGGAGTGCAGTGGCACGATCTCGGCTCACTGCAAGCTCCGCCTCCCAGGTTCACGCCATTCTCCTGCCTCAGCCTCCCCAGTAGCTGGGACTACAGGCGCCTGCCCCCACAGCCTGCTAATTTTTTGTATTTTTAGTAGAGACGGGGTTTCACTGTGTTAGCCAGGATGGTCTCGATCTCCTGACCTCGTGATCCACCCACCTCGGCCTCCCAAAGTGCTGGGATTACAGGCGTGAGCCACCGTACCCGGCCGGTATTTTAATTTTTATAAAATACATTTTACCCCCATGAAAATGTAAAATTTCAACAAAGTAGATGTGAAAAAATTATATGTATAATGAAAAGAAACAAAAGCATAGAAAATTATTCATGCATTCACTAATTCAACAAATACTTCTTGAGCATCTCTGTGTTGGTCCTGTGTCCAGTGATAAGATACAAAGTGAATATAGCATAGATCTCAAAATCCTATGGAATTTATAATGAGGGTGGGGGGTAAGACAAATACACATACAACTAAACATATAAAAAAAAGACAACGGTGTTGTATCCCACATTGATAATATGGACATTAAAGGCAATAGAACACCTAAGTTAGTGATCATTCTGGATGACTGGAGATGGCTACCAAAGTAGGTAGCCAAAGTGATAAATATTAAAGAATGGGTGACTTTTCAGAAGTTTGGGGCAAAACAGAAATTTTATTATTTATTAGATGTCTGTATGAGAAACTGACACAAGCCACTTGAAAACTACATAAGGTCCAGGAGTTAGAAAACTTCGGTTACCACGATAAACATGTTATGCCTAATATTACAGGCAAAGGTAGGCCACCATTGCAGTATACACGTGGCATAGAATTGTAGAATCATAAAACTGTTAGAGGTTGGTGGCAGCTGCAGGTGGCAGGGTAAGTGTTGAGAATAGCAGATGACACCATTGCTGCCTTCTTTGTCCATAGCAGAATTCCATAATCAACTACCATTCTTTCTGTTGATTCTACATGACTTCAAATGCCATCTCAACACAGTATTTCAAGGAGCCACTGCCAATCTCACTGAGTTAAATGTGAAGTTTGAAACTTCGTCCAGTATTTCGTTGTTTTATTTTTGCTTACCCTTCCACATCTCACAGTCAACTGTTTGACCAGAACAAGTTATCAAATCAAGCTCTGTGCTAGGCAACAGTGGAAAAGAAAATAGACCCAAATTTAATCAATACTGTGTTTAGGAATGTTAGAAGGGAAGATAGCAGTTTATAATCTCTGACACAGTGTCAGCTTTGGGAGGAAATAGTCTATGCTCTTTTATACCACTGTCAATTTTTGGAGTAAATCGTGTCTGAAGTAACTTGATGGCAGTGGGCCTGGAAAGGGAAGCAGAAAAGAGATTGAATACAGGGCTTAATTCAAATCACTTACTGCATTCCTAGTATTCACTTCCAGTACTCTATAATCCAGACATCTGAAAATGTTCCCTGAAAATATCATGCTTCTTTATACTTTTATATGGGTTATTCCCTTCATCTGAACCTCTCTTGCCTTCTTCACTCCTTGGTGGACTGCCTGCCCAAATCACAGGTCACCTTCTCCATGATGCTTTATCCAATCGTCACTCCTTACTGTTTCCATGATGTTTTATACCTCTATTTTAGCCCTTATCACCTATGTTTATTGTCTTCTTGTTCCTAAGGTCTCTACTGGTTTTCTTCCTCTTCACATTACCAATGATCAGCAGTGTGCCTGCCACCCAGTGGGTTATTCAACAGCATGACTGGAATGAATAAGTAAATGCTTAAATTGAACTTCAAAATATATGATATGGATTTTTACAGGTTTATCATATTTCCTAATGCTCATATTATGAGCTTAGACATGAGTTTAAAAACATCCCTTTGTAGGGCTTCTAAAGCACTGTATTTACCTTGAGAAATTCAGGTCAAAATGACAGATTTCCTATGACTATTTCATAAAACAAGTAATCCCGAAAGTTGACATATGAATTTCTATATCAGGAAAAATAAATGTTTAGCTTGGCACTTCAGTGGCCTCTTTGAGACATGAGTTTCAAATCCACACATCTTTTAAATAATTCTGTTCTTGTAGCTGTTTATTAGTTTAGAGACTATTTGCATTTTCTGTCTTTTTGGCCCTATCGCCCCAGAGTCATGTTTAATAATGGGATGACCAGAGACACGGTTGTAGACTATTGTATCTGTTCTCATGAGATATCACTGTCTTGGCCTGTACACATACAGGATGGCAGTACGAGTGAAAACTTCAGGACTACAATAAAAGCTTTATAGGAAACCTCAAGTTCAACTTCAAACAATTTCAACATAATCAGCCTTTGGCTTAGTGAGAACCTACTTTGTTCCTATTGTTGAATTTTAACACTCAAAAACCCTGTGGGAAGGTTTTAGCTTTGCTTCTATTTTAAAGATGAAAAAATTGATATTCAGGGTGCTCAGCCCCTTACCAAATCAGGAAATGGTTGAACCCAGATCTGAACTCAGTATCACAAGAACTTACCAGCCAGCAGTCACTACTATTATCTAGGAATTCTTAATTACAACATCACTAACTTTGCTGTTATTACCAGTTTCAAGGTTCCTTTGCTCATTGGGCTCCCATGTACTCAATCAATCAACAAATGGTAATAATTATAATTCTAGGGAAAAATCAAAGAAAAGACTCTTTCCTAATTCCCAACAGGAAAAAGATGAAAGTACTACTAAACGTGAAAGGGGACTCAAGCAAATTGAACAATATGCAAATACGATTTTTGGTTTTCAAATAGGCCAAAATTTAAAAGATTGATAACTGGTGTTAGTGAAGTTCTGATGGAAATACACTGTTACACATTTTCTGATGTGAATAAAAAATTGTACCAACATTTTTAGAGGACAATTTGACAGTACCCATTAAACTTTAAATGGGATACTCTTTGACTTATCCATTCCAGTTTTTAGAAACTTTCCTACAAAAATATTTGCATACATACATACTCAAGGGCTTACTTTCAAGGATGTTTGCTGGAGCAGTATTTATAATAATGAGAAACAGGAAGACAACCCAAACATGCATCAGAAGACTAATGAAATGTTATGAAATATTATGGAGCTGTTAACTCAACAAGTGTAATAGCTCTTCATATTCCTAATATAAGTAATAGTAATATTAGAAATATCAGTATAGAGTAGCTACCATTGTCATTATGGTCTTCTAATGGCCTGAAATGCTTTTAAACATTGTAAGATTTGGGGATATTTGCCTATTTATTAAAACCTTCTTTCCTTTGCTTCATAGTAATATGGATCTCTTTAATTCAACAGATTTTGCCCCTATATTCAAGAATAAAACCTTGGCTTTCAGCAAAGAATATCTGGATTAAGAAAACAAATACCCTATTTTCAGTTTCAACATTATAAATTGATGTCTAATACTTATAAATAGATTCCAAAATAGATTCACCATCTTCCTTCTCAAATGGTTTTCCCCTTCTTTCTCTTACCATCAATGGCGTGCACATGCTCCCAATGATCCAGACTTGAATCCAGAATAATTGACTCTCATTTGTCACTAAATCACATGCGAAATCTTGTCCATTCTATGACCCAGTATCCCCCTCATTTAACCTACCACTTCTCCATTCCTATCACTACTTTATTTCAGAATTTCAATGCTTTTTGCCTGGACAATTGCAATAGCTTTTCCCCATTCTCCTCAACTCTGAACACCTCCCCCACTGATTTTTATCTCACTGCTCCATTTCTTTTTGAAGAACAAAGGTAAAATGCCTCTCTCCTGCTCATTAACATGTCCCTGACCCCTGCCAACAAATTTATCTTGCAAAAATAATTAAAACTCCTAACCTGTCATCTAAGACCCTCCTGCCCCCCAAGTTCAGGCTCTAAACTAACATGCTAGTCTATACCCTTTTCTATAACTATTTTCTAGACAAAGAAAAGAATCAATATTCCCCAAACTTAAGCATGATTCTGCACCTCTGGAAATCTGTTTATAATTCCATCAGCCTGGAAGTGTTCTCCACATCCATAAATCCAAAACCTCCCTGTCATTCATAGTCTGGCCTAGGCACCACCCTCATCTCCATAGTCAGAGGCAAAGTCTTACTCTAATCTCCAAGAAGAATTCTCTGAACTTTTTTCAACAAATATTACCTGGTATCTTGCTGCAATTATTTAAATATCTTATCAACTATACCAGAATACAGAATGAAGGCAAGCCCATGGATGTTTCATTTTTGTATCCCCTATACTATCTAAATCAGTGCGTTGAACATAGTAGGTACTCAACAAAGGATTTTCCGCTTGGATTTTTGCTTTAAATTAAAATTACTAGTTACAGGATGATCCCCTCAATATTATCTTCTTTTCTTTATCATTTCAGTGGCATTAACATCATTTTTAACTGAAACTCTTTTGACATAGCAAATCTGATATGCAATATGTGATATATTTTCATTCCATACAGATCTGCCTTCACTCAGGGCTCACCCTAGTGCCTTAACATATATCCTGCCAAACAACACAACATGTGGTCAAGCTTTATTTTCTGTAGCTTGTACTATGAGACAACAGGCTAGTCTGATTTTCTAATTATGAAAGTATTGCTCTGAATACTTTCTAAATGTTCCTTTTGTCCAAAAAAAATTACTATAACCAGTATTTACATACAAATATTGACCACTATTGACTCCTGCCTTGGCCTCAGATATAACATGGGCTTACATGTTCTCATTTAAAGTACTTATAGAAATATGCTCTTTCACTCCTGTCGGTGTGAAGAGACTACCAAACAGGCTTTGTGTGAGCAACAAGGCTGTTTATTTCACCTGGGTGTAGGTGGGCTGAGTCCAAAAAGAGTGAAAGGAGATAGGGGTGGGGACATTTATTTGGGTAGGTAAAGGAAAATTACAGTCAAAGGGGGGTTGTTCTCTGGTGGGCAGGGGTGGGGGTCACAAGATGCTCAGCAGGGGAGCTTTTGAGCCAGGATGAGCCAGGAGAAGGAATTTCACAAAGTAATGTCATCAATTAAGGCAGGAACAGGCCATTTTCACTTCTTTTGTGGTAGAATGTCATCAGTTAAGGCAGGAACAGGCCATTTTCATTTCTTTTATGATTCTTCACTTGCTTCAGGCCATCTGGGCATATACGTGCAGGTCACAGGGGATATGATGGCTTAGCTTGGGCTCAGAGGCCTGACATTAAGAACAACCCCCCTTTGACTGTAATTTTCCTTTGCCTACCCAAATAAACGGCCCCACCCCATCTCCCTTCGCTGACTCTTTTCAGACTCAGCCCACCTGCACCTAGGTGAAATAAACAGCCTTGTTGCTCACACAAAGCCTGTTTGGTGGTCTCTTCACACCGACACGAGTGAAATTTGGTGCCGCGACTCGGATTGCGGGACCTCCCTCGGGAGATCAATCCCCTGTCCTCCTGCTCTTTGCTCCATGAGAAAAATCCATCTATGACTTCAGGTCCTCAGACCAACCAGCCCAAGGAACATCTCACCAATTTTAAATCGGGTAAGTGGCCTCTCTCTACTCTCTTCTCCAACCTCTCTCACTATCCCTCAACCTCTCTCCTTTCAATCTTGGTGCCATCTTTCAATCTTTCCCTTCTCTTAATTTCAGTTCCTTCCCTTTTCTGGTAGAGACAGGAGATGTGTTTTATCCGTGGACCCAAAACTCCAGCACCAGTCACAGACTCGGGAAGACAGTCTTCCCTTGGTGTTTAATCACATGGGGATGCCTGCCTGATTATTCACCCACATTTCAGAGGTGTCTGACCACACAGGGACGCCTGCCTTGGTCCTTCACCCTTAGCGGCAAGCATTGCTTTTCTGGGGGGCAAGCACCCCCCACCCCTTCTCTCCATGTTTCTACCCTTCTCTTTAAACTTGCCTCCTTCACTATGGGCAAACTTCCACCCTCCATTCCTCCTTCTTCCTTAGCTTGTGTTCTCAAGAACTTAAAACCTCTTCAACTCTCACCTGACCTAAAATCTAAGCATCTTATTTTCTTTTTTTTTTTTTTTTTTTTGAGACAGAGTCTCGCTCTGTTGCCCAGGCCGGACTGCGGACTGCAGTGGCGCAATCTCGGCTCACTGCAAGCTCCGCTTCCCAGGTTCACGCCGTTCTCCTGCCTCAGCCTCACGAGTAGCTGGGACTACAGGCGCCCGCCACCGCGCCCGGCTAATTTTTTGTATTTTTAGTAGAGACAGGGTTTCACCTTGTTAGCCAGGATGGTCTCGATCTCCTGACCTCATGATCCACCCGCCTCGGCCTCCCAAAGTGCTGGGATTACAGGCGTGAGCCACCGCGCCCGGCCAGCATCTTATTTTCTTCTGCAACACTGCTTGACCCCAGTACAAACTCGACAGTGGTTCCAAATAGCCAGAAAACGGCACTTTCAATTTTTCCATCCTACAAGATCTAGATAATTCTTGTCGTAAAATGGGCAAACAGTCTGAGGTGCCTGACGTCCAGGCATTCTTTTACACATTGTTCCCTCCCTAGTCTCTGTTCCCAATGCGACTCGTCCAAATCCTCCTTCTTTTCCCTTCTGCCTGTCCCCTCAGTCCCAATCCCAAGCATCGCTGAGCCTTTCTAATCTTCCTTTTCTACAGACCCATCTGACCTCTCCCCTCCTCCCCAGGCAGAACTAGGTCCCAATTCTTCCTCAGCCTCCACTCCCCAACCTTATAATCTTTTTATCACTTCCCCTCCTCACACCCAGTCCAGCTTACAGCTTCATTCCGCTACTAGCCCTCCCCCACCTGCCCAGCAATTTCCACTTAAAGAGGTGGCTGAAGCTAAAGGCATAGTCAAGGTTAATGCTCCCTTTTCTTTATCCCAAATCAGATAGCATTTAGACTCTTTTTCATCAAATATAAAAACCCAGCCCAGTTCATGTCTTGTTTGGCAGCAACCCTCAGACGCTTTACAGCCCTAGACCCTAAAAGGTCAAAAGGCCATCTTATTCTCAATATACATTTTATTACCCAATCTGCTCCCAACATTAAAAAAGTCTTCAAAAATTAAAATCTGGCCCTCAAACCCCACAACAGGAATTAATCAACCTTGTCTTCAAGGTGTACAATAATAGAGTAGAGGCAACCAAGTAGCAATGTATTTCTGAGTTGCAATCCCTTTCCTCCACTGTGAGACAAACCCCAGCCACATCTCCAGCACACAAGAACTCCAAACACCTGAACTGCAGCTGCCAGGGGTTCCTCCAGAACCTCCTCCCCCACGAGTTTGCTACAAGTGCCGGAAATCTGGCCAATGGGCCAAGGAATGCCCGCAGCCTGGGATTCTTCCTAAGCTGCGTCCCATCTGAGTGGGACCCCATTGGAAATTGGACTGTCCAACCCGGCAGCCACTCCCAGAGACCCTGGAACTCTGGCCCAAGGCTCTCTGACTGACTCCTTCCCAGATCTTCTCAGCTTAACCGCTGAAGACCGACACTGCCCGACAGCCTCAGAAGCCCCCTAAACCATCATGGACACCGAGCTTCGGGTAACTCTCACAGTGGAGGGTAAGTCCATCCCCTTCTTAATACGGAGGCTACCCACTCCACATTACCTTCTTTTCAAGGGCCTGTTTCCTTTGCCTCCATAACTGTTATAGGTATTGATGGCCAGGCTTCTAAACCTCTTAAACTCCCCAACTGTGGTGCCAACTTGGACAATACTCTTCTAAGCACTCCTTTTTAGTTATCCCCACCTGCCCAGTTCCATTAGGTCGAGACATTTTAACTAAATTATCTGCTTCCCTGACTATTCCTGGGCTACAGCCACACCTCATTGCTGCCTTTTCCCCCAGTTCAAAGCCTCCTTCACATCCTCCCCTTGTACCTCCCCACCTTAAACCACAAGTATAGGACACCTCTACTCCCTCCTTGGCGACCGATCATGCACCACTTACCATCCCATTAAAACACAATCACCCTTACCCCGCTCAACGCCAGTATCCCATCCCACAGCATGCTTTAAAAGGATTAAAGCCTGTAGTCACTTGCCTGCTACAGCATGGCCTTTTAAAGCCTATAAACTCCCTTTACAATTCCCCCATTTTATCTGTACAAAAACCGGACAAGCCTTACAGGTTAGTTCAAGATCTGCTCCTTATCAACCAAATTGTTTTTGCCTGTCTACCCCATGGTGCCAAACCCTTATACTCTCCTATCCTCAATACCTCCCTCCACAACCCATTATTCTGTTCTGGATCTCAAACATGCTTTCTTTACTATTCCTTTGCACCCTTCATCCCAGCCTCTTCACTTTCACTTAGACTGACCCTGACACCCATCAGGCTCAGCAAATTACCTGGGCTGTACCGCCTCAAGGCTTCAGACAGCCCCCATTACTTCAGTCAAGCCCAAATTTCTTCCTCATCCATTACCTATCTCAGCATAATTCTCATAAAAACACACATGCTCTCCCTGCTGATTGTGTCCGGCTAATCTCCCAAATCCCAATCCCTTCTACAAAACAACCCCTTTCCTTCCTAGGCATGGTTAGTGTGGTCAGAATTCTTACACAAGAGCCAGGACCCCACGCTGTAGCTTTCTGTCCAAACAACTAGACCTTACTGTTTTAGCCTAGCCCTCATGTCTGCGTGCAGCAGCTGCCGCTGCCTTAATACTTTTAGAGGCCCTCAAAATC
This sequence comes from Homo sapiens, assembly GCF_000001405.40. Taxonomy (NCBI): domain Eukaryota; kingdom Metazoa; phylum Chordata; class Mammalia; order Primates; family Hominidae; genus Homo; species Homo sapiens. The sequence goes on from NC_000011.10 coordinate 29,977,085, forward strand.
ACAAACTATGCTCAACTCACTGCCTACAGTTCTCACAACTTCCAAAATCTGTTTTCTTCCTCACGCTTGACACATATACTTTCTGCTCCCAGGCTCCTTCAGCTATACTCACTCTTTGTTGAGTCTCCCACAATTACCACTGGTACTGGCCCAGACTTCAATCTGGCCTCCCACATTATTCCTGATACCACACCTGACCCCCACGACTGTATCCCTCTGATTCACCTGACATGCTCTCACCCTATTCATGTGGCCTGATACGCACTTCTGGCTTTTATTTCTCTTTCATAACAATGTGACAGCAGCAGATTTTAACTAATCACACTAATGACTAGAGACCCTTTGTGGAGTTTATGAATTAGTGATAAAGTGGAACAAATCTGCAAAGTAAAGGAAAATGCCTCATCAAACTTATTCATTTATTTTGACAAGAGCAATTTTGGTTTAATTACTTATGATGGCATTTCAGTAAATGTGCTGTAGCATGTTTTCTCAAATTAATTAAGCCCCCTTTTCCCACTAACACACTGTGCTTATAGAAAAAGGAAAAAAAAAACACATATTTCATTGAGACATTCACTGGTTTCTGGATTCCTTTGGGAAAATATATAAAAATTTTTCAAAATTGTTTCCTTTTGAATATATATTCCATAAACTCATCTGGAGAGAAAATTAGGTATTTATTGTAGAAGATAAATTTGGATATAAATTGAATTTGGAGCTAAATTTGCTTTTCTATTTGTAAAGTACATTGAAATATGTCCTAAGAGGAAAGCTTCAACTAAGCTGTTTTTACTACTTTCCACCAGAGAATCAGAAGCTGAAATAAAAAATGAAAAAAACCCTCTATTTACCAATTCATAGACTTTCTGGATTAAAACTAATTTTTGCCTAATATATTAATAGAAGCAATATTTTGTATTTTACACCTCCACAAATCATGTTATGAAATAACTCAATCCCACCACAGTGAAAATGAAGTCCTTTGGTTCTGTGATGAAAATTTTAATTTTTGGCTCACTCTGAATATGTTGGAGGATGTATAGCATATTGTTTTGGGTCAAGGACCCTGGAGGCAGACAAATTCGCTTCATACTCCAGTTCCACCGATTTCTCACCCATGTGACTTTGGATGGTGATATGGTTTGGCTGTGTCCGCACCCAAATCTCATCTTGAATTCCCATGTGTTGTGGGAGGGACCCAGTGGGAGATAATTGAATCATGGGTTGGGTCTTTCCCATGCTTTTCTCATGATAGTGAATAAGTCTCACAAGATCTTATGGCTTTATAAGACGGAGTTTCCCTGCACAAGCTCTCTTTGCCTGCCACATCCATGTAAGACATGACTTCCTCTTCCTTGCTTTCTGCCATGATTGTGAGGCCTCCCCAGCCATGTGGAACTGTAAGTCCATTAAATCTCTTTTCTTCCCAGGCTTGGGTATGTCTATCAGCAGTGTGAAAATGGACTAATACAGTTGGGTTCTTTATAATTACTGAACTTCAGTTTATAATCTTTTAAAAATGTAAATACTAATAATATAGTCCACATTATATTGTTGTGAGAATGAAATGATGTAATGCATGCAAAGGGTTTTATACTGTTCTGGCACATAACAAGCACGAATAAATGTTAACTATTTTTAGTAAGTTGATAACTACACGCTGTGGCCTTGAGGAACAGCTTGGTCCAAGCATAGGATTCAGAATTTGATTGCTACTAACACAGATTCACTCATTGACTTGGGGCAAACTAATGAAGTCTCCCAGGACACTGATTTTCACTCCACAAAATGGGATTTGGTGACTAATCAAGAGGAAAAGTCTGCACTTGGTGAATTGAAGTCCAACATAAATGTCCTTACAGCACATAATCACAATTTGTATTACCTTTATTTTTTACATAGAGTAAAATACATAATCCTCACTAACTCATGGTGAATAAGGCATATTTTAACTCATTAAAACTCTTCTCTGACCTTGGAAAAAGATGCTTAAATGAGTTTTATGTTTCAATGAAAAAAGTGGCACTTGTTCAAGTCTACTGCAAAAACTTTAGCACTTTAGCAAACTCAATTCAGGTTCATGGCTAAAGTTACACATTCTAATCTTATTGTCCCATGCTGCTCTTGAAGCAAACAGAAGACAGCCATGTTATGCATTGACAACAGGCACCAATTATATATACATGATAAACTGACATCAGGCTTCTTTGTGAAAATAACTTCCTATTTATATAAAGTATTATATAGTGATACTTAACTCCAAAACTCTTATTTCTCTTTAAGGCTAAAAACTCCTATGTTGTTGACGATTGGTAATGACTTCTGGATAACAGAGCCAGTTCTGCCAAGAGCACAAGAGGATAGTTCATTTGTCCTAAACTTAATTCTCAGGGCTGCCCAAGCAGCAGCAAGGCTGAGGCTGGAAAAATGACTCACAACACGGGAAAAACACACTCAAGAAAATTATGTGCCAGTAGCTAACAAACTAAAAATAATGGGATTGTATGTACTTTAAAAAAATTCTGAAGAAACTCAAATAACTAATACTTTATTATAATCGATCACCTGTTTTGACTGAATTAATGCTTTTGAGTCTTTCTTCTCTCCTTCCTTCACCATAAATAGCTTTTGATAGACATTTTTAATCATTTCATATTATAGTCCTCATTTACCATCTTTGCCTGATTTTATGCCTACTTACAGCCCAAAGACATGTAGAAATGATTTGGAGATTCTACAATCAATACACTTGCTCTGTACAGAGCCCAGCACAGGGCATGCAGGGAAAGAAATATAAAAGACTCCGTCCCTGCTCTCAAAGAGGATTATCCATCATGCTATGATCTCTTCTGCCCCATGCATTAGACAATGTGATTTGTATAAAGCTACATGAAAGCAAATACACAAACGTTAAGAATGTAAGCATAAGCTTACAAGTATCTCTGACACAAATTTCTCTATTTTTCTGCCTAGTAATCTACATTCTCATCTTTCCTAATGTAAGAATGAGAAAACAATATTCTGTACACGTATTTGAATTAGCTTTTTTATTGTCTTCAAATGCAGTATCTTAATTATACAGTAACAGGTGCTGAATTTATAGTACAACTATAGTAGATTTTGCATTCTTACATTACATAGCTGTGATACATACCTTGTTATAGCAGTCAGAGCCAGCCATCTAAACTTAAAAAAAGGTGGACACAAAAGAATCCTAACAAATTATATACAACTCACAAGTAGGGGATAGCACACCCCAGCTCTTTATCCTGACCTACTACTACCAAGTCAGAAAAGCTCTTATTTGAATGTATATGAAGAACAACAAAACAAAGCAGAACAATATACACCAACAACACAAGAACATATGCACGCGAGTACACACAAGTGCCCAGCAAATTTTACATCATTCTTTAAAAATTAGAGTTTCTAGTTGAGTGAACCACTGGATAATTTGAATCTGCTAACTTCTTTACACTGGGCATCTGTATTATGCTGTCTTCTGCCCCAATGAACTAACACATAAAAGAATCATCTTAACTGTCATGATTGTTAATGCTTTATTACACAAATCTAATATAATCAACTCATGATTTAGACTCAATGAATTTAAAATGTTTGATATGACCAAGAATTAAACTAAAGCTTAACTTTGTAACAAAAATGAAGTATTTGTAATCAAAACTGCAGAAAACAAACTTAACCTACTGAAAGACTTTGAAAGAGTCAATTGCGTGCAAATAGGAGTTTCTAATTATAAATAAATCTTAACTAATTGACTCTAACAGGACCTCTATTAGGAAGAATTTGTTAGCAAGGAATTTGAGGAGTAAACAATCTAACCACTGAGAAAGGACTTAAAGGAATTTCATTGAATTTATTTTTAGCACCATTCAGGTATTTCACTGGAATCTTGGCCCAATTACTCTGAGCACACAACCTAAAATGCAGTTTTAGTACTGAAAAAAAATGGCATAAGTAAATAATTAAGTAAATAATTTTTATAGTAGCCTTAACCCATATTTAAGTGTTTGACAATGGATACTAAGCAAATCAGAAGGTGCAAAGATCATCTGTAGACAATGTGGTGTCAGCATAACCTAATGCTTTATCAGGGGTGTCAAATATGCAGCTCAGCTCCTGTGAGGATATTTTCCTTCCCATGCCCAGGAGAGAGATCATTAATCTAATGTGTCACTCTCGTCAAGCTCAGACCATAGCCTTGAATCTTTCTATAGACATCCCTTTAGATATTGAAGAACAAATGTATAGAGTTAACACAAAAGGCAAACCTTAATTGTTATCCCAGCCTTAAACAATTAAAACCCCTTCTGAATCACTGATACATTTTCACATAGAAAGTCAGTTAAGTCTTTGTCCTCGGCTGAGGACATGAATGTTGAGATAGGGAAGGGGTTAAATGAGGTCTAACTAAGCATTCCACATGTGTATTTCCCATTCAATATTATTGCTTACAGAACAGAGATCTAAACTCCCCTACCAAGGACCTCTCAAAAGGCCATGGGATATTTTGGACACATAGCAAGTGTCAAAGCATATAGGTATTTGCTATTTTATTCTGAAAATATGTTTGTGTATCTCTCATAGCCAGGAAAAAGTATACAATGAAAAATAAACAGATTATTAGTAATATACAAGTAGATCATCTGGCTTGTATAACTACTTACTCAGCTCCAACTTCCAGTGCCCTAAGGTGAAGCCTCTCTAAACACCTTACCTCCAGGCCAGGTGGCAGAGGTTATCTTTAACACTTTTCACCTAGGAAAGCACTTAAATACATCTGGAGCCTTACTGCTCGAAGACTGCTAAAACACCAGTAGCATCAGTATCACCTGGGAACACGTTAGAAATGCAAAATCACTGCCCCCATGGAGACCAACTGAAGTAAATTCCGCATATTAACAAGATACCCAGCAAATGTACAGGCATATTAAAGTTTTAGAAGCATTAACTATACTCTTAGAAGCCCAGATCCAAGAGCTATTTCATAGAATTTCAAAAAAAATTCAAGAATGCTTATTTCTAATCCTGTAAATATCATTGACCAAATTCTATGAAACAAAAATCCAATAAGATACTCTGCCAAAAAATAAAAGGAGGAGGGGTTACATTTAAAAATGTGAGAAAGTCCACACATCATCCTCATGGAAATTCACTACACACATTAGCAGATTGTAGGCTCTGAGAAGTACCACAAAGAAACTAGTTTTACTGTTTAACTCAAAAATTCAAAAACAGTTCCTTTTTCAACTACTATTAACTGCCTATAGAGATCCTCTGAGAAAACTGCTACAGATTATAATTCCCTGTAGCATACATATATATATATATATATATATATGCACACACACACATATATATATATGCAACACAGGAAATATATATATACGCACACATATATATATGTGCAGCACACAGAAACTTGTACTACCTCATCCATGGGATCCATATTATAAGACAGAATTACAGTGAAGTCCTTTTGCTATATCTGGTTAAAACTAAAAAAGTAAAAGAAAAATGAAAATCTTGGTTAGGGCTCCAGAATTACCTGTATCAAAGTGAATTTTTGGTACATTAGATGGTATTCACAAGGCTCCTGTATATTTGCCTAGAGTCAAAGTACAAACAGGGACCTAGAGTTTGAAACTGACTCATTTTAATATAGCAGCACATCCTAAAAAAGATTTTAATGCCTTCAGCTCATGCTTTAGAGTTAGAAGTTCTTGGAGTTATTGTATTGCTCAAGATGATTCGCAAATACTGAGAACAGAATTCTGCCCTCACTTGTGACTATTTTATATCATTCACAATAAGAACATAATTGCTGTATTAGTCTGTTTCACACTGCTATAAAGATACTACCTGAGACTGGGTAATTTATAAACAAAAGAGGTTTCATTGACTCACACTTCTACATGGCTGGGGAGGCCCCAGGAAACTTACAATCATGGTGGAAGGCAAAGGGGAAGCAGGCACCTCCTTCACAAGGCAACAAGCAAGAGTACATGCACGCAGGAGAAACTGCCATTTTTAAAACCATCAGATCTCGTGAGAACTCCCTCACTATCACGAGAACAGCATGGGGAAACTGTCCCCGTGATCCAATCACCTCTTACCAGGACCCTCCCTCACCATGTGGGGATTATAATTCAAGATTGGATTTGGGTGGGGACACAGAGCCAACTCATAATCAATTACTCCCTGAAAACTGCAATAAATAAATAAGTCAAGTACAGGGTATGATCCAACACTCATCTGGACTAACCATCCCATAACACCCACATTCATATATTTAAAGAAAGCAGATAGAACTTAAATAGGGTAAAGCCACAGCGGAATGAGAAACTGGGTTGACAACAGGATGAAAAAAACATTCCAGGTCCTTATACTCCCCAACAAATCATCCCACCCCAACACATGTCAAAACTTGGTTAGATGGATTCATATATATTCTTATCAAATTCCCAGTTTCCATCTCTTCCAAAAGACATATTGAGTAGGTTCTAAAATTTCACAAAGCTTCAATAGTTTGTAGACTTTTACTTTTATCTTCTAGACATTTAGCCTAAAGCAAAACTTCAACCTGTTGTTAAGAGTAGCCAGGGCCCCCAGGGGAATCCTGTATCTTTGACCCACGCATCACTCATCTGCCCACTCACAGATGAGCAACACCTGATCATAGGAGCATGCGTAAACTCTTTTTCTCTTCCCACAAACCTCTATTTGTTGAAGTCCAAATGCAGAGACAGAAACAAAATAATGACATGGGTTCCTTTCTGGAAAGGCAGATGTTTCCTCTCTTAATCTTCATCACCAAGATCTTGCAAACAGTGAGTTAATGGTAGAGGATCTCTTTAATGAGAATTCCCAGCCAAGAATGGAGGACCAAGCCATGTCCGCATACAATTGCTATATCCCAAACCAAAAATAGAGGCCCTGGGAATGTTTTATTATGAGCCAGGAAGAAAAAAAAGTACAATCACATTGCCGAAGTTTCCCCCAAATATAAACACATCCTCTTACATCATTCAGAGCTATTAATAACTATTAATTAAGAGCTATAAATAACTATTAAGAACCCATAATACTTTATACTCTAATCAGATTTACCCATCTTGGTACCAAACAGTCAGTGCTGAAATCTAAAAGATACTAATTTTTTTAAATTTAAATCCCAAAGAGGAGAAATGATCTATTTATTAGTAATAGAGCTACAATTAAGTAGCTTTAAGTTATATTTATACACACATATACTTATATATGTATGCATATACACATACACACATATACATATATATGTATGCATATACACATACACATACACACATACGTATATATGTATGCATACACACACACACATACACATTAGATATATTAGGCCCCAAAATTGTGTCCTATGTCAAACAATATATTCCAAGCTTTGATTCAGAAAACTTGGCCAGTCTAACATTAGCAAAAGTGCGGGTATGTGAAATACATAGAATTTGGTAAAGGTTGTATGTTTTTTAAAGTAAGTAAGAGGAAAATGTCAATTTGAGACTCTCAACTAGTTCAAGCTGTAAGTCACTAGAAGACAGCGGCTCCAAATAGCTGCTCGGTAGCCTGTGCAAAATGAGTCAATTTTCTAAATTAGGTCTGCCGAGGCCAATGGAGGTCATACTGTGATTAAAATGGGCTGTGATGCCTAGTCACACAGGTGGAGCCAGCTGTGTGGGCAACTGTCAGGGGCAGGATTTCCAGCACCACACAATCCAAAAGAAAATAAAAAATAGACAATAGCTTATTTTCTCAGAAAATCTTGATTCCATGGGCCATGAATAATTCCCATCAAAAGCATACCCCAAAACTAGCCCTAAATCTCTGCAAACCACCCACATGAGATTAATTGGATCCATCTCACGACCAGAAGTTATTTTGGGGGAAATATTACTTACCTCTGAAAACATAAATAAAATTATTGTATTTGCATTACATATACCTTTGAGAAGTGTAAAAAAGCAATAACCCAGAGTGCCCTTGCAGGAAAGGCAATTAATCTTTGATGATACAAAGGCATAGCCAGAAGCTAGATTGAAAGAGACAAAACCAGAAAATCCAAGCACTAGGCAATGCACAAGATATGGCATAGAAGGTAATCAAGTGGGGAGATCAACCAGGAAACAGGCGCATAAATCACAGGTCCTATATCTCTACAAGTCTAGATCCTTTTCCTTTTTTAATGGCCAGCTAAAATGCCATGAAGATGCTCTAAGGGGCTTTCTCTGATCCCTATAACATAGTTCATCTCTGAACTCCAACAGCTCCTTGTTTGGATGGCTCTTGTTCCACTCATCACCTTCACCCTGTACTACAGTTATTTATAGACATCTCATCTTTCCTGCTAGACAGTGAGATCTCTGAACCAGGAAACTAACAATTAGGAAGCACCTGCTCTGTCCACACATTGTATTTCATATTTGCACAGATAATACCTCAATGTAATCCTTATAACACCCTTGTGAGGTGTGTCTCATTTTTCTACTTTTGAAGGCAAGGAAACAAAATCAAAGGGGTTAAGTATTTGCCACAGTCTCACTATTACTACGGGCTAAAAAGGAGATAAGAATTAAAGTTGAATCTGAAGTTGATAGCTTTCCTACTACAAAAGGTTGTGTCTCATTCATTTTGGTATCCCCAGTGTGGTTCTTTGAACATAGACTGTGCTCAATAAAAATGTGCTTATTGGGTTAGGTAATTCACAAATGTTTTGTGAATACAAATGACAAGATCATTTGTCTATGTTTCAGATCACCTGAAAGGCACCCCAGAAAATAAAGCAGCATCAAAGTGACCAAATATATCCTCTATAGACTGTACAAATTCAAACTGCCAAAAGAGTAAAAAAGAAAAAGGAAATAGAGGCAGTGAGCCAGTTTCTAACTTATCCTTGGGTGAGCTCCATAAAAACCACATATATTTGTACATAAGAACATGCTGTTCTAATTGACTATAGCATCCTGATACACTACACAGATGAAACGTAGGAAATCAAATGGTACCAGAAGTTTTCTCAAAAGCCCATTAAATAGTCTCTCAAAATAAGCAAGGCACAAGTCTAATCATGCTTTCTGTTCACAAAAATCAATTGTTTACCATTTTTAGTATGAGTGTCTCTTACTTGGGACCTGAATGAGAATTATTCACAAGGATTATATTTTCCCTTCTGAAGAGGAAGAATTCTGGGCTGCACAATTTCAACTGGAGCCACAGTTATAAATTTTATAGGTTTCTTGGGGAAGCCCTAAGGTACTTTTCCCTTTTTAAAAATGTCACTGAACTAATTTTGAAGTATCCAGCTCTTCTGTTAAGTGTGTCAAAATTGAAGTCCGAGAGGGTAGATTGTCACATTTCAAAGTGGCCTCAAATTAAGTTTTCAAATACTATTTGGAATTTTATAATGTAGACTCTTAATAAAAACTGATTAATTAGCCAGTGGGCATAGTTTAAGGAAATGCTGCATAAAGACAGTGGAAAAGTCATTTGATTTGGGATCTAAGACCTGGGTTTTAGTCCTAGGTGGTATAATCTTTCTCCATTGTTTTAGTTTTTTTTTTAATCCCCCAAAGGCATGATCCAAAATATTTCTTAGATCTAAAGTTCTATCATTCCATCCAACATGTAATGGTCATGATTTTCACCGGATCTTGCATCAGACATAATAATGGACCTCAAAGATGTTCATGTCCTAATTCCCAGGACATGTGAGAGGAACTTTGCAGATGTGATTAAGTTAAGGATCTTGAGAAGGGGGGATTATCCTGGATTATCCAGATGGGCCTAATGCAATCACAAGGGTCCTTACAACAGGAGGGTCACAGTCAGAAAAGGAGATGTGAAGCACAGGTTGGAGATATGTGGCTGCTGGCTTTGAAGATGGAAGAAGGCCAGGAGCCCAGGAAGGTAGTCTGCCCCTAGAAGCTAGAAAAGGCAAAAGACAAGATTCTCCCCTAGAGCCTCCAGAAGGAATAGCCCTGCTGACACCTTGATTTTAGGGTTTATGACCTCCAGAACTGTAAGGTAATAAAATTGTGTTGTTTCAAGCCACTAAATTTGTGGTAATTTTTAGAAGTAGCAACAGGAAACTAATTCCTGAATATGTTTCAATGTGGCTTATATACAGATTAATCACAAAAAGAAAAATCTGGAAAGATTCTGTTATCGTTCTTCTATTTGTCAATTTGATACATTGAAAGGTAAACATTTTCTGTTGCTAATGATTATGGGGAATGGTGAGTAATACTTCAATTATTCAATCTGACATAATCATGAGACATTCATGTAAAAGCAAAGTGGAGTAATGAGAATAATAATCATGATCATGACCAAACACTGAGCACTTACTATGTGCCAGGTACCATTGTAGGCACTTAACATGTGTTATCGTATTTGTGGCTTGCTCTGATTTCATTGATTGTCTGTCCCTGCCTTCTCACCTGCTCCACAAAAGCAGCCTTCAACACCAGCAGATAGAAACCATGGAGTAGGAAGGCAAGGTAAGATTAGTCAGGACTAGATAATGTTCTTCAAAAAAAAAACAAAAAAAAAACAAAAAAAAACCACTGAGGTTATTTTTCTTCTACAGTACTTCAGGGAGAATACCCAAGTTACAACCATAAAATATGAGACAGCCCTCTTATTGGACTCACTTTAGACAAGTCAGACACTAGTCTACAATGCAGCTGATAATTACTCTTCCATTTGAGACCCAAACACACAAATACTTTGTATGAAAGCCATGCTTTATAAGCCAAAAACAGAAATGTAGACATAAATTCCTAATATATCTGCTTACCTGGGGATTCCTGTGAGAAGGATTATATTATTACTTAACTGGGGTCCATTCTATCATAGTTTTGAGAAAGGGAGAACACAGCAATGAGCTAGGTGCTTTCTCACTTAATTCAATTACCTAAAAGAGCAAAATGCCGTAAGTGGAATTCCATTATTGTTAAGATGATCAATTACTAACTTTCTGCAAGGCTATTCTTTACAAGAGGTAGATGCCGGAAAACAACCAAAACCCACTATGAGCAGCAAAATTGTCAGTTCATGAAAATACCACATTAGTGATAACATGAAAAAATCATAAAGACCAGCAAAGATAGACACAACCCAATTGTAAACACTAATATCTGAATTTAGAATCATCTGCAAACAAAATATATCATCATTTGTCACAATGTCCCTGCTTTTGCTCTATTCTAATTCATTGCTCCCCAGCATCTTTATGAATATGGGCTATAAAATACTTTTTTCCAGTAGGAAACATTATTCCAAAGACAAATGACAAAACATAATTAACACTATTTAAGAAATACTAAAACAACAATTCTAAACACATATTTCCAATAATATTTTTTAAAATAAGATCATAATTTGTGTGTTTTCCATAAGATCAAAATTTGTGTGTTTTCCCCTAAAGAGAAGGCCTCCTAAAGCAATGCAATTGGTCTAGCTGACTAAATTAGTTTTCTTTCCCCCACGCCCCCATGAGTTTTCCAGAAGGGTCTGGTATAAAAGGCATGCCAAGTAACGATGAAATTTAGATTCCCATGGCACTGGGTATGTACTCTCATTAGTGTGTTTCACAATGTACCATCATTATTTGTTCCCACGTCTGTCTCCCTTGAAAGACTCAAGGGTAGGAATGAGTGTCTTCTTGATTTGTGTTCATCTTCACAATACAGAATATTTGTTGACTCTAAAGGAGTGGTATGGGTACTCACTGAGTTTTCTGAATGATAAATTAATAAATTGATTCCAAAGACCTAAATGTTACCCAAATCAAGAAAATGTATCAGCAATTTCACTGGCACAGTAAAATGTTCTATATATACAGTACAGGCTCAGTAAATATTGGTTAAAGACCTAATTAAGAAATGATTATACCATATATTAGTGGTGTTTTGAATTTTAAAATAAGTGACACATATCAAATTACAATCACTTTACAAAACCCATAACTGTCCATTAGCCCATCTGATGTATTTTCTCCCTAATGGAAGACTCATTGCTAATATGGTATAAATCAAATAATAAATGGCAATTTTCTGTTACTAATGCTCAAAATCAACCCACCACAGCCTATCAATACCTCTACTCAATACCTCTCCCACTGCTCATTCACTCACCCACTTAAGCCAACTTGTTCACCAGGGGCCCAGTCTGTATTTAGAAGCACAAGAAGAACCACCTAATTGTTATGTCATCATGACTAAGCCACAGTATGCTGTGATTAGTTTAGCATGAGAAGGAATGAGATAGAATCCCAGGAGTCTCATACAGTCAGTGCAGTCAAAGCATCTATGAGTAGGAGGAAGGAAATGCTATTGGGGTAGAAGAGGAAGGTGCTTTCAGAGGCTTAATTAGTTATTTAGAGAGGTGTGTAGTGTGTGTGTGTGCGTGCAGAATATATATATGTGTGTACATATATATACACACACATATGTTTGTGTGTATATATATATACCATCTTTACACTGATGGAGTGGTCAAGTAGTTTAGCAAAACATTTTAAGGAGATGCATTTGGAATTCTTTTAGGAAACCAAACTAAATGATGCTACAAAGCTTAAGGCAGCTTCTAAAACAGAAATCCCACTGGGACCAGTTCTAGGAACCTTGCCAGGGTATAGGATACAGAAGTTGCTTCAGCAATATCATTGAGATTTCTGTGTTAGGAAAGCAAAATTTCATAAGCAAGATAGTCAAAGCAGAGCTGAAAAAAGAATTTCTTTTCTAGTGGCCAATCCTTCCCTGGAGGATCTTTATGACTAGAGGAAGAAAAAAGAGAAAAATGCAAATGCAGATGGAAAATGAAGGAGGAAGAAAACTGGAGAGAAAGAAGAGAAGACAGAAAGGAAAATGGCCCCAGAGAAATTAAAAATGTGAATGTACTTAGACAGTAATATTAGATTTAGGAGGTTAAGTCTGAAGATTTAAAAGAAAGATTTAAAAGAACAACTCCCTAAACTCGCATTGCTTTTAACTTCAGTAGCAATGCTATGGTTGACAGGGATAAAACTGGTCTTCTTAAATCTGCCTCAGTGAAAAGGCTGCTGCTCTCCTGGTGAATGCAACTTCCAGCTCAAATGGTTGTCACCTTGGGAACATTAAGAAAAGTCTCAAAAAGCTTAAATTTTGAATTAGGAATATAAAAAACCTTTCATTTCATTTACCAACTTTTGTAACTGAAATCTCCCTACTTGTCATGTACTGTTTCTTTGAACCAAGGAAGTGCTATGTTGAAGGGCTGCTGATCTACTTAGATGTCAGCATACATTTCTACAGGAATCCTCATCATTGCTGCCATCAAAGTGGCAAAATGGGCCAGAGATAAAAAAGTTTTCTTTGGAAGAAAAGATCATACATTCTTGATTAGAAGCTATTTTCTTTGGGACAAAAAATCAAGAACTAATTTTTTTAATCATAAATAATTCCACTTAAATATACAAGCCTTATATAAACTCTTAGTAATATATTGGTTCTCTAGTAGTGCATAATGAAACTATATATCAATGTAGTGAAGTAAATGACAAAATATAAATAAAACTAGGCTTAAGGACATAAAACTATTAGCAAGTGGTACTAGAGAGCAAGATTTGGTGGAAAAAAAACCATGCGAAGACAGAATGGACTTGTCCTCCAAAAGGTAAATGGATAAACAAAATGTGGTATATCTATGCAATGTAAAGAAACCAACTCTTGATACACACAACTACATGGATGGGTCAAAAACATTATGCCAAGTAGCCAGGAACAAAAAAAATCTATAGCACATGTATCTATTTATACATAATTGTAGAAATTGCAAACTATTTTAAAGTGACAAAATGAAGATTTCATTGATTGCTAGAGCCAGAGATCTGAGAGCCAGGGAGGAATAGACTGTGAAGAAAACTTTGGATATGACAGAATTCTGTATGTTGATTGTAGTGGTAACTTCTTGGGTGTATACATATGTCAAAATTCATTGAATTGTACACTTTAAATGGATATTGTTTATTGTACTTATACTTCAGTAAAGATGATTTTAAAAGAAGAAATAATTTTTAAAAAATGGTTTGTATCTGATCTTGACATATTTTCCAAGAAAAATTAGTAGGCTATTTAAGAAACATAAACATAATAGAATTAATAGGTTGAATTTGCAAGGTGTGGCCTGTATTTCTAGAGCTTCAACTGTCATTTCTACTACTTCACACCCATTGGGAAAGTGGGAGGATCAAGTATCACTGATCCCTACTGTCAGAAGGGAGGAGACCAAGGCACAGAAGACCTCATAATCAGGACGACTGGTGCAGATGAGTGCACTATAAGCAATAAGTGGTCCAAGAAAACAATTTCTTGATCCCCTTTTACTTTTAGAATGTGATTATTCACATTTTACAGTGAGATAAAGAGATATAACTAAAGGTCCCATCAACATGGTAAAGGACACAGAAGAGAAGTCTAAGTCTGGCCAATTGTTTTATTTTTGACAAATACTTCATATTGCAAAATCTTCTAGATCCTTCAATTATCATCCCCATCACTTCTCTTTCCTGGATATTTTTCCTCTGACTACTATTAGCTACCACATCGTTGGGCAAAGAACATACAAGAAGTGGCCTATAAGTATGCCATTTGTTTCTTTATGAAAAGCTAAACAAACGTTCAAGAAGAAAACAGAAGTGAAATTTATGAAGTAACTTTTGACTACTATCTTCTCTCATTAAATAAAAATGTACACTTTTCATTATCTTCCCCTAGGAATCCCTGAAAATGGAACATTAAATGAAGCCACTCACACCAAGCGATGAGTATGCGTATTATCTAGTAAACAAGTGTTTAGAAAACATACTTATTCTAACTATTATTCAAACTTTATACACAAGCAGAGAACACTAAGAGAATTCTGCTACATTGTATGTATAGAGAGGTGGCTCTGTGAGAAATTTAACTGATGAAAATATACACAGAAAAGGATTTCCTTTGGTTATTAAATAACCCTGACACTACGCAAAGCACTGACTTTGCCACCTAACAGCTATTTGGAAATAAATAGGCAATTCTCAGGTATGAAATTTAAACATAACAAAAGAAGCATTCAAACACTTTTATCGATAGGAACAAAGAATTTAGACTTTTGAGCCATAGGGAACAAGAAACAATCACATATGTGTTGATACAACCACAGCAAAGGAGATAATTAAGCAACGATTATTACGTGACTATGGGTAATGATAAGAAGCTTTCTAAATAAATGGATCTATCTGTTCCACCAATTGTTTTCCAGAGCTCCTGAAAAATTACTTAAATAATTTGCTAATATATGATACTATCAAATGCATTTGGAAAAATAACTTTATACCATGGGGAGGAGAAAGAACATCATAATTCTCAAGTCATTTCCTCACAGGTACATTAGAAAAAATACCAGCCTTTTTGTCCTCTAAGTACAACACATCTATGATGAACATGGCAAGAGAAGTACCAAGTATAACATAACTATTATTAATGTCAGCAATTAGCCAATATGAATGCTCTGGAATAACCTAAAAATTTGTTATAAGATTGATACTGCAGTTAATATATATCAAATGGCTTGTAGGGTGTGATATAGCATTATTAGATGTTTCATCGGTAGTATACTAGAACCAGTCTACTGGTCGATGAAATTCCTGTGCTCCACAAATGAAAAAATAGATCCAAAGTTGGACACACACTTCCTAATAAAATTCCATGCAAGATAAGCTTTAAATTCACCACAGAAAGCAATGCTATTGACTCAAAATTCAAGGCCCAAAGAGGTAGTAGAGATGTATTAATGCAAAGACCTGTATTTTTCAAATACTTGTTTTAAACAGCTACTCAAAAGTACAAAGAATCACAAGCAAATATAACAAAATGATAGAATCATGCTTAATGTGAAATTCTTGTTTACATACAGCCAGTGGAGTGTATAGTTTAGCCAATAACAATAATGTGCAGGCCCCAGACTAGGAAAGAACACCAAAAGAAACAGTGAATCCTTGATCTCTTGAAACTTATAATTTGTTCAGGAAGGAAAGAAATTTAAAAAGAAAAACCTAATCAAGAGAAATAATTTTAAAAAATATTTTATAAAATAATACCTTCACAAACACATATAACCTACAGTCTATAAATGTCCCAAGATTGATCAGGCATAAGAAAGTTTGAAAAGCAGGCTAAATTAAAATATTTCATCTTCTTCCCATGCATACTTTCCCCATACAAGAATAGCTACATTTAAACTATTTGTTTTGTGTTAGTTTCTTCATGAGAAGAAAAATGGTCACAAAAAGTTGTTGTAAGCTGAAGAAAAATGGCTACAAATATTTCACAGCTTCTCTCATCAAAAAAATGAAATCTAGTTCTCCACTCCCTGAATCTGGAATTGGCTGTGTAACTTGTTTGGCTAATGGAACATTAACAAACAGGATGTAGACAGGGGCTTGAAAAGTACTTGCAACATGTTTACCCTCTCTTGCTGCCTTTGGAACCCAGCTGCCCTGGGAAGCAGCCCAAGCTATGTTGTTGGACTCTGGAGATAATGGTTTGGTCCCTTCATCAATTTCCAGGCATGTGTTCAAGGCCATCTTGGGAAGAATAGCCAAGAGCAGACCTCCCAGCTGACTGTGGCTATATGCAGGAACTCTGGTTATATCAGAAGAAGAACCACCCAGCTGAACACAGCCTAAATTGACACTTGTTGGGCTCCATAGCATCAGCTGACTACTTAACCAATACAGATGCATTTCAACATTTAACAACTGGAACTGCTGTGCCACTGCACAAAAATCAGCCCCAAACACAACTGATGAGGCTTCAAAAATAGAAGCATTATTCGTAACTTAACTTTCTCATTTAGCTAGTTAAAATGTTCTAATTTCTTTGTTTACTCATTTGTTGTAGACACTGAGATTTGGCTCCTGGTTTTACTGCCTCTTCATTGAAATGGCTGACCCCTAAGACCCCAAGATACCATGAGGTATCTCATGGTTTAAAATACCAAGAATTCTCAAATGCAGTTGGCAAGGTGTCTACGAGATATCATAGATTGATTCAAAGTTTTAAAAGGGAAAAAGAAACTTGTTTATTTTACAGTCTCTCCCCAGCATAAGTGATGGCTCCAGGCATAATTGGAAACAACTGGAATCAAATTGGATCAGTTCCCCCAAACAAGCAATCCCAAAGATAAGCAGATAATAAGAAACATAGTAAAGAATTATAGGCTCAGAGCTCAGAAAAAGCAGAGTTTTAAAAAGATTCCAGAAATCTTTCAGGAACTCTGGAAAAGGGAGCTGAAAATATGCTTTTAATTGACATTGGAAAGAAATAAAATTATTCGCTCCTTCCGCCCCTGCCTTTTTTCATTAAAATGTTGAAGATAGATAGAGATTGTTCTTCAAGAGCATGAATTATTCTCAGGAATAACCTGTATTATTTCCAAAAACAATTACAATAAGAAACATATATTTATTCTCTGTATTATTTCCAAAAACAACTACACTAAAAAATATATATTTATTCTCTGGAAAACTCAGTAGTCTATGCAGCTCAATTCACTTACCAGGAGAGAGTACGGTAAGCTTTCATCTAAACAGTTTTAAGCTCTTCTAAGAGATCTTCCAATTCCAAGTAGTTAAGAAAGAAGTGTGCCGAGGGTTTCCCAATTATTACCTGTGCCTCAGTATTGAATCATCAAGTCAGCAAAAAGTTCAATATTCAATTTAGGAAACATAAAGAAAAGAAATTGAAGAAAAAAGAGGAGAACAAAGAGGAGAAACAACTGAAGATAAAAACGGTGTCCAGTTGTTAAGTATCCCTTCATGAAATTACTAGGAAACCATTCACAAACCATACAGAGATTAGGTAATTCAGGACATTATGTTTTATCAAGGACAAATCAAGCAACTGAGTGATGGTAGAATTAAAAGAGATTAGAGAGCTGAAGGCAAGACCTTTAGCTAAGACATGTAGAGATAGAGACATATAATTAACCTGATCACCATGAGCCAAATAAAAAAGGTACAGGAGTCTGCTTGCAATAGAAGAGCAGAAAACGAATAGGAACCACTTTGTCATCAGCTGCTCAAGCAACATTTAGCATCAAAAACAATTTGCTATATGAATAGGCAAACCTGAGGTCAACATATAGGTATTACGTTATTGATAATACTTGCATGATTAATACTTGTTCAACTACTGAGAACAGCAAACGAATAATTTTCAAAAGTTACTTCATGCCCCACTAGATTTATTGTTAATATATTACATTATATTATAAAATAATGCAGTATCATTTAAAATTAAAATCTCTTTATTTAAAACAACTTCCTCTGGGAAGATAGCCTAGAGAATAGTACAAAAAAAAATATTATGTTTATGAAAACATTCATCATAGTTTGATTTAAATAGTATAACAGTATAATTTTAAAAAGTAAAGCAATCTAGAAAATATTATACTGAAATGACCAAGAAATGTATGTACATCAATTGAATAAAATATGATGTAGACACAAAATCACAGCAAAAAGATGAAATAAAAATTAAAAAGCTACGTAACAACAGTTTTGCTAACTACATAGCAATTATTAAAAGGAACAGTTTTGCTAACTACATAGCAATTATAAAGAGGTAGAATAAAGACGCACAGGGAAAAAGGAGTTAGAGATAATTAGGATAACAAAATATCTCTTTTTCTTCTTTTCTCTATTTTACATATTGAAAACATAATATAGTAATATTATAGTAAAAAAATTAAAATAACTTCTTGGGCCTTAATTACAAGAGTTGAAACTCTATTTTATGATCCCATGCCATCATGGCTACATGTGATCATTATATTACTATATATTACATTTTATTACTATCATGACATAAACATACTTCAATAGTGCTTTTTTAAAAATCTGAAAGCAATTGCACAGCATCCACAAAAGCAAAGTAGCAAATGATGTACCTACCAGAAAAAGGCAGTGATACTATGCTCGGAGAAAAACACAATTCAAACCTAGATTATTAATACAGTAATCTCCTCTTAACCTCAGTTTCACTTTTGGTGGCTTCTTTCAGTTACTGTGGTCAACTGTGGTCCAAAAATAGGCAAGTACCATTCAATAAGATATTTTGAGAGACAGAGACCACATTCTCATAACTTTTATTACACTATACTGTTATAATTGTTCTATTTTATTATTAGCTATAGTTGTTAATCTCTTACTGTGTCTAATTTATCATAGGTTGTATGCATAGGACAAAAACATACTATATAGAAAGTTCAGTACTATCTGCAGTTGCAAGGATCCACTGGGGGTCCTGGAATGTATCCTCCTCCGATACAAGTAAACGTTGTATCTGAATGCTGTATGTTACAATTATAAAGAGGTAGGATAAAGATGCATAGCGAAAAAGGAGCTGGAGAGAATTCGGATAACTAAACACATTTTTTTCCTCTTGTCTCTATTTTACATACTAAAAACACAATATAGTAATGTTATAGTAAAAAAATATTTAATATAACTTCTTGGGCCTTAATTACAAGAGTTGTTACTCTTTTTCATTGTAATCCCATGCTGTCATGGCTACATGTGATCACTATATTACTACATATTATATTACTTTATATCAATATCATGAGATAAACATATTTCAATTAGCACTTTTTAAAATATGGATAAACAATTGCACAGCCTCCACAAAAGCCATGGTAAATAATTTGGTCAGCTTCATCAATATAAAGGCACAATTGGAATACTCCCAGAGCATCTTACAAATTGCTGGAATGCGTGGAGCACATCCCATCCCCTTGAGTCTCCAATGTCCTTAAGTAGCCTAAGCCTGGCTAAGGATGAAGCTTATTTTCCACTAGCGTGAATACAATTCAAGACTCTTTTTTTTTGGTTGTATATGAGTCTCTTTTAAAATACTTCACAGAGATAAGAAGCATTCATTAAGCACTTTATCCACCAAAGAATGAATGTCTTGAATTTTACAAACAACATACGTGGCCAAGACTACAAAAACAGACAACTGCTTCTTCCACACACTCCATTGCTACATGATCTCCATTTCGAAAACAGAACAGGAAAAAAAATTGCAACTGTCTATACCTTTCTTCTCTGAGAATCTGACAAATAACAGAAATATGACAAAAGCTTTAAGCACAATCATGTTCATAAAACTAGTAGTCATGGATGATGGGAAACTTCTATGACCATGTCTGTCCATCAGCTAACTCTTAGCTAGCTGCATTTACCTCCTAGGCATCCCTGAAAATTAACAAATTATTAAAATGTGCTGATATTAGCAGGCTAATGATAAAAATTATAAGATAATAGGTTTGTTGTACAGCCTCTGGCACAAATACATAAAAGGCAAATTTTCCTTATTCATGATTAATCCAGCTTTGAACTTCTTGTACTTGTTATCTGTTAGTTAGAATACCAAGAATTACCTATAATTAGGACTTGATTGGATGAATAGCAAAAATTAAAATAAAAAATTCTTTTTTTTAACAGCAAAACCTCTATACTGATGTACTTCATCCCCAATTTTTTATTTGACCATACACTACTAATTAACAGCTGGCAACTAGCATGGTTTAAAAGACAGAGCTATGGAATCATTCAGCTTGCTAAGAACCTAGACTTTTTTATGAAATTGAATCACTTAAGATGTCTGTACTTTCCATTATATACCCTGGGGTTGTCTCTAATACTTTCCTTGAATACTTGCAATGGAACCATCTTTCTGGTAAAAGTTTTACTGTAAAATGCTTTTAATACTATTCTATGGAGAGCAACAGGTTTACTTCTCCACAGCAGTCAGGTTTTGATAAATAGTATGACCAGGCTGTAATAAATAGTGAAATAATGTGCTTGAAACTTAAAAAACAAAAAAACATGATTACTGAAAAATTGCTCTAAATAGCCAGTGAAAAGAGGAATTTTGTCTTATGTGTTAATATCTCAGGGGTCAATCTGTACAAATTATTCCTATTTTTAATGTAAATGTTAATACTTCTAATAGAAGTAATTAATAATCATTTAGTGCCATGTGAACCATCCATTTGACTACAGAAAAAGAAAAACTTAAAGCCAAATTATAAGATTAAGATCTAAAATCAAGGTTAAAGATATTTAACTTTTATTATTCAAATAGGAACATAAAAAGGTATTTTCTTCTGAAAATAGAACTGATCTTTAGGGATATAGACTTAAAACTGTCAAATTATTTTCACAACATTCACACATAGCCTGTTAGGTTATTTAGTATGCTAAAAAACAAAAAACAGGCATTTAATAGGTTAATATTACATAATATAAATGTATTTTAAATATCAGAAATGTGATCTATACAGTGTAATATCACATTTCTAAATTACATTTCTAGTTAGATGTAGAAAATACTAATTTTTATTATATACTGACAAATTATAGTTGCATATATTTATGGAATATAAAGTAATGTTAAGATTTTTTAATACAATGATTAAATCAAGCTAATTAACCTGTCCATTACCTAGAATATTTAACATTTTTGTAATAAGAACATTTGAAATTTATTCTCTTAACGTTACTGAAATGTACAGTACTCAAATATTAGCTATATTCACCATTCTGTGGAATTAATCTCAAAAAAAGTCAAACTCATTCCTCCTATCTGAGCCTTTGTACCTTTTGACTGACATATTTCAAGTGTATTTGACATCCACTGAAGAACTTATGAGTTAATCACACAGAACATTCTAGGATCCATTAGAAAATCTAAATAAATATATGGCCTTTGGTCTCTTTCAGAAAATGTAAATAAATATATGGCCTTCCATTTTCACTTTCCAGTGTGTAAAAAAATTGTAAGTCATTTCCTTCTTCATATAGTAATAATGAGCAACTCAGTTATTTGTCTAAAAATCTTCAAATAGTAACTATGTGTCAGCTGATTTAGGCTAACATACATTTTCAAGTTTGCAAATACATTTCGTGAAAAATTGTGAAGGAAAAAAGTTATTCATTTTAAGATAGAAAAATCATGGTTTCATTTGCATTTTTAATACAGAATGTCATATTTCTAAAGCAGAAGAAATAGTTGCAGTTTGCCGAAGTAAAACTAAATATCCCACAAGATAATGGTTTTACAATTAAAGGTATTTCCTTGACAGAATAGATAGCAATTTAAAAATGCCCAAAGTTAAAGAGAATCCAGGATCTGTCTGCTTCTAATGGCTTTAATGAAGCAGAATTGAATCAATGGCTTCACAATGCCAGACAATCATCTTGGCTTTTTTTTTTTTTTCTTTCTTCACTGACTCCACCAATTGTTTTGGCTTCCAGTAGAAGCAGCTTCAATTAAAGATAATGGTTGTTTGGCTTGAATGAAGACTAAAGGCCAGGGACTCTAATATAAGTCCTGAAACACTCAGAAAACAAACAAGGTGGTTTTTAAAATACATTTCATAGAAGTTCAAGTTGTTCTTAAGAAATTAAAGCTAGTTGGAGAGAGCTAAAAATGTTATTACAACTGCATTTCAAATGGTAAAGCCTTAACTTTAACTTAATGTTCAGACATTATCTTGAAAGCAAACGGAAACCTGAGCAAACACCTCTTGAAATCAATCGATGCAGATAGATGGCACCTCGGAAAAATCCCTAAAGTTGGCCTCAACTGTCCTGACTTAGCCATGTAATGAATGCAATTCCATCTGATTTGCCTAGGTAGTAGGAATATCCACAAAAAGAACAAACCTTTCCACATGCTTCCAAGAAATAAACTCAGGTTTTTATTCAAGCCAGAATTTGTAAAGGAACCATCAATGGCACTCATATCTTTCCCAAATAGAAAGATACAGATGGTTATTATTAAAAGAAAAAAAAATGTTTTTGTGTGGAAAGAAGAACCATGGTCATAGCAAATTACTTTGAAATTAAAAAAATTGTTTATTGCTTTACAAACGTTTAATATTTCAGTTAAATCTGCTTCTTTCTTTGAGTTATAGTTTAATCACATGTTATTGAATAGAAGAAATACATTACAGGAATGAAAAGGAGTAAATATGGTTCATATAATCACCTCTGCTATTTGAAAACACTGAGTATTGTTTTTGCTCATGCAAGAATCATAAAAAATTGGCAAGTTGGATTCAGGCCCATTTACTCTGCAGTTTATACAGAAGCTATTACAGAAAATGAAGTACATAACAGAAACAAGATAGAACTTATAAAAAGGAAGTATTATTAAAGCATGATGCCTGGCAATTCACTCCCCAAGGAGAAACTAGACCTACCCACACATATAGATTCTAAAGGGGGAAAAAGGAATCACAATAATAAACAAGAATCCTGCTATTTAGAAAAATGAATATATATCTCAAAAAATCCTTACATGGGCCGGGCGCGGTGGCTCACGCCTGTAATCCCAGCACTTTGGGAGGCCGAGGCGGGCGGATCACGAGGTCAGGAGATCGAGACCATCCCGGCTAAAACGGTGAAACCCCGTCTCTACTAAAAATACAAAAAATTAGCCGGGCGTAGTGGCGGGCGCCTGTAGTCCCAGCTACTTGGGAGGCTGAGGCAGGAGAATGGCGTGAACCCGGGAGGCGGAGCTTGCAGTGAGCCGAGATCCCGCCACTGCACTCCAGCCTGGGTGACAGAGCGAGACTCCGTCTAAAAAAAAAAAAAAAAATCCTTACATGAACTGTGATTCTCTGAAATTTTAGTACATCTAGAGATTGGGTACATGACACAGCCTAGCCAGCTAGGATAAGCTTAACAAACATCTGTTGAAAGAATAATTAGAAAAGGAAAAAGCGTCTACCCATCTTTTTTATTCTAATTTTAGCCCTGGGTAAGGAACCAACTAACAGCACCTGAATTAAATTTATCACTTTCACAATACCATCCAGTTTTATAGATCTGCAAATCTTCATAATAAAACATTTCATTGTCTTCGAATGTCAATCCATCCCATCAGGGCTGAAGTCAGCCACAAAGTCAACAACCTAAAAATAGACTGTGGCGAGTGTGAAGACTGTCACTTGCCTGCCTCTGTCAGCTCCTCTTGCCAGCAGTGAATGGAAAACTCAGGTGATGCCTCATTGTGTATAGACATTTTCCCTTAAGCAAATAAACATAACAGCCAAAGCACAGCTTCGATAGCCTAAGGAATAATGGAAGAGGCATTTTAAAGTTGCTAAATCAAATCATTTTGCCTAGAAATGGAAATGAGAATGCTGTATCAAACATGTTTGTAAAGCAGACAATAGTCAAAACTGTTTGCCTGTAATTTTCTTGATTCAATTCCTAATAACAACAGTTGCATCAGAGCAGATTTTCGCTATTATACTCCCAGGTTGTTCCACATTGGGGTTGTTTCTACACAGTAATAAAGCATCTGGGTGAAAAACGGAAAAAACACAACTAATCATCCAGCTGTTTCTAAAATCCCAGCTGTTCAGTAATAGGCAGAAAATAGCTAACATAACAACAGAACATAACAGACTCACATTGCAGGTGGTTGTAGAAGCTTTCTGGATATGCACTGGCATGACCTGATTTATAAAATGGGAAGATGTCTACCCAAATCACACATAAAAACTCTCCCTGAGAAATCTGCAAACAGGGACTGCAAAAGCCTTCCTGATCTGGGCTTTTGTTGATGCAAAGGTGAATGGGATGAGATAGGCTGGAGGGAAAGTGAGAAAACCAAACATTTTACATGTCTAGATCTGCAGTTAAAAAAAAAGAAAAGAAAAACTTACATGGGGGAATGGGGGAAGAGACTGGAAGGAGATCCCTGGATACCTTACTTTGAATAAGTTTATATTTGGTCTGAAGTTCTATTAGGCTCTCCTACCTTGAATTTCTTTCTGAATCTGACAGGGTTGCAGCAAAATTTTGACAGTTGAGAGACTTTTTGAATCTCTCTTGCGAAGCTTATAAAACAACTACAATTTTTCTTAAACGAAATAAGGAAAAAAATGTTTCAGCATGTAATTTTCAGCTTGTTTTAGCAATGACAGAAGAATTTATCCCCTTGCTAGACTAGACTGATCTCTAATAGTGATACTATAGACATACAAAAAGGAAATGGTAATTCCTGAACAGAGCTTCTCCCATCCAAAGATTCTGCTTAGTCCCTTGAGTAAAAATAGTCTTGTGTCACAAGATGATTCACACCTTAAAATACTGTATGTTGCTTCATCCTTATCTATCGAATCTAACCCTTTCTTTCTCCACTGTTTCTCACACTGCCTTGAA
This sequence comes from Homo sapiens, assembly GCF_000001405.40. Classification (NCBI taxonomy): domain Eukaryota; kingdom Metazoa; phylum Chordata; class Mammalia; order Primates; family Hominidae; genus Homo; species Homo sapiens. The sequence goes on from NC_000011.10 coordinate 30,002,409, forward strand.
ACCTGTGAAGTATGTGGATTCTAGTAGTGAAATGACACCTCTTTTCCGTATAGATGAGAAGAAGCAGTGGCAGCAGCAGCAGCAGCAGCTAAATCAGCAAGGAGCATATGATGGCAGAGTTCTAATTAGATTGCACAAATTTTATGATTTCTCCATTCCTCTAAGAATTGCACACCAGCAATAACCAACATAAACACATCATTCAGCTCTGTGTTAGTGACATTCATTCCCAGGGCTCCTACTGGTTGCTTACTTCTGTCTTAGCTTGAATGCACTGCTATGCTGACATTCTATATTAGACTAAGGGGGAGAATTCTCCCCCTTTGAAACGTAAACGTCCAAGGAGTAATCTCCTAAAGACATGAGTCCCTTACTCTGAAGGGAAAGGTGAATCTTATCCTTAATGAGACATACAGTTTTAACTCCCAGCAGCAGTTTTATGGTTTCATATGTGAGTGCCCTCGAAGACGAAGAGCAAAGGGAATATTCGGACATATACACATATATGCCTACTCTAAGAGATCAATTCACTTTCCTGGATTCTTTGGGTCAACAAAAATTAATAGTTAGCATGACAAAATGAAGCAGTTTTTAGACTGACCTAGCTATTTTCACCATCAAATTAGTGACTTCATTTAGGCATAACTCCTTGTCCCTTGCCCTCCTCCCTGCTCCTGTTCCTATCTCCCAGTTGGCACTGATCCTGTTATATCTTGTCGTTACTCTAGGGAAAAAAAAAGGAGTTTCCTAAATTCTCATTGGCTAGATCAGATCTGGAGGACACGGGTCAAGAGCTCTAATAACACTTCTAGGAACTCAAAAGTAAATCCTATTCCTAATATTCTTGCTTTGTCATTTAGATTCTAATATAGTACATAGCCATTTCTCTGTGTTGTAATTCACATGTACTGAAATCAGCTTCTAAACTGATCAACAGCAAATGTTGCAAAGAAAGACTATCAGACAATTTTGTCATCCTCTAATCAATCTGTAGCCAAGTCTTTCACTTAATTTGCTGGAAGATAATGATTATATAAAATCCACCAATTTAATCATGAATGTGAAAAAGACACACACAAAAGAAGAAAAAGAGGTACCATTTTCCTCTCAAGAGGAATTCTTGAATTTCTTTCTGAAATCTGATGGGGTTGCAGCAAAATTTTTGAAAGTTGAGAGACTTTGTGAATCTCTTGCAAAGCTTATAAAACTCAGATTTCTTAATAAATCTGAATAACTGAATCATTATTCTTTGGATATGTCTCTCTCCAAATAACTATTGCAATCTCCAAATCTCATATTAATTTCTTAAAATTTTTAACTGGAGATATTCCTAAAACTAATAAGATAGTGCAATGCTTATAATTTCGAATTGTTTTTTATCAAGTCATTTTAGTATTAGGTAAATCATCCTAAAATTAATATCTTTCCCCAACAGTCATGCCATAATGACACCAACTAGGAATGGCAGGTAAATAAAAAAAAAAGAAAAAAAAAATCCTAATGCATTCCCTAGAGATTCCATCACCTCTTGATAGATTTCAGTCGAGTGGGAGCTTCATTAATTATTTCCTTCTCTGCCTGATAGCAAATGAAAGGCTCATTTGGATCATATCCCTACCAATTGACAGGAGGAAAAAAGGCTCACTCAGGTGCTATCAACACCATTAGTGTTCTTTAGGGAAATCATCATTCTATTCAGGTACAAATGCATTAAGTTTATAAATAGAAAAACATGCATCCTCCATGTTAACTAATGTGGCTGCTATCATAGAGAGAGTTCAGGTAATATCGCCTTAATCTCCAAGAGATATAGTATTTTCCAACTACTGAATGGTTGTGTGTGTGTCCTCAGAGCCTAAGAAAGATATTGGAACATTCACCAAAAACAACAATAACCTGAAACTTTTAATGCTGTAATTGAACCTGAGAGAATTAAGTAATTCACATCAAACAAAAGCTATCACAAAAAAATACAGAAAGATAATGGCTTCTAGTAATTCTATTTCTAAAGAGCACACAGTTGTTCTACAGGTCATATAGTCCAGTTTCCATGCTATATGCATCCTTTATATAATGAGAATAATGTGCATTAAAAAAATAAAATCAGCATTTTGCAATGTTCCATACAGTATTAAAATTAACCCTTTCTTCTGGGAATGAAACTCTCTATATACCCTTATGGAATGTCTCAGAGCTTAGGACTAGTATTATTGTCGTTATGGGGCACAAAAATCCAACCTAAAGTGTAAAGAAAGGTTTTTTAATCCTCCAGCCTCACCATTTCTCCAAAACACATGCATTTGCCTGCTAATGGGAATTATACACTTTTACTTCACTTTGAAAAGTCTCTTTCAATACCTCAGATCATTCATTTTGCTTATATTTGTGGGCAGAATATAAAATACATAATATATGTGAACATATGAATATATTATATATTCATATAATTATTTTGAAACAAATATAATTCTTAGACTTAGCACTGGCACAGCTTTTGCTGATATCCACAGGGACTACTTATTTAACTGCTTTGACTGATTTAAGAGGTAACTGGCCCCTCAACAGCCAATAGCTTAAGTAGCTGTGGATAAAAATGCCTTCATGCTCTTTGACTTTGAAATAGCCCTTGGTGTACAGAATCATGAGAAACAATCCAAGTACATTCCCACATAATACTGATTACTGGGAAAAACACCAGCATATCTTCCATATTTATTAGTCATTTCTAATAGTTACTATTAAAACCACTGCTAAGGTAGGTTGGCATTTCTATCATTTTCACAGAAAATGTTAACCTATATATTCATGGGGCAGGTTATTTCTGCTTTATGTCCTCTATCACAACAGTCACTTCTTGGTTATTTCTGCTAATGGTGAAGAGGCAGGACCAATGTTACCCCAAAATCCTGCATAATTAGTTCTAGCATATGTAACACTTTGAACAACAGATTTGGCTTCCCACTTAGGTTTTGCTTGGCTTTCTAGTTCTAGTGTTTTTGTTGTTTCTTTGTCATGGATTGTTTTATCTTTTTATAATTTTACCTTTTCTGGACTGGTTGTTTAACACAAGACAATAGGCTTCTGAGCCTGAGTAAAGCCAGCCTCAGGTGAGAAACCAACTACAGATAACCTACAAAACAGATTGCTTACAGGTAGGAAGAAAGAATGGACTATTTGTGGATCAACTAACAAAATCATTTAGCTCCTGGCACCCTGGATGCAAAATCTCCTTCCAAGACACCAATGACAACAAATGGACCAAAAGCTGAACCTTAAGTCAGCAACACTACCTCCAGTGAATCTGGGAATATGCTTTTCAAGATGACAGCATGACTTTATATTCAGCACATTATTTGCCTTATACATTTATTCCCATCCCACAGGCCTGAAAGGGGGATGCTTGAATCTCACTTAGAGCCACCGCTCATTAAATATGTGCCATGTTTTTAAGCAACCAACTTATGCCCTGGGATTAATTTATTTATCCATAAATAAGATGACCATATTTTCTAAACCTCAAATGGGGCCATATGGTCTGATATGTATTAGCATGCTTTCATGAAGAAGATACTGTGAGAAATTGGGACTGCTATGGAAACAAAACCAAGCCAGAAATAAAACTCATATCACAGTCCTAATCTTAATTTACTTTTCAGAAGTACATATTCCCATTTATTACAAAAAAAAAGCTCTGCTTCCTTCAATATTGAACACAACCACTCCAACAACCTTCTCCTCAGATAAGAATACTGATTTCCATACTAGAAAGTAGCACTGTCTTCTGACCTGCAGTGGCTACATTGGTCTGGAAGATCCTTTGCCTAAAGTTAAGTTTCTTTAAAGGCAGGAGAACCGAAAGGTACCTTATGTCCACATCAAATGTCTCTTGAAGAATTCAGAATGACTTTTGGGTCAAGGAGATTTCCTGGAACAGGCCCTTTTGTCACTGAATGACACCCTGTAATCATTTTAAACTGTATCAATAAAAACACATACACACACATAAAGAAGGATGTTACACTCTGTTCCCTGCACATGAGCACATCACCACAGGTTCATTGTAAAAATGTGAAGTGAATCTAGGTATACTTCTTACTTTCCCTAGCAATAGCTGCAATGTTAGTACTAAAGGCTCATCCAAACCCTGAAAATTAACAACAAGGAAGAACACCATTTCTGATTTGTTGGAAGGTAGGGGGGCTACTGTTTGTGATTCCAATGTGATTAAAAATAATTTTCCATTGGTTAATATTGACTTTTTTAAAATGGGAAAATATGTATCTTAGTTCACAGTATTTTCCTTATATCTTTCTTACTCATATATTGGGTTCTATTTCAACACATGCTTAATGAAAAAAATTTCAGGAAGCTTCAGTGATCCTGTTTAAAACAAACTTGACAAAGCATGCAGTAGCACTTGTGAAACACTACATGTGTTTAAGCATAAAATGAGTTCCCCAGCACAGGTCAAAATAGTGTTTACTGACAAGACTGCACGATAACAAAGCAAGACATCAAAATGTTTACTTACCAATTTTCACCATATGTATTCAACTGAGGACTGAAGAGTTATTTTTCATTAAATGAATCCCTTCCCTTTAGAAGTTGTTAGAATAACAGCTCAGAATACATCCTATTCATTCAGCTTAGTCTACATTCGAAAAAACTCAAACACCTGTTCTGCGGTTAACCTAACAGTGAGATTTTTGTTTTTATTTATTTATTTTTGCTCCTATTACTTACTAAAAAAAATCCAAGCTGATATGACTGGAATGGTACTTAGAAAATATGAAGCTAGTCTGATATTTCTTTTACTCCACAGTAGAATTGTGGTACGAAAAGGAACCAAGTAATAATGTAGCCCAATATCCCCATGTTAGATACACACACACACACACACACACATACACACACTCCTGAGGATCAAGGAGATGAAACAATTTGCCCACGATTAACAAGCCAGCTCTCTTGACTCCCTAGACCAGCTGTCATTCCTCTAGCACCCACTGACTCCCTTTCACAGAAATCAAAAGGACTATTTATTCCTCCTTTCTTCCCCATAACTGTTATGCCTGTTTTCCTTTCCAATCATTTGCAAGAGAGAACAATGCATCTTCCCTTGAAAAGACTCTGATTAGGATGACCCTCAAATAGTGTGCTTTTGGTAACATCTATTGTCATCTGAAAAGCAATAAAAGGATCCCAGATCCCAATAATTAGGATCTCTAAAGAAGGTCACTTCCCTTTTATCTTAACCAAATGTGTATAGTGGTCTCTAAGATACAGTTTCATAAATTAGTTATAAATACATCCTGAAAGCATATTCATCAGTATAAATTTTTTACAAATGGATCTAAAGCACTTTGACTAGTTTCAACTGGAAAAATGTTATGAATTCACAACTGTACTGGATGTCCTGAATTCATGAATTCTCTTCTAAGAGAAGTGTTCCATACAGAAGAACTCCCATACAAGTCTTGAGGGCTTAAAACCTTCCTTCTCAGTGTGGGATCAAGATCGAGATACTCTAAAATAAATGCATCTTGCAGGGGGAAAGAAACAATAAGTTTAGTATGATAACCTAATAATATTTGGTTTGAAAGCTTATGTCTGTCACTTCTTGACCTTCTCATCCGAAAAAAAAGAAAGAAAGAAAGAAAAAGAAAAAAAAACCATGTGAAATAAAGGTAAACCCCAAATGACTACATTTCCTGGATTCTCAGAATTATCAATATAATGTGTTTTGTCAATCAAATTTAATATAACTTTCAGATTTAAAAGGAGGTATTATGGAAACAATGAAATACAGTACATTTCCCTTCCAAACATAGCCAAATCATTGTCATTGCTATTATAGAAAGTTCAATAAACATCCCTTATATACTAAACAGCCCTTAAATTATTTTGAGATATAATCTGACCTAGTTGGCTATATTGTAAGATACATGGTCTGTTGTTCACAGAGTCAACTTTCTATACTATAACATGCCTGAATCTATCAACAATAGACTCTCTTGTATCTGCACATCAACTTCTTGTAAGGACTGCAGAGTTAAAGCAATTACCCATAATTTTTACAATATCCTAATAAAGTAGATGTATGCTTGTGCATTCTAAATCGCTTTTTCTCCCAGAGGAAGATTAAACAATTTAGACATAACATCAGGCATTTGTATGGAAGTCAACATTTCAGAGTTTTCGCATGTTCTCATTTGTTTTGCATAACTCTGTAACGTAATGTGCTTCATTTGCCCTCTTTTTAACCAATCACGAAATTTGGGTGCAGAAATGTTAAGTGACATTTCCAAATGACTTACAGCCTGTCCAAATAGCCTTACCCCTTCTCTAATGCTTGTTACATTTTTGCCCCAAATCTAAAATGTATTAAAACATTATCTTTGAAATCTTATTGTAAGATGACATTTTCTTGTTTTATCATTCTCTGTTGTCTTCTATTGATCTTTGTTCTTCACATTCAATAAAAGGCCCTGCTTGCTGTTTTCATTCTCTAAAAGGTGTTCTAGAAAAGTATTTCTCTACAAATGGTGGGGAAAGGGTGGAGAGGGGGTGCAGTTTTACTTTTAAGCCTAATGTTGAATTTACTTTGAATTTCAAATACCATTAAAGGAGAGGTAGGATTTATGTAATTATGAAATGATGGCCTGGATTTTAAAAAGCTTGAGAAAGGCTATTCTAGGTCAGTTTGTTTGTTTGTAGCTCACAGTTACCAGAGTTCACTATGTGCCGAAATAGTGTATGCAGTGTTGTTTGTTTTGTTTTGTTCCCCCGCCCCCAACCAGAGCTCAAGACAATCATTTTATAAAGAACAGAAGTTAAATAAACATTGTAGAATAAGGCCTCTTATGCATTCTGAGTTTTCTAACCTATACCTCATGATTTCATAGTGCAAGGCTGATCGCTAGTTGTTATCTCACATTCTAGAATGCTTTGTCATGACTTAAATGCAGTTATATGTGTCATAAATTCCTTTAATAAAGATAATAATGATGGTGATGTTGAAACCAAATGTTTGACACAATTCTTCCTTATGTCCATTTTAGCAAATATAATGTTAAAATCTGAGGTTAATCCCCAAATTCTGTTCTTATATAACTGCACAAAAAAATAAACTTAATAAATCTAGCGTTTATGTTTCACATTTAATAGAAAAATTTTAAGCCATAATCACTGTAGCTGCTTGGCATCTTCTTCAAGAATTCTTTCAGTGCATGCATTAACTTTGGTTAAATTATTCTGGAGTTAAAAGGCAGAAGAATATATAAAATAGTATGATTTCAGAAGCATCATTCTAACAGACCAATTTCAAAAGATTCAGTTGCTAAATTTTACTTCATAATTCCTTTGTCAATCAGTTATTTAGATTTTAAAAGAGGAGAGAATCCTGTGATGTTATCTGCATGATCATTAGTCTCACACAATGAAAAGAAAACAATAAAATAAGACTAAAGAAATCATTCTTCCAATGATTGTCATTGAACTGTTACATTAGTAAACATTCACAGTTTGAAGTCTCTCTCAATCTCCAGCATATAAAGTAGTGCAAAGAAAAAAAAATCCAGTCCTGTTACCTGCAAACAAAACTTATTACATATTCTCCAATTTCACTTATTCTATAATGTTAGACATTTGCTGTTAAGTCTTCCCAAAATTAATAACAAAATATAATCAATTTCTAAAGGCCCTTGCAGCCTTTTTAAAAGTTAATTTCCAGTTAAAAATAAATTTTAATTAAATCCAAGATAAAATTGTGACCTATAGTCTATTAAATAATTTACTTTCTTTTTTCTCTACACAGTATTTCTTACAATTTTTAAAAAACAACTACAGAATCCAAAGACATACGATATGCTGTTAAAGCACTGATAAATGACTGCTCAGATTCATTAGTTCTTACATAGTAAATACTTCAAAATGCCAACTTTTCCCTTCACTGCACAATTACTAACATTGACAATTTACTTCACACACACACACATATACACACACACGCACACACTCTCTCTCTCCATCTTTACTGTTAACATCTTTTCCAGTTAATGTGCAAAATTCTTGCATTCTAATAAAAATATAAAGATAGATTTGCTCCTATTCCTCCCTCTTCTCCAAGATGTATCATTTATTTGATATGTAATACAAGTTTAGTAACAATTATGCCATGTATAACCATTAAATAGTGTACTACTGTATGCATTGGATCATTTGCATATTTCATTTTCATAACTGCACTCTCTATGCATAAATATATTTGGAGATGCTGAGGGGGGAGCAGTGGCAGGTGGAAAAAGATTCACACATCAGTCTCCACAGCCTTTGCATTAGAACAGTTGTTTTTATCTGTCTCACTGTCATCCCCCTTTCCCTGACACTTCTCCTCCTTTGCACACAGAGATTCCTTAACTCCTTCTTCCATCTCTAGATACTCTGACTTGTCCCCCAGGGAAGAAGAAGTAGAGCTCCGAAATTTCTTGAGCAAATTAGAGGGGAGGTATGGACAACTGACTGCATTCTGCGTTAGCTGTGTCTGTTCCTCATTTTCAGTCTCTCTGTGGTAGAAATAGTTAAAGTTAGAGACAATCACTGGCACTGGCAAAGCAATGGTTAAGACACCCGCAATGGCACACAGGGACCCGACAATCTTGCCCCCTACAGTGATGGGCTTCATGTCCCCATAGCCCACAGTTGTCATGGTCACCACAGCCCACCAAAATGCATCTGGGATGCTTTGGAAATGGGTAGTAGGTTCATCCGCCTCTGCAAAATACACAGCACTAGAAAAGAGGATGACCCCAATGAAGAGGAAGAAGATCAGAAGGCCCAGTTCCCGCATGCTGGCTCTGAGGGTGTGGCCCAGGATCTGCAGGCCTTTGGAGTGCCTGGAGAGTTTGAAGATCCGGAATACTCGGACCAGACGAATGATTCTGAGGATGGCAAAGGACATGGCCTGCTGCTGCTGACCATTGCCACCCCCCTGTTGCTGGGCCAGGTCAGTGCCCAGTGTGATGAAGTAAGGCAAAATGGAGACAATGTCAATGATGTTCATGATGTTTTTGAAGAAGAGTGCTTGGCTGGGACAAGCAAAGCAGCGAACCACAAACTCAAAGGAAAACCATACAATACAGACTGTTTCCACGATGAAGAAGGGGTCATTGAATATTGTGTGCCCTGAGTTCTCCAGATGGGGTGCTGAAGTATCATTCAACAACCCACCATGCCCGCCAGCACTCAGTGCCATGACGAGATCCCTGTCGTCCCTAAACTCAGGCAAGGTTTCCAGGCAAAAGATGACAATGGAGATTAAGATGACCAGGACGGACACAATGGCTATGCCCCTTGCAGGACTGGAGCTCTCTGGATATTCAAAGAGGAGCCAAATCTGCTTTTTAAATTCATTCTCGGGGAGGGCCCTGTCTTCCTCTTCTCTCACAAAGCCCTCGTCCTCCCGAAACTTCAACAGGGCCTCCTCCCCCAACTGATAGAACTTCACCTCCTCAGTGAAGATATCAAAGGGGACATTGACTGGCCTCTTCAGGCGGCCTCCTGATTGATAATAATACAAGATGGCATCAAAGCTGGGGCGGTTCCTGTCAAAAAAATACTCATTGCGCAAAGGGTCAAAGTACTGAGTCCTCTTTTCAGGGTCTCCCAACAAAGTCTCTGGAAACTGGGCCAGAGTTTTCATTTGGGTCTCAAAGCGTAGGCCTGACACATTTATCACCACACGTTCACAACAGTCACTGTAGCGGACTGAACTGTAGCCGCCACCGCCCTCATCCTGAGGCAGCAGATCCGTGTAGGAACACTCATCACCATGGTCATCTTCACTATAGTAAAACCTTCCCTCCTCTTCCTCCTCTTCCTCCTCCTCCTCATCTTCCTCCTCCTCACTCAGCTCCCTCAGGATCTTCTCCTCAGAGCCACTGGGCATCAGGTCAGAGCAATGAGGGAAGCTGCTCTGCCGGTAGTGGGCTTTCTTCTTCTCAGACCGCTGTCGCCTCCTCCTCCGACTACCCCGGCTGCTCTGAGGGTCATGGGAGGTACAGGCCCCGCGTGACTGGTGGTGGTGGTGGGAGCCCCCACCAGAACCCCCGCTACCTTCGACAGCAGCTGTGGCCGCTGCAACAGCAGCTGCTGCAGCTGCCCTGGAGTGAGCAAGCCTCTCCCGCTCCCGGGCCCGGGCCTGGGCAGCATAACCATAAGGCATGTGACTGTTGCACCCTGAGCTCTCCGCACTCACCATTGCAACCTCCATGGTGGTGGTTTTCGGAAATGGCTGGTTCCAGTTGTAGAAGAAGAAGAAAGAAAAATAGGGCAGCTTCTTTTCTCACCAAATTAAGGTAAGTTTGGAACCCTTAAGCAGATTGCTTGGAAGACTAAGGATATTTTCAGTCCAACTTTGCATTTTCTGTTTTTAAATCAGCACGCCCCATGCTCTCTCTTCTCAGGGATTCAACATTGCTCTCCAGAGCTTGGCTGGTCGAGATAAATAGCCTGGCACTCTCAAGACTAAGAAGTCCGAAAATGCTGGAGTCTCTCAGACACCTATGTTTTGGGGGTAGATGTTGAAATTTGGAAATATGTCTGGGATGTGGTTAGTGATGTTGCTGCAAGATTCAAAGGCAGCAAGTGTCTGACAGCCAGAAGTTGTGCCTAGAAAATGAAATATATTTTTCTGCCATGGAAATTGGCCAATGCTCAGTCCATTAAATGTAAATAAAATGCAAATAAGCCTTTACTGTTAGCACTTGCCTTCTAGTGATGGCTCGAACCATGTTAAGATGTGGTTTGAAGTATGTCCAGCCATTTCTACTCAAAGTCTATCAGGATGATTCTCCAGGCTCTCCTTTTAAGTTCATCAAAGGCTTCCTGTACCCAGGTACAATGCCAAACCACAGATAGAGGCAAAGACCCTGGGAGGTAGAGAAGGTGCTAGATGAGGTGTCAGCAGAAGCAAAACCAGCTCTGAGGTCTCCATAGAAATCAAGGAAATGCAGAGCATTCTTCAGCCAAAATCATGCAGAAGAAGCACTTCACCTGAAAAAGGATTGGAAAGAAGCATAGGAGAAAAATAAAAAGGAAACAAATCATAAAGAGCAAACTGAGCATTTCTCTTCACATACACATCCTTCTCTTTTCTTCAAGAAAGTCATATAACACACCAAGCACCAATATTTTCAAGAGTATGGGGCAGGCTATTCTCACTCACTAAACATCATTCTTTCCTTCTTCAGTTATTATTTCAGCTCAGTTTATTTTTATGGTAACTCAATTATTTTTCCTCTCTCCACTCATGGCCCACATGGCTCTTGCTTCTATCTTCCCCTTCACCAATGCTAGGTCTTAATTCTCACTGTCACTCTCTTCATTCCACAAAAAATAATGCTGTGACTTTACAGCTGCTTCCATCATTCATCTATTTCAAGGCAATTTTTAAAATTTCCACTCATAAAGTGTTTCTGAATTAAGTGCCCTTCTACTCCTCTCTATCTTGACTCAGCACTGGGGAAGTCAGAAAAAAAAATAATAATATTCTTATTCTTTGTGCAGACAGCACCACTTGAATGCACTTCAGTCACCTCATCTATAAAGTACAAATAATAACACAACCTCCCCCATCCCATGTTTGTAAGGATTAAATGAGATAATGGATGTTGATAGAATATCTCAGTGCCTTTTACCTAATGAATGGCAATAAACACTGGCAGTTATGAATAACATAACAGCAACCTATGTTTTTATTGTCTATCTACACAGCCCCAAGTGTTTGTGTCCTTAGGCCACAAACTAAAGTAGGGGAAGATGGGACGTGAGGACATACAAGACATCCTGAGACTCACCAATGGCCCTTGTTAAGTTGGCACTGCCTGACTCCCTACAGCATGTCCCCATTGTTTTTCTGTTCCCTTGAATCCTGAACACTCCCTACCACCCACAGACTAGGAACTAATGCCAATTTCCACATCTCTAATAACCATCTTCTCTCCTTGGCGGTCACTCCATGTTCACCTCAATGGTTCCTCCTCCACTCTGCTCAAGGGACTATCTCCTTATTTTTTTAAATGTCAGTTTCTGTGGACTTCATTCTTAGCCTATCATACTTACCCCCACTTCAATAAAATCCACATCCCTAACATCCCCCCTCCTCTCTCTTTCTCTCTCTCTGCCCACTTTTATTTACAATCTCACACTTCTGAATTGCATGTCCCTTGCAGCTCCGATCTGCTCCCTCTGTCACCTGTTATTCCTGGCCCTTCTTCTTCCTTAGTTTGCTCTCCCAAGATCCAGGTAATTCATCTCCTCAGCCAGGCCCTGTAAAAGCCCCCATCCAAATCTCCTGTCTCCTCTTGATTTTTCCATGTACTCTGTTCAACAGGACTTCCAAGAATGCAGGGAGTAACCCAGAGAACTGGAGAGAATGATGATAGTCAGAATTCAGGGCATCTACCAGCTTCTATTACTGGAAGCACTTGGAAAGCATAAGAGAAATGGCTTTCTGAAGCCATTAACAGGATTCAGCTCTTGACCACCTGCTGCTCCTTGCTGATCCTGTCAGCCTAAAAGCCTAAACACACTGAATTTTATGAAGTGACAAGCATGGAAGTGGCAAACAGAGGTCTTCCCAATCATACACCCCTTCCCAATCATATATATTTTCCTAGGGCAAGAAGGGCATTTGATTGCAACACAAACTCCAGAAAATACACCACAGAGGGCATCTCACATGCCATCTCCCTTCCTTTGCCTGACTCCTAACATCATCTCATACTCTGAAATGTTTACCCTCAAGGAGTTTCCAAATCCCTACTTACAAAACCATCCTGGGGTGACATTCGCAGTGGAGTGTCAGGCCAACATCCTTTCAAGACCGGTACAGACCAAATAGCCTGAGAGTTTGCTCAGTTTCTTCCCCAACTCCCCTAAAACAATTATAATTTCAATGAAGCCCCAATGTAACCCAAGTTCCTGTATAGTTGAATACTACACACACTGCCTTCCCACCCAACTGACTCCCAGAAGGTCATGAATTAGCGAGTCTTCTAATTCACCATCAGCTCTTCGGGAGTTCTAGAACTGCCCTCTTTCTGCTCTACACCAAATAATTTCACATTTATTTATTTATTTGGGATTGTTAGTTTTTGTTTATCTAACTCCCTCCTCCACCCTACAAGTAGCAAATTGCCTTCCTTTTAATCATCTACTAGTTACTTCACTATCCCTGATCTAGAAAGAAAGGGAGAGAGAAAGAAAAGAAGAGAAAAGAAAAATCATTCCTCCCAGCAAATCAGACTGGTTTAAAATCTCTCTTCTTTCTCAAGGTACTCTTGTTAGGAGAATCTATTCAAGCCAATTCCCAGGAGCCTTTATGAGAGAGATCTTTGCAGAGGAATTTGTCTTCTTCTTTAACACCATTAAACTAATAGGATTTTGCAGACTACCTATTCCCCAATCCCGGCGCCCCCAAACAACAGCCAAGCATCCCGCCCCTCCTCCTCTCACCCCTCCAACAACAAGGCTGTTCGTCTCTCAGTGCTAATTCCTGCAACTGTGTCACTGTCAGGGTGGTACCTGAACCTTAGAGAGAGAGAGAGAGAGAAAGAGAGAGAAACTGAGAGAGGGAATCAGAAAAGCCACCACCGTGAGAAATATACACTTCAACGCACGCCATTTATGCAGCCCCTATGTATGTTGCTCAAATGCTCGGAAAATGCACGCAAATCCAAACGTTGGAAGAGGCAGCAATTCAGACCCGTTCACCGGCTGTTCCCAAAAGAAGGGAACCGGTGCGGCTGGGAGGAGGCGAAACGATGCTAAATCTTAACCCCCCTCTCGTTGGGAAACGACATCTTTAATCGCGCCCTCGCCTCCAGACCTCGGTTCCCGCTCCAGCACGTTAAGCAGGGCGCACTCACCGCATCCCCGGGTTTGGGAAAATAACAACTGTTGGCCCCCCGGAGCGCCGCGCAGCATCCGCACCTCCCTTCTCCCACCTCCTGGTTTATTTTTAACCGCCTTCCATTCATGCCCTTCTGTCACATTCCCGATATTATTTATCCCTCAAATGTCCACTGTTTCTTAACAGCCAAAATAAGAAGGTAGAGGAAAGATACAAAAAAAAAAAAAAAAAAAAAAAGGTATCATACTTACCGTTCCCCGGCGGGGCGAAAAATAAAAATAAAGAAAATCCACCGGCTGGCTTGTTTTTCCCCCTCAAGCTGCAACAGCTGGAGGAGGGGAAGAATGATCCTGGGTGGGGGGCGGGGGGTGGTAAAAGGAATCACTCGGGTTTGGCAGGTGGAGGCTCCAAATATCCACGGAACAAGTTCTGTTGCCTGGCCCGAGGGGTGCACAGAGTCCTCGCGGCTGGAGCCTGGGGGTGGGGGTTGGGGCTGCCCCAGAGAAGACCCCAAGACTCCTGGTTCCTCTGGAGTTCAGCACAGGAGGGATTGCCTGGGAAAGGAAGTCAAGGTTCCCCCGAAAAGAAACAAAATCCTAGACAGCAGCGATCACTTGTTAAGCCCGAATTCCTCCTCCAACATCCATCCCTCTCTCGCTCTCGCTGGCTGCGGGAGCAGCACACGCCTCCCCTGGCCGCGAACGCGCTCTGGGCGGGGGCGGGGCCAGGGCCGAACCGAGGGTGTGGCGTTCGCGACGGTCGCCAGGGGCGCCTCCCGGCGCGGCGGGGCGGGTGCAGTCACGACGCCGCGACTCCCCGCACCCCGGCTGGGCCCCCCGACTCCCAGGATCTGGGATCGATTCCAGGAGTCTTTGGCTGTGGTCCCCACAGGCGAGGAGCAAATCCTGGAGAAGTGTCCCCGTTGGGGCCGGAATAGGGGTTTCGACGGCAGCGCGGGAGTCCCCAGAGGGCTTGGGAGCGGGGAGCTCCAATGGGAGGTGCAGTCCCGAAAATGGGGTCCTCTGGGACATCTCCTCTACCTAACTTGCTTTCTCTATATCTCCCCTCGAGCCCCGAGCCCCGTCTTCTTTTCCCCACCCCATCCCCTCCCAAAGCGGGTTTGTTGGGTTGGGAGCCGGGTGCATCTCCGGCGAGGCCACGGGCGGGGAGCCCTCCTGTGCCTGCCAGAGCGCCCAGATCCCTCAGTCTCCGTCTCCTTTGCACACAGGAGTTGGGAGGCTTCAGCGCCGGGGTTGGGCCTCAGGGGCGCGGAGGAGACCGACTTTCAACCTGTATTCAATCCCGGGCAGGGGAATGTTACAGAAATTGGAATCAGGCCCAGGCTAGGGGCTGCGCACAGGAGGCAGCAGTTCTAGGGGAGGAGGGTTGGAGAGATGAGTAAGTTGCAGGGTGGGCCAGGGGCTGAGGGCTTTGGAAGGCGGGGGAAGAGCCCGCAGCCAACCTGTTGCTGCAAAAACAAATACGGCTCTGGTATCGACTCCCTGAGGGCTCTTTGGATCCTTCAGGACAGAAATCAAGGGATATCGCAGCAAAAAGCAAGTTTTTTTGGTTTTCTTTCTTTCTTTCTTTTAATTAAAGCTTGTGCGCACAAGGGAGCTAACACCAAGAAAAAAAAAAGTGGGCTGTTCCTCGAAGTCAGGGTGTGGGTTTCTTTTACGGGCCTCTCCCGTAAGGGGAAATAAGGAGAACTATAGACAGGGCATGTAGAGGTGGAGTTTTTCTGGTGCATGCATGGTGGTTTAACATGCTTCTTCATAGGACGTATGTATCATTAGCATCTTAAATCTCCACCTCTGGGAAAGATTTTTTGCATTAAATTAAGGAAAAGGTCACTATGAGTTGAAAGTTAAACCTAGCCGCCGCGCATGCCAGGGCCTCGGGCAAGTCCCTGGTCCCCTAAAGCCGAAACTTCTGGTTAATAGCTTCTTGAGCTTTTCATGCTAATTGGCTGGAGTTACAGTTTGAGGAAGGGTCTCTCCTTGTTTCTTGTTTATTTCTTCGGACCACATCAAAACAGGAAAGTAGACAGTTTGCCTGTCTCAGGCTTGCCAGAATCAACCGGGCGAGAGGTTTGGCTCCCGGGAGGACTCTATCTTAGTGATCTCTCCCACTGCCCACCTCCATTTAAAAAAAAAAAAAAAAAAAAAAGGGTTTTGCTGTCCATCTCCACCCCACTCCCACACACGCGAGCGCGTGCGCACACACACAAACAAACACACACACACACACACACACACACACAAATAACCAGAAGCCCACGTGGCGACGGGGTCTCCCTAGACACCTCTCCCAGCTCGCCCGATGGACCAAGCAGGCAGTGGCAGCGCTATGCCCCGGACTGCTGGAGCAAATCCGACCTTGGGCTGGTTGGTTGGCGCCAGGACTGTCACTGTCGTCCTCGGGGCGGCAGCTTTGTTCAAGGGCTCTATTGGGCCTCCTCCTTTTGTGATGCTCAATTAATTATTAAGGGAAATATTCCCGAGCTGAATTATAGATATGCCTTGCACTCACTCACCTAACCGTTGCGGGCTCGGAAAAGGACACCTGGAGGGCTGCTTTTTGTTGCTGTTTGATTTTTCTTTTATCTTTTCAAATAACCGGACACACACACACAAAATCGAATTGTAATCAGTGTGAAAGAAAAAGAAGAAATGAAACCTGGAGTGCACCCTGGTTTTTCCAACGTCTTTCAGCTAGTGCAGCTTGAAATTTTGGCATGAATAAGTTTAACTGTAACCCCCTGGCCTCAACCCTGGTGGAGCTGAGAGAAAGGTATCTTCATGCTGGCTCTAGAGACGTTCTTTGCCTCAATTTATTCCCTACTGCAGTTCATTCGAAGAGCAGCAAGACCGGGTTTCTCTAAAAGTGAGAACGATCATGCTCACTCGCCTCAAACCCTCTCTGTACCTCCACAATGTGATATCACTGTGCAGTTTCATAAGTACCAGAAGCAAATAACTGGTAATATTTATTGTTGGCTCATTAGAAGGATATTTCTTGGGATAGTAAAAAGCAGGACTGGGACCTGTTTCCCAAAAGCAGTTTATGAGATCAATCCGGTACAGCTATGCAGTGCTTTCAGGGAGATGAAAAGTGAGATGGAATGATGTACTAGAGATGATAGTTGTATTGAAGCTTGGATATTTTAATTGAGTCGTGTTTAAACTTTATGAATTATGCTTCCCTTTTGCTGTTTGTTCCTATCCCAGATAATTTTAAAGTTTTCAATGCCTGAGGACTTTAATATTTGCATTTCTTAGGTGTTGGTAATCTGAATTACTAAAATACGACAGGAATGCTGCTGAGGAAAAACTCTACTCTCAGGAGGACTTGCGCAAGGCAGGTAAGATTAACTGAGTGTCTGCCTCCTACCTGGCTCTGTGCTAAGTTCTTTGAATGTATATTATGTAATTTTATTTGCATAACTAAATGCTTTTTTATGTGATAAGTACTATTATAACCACTATTTTATAGAAAAGGAAATGAAGGCTTACAATGATTAGCTAACTTGCCCAAAGGTTATATAGCTAATTATGTAGCAGAACAAGGCCTTACATATCTGACTCTGCAGTGTAGACTGACCCCGTGCTAGTGATGTGGTCTATGCCCATTTGTTCATACAAGCTAGTGGCTGTCACAGATGCATATACAGATTATGAAGCAAGGGGATTTGTGTTATGATGGAGGTATGAGAATGTTGCTCCTTGGTGCAAAGAGTAAAGCAGCATCTAGTGTGGAGGCGGTAAGCAAGAATTCCCAAGGAGAGAGAGCACTGTCTGAAAAATCATAAGAGTTGGAGTGGCCGCCATGGAGAATGCACAGGCACATAGTGCTGGGATGGAACAGAAGCAACTAACTGGAGCTAGAGATAGGTTAGGACCAACTGGGAAGAGCATGCCCCCTCCCAGCCTTCTCCCACCACATGCACACACACACCCCTACCTCTTTGCCCATTTAAATAATTAATTCATAAAGCAAACAAGAAACATTCTATTTCTCTCCTTGAAATTATCCTAGGAATTTCTAGGAACCCATAAACAGTAGCAAAAAGATTCTTTGATTGAGACCAATAAAAATCTACCTTGTCTTAGTCCCCAAACCTTGTTTACTTTTTATTTTCTTTTGAAATGGGTTCTCATTCTGTCACCCAGGCTGGAGTGCACTGGCATGATCACACCTCACAGCAACCTCAAACTAACTGCTGGGCTCAAGTGATCCTCCTGCCTCAGGCTCCAGAGTAGCTGGGACTACAGGTATGTGTCACCATGCCCAGTTATTTTTATTTATTTATTTATTTTTAGTTTTTGTAGAGACAGGGTCTCATTATGCTGACCAGGTTGGTCTCAAACTGGCCTCAAGTTCTCCTCCTGCCTCAGCCTCCCAAAGTGCCCACCACGATTACAGGTATGAGCCACTGTGCCCAGCCCCTCTTTTCTATAAAGAGGAAAAAATTATTTTCTTGCCTTTCTTAGTCATCAACTAGTCAAAATTCTTTAAGCTCTCCACCACCAAATACACCTATTACCACAAAGAATGTATCCCTGGCTTTGAATTCTCTCAGTGGTGGTACAAATGTTCCAGATCACACCGTGAAGCCTTTGCTTATATAGAAAGTGGCAGAGGCCAACAGATCGTCTCTGTACAAAGCACGATAGGAAGCCCTGTGGGATACAAGCTAGGCCCATTATAAATGTTTTTGTTCTCTTTGAGGACTGTGGTCCACAGTGAATTGCAATGTTCTGTTTACTCCTCTATCTCCCCAAACATGCCTGTGATACTTCACTGAGAACAGACATTATATCCTGAGCAACTAGCGTTGTACTTGACCCAGAGTAGAATGTGAATGAATAATGGAAGAGGCTTCCCTTTGCCAAGAAAGTTCAGTGAATGTGTTGTGAGAGAACTAGAAGATTGCTTTTTCACCTGCTCACCCCAGCCTCTCAACTATCTATCTCACTTTTAAAGTTCTGAAGTGATGGGCGTGGGGGTGGTGAGAAGGCCTTGGAGATTTGGTTCCATGCTCCCATATCCAAATTTATGGATGGGGATATTTTGATCAGCCCATCATTCCTTATAAAATGTGAGTCACTCAGCTAGTTTTTTCTTGGGTTTTTCAATGACTGTTCACCACCACTTCCTAATTTATCTTACGCATATAGGCACTGGTCAAAACTTAAGATATCAGAAGAGCATATTTGTTTCTTACTATAATTAGTGTTTTATTCCATTTCAGCTGCTATAATAACAAAATAACATAAACTGAGTAGCTTATAAACAATATAAATTGATTTCTTACAGAGCTGGAGGCTGGGAAGTATAAAATTAAGATATCAGCAGATTCAATGTCTGGTGAGAGCCCATTTCCTGGTTCATAGATGGCGCCTTCTTTCTAGGTCCTTACAAAGTAGAAAAGGCAAGGCAGCTCTCTGAGGCCTCTTTTATAAGGGCACTAATCCCATTCGTAAGGGCCCAGCCCTCATGGTTTCATCACCTCACCATAAATCCTATATCCTAATAGCATCACTTTGGGGGTTAGGATTTCAACAGAAGAATTTAGAGAGAACACATTCAGACCATAGCAGCAACAAAACATCAACCCTGGAGAGAAAGACTGACTACTCATTCTCTGACTCTCTGATTGCAGCACGGTGCCAGGCACAATGGTGATTAAGACAGCTGCTCCCTGTTCTGTGTGGACACTTGTGGTCTAGACGGCAAGAGACAGACAAGTCAACACACTTCGGTGGTAAGACGCTGATAGAAGTCACACAAGGGACAGAAAGAAGTGGCACCTAATTGAAGTTATAGAGAAAGGTTCTCAGGGCAGAAGGAGTCCCATGGCAAAAGCTCACTGAACAACAATAGCATGTGTGAAAATAAAGAAAGATAAGCTAAGGATCCACTATGAAATGGGAAAGGGAAGCAGTGAGGGAGGACTCTGATATGCCATGCTCAAAGTAGGATCCATGAAAAAACCCTGCATGATAGGATTCTCAATCCTTTCCACCTTTACACACAGGACAGATGTAGTTCATATGCACTACACACACCCTTGAGCAAACCCAGATTAGCAACTGCAGCATTCACTAAATAGACTGAGTTGCAGGCATTTCCGGGCCTCCTAGCTGCAATGATATCACTTTCTCCTTCATTTATGAATGCATCTCAGAGGCCAAGTGGGTGAAATTGAATTGGCATAACCTTAAATAATCTCAGATTTCGCTTTCTAAATGCAAGTCTATTTAAAAATGCCCCTCTTTAATTGAAGTAACTCGGTTTTTGCAACACAACCCATATTAACACTGATACTGTGGTGCATCACTGGTGTTGAGATCCACTCTATCAGATAGAATCATCCTTTAGCTCTTTGTTTTCCTTATATGTGCTTAGGAAATAGGGTGGTTGTGGAGATTCAGTGAAAGAGAAGTACCAATCCTGGCGCAGACAGAAATTATCCATAGCCTCATTTGCTGGCACCAATCAGGAGCAAACTTGGGGCAGAGGTGAATCAAGACAAGGTTTGGGTATGGGATGGTGTTTCAGTTCTACAGATACTACCACCGCCATGCCTTTTGCAGTAACGTGTAATTGTTCATCTCAAAGAGTTTTCCCCAGATGTCTAAACGTGATCCTTTTTATAAAAACTAAAGATCATGGTATATCCCCTGCAAAAAAAAAATGTGTTTCAAAATCATTGGCAGCCCCTTTAAATATAGTCAATGACATTAAGTCAGGCTGGCGTCTTCTCTTGAGAGTTGACTTCTCCCCTTCCACTCCCATTTTGATTTTGATCAACACCTTTCACCTACTGCCCAAGGACAGCCATCACCAAAGCTCACAGACAGCCTCTGTTCTCCAGCATAAGAATGTTTACATGCATTTCTACAGGCTGCCAGCATCCGGACTACTTCATCAGACCAGCATTCCTTTTGATTTGTTTAAGTGTTAGAAAAAGCTTGTCTAGCACATGCTTTTCAAAACAAGGACCATACTTGTAGGAAGGATATTCTCATGTGGAAGAAATTCCCACAGGGTACAGATCAGTTGGGAAATCTACCCAAAATTATTTCTGTAACTTGTTCACTTTTTTCCACTCCTGGCTAAAGATAGAAACAAAATTTTAGGGATTAGCCAACTGATATATTTTAAAACAAAAATTTAAAACAAACAAAGCTGAGAGTATGGGTGTCATAAGGATGCTAACTTTCAGTTTCTCATCATTGACTCTGGAGAACAGCATGTCACACATCAGATTTTATGTACACTTGAAGCTCCTCCAATTTATTTCTCAGTTAGTCTCACATATCAGCTCTTGTTCTGAATAAACACAGAGATCTTAGGCTGTCATCTCCAAAGGCTATATGGCGGTACAAACACTATCCATTTCCTTTGGATGGTTTTTAGCAAAGAGACCTTTTCTTCATTCATGTATAGGTTTAAACTTGAAAGTAAATTTATAACTTTAAATTTGTAAGTTTACAGTGAAATTTTAACTATTCATAGCAACCCTTGAAAAGAGCTATGTAAACATTTGACCAAAGCAATTGCTCTTGAATTGCTTGAGGGCCTGGAGCAAAGACAAGATCCTGGGGCTATAGGTTTTTCTCTCCAGCCTCTTGGCTGCAGAACCTCTGGCTAAGACAACTCACCTTTGTAGGCCTAAATTTTCTTGTCTGTAAAAATGAGTACTATAGCATCAGTCCTATTTCACAAAATCATGAATATGGATCATATGAAAAAGTGTATGGGAAAGAATTCTACAACCATAAAAATACAACATAAATATAGGACATCATTTTAAAACAATAACCATCTGTCATGGACTGAAGACTTGTGATCACACCAAAATCCATATGTTGAAGCCCTAATTCCCAATGTTATGGTATTTGGAGATGGGGCTTTTGGGAGGTAATAGCGATTGGATGAGGTCCTGAGGGTGAAGCCCTCATGATGGGACTAGTATCCTTATAAGAAGAGATACCATTTCAGGAAGCACACAGAAGTCTCATGTGAGTATACAGCAAGACAGCAGCCACCTCGAAACCTAAAGAGGCCTTGAAATGAAACCTAGTATATCAGCACCTTGATCTTGTACTTCTCAGCCCCTAGAACTATAAGAACATAGATTTCTGTTGTTTAAGCCACTCAGACTGTGGTACTGGTTGAGTAGACCAAATCCAAAAATCCAAAATCCAAAATGCTTCATAATTCAAAACTTTTTGAACACTCACATGGCACTCAAAGGATGTACTCATTGGAACATTTCAGATTTTGGATTTTCAGATTAGCAATGTTCAACCAGTAAATGTAATGCAGATATTCCAAAAACAAAAAAATTCCAAAATTGGAAACACCGCTAGTCTCAAGCATTTCAGATAAAGGATAATCACCGTGTATTTTGTCTTTGCAGCCTGAGTTAAGACCCCATCAGAACTGCGTAATAGATATATAGACTGTTTTTACTAGCAAACTTTGCAGTGGTATCTGAAACTCAAGAACGTGTTGGCTATAAATGGTTCTTACAGGTTCTCTTTAAAGGAATTGATAGAAAGGTTTGCAATCAACCCACCAGTGTGATAACATGATACTAAAATTTTATTAGGCCTTCATAATCTAAAACTTACTACTCAACCAACTTGGAATTTTTGGCAGTTTTTCTTGTAAAATGGCTGTAGATTACATTAGCGTGAACATTCAGAATGTTAACAGTATTCATTTTTCACTCAGTCGACAAAATTTTACTGAGCATCTACTTTGTCTCAGGCATTAGTCTAAGCACTAAGCAGTAGTGATAAGTGAAGACAAGGTCCTTACTCTCAAACAAACAAGAAATTGCAGACAACAATAAATGTTACCCAGAAAATAATACACAATAATGGAGTGTCAGGGAAGGGAGTTTCAATTCTATTTGGGTAGCTAAGGAAAGTCTCACTGAGATAACAGTTGAGCTGAGGACTATATGACAAGAAAGCTTGTTCTGTGATGATCTGGGGCAGAAAAAAAAGAAAAACCATTAGGCAGAGTGATTCAAGTTAGTAAAGAGTAAAGGCTTTCCCAAAAGGAGCCCGGTGAATACAAAGCATCTACTGCACAATTTAATTCTACCACACCACTACCTAATACACCCCATCTCTCCTTCCTTCACTTAGTACCTAATTCTAGGCTGCGGGGAAATGGATAGGAGGGCACCCCAAGGAGGTTAGAGAGATAGTCCTGGGGTTAGAGGGGAGTGTTCACAGTTCTGCATCTGAATACCACTCACATTTACTTAAGAGGCAGTGATGATTACTAGCCCCAGGTGTCCTGATTTGTAAATGTGGTTAAGGATTCCTTTCACTGGTCCGGTGCTGCCTGTTCTCTGAAAGGCAAGATGGGCTGCGTTCTGTTATAGCTTCTGTTTTATTAAAGGTTCTTTTGGTAGCAAGGAATGGAAAGCAATTCAAGCTAGTGTATATACAACAGTGGTGAAGACTCGGATTTTACAGGAGTCCAGAAAAGAGCTGAGGAACCAAGATTCAAAGACAAAAGTAGATGATTAGCCGGGCTTCTCTCACTCTCTCTCACCATCCCCCACCCCACTCCCTGTCTCTACCTCTCTCTCAATTCTGAGTCTCTGCTTTTCCAATATCTCCATGCATGTGGGCCCCTAATGGCTGACTTTGTCATTGTTACTTGATCTTTCAGGTCAACAGTCCTTCACAAACTTTCAACTTTCCAAAAGAAGGAATCTAATTGATTTAGCTGTTTGAACAAGGCCACTCAAATCACAGTTTACCAGCTTAAGTGGTCAAGTCACCTGTGTCCCAAATCAAAGTCACTCATCTGGGTCTGTGGGTGGGATGAAATTTTCTGAACAGAAGCCAACACAAGTCCAGTGCATTAATTCTGACAGCAACAAGCCCAGTTGCTTCAAAACCTTGGGAAACCCTTGGTACTCGTACTTAGACCCTCCCATGGTCATATCTAGTGTGCTTAAAATTTACACATTCCATATAAGAGTTTATGTAAACTATTTCACAACTGAGTTACAGCAAACTAGTATACAATGTTACAATGAAATTATGTGCGGTTTCTTTTTTCTGTAATTCAGAGCTAAGAATTTCATTTTCAGAACATAAACATTTTATAGCCTCATTAAAAACTTATAGGCACAAGGCATGGCCCAGAAACCAACCATTATCCCTGCAAAAAGAAGTAGCTCGTTGATTACTGTCAAATACTTAAATGTATTGGCTTTTAAAGAATTGTTAGGCCGGGCGCGGTGGCTCACGCCTGTAATCCCAGCACTTTGGGAGGCCGAGGCGGGCGGATCACGAGGTCAGGAGATCGAGACCATCCCGGCTAAAACGGTGAAACCCCGTCTCTACTAAAAATACAAAAAAATTAGCCGGGCGTAGTGGCGGGCGCCTGTAGTCCCAGCTACTTGGGAGGCTGAGGCAGGAGAATGGCGTGAACCCGGGAGGCGGAGCTTGCAGTGAGCCGAGATCCCGCCACTGCACTCCAGCCTGGGTGACAGAGCGAGACTCCGTCTCAAAAAAAAAAAAAAAAAAAAAAAGAATTGTTAGATCATCCAATAGTGTGATAAACTCCCTATGAAAAGTATCCTCACTCACTTGTTTGTGTGTGACTTATATGCTGATGTATGTGAATGCAGCCTGTGTTTATGTTGTCTTCTATGTTGTGTGTAAGCTATACTAGGAAAGCTCTGCAAATGCACCTAGAGGCTACTGTGAACGATGCACCCAAAAATAAAATCTAAAAATAACTAGGTAATAAATAACCATTTGCAGATGGGAATTGTTCTTGCAGTTTTCTAAACAACAGCAGGTTTCTTTAAGACATTATGATATTTTCCTGATATTTCATTAGCTGTACTAAATCTTAAAAGGCAGATAATTTGAATAATGCATGATAAAACTAACTGGATCCTAATTAAAGATATTTTAAAGACAATATCGAACCATTGCTTTTATCTTAGAATAATTTCATGTATGCATATTCTTCTGTGTTAGTTAAAAGCACCAAAAGAGTGATTTCTGAGAGGCAGAGCATTCCAGCAATTATTTTAGAATCTTGCATTGACAAAAATGTTAAGGGCCACTCTTCAAAGTAATATCTTGATTACTTGTTCTATTTGTTCAGGTTCATTCAGAGAGAAAAAAATTCTTCAAAAGGAACAAACTAAAGCTAAAAAGTTCTCTATGGCCTTCTTTATTGCAGAAATATGTATGTGAGGAAGTTTCAGAATTTGCAGTGAGATACTTACTGAAAAATGTAAGGAGTATTAAGGATTCTTAGCAGGGTGACATACTAACCTTTACAAGACAATTAAAATAATATTAATTAAGATTTAAGATCAATATGCACAAAATTAGCTTGATATGTGATCATCTGGAAGGGTTTTTCTATCCAGGACTCATGCAAAGTATTTGGTGCAATCATTCAAGGGAGCTCCAGTTTATATGGTCTTCTGCCACCACTAATGTGTATGTACTTAGTGGCCCGGCCATGTGCTTCAAATTTAGCTCAACAGAGTCCCAGTACTAATAATATATTCAATAACATATTTAATTTTCTGCTCAAGATAGTGCTCATCAAATGGTGGACTGTGGCTCTGGTTTTAAGCTAAAAGAACAGTATAGTATACTCTTCTCTCCAACTCTAAGGAAGTTATTGAATATTTCATTACTAAGTTGAATGTGATATATGAAAACATAATGATGTGACTAATTTATGTTGATATATAAATTATAGGTTAAGAGCACAGACTCTAAAATCAGAAAAAAAATCCATCAATTACTAGCTATATGACCTTGATTAAGTTTTCTGAAGTTTTCTAACTGTAGTGTTCTCATCTGCAAGATGATAATGATGATGCCTGCTTTCTAAGGTTGTTGTGAGAATTGGATAAGTTACATGAAAGACAAAATGCAAAGGAGAATTGAGGAAATTATTTTATTTAGCCTACTACAACATGAAGAGCATCCATTAATGAGGATAGTCTCAAAGAAAAGGAAGGAAGCTTGTGTTTTATGGAGGCAGATACATAAGGTGTTCACCCTGGAATCCTATGGGTGTTATAGGACAGATGATACGAAGAAGGATGGAGGTGGGCGTTAACTTCAAATATGGTGGAACAGGGTGGTCCTTTGCGGCTTTTCTTCTTATGGCTCTTTTCTGGGAACACAGAGCTCAGATAAACTCCAACATTGTCAGTCTTTTCCTTTTGTTCAAGACAAATGAATGTCATTCTTCACTCAACATTCAACAACTCAGAAGCAATAATAAGCATCCTAGATGGGGTGAGGCAGGGTTAAAGAAATAGTCTCAATGGTTCTTATTGGCATTGTTACTATAAAACTAGTTGAACCGGTCAGTTGTTTTAGAGGTCTGAGGTGAGGCATCTTAAAAGAGTGATGCCTAAACTAGAAAAGAGAAAATATTAGTAAAACAGGTGGCACTGAAAAGTCAGTTATTGAACCTAAGAGTAATCAGTGCAGCAGATTCTAAGAGGTTGCTGGAGGAAATCTTATGGTTATACAATACCATTGGTTAAGTGTCTTGAAGCTCTTCAGGTAGAATGTGCATGTTCTTGGTGATACTGTCCACAGCCTTGCTTACTTTTCATAGTCTATGTGAAAATCCATGGTTTTCTTAAATAATCAAGGATATAATTAAGTCAGCATAAACCATAGGTTAGTCTGTTAAGGCCTAAACAGAATCTTTGCTATTGAGGTAGATTACACAGATGCTAAGGAATAACCATTTATTTTCTCTTATGAAGAGCAGACCAGTAATTTTAAAAATGCTACTTTAATGGAGAAAACTAAGTGCTAGTTTTCCAACAGTATAATCTTTGATAGAATATTCTTTTTAAAAATGTTATAAATAAATCAAACTTTAGCCAGCTTTGGCTATGACAAATAAAATTCCTTTTCCAAAAGTCTTTTATACCTTTTTATAGCCATAGATATCCTTACAGCACAACTCTTCAAAGTGGTGAAAATGAACATGTTCATTAACAAACCCAAAAATATATAGCTTGTTTATAGCATATAAAAGTAAAAATAAAAAGCATACAAACTTAAAACTAAAATAAGTAATTGTTTTGATATGTTACTTAGAAATAATCTAGGAATCTAACAAGTAGCCCATAAGTAACTCAATTTATTATCAATTCAAGGTTTTAAGCTACCTAAAGATTTTGGAAATTATCTTCAAGCTAGCATACTAAAAAGTATAATTGCTAATGAAATAAAGTTTTATTCAATTGGTAAACACAAATAATTATTCAATTTGGTAAATACAAATTTATAATTTTATGACTTAAACACTAAGTAGAAGAAATATTAGCATAGTTACCAGTAAACCTGTAAAAGTTTAGGGAAAACATAACCAAGTAAAATAAAAATCTACATGAGTATTATAGTTAACATTGATAAATTACATAAAACATGGCTGTTTTATTAAACTAAAAATATTAATGTCTCATTGGTGAAGCTTTGCCTAAATTATATGAGCTTGAAACCTTAAAACTTTTCTGAGTTAGTTTTTAGAAGGACACTTTTAAAATTTAGCACACTGAAAGTCTTAGAATTTCTGGCAATTTTAGGAATATTCCATTTATGAGCAATAATTTACCTCTAAGCCAATTAGAACAGAACTTTAAGAGATTTTATAATCAAATTTGGTAAAACCATCTAGAAGCAGGAAAATATTGTACTCTCATACAATGAGAGGTAAAAGCCTTTCTGAAACACAGACATAAACATATAAAGAGAGAGAAAAAGTTTATAGCCTCAACTCTAAAATTCAGTCATGGGTCAAGCATAAACACAGAAATACAAAACTCACTAGTCCATGTTAAAGAGCTATTCTCATCTCAGTGGGTACAAGCTCTTGATTGATTTGTCCTCAAAATTGACATGTAGGCAAACACAAAAGACTAACACACTAGAGTTTCTAACATCTTTCACCCAACAAAGACAAGATCTCTATAAATCATTCATTTCTTTACAGAGATCAGCAAATGCTCAGACCACAAAATCAAAATAAGTGGGCACCAGAAATCAAGTGAATATCCAAAAAAGAAACAAAATCAAATCATTACCCTGCTACTGGTAGACAAGAGCCCACATCACAGGACCAAAAGTCAGAATCATCACTGGGTCCTGAGTCCCAGATCACCAGTCAGGAGTGGACCACAAAGGGCTCCAAGACGCCTTACCTAAGAAGAGTAAGCAGGTACTCCCAAGACAAGGGCTGATCATATCCTGGTTACGGCACTAAACTGAGAAAGACAAGTGTACCAAAGAAGTGATTTTATTTAGACTACTGCAGTAGAGAGAATATTCATTAATGAGGAACATCTCAAAGAAAAGGAAGGGGGTCTGGGGTTTTTTAAAGACAGATAAGCAAGAGAGCCATCCAGGAGTTTTTGGAGTAATGAGGAAGGATGGAGGTGGGTCTTAGCTTGAAATACACCAGCTCAGGGTGATCCTTATAGGGTAGGAGGATTTCTTCACCATTGCTGCTTTCTGGGAGCAAAGGACTCAAAATTCAACATTGTCACATTGTCAGCTATATAAAATGTTTGTTCATAAAGAACAAAGTATTGGCAGTTGTTAGAGAGGGCAGCACACTTCGCAGTACACTTTTTATATTCTAACTGCCTAGGAGCAAATCATGACTATTGTTCACTAGCTATATGACTTTGGGAAAATATACAATCTCTGATTCTTATTTTTCTTACCAGTTCATTGGGCATTAAAACAGTAGCTTCACCATAAAGCTGTTGTGAAGATCAAATGCAGTAAAGATGAAAAATTCTGAGACCATAAGCTGGTGAGCTGTCATCAGCAATACTATTATCATCACCAGTTAGAACTAAATGAATGCCATAAGAAAGGAGATAATTGTTCTATTCCTAAAATCTATTTGACAAAGTAAACATTTTTATAACACAATGACTCACTTTTTTTATTTGCCAGGTTAGTTTGGTAATTTTAATAGAATTTTTGATAACTCTTAACTAAACATTTTGATCACTTCATTAAGATGGGGGAATTTTTAATTTGTTTCTTCAAAAGAAATCTTTTTATTGCAGAGTAAATGGAAGATAAAATAATTAATTGAATATTAACAAAATAAAATTCAGAGAAAACTAAACGGTATTTCTCTGTGTTAACATCCATAATTCTGGTTTTTTCTACCCTATCTGATGCAAACTACCAAGACAACTGTCTGAGGATGGTTTGAAAAAATATATATTTTAAATCTTATCATCTTCTGTTTCTTTGGATGAGTGAAATAAATGGAAAGGAAATCTCACCAGATCAGAGTTTATGTGGACATGGTACTGTGAGAGCAAAGGTTTTGCTATTGAAGAATAGCAAATAAAACAGGCCTATAAATTCCTTAACAATCATGTTAATTATCTTCCTCTACCTGGACTTTAGAGTGCTTTGTCACAGGTTAAGCTACACCTTTTTCAGTTCTCAGTCTTCCACTGATGCTAGTAATTCTCTCTAATTAATGACCTTTACAATATCAAGGAGGAAAATAATTTATGCTGAATTTCTTGACTGTCTACCTGTGACGAAGAAAAGTTTACAAAAGATGGGAGGTGGGCAAAGGTAAGTTGAAGAAGCAGTTTTTGTCCTTTCAAGCTGTCTTTCAGCCATTTACTTCTGCATTGCGAAGAGGTATTACCTGCTTTCTAAAGGAAATCAAACAAATAGTCTTTGGCTAAGGAATCATTTAAATCATCCCCTACATTAAAATATAAGACAAGATAAAACTTGTATTCATTCCAAACACTCAGCGAAACAGGCAATTGTGGACAGCAGAGGTATAGCCTTAAGAAGCTTCAAATCTACCCAAATGGTTAGGAAGACAAGGCTAATCCTTATGTGATATAGCAGCAAATATTTAAGACAATGTATACATTTGTGTGGTCTCTAAAATTAGATGGCCTTAGCTCAACTCTGATTCCGTCACTTGTAGGCCATGGGCAAATAACAACTATAAACTTCAGCTTCTTCATCTAAAGAGTAAGAATAATGGAAGCATATACATTGCAGAATCGCTTTGAGGATTAAAAGAGAAAATTTAAGGACAGTGTTGGTCCTTGAACGACACAGGTTTGAACTGCGTGCGTCCACTTATATGGTGATGTTTTCCAATAATAGGACGAGTTTGTTTGCTTCTCCTGCCTCCCCTTCCACCTCCTCCACCTCTTCTGCCACTGCCACCCCTAAGACAGCAAGACTAACCCCTTTTCTTTCTCCTCTTCCTCAGCCTACTCAGTGTGAAGAGGATGAGGATGAGGATGAAAATCTTTATGATAATCCGGTTCCACTTAAGGAAGAGTAAATATATTTTCTCTTTTTTATGATTTTCTTAATAATATTTTTTTTGCTTACTTTCTTGTAGGTATATAATATTTAATACATATAACATTCCAAATATATATTGACTGTCTATATTATTGGTAAGGCTTCTGGTCAACAGTGGGCAATTAGTAGTTAAGTTTTGGGGGAGTCAAAATTATATACATGTTTTCCACTGTGTGGGGGTCGGCACCCCTAAGCCCTGTATTGTTTGAAGGTCAACTGTAGTTAGCTCAGCTCCTGGCCCATGTTAAGTACTCTAATGGAAGTCAACCACAGTAGTAATGGTGGTAGTAAAATACTATATGAATAATATATATTATCAAGAATGTATACATAGGCTACATGCATAACCTATAATTACTATATCTGAGAATATATAATTAAATAGAATTTATGGTGGTACAGATACAAATATTATAGGAAGTCAAAGGAAGGAAGAACAATGGGGATATCAATGGACAGATTAATGCTTCTCGTACTATGACAAGTAAGCTCTTGATAAATGTTAGGTGCTTTCATTATCACCAGTATTGATCATAGTAGACTTCATAGAGGAGGTTAAACTTTAGCTGAACCTTAAGGAATGAGTGATATAAAGATTTCAAAAGAGTCTCTCATGTGACAACAGCAGCAAGAGGTAAGTCACTGATGTGGGAAAGTAACATGACAGAGTCCACTAAGGTAAAAGCAGAACTACTATTCAATCCTGCAATCCCATTACTGGGTATGTACCCAGAGGAATATAAATCATTCTACCATAAAGACACATGCATGTGCATGTTCATTGCAACACTATTCACAACAGCAAAGACATGGAATCAACCTAAATGCCCATCAATGACAGATTGGATAAAGAAAATGTGGTACATAAACACCATGGAATCCTATGCAGTCATAAAAAAGAATGAGATCATGTCTTTTGCAGGAACATGGATGGACCTGGAGGCCATTATCTTCAGCAAACTAATGCAGGAACAGAAAAGCAAACACCACATGTTCTCACTTATAAGTGGGAGCTAAATGATAAGAACTTATGAACACAAAGAAGGAAACAACAGACACTGGGGCCTACCTGAGTATGGAGGGTAGAAGGAGGAAGAAGGGCAGAAAAGATAAATATTGGGTACTGGGCTTAATTCCTGGGTGATGAAATAATCTGTACAACAAACCCCTGTGACATGAGTTTACCTATGTAACAAACCTTAACGTGTACCCCTGAACGTAAAGTAAAAGTTAAAAAAATAAAATAAAATAAATTTAGAGAAGAAAGAAAACATAAAGACAGCCAGTGGAGATGTGCTCTGATTTTCCTACCAACAAGTACTTATTATCATCCTATTATTAACAGCTACTCTTCTTCATAGTGTTTATTTGATAGTTACTATGTGTAGTGGACTAAATGATGATACCACCCTCCCCCAAGTGATATGTCCATGTCCTAATCCTCTGAATCTGTGAATATTACTTTATTTGGTAAAATGCTCTTTGCAGATGTAATCAAAGATCTCAAGATGAGGATCTCCACATTCTGGATCACCTGGGTGGCCTCTAATGCCAATGAAATGTATCCTTATAAGAGAAACACAGCAAAGACACACACAGAGAAGGGCCTCTGTTGGGAGGGGCTGCCACAAAGGTCTCTAACATGCCCTGGAGACATTTTTCCCCTTGTCTTGGGGATTAACATTCTGCTCCTTGTTTCTTATGCAAATTTCTGCAGCCAGCTTGAATTTCTCCTCAGAAAATTAGATTTTCTTTTCTATCACATTGTCAGGCTGCAAATTTTCTGAACTTTTATGCTCTATTTCCCTTTTAAAACTGAATGCCATTAACAGCACCCAAGTCAACTCTTGAATGCTTTGCTGCTTAGAAATTTCTTCCGCCACATACCCTAAGTCATGTCTCTCAAGTTCAAAGTTCCACAAATCTCTAGGGCAGGGGCAAAATGCCACCAGTCTCTTTGCTAAAACATAACAAGAGTCACCATTGCTCCAGTTCCCAACAAATTCCTCATCTCCATCAGAGACCACCTCAGCCTGGATTTCATTGTCCATATCATTATCAGCAGTTTTATCAAAGCCATTCAACAAGTCGCTAGGGAGTTCCAAACTTTCCCACATTTTCCTGTCTTTTTCTGAGCCCTCCAAACTGTTCCAACCTCTGCCTGTTACTCAGTTCCAAAGTTACTTCCACATTTTCAGGTATCCTTTCAGTAGTACCCCACTCCTGGTACCAGTTTACTGTTTTAGTCCGTTTTCACACTGCTGATAAAGACATACCAGAGACTGGAAATTTACAAAGGAAAGAGGTTTAATAGAGAACTCACAGTTCCATGTGGCTGGGGAGGCCTAACAATCGTGGCAGAAGGTGAAAGGCACATCTCACATGGCGGCAGACAAGAGAAGAGGGCTTGCGCAGAGAAACTCTGTGTTTTAAAAACCATCAGATCTCATAAGACTTATTCACTATCATGAGAACAGCATGAGAAAACCTGCCCCCATGATTCAATTACCTCCCACTGGGTCCCTCCCACAAAACATGGAAATT
Organism: Homo sapiens; assembly: GCF_000001405.40. Taxonomy (NCBI): domain Eukaryota; kingdom Metazoa; phylum Chordata; class Mammalia; order Primates; family Hominidae; genus Homo; species Homo sapiens. The sequence goes on from NC_000011.10 coordinate 30,035,283, forward strand.
CAAGATGAGGTTTGGGTAGGAGCACAGCCAAACCATATCAAGGTGGAAGGCCCAGATGAAAGGATAAGGAACTTAGTATTGTGGAGAGGCTAGAGAACACTGGGGAACATGAGGAAGAACAGCTTTGATGTGGCATTGGGGGCTGACTAAGATGATGGGTTAGCCTGAGCCTGAGTGGGCTTCCTAAAAACCAGAGTCAGAAGAAACTGGCTATAGGTGGACCAAATCAAAAAGGCTCAAATAACAGGAAAAGTCTAGACTCCCCCGCCTTGTTGCATCAGCTTGCTATAGACTTGATGCTTTTGTCTCCCTAAAATTATTTTAATGAAACCTAACCCCCAGTGTGAAAGCATTTGGAGATGGGGCTTTTAAAAGGTAATTAGATTATAAGGGCAGAGGCCCCATAAATAGGATTAACATCCTTATTAAAAAGACCTGGAGACGTCCCTTCCTCCTACTGCCATATGAGGATGCAGCACAAATATGGTGGGTGTCTATAAATGAAGAAATGGGCTCTCACCAAAACCTGATCCTGCTGACACCCTGATCTCAAACTTCCAGCCTTCAGAACTGTGAGAAATAAAGGTCTGTTATTTATAAGTTATTCAGTTTATAATATTTTGTTATAGCAGCCTGAGATGACTAAGACACAGCCAGTTTACTGGCTTTTTGATAAATAATAGATAACTGATTATTTTAAAACTCATGTGGGTATGGGAGCAATAGGGAGAGAAAAGAGGAGATAAAATACACACGGAAGTTGGCACATGCTCTCCAGGGTTTTGCAGAAACCAGGTGGTAGCCCCAAAGGAAAATCAATAACCACTGCTTCTATTTGTGGCTCTGTTTCCACAGAAACATGTTTGTGGGTGAATTTGGAAGGCAGATTTACAATGCCAAAACAATCAGTCCAAAAAGAAGAAAAAATTCCAGTCAAATAAACTTTTTTACTATAGTAACAAATGTTTTTTACTAACATTTTTTCCATTTAATTAACTGAATTTAAAGAGGTGTTATCAAATAAGCTCAGCCATGCTCCTGTAAGCACAATAATATTGAAATGTGGGGGCAATATTAGCTTCAGTGTAAATGGAATATGTGGAAGGTTGTTGGAAAATACTTGGCTGGCCGGTCAAGTCGAACCTATTTTCAAGAATAACAAATATAGTCAAACTTAACTTTAGAGAGCTGTGATAGTGAGGTTACCACCACTAATTAAAAGGAAAAAAAACACTTTTGATTTCTGTCTTCCTCTATCTTAAATGTCATGCCATACATTTTTTAGGCCCTCCATTAAAATGTTCTTGAAATTATCTGTCAGAATGAGTATTTATATATGACTCCCTACTACAGGCACAATAAAATTCTTTCTAAGACCCATTCATTAGTAAAATGAACAACAGTATCAAACTTAGAATACTGAGTGTTTAGAACTTTAATCATTAAAAAATATAAATTTGTGATTGTTCATTTTTAAATACCAGTCAATCTAAGTCTCTAAAGGCAATGTTATCCTCATATATTAGAAGGGTGCTTTAGCATTGAGTCTCAGATCCGTATCTTCCTAAATTCTCCTAACTTGTGAGTTTCCCTAGACTCTGGAGTGGTGATGAGCCTGCAAGAGTTGTAGAGAAGAGAGCAGGAGGATGAAGGTAACATCATTGGCCTCAGCTGTGACATCTGTGAGAGATGTGAAGAAAAATGAAATTGAGATCTAGGTAGATTTTTATATTTACAAGGAAATCTCATTCTTGTCATAACACTCCAAAATCTCCATAAATTATATAGATTAATCAAGTTTATTTTGTTTCTCACTTCTTAAATCAGATCCTCCCCTTTTCCTTATATTCTACTATCTTATCTGAAATGAGCATTGCTAGTTTCTTACCTACCATCCTTTACTCCCTTCTCCCTTAGAAAAAACATCCCAAATTGAATGGCCATCATTTCTATTGACATTACTCTAAATGCCTCCTTAAAGCACCTTTCTGCTTCTACTCTAATTCCTTAAGTTCTTTCTCCTCACCTCACATCAGAGTTACCTTTGTAAACTTTAATCATATCAATTCCACATTTAGATGAATTCCCCTGGTATTGGGATCAACACCCAACCTCCTGACAGAGCCTCACAAGGTTCTAAGTAACCAGACAATGCCTCAGTCTCTGACTTCAGCAATCTTCACTCTTACCGGAGACCAATCACAATGGCCTTTCAGCTCTTTAAATACACCAAGCTCTATCTACCCTCAGAACCCCTGTCCTTACTGTTCCTTCTGCCTGGTAGGCCTGACCTAAGTTCTTTCCATGACTGGCTCCTCCTTATCATTCAAGTCACAGGCAGATGTCACAGGCCTTTCCTGCCTACCTAATCTAAAGGACTCCCACTGCCCAGTCACCATCACAGCATCCTGTTTAACGACATTCATGCCATTGATCATTATGTGGAATGCTCATATTATTTGTTTAGTTTGTCTAAACTAGAAGCTTTTTAAGGGCAGAAGGGCTTTCACTACTCTACTTCCAGAGCTTAGTAAGTGTTCAGTAAATATTTGCTAGATAAAAGGAGGGAAAGGAGGAGAGAAGGAAAGAGACAAGAGAAGGAGGGAGGGAAGGAAGAAAGGAGGGGATTTAGTTAGGAACTTCAGTTGCTCTCCATCTATAAGTAATCAATATACATTATAAGATTTAGCAAGCCCACTAGCTGAGGAATACGAAACTACATTAGTATCTTAAAAATATAATGAAAGAGACACCTGAAATAAAATTTTAAAAGCACGTAATTTTAAACTCAGCGATGACATAACCTATTTCTAATGATTGCACTGCTTTCCTTCAATGTTGTACCCTACCTGGAAAAAATTGTTCATAAGTAAAGTAACTGGATGGTTAAAAAGTAGGATTAGACAATAGATGCTGGGTTACTCAGCACAGTTCTTGCACAAAGAATCTGACAAATCTCAACAACTATTAAAGTGTTTTAGATTATATCTTGTTGTCAACAGATTTTCTGAATAGGCACTTGGCTCTCCCATTTACAATAAGAGCAAAAGAATGAGTCACCTAGCATTGGGTCCATATGCAATGTTTGATACTATGTTCTCTGAACCTTGGCAGTATATTTGCTTCCCCTTAATAATGATAGTAGCACTTTCTCCAGCTGTCAGCCAGCCATGCCTGCTAGGCCTTTATTTCCTTTCTATAAAGCTCTCTTTTATTGCAGCTTCACATATGCATCTGATTTGGTCTCTGCTCTGTGTGGCTGCCAATGTGTGGAATCTGTTTGATCTTGACGAAACTATAGGAGTAGGGATAGAAATTTAACAGAATCTCACAGACATTCTTTTTCCCCTTCAATTGGGTTGGGTACCTTGAAGATAAAAAATAAAGAAGCATTATTTTCAGGCTGATTCCTAGAGAAAACTTCATGTGAACTCAATAGCTAATAAAAGGCACATAATGGACTATAAAACCTTTCAATTATAAATATGTATTTAACAAAAGTTTAGAATAAAATGTAACAAAAAAAGCAGGTGCCAACAGAGGCAGAAAATAAATTACCTAATCACTCCTAAACTCTTAGAGCAAGCCACTTATCTACTCCTTGCAATATGAAATTTCCATGGAGAAAAGATACAAAGATTCACATTAAACCAAAGTTCTGAACCTGATTGAACTTTAGTTTTACAGTTTTATATTTTCCTGATATTTTTGTGGTCTATGTTTATAAGCTTAGGAAAGCCTATCATGAAATGAGGCATAAGCAAGAAAAAAAGTTTCCATCATACACTAAAAGCCAAAAAGAGAAAAGGTGATGGAATAGGGAAGTGGAATTTAGAGGAAGGTTAATTCTCTTGGAATTCAAAAAGCACAATATTTCATTGTGATAAATAGCTCTTTCCCCAATAAATGGGGTGTAATGGTAAATCTTTCAGTTGTGGGCAAAAGTTACAAATGAATCATGCTGTTATAGGGGAGCCTATCTGGCAATTCATACTTAGATTCAAAGAGCATTTACTATATGCCAAGTGCTCTGCCTGGCAGTGCCTTATGTTACCTTACTTATTTTTCACAATTACGGTATAGAGAAAGTATCATGGTCAGCTTTTGTCATATGAGAAAACGGATGCTCAGTGAACTGAATTCACTTGTGCTTAGTTGCACAGCTTAAAATGGCAGCTCTGGAAGTCACACCTATATTTTCTAGATTCCAAGTTATTTGACAGACAAGCTCAGAACTGTCAGAAGAGAGAAATGAATCCTGGAAAGCGGAAAGTCAGGATGTATGAATGAAGAAAAGGTTTATAGATAGAAGGAAGGGTATGATGCCTGTAATCCCAGTACTTTGGGAGGCCGAGGCAGGAGGATCACTTGAGGTCAGGAGTTCGAGACCAGCCTGGCCAACAGGACGAAACCCTGCCTCTATTAAAAATACAAAAATTACCCAGGCATGATGGTGCATGCCTGTAGTCCCAGCTACTAGGGAAGCTGAGGCACGAGAATTGCTTGAGCCTGGGAGGTGGAGGTTGCAGTGAGCTGAGATCGCACCACTGCACTCCAGCCTGGGTAACAGAGTGATGCTCCATCTCAAAAAAAAAAAAAAAAAAAGGAAGAAGAAGAAGAAAGAAGAAGAAGAAGAAAGAAGAAGAAGAGGAAGAAGAAGAAGGAAGAAGGAAGAAGAAGGAGAAGGAGAAGGAGGAGAAGGAGGAGAAGGAGAAGGAGAAGGAGGAGAAGGAGAAGGAGAAAGAGAAAGAGACGAAGAGGAGGAGGAGGAGGAAAAAGAAGAAGAAGAGGAAGAAGAAGAAGAAGAAGAAGAAGAAGAAGAAGAAGAAGAAGAAGAAGAAGAAGAAGAAGAAGAAGAAGAAGAAAGGCTATGAGGTTTAAGATAAAATTCTTAGAGAAACAGGGAAAGGATTAAAGGGTTTCCGACTCCTGAGAAAAACTGTAAACACCATTTATAATCTATCTTGCTCTGCTGCCTCAGCTTATCATCCTGCCCCTAAATGTGGGTAATCCCCAAGGCTCTGCCCTCATCTCCTTTTGTTACTTTCTTCCTCAGGGATATCATCGTCTCTGTAGGTCACCCATGTAAAGACAACTCCCAGATGATACAACTAGCCTTGATCTCCCATGGGACCTCCAATCACATCATGTCCAAATGCTGGACATTTTCACCAGCATATTATAACCTCCTCTCAAACTCAATACTTGTAAAAGAAGGAATGCCTCTTCTCCCACTTTGGCACTCAAACTTCTCTTCCTCCTGCTACTCCTATTTCTATCTACGACAAATCATCCATCCAAGCCCCTGGATACAAAATTCAACAGCATCATTTTTTTTCCCTTTTTCTTAACCTTCACATTTTTCACTGGGTTGTATTGATTCTATCTTTTAAATCTCTTACATTTATACCTTTATTCTCTTATAGATATTAAAGAATAATGTTTTTTAAAACTATATAATTAAGACTCATGTAATTAAACAAACACATGTTAAATATTGTAACTCTTTAATTAACAAAGAACCAGTAAGCTATTCCAATCAAAGAACCACCCATATATAAGCAATAAGAAATGCTAACATGAATTTATAAATAGATGTAAATAATTTATAAGTAGATATAAAACTGGTTTACTACATCAGTAGCGGGGGAAGGAAAATGAATTGTTCCTACAGCAGACAGATCTCATTTGCATGTCTATAAAGAAGATTAATTTGTATTGCAATCAGTTAACCACAACTTACATTGTAAATCCTTGGAAAACAACTCACAGGCAATGAAAGAGAAAAACCTCATAGATTCAAATAAACTGGCAGAGTGCTCACTAGAAAAGACCTACTTTATCAGCTGAAAGCACCTAGTAATCTTTTTCGTTCATTTCAAGGCCTTTCGCACATTTTCTTGGTTCAGGTGTTAGTCCTTCATTTTGGACTTTAGAACGTGACATGTGGATTATTACAATAGCTTCTAACTCTTCTCCCTGCATTTATCCTCTGAATGAGTTGGCCTTAACACTCAGCTTGACTAAACTCTAGACAAGTTGTGTGTGTGTGTGTGTGTGCACGCGCGCGCGTGTTTTTGTGTGTGTTTGAGATGTAGTCTCACTCTGTCGCCGAGGCTGGGGTGCAGTGGCGCGATCTCGCCTCACTGCAACCTCCGCCTCCCTGATTCAAGCAATTCTCCTGCCTCAGCCTCCCAAGGAGCTGAGACTACAGGCATGCACACCATGCCCTGCTAATTTTTGTATTTTTAGTAGAGACGGGGTTTTACCATGTTGGCCAGTCTGGTCTCAAACTTCAGACTTCAAGTGACCTGCCCGCCACGGCATCCCAAAGTGCTGGGATTACAGGCATGAGCCACTACGCCCAGCCTAGACAAGTTTATTTCTAACTTTAGGCCTCTGTCCTCCCTTTTCTTAGAGCATTTACTTCAGAAAACTTGCACTTGTAAATTCTTTCTCTGCCTTTTAGATGTGGTAAAAGAAAAACTGCAGCTGAATTAAATTTAAAGGAGTTTAATTGAGCAATGAATGATTTGTGAATTGGGCAGCCCCCAGAATCACAGCTGATTCAGAGAGACTCCAGGGATGCCTCATGATTAGAACAAATTTATAGACAAAAAAAGAAAAGTGATGTACAGAAATCAGAAGTGAGGTTCAGAAACAGCTGGATTGGTTACAGGTTGGCATTTACCTTATTTGAACACAGTTTGAACACTCCACGCTGTATGAGTGGTTGACGTATGGCTGCTGGGATTGGCCAAGGCCCAGCCACTGTTACAGGCACACACTCCCAAGTTAGGTTCTCAATCTTGTCTACCCATTAAGTTAGGTTGCATTTCATTCACGTGGACTCAAATATAGAAATAAGGAGTCCTTCTCTGGCCATATTTAGTTTGCTTTAACAGATATAAATCCTGTATAACCCAGGAATGTCTGAAGGACCTGGGATGGGAAGGACCTGGGAGCCATCCTTTTGAAATGTACTCCTCAAGAAAGATAGCACTCTTATAGTCCGGTCTCTGTGGAGGGATGGGAGCCTAGCTTTTAAAACAGCCAGTTAGCAATTACAGATATTCTCATCACATTGATCAACCTCTCCACTAACTTCCTTCAGTATTTTTCTACTAGTGCATCTCAGTGCTTAAAAACTCTCCCACTTTTCATTCGGCAAAGTTGAATTCAATTTCTCTCCTTATTGTGGTAATCTTGAATAAGGTCTTCCTGTTTAACTGGTCTGATGCAATTATTATTATTATTATTTTGAGACAGGGTCTTACTCTGTCACCCAGGCTGGAATGCAGTGGCCTTTCAGTGGTATTTCATCTAACCTCAGCCCCGAACTCCCCGGTTTAAACAATCCTCCCACCTCAGCATCCCAAGTAGCTGGGACTACAGGTGCACACCATCATGCTTTGCTAATTTTTTAATAAATGTTTTTGTAGAGACAAGGTCTCACCATATTGCCCAGGCTAGCCTTGAACTCCTGGGTTCAAACAATCCCACCTCAGCCACAAAAAGTACTCAGACAGGTGTGAGCCAGCATACCCGGCCTGAGACATTTTTTCTTTTACATCTCTACCTTGTCCAATCTATCACAAATGCCAAATATTCCTAAGACACCATTCAACTCATAGCCTTCTCTCCTACCAAAATTGTTACCCACCATCACCACCAAAAGCTCTTGGGCTATAAATAAGACAAATGTGTTTTATTTGAGCTCTATAACATTAAATAAATTAATCTAGTATTTTCAAGTCAGTAGATTTTACATAAATTTTTTTCTTGAACAATCACAAGAACTGTCAACCCTACAAAGGTTGCTTTCGAGTCTGGCTATAATCAGCTAAAACTGCATAGTAGAACTCACTGTTAGCAAAGGTTGGTTTTTCACATCCCCCATTCCTATGTCCATGGGCCCTGTTGCACTTACACCTGGACCTTTTATTTACTCATAACTTGCCTGGCCCCTGTGAGCATTTTCTGTTTTTAAATCCTCCTAGTCAATGGGATAAAATCCAAACTCCTAATGTTTCTCTACCAAGTTACTTATATTGACAGCTTTGCCTCCTACTTTGTTTTGCCACTTCAGACTCTTCCCTGCTGCCCTGGAATAGGTTTTTCTTGGCTTATACTATTCTTTCTATCTGGAATGTACTTGTTTCTCTTGTTTTATTACCCTCATCTTCAGCCATCAAATCCTATTTGAGATTTAGAACCCAGCTCATGTGTTGCCTCTTTCAGAAAGTCTCCCCTAACTATCCCAGCTAGACCTAGTCAGTAGTAATTATTGTCCATCCAACTCACAGCAGCCTTTATCAAGCCCTGAAGAACAGAACTGTTCTTATTTTTCTGTACACCTACTCCATTCTCCACACTCCCAGCTTTCTAAAGCACAGCAGTTGAAGATGGTTAAATTGAATTGTGTCTGTTCTTTCCATCTAAATTGTTTTAGCCTAAAATTAGGGTCAAATATCAAACTTTCTCTTAATCTCTATAGTCTCTGGCCCAAGTAAGTGAACAAATAGGATACTTCCAAAAACTTAACTTAGAAAAGGTCAAAGATCTGTTGAAGGGATTTTAGGCTCAGAATCCATAGGAGCAAGCAACTAATTGGGCTCGTCAGGTAGTTACAGATGAATAACTTTAGCATGTACCAGATTTCTTCCCTTTGTATAAACTGTAATAGTAACTTTTCCTGCTCCAAAAGTAGGATGATTTAAACAAACATATATATGAATATAGAAAGAAAAACCAGAAGCAGGCCACAGTCTGAAATCTGAAGAAGGCAATTCTCTTTAATCCCTTTGGTTGTGAAGTGCAGATCCCTGGCAATGGAACCCTTCCACAGGGGAACATCTTAAGTATTTTATTTGTTTGTTTTCAGTGGCTTATAGCAACACAAAGTTATTATCCCATGGTTTCTGTGGGCCTAGAACCCAGTGCAGATTAGCAGGATGCTTTGTCTCTGGGTCTCTGACAAGGCTACATTCAAGGGTCAACTGGGGATGGATTCATTTCTAAGCTCACTCCAGTAGTTGGCAAGATTCATTTTTCTCACACAAGTTTTGAACTGAAGGCTTCAGTTCCTCAGGAGCTATTGGCCACAATAGGTCTCATCTAAGAAGTGTCCACTCAAAGACAATTCCATTTCAGCACAGGTACTCTCAGACCATCTGAAAGACAAAAAGATCAAGTCACAGCAAGGTCAAATCACTTGTTCAAGGGCACATAAAGGTTCAAGGAGTCAGGGCTGAAATTAGACTCCTGACTGCCCAAGGATGCGGTAGGAGAGAGGTGGCTGCAGGGAGACTGTTGGGCACCAGGGAATTTACAACCAATTCTATAAGTGGAGCCCAAATAGGAAACAGGAAAAAAAATGACTCACATAGATATACATATCCAAAATGGGACAACAGGAAATACATTACTGTAAGGAAAATGGCTGTGCTTTGGTCAAGGAATAGGCCGAAGTGGGCATCCTGGCCAGAGTGACTCAGAGAGTTTGCAGTGCATGTGCACAATTCCATGTATAATGTAAACACAGCTGTGTAGCCATAACATGGGAAGGCCATCCCTTGGCTATGCCACTATTGTCTATAAAAGGTATAATTGCCCTGCTGACACTATATAGGCATGTGCCCAGAGAAAGAGAGAGAGCCAGAGCTGTTCACCTTTGCAGACAGAAAGGAGGGAGCCAGGACACAGCTCAGCTTGCTGGTGCCCAGAGAAAGAGAAAGAGAGTCAGATACGTCCATCTTTACAGATGGACGGAGGGCAGCCAGGACACAGCTCAGCTCACTCATGCCCAGAGAGAGAAAGAGTTAAGCTGCTTACCCTGAAGGCAAGGGAGAGCCAGCCTCATAGTTGTGTGTGGGAGCCGCCAGATTAAGCAGCTGAGACAGGACAGACAGAGCTGTTGATGAGAGCTGCTGCTGAATAAAGCCATATTTCACCTAACTATGCCCCCTGCACCCCCCGCCACGAGTGTTCTTTCAGATTTCTTCTCATCCACCCACTCCCTTCGGACCTCAACATGACATTGGTGTAGTCGTGAACCTGACAATTGGTGACGTCAACAGGATAAGGTGAGTGGGTCTTCAGCTCCCAGTCTGCTATGTGACTGCAGCATGGGCTGTGGTACCTGGTGGCAGTGGTGCTGCTTGGAAGAGCCCCAGTGGAAACATGAGAGGCAGTGGACAGGTCTCCAGCAAGTGTGGAGAAGGCACTGAAGCAGCTGGAAGCTCACAGCACCAAGGAGCACACCTTCGCCAGCAGAGTCAGATGGGCGTTTCTGACTGCACTACGCGAAGTACATGCTCAGTCCCTGTGGGAGATAGCACAGGTAAGGGACCTCCAGGCACAAGTTGAGCACCCAGGGACCCAAATGCACAGCTTGGAGCAAAACCTTGGGGTGAAGGACCTCCAGGTGCAAGCAGGGTGCTTAGAGACCCAGATAAACAGCCTGGAGTCAGAAACAGTTGTCAGCGAGACTTTGAGCCCAACCTCCAGGCGGGACACTCCCACTCAGTCTGATGCTGTTGCTGAGGAGGAAGAGGAGGCTCCTCTGCTATGGGCTCATCCTGTGATCCGTCAGAAGGTAGAAGATGAGCAGCTGATGGGACCCCAGGGGAGAGCCCAGGGACTCCCCCACAGTGGTGAAACACACCTCTTATAGTGCTTATACCCCCACTGAGTTGCAGGAGTTAGGTAAGCAATGCAGGCAGCACCCAGGGGAGCGCCTCCCAGCCTAGTTACTCCATCTTTGGGATGAGGTTTTCTTGCTACACTTCTGAGATGGAGAAGCTGGCTTCTATCACAACTCGCCCCTCCCTTTATCAGCAGCTGCAGCTGTGCTGACAGTTGGCACAAGGGCAAGGTGACCACATGTTAATTGAGTGGCTGATGGCAGCCATACGGACTGTTTGGAATGATGCTGCAGAGATAATAGAAATTGTGAGTAAATGGCAATCATATACTGATTTGGTGCAGGTACTCCAGGAGATGGGTATGTGGCAGGCTATGTTTGATCTGAATACCCAGGGGCTGAATGATGAACATTTTACCTCCCACATGAGGGATCTTGTGCTGGGCTCAGCGCCCCTGAGTGCTTTTGGCTCTCTAGCTGCTGTTCACTCCGTATGTGGGGTGCCACATACATGAAGTGACTACTGCTATGGCAGCCCTCAGGGAAGCAGAAGGCCTTTGGCAGGACTGGGGAACCCATGCGATAAAGAAGGGGAAGGTGTCCCCTCTGCAGGTAACCACCCCAGGAGATCAACAGGGGCCCCAGCGGGTGACCCATGTGCAGATGTGGATTGATTTAATTGCAGCTGGGGTTGCTTGGGAGAAAACTGACAGGCAACCCAATGGGATGCCGTTGGCTCTGTGGAGGCAACTGTCCGCAGAGCAGCAATTCCAGAAAATGTCCGAAAGGGGGCAAAATACTCTTGATCAACCCAGCCCCACCCAGATGCTGTACTCAAGGACTGTTTGCTGACGGCCAAAGAGACCAGACCCTTCCTTTGACAGGGAACTGGCCAAGGTGCCCAGCAGAGGCCACGTGTGGAACTGGCAATCCATTGGCCTCCCACCAATGTACAGTGGGTCCTAGCACTGGTAGATAGTGGTGCAGACTGCAGCTTTGTTTATGGAAATCCGGGTAAGTTTCCGGGCAAAGCTGCATTCATTGATGGTTATGGGGGCCAGTTGGTGAAAGTGAAACCTGTGTCTCTGCATCTTAGCAATGGCCACTTGGCTCCGTGCCTGTATACTGTGTATGTTTCTCCTTTACCTGAACATATTCCGGGGGTGGACATTTTGCATGGTCTGGACTTACACACCAGGGCCGGAGAATTCGGACTCGGTTTGGGTAGTAAAGCCAGTACTGCGTGGACATACCCGTTACCAGTCCCATGTCTTATATAATCATAGCCATGTAGACATAACATGGAGAAGCTCACCGTCTGGCTCTCAGCCACTATTGTTTGTGTGGTGTATAAATGTAACACTGACCCTGTGAAGGGGATGCTGAATCAAGCCATGTCTCATTTACCTACTGTCTCTTGCGTGTTCTTCCAGCTCCCTGCGCCACATACACCCACTTCCCTCGGCCCTTAGCTGGGGCTGGAACCTGACCCTTAGCATGATGTTTGGTGTAGTCGTGAACCTGACAATGATGAAATTTGTTTAAAAAAATTACTTACTAAAAGAACTTAGGCATGATATTTCATGGGTAAATTTTTGTAAAGCTTAAAGAAATAATTTTTATACTTTTCCAGAATTTCCCTCAATTTTTTAAAATAAAGCCAAAAGCATACAAATAACTAAATATAAAATATTTAGCATAGAAAAATAAAACTACAAGCTTACTCACTTATGAATAGTAATGCCAGTTTTTATATATATAAGACCTTAAAAGAATAATACATTATAACCAAGTGTGTTTCATCCCTGAAAGTCAAAGGTGTGTCTATATTAGGACATTATGGTAGAGATAACCAGCTGTCCACTAAGAATTCTTGTCCCATTATCTGTGGTATATTATTTGCTGCTGGAAATCAGCTACCCAAACTGAAACTACATTTCCCAGCTATTCTTGCAACTGGATGTGGCTATATGATTACATTTTAGCCAGTAGAATGTAAGCAAAACTAGCATCTTCAACGTACATCTTGCAAAGAACTGCTGCATGCCCTTATTCCCTTTGAAGTGGTTGGAATAGAAATGATACCAAGATCTTGGAGCTATTTTTTATCTTCAACTTTTATTTTAAGTTTAGGGGTCATGTGCAGGATGTGCAGGTTTGTTACATACGTAAACATGTGCCATGGTGGACTGCTGCACAAATCATCCCATCACCTAGGTATTAAGCCCAGCAACCATTAGCTATTTTTCCTGATGCTCTTCCTCCCTCCAACCACCCCGCCAACAAGCCCCAGTGTGTGTTGTTCCCCCCATGTGTCCATGTATTCTCGTCATTCAGCTCCCACTTATAAATGAGAACATGGGGTGTTTGGTTTTCCGTTCCTGTGTTAGTTTGCTGAAGACAACAGGAGCTATATTTCAAAGATGGTAGAGACTGTCAGTCTGGGTCTCTGAATGATTATGTGGAGGAAGACTGCCTTGTTAACCTACTCATCTCTAATTCTGTCTCAACAATAAACTTTTGAATGGTTGTGCTATTTGATTCTGTTTGTTGTAGAAGTTAGCCTACCCTAATACATGTCTATTAATATAAATCATCCAGATGACAAGAAAAAAGACAGAATTATTATTAACACATTTAATAAAAGCATTTGATAAAATTCAAATTCTCATCTCTGGTGTCAATTATTTTTGAGGTCCGAAAGCATCGCTGACTTTCTTGCAACTGGGTGTCCATTCTCTATTTCTAAACCTTCTAATGACTTTCCCTTTTTTGCTTAAACTTACCTGACCTACCTGCTGTTACTTGATATAATGATGCAAATAACAAAAGCCAAAAAAAAAAAAAACCCACAAAACCCCAAAATGCACTAGGTTTTAAAGATTAACATTTTTTTCTGCTTTTTTTCTTTATCAGAAAAAAAAGCATAGTCATCATGAGCAAGAATAATTTTGATTTTCTTCTAAGTAAGCAGAACACCTTCCTTCTTTAATCCCAAAATGGTACAGGGTAAATTTATTATTTTGCTAGCACTTACAAGAAAAAGGACCTATCACGGTTCTGCCTCATAATATAAAATAATATCACCTATTCTATGACCCAGTGGCAAGAAATTGGCTTTGGTGATGAATTGGCATATGTTGGTTTAATGCAGTCAGTCATCCAACAAGATCAGTAAATGAACCAAATGTCGTTTCTCTCAGGTAAAAGAATCCACAGCACGGGCAACATCTTTGGCAGATATTGTAGCCCTTCTTCTTTATCTAGGCTTTCTGTAGTGTTATATAATGTTCTGTAACTTTTAATGAACACGCCTTAACAGACAAAAGCTTCTTCTGCTTACAACTGTAAATTGATACAAACTTATTATCTTCCATGAAAGCCATTGTGGGTTCACAGCAGCCTTCTACTTGGAAATAATTCCTGTTTCAGAAATTACAAAACTTGCAGAAGAGCAGAGGAAACACCATTCTGTTCTTATAGAGTGACCCCTATTGGAAGGCTTTACAAGTAAACAAGGGTAGACATGATACTGAGAAATAGAGTTAATATTATTTAAAATATATGATTACTATGACCATTCTTTTTGCTACAAATGCTTTGAATTCCTTCTGGGATCCTGGCTTTTCCCTTATAGATTACAGTTATTCCCTGACTTGACGTGATTTCTGTATTAATCAGGTACTTTTGAAAGCAAGTGACAGAAGCCCAACTCAAAATAGTTTAAGGAAAAAAGTGGAGGAGGTAATTTATATTGGCTAATGTACATAAGAAATTCAGGAGATTATAAAACTTAAAATAGGCTGGATTCAGAGACTCAATGTCTTCACTTTTTAGATAAGTTCTCATGTGGTGGCAAAAATGACAACTGTCAATTCTAGGCGTAAGTCATACTTAGAGCCAGAGATCCTACTGAAAAGTTCTTTCCTGAACTTTCGAAGCAGTGACCTATGTCTTGTTGTCATCTTTGAACCAGTGACTGTCTTGAGCAGATACAATGCTCTGATTGGTCAGGCCCTGTGGGACATATCTCTTTAAGTCTTAGTAATGCATATTGTAAAATTCTCTTTGAGCAATCGATTCCTATTTGTGGGACTTTTTTTTTTTTTGACTGCTGAAGAAAAGAAGAATGAGCTTTAGTCATTGAGTAGTTCTTTCTTCTGTTCAAAGCTTGCTGAACAATGACTAAACAGAAGTGGGATCACTGCTCCATTGACATCATGCCCCAATCCATTAAGCTAGTCAGTCCAGAGAGTCAGCAATAATTATGATTCAGATCAACTACAGAAAGATACCAAGAAGGAAGAAAAGGGGAGAGGGGGAGAAAGAGAAAGAGAGGGACTGAGGAAAGGAGAAAGGAAGGAAAGAATGGAGGGATGGAGGAAATCAGTATATATTACTTGTCAGATTCTCAGCCCACAACATCAGGCATGCAAGAAATTTCACATTAAAATTTATTTTCAGTCAACCTAATACTGACTGTGGTCCCCAGCTTCCTGGGTTGAAAGGTGATCTAACCTGTTATTGTTGCAGCATTCCCCACCCTTTACCCCAGAGTTGTGTAAAACACCAGGATCAAAATAGCACTAAGACTTTGGAGAGGCCCATCTGGTGATCACTCATCCATACTGATGCCAGTTCAGACACCCGTGATCATCTCAGTTCACATGGTCACTTCAGGAGAAGTTGCTCTGCTGCTTTCCTGTGAGGCTTGAGGCATGTGACCTTTAGGCAGGGCGGGGAGACCTAGGAGATGGCAGCCATTTCTCTCTTAGATCTCGACATCATTGCAACATAATCCCTGAGCACAGGTATCCTCTCTTCTAAGAAGGCATAAACTTTCCTGTTTTTCCAATTTCTTAGAAGCTTCCCTCCCTGCTCAGCTTATTTCTGATTCATGCATCTGCTCCCAACTCTCTGTGTTTCAGAATGCTAGCATAATCTTTCATGGCCTTAAAATCCTGAAAAAAAATAAAGCTCAACAGAACAGAAAGAGAATTATCAAAGCTTCTGCTTTCTATGGAATACATTACAAACATTCCAGAGGCAAGAAATTACAAAGCATAGCTGTGACTTTAAAATGAGGGGGAAGGTAAATGTGGGAGACAAAAAATCACAATTTAATATTTCCTGCTAGATTGCTAGCCTCATACCAGTGGAAGAAAGAGAAGATGGAAAAGAAGAACAAGAGGCTAAGTTCTGCACGTTTAAGTAAATTACCAGTAAGTGGCAAAACCTGGGTATTTTTCTTTTTTTTTCTTTTTTTTTTTCTTTTTTTAATTTTTTTTTATTATTATACTTTAAGTTTTAGGGTACATGTGCACATTGTGCAGGTTAGTTACATACATATACATGTGCCATGCTGGTACGCTGCACCCACTAACTTGTCATCTAGCATTAGGTATATCTCCCAATGCTATCCCTCCCCCCTCCCCCCACCCCACAACAGCCAGAGTGTGATGTTCCTCTTCCTGTGTCCATGTGATCTCATTGTTCAATTCCCACCTATCAGTGAGAATATGCGGTGTTTGGTTTTTTGTTCTTGCGATAGTTTACTGAGAATGATGATTTCCAATTTCATCCATGTCCCTACAAAGGACATGAACTCATCATTTTTTATGGCTGCATAGTATTCCATGGTGTATATGTGCCACATTTTCTTAATCCAGTCTATCATTGTTGGACATTTGGGTTGGTTCCAAGTCTTTGCTATTGTGAGTAGTGCTGCAATAAACATAGGTGTGCATGTGTCTTTATAGCAGCATGATTTATAGTCCTTTGGGTATATACCCAGTAATGGGATGGCTGGGTCAAATGGTATTTCTAGTTCTAGATCCCTGAGGAATCGCCACACTGACTTCCACAATGGTTGAACTAGTTTACAGTCCCACCAACAGTGTAAAAGTGTTCCTATTTCTCCACATCCTCTCCAGCACCTGTTGTTTCCTGACTTTTTAATGATTGCCATTCTAACTGGTGTGAGATGGTATCTCATTATGGTTTTGATTTGCATTTCTCTGACGGCCAGTGATGATGAGCATTTTTTCATGTGTTTTTTGGCTGCATAAATGTCTTCTTTTGAGAAGTGTCTGTTCATGTCCTTTGCCCACTTTTTGATGGGGTTGTTTGTTTTTTTCTTGTAAATTTGTTTGAGTTCATTGTAGATTCTGGATATTAGCCCTTTGTCAGATGAGTAGGTTGCAAAAATTTTCTCCCATTTTGTAGGTTGCCTGTTCACTCTGATGGTAGTTTCTTTTGCTGTGCAGAAGCTCTTTAGTTTAATTATATCCCATTTGACAATTTTGGCTTTTGTTGCCATTGCTTTTGGTGTTTTAGACATGAAGTCCTTGCCCATGCCTATGTCCTGAATGGTAATGCCTAGGTTTTCTTCTAGGGTTTTTATACTTTTAGGTCTAACGTTTAAGTCTTTAGTCCATCTTGAATTGATTTTTGTATAAGGTGTAAGGAAGGGATCCAGTTTCAGCTTTCTACATATGGCCAGCCAGTTTTCCCAGCACCATTTATTAAATAGGGAATCCTTTCCCCATTGCTTGTTTTTCTCAGGTTTGTCAAAGATCAGCTAGTTGTAGATATGCGGCGTTCTTTCTGAGGGCTCTGTTCTGTTCCATTGATCTATATCTCTGTTTTGGTACCAGTACCATGCTGTTTTGGTTACTGTGGCCTTGTAGTGTAGTTTGAAGTCAGGTAGTCTGATGCCTCCAGCTTTGTTCTTTTGGCTTAGGATTGACTTGGCGATGCGGGCTCTTTTTTGGTTCCATATGAACTTTAAAGTCGTTTTTTCCAATTGTGTGAAGAAAGGCATTGGTAGCTTGATGGGGATGGCATTGAATCTATAAATTACCTTGGGCAGTATGGCCATTTTCACGATATTGATTCTTCCTACCCATGAGCATGGAATGTTCTTCCATTTGTTTGTATCCTCTTTTATTTCCTTGAGCAGGTTTGTAGTTCTCCTTGAAGAGGTCCTTCACATCCCTTGTAAATTGGATACCTAGGTATTTTATTCTCTTTGAAGCAATTGTGAATGGGAGTTCACTCATGATTTGGCTCTCTGTTTGTCTGTTGTTGGTGTATAGGAATGCTTGTGATTTTTGCACATTGATTTTGTATCCTGAGACTTTGCTGAAGTTGCTTATCAGCTTAAGGAGATTTTGGGCTGAGACAATGGGGTTTTCTAGATATACAATCATGTCATCTGCAAACAGGGACAATTTGACTTCCTCTTTTCCTAATTGAATACCCTTTATTTCCTTCTCCTGCCTTATTGCTCTGGCCAGAACTTCCAACACTATGTTGAATAGGAGTGGTGAGAGAGGGCATCCCTGTCTTGTGCCAGTTTTCAAAGGGAATGCTTCCAGTTTTTGCCCATTCAGTATGATATTGACTGTGGGTTTGTCATAGATAGCTCTTATTATTTTGAAATATGTCCCATCAATACCTAATTTATTGAGAGTTTTTAGCATGAAGGGTTGTTGAATTTTGTCAAAGGCCTTTTCTGCATCTATTGAGATAATCATGTGGTTTTTGTCTTTGGCTCTGTTTATATGCTGGATTACATTTATTGATTTGTGTATATTGAACCAGCCTTGCATCCCAGGGATGAAGCCCACTTGATCATGGTGGATAGGCTTTTTGATGTGCTGCTGGATTCATTTTGCCCATATTTTACTGAGGATTTTTGCATCAATGTTCATCAAGGATATTGGTCTAAAATTCTCTTTTTTGGTTGTGTCTCTGCCCGGCTTCGGTATCAGAACGATGCTGGCCTCATAAAATGAGTTAGGGAGGATTTCCTCTTTTTGTATTGATTGGAATAGTTTCAGAAGGAATGGTACCATTTCCTCCTTGTACCTCTGGTAGAATTCAGCTGTGAATCCATCTGGTCCTGGACTCTTTTTGGTTGGTAAGCTATTGATTATTGCCACAATTTCAGATCCTGTTATTGGTCTATTCAGAGATTCAACTTCTTCCTGGTTTAGTCTTGGGAGAGTGTATGTGTCGAGGAATTTATCCATTTCTTCTAGATTTTCTAGTTTATTTGTGTAGAGGTGTTTGTAGTATTCTCTGATGGTAGTTTGTATTTCTGTGGGATCGGTGATGATATCCCCTTTATCATTTTTTATTGCGTCTATTTGATTCTTCTCTCTTTTTTTCTTTATTAGTCTTGCTAGCGGTCTATCAATTTTGTTGATCCTTTCAAAAAACCAGCTTCTGGATTCATTAATTTTTTGAAGGGTTTTTTGTGTCTCTATTTCCTTCGGTTCTGCTCTGATTTTAGTTATTTCTTGCCTTCTGCTACCTTTTGAATGTGTTTGCTCTTGCTTTTCTAGTTCTTTTAATTGTGATGTTAGAGTGTCAATTTTTGATCTTTCCTGCTTTCTCTTGTAGGCATTTAGTGCTATAAATTTCCCTCTACACACTGCTTTGAATGCGTCCCAGAGATTCTGGTATGTTGTGTCTTTGTTCTCCTTGGTTTCAAAGAACATCTTTATTTCTGCCTTCATTTCGTTATGTACCCAGTAGTCATTCAGGAGCAGGTTGTTCAGTTTCCATGTAGTTGAGCGGTTTTGAGTGAGATTCTTAATCCTGAGTTCTAGTTTGATTGCACTGTGGTCTGAGAGAGAGTTTGTTATAATTTCTGTTCTTTTACATTTGCTGAGGAGAGCTTTACTTCCAAGTATGTGGTCAATTTTGGAATAGGTGTGGTGTGGTGCTGAAAAAAATGTATATTCTGTTGATTTGGGGTGGAGAGTTCTGTAGATGTCTATTAGGTCCGCCTGGTGCAGAGCTGAGTTCAATTCCTGGGTATCCTTGTTGACTTTCTGTCTCGTTGATCTGTCTAATGTTGACAGTGGGGTGTTAAAGTCTCCCATTATTAATGTGTTGGAGTCTAAGTCTCTTTGTACGTCACTCAGGACTTGCTTTATGCATCTGGGTGCTCCTGTATTGGGTGCATATATATTTAGGACAGTTAGCTCTTCTTGTTGAATTGATCCCTTTAACATTATGTAATGGCCTTCTTTGTCTCTTTTGATCTTTGTTGGTTTAAAGTCTGTTTTATCAGAGACTAGGATTGCAACCCCTGCCTTTTTTTGTTTTCCATTTGCTTGGTAGATCTTCCTCCATCCTTTTATTTTGAGCCTATGTGTGTGTCTGCACGCGAGATGGGTTTCCTGAATACAGCACGCTGATGGGTCTTGACTCTTTATCCAATTTGCCAGTCTGTGTCTTTTAATTGGAGCACTTAGTCCATTTACATTTAAAGTTAATAGTGTTATGTGTGAATTTGATCCTGTCATTATGATGTTAGCTGGTTATTTTGCTTGATAGTTGATGCAGTTTCTTCCTAGTCTCGATGGTCTTTATATTTTGGCATGATTTTGCAGTGGCTGGTACCGGTTGTTCCTTTCCATGTTTAGTGCTTCCTTCAGTAGCTCTTTTAGGGCAGGCCTGGTGGTGCCAAAATCTCTCAGCATTTGCTTGTCTGTAAAGTATTTTATTTCTCCTTCACTTATGAAGCTTAGTTTGGCTGGATATGAAATTCTGGGTTGAAAATTCTTTTCTTTAAGAATGTTGAATATTGGCCCCTACTCTCTTCTGGCTTGTAGGGTTTCTGCTGAGAGATCCGCTGTTAGTCTGATGGGCTTCCCTTTGAGGGTAATCCGACCTTTCTCTCTGGCTGCCCTTAACATTTTTTCCTTCATTTCAACTTTGGTGAATCTCACAATTATGTGTCTTGGAGTTGCTCTTCTCGAGGTGTATCTTTGTGGTGTTCTCTGTATTTCCTGAATCTGAACGTTGGCCTGCCTTGCTAGATTGCAGAAGTTCTCCTGGATAATATCCTGCAGAGTGTTTTCCAACTTGGTTCCATTCTCCCCATCACTTTCAGGTATACCAATCAGACGTAGATTTGGTCTTTTCACATAGTCCCATATTTCTTGGAGGCTTTGCTCGTTTATTTTTATTCTTTTTTCTCTAAACTTCCCTTCTCGCTTCATTTCATTCATTTCATCTTCCATTGCTGATACCCTTTCTTCCAGTTGATCGCATTGGCTCCTGAGGCTTCTGCATTCTTCACGTAGTTCTCGAGCCTTGGTTTTCAGCTCCATCAGCTCCTTTAAGCACTTCTCTGTATTGGTTATTCTAGTTATACATTCTTCTAAATTTTTTTCAAAGTTTTCAACTTCTTTGCCTTTGGTTTGAATGTCCTCCCTAGCTCAGAGTAATTTGATCATCTGAAGCCTTCTTCTCTCAGCTCGTCAAAGTCATTCTCCGTCCAGCTTTGTTCCGTTGCTGGTGAGGAGCTGCGTTCCTTTGGAGGAGGAGAGGCACTCTGCTTTTTAGAGTTTCCAGTTTTTCTATTCTGTTTTTTTCCCCATCTTTGTGGTTTTATCTACTTTTGGTCTTTGATGATGGTGATGTACAGATGGGTTTTTGGTGTGGATGTCCTTTCTGTTTGTTAGTTTTCCTTCTAACAGACAGGACCCTCAGCTGCAGGTCTGTTGGAGTACCCTGCAGTGTGAGATGTCAGTGTGTCCCTGCTGGGGGGTGCCTCCCAGTTAGGCTGCTCGGGGGTCAGGAGTCAGGGACCCACTTGAGGAGGCAGTCTGCCCGTTCTCAGATCTCCAGCTGCATAGTGGGAGAACCACTGCTCTCTTCAAAGCTGTCAGACAGGGACATTTAAGTCTGCAGAGGTTACTGCTGTCTTTTTGTTTGTCTGTGCCCTGCCCCCAGAGGTGGAGCCTACAGAGGCAGGCAGGCCTCCTTGAGCTGTGGTGGGCTCCACCCAGTTCGAGCTTCCCAGCTGCTTTGTTTACCTAAGCAAGCCTGGGCAATGGTGGGCGCCCCTCCCCCAGCCTCGCTGCCGCCTTGCAGTTTGATCTCAGACTGCTGTGCTACCAATCAGCGAGACTCCGTGGGCGTAGGACCCTCCCAGCCAGGTGTGGGATATAATCTCGTGGTGCGCCGTTTTTTAAGCTGGTCGGAAAAGAGCAGTATTCGGGTGGGAGTGACCCGATTTTCCAGGTGCCATCCATCACCCCTTTCTTTGATTAGGAAAGGGAACTCCCTGACCCCTTGTGCTTCCCGAGTGAGGCAATGCCTCGCCCTGCTTCGGCTCGCACACGGTGCGCACACCCACTGACCTGCGCCCACTGTCTGGCACTCCCTAGTGAGATGAACCTGGTACCTCAGATGGAAATGGAGAAATCACCCGTCTTCTGCCTCGCTCAGGCTGGGAGCTGTAGACCGGAGCTGTTCCTATTCGGCCATCTTGGCTCCTCCCCCAAACCTGGGTATTTTTCAATCGGTGCTCTTTGCAAACCTATCCTAACCCAATACATCATTCAATTTTAAACTTAAAAAAAATTAAGGTTAAACTCCAAAGTTAAAATCCTGTTAATTTAATTACTTTTCTAGTTGTTTTATTTCAACAATTCAGTAGACTATTCCTTTAGAAATAGCTTGGATTTCTTGGAAATGTGCTTGGTTTTAAGCCCTTGATCATGTTAGCAATGTCTTTTAGACTAAAAGTTTTCATAAATTCCTATAGTATAACTTAAGATTCAAAATGGCATAGATACTAGAATGTTACAAAAAATTAGAAACATTGAAAGTAAAGTCCTTGAACTCCCATTTCTTACAGCTCCTTGATAGCAAAGTGGAATTGGGGGTCTTATTTCATTTGCAATTGTTCCAAGCTGTCTTACTCATCCCTAAGACGTCAGATACCTGAAACTAAGGCAGATGGCAGATTTCCTACCATTGAATTTGTAACAGCAAGGGATCAATATGTGAATCCTTTGCTTTTACTCTGTATGTTCAAAGACCTGTTAAAGTTCCCAGAAAGTACATGGGTTAGCTGAAGTCCAAATACAATAACAGAAAAAATTGCGCTGTGAAGAGTTGTTTAGCAACAAAGCTAAGATGGTAGGGTCATTTCTTAGCTCTTTATCATAATGGACCTTCTTGATGCCCCCAAGCACTGAATCCTAGAGCCCTTAAGACTTCCCCAAAATTTGAAAGGATTCCCTATTTAATAAATGGTGCTGGGAAAACTGGCTAGCCATATGTAGAAAGCTGAAACTGGATCCCTTCCTTACACCTCATTCAAAAATTAATTCAAAATGGATTAAAGACTTACATGTTAGACCTAAAACCATAAAAACTCTAGAAGAAAACCTAGGCAATACCGTTCAGGCATGGGCAAGGACTTCATGTCTAAAACACCAAAAGCAATGGCAACAAAAGCCAAAATTGACAAATGGGATCTAATTAAACTAAAGAGCTTCTGCACAGCAAAAGAAACCACCATCAGAGTGAACAGGCAACCTACAGTATGGGAGAAAATTTTTGCAATCTGCTCATCTGACAAAGGGCTAATATCCAGAATCTACAATGAACTCAAACATATTTACAGGAAAAAAACAAACAACCCCATCAAAAAGTGGGCAAAGGATATGAACAGACACTTCTCAAAAGAAGACATTTACGCAGCCAAAAAACACATGAAAAAATGCTCATCATCACTGGCCATCAGAGAAATGCAAATCAAAACCACAATGAGATACCATCTCACACCAGTTAGAATGGCAATTATTAAAAAGTCAGGAAACAACAGGTGCTGGAGAGGATGTGGAGAAATAGGAACACTTTTATACTGTTGGTGGGACTGTAAACTAGTTCAACCATTGTGGAAGTCAGTGTGGCGATTCCTCAGGGATCTAGAACTAGAAATACCATTTGACCCAGCCATCCCATTACTGGGTATATACCCAAAGGATTATAAATCATGCTGCTATAAAGACACATGCACACGTATGTTTATTGCGGCACTATTCACAATAGCAAAGACTTGGAACCAACCCAAATGTCCAACAAAGATAGACTGGATTAAGAAAATGTGGCACATATACATCATGGAATACTATGCAGCCACAAAAAATGATGAGTTCATGTCCTTTGTAGGGACATGGATGAAATTGGAAACCATCATTCTCAGCAAACTATCACAAGGACAAAAAACCAAACACCACATGTTCTCACTCAGAGGTGGGAATTGAACAATGAGATCACATGGACACAGGAAGGGGAACATCACACACTGGGGACTGTTTTGGGGTGGGGGGAGGGAGGAGGGATAGCATTAGGAGATATACCTAATGCTAAATGACGAGTTAATGGGTGCAGCACACCAACATAGCACATGTATACATATGTAACAAACCTGCACGTTGTACACATGTACTCTAAAACTTAAAGTATAATAATAATTTAAAAAAAAGACTTCCCCAAAATTTAGAACAGTGGAGGTTCATTTAGGTAGAGAATAATGATTCTAGAAGGGAAATTCAGGGAGTTTACAGATTATTAGGTAATATAGTTTCTGTGGGTTTCAAACATTGTTACTGAAATTCAGTGAGGTCTCATCATAGATGCACTTAACTTACTTGAATTAGATATATGCAAAAACAACTTTAAGAAAAAAATCTTAGTTGTTGGCTTTTGACTTCAAATAAGCCATATCCTGCTGGTGATTATAGGGGATTTTTAAAAGTAATTTTGGCCTTACTCAAATTTAGTCATAAGTACCAAATTTTGAATCTAATCCTCACGTAATAGGAGGCTGCTGCAGTGTTGTCAACCTGAAAATGATGGCCAGCTTTTTAGTAGGATGATGTTAAAAGGCCTGCAGCCAAGACCATTCTTTCAGGGGACTCTATGTAAGGCACTTCACCTCCAGTGAAGTGACTCTCATTTCCTCATCTGCAAAGTTGAGGTAATAATTATCACTTCCCTTCCATCATAGTAGGGTTTTTGTAATAGTCAAATCACATAACATATATGATAGTATTTGGAAAATTCCAAAATCTTACCGGAATGAAGAGGATACAGATAGCCAAGAGAGAAGCACTATAAGCAGCCAGTTAGGTAAAGTGACCCTTACTGGCATTTTAATTTCTTCACCCAGTTTTCAGTCCCAGAGAAGCTTCATTCTTTAAAATAGCTGTGTATACTCAATAAATTCAAATTGTCTCCTTACATTCTTTTATG